>NC_000007.14:21490242-22740242 GCF_000001405.40 Homo sapiens
GGTTTAACCCTGCGGGCACTGCATAGCAGGTGCAGGTAGCAAACAATCTAAGAGAAACCTCTTGTATCTAACCAGAAAAGCAAGAAAAGGGGCCTTTTGCTCCAAAACCAGTTCCATTTGCAGATTACACTGAAATAGTAGCAGCTTAGGCACCAAAAAATCTCTAGAAAATACCCATATCTCTGGCTAGGGGAACTAGAAAATAGAGTCTGTTTTCCAAGAAATCTGAGGTAAATCAACATCATTTTTCTGTCTTGCCACTTCTACTCTGAAGGTGGTCCCAGTCGTGGTGTAAGTGCAGAACATTATGGGAGCCCCCAGTAACTTGGCTTTTCTAGCCGGAGGAACTAGAAGGTGAGACAACTGGAGGTTGGAAAGGCATAGGGGAAATTTTGAGAGCGATATAAAAGATGCTTCCTAATTCTGTGTGTAGATCAAAAGAAGTCCTGGGTTCAACCTTGCACTGGGCTCAACCTTGAGCATTGCATGCACAGCACAGACACAAAGAACCACAGCAAAGGCCTCAAGAACTAAACATCTTAAAAACCACCATCCAATTCCCAGCATGTGCTGAGCAGAGACAAAAAGCATAACAAAGCCTTTGAAAAGTGAATTAATGTTGGAACTGCTGCTCAAAGAGGGCAAGATGGAACTTTTAGTCTGAACCTAAACGGGTTGAGTGCCTGCTAAAACAAAAACATTTTCCAGAGAATTTTTAACAGGGCCTAAAGTCTCTGCAATATAATGTCCAAAATGTCCGGGATACAGTCCAAAATTACTCAACATACTATGAGCCACGTAAAGCTGACTTTTTATTAAGAGAGAAGATAACAGATGTCAAGATGATCTAGATTTCGGAATTATCAGATAAGACCTTTAAAGCAGCTCTTATAGCCATGATCCATGGACTAAAGATAAGCGTGACTGAAATCAATGGAAAGGCAGAAGTTTTTAGCAGAGAAATCTGCTATAAAAACTATAAAAAAGAACTAAATAGAAATTTTAGATTTAGAAAAATACAATATTAAAAGTAAGTTTATCAGATGCTCAGTAGCTAAGTGGAGATAATAGAGGAAAGAGTCAGTGAGATTGAAGATAGACCACTGGAAATTATAAAATCTGAAGAATTGAAAGGAAGAAGATTGGGGAGTCAGAAAAAACTGGATTGCAGGGATCTGTGGGACAATAATAAAAGGTCTTAAATTTGTGTCATTGGTCTCCCAGAAGGAAAGGAAAAATACTGCTGTAAGACAAAATTTGAAGAAATAATGGCTGGGACTTCCCATGTTAGGTATAATAGGTTCAGGAAGTTCGTTGAATCCCAAGCAGAAACTAAAAGAAAACAATATCATATTGTAATCAATCTGCTGTAAATCAAAGATAAAAAATCTTGAAAGAAGCCAGAAGAGAAGGACACATTATATACCGGGGAACAAAAATTCAAATTATGGCGGATTTCTTCTTAGAAACTATGGAGGACAGAGAAAGAAAAGAACTATCAACTATCAACTCACCATTTTATGTCCAAGGAAAATATCCTCAAAACAGTATAGTAACAAGAGCAAAGTAAAGATACTTCCAAAGGAAAACTAAGAGAATTTGCTGCTATCAGATCTGCCTCAATAGAAATGCCAAGGAAGTTCTTCAAGGTAAAATTAATTATACCAGAGAGAAATTTGAAATTGAATAATGAAGGAAGGGCAAAAAATAAAAATAAATCGTCTTTTCTGTTTTCTCAGCCACTTGCCAAAAGAAATGCTAAATACCTGGGTAAATAGAGCAGACTGTTTTTCCTCTGCTGAAATTCTTTAACATATGTCTATTTACAGTTAAAAAAAATTAACATTGTCTTGTAGATAGTCATTGTATGTTGATGTAATACATATGGCCAATATAACAGAAAGGGAGGGTAAGGAAGCCAATAGTTAAAAAGCTGCTTTGTTTTACTCTGATAATATAGAAGTTGTTATATATATTTTGAAAAGTTAGATATATACCAACCACTACAGAGAGGGTGGGTGGAGATACTCCCCTAAATGTCTCCTATATATAGGACTGATAATTATTATAGACTTTAATAATTTTGTAAATTAAATGAGAATACTAAACAACATTCAAATATAGGTTGATAATCTCTAATTCACAGCGCTCCAAAATCTGAAACTTTTTCAGCACCAGCAGGACGCTCAAAAGAAATAGTCATTGGAGTGTGTTGTTTTTCAGTTTAGGATGCTCAGTCAGTATGTATTCTGCAAATATTCAAAAATCTGGGAAAAAAATCCAAAATCTGAAACACTTATAGGCCCAAGCATTTCAGATAAGGGATACTTGACTGTCATCTGAAAAAAATGGAGAAAAGGGAAAATAGAAGCATGAAAAACAGACAATTTAAAAACAGATGATAAAATGATAGACTTAAAATCTAATCAAATCAATCATTACACTAAATGCAAGTGGTATAAATTATACTAATCCAAAGGGAGATACTGTCCAATGACATTTTTTAAAAAGGATCCAGCTGTATACTCTGGATAAAGAGAGTATCTGAATAACACTCCACTTTAAAGAATATCCCAGCAGAATGTGTATTTTATTCAAGAGCACATGGAACATTCACAGAGGTAGACCATATTCTGGACCATGAAACACTCCTTAACAAATTTGAAATAAGAATCAGACTGGCATGGTGGCTCATGCCTGTAATCCCAGCACTTTGGGAGGCCAAGACAGGTGGATCACCTGAGATCAGGAGTTTGAGACCAGCCTGGCCAACATGGTGAAACCCCACCTCTACTAAAAATACAAAAATTAGCTAGGCATGGTGGCATGTGCCTGTAGTTCCAGCTAATTGGAAGGCTGAGACAGGAGAATTTCTGGAACCCTGGAGGTGGAGGTTGCGGTGAGCTGAGATTGCACCATTGCACTCCAGCCTGGACGACAGAGTGAGATTCCATGTGAAAAAAAAAAAAATCATACGAAGTATGTTCTCACATCATTAAGCTAGAAATCAAATAACAAAAATATCTAGGAAATCCCTAAATATCTAGAAATCAAACAACACATGGGCCAAGAAAAAGTTTCAAGGGAAATTAGAAAATATTTCCAATTAAATGAAAATACACCATAAAATTTGTGGGATGCAGGTAAAGCAGTGCTTAGAGGAAATTCGTAGCATTAAATGCTTTTACTGGTAAAAAAAGAAAGGTCCTCAGTCAATAGTCTAAACTTCCACCTTAGGAAACTACAAAATGAAGAGCCAATTAAATTCAAAATAAGAAGTTGGGAAATAATAAAGAGTAGAAATAAAAAGAATGCTATGCATAACTCTACAACCTAAATTTGAGGACTTAGATAAAATGGAACAACTCCTTGAAAGATACAAGCTACCAACACTGGCTCAAGAAGAGATAGATAGCATGAATGCTCCTATATCTGTTAAAGAAATTGGATTTGTAATTTTAAACTTTTGACAAAAGAAAACTCTGGGCCCGTATGGTTTCATTGACAAATTCTACCATTTAAGGAATAAATAATACCAAATTCTACAATTTCTTTCAGAAAATAAGGAACACTTCTCAACTTATTCTATGAGGCTCACATTATCATGATACCAAAGAAAAAAACTTAGACCAATATCGTAAGTATAGTTGTCAAAATTTTCAACAAAATACTAGCAAATCCAGCAATATATAAAAAGGATAATGCATTGTTACGTAGTACAGTTTATTCCAAGAATGAAAAGCTGTTTGAATATTTGAAAAAGTCAATGTAATTCACTAATAATGACAAAAGAAAAAAAATCACATGACAGCAAACACACAATAAATATTTGGCAAAATTCTGCATATATTTCTGTAAAAATTCTCAGCAAACTGAGTTGAAGGAAACATCATTAACTGGGTAAAGGGCATTTGCTAGAAATCTGCAGTTAACATCATTCTTAATGATGAAGGACCTTTTGCTTCCCTGTGGAATCAGGAACAAGGTAAAGACATCTGATTTTACCATTCTTATTCACCATAGTACTGGAATTTCTACCCAGTGCAGTAAAGCAGGAAAATGTCATAAAAGACATACAGATTCTAATAGAAGAAATAAAACTATCTTTATTTGCAGACACCAGGTTGTCTGTATAGCAAATCCGTGGTGCCTACCAAAAAGCTTTTTGAACTAGTGAGTTTGGCAAGGTTGCCAGATACAGGATAAATGTACAACAGTGAATTGTATTTCTACATCCTAGCAGTGAATAACGGGATATAAGTAGTTTATAAAAAGAGTGCCATTTGTAATATGATGAAAACAGTGAAACATTTTGCCATAAATCTAACAAAATATATGCAAGACATGTAAGCTAAAAACTAAAACATTGATGAAAGAATGCAATGAAGAACTACATTAATGCAGAGATACACATTGTATTCAAGGATTGGATGGCCCAATATTGTTTCCATGTAATTTCTCCCCAAACATATCTGCAGATTCAGTATAATCCTTCTCATAATTCCAGCAGCATTTTTATAGATAACAAGCTGATTCTAAAATTATATGAAAGGCAAAGCAATTAGAATAGCCAAAACAGTTTCAAAAATAACATAATTGGCTGATTTACACTGCATAATTTTAGGTGTTCCTGTAAAGCTACACTAATCAACACTGTGTAGTTTTGAAGGACACATGGATAAGTAAGACAGAATATAGAGTCCAGAAATTCCCCTCCACACACAGGGTGCAAAAACAGTTCAGTAAAGAAAAAGTAGCGTTTTCAATAAATTGTATAGAAGAATTAGCCATATGCAAAACCTTTAACCTACATATCTCAAGTCTTTTACAAAAACTAACTCCAAGTGATTCAGAGACTTAAATCCAAAACCTAAAACAACAAAGCTTTTTGAATAAAATATAGGACAAAATCTTTGCAGCCTTGAGATAGGCTACGAGTGCTTTAACACAACTCCGAAAGTGTAATCCATAAAAGAAAAAATCAGTAAATAGGACTTGATGAAAACTAAAAACTTTTGCTCTGTGATGGATCCTGTTAAGAGAATGAAAACTCTTAACAGATACAGATACAGACTGGGAGAAAGTGTTTGAAAATCACATACCTGACAAAGTGCTTTTATGCTGAACACCTTAAGAAGTTTTAAACTCAGTGTAAACAAATTTAACAGTTTTTTTTTTTTAAATGAGCAAAGGATTTGACACTTCACCAGAGAACATATGTATGTGACGGAAAAGTGCATGAAAAGATGTCTGATATCATCTATTAGGGAAATGGAAAATAAAACCATAATGCAATACTACTGTACACCTATTAGAATGGCTAAAATCAAAAGCAAGAACCATGAGAACATGGTAACTGCAAGTACTGGTGAGGATGCAGAGCAATTGGAATTCTCATATATTGCTGGTGGGAATGCAAAATGACACACTGCCTTTGGAAACTAGTTTGGCATTTTCTTATAAACATGCAATTACCATATGATCTAGCAAATCTACTTCTGAGTATTTACCCAAGAGAAGTAAGAACTGTGTTCACACAAAAAAAGCTGTGAGTGTGCATGTGTGTGTGTGTGGCAGATTTATTTATTTATTACTCAAAATTGGAAGTAACCCAAATGTCCTTCAGCTGGTGAATGGATAAAAATATCCATACATTGGAGTACTACTCCCCAACATAAAGGAATGAATTATTAATAAACAGCCACATGGATGAAACTCAGATGCATTATGCTAAGTGAAAGATTTCAGAATCAAAAGACTGCATAATATATGATATCATTTATGTGATATTCTGGAAAAATCAAAACTATAAGGACAGAGAACAGATTTGTGTTTTCTAGGGCATAAGCAAGGAGGAGGGAGAGTTCAACTACAAAGAGACACTACAAAGGAATTTTTGGAAGTGATAGCAACTCTTCTGTGTGTTTATTTTGGTGGCGATTATGTGACTGAATGCATTTGTCAAAACTCATAGAACTCTATACCAAAAAAATGAATTTTACTGTATATAAATTAAAACATAAATGTTAAAAAAGTGGAGACAAACTCATTTTGAGAGACTACAGTGTAAAAAGGGAGAGAGATTTACTATTTTATATTTTAAGAATTCAGAACAGTTTTCTGTTAAGCCTCATGTGCATGCCTCAGTATCAGGCAAACACTTCTGTTAACTCTGCCAAGGATAATAGGATTTAGAGCCAAAGGGACTCCTGAAAATTATTTTGTGCAACCCCATCATTTCATAAATAAGTAAACTGAAGGCTCAAGAGGCTAATTGTCTTCCAAGGCTCTAAATGTAGTTACTCTTGCTGCTTTCTAGATTTTCTCTTTGTCTTTGTCTTTCAGCAGTTTGATTATAATGTGACTCGATGTGACTCTCTGCATTTAACCTACTCGGAGTTCATTGAGCTTCTTGGATATGCAGATTATTATTTATTTATTTTTTTTTCAAATTGGGGAAGTTTTTACCTATTTTTCAAATATTCTTTCTTTAAACACCTTGGAACTAATGAGTCTCTCAGCCTGTGCTGAAAGGTTCTGTGTGCATGTTGCAGCTTGCCTTCAGCACTCAGCCAGTCATTTGACATCTCTGCCTTAGCCTTCACTTTCTGCTTACCTAGAGCCTCAGGATTAGGCACAGATTAGTTAGGGCCTTCTCATGCTATTCTGAGCAGGCTCACAGCACTAAACGTGTGTGACCTTCTAAACATGTATGACCTTCTAGATTCCTGTGTATATGTCACAGGTTTTTAAAGCTCTTCTGAATCTCTTAGCTCTCAGCTAGCTTTTCCTTTAAAGCCTTTTGGTTAGTCTATTGTTTGTCCCAATTATTATCCCCTGTCTTGGGCATCCATGAAGTTAAAATACTTGCTTCTAATTGTTTTAGACAAACACATGCCCTGCCTTACATCTGGGAGAAGGCATTTCTCATGGGGCTACTTCACAGAGTCAGATTAAATATGACAGTTTTATAAGTGGAGTCTTCAGGGAATGATTATTTGGGAATTAGGCTTTGAAAGAGCCTCAGCTGTGTTCCACCCCCTCTAGTGGCTGCCAGATGGTGCCAAGAATTCAGGCTGTTATTTTTCAAGGCTGCCACAGAGGTGGGGAGTGGAAAATGAGACTAGTAAGTTAAAATACTACAAAGCTTGCTGTTCTTACAGAAATTCAGCCATTTTTCTTGAATAAACACTTCCATGGATTGCTGCAAGCCTTGATTAATTGCCAGAATCTGAAATGGTTGCTTTTGACAGTTTTTTTCCCATAGGTTTTTGTTGCTTTTATGGAAGAGCAAAGTTTTGGAGGTTCTTCACCATGGTCAGTGACATCATTTCTTGGTTTTGCTCTTGCCCCCTCTTTCTTTCTGAAGCATCATAAGGATTAGAATGATCCTTGTGTTGATGAGTTCTCTTTGTGACATGTTGAATGATGCTGTCTGTGGCACATCCAGGAAATGTCTAATTCACAGCTGAGTTTCGGAATCTGGATCTTGATGTAGTCATCTATTTATAGATGATAGTTAAAACAAAGTGGATTAAATAGCCTAAATAAAGCATTTATAATGAAATAACCAAAGAGCTTCTATATTTGAGTTGATAATTGCTACAGGAAAAAATGAAAAATCACTCATTATGCAGATTGGTGTCCCTATAAATTCATGGTCTCAAATCTCAACCAGTTTCTCAGAACTGCCTATCAATCTTAGTCGTCTTTGTCAGTTTTCTCATTAACTTAATTATTATCTAAACCTCCTTAAGTCTTCTTATATCCCTTGTCACTCCCCTTCAACCTCGCCTTACTCTCAGTTTTCTACTTAAAGAAAATTAAAGCATGACTTCTCTCAAATTATCATCTTTCCCCCCTTATTACAACCAGCCCTCCTTATATGTGGATTCCTCATCCTCAGATTCAGCCAACTAGAGATTGAAAATTTTTGAAAAAATAAAAACTGTAAAAAATAATACAAATTAAAAATAATATAACAACTATTTATATTAGTCATAAAAGTAATCTAGAGATGATTTAAAGTATATGGGAGGATGTGTGTAGGTTATATGCAAATACTGTATGCACCATTTTATATAAGAGACTTGAGCATCAAATGATTTGGGGATCTACGGGGTCCTGGGACCAATCCTAGTGTATACCAAGGGCAACTATCTACTTTTACCCCCAGGTAAATGATACTGGAAAATGTAGGGTACTCATGAAAAGACTTTAGATATTCTAGGCCGCGTAGGTAAGAAAGAGTGTAGGAGGGACTGATAGACTGGGAGTAAGGTAGGGGTGTTTCAGGAACTACATGGCTCTCAGTTTGAATAACTTGAGTCCTTACATTCAAAAATGATTACAGTTAACCCTTGAACAACACAGAGGTGAGGCAAGTCAACCCTCAAGCATTTGAAAATTTGCGTGTAACTTTTGACTCCCCTAAAACTTAACTACTAATAGCCTGCTGTTGACTAGAAGCCTTAATGATCATAGTCAATTAACACGTATTTTGCATGTTATATGTATAATAAACCAGATTCTTAAAGTAAACTAGAGAAAAGAAATCGTTAGGCCGGGTGCGGTGGCTCACGCCTGTAATCCCAGCACTATGGGAGGCCGAGGCAGGCGGATCATGAGGTCAGGAGATCGAGACCATCCTGGCTAACACGGTGAAACCCTGTCTAAAAAAAAATACAAAAATTAGCTGGGCACAGTGGCGGCCTGTAGTCCCAGCTATTCGGGAGGCTGAGGCAGGAGAATGGCAGGAACCTGAGGGGCAGAGCTTACAGTGAGCCGAGATCACGCCACTGCACTCCAGCCTGGGCGATGGAGCAAGACTCTGTCTCAAAAAAAAAAAAAAAAAAAACTGTTAAGAAAATCATAAGGAAGAAAGAATATATTTACTATTCATTATGTGGAAGTGGGTTTTCATAAAGGTCTTCATCTTTGTATTCAAATTACGTAGGAATTTGAGGAGGAAGAGAAAGGATCGGTCTTACGGTCTCTAAATGCCACACATTTAAAAATGTCCCTTTAGTGGGTTGAATTGTTTCTTCCAAAAAGATATGTTTAAATCCTAATCCTAGTATCTGTGAATGTGACCTTATTTGGAAATAGGGTCTTTGCAGATGAAATGAAGTTAAAATGAAGCCATACTGGATTAGGGTGGGCCCTAAACTCAATAGCTGATGTCCTTATAAGAGGAGAAGACACAGGGGAAAAGTCCAGGCAAAGACAAAGGCAGGGATTGAAGCAGTGCAGCTACAAACCAAGGAATGCCAAGGATTGCCAGCAGTCAGCAGAAGCTAGGGTGAGGCAAGAAAGGACTCTTCTCTAGAGTCCTTGGAGGGAGCAAGGCTGGGCTGAGATCTTAATTTTGGACTTCTGGCCTCCAGAACTGTGAGAAAATAAATTTATGTTGTTTTAAGCCACCCAGTTTGTGGTATTTTCTTATAGAAGCCCGAGGAAACTAATATATTACCTTAATTTGCTCTTGAAATTAATTTTAATTTATAAATATGGAGGTATATTATCAAATGACAAACTTAGAAATAGCATTAGTAATTTAAAAAGTATGTTTCATACATTGTCATAGCTTAGTTTTGAGAGTAGCAATTTGAAAAACAGATTATAGGCAGAACTCTGACAGTTAGATAACTGACTCTTGATAGGTGCTTCAGATACAGAAAGCTTAAAAGATCTGGTTTATTCCACTCATCCATTCCAATCTATCATTCCATTTGAAATCTCAGCAAATTTTTTCCAAGGGAAATTACTGTTAAGAATATTAAAATAGTAAGTAGTCGAATGTAGTTTCTGGAACATTGTATTTAAATCCTTTTAAAAGACTACATTTTCTTAATGTGATAAAGCATGGTATTCTCTTAGATAATCTAGGCAAAAGGAGCATTTTTTTTCCTATACTCAGTTTATTAAAAATTTCTTGGGATACATTGAGATTTTCATGAAGAAATGAAATTTGAAATTTGTTCTTGACGTACTTTGGATATTTGTAATGAAGATGTTTTACATATCTTGAGCCATATATTAGGTCAGCTATAATTTATTGGGCTTTAAATTTTTTATAAGGTTATATCATATGTAACTAGATTAGTTTTCTATTGCTGCCACAACAAATTACCACAAATTTAGCCGCTTAAAATAACACACACTTATTACCTCATAGTTTCTCTAGGTCAGGAGTTCAAGGGGCCTCAGCTGGGTGCTCTGCTCAGTTTCTCACAGAGCCAAAATCAAGGCTTTGGCAGGACTGCATTCCTTACTGAAGACCCTGGGGAGAAACCTGCTTCCAAAGTCGTTTGAATTGTCAGCTAAATTCAGTTCCTTTCTGTTGTAGAATGTAGGTCCTTGTTTCCTTGCCAGCTGGCAGTTGGGAGCCTCCAGTGTTTACACTTGGAGGCTGCCCACACTCCTTCTCATACTGTCCATGTGGCCCCCTCCAGCAACAGCAGGGCACGTTTCCCCTCACTATTCTAATCTCCCTGATTCTAGCTAAAGAAAGCTCTTCGCTTTTAAGAATTCATGTGATTACATTACGCACTACTGGATAATTCAGAATAATATCCCTATATTAAGCTCCATAACTTTAGTTAGATCTGCACAGTCCCTTTTACCATGTTACTTAATGTGGGAAACACACATTCGCCTGTCTGAACCCAAAGACTGCACTTGGAGACACAAAGAACAGCAAAAGCGAGACTTTTAATGGTGGTCTTGCAAGATGGGGCGTATGGTAGGCAGGCACACCCAGGGCAGTTACAGCAGTTAATTTACCTCCTAGCATGCAAATCCCTCCCCTAGTTCCTCATAGGTCGAGTATTACAGGGTTACAATCTTCCCGGACATCATCCAAGTTTCATTATCCCCCTAATAAGGGTGTAATCTTCCCTTCCCTGCTTAAGTTTCGATTTCCCAATAATGAAACTTTCTTCGCTTTTATGGGCTGACCCCTTCTCTACATTCTGTTTGCTCATTGTGACCTTCTAGGTGCGTGAGCCGTGCAGTTTGTTACATCCGCAGGCTGGTTGCCAGTATATTTAGATTTATCATGCCTTGAAAATAGATCATTTAAAACATTTTCTCACAAAGTCCCTCCTCTTTTCTGTTTACTTCCTTCGGTCTCATTTTCATCTAAATCCTTTTTGTCCTTGAATTGCTCTAGAAGTCTTTTACTTTCTCCATAGGAGATTGAGTTTAATTTTGTTTCTAATAGTACCAGGTTATTTTGCTGGTTAAGTCATGGGCATTTGTTTATTAATAGCTGTTTTAATCTCTGTGCTAGTCCCCCCACACAAGGGTTAATACAAAAATCCCACTGCTGTTAAGACTTCTGCCACAATTATGAGAGATGTAAGGATTGAGGGCTACCATGTCTTTCCATTTTCCAAACCAATCTTCTAGCCAACCCATAAATGGGTCATCAATTCCAGCATTTTCTGCCAGTTCATTGGCTAGAGTTGTTGGTCTTCGTAAAGCTTTTCTGATGGTCCCATCTGGGGCAGTATTGTTGGGAATGAAAGTACAACATTTCCCACCCAGCATAACACATACGCCCCCTTTTTCTGCTAGTATCATGTCTAGCGCAAGCCTGTTTTCCCAGGCCATTTGGCTGATGGCATTTAGCTGGCTAGCCACCCCTTTGAGGATGTCCCGAGTATAATCGATGAATCTCTGTTGATTATAATAGATGTAGTTAATCTAGTCCACATTCTTAATAGTTGACCACCAGAAGAGTGCTGACTTAAACCGAGCTGCTATTTGGTTTCGGGCCTTAAATTCATTAGGCACCCCCCCCCCCCCGGAACTCCTATAGAGTTAACATATATATTGGGATCAAAAGATACGTCAAATCTCTCCGGTTTTGGTAGCCGTGTGTATTTTCGGGTATCTTATGGAATACCAGGATGAAGGGAATGGCCAACTGGACTAAAGCACAAGTCCCAGTCCAATTGGACGGTAACAACTTATCATCCTTTTTTCCCACAGTACCACCAGACATCAGCCGTGGTGTATGGAGAGCTGAGTAATTGCCATTGCCTGACTCAACCTGTGATGCTTAGGATGTGGGTACAAGTTGAGAGTTCTCCCATGGGCTTATTGAACTCTGCCCCCTGCCTGGAGAGGCAAGAGGAGTAGTTCATATTCCCTGTAGAGAATGAGGGGTTCTGACCTCTCTCCACAATGCGGGAAAGAGCAATGACAGACTCTTACAAGTCTCATTTTCCCATGCATCCTTGTCTCGGTATAGAGCCAACATGCAACACATTACTTCAGGATCAGTATTCCATCCTAGGGGAAATGGAACCACCCATGCCTGAGGTCCTCCCGCAGCACATGCATAGTAGTTACTCTTGTTGAGGGCTTGTACCAAAAATGTGACCCACTCAACCCAGGCATTCACATCCCCATACCCTCAGTTTTTAAGGTTTGCTTTACATCCTTTACCTCAATTATTTTTAGCCTTTTAGGATCATTATTTGGTGGACTAAAGTGTTTACTAGGGCCTGGGCTTGGAGTAGTACCAGACACTTGGGGGGTTGAGTTTTTGATGAGTTTGAGAATAAATCGCCCTACAGGGTCTTTCCCTGTGATGTCTGCCCCTAACCCATATAACCAAGAGTCTTCCAGAACTGGGGCCAGCCCATGTTTTCTTTTTAGATTTTTCTCAGAGTTAACTTTAAGGGTTCCTTAGGTGACCCATGCACTTTCCACTGGTCTTTTCCCCTCCTTTCCAGGGTCTCCTTTACCAGTCCCTTGACTCGAGTATAGTGAGTCCACCTCATGCAGCTGTTCGCATGGCTGTCTCAGTGGTCAGGAGCACTTGATAGGGACCTTCCCAGCTTGGGTGGAGCTTGTCTTCTTTCCAAGTCTTAATCAGCACCAAGTTACCAGGCTGAAAGTGGTGAGCCATGAACTCAAGAGGTGAAGTTTGAGTTAGAAGTCGTTTTAACCTAAGGGATGACAGGGTGGAGTATATGGCCACTATATAATTTCTTTAAAAATTGATCCTTGGTTTCCATAGCCGGAAGATCTGTAGCTCTGCGCAAATATAGGAGCCCATATAATGACTCGTAGAGGGGCAATCCCAAGTCTTTTATTGGTGCTTGTTCTAATCTAAGGAATGCTATTGGGGGACATTTGGTTCAAGGCATTTTAGTTTTTAAGATTAGTTTGGTGATATGCTTTGTGAGAGTTTGAGTCATTCTTTCTACTTTCCAGAGGAAGGGAGATGCCAAGGGGTGAGATAATCCCATTTAATTTGTAAACCTTCCATAATTCACCTTAACACCCTTGAGGTAAAGTGGCTTCCATTGTCTGAATTAATATTTTCCATCAGTCCAAAGCTAGGTGAATCTGTTTTAATATTATTTTGACCACATTCCCAGCAGTGGCTGTTGGAAGGGGAAAGGCTTCTACCCAGCCTGAAAGGTAATCTACCATCACCAGTAAATACTTTAGTCTTCCTACTTTGGGCATTTCTGTGAAATCTACTTGAATGCTTTGAAGTGGTCTTACTCCGGAGGTCTTCCTGTTTTCTAATCACCTTTTTGTTTATCTTTTGACAAGTTAACACAATTTCCACATGCTTGTTTAGCAAGGGTATAAATCCCTATACACCCATAATTCCTAAGTATTGTATCACACAAAGCCTGGGGTCCCCATTGACTCCATTTGTGTAATGTAGATACTAGTTTTCTCATTAGGGGTTTACTTATTTCAGGAAGTACCCATTTGCCATCTTCAGTCTGAGTGACCCCTGTCCTGTCTAATTCTTCCTCCTCCTCTCTGGTAAACTGGGGCCTTAATACTAGCTTAGGGATGTTTGGGAGCAGGCTACATAGTCTAATTTCTTCGTCCAGGGAGGCTTGCTTAGCAGCTTCATCTGCAAGCCTGTTTCCTGTAGCTTCTATAGTGTTCCCTTTCTGATGACCATTTACATGAACTATGGCTACCTCTGCTGGAAGGAGGAGGCTTTCTAAAACCTGTTTGACCAGTTCCCCAGGTACCAATTATTTTCCCCTGCTATTTATTAGACCCTGCTCTGTCCAGATTTTTTCAAAAGTGTGTTCCAACCCATTAAGCATATTTAGAATCAGTATATATAGTGCCTTCTTTGGCTTTAAGGAGCTTTATGGCCGGGTTAAGACCATATAATTTACAGATTTGGGCTGACCAGCCATTAGGTAATCTACCTTTCTCACATAGGGAGTGTTTATCTCCATCAGTGACAGCATTGCCATCTCTCGTTCGTCACAACTCATCCACAAAGAGCCTTATCCCATCATGTAGTGGAGCTTCCCTAAGGTTTGGTCCTACTTTGGTTTGTTATTCTATGATATCTAAGCAGTTCTGGTCTGATGTCTTTGATCTCCTCTCCTTTCCATAGGAAACTGGCTGCATTTAGGCAAATATTTGTTGTTACAAGCAAATAATTTTTTTTCTTAATAATATGGCTTCATATTTTATGAAGAACGTGTTCAAACTATCTCCCGGCTTTTGGTTTAATATATTCCTGACCTGGTGTGGAGCGCTTACTATTAGGGCCCCAACAAAGGTTAGCTTTCTACTCTCCTACCAGCAGGGCTGTGGCAGCACTGCTTGCACGTATTTGGGCCACCCCTGAGAGACAGGATCGAGAAGCTTGGAGGCAAAAGCAACAGATTCCCTCTTCCCTCCCCAGGTTTGAGTGAGCACCCCAAGGGTGATCCACTGTTACCAACAGATGGAATGGTTTCTCTAAAGATGAGAGGACCAGGACCGGGGCTGTAATGAGGGCCCGCTTTAGCTCTTTTACCACCTGAATTTCCTTTGAGGACAATTGCAAGGGATTGGGTTCTTCTTTTAGTAACTTGATATATAGAGTCTTTGTCTTTTGATCATATGAGTCAATCCATAACCTATAGTAGCCAGTTAAATCTAAAAATTTTTGGAGTTCTCTTTTTGTCTTAGGCAAAGGCAGACCCACTATTCCCAGTATTCTCTCTGGGTTTATTCTTCACATCCCTTCACTAATCAGGTGTCCTAAATATTTAACTTCTTTTTCTGCAAACTGCAGTTTGTTCTTAGATACTCGCAATCCCCTTTCTCCTAGGAAATTAAGCTTGTGGTGGTTTCTGATACCTCGGTCCTCCTCTCCCCAGAAATTAAAAGATTATCTATGTATTGTAACAACTGGGTTCCCCTGGAAGGTTGAAATTCCTCCAGGACTTTTTCTAAGATTTGACCAAATACGTTTGGGGCTTCTGTGAAACCTTGTGGCAGCACAGTCCAGGGGTACTGTTGTTTTCTCCTAGTTATAGCATCTTCCCATTCAAAGGCAAAGAGGTTCCCTAATCCTAAAGTCTAGGGGACATGCCCAGAATGCATCATTTGGATCCACCACATTGAACCACTTACGTTCATAGGGTATCTTACTAAAGAGGGTGTAGTGTTTAGTCACCACAGGGTGGTAGGTCTGGACAGTTTGATTTATAGCCCTTAGATCTTGTAGCAATCTATACAACCCATCAGGCTCTTTGGGAGAATTGGAGTATTGTAACATGCAGGGTTTTAATTGTCCATCGTTAATCAATCCCTCTATTACCAGTTGGAGACCTTTTCTCCCTTCAGTGGAAATGGGATATTGTTCTCTGCAAACTACTTCTGGTTGTTTTAGGTTAATCTGTAAGGGTGTGATTTTTAACCCTCTGTTGCCTTCCCTAACCCTCACAAGGGGATTTAATTTTTCTTTCCTCCTCCTCTGTCAGGAGGCCCATCATTACTTTTATTTGTCCTTCCTCTATTCCTAATCCTAAACCCAATCTCACAATCAGGTCTCGACACAGGAGGTTAGTTCCTACTTCAGGAACAAGTGACGCCTCAATTTGTTTTGCTCCTGATGTAATTAAAATTTTCTTAAATATTGGAACCTGAAATCCCTCCCCTTTTACCCCTGATACTTTCAATTTTTCCTTAGAGAGTTCTGTAGCCCTTGGTTGGTGAATTAGGGAGGAGTGAGCTGCCCCAGTATCAACCAAAAATGTCACTTCTCCCTCAGGTCCCACCTTCAAATTTATTAAGGGTTCCTGGTGGGATCTACTCAGAAGGTGCTCCTGCCCCCGACTAGTCTTCATCAATAGTCATGAGGGGTATCACCTTTTCTTTTTTCCATTTAGGACATCCTCTCTTCAAATGCCCTGTCTTTCCACACTTGTAACATCCACTCATAGTCTTAGGACCTTTTCCCTGCATTTCCCTTCTTTCTTTGTGTTGAAATCTATAATTCCCTTGTCTCCTAAGTGGGGGATCTTGATGTAAGTCTTTTCTGACTACCTCTTCCACAGTGGAAACCATGATTTTTGCTTTTTGTTTCTGCTTCTCTTCCTTTCTCCTTACAAAGACCCTCTGAGTTTGCCTCAGTAAATCCTCAGTTGGTTTCTCTTTCCATCCATCAATCTTTTGTAATTTTTTGGTAATGTCAGGCCAGCTCTTAATTACAAAGTTAACCTTCAAAAGGCATTGCCCTACTGGGTCCTCTAGATCTAATCCGGAGCATTTTCTCATCTGATCTCTGAGCCTATATAGGAATGCAGAAGGAGTTTCCTCTTTTTCTTGTTGAATCGTGAATGTGTCCTATGTCCTACGAGTGGACTCCTTGATCCCTTTAATTATTAGTTCCTGGAGATCCTACATTTGGGCGCAGTCCCTGGGATCATTATTATCCCATTCAGGATTAACATTTGGAAATTTTTGTTTGGCTGGTGAGACTTCTTGCCTGGGAGGGTGTTGCCTCTCCCAGATGGTCATGTCCACTCTCCTGATCATTCCCCTTTCTCTTCCTATGAATAGGATATTCTTGATGGACATCATTTCAGCCCAGGTGTAAGAGCTGTATCCTAGGAATTGGTCCAGATGGTCTGCTAAACCGAGTGGATCTTCTAGGAGTGGTTTCATTTTTTTCCTGAAATTCCTAATTTCAATACTTGCAAGAGGAGCATTTACAAAGCCAGTCTCTCCCTGTCCCATGGGAACTCCCCTAAGAGGGAACATGCTAGGTGCCTGCTGTGTGGAAGGAATAGGGAAGTTCTCAATATCCCTCTTACAGTGTTCTTTTCTTAAATTTGGATAAGGATTTAGAGGAGCAGTTGGTTTGGCTCCGCCATGGTGTCCAGGTCTTTCCTCCTCTAACCCTCCTGCTGCCCCTTGATTTTCCTGTCCCCTATTTTGTGAGATGTATGGAGGGGCATGGATGATAGGGTCCCAGGGCTTTTCCCTGGGTGAGGGATTTTTACTAGGCTCTTTTTCTTCTTCTTTAAGTGGGAATATGGGGCTAATTCCTTGATCCAGCAGAGAGCATAACCTGTCTCTTGTGAGGTTGGGGTTTTATTATTCACATAGAGAATTAAAGCTTGGCACACCTAATTTTTATCTGAGCCAAACTTAGGCCATAGGACTATGCTGGTAAATGTCAGAGGGAGTCTCTTTGGCTCCCTCTTTCCCTTGTCCCCTAGGCCTAGAATTTCTGTTTCCCATTTTTGGTCAGTCTGTGTCTGAGCTTTTCCCTGTGTTCTCAGCACCCCCTACTGGAGGTTTCTTGCACACCCATGGAATCACTTCATCCATTCTCTGGCCATTCTTTGTCCATTCTCCTCACGGGAGAACGGAACCATGGATTGGGACTCTGCACTTGCTTCATATCTAGGGTACATCTCAGTCACACACACTCAACCTCTGAAAATGCCCAACCACCAAGACAGTACTTACAGTCCAATTTTCCTCCCTTGGCTTCTGCACGAGGTTGCCTGGTTGCTGCAGTGCCTGCTTTTCTCCCTGTGTCGCCTCTGCTGCCTCCTGAATAACAGTCTCAGGTTTGTCTGTGGCTTCTGTGGGGAGCCAGGATGCCCGGACAGAGTGGGCCACCCAAATCGGGTGGGACACCTCTGCCCTCTCGGCTGGAGTCCCACTCCATGCAGGCACAGAGATCCCAGACAGGCCCCCAGGTTTGTGAGAAACACAGATTCACCTGTCCAAACCCAAAGAATGGACTTGGAGACACAAACAATGGAAGCGAGACTTTTAATGGTGGTCTTGCAAGATGGAGTGTCTGGTAGGCAGGCACACCCGGGGCAGTTACAGCAGGTAATTTATTTCCTAGCATCCAAATCTCACTGCAACCTCCACCCCGCCTGGTTCAAGCGATTCTCCTGCCTCAGCCTCCCAAGTAGCTGGGATTACAGGCGTGCATCACCACGCCCAGCTACTTTTTTTGTATTTTTAGTAGAGACAGGGTTTCACCATGTTGGCCAGGCTGGTCTCAAACTCCTGACCTCAGGGTCCACCCACCTCAGCCTCCTAAAGTGCTGGGATTACAGGTGTGAGCCACCGCGCCCAGCCTAAATACAGTTTGTTTGTTTTTTTAAGTAGGCCACTGCCTCCACCTTTGTACAGAGAAATCCCAGGTTCCTCCTGTCAGAACCTAGCTAGACCCTGGAATAAGATACCAAGACCAGGCTTGCCAACTGTGGCTTGGCATAGAGTTTGTGTTTGACCTGGGGTCAGGGCCTTGTCTACACACTTTTTTTTTTTTTTTTTTTTTTTGAGACAAGGCCGTGCTCTGTCATCCAGGCTAGAGTGCAGTGGCTCACTGTAGCCTCAACATTTGCATTACATGTTGATTTATATAATTAATGGATGGTGTTGCTTATTATCGATTGATTGTGAATCTGGCCACGACAAATTTATTCTAATTGTTTATTTTCTCAGATTATTTATGTAAATAGTAATAACTGTAAATAATAATCTATTTCAATTTTTTTCTTCCAGTGATTGTACCTCAGTTCATTTTACTGTCTTATATGTTGGCTTCGTCAGAATGTTTCATATTATGTTGAAAATAGTAATGATATATATAATAGCATTCTTATCTTGTTCCTGATGTATAAAGTAATAGTTCAGAAGTTTCTCCATTAATTATATGTAGGGGTATAGCAGGTAAAAGAAATAAATTTTTATTCCTGGTTTGCCAAGAGCTCTTATCAAAATGTGTTAAATTTTATCACACTGTTTTTATGCTTCTGTTGACCTTTTTTTTCTCTCCTTTAACTTTATGGAATCTTAAGTCATACAAAGTATTTTATTTTTGTGTAGTCAGATTTGTCTATTCTCTCTTTTATAGTTTCTAAATAACCTGTTGTACTTTTTAAAGTACCTTCAAACTCTAGGTTATAGAAATATTTTCCTTTTTTTTTAATACTTGGTTTTAAATCTTTGTAGCATGTATCTTGGTGTGTGGTATGACATGGAGGTGCATCTTCTTTGTGTTACTTCAGATGGATGTTTAATACAATATTGTATTGAGTGCAGTGCTCCTGTAAGTTTTAATATTTGTTTGTAACAATAATAAGGAAGACTAATGGTTTTTTCAAAGTTTACTCAAAAGTAAAAGCACACACGTAAAGAAAAAGAGAATGTAAAGAAAAAGAGAGAATATCTGACGTGGACCAACTTGAGCCTATAGATTTTTTTTATTGGTAAGTCAAAAGCAGGGCCAAGAAAAGAAATTATCCAAATTGAATTTTCTCATTATATTAGTCTGTTTTCATGCTGCTGATAAAGACATACCTAGACTGGGCAATTTACAAAAGAAAGAGGTTTAATTGGACTTACAGTTCCACATGGCTGGGGAGGCCTCACAATCATGGTGGAGGGCAAAGAGGAGCAAATCACATCTCGTGTGGATGGTGGCAGGCAAAGAGAGAATAAGGAAGACACAAAAGCAGAAATCCCTGATAAAACTATCGTATCTTGTGAGGCTTATTCTCAAGAACAGTATGGGGAACCCACCCCCATTATTCAGTTATCTCCCACTGGGTCCCTCCCACAACATGTGGGAATTATGGGAGCACAATTCAAGATGAGATTTGGATGAGGACACAGAGCCAAACCCTATCACTTATTACCCAAGTTTTATCAGACTGGGAAAACAACATTTCAGTCCCTTAAGTAACAATTTTAGAGGGAAGATCTACGGCTAACAGTTATTCATTGTGCACATCAGGATAAACCAGTTAACCAAATTTTGATATGCCTCATTTATTATACACAAAAACAAAAAGGCCTTTTTGTTTTTAGTTAACATTAAACTAGCTTTTATTCCAAAACAAAGAAGTCGGTCCAGTAAAACTATCTTATATTTTGAAGAAAACATATTTAAGAATTGCTTTGGACAACAGAAACTGTTATCTTATGAAACCTAAAAACTTTATTAAATTCTGAATGTAGCATGTGCCTGCCTCCCATTTTTGCCTTGTAAAGAACTCAGTATGCTATTAAATTATTAACTTAGTTTATTTGAAATAGTTCCAAGATATTTCATGCCTCCAAGATTAAAACTAAAACCCAGGTTAGCAGTTTTGAAGAAGAGTGGACATGAGCCTTGAACATTATATATATTTGTTACATCTGATAGAGATATTTTAAATTGTCTGCTAAAAACCCTCTTGCTTTGTAGATGGGAAAACTGAGAGTTCCAGTGGCTATTTACTTGCTCCAGCTTTTATTTCCAGTTCATAGCAGAAGCAGGACTTAAACTTCAGGTCTTTTCGTCTCAATCACATGGTCTTTCTCTTTGCATTGTGTATTTGATAACGTTTTTAAATAAAACAAAGCATTTTGCAACTAGTGAAACTGTACAAAAAGTCATATAATGTGACCAGAAGGGAGATTATTAAAAATTATAATTTCACTTAAGCAAAATGTGTATAACGCCATTTACTGTTTTTCTATGTAGGTGAAAAGAGATTTGAATGCCCGGAATGTTCTAAAAGGTTTATGCGGAGTGATCATCTCTCCAAACATGTCAAAACGCACCAGAATAAAAAAGGTGGTGGGACAGCTCTTGCCATTGTTACCTCGGGAGAACTGGACTCATCTGTTACAGAGGTGCTTGGCTCCCCAAGAATTGTCACAGTTGCAGCCATTTCTCAAGATTCGAATCCAGCAACTCCCAATGTTTCAACCAACATGGAAGAATTCTGAAAAGTTATTTATAACAGAGACCTCTAGTGCTGCACTTGTTTACACACCTTTGAAAATCTGGAAATGGGCTGGTCAAGTGGATTACAGAGTAGGAAATTATGTTTTCATTCTTGGCTTCTTTAAGTATTCCAGGGTTTGGGGTCAACACGTGAAGTGTTGAATTTTAAAAAATACAAAAAGCAGACTGATGTACTGGAAACAGAAAAGTATTTCCTCCATACTATAAGTTGTAGTTGTTTGGAAATATATCACATAACCTTTATACAGAATCTTCCCATCTCTTAATATCATGTGTTAACATGTTTAAAAAGACCTTAGTAGTTTGCAGGCTGGACCTTAATTGGACTTATTTTCTTTGAAAGTACTTTGTTATAAATTCAGTCAGTAATAATTTACGTGTATTCTTTTTCTCTATAGCACAGAAAACAGATAGTTAACTGATGATAGGGATAATACTGTATTTCCTTAGCTTGATTTTTGGAAAATCAACCGAAAATAGTTTGGCCGTCTTTTCTAAATGTTAGAAATTCTTCAACAGTTGAATTAGGTAAGTTCCAAAACAGTAATCTGAGATGCATCTCAGATCTTTATTACCACTACATTATAGTAGTGTGTATGCAGACAATCAGTGAAGTCCAATTACTTTCTCCATTTGGAGACACAAGAGGAACATAGAGTTAAATCTTAGGTTAAATTTTAGGTTGACACCTTAGGAAAATGCTGGGAAAAAAATGGTTAAAACAAAACTCATCATAGCTTCAGAAAAATAAAATGAGGCATCTTAACATGCAATGTTCTAAAGTTAGGATTGATTATATTCCTAACCCTAGGTTGAACCACAAAATTTCATTTAAAATGTTTATATTTGGAAATATTTGCATAGAGTGTAAATTGTTCTGTAGTTTCATATTTTGTAAATATGAGTTATGTTGACAATGTGCAGAATTCTTTATGCTTTGATGTGGTAGCCAAAGAAAGAATTACACTTTTTTCCAAGGCCAGCAGAAAATTCTCTTTTAACTACATTGTAATTCTTGTTTTCCTCTACTAAAAATTGGCCAGTCCCATTTTATTTCTAGTGCTATGTAAGAAGGTAATTAGGAATTATAACACAGTAATGTTTTTATGTTACATCAATAACTGAATTTTCCCTAAAAATTAGCCTAATATATAATAGATATATTATGAAGCAAAACTTTTATTTTTGAAAAGGCAGAATAATTTTCAGTGAAGTAAGTGACTAAAGAAAAAAACTATATTATTGTTTATGCAAGGGTCTTACAGGAAAGGGTCTTTTTTTTTTTTTTTTTGAGATGGAGTCTCGCTCTCTTGCCCAGGCTGGAGTGCAATGGCACGATCTCAGCTTACTGCAACCGCCGCCTCCCAGGTTCAAGCGATTCTCCTGTCTTAGCCTCCTGAGTAGCTGGGATTAACAGGCGCCTGCCACCATGCCTGGCTAATTTTTGTATTTTTAGTAGAGACAGGGTTTCGCCATGTTGGCCAGGCTGGTTTCAAACTCCTGACCTCAGGTGATCTGCCCACCTCGGCCTCCCAGAGTGCTGGGATTACAGGCATGAGCCACCATGCCCGGCTAGGAAAGGGTCTTACTAGGAAAGATGGCCAAAAGTTTCATATGAAAAAAATTGGATTATAAACCAGTAACTTAAATATTAATAAGGATATTTTATGTTTTAAAAAAGTATTTACACAGAATCATAATCAGTGAAATTGACCATTTGAAAACTAAAAGTTTTTACCTACCTGCTCAATTTATTAACATCATTGCTTTGGGGACTGTTTGAATATAGGTACGTGTTTTCTTGTGCATTCTCTATAATTTCAGGAAAAGTACTAATGCGAATTCTCTTCCAAAATTGTGATGTTTCTTGTATTTTTGATGAAGGAGAAATACTGTAATGATCACTGTTTACACTATGTACACTTTAGGCCAGCCCTTTGTAGCGTTATATAAAACTGAAGGTCTTTTGTGCTTTCAGTTTGTATAAAAAAGCTTTGAGATTAAAGGAAAAAAAAAATTTTTACACTGTGGTTATAAATTTCAAGTTTCTTAAAGCTTTTGTAGACTTGTAACAGAGTCTTTAAATTTAAGTTGGATTTTGTAAATTGTTTTGTATATTTTATTTAATGTACTCTTAACAACTGATGTATCTGGCTTTAAAACATCAGAATTGGTTTGTTGTTTTGTTTGGTACAGAGGAGCATTTGGTAGTGTTCATTTTAATTTTATTATATAGGAGCTGAAACATCAAATATATATTTTATCTATCATTATGCTACACAATCAGTGCTATAAATTTTTTTATGCAAAGAAACTTTCTTAATGTTTTAATCATGTTTCCTCAGAGTGACACTTTTTGTTGTTGTTAATACCAAGTATGAACACTCTGCATCATTATTCCATGAACCAGTTCTAATGCAAACCTATGTATGTCCATTAGAAATGGAAGTTATTTTTTAATCAACAATGAGGCCTATTATAAATTTATCAGATGAATCTAGATAGCTTTATAGCATATAAAATATGTTAATTTGTGTTAGCAGGTGCACATTTCACCACTGAAATTAGAAATATTTTGACAGTCTGTTCTGCATACCATTCTGAGTCTACTTTTCTGTCTTTAGAAGAATCGTAAATTTCAGTGTCCTTTATTTGACTCAGTGGGATATAGCTGTTATAAGTAATAGGGCACAGATGTGCAGTAGAGTCTTGTTTAATGGCATTTCACTGTTCATTCCCTTTACCACCGTTATAAAACTTTTCTTTATTGTAATTATCAGTGCAAAGCTATGTATTTATCATGGTAAAACTCCAGTGTTAGAATAGTTTTTTCTTACAGTATACTTTCTTTGGTTAGGTTTGTGTATGTGTTGCTGATTACATTAGAACTTGATGTTAAGTCATTTATCACACTCTCATGAGAGCAGTAATAAAAGTGTGTAATCTAGGAGAAAAAGTTAATTTGTCAAACTTAGATAAGCATGATGTTTAGGTCCTATTTTTCAATTTTATAACTGTTTTATTGCAACAATATTTGTATTTAAGTCTCCATTTTAATGCCTTGTGGTGTTTTTTTATGCATGTCACTAAGTTGTCATCCCACATAAATTGATGTGCAGCATAGGGTATTAAATCTACATAATGATTTTAAAACAGAAATAGTTGATGGTAAAATGTAAATGTTTTGCAAAAATTCCTTATAAAAAGTTTTGTAGTAACATTTCACTTGTAAATTTTTTTTGTAAAAAAAAAAAAATGAAAAAAAAAGATGAATCCAGAAAAAAACCTGTTTCCCATATTCTAGAATTTAGACAATTATTCTGCCAGCAAAGCCTCTGGGGCTGTAATTGACATTTTTACAGTGCTGATTTGTATAAAATTTGTTTTTTGTGGATTTGGAAATAAAATCATGTACAAGTTGTTGCCTGCAATAACAATTGCAAGTAACCTATTAAAAATTCCCTTGAGTTTAACATGTTTCATTTAATTATGTATACTATAAAGCAGCAATAAATTATTTGAACTATCAACCTACTTATCATGAACACTGGAGAGTTAAATGCTTCTCACTGGAGAACACATTGGCCACCGTTCGTAATTCCTCGTATTGAGATCTGGTCACCATTTCTCTGAACATACCGCCAAAGAACTCCAATTCAAATTGCATGTTAATTTGTAGCCATTGCTCTAGACATTTATGGAAATTAAAATTTGATTTAGAGACACTTTTTACTTAAATATTTTAAGCAATCAATGTTAGGAAATTATAGGAAGACCTGAAAACGAAAAACATAATTAAAATATTATTTAAGCTCACAGAATCACTGAGAAGCAATATAGGCCACATAGATGCCACAAAGACTACAAGCAGAAACTGTCTTCCTCCTGGGAGAGCCCTGCAAATCTCATGAAGACCTTTAGTAACATAATGAATACATTATTGTAACAACTTCAGCTAACACATTTCCAGACTCACACCAGATATAGACATAGCAAAGCGAGGGTTTGGCCCAGGGTGGCGGAGGTAGGATGTTAGGCAGCAAGAGAAGTACGCTGGCCCACTGACAGAAGACTCCAAAGACTCTAGGTTTTAGGTAGTAAGCAGGGGCTACAAGGTGTTTGGACAGAGAACCTTGTACAGCAAGGTCCTAAAGGCATAGTTGTGTTACAACTTTGTAAAATAATGTGTTCATAACACTGACTGAATCAAAGAATTTATGCTACTCTGTCAAATAAGACAGTAAGGAATTGTCAAAGGATGTTTTCTATCCAAAGTAAAGATACACTTCAATTACCTGAAAAATTCGCATTAGAAAGCATCAGGATGATATCGTATAAAAGGGGATAATGCAGGCCAGGCGAGGTGGCTCACGCCTGTAACCCCGGAGCTTTGGGAGGCTGAGGTGGGTGGATCACGAGGTCAGGAGTTCAAGACCAGCCTGGCCAACATGGTGAAACCCCATCTCTACTAAAAATACAAAAATTAGCCGGGCGTGGTGGCGTGCGCCTGTAGTCCCAGCTACTCGGGAGGCTGAGGCAGAATTGCTTGAACCCAGGAGGTGGAGTTTGCAGTGAGCTGAGATCACGCCACTGCACTCCAGCCTCGGCAACAGAGCGAGTCTCTTGTCTCAAAAAAAAGGATAATGCAATTAGAAAATGTCATTGTGTTTTTCAATTTTTAATATAGTTTGCTTCTTGTACTTCTAGAAATTTCAGCCACATGAAAAAGACAATAATAAAGAAAAAGGGATAAATCACCTTGAAAATTGACAAAAGCTGTTGGTGTAGTAAGTTAGGAAAGCTGAAGCAGTGCTAAAAGCAATACTAATAGGGTGTGGTTTACAATGCCATTGGTAATGACAACTTGAAAATAGAAAAATATACAGTATTGTTTATTTTTTAATTAAAAGTTCAGATGCTTAATTTCAGGGGTGCAGAGACTTCAAGTGTCACAGCAAACTTGAAATACTTTATTCCTTTGTGAAACTGAATAATATATTGCTATATTTACTGCCTGAACAGTAATGTCTGCTTAATATACACACAACCAACTTGTAATTCGGTAGCAGGACTTTTAAGGCATGTATTTTCCATTCTTTTAAGATTGGCTGATTAGCATAAACCTTGGGCTCTGTTCCTCTTAGTAACAGGTGGCAATGAAATAATTTATTTTTGGATACCTGAGAGTAATGTCAAGCAGAAATAGTGGAAGGAAGGAAGAGAGAAAGGAAAGGAAAAGGAGCATAAAGGCCTATTTATAATGCAGTGGGTTGATCTCCCTGGTTAATAGCTAAGCACCGTGCCAAAAGAGATCAACGGAGAGTCTGAGGATTTCAGGCTGGATTCCTGGTTCAGCCACTTAGTAGGCACACAACCGTGGGCAAGTTATTGAACTTTTAAGCACTTATTTTTTTCTACTTCATAGAATAAAAGAGCAATGCTTATTAATGTTAAGCATTATGAATAATACATAGGTCTGTTAAGATCAAACAAGAAAACTATATTGAGTAACACATAGTTGTGTTTAATACGTTATTATTGTTAATTATAAGTTAACCCAAAAGGCAGACGGGTGTCTTAGTCCATTCGGGCTGCTATAACAAGATAAACTAGACTAGGTAGCTTATAAACAACAGAAATTTATTTCTCACTTCGGAGCTAGGAAGTCCAAGGTCAAGATTCTGGCAGATTCAGTGTTCATTTACTGGTTCATAGATGGTGACTTCTAGCTGTGTCTTCACATGGTGAAAGGGACAAGACAACTTTCTGGGGCCTCTTTTGTAATGACGCTAATCCCATTCATGAGAGCTCTACTGTCATGATCTAATCATTTTTCAAAGGTTCCACCTCTTAATATCACTGGTAATATTATTGGTAATTGGGTTTCAACATGAATTTTTGGGGGGCACAACTGCTCAGACCATAGCAGGGGGCATGGAATAGTTCCCACCTGGACCAATGCTGAAATGTCTTGAAAATGGGCAACAATACATCAAAAAGTTAATTCTCAAATCCCATTTTAAAAATGAAATTTCAGTGGGAATTTCCAAATTCAAACATATTTTTCTCAAACTGTGAGCTACTTTGCCATACTCTACCTCAAAATTTTATGACAGTCTTTTTCCAATTCTAAGAAAAATAAAAGGTTTAAATCTTAGTTACTTTCTTCCCCCCCCCCCCTTGAGCCAAGGTCTCACTCTGTCACCCAGGCACACACCACCATGCCCAGCTGGTCCTGGGCTCAAGCGATCCGCCTGCCTCCACCTCCCAAAGTGCTGGAATTACGAGCATGAGCCACTGCGCCTGGCCTAATTCCTAATTTTTAAATGTTAATTACAATTACTGTTTGCCTACCTCAAAGTGATAACAGACAAGCACACCGGTGAACAAGAAGCAAACCAATTACTGAAAAACAGAAACAGCTGCTCATGTGTTGTTCACTAACTTTTGTGGGTTTATGTGTGGATGATTTTCTATATTTAAAAGCATTCTCTATATTTAGAAATATATGTGTTAAATAAACCCAGGCATACAGGGCAAATGTACCCCTCTTTTCAGCTACCTACCAAATTGCAGCCAAAAAAAGAAAACATGGAATGTGGAGTTCAAAAGTTTCTTAGACAACTTCCTCTCAGACTTGGTTCAGAAAAGGATAATAGGATGCTCTACTTTTACTTTGCTTTTTAGATTCTTTGTGAAATAAGATAGGATATAGAATAAATGTCTAAACTTATAATGCCCTGCAAGGCTGAGGCATCTCTGCTGGCTGTAGCTTCAGTTGTCCAGTTACAGCCTTCTTGCCCATTTAACTCTTACCTTTGCTTCAGATCCTGTTCTTAACTCTGAGTTGCTCTGCTCATTCCCAAGCTTACCTTTGTTGGAGATGCTTTTTCCAATTAATACATTTATGGAGCACTTACTGTGTGTCAGATTCAGGCACAAGGGATGCTGTTTTTCTTTTCTATGCTAACTCTGCCTTCTTGCATCCCAACCTCAGCTGGATTTCTGGAGCTCCTTGAGATCCATTTACCCTATGCCTAGGAATGGGCAGGCCAGCAGTTGCAGAGATACTGGAGTCTATTGAGACCATATCTACGGGGAGGAGCCGAGGCTCAGGTAATCTGAAGCAAGTTAACAGGTTTCAAGTCAGGGTCAGAGACTTAAGAAATCAGATGTGGGTGTTAAGATCAGACAAAAGCAAATTATAGGGAACAGGAGAAAATTAAACGAGCAGTTGTCATAAACGCCAGTTTGTCTTTGAATCATGTCTTTCTAGGTGGTTGGCTTGGTTCAAATTTTGTTATTTATTATCCTGCTATGAATTGTGGTTTCATAAATATTTTATTTATAGTAGTAGTATTTTTTAGATGTTTAGATGTGGAAACATAATAACGTTATATTTTCTGCTGGTAAAATTGTTCCTTGCTTGTATAATGTTATGCTGGAATTAAATACATCAGTAAATCATGGTGCTGTGTGAAGGGCATTATGGCTTCCAAGTATTTGGTCACCTTAACAAGTCTGAAAATCACTGTTGAGGAAAATAATCTAATGGCAAAGAATAAGCTAACTGAAAAAAGATTCCAACCCAATTCAGTAATACTGTAAACAGTTACCACTTTAATGTATTTTATGTTTTTGCAGCCCTTTACATTAGCTTATTCTTTGTCAGGTTCATATATGTACACATGAAATGTATGTGTGTACATGTTAGGTGGAGCATCATATATGTTTATAGTTTATAAGGCAGAATTAAATTTATGTTACTATGGTTTGGCATTATAGTTGCTTATTCTCTGTCCTTAATTATGTGGACAGACATAAAATTGTTAGAAAATTAAGCCCTATTCTGATTATCACTTACAACCTTGTTTAAATTTTCTTTTCTTTTCTTTTTTCTTTTTTTTTTTTTTTTTTTTTGAGATGGAGTCTCACTCTGTTGCCCAGGCTGGAGTGCAGTGGCATGATCTCGGCTCACGGCAACCTCCGCCTCCCGAGTTCAAGTGATTCTTCTGCCTTAGCCTCCCATGTAGCCGGGACTACAGGCGCCTGGATAATTTTTGTATTTTTAGTAAAGACAGGGTTTTACCATATTGGCCAGGCTGGTCTAGAACTCCTGACCTCCCACGTAGCTGGGACTACAGGCACCCTGATAATTTTTGTATTTTTAGTAGAGACAGGGTTTTACCATATTGGCCAGGCTGGTCTAGAACTCCTGACCTCATGATCTGCCCGCCTCGGCCTCCCAAAGTGCTGGGATTACAGGTGTGAGCCACCGTGCTCAGCCTGTATTTTCGTTTCTATGGAGCAAGTTATGACTAGAACAGAGTTTTGGGTTCTGTAGAAAAAAACTCATTTCTCCTTGTTTTGCTCTGCTTTTCACGATATTGTGGATGCCAATTTGTACTAAAAGTCTGTGTAAATATGTCCACCAATTTGATAAGTAGCTGGAAGTACTTTTATTCTTGTGTTCAATTGTAACACAGCACAGCATTCATCAGTCAGAAGGGATGCTGGACATAGTAATGGAAGAAGGTCCTAGAGCAATCTCCCTCCCTCCCCTTAGTTGCTGGGTTCTGGGGAGGTCATGGGGTAGTAGTAGGGGAGTCAGGAACTAGAAGTTTATTGTATGGAATTGCCTCCTTGTATAGAATTATGTCAATATTTTAATAACCAACCAGTGTGGTTATACTGGTGTCCCAGATTAATGTGCACCCTGAGTAGGTGCGTTTATTCTCTACCCATGCTTCAGACTTCCAGTATGTGGATGGAAAAACCCAATCCCAAAACCATTATTTTAGTTATTAAGATAATAAAAAGGCCCATGCAGTTACTTAAAGATTTTGCTGAGAAACATGAAAATCAAGGGAAAATGCAAGTGGAAAAGTCATTTCACTTCAGGATACTTAAGACTGACTCAAAAATTCCTGTAAAATGTATGTAAGATGCAGCTTCAGTGGATTATGATGCCTCAAACCATCTTAGAAGGCAAATCAGAGAAAGGGAGACGATTACAGCTGGTTTGTATGTCAACAAATGTGATTACTTCCTAAACTGTCTTTTCAGTGATTTTTCAAAAAAAAATCTGTTAACTGTATTTATTGAATATAAGACACAATTGATTATTTCATATACCACTAAAAAAAACCCTGCCAATTACACTATAATCCATTACTTTAATATCATTTAAAAGCTTTTTTAAACTTATAAAAGAGCTGTTAGACTTGTTGATATATTTTATCATATATCATTCTTCTTTCTACGTTAGAAATGCAAGTGAAATGTATTACCCAAAGTAATCTATGGATTCAATGTAACCTCTATCAAAACACTAACAACATTCTTCACAGAAATAGAAAAAAATGCTAAGATTTGTATGGAACCACAAAAGACCCTGAATAGCCAAAGCAATCTGAACAAAAAGAACAAAGCTGGGAGGCATCACACTACCAGACTTTGAAATATATTACAAAGCTATAGTACCCAAAACAGAATTATACTGGCCTAAAAACAGTCTAGGTAGACCAATGGAACAGAATAGAGAACTCAGAAATAAATCCACGTATTCACAGCCAGCTGATTTTCAACAAAGTCTCCAAGAACATATAACCGGAGGCTGGGTGTGGTGGCTCATGCCTCTAATCCCAGCACTTTGAGAGGCTATGGTGGGAAGATCACTTGAGGCCAGGAGTTCAAGAACATACAATGGGGAAAGGATAGTCTCTTCAACAAATGGTACTGGGAAAACTATCCATATGAAGAAGAATAAAACTAGACCCCTATCTCTTACCATATACAAAAATCAACTCAAAATGGATTAAAGAATTAAAGGTAAGACCCAAAACTGAAATCACTGGAAGAAAACATGGGGAAACACATCAAGCCATTGGTCTAGGCAAAGATTTTTTTGGATAAGACCTCAAAAACACAGTTAACAAAAGCAAAAATAAATGGGGTTATATTAAATTAAAATGCTTCTGCACAGCAAAGGAAAACAACAGAGTGAAGAGACAACCTAAAAAATGGGAGAAAATATTTGCAAGCTATCCATCTGGCAAGAGATTCATATCCAAAATGTATAAGGAACTCAACCAAGAGCAAAAAAGCAAATAACTTGATTAAAAAATGGGCAAAATAATCTGAATTGACATTTCTCAAGAGAAGACATACAAATGGCCAACAGATACATGAAAAAAATACTCAACATCACTAATCATCAGGGAAATGCAAGTCAAAATGACAATGAGATATCATCTCATCCCAGTTAAAATGGCTATTATCAAATAAACAAAAAATAGCAAATGCTGACAAGGATGCAGAAAAAGAAGGCCTCTTATATACTGTTGGTAGGAATGCAAATTAGTACAGTCATTATAAAAAACAGTATGTAAGTTCCTCAGAAAACTAAAAATAGAAATAGCATTTAATTCAGCAATTCTACTACTGAGTATATATTCGAAGGAAAGGAAATCAGAATGTTGAAGAGATATTTGCACTCCCATGTTTATTGCAGCACTGTTTACAATAGCTAAGATATGGAATCAACCAAAGCACCCATCAATGGACAAATGGGTAAAGAAAATGTGGTGTATATACACAATGGAATATTATTTAGCTGTAATAAAATGATTTGTAATTTTTGGCAACATGGATGATCCTGGAGGATATTATGGTAAGTGAAATAAGCTAAGCACAGAAAAACACTGCACATTCTCACTCATATGTGGAAGCTAAAAAAGTTGGTCTCATAGAATAGAGGTTACCAGAGGCTGGGGAGGGGTAGGGAGTTGGCAGAGGGATAGAGAGGTTGGTTAATTGATACAAAATTAAAGTTAGATAAGAGTAATAAATTCTATAGCACAGCAGCGTGGCTATAATTAACAATAAATTATAGTGTATTTTAAAATACCTAGAAGAGAGGATTTTGAATGTTCTCTACACAAATAAATGGTAAATGTCTGAGGTGATGGATGTGTCAATTACCCTGATTTGATCATTACACAATACATACAATTATGTGCCAATTTGAAATACATACATATATAAATGAAATAGTTTCTTCACATCAGTGACTTTGTTTGTTTGTTTGTTTGTTTGTTTGTTTTTGAGACAGAGTTTCACTCTGTTGCCCAGGGTGGAATGCAGTGGAATGATCTCGGCTCACTGCAGCCTTGACCCCCTGGGCTCAAGCGATCTTCCCACCCTAGCCTCCTGAGTATCTGGGACTATAGGTGCACACCACCATGCCTAGCTAATTTTTAATTTTTTTGTAAAGACAGGGTCTCACCATGTTTTCCAGGCTGGTCTCAAACTCCTGGGTTCAAGTGATCCTCCTGCCTCAGCCTCTCAAAGTGTTGGGGTTACAGATGTGAGCCACCATGCCTGGCCAGTGATAACCTTATCATGTTTTTGCCCACGAGTGGTAGTTTTAAAACTATGTTCACAAATTTTTTGATATTCCTCTCTTCAATAGATGGAGCCTAAGTCCCCTCCACTTGGGTGTGGCATGGACTTAATGACTTGCTTCTAATGAATAGCATAAAGTGGATGTAACAGCTGTGATTTCAGGCACTAGGTCATAAAAAGTCACTGTGGCTTCCCTCTTAGTTCTCTTAGATTGTTTGCTTCAGGGAGGCCACACACTATGTCATACATAATCCTATCAAGAGGCCCAATATTGCTCAGATATCTGGGCAATAACCACCTAAGTGAGCTTGGAAGTGGTCCTCCAGCCCAGTCAAGTATTCAGATGACTGCAGTCCCAGCCAACATTTGGACTACATCTCATGAGAGACCCTGAACTGGCAAACCCAACTAAGCTGGTCCTAGATTCTTGACCAACAGAAACTAATAAATGTTTGTTGTTTTAAACTGCTACATTTTGGGGTAATTTGTTATGCAATAATAGATAACTAATATACCGTAAGTCAACAATTTTCGACCAATACCTTCTGTGCCCTTAAAAGCATAAACGATGCAGCATTTCTTAAAAGGAGCCTCCATTATTATCTTTGGGAATTTTCTCTACACTAATGGTATACATTCTACAAGTTTTGCTGGAGATATATGGGCAATAATACCTACAACATACCTGCCTGTTGGCAGACCACAAATGACACATCTCTCTTTCAAAGATGTTAAAATACGGGGGAAAATGTGCTTCATAGAATCAGTGAAAGACGTTTTAGGTCATGTTTATTATCTGCCTTCCGCCTCCATCAACCCCTTTCTCTCTCTAAGAACTTGATCTTGTCCATTTCAGGACAAACCTGAGGTTCGTAGAGGGTTAGTGTATTTACATCCTCCACTTTACATGCACCGCACAGGGCTTGTATGGTTATGGGGGGAAAAGCCGTTGGTGTGAACTGAAAGAATGCTTTGTTAACTCAAACATTTCTCAGCCCAAGAAACCTTTGCTATGAGTGTCACAAAGGGGAATACCTTCTTTGTGGGGTCCTGAAATTGCTGGGTAAGTGGTGATGGTGGTTGTTGGGAAAGGAGCTTATGATGCTGGTGGAATTTTGGGTCTTAAAGAGGGCATATTAATCTTTAAAGAATTGGAAATATTTCAGTTACATGTAATGGTCTATATCTTGCAACAATTCATTACCAGCATATTAGGTAATGCATACACACACACACACATATATATATATATAGAGAGAGAGAGAGAGAAGCAAGAATGCAAACAATTAGCAGTGCCACACCCAACGGGTGCATAGTCAAAGCAAATATAAAATAAAGACAGAGATTTACCTGACCTAACCACACTGATATCCTCCTTTAATCCTTCTCCAATAAGTAAGATATCACGTATGGAAAGGTTTTTAAACTATTAAGCACTAGACCAATGTACACTTTAATTACATACGTGGGCTGCCTCAATGCTGAGAGAGTGGCAGATCCTCATTTAATTCCCACCTGTGCCTGACTTTGACCACTTTCTCTGAGCTTTCTCTTCATTTCTGATTTCAAGGAAAGGTGTAAGGAACAAAAATAGAAATAATGATGTTTAATACGATTTAGAAGAAGTTCAGAAATAATTGTGCTTATACCCCCTACAACTTAACTCCCTTTCATGTTCTTTGGATGAATTTATTTAATCCCTAAATCTTCTTCCTTCTCTGGAGCTAATACTCCTAAAATAAAGCTTCTTTCCTGTTCTGATTACCTGGAATTTAAATCTCTTTTTACAGATTTATCCTTCCCCCTTTTTCCTTCAGGGGCTCTAACTCTTTCCCTGACTGGAATTTCTTGGGTCACAGAAGTCCCTCCCTCCTTAACATCTTTGTAGTGCTTCTTTCAATTCAACAAATATATGAACAATAGTATTGCTAGAGGGCCTAACTTAGATGCTGCAGGGGATTTAACAAAATGACCCAGTCCCTGATAGTGTCTGCCTTCAAAGGGCTTAAATATTTACAAGGAAATCTAAGAAAACTATACAGTTAGGTATAATGTAGGGTAATGTGTATTATATTGGTACAGAAAAAGAAGACAAGTACTAGGTGAGGACTTCCTCTCCTGAGATTCTTGTGGTGGTTGTTTCCTTCCTTGATCACTTACTTTATTTATTTATTTATTTATTTATTTATTTATTTATTTATTTATAAGACAGGCTCTTCTTCTGTCACCCAAGCAGGAATACAGTGGTGCCATCACGGCTCACTGCAGCCTTGACCTCCTGGGCTCAGTTGATTTTCCCACCTCAGCCTCCCCAGTAGCTGGGACTACAGGTGCATGTCACCATGCCTCTCTAATTTTTAAAATTTTTTTTGTAGAAAGGGGTTTTTCCATGTTGCTCAGGCTGGTCTTGAACTCCTGGGGTCAAGCAATCCACCTGCCTCAGCCTCCTAAAGTGCTGAGATTACAGGCCTGAGCCACTGTGCCTGGCCTTGATTGCTTGCTTTTGACAGTTTTAGTACACCGCAGTTTTTTTCTCTGTAGATATTGCAACATTGTTCTTTCCTATAAATTAATCAGTTTTTCTTTACTATTTTTCCTCCTTTAACTGTTAAATTCATGTTATAGTCTACAGAAATGCTTGTTTTGTTTGTTTGTTTGTTTGTTTGTTTGTTTTGACAAAGCCTAGCTGTAGCCCAGACTGGAGTGTAATGACACAATCTCGGCTCACTGCAATCTCTTGCCTCCCACGTTCAAGTAATTCTCCTGCCTCAGCCTCCCAAGTAGCTGGGATTAAGCGTGCACACCACCATGCCCAGCTAATTTTTTTGTATTTTTAGTAGAGATGGGTTTCGCCATGTTGGCCAGTCTGGTCTTGAACTCCTGACCTCAGGTGATCCACCTGCCTTGTCCTCTCAAAGTGCTGGGATTACAGGTGTGAGCCATTATGCTCGGCTGTTTTTGTTTTTTTAATTATTCTATCAAAACCAGCAGTGGTAAGACCATATCACTTTATTTCTGCTTTGAATGGTCTTTACCTTATGAGTTGACTTCTGCCTGTGATCTGCATGCATCTTCTACTGGTGGATAATCCTTCTCTGCCTCCACCCTTGTCCATGTTATGTATCTGATGACCCAAATAGCAGCTCCCTGTTATATTTGTCCTTCACCTGCTTATTTCTGTCTCTAAACCAGATATTAAAATTCCTCAAGTCACATGGTTTTCTCAATTTTACGTTGTTTTTCTTTTTCTCTTTGCAAAATCTTAAGTTGACCTCAGTCAAGGGCTTCTGCTAGAATAAAGTTCCTTTAACGTTTAGTCATACTTAAAAAAAAAGTAATAAAGTATTCATCATTTATGGGAAATCATGTTAGTGTAAAGTGATATTTCCAATGATGTTATATATGTAGCAGGTGCATCTGAGACAAAAACACCTTCATACCTCCCTTGGTTGACTACCAAATGAATGCTTTTTCCCCTTTCCTCACTAAGAGAACCCAGATTTTCCTCAGGCTCCTCCTAGTGGCCATATTCTTAGAAGGTGGCTGGAGATAATCTTGAACTTGAGAGTGATGATTTAGGATATCTGGTGGAAGAAATTTCTAAGCAGCAAAGCATTCAAAAAGTGGTCTGTTTTTGAACAGCAAAAGCTGTTCTAACAGCTGCTTCTAACAGCATATGGTCATATGCATTCACAAAGAGATGGTCTGAAACTGGAACTTACATTTTAAAGGGAAACAGCATAAAAATTTAGAAAATTTGCAACCTGACCATGTGGTAGAAAAGAAAAACTCATTTTCTGGGGAGGAATTCAAGTGGCTACAGAAATTTGCATAAGTAAAGAGGGGCCAAATGTTAATAGCCAAGAGAATGGGGAAAATGCCTTGAAACATTTCAGAGACCTTCACAGTAGCCCCTTCCATCACAGGCCTGGAGGCCTAGGAGGGAAGAATGGTTTTGCGGGCTGGACCCAAGGCCCTGCTGCCCTGTGCAAACTTGGACACACTGCTCCCTGTGTCCCAGCCACTCCAGCTCCAGCTGTAGCTAAGAGTCCCCCAGGTACACCTCAGGCCGCTACCCCACAGGGTGCAATAAGCCTTGACAGCTTCCAAGTGGTGTTAAGCCTGCAGATGCACAGAGGGCAAGCATTCGGGCTTCAGAGCCTCTGTCTAGATTTCAGAGGATGTATGGAAACACCTGGATGTCCAGGCAGAAGTGTGCTGTAGGGGCAGAGCTCTCCTGGAGAACTTCTACTAGGGCAGTTTGGAGGGGCAATATGTGTGTTGGAGCCCCCACACAGAGTCTCCACTGAGGTCCTGCCTAGTAGAGCTGTAAGAAGAGGGCCACTGTCCTCCAGATCCTGGAATGGTAGATCCACCATTGGCTTGCACTGTGTGCCTAGAAAAGCTGCATGCACTTAGTGCCACCCTATGAATGCAGCAAAGGGGTCTGTATGCTGCAGAACAAGAGGGGAGGAGCTTTCCCAAGGCCTTGGGAGCCCACCACTTGTGTCAGTATTACCTGGTGTGAGACATGGAGTCAAAGGAGATGATTTTGGAGCTTTAATATTTAATGACAGTCCTGCTGGGTTTCAGACTTGCATGGGGCCTGTAGCCTCTTTGTTTTTGGCCAATTTCTCTTTTTTGGAATGGGAGCATTTAGCTAATGCCTGTATCCAAATTATATTTTGGAAGTAACAACTGGTTTTGATTTTACAAGCTCACAGGTGGAAGGGACTTGCCTTGTTTCAGATAAGACTTTGGACTGTGGACTTTTAAGTTAATGCTGGCATGAGTTAAGACTTTGGGGGACTATTGGGAAGGCATGATTGTATTTTGAAATGTTAGAAGGACATAAGATTTGAGAGGGGTCAGGGGCAAAATGATATGCTTTGGATTTGTGTCCGTGCCCAAATCTCATATCAAACTGTGATCCCCAGTGTTGGCAGAGGGGCCTGATGAGAGGTGATTGGACCATGGGGGCACATGTCCCCCTTGCTGTTCTCATGATAGTGAGTTCTCATGAGATCTGGTTGTTTAAAAGTGTGTGGCACTTCCCCCTGCTCTCTATTCTTCCTGCTCCAGCCCTGTAGGACATGCTGGCTTCCCCTTCACCTTCCACCACGACTGTAAGTTTCCCGAAGCCTCCCCAGCCATGCTTCCTGTACAGCCTGCAGAACTATGAGGCAATTATACCTCTGTTCTTTATAAATCGCAGGTAGCTCTTTACAGCAGTGTGAGAATGGACTAATACATTGCCCTTTTCCTTTCTCCTCAGGGCACTCTTTTTCCTTTCAGTTATTCAGAACCTTCCTATTCTTTTAAAATTATCTGCCCATCAAATTTGAAGAGTTGTGAGATTGGATTATTCATCCTTATAGAATAATAGGAGACTGGAAATAATTATGTATTGTTATTTATTAGTCTGGTACTGAAAGCTAAGTATGAATTCATCCTTGGGGTGTTCAGCATGAATACTATTTTCCCAAACAAGAGATTGCATATTTACCATACGTTAGATGGTAATTTAATCTGAGTTATTTAATCTGAGTGCCAGCTGCCTCATATGTTAAATGGAGATAATAACTGTAATATCTCTAGAGTCACTGTGAGAATTATGTGAGATAATTCACATAATCACACAAACTTGTAGTCATCCCCAGACCCCTGGCCACTCCTTCACAGAGCTCTTGGCACACTATCACTCTGTCTAACACTACTTCTGTAACAATTTTTAGTGCTTTCAATAGCCATAGAGATGATTCTTCCAAAGCTTTAATTATGTGACCTCTTCTCTTACAGTGATCCTCAAGTCCACCCTACCTCAGCTACTCACCCCCGTGGCCTTACCCTAGACCTCTTCATTTCCAATAAATGTAAGTAACGGCCCCCATTACATTAATTCACTTCTAACCATTATATTATTGCTGCTACCTCCTATCTTTCTAGCTCACTTACTCAACTACTCACACTTTAAAAATCTTTGACCCTACCTGGTCAAGCAATCCATTCATGTCATTGCCTTTTTATTGCCTCTCAGTTTCTTCATGTCTTCACTTCCCTCCTTACCCAGCTTAGTTATTATAGTAAAATATTAATGAGTCACTTTTATATCCCCTGAACTCTCCTGCCCTAATGCCTCTCAATCAAACTATCCTGGCAAAATCCAAACCAGTCATGGTTAAATCCAGCCAACATAGCTCTAATAACCATGCAGTTGAATAAGGCTGGAGGAAAACATCCAAATCCATGATAATTACACTCAAGTGGGCCTTTATTGCTGCTCTGCAAATATACTATATTCCATAGTTTATTCACTTTTCCAGTCTCCTGAACACTTCCTCCCTATTTTGCATCCTTAGTTGATGACTTTGCTTTTATTTCATTAGACAATAGACACAATCAGGGCCAGCACAGTGGCTTACAAATCCCAGCATTTTGGGAGGCTGAGGTGGAGGATCACTTGAGGCATGAAGCTAGGAGTTCAAGACCAGCCTGAGTAATAGGGTAAAACCCCATCTGTACTAATAAAAGAAAAAAAAAGAAGTTGAAAATAGACATAAGCATCTATGTCTCCCACTCCCACTTTTATCAAGCTACCTATATCTTACTCTGCCTTTCCTCCTTCTTCTATGGATGAAATCTGTGTTTCTAAAGGTTAATCTCTATTTAAGACTAGACTGCATCCTCTTCTTACCTACTCAGAGATAGCAATTCCTTCCTTTTCTCTCCAGCATCAGCAACTTTTCCCTCTCTATTGAATCGCTTTCATCAGAAAAAGAAAATGCAGAGATATATTTTCAAAATAAGAAAATGCCTATAAAAAGAAAACTTTTGTTTCTATACCTACTTTCTACTCCATTTCTCTGTTCCTTCTAGAAAGAGTTTTCCACATTTATTCTCTCTAAATTTTCTTCTTCCACTCTCTCTTAAACTTATTCCAACCAGACTTTTGACCCTACTGCTCCATTGACAGACTTCTTCTCCAAGTCATGAATGACGGCTCCATGTGATGAGGTCCAACAGTTGATTCAAGTCTTCATCTTACTTGACCCCTCAGCATTTGCACAGTTGGCTACTCCCTTTTTCTGGAAGTCCTTTTTTTCCATTGGCTTCTAGAAATCTGCTTTCACTTGGTTCTCTTTGTACATTATATGCTTTTTATTTCCCACTGTACCTCAGCTACTCACCGTCATGGTCTTACCAGAGGCTTCTTCATTTCTGACAATTGAAAGTAACTACTCCATTATTTCATTTCTAATCGATACACTCTCTCACTGCTACCCCCTATCTTTACCAGTTTTCTTTTCAGCGTTCTTTACTTGTGCCTCCTCAGCCTCAGGGTTTGGTCTTTACACAACCTTAGGTAACCTTGTCTAGTCTCATAACTTCAAATATCATTTCTGTGCTGATGATTTCCAGATTTATTTATCTAGGTTGGACCTCTTTCCTGAACCTGTACTATAAATCCATTTGTCATTTCACTATCTCCATGTGAATATTTAATAGACACCTCACACTTAACATACCCAAAGCCAATCTGTTCATTTCCTTCCTCAAATCTATTTTATTCTGCAGGTTTCCTTATCTCAGCTTTTTTGTTTTTTTTTAAGACAGGGTCTCACTCTGTTGCCCAGGCTGGAATACAGTGTTGTGAGTGTGGCTTCCTGCAGCCTCAACATCCTGGGCTCAAGCAATTCTCCTGCTTCAGCCTTCTAAGTAGCTGGAAGTACAAGCACATGGCACCATGCTCAGGTAATCTTTTCAAAACTTATTTTTATTAGAGATGGGATTTCACTATGTTTCCCAGGTGGTTCTCAAACTCCTGGCCTCAAGAAATCCTCCTGCCTCAGCCCCCCAAAGAACTAGGATTACAGGCATGAGCACTGCACCCAGCCTTTCATCACATTTTAAATCTATCCCTTACTTTATCAGAAAAAAATTATATTAATCCATACTCATTACTTTTTATATATCTTATATTCACATCATTAACAACTCCTTGTGGCTTCACTTTTAAAACATATTCAGAATCTAACCACATCTCATAACTTCTCTCTCCCTTTTTAAAAAAATTTCCAACTTTAAGTTCACTGGTACATGTGTAGGATGTGCAGGTTTGCTACATAGGTAAATGTGTGCCATGGTGCTTTGCTGCACAGATCATCCCATCGCCCAGGTATTAAGTCCAGCATCCATTAGCTATTCTTCCTGCTGCTCTCCCTCCTCCCACACCCCACCCTCTGATAGGCCCCAGTATGTGTCGTTCCCCTCAGTGTGTTCACATATTCTTATCATTCAGCTCCCACTTGTAAGTGAGGATGCAGTATTTGGTTTTCTGTTCCTGCGTTAGTTTGCTAAGGATAACGGCATCCAACTCTATCCATGTCACTGCAAAGGACGCAATCTCATTCCTTTTTATGGCTGCATAGTATTCCATGGTGTATATATACCAAATTTTCTTTATCCAGTCTATTATTGATAGGCATTTATGTTGATTCCATGTCTTTGATATTGTGAACAGTGCTGCAATGAACATACACATGCATATATAATAGAACAATTTATATTCCCTTGGGCATTTACCCAGTAATACCATTGCTGGGTCAAATGGTATTTCTGCCTCTAGGTCTTTGAGGAATTGCCACACTGTCTCTCACAATGGTTGAACTAATTTACTCTCCCACCAACAGTGTAAAAGCATTCCTTTTTCTCCACAACCTCACCAGCATCTGTTGTTTTCTGACTTTTTAATAATAGCCATTCTGACTTATGTGAGATAGTATCTCATTGTGGTTTTGATTTGCATTTCTCTAATTATCAGTAATGTCGAGGTTTTCTTCATATGTTTGTTGGCTGCCTGTATGTCTTCTTTCAAGAAGTGTCTGTTCATGTCCTTTGGCCACTTTTTAATGGGTTTTTTTTTCTTGTAAATTTATTTAAGTTCTTTATAGATGCCAGATATTAGACCTTTGTCAGATGGATAGATTGCAAACATTTTCTCCCATTATGTGGGTTGTCTGTTTACTCTGAGGATAGTTTCTTTTGCTGTGTGGAATCTCTTTAGTTTAATTAGATTTCATGTGTCTATTTTTGCCTTTGTTGCAATTGCTTTTGGTGTCTTCATCATGAAATCTTTCCCTGTGCCTATGTCCTGAATGGTGTTGCCTAGATTTTCTTCTGGGTTTTTTTTTTTCATAATTTTGCATTTTACATTTAATCTTTAATCCATGTTGAGTTGATTTTTGTATATGGTGTAAGGAAGGGGTCCAGTTTCAATTTTCTGCATATGGCTAGCCAGTTAATTCTCCCAGTACCATTTATGAAATAGGGAATCCTTTTCCTATTGCTTGTTTTTGACAGGTTTGTCAAAAATCAGCTGGTTGTGTGTGGTCTTATTTCTGGGTTCTCTATTCTGTTCCATTGGTCTTTGTGTCTGTTCCCGTACCAGTACCGTGCTGTTTTGATTACTGTAGCCCCATAGTATAGTTTGAAGTCAGGTAGTGTGATACCTCCAGCTACGTTTTGTTTTTTGCTTGTTTGTTTGCTTAGGATTGTCTTGGATATTCAGGCTCCTTTTTGGTTCCATAAGAATATTAAAATATTTTGTTTCCAGTTCTGTGAAGAATGTCAACGGTAGTTTAATGGGAATAGCATTGAATCTATAAATTGTTTTTGGTAGTATGGCCTTTTTCATGATATTGATTCTTTCCATCCATAAGCATGAAATGCTTTTCCATTTGTTTGTGTCATCTCTGATTTCTTTGAGCAGTGGTTTGTAGTTCTCCTTGAAGAGGTCCATCATGTCCCTTGTTAGCTGTATTCCTACGTATTTTATTATCTTTGCAGCAAGTGTGAATGGGAGTTCATTCATGGTTTGGCTCTCAGCTTGCCTATTGTTGGTGTGTAGGAAAGCTAGTGATCTTTGCACATTGATTTTGTATCCTGAGACCTTGTTGAAGTTGCTTATCTGCTTAAGAAGCTTTTGAGCTGAGACAATGGGGTTTTCTAGATATTGGATCATGTCATCTGCAAACAAAGATAGTTTGACTTCCTCTTTTCCTATTTGAATACCCTTTATTTCTTTCTCTTGCTTGATTGCCCTGGACAAAACTTCCAATACTATGTTGAATAGGAGCAGTGAGAGAGGGCAATCTTGTCCTGTGCCAGTTTTCAAGGGGAATGCTTCCAGTTTTTGCTCATTTAGTATGATATTGGCTGTGGGTTTGTCATAAATGGCTCTTATTATTTTGAGGCATGTTCCTTCAATACCCAGTTTACTGAGCGTTTTTAACATGAAGGGGTGTTGAATTTTATTGAAGGTCTTTTCTACATTTATTGAGATAATCATGTGCTTTTTATCTTTAGTTCTGTTTATGTGATGAATCACATTTATTGATTTGCATATGTTGAACCAGACTTGCATCACAGGGATGAAGCCTACTTGATCATGGTGGATAAGTTTTTGATGTGCTGCGGGATTTGGTTTGCAGTATTCTGTTAAGGATTTTCCATCAATGTTCATCAAGGATATTGGCCTAAAGTTATCTTTTTTTGTTGTATTTCTGACAGGTTTTAGTATCAGGATGATGCTGGCCTCATAGAATGAGTTAGGGAGGAGTCCCTCCTTTTCAATTTTTTGGAATAATTTCAGTAGGAATGGTACCAGCTCTTCTCTCTACCTCTGCTAGAATCAAGCTTTGAATCCATCTGGTCCTGAGCTTTTTTTGGTTGGTAGGCTATTTATTACTGACTCAGTTTCAGAACTTATTATTAGTCTATTATGGGAGTCAATTTCTTCTTTCTCCTGGATTTTCTAGTTTATATGCATAGAGATGTTTATAGTATTCTCTGATGGTTGTTTGTATTTCTGTGTGGTCAGTGATGATATTCCCCTTATCATTTATGATTATGTTTATCTGAATCTTCTCTCTTTTCTTCTTTATTAGGCTAGCTAGCAGTCTATTTTATTTATTTTTTTTTTCAATAAAAAAACAGCTTCTGGATTCACTGATTTTTTTGAAGGATTTTTCAGGCCTCTATCTCCATCAGTTCAGCTCTGATCTTGGTTATTTCTTGTCTTCTGCTAGCTTTGGGGTTTGTTTGCTCTTGGTTCTCTAGTTCTCTTTGTTGTGATGTTAGGTTGTTAAGTTGAGAACTTTCTAGCTTTTTGATGTGGGCATTTAGTGCTGTAAATTTCTCTTAACACTGCTTTAGCTGTGTCCCAGAGATTCTGGTACATTGTCTCTTTGTTCTCATTGGTTTCAAAGAACTTCTTGATTTCTACCTTAATTTCATTATTTTTTACCCAAGAGTCAGTCAGGAGTGGATTGTTCAATTTCCATGTAGTTGTGCTGTTTTAAGTGAATTTCTTTTTTTTTTTTCTTTTTCTCTCTTTTTTTTTCAGACAAAGTCTTGCTCTGTTGCCCAGGCTGGAGTGCAGTGGCACAATCTCAGCTCACTGCAACCTCCACCTCCTGGGTTCAAGTGATTCTCCTGCCTCAGCCTCCCAAGTAGATGGGATTACAGGCACGCACCACCATGCCTGGGTAATTTTTGTCTTTTTAGTACAGATGAGGTCTTGCCATGTTGGCCAGGCTGGTCTCAAACTCCTGGCGCCAAGTGATCCACCTGCCTTGACCTCCCAAAGTGGTGGGATTACAGGCATGAGTCACCGCCCTCGGCCTTGAGTGAATTTCTTAATCTTGAGTTCTAATTGGATTGTGCTGTGGTCCGAGAGACTGTTTGTTATGATTTCAGTCCTTTTGCATTTGCTGAGGAGCGTTTTACTTCTGATTATGTGATCAATTTTAGAGTAAGTGCCATGTGGCAATGACAAGAATGTAAATTCTGTTGTTTTGGGGTGGAGCGTTCTGTAGATGTCTATCAGGTCCACTTGATTGAGAGCTGAGGTCAGGTCCTGAATATGTTTGTTAATTTTCTGTCTCAATGATCTGTCTAATATTGTCAGTGGGGTGTTAAAGTTTCCCACTATTATTGTGGGAGTTTGAGTCTCTTTGTAGGTCTATAAGAACTTGCTTTATGAATCTGGGTGCTCCTGTATTGGGTGCATATATATTTAGGATAGTTAGGTCTTCTTATTGAATTGAATTCTTTAACATTATGTAATGCCCTTCTTTGTCTTTTTTGGTTTCTGTTGGTTTAAAGTCTGTTTTGTCAGAAACTAGGATTGAAACCCCTGCTTTTCTCTGCTTTCCACTTGCTTGGTACATTTTACTCCATCCCTTTATTTTGAGCCTATGTGTGTCTTTGCATGTGAGATGGGTCTCTTGAAGACATCATACTGATGGGTCTTGATCCTTTATCTAGCTTGCCATTCTATGTCTTTTAATTGGGGCATTTAGCGCATTTACATTTAAGGTTAGTATTGTTATGTGTGGATTTGATCCTGTCGTCATGATGCTAGCTGGCTATTTTGCGGACTTATGTGGTTGCTTCATAGTGTCACTGGTCTGTGTACTTCAGTGTGTTTTAGTCATGGCTGGTAATGCTTTTTCTTACCATATTTAGTGCTTCCTTTAGGAGCTCTTGTAAGGGAGGTCTGGTGGTAACAAATTCCCTCAGCATTTGCTTGTCTAAAAAGGATCTTATTTCTCCTTTGCTTATGAAGCTTAGTTTGGCCACATAAAAAAATCTGGGTTGGAAATACTTTCTTTTAAGAATGTTGAATATTGGCCCCCAATCTCTTCTTGTTTGTAGGGTTTCTACTGAGAGGTCTGCTGTTAGTCTGATGGGCCTCCTTTTGTAGGTGACCTGGCCTTTCTCTCTGGCTGCCCTTAACATTTTTTCCTTGGAAAATTTGATGATTATGGGTCTTGGGGATGATCTTGTGGAGTACCTTACTGGGGTTCTCTGGATTTCCTGAATTTGAATGTTAGCCTGTCTTGCTAGGTTGGGAAAGTTCTCCTGGATAAGGTCCTAACATATGTTTTCCAACTTGGTTTTGTGTCCTGAATTGGTGGGTTCTTGGTCTCGCTGACTTCAAGAATGAAGCCGCGGACCCTCGCCATGAGTGTTACAGTTCTTAAAGGCGGCGTGTCCGGAGTTTGTTCCTTCTGATGTTCGGATGTGTTCAGAGTTTCTTCCTTCTGGTGGGTTTGCGGTCTCGCTGGCTCAGGAGTGAAGCTGTGGACCTTCGCGATGAGTGTTACAGCTCTCAAGGCGGTGCGTCTGGAGTTGTTCATTCCTCCCAGTGGGTTCATGGTCTCACTGGTTTCAGGAGTGAAGCTGCAGACCTTCCTGCTGAGTATTACAGCTCATAAAGGCAGTGTAGACCCAAAGAGTGAGCAGCAGCAAGATTTATTGCAAAGAGCGAAAGAACAAAGCTTCCACAGTGTGGAAGGGGACTCAAGCGGGTTGCCACTGCTGGCTCAGGCAGCCTGCTTTTATTCTCTTATCTGGCCCCACCCACATCCTGCTGACTGGTCCATTTTACAGAGAGCCTATTGGTCTGTTTTACAGAGAGCTGATTGGTCCGTTTTTACAGGGTGCTGATTGGTGCATTTACAATCCCTGAGCTAGACACAAAAGTTCTCCACGTCCCCACTAGATTAGCTAGATACAGAGTGTCGACTGGTGCATTTACAAACCCTGAGCTGGACACAGGGTGCTGATTGGTGTGTTTACAAACCTTGAGCTAGACACAGGGTGCTGATTGGCGCATTCACAGTCTCTGAGCTAGACACGGTGCTGATTGGTGTGTTTACAAACCTTGAGCTAGATACAGAATGCTCATTGGTGTATTTACAATCCCTTAGCTAGACATAAAGATTCTCCAAGTCCCCACTAGACTCAGGAGCCCAGCTGGTTTCACCCAGTGGATCCCACACCGGGGCCGCACGTGGAGCTGCCTGCCAGTCCCACACCATGTGCCTGCACTCCTCAGCCCTTGGGTGGTCAATGGGACTGGGCGCCGTGGAGCAGGGGGCGGCACTTGTTGGGGAGGCTCGGGCGGCACAGGAGCCCACAGCATGGTGGGGGTAGGCTCAGGCATGGCGGGCTGCAGGTCCCGAGCCCTGCCCTGCGGGGAGGCAGCTAAGGTGTGGGGAGAAGTCAGGCACAGCAGCTGCTGGCCCAGGTGCTAAGCCTCTCACTGCCCAGGGCCAGCCGCTCTGAGTGCGGGGCCTGCAGAGCCCACGCCCACCCGGAACTTGTGCTGGCCCGCAAGCGCTGCATGCAGCCCTGGTTCCCACCCGCGCCTCTCTCTCCACACCTCCACGCAAGCTGAGGGAGCCGGCTCCGGCCTTGGCCAGCCCAGAAAGGGGCTCCCACAGTGCAGTGGCAGGCTGAAGGGCTCCTCAAGCACGGCCAGAGTGGGCACCAAGGCTGAGGAGGCGCCAAGAGCGAGCGAGGGCTGTGAGGGCTGCCAGCACGCTGTCACCTCTCAGTTTCATTCTCTCCATCTCCTTCAGGGACGCCAATTAGTCATAGATTTGGTCTCTTTATATAATCCTATATTTCTGAGAGGTTTTGTTCATTCCTTTTCTTTTTCTTTTTTTTTTTTTTTTTGAGACAGAGTCTCGCTCTGTCGCCCAGGCTGGAGTGCAGTGGCGTGATCTCGGCTCACTGCAAGCTCGACGTCCTGGGTTCACGCCGTCCTCCTGCCTCGGCCTCCCAAGTAGCTGGGACTACAGGCGCATGCTGCCACGCCCGGCTAATTTTTTGTATTTTTAGTAGAGACAGGGTTTCACTGTGTTAGCCAGGATGGTCTCGATCTCCTGACCTTGTGATCCACCCGCCTTGGCCTCCCAAAGTGCTGGGATTACAGGCATGAGCCACCGCGCCTGGCCTGTTCGTTCCTTTTCATTCTTTTTTCTCTATTCTTAATCTGCCTGTCTTATTTCAGAAAGATAGTCTTCAAGCTCTGAGATTCTTTCCTCCACTTGGTCTACTCTGCTATTAATACTTGTAATTGAATTGTGAAGTTCTTGTAGTGTGTTTTTCAGCTCTATCAGGTTGGTTATGTTCCTCTCTAAACTGGTTGTTTTGGCTGTCAGCTCCTGCATTGCTTTTTGTTTGTTTGTTTGTTTGTTTTGAGATGGAGTCTTGCTCTGTCGCCCAGGCTGGAGTGCACTGGCACGATCTCGGCTCACCACAATCTCCGCCTCCCAGGTTCAAGCAATTCTGCCTCAGCCTCCAGAATAGCTGGGATTACAGGCATGTGCCACCAGGCCTGGATAATTTTTGTATCTTTAGTAGAGACGGGGTTTCACCATGTTGGCCAGGCTGGTCTTGAACTCCTGACCTCATGTCATCCGCCTGCATCAGCCTCCCAAAGTGCCAGGATTACAGGCGTGAGCCACCACGCACAGCTCCTGCATTGTTTTTATCAAGATTCTTAGCTTCTTTGCATTGGGTTACAACATGCTCCTTTAGCTCAGCAGAGTTCATTTTTATATTTTTACCCACATTCTGATGGCTACTTCTATCATTTCAGCCATCTTAGCCTCAGCCCAGTTCTGAGTCCTTGCTGGAGGAGTGTTGCAGTCATTTGGATGAAAGGGGGTTGTTCGAGTTTTCAGCATTTTTGCATTGATTCTTTCCCATCTTTGCTGGCTTATCTACGTTTGATCTTTCAGGTTGCTGACCTTTGGATGGGGTTTTTGTGGGTTTTGTTGTTGATGATGTTTTCTGTTTGTTTTTCTTTTAGGAGTCCAGCCACTCTTCCGTAGGGCTGCTGTGGTTTGCTGGGGGTCCACTCCAGAACCTAGTTACCTCAACTTTTTCCATACTTAGAGGTACCACCAGCGAAGGCTGCAAAACAGCAAAGATGGCAGCCTGCCCTTTCCTCTGGAAGGTCCATCCCAGATGGGTACTGACCTGTTGCTGGCCCAAACACACCTGTAGGAGGTGGCTGGAGACCCCACTTGGGAAGTCTCACCCAGTCAGGAGGAACAGGATCAGGGGCCCACTTAAAGAAGCAGTCTGGCTGCTTTTTGGTAGAGCAGCTGTGCTGTGTTGGGGATCCCTTCAGCTCCTGATTGGTTTGAGCTCTCCAAGACCCATAGGCTGGCCTGGCTGAGACACACAAACAGCCAAGGTGGTAGCCTGTCCTGCACTCTGGGCAATCCATCCCAGGGTTAAATTAGAACTCTGTCGGCTATAGAACATGGGTGGGGGTGCCAGGAGGCCCCAGTTGGTTGCATCCTTTTTTCTTAGCTGTATATTACTCCATTGTTTGGATGTTAGATAGTTTATTGAACCCATCTCCTATGGCAGGATATTTGGCTTATTTCCAGTGTTTTGCTCTTACCATTAGTGCTATAATGACTAACCTTGTGCGTAGATTTCTAGAATAAAGATGCTGGGTCAAAGGACAAATGCGTAGGATTTTTTCTAGAAATCAGTGAATTCTATGGGGTTATATCATTTTGAATTTCCAGAAGTGATGTATGAAAGTGCCTGTTTCCTCAGCCATGCCAATAATATGATGTCATTCTTAAAACCAGTAAGTGAAAAAATAGTCTTGTACTCTTGTTTGAATTTGTATTTTTCTTTTGTGAGGGAAGTTGAGCATCTTGCTATATGTTTAAGGGACATTTGCATAATTGAACACGGTTCAGCATTTCATGTTGATATACTAGTCAGCAAGTTGGAAAGACAAGAGGAAATGGAGAACTGGGAAATTCTAAGAATATGATACAAGCATTTTATACCTCATTTACTTTCACTTCACATTAGCTACAAAGAAAATTTCCTAGTTTCCCTTTTAGCTAATGTGAAGTGAAAAGTAAATGAGGTATACAGTTTGGGTGGACATGAGTCCCATTAAAACTTGGAACAGGGGTAAATGTCGTATTTCCAAGAGAAGGAAAAGGTGAATGGACACTGGGGACAGTTAGCAGTTTCTGCTACATCATCTTCTTTTAAAAAAATCTAGCTATTATCACAGCCCTATGTGATTTTTGTCTCATATTTCTTCTTTGTCCTCATCTCTTGCTATTCTCCCTCTTACTGGCATTCTTGCTGTTTCTCCAAAAATCAAGCATCCTCTCTTGTGGGTCTACTTGCCCTTCCCTCTGCCTGAAGTGTTCTTCCAGAACGCATGGCTCACTCTCAGAATTCTGCTCAAAAGTAAGCCCTTCCTTAAACACCAATGGTAATTAACATGCTCTCCATACCCAACCTTTTACCCTCCGTTGCTTTTCTTCTTAGAATTGATCATCTGTGTCAATCGAGGAAAATGACAAGTCTCAATCATTTTAGGAGATTTGTTTGCCAAAGTTAAGGACACTCTGGGAGACAAGTCTATGCCTTTCTCCGAAGATAAATTTGAGGGCTCCAAATTTAAAGGGGAAAGGGCGGGATATTGAGAAGCACACAGGTTTTCACATAAACAAAAGGGGGCAGAGGAAGAATGTGAGGAATCGCATTTTACATAAGATAACAAAATGGGGTAGGGGAACAATCAGATATGCATTTGTGTCTGGTGGGTGATTGCACCTGGAAAGACAAGCTATCAATTTGCATTGCTATGGTGAAGTTTTAACAGCTCACCCATAATTTCCCTGTGGGCAAAATATGGGGGAGGCATGTAGCCTTTCATCTTGTAGCCATCTTATTTAGGAACGAAAAGGGAGAGGCAGATTTGCATGACCCAGTTCCCAGCTTGACTTTTCCCATTGGCTAAACGAGTTTAGAGTCCCAAAATTTAATTTCCTGTCACATCTGACATAATAAACATATTATATCTTTGCTTGCCTAGTTTCTCATGTTTCCCCCTCCACAACTAATAATAAATGTGCCAGGCGTTGGCCTGTTTGTGCTTTTAACATATTTAAGCTGAATTATTTCTCCCAACAACTCTATGATGTGGTGTATCATTTACTATTACCATACTATCACTACATAACAAACCTCACCACAACTATGTAGCTTAAAACCAATAATCATTCATTATTTTCATGCATCTGTGGGCTGACTGAGAGTAGATTGATCAAGACTAGCCTTCGCTGGACTTGCCTCTGAGCTACAAAAGTCGGGTCCAGGCTGGTTCCCTGCATTAGCAAGCTAACTAGGGATGTTCTTCTCAAGACAGTGGCAGAGGCACAAGAAGGCAAGCCTCACCATGCAAAGACATTCCAAGCATCTGTTTGCTACTACACTTGATCTTAGCCAAAAGAAGCGATGCCTCTGTTTGTTATGTCTGCCAATATCCTATGGACCAAAGCAAGTCACATGGCCAGCCACAACTTTAATAGCACAAAAAGGTATAAGCATACTCTTTTCATGAAGGTGGGGTTGGGGGAGAGATATTTGCTAAAAAATAGTCTCATCTACCATTTTTTTTTTCCTATTTCTGGTGAGGAAACTCAGGCACCTAGAAAATAGAAATGGAATGCAAATTCAGTTGGTATAGCTCCACTCTATTCAGTAGAAATCTAGCCTGTATCTCCAATATGAGGGTAGAAACTTAATCTGTTTTGTTTTCTGTTATATTTCCCAGCACCTAGAACAGTGCTTGGCACTTAGTAGGCATTCAGTAAAGATTTGTTAGACAAATGAATGAACTCAGCACAGCACATGGCACATAATTGGTACTTGATCAATGTTAGCTATTATTATTGAGAAAAAATACATAAAACTTGGGAACAAGGTAAAGCCATGTTCATTCACTGTCACATTGAAACACTGCTTCACCGGCCAATGAAAGGATTATTAATTATTTAGGGAAAAGTATCTTTTTTGGACTCATTAACTACTACTGATCGAAGTCTCAAACTCTGAAGTTACGTTTTTATTTACAGATTTTTGTTCAATACAGATGTAATTTATTTTGGAAAAACAAATTATTTTTTAAAAAACAAAGGATTATTTTGCCCTGTATGACATTAGTGAGTGTTGTTTTGAACCTAGCAAGCTGACTCATCCTGTCTTCCTCCAATGCTGCTAAATTTCTTTCTCGAACTGTCCTTGGAACTTACATCATTTTGTTGCTTTCCTCATTTATGAGTTAAATCAATCTTTGACATATCTTCATCTTATATTTCGAGTTACATAGTTAACTTTTTGGAAATTGCACTTTAAAGTTAGCATCATTTAAAAAATTTTCCTGCTAGATTTGAAAGTGGTTATTCACTTTCAATTTAATTCAACTATTATTTACAGAATTCCCGGTTTTCTAGGTTACAGGGATGTGAAGCTGGAATATAAGAGGGGAGAGAAGGAACTGGTGATTGCCAGCCTTGTATACCAGCAACTGGGAGCCCCAAAGATTATTATGGACAATATAAAGCAGCCTTGACAGGTTAGAAGTCATTATCAAAGTTTTCCAAGGCCCTGTGTTATTTCAAGATTCTGATCACATAACTGGAAACTTGTCGATGGTTTTCAGGGGCAGTTAATATCCTGCAAAGAAAAAAATTGTTGAAGCCTCATCTTCTGGAAATGTCTGTCAACATTCAGGTATTAAATGGATTATTGTGGGCAACAGTCCTTCAGTAGCCCCCATGGAAGGGGTGGGGATTGAAGACTTTAGTTTGAAATAAACAATTAACAAAGGAGACTTAAAAGTTTAGTTGAGGACTCCTCCTCAAAATTCTGGTTGCTTTAATAATTAGAATTTCCATAAGAGTCTCAACGAAAGCCACTAATGGACCGCAGTGAAATCCTATTTCAGTATCATGAAACTGTTTTTAATCTGAAGCTTTTTCTCTTTGACCTTTTTACTCTTGAATTAAATGATAAATCTATAGATTTTCGGAACATTTTGGAGATCACGAAAGGGCACTGTGCGTTCTCTTACTGGGTGTACTGAAGTTCCAGTAAGTTTCAGGTTGAGGATGGCAATCAGGAGGACTTCGAATACTTAGATCTTGGATTCCCACAACTAGGAAAGTTGAATTGCAGGACTGGCTCTCTTCTGGTAATATTTGGACACCTTGGGAAAGGTGAATAACAGCCTTCAACTTGGGCCCCGAAACTTCTCTGTTACTTATTTTTGTAACTTAGTTCCTTGCCCATAAAACAAAGACTGACCAGTCAGAGACTTGGCTTTCTACGGATTATGTCAACTAGTCAAGGTAAGAGATTAGCACGGACCTTGGCACAAGAGAGCATTGCTTCATCCAGAGCACTTAACCAATGCTGGGATCTCCACCAAGTGTCCAGTAGGCGAAGGAGCCGGAGGGCAGTGGAGCGAGCGCACTGGGGGCTCAGACCCACCCCGGACACGCGGCTTCTCGGCCGTGTTCGGGACCTAGAGCCCGAGGGCCTCTCCCCTCGGCCTTGGCCTTGGCGTATACTGGGCGGTGGCGCGGTGCGCTCACTCCGCCCCCAGCGGGCTGGGGCGGGGACACCGTCCCCCGGGAAACGGGACGCGCTGCTTGTCCCAGGCCTTCGCTTCGGCCTGCGAGGCTACAGCTGTGCGCAGTGGCGCGGCTGCTAAGTAGCAGCAGGTGGGAGACTAGGGTCTGCGCTCGCGGCGACCGCGGAGGAGGGTGGGCGCCTGCGGAGGTGTCCTCGCTCACTTCGGGGGGCCCAGAGTCTCGGGTGAGGAGCCAGCCGGCCTCGCGTTCCCTCGGACGGTTGCCCAATGGCAGCCCAGGTGGCAGCCCGGGAGGCGCGAGACTTCAGAGAAGCCCCGACCCTTCGCCTAACCTCGGGGGCCGGCCTGGAGGCAGTGGGCGCTGTGGAGCTCGAGGAGGAGGAGGAGAACGAGGAGGAGGCGGCGGCCAGGAGAGCGCGGAGTTTCGCCCAAGACGCGCGGGTGCGCTTCCTCGGCGGCCGCCTGGCGATGATGCTGGGGTTCACGGAGGAGAAATGGAGCCAGTATTTGGAAAGCGAGGACAACCGGCAGGTTCTTGGGGAGTTTCTGGAAAGCACCAGCCCGGCTTGCCTTGTGTTTAGCTTCGCCGCCTCGGGGCGCCTTGCGGCTTCCCAGGAGGTAAGAGGCGACGGGCAAGGGGACCTGCCCATCCAACAAAACTACCCAGGGGAGACAGCCCAGTCGCTCCCCTTTGGATTCCCGCGGGGCGCTCACTCGGGCACTTTAACAAACTTGGCTTGAAGTCCCCATCCTGAGGCCCGCAGGACTCCTCCCCACGTGCACCCACTCTGCAGTTCAGCAGCTGCAGGTTAGTTTCCTAAGTCAGCAGTTTGTATCTGACCGAGAATCCCGCGTTGAGCCTGTTCGACCAGGATAACCCAAGAACACCAGCGCTTTCTTTAGCTGCTTGGGTGTTAGGCGCCAGGTGGGCTTTCTGTGCCAAAAAACTTGCGTTTCAGTTGCTCTTGGGTCACTCTGGAGTCACATCCTTTAAAAAATGGGGTGTTTGGCAGAGCGCATGTAACTCGTCACGTATTTTGATTACGTGCCAACAACACTTCACCCCAGGCAAAAACATTAAGTCCTTAAAAAGGAAGGCCCCTGCAATCTCCGCACACATGGGTGTTTACTGAACATTTAGAGGGAACAGTTCCCTCCTTTCTTCTTTTTCTTCCTTTTCTTTTTGAATTTCGATGATTTGTCCACTAAAAGGTTAACGTATCACCTAACGTACAGCACTTGTATTTAGTATTTTTCAAGTATGATGAGTTTGGAGCAAGATTCACAATTTTTAAGTAGCGCAATGCTCAGTTTAACATGTTATGTCGTTTTATCACTAGGTGTGGTCATTGTAATAGTTGGGAAATAGGATCTCAGAGAAGAAAGAGTAATAGGAAGGCTGCCTTATGGTATTGTGAATTTTGAATTCTTTTGTTTTAGGACTCTCCTAATTGTAACTTTAAAAAAAATAAGTTTGTCAGTAGACAAGGCGATAGAACACAACTCTAGTATTACCTAAGTTAAATAGTTATTATAATGTTCAATGGAATGACTCAGTAGTTGTGGAAATGTTAGCATGTTTTGGTTATACGGTTCTATTCTTTGATAGAAATACAAATTAACCTCTTGGGCTTGTCTTTATCTCAGTTTGGCTTATTTCCAAACCAGAGAAGAGTATAAAAAATAACCCTTTAGGATTGAAACATTTCTACATGCCTACGTGCTCCTTATTTGTTTTTAGTTATAAGATTTTTTTTTTGGTGTATAATGAACTGGTATAATTGGCATGCCTTTAAAAGGTGATATTTCCACACCAGTAATGCTGTGAAATTAGCATTATAAAAGAACAAAGAAAACTGTATACTCGCTGCATACTAGGGAAGAGCCGTAGAAGGACCTTGTTTATAGGGCAGGCAAGATGCCAGGTTTTGTTTCTTCTGCTAGCAATACAGCTACAAGTTGGATATAGTAAATCCTGCTTGTTAACAAGAAAACTACTTGAACTAATTATCTTGCTCTTGTTTTAGATTCCAAGAGATGCAAACCATAAACTTGTTTTTATTTCCAAGAAGATTACTGAAAGCATTGGAGTAAATGACTTTTCTCAAGTGGTTTTATTTGGAGAGTTACCTGCGTTGTCTCTTGGACATGTATCTGCTTTCCTTGATGAGGTACTGGTCTGTCTTTAATATTTAAAGCTTTCACTTATCTCCATGACATTTGAAATTATTTAGGACAACTCCGATAATTAAAAAAAGAAGAGCTAGGAGGGGAAGGGAAGGGGATGGGGGTGGTTAAAAAAAAAAAAAAAAAAAAAAGCTTGTAGAAGCCAGGAGTCTCTAGCCAGGTGGATGGAGTCATAACATCTAGACTGTTCCTGAAAGGAGCTCATGCTTACTGATGCTAATATTCAACAGGTGGCAATTGCAGGGATCATTCTCTCCCTTTCTTCCTTCCAACACAATAGAAGCAAATAAAAAGCAACTTGAATAGGTTCTTGCACCTTAGCAGCAGGTTTTAAGCTTCACATTCAGAGTAGAGACAAATTTACACTTTGAAAATGAGTATTATCAGTTCCTTTTTATACTTGTTAGAAACTAACAGTTAAAGACTAAGATTCACTCATGGCAGATAATGGGAAAAGGTGATGAAAGTGTTAGAAATGGTTCTTAAACTTTCTTTTTCTCCTCTTAAAATAGAGAAATAGTCTTCAACCAATGTTACTGACACTTTAATGTGCATAAGAACTGCCTGGGGATTTTGTGAAAGAGGTTGGTTCATTCAGTCTAGAGTGGAGCCCGAGGTTCTGCATTTCTAACCTGTTGCTGATGCTCTTTGTTTGTGGACTAGCTTTGAAGAACAACTGCCAAATAACCAGGTTCCATGGAACTAGAACCTGGCTCTCAAACTTCGCTGAACATTAGGATCACCTGGGGGAACTTGTAACACAATGCCCCAGGTCACACCCATACCAGTTAATTTAGAACGTCCTGAATGGGAGCCAAGTAGCAGCAGTTGTTCAAGATTCCCAGGTGATTCTAATGTACAGTGAGCTTTGGGAGCCACTGGGTTAGATATCTGTCTACAAGGCCAATTTCTAAATCAGACCTCTGTAATCAGTGTAGTCCTGCCAAGGCCGATATTTAAGGTAGGAAAAATGCTGACATATTTATTGCTAGTTATTTACCAGTCTCTCATGATCACACCTCTTCTACTTTTTGAGTCTCTTCTTCTGTCTTTTTGAAGGGAGGTATTTTCCTGCTGGACTAACCAAAGTCTCTCACCCCTAACTCCTGTACCCTGCCTGGGTTTCCCTTCGCTCCTGTTGAATTTAATTGGCTTTAGCTGATTTCAGGGAGGTGCTAGGAAGACAATCTTTTAACTTCAGTACCAGGAACAATTTTTGGTATGCAGCAGGTGCTCAGATTTTAATTGAACTGAATCTGATGACTTTGGTTCAATATGAGAATCTAGACCACTATCAACTGGAACTTGGAGGGGCAGGGCTACACTGTGAAATTCTTGCTCTACTATCTGTGTCTGGCAACAGAAGATACAAGCCTTTTTCAAATTTCTCTACTCTTTCTCTCAGTACCAGGATCTGCTTAATATTCTGAAAAAGGTATGCCTGCTCCTCAACATTATGATGTGTTTCCATACCAGAGTGTATTATATATTTATACTTAGCCAAAGTATATAAAATGTCATATGGTTATTTCTTTATGTATCACGTTGGCCCACATTTCAAAAGAAACAATAATTGTGAATGCTTACCAAGACATAAAGAAAATGTCATTTGGTTCTTCTCAGTCAATATCTGGGCCCCATCCTTGGAAATTCCAATTTAAAAAATCTAGAGGGGCCTGGGCTTCTGTATTTTAAAAGTGTTTCCTCAGTAATTGTATTGAATGGTTTAAGAACTGTCATAAAGAGAAACCCCACAGTTTGAAAAGAGAAACAGAAGGTAAGTAAAGAGATCCACAGCAAAGGCACACTTGCTCTTTTATCTATAGGTGTATATGTCCTTGGTGAACCTTACTTTGGTTCATAGAGAAAGTTTATTTTTCTTACAAATGCAAAAACTACACAAACTGACAACTAAAATAAGACAAAACCTCAAATTAATTGACTTACTTTGTATATATTTAATAAAATTTATTGTAATTAATAAGTACATCCCAGGTCTATTTGTTTTAAACGATATTTCTAGAGATGCTTTAGCTGTTTGAGTTACGAATTGCTTTCCAGAGCATGTGGCTCAGAATTTCGTAGTGTTTTATCCACAGCTCATGACACAGACATTAAGTTTTAAAAGAAGTTGGCTTTGTCATGGAATAATGTGAGAAACACATTTATCCTTCCAAACCCAAAGGATGGACTCGGAGACACGCAGTACAGCAGAAGCAAGACTTTTAATGGCAGTCTTGCAAGATCGGGTGTTTAGTAGGCAGGCACACCCGGGGCAGTTACAGCAGGTAATTTACTTCCTAGCATGTAAGCCCCTCTCCCAGTTCCTCAGTGGTTGAGTACTATGGGGTTACAATATTCCTGGACATTGCCTAAGTTTGCCTGGACATATGCCCCTTATAATGTTATACCCTGGCCCCCTTCCTCACTTAATTTTTGATTTCCCAATAACGAAACTTTCTTCCCTTTTATGGGCTGACTCCTCGTCTACATTCTGTTCCTTTATCATGACTTTCTACATGCATGAGCCATGAGGTTTGTCATATCCTCAGGCTGGCTGCCAGTACTTAGATTTATCATGCCTTGAAAATTGACCGTATAAAATGTTTTCTCACAAGTTCCCTCCTCTTTTCTATTTACTTTCTTTGGTTTTATTTTTATCTAAACCCTTTTGGTTCTTGAATCACTCTAAAAGTTGTTTACTTTTTTCCTTATAGGAGAGCAACTTTAATTTGGTCTCTAATAGTAGCAGATTATTTTGCTAGTAAGTTATGCACATTTGTTTATTAATAGCTATTTTTGTGCTAGTCCCCTTACACAGGAGGAATACGACATCCCATTGCTGTTAAGACTCCTGCCACAATTATGAGAGATGTAAGGATTGAACCTATCATACCTTTTCATTTTTTAAAGCAACCTTCTACCCAACCCATTAATGGGTTATTAATTTCAGCATTTTTTGCTAGTTTGTTGGCTAGGGTTGTTCTTGTAAAGCTTTTGTGATGGTGCCATCTGGGGCGGTATTCTTGGGAATGACAACACTTCCCACCCAGCATAACACATACACCCCCTTTTTCTGCTAGTGTCATGTCTAGTGCAAGCCTGTTTTCTCAGGCTATTTGGCTGGTGGCATTTAACTGGCTAGCCACCCCTTTGAGGGCGTTCTTAGTATAACTGATGAATTTTTGTTGAATATAATAGATATAGTTAATTTAATCCATGTTTGTATTAATAGTTGACCACCAAAAGAGTGCTAACTTAAACCCAGAGCTCTTTGGTTTTGGGCCTTAAATTTATTAGGCATCCCCCTAGGGACACCTACGGAGTTAACATATATATTGGGATTAAAAGAATTTGTCAAATATCTCCAATTTTGGTGGCCATATGTATTTTCGGGTGTCTTAGGAAATGCCAGAGTGAAGGCAATTGGACTAAAGCACAAGTCCTGATCCAACTGGAAGGTAACAGGTTACAGAGGTTCCTTTTCCCACAATACCACCAGACATTAGCCTGGGGCACATGGAAAGCTGGGTAATTGCCATTGCCTGACTCACTCGTGATGTTTAGGAAGTGGATACAAGTTGAGAGTTCTCCTATGGGCTTATTGAACTCTGCCCCCTGCCTAGAGAGGCAAGAGGAGTAGTTCATATTCCCTATGGAGAATGAGGGAATTGCTCTGGGATCTGACCTCCGCAATGTGGGAAAGAGCAATGACAGACTTTTTTTTTTTTTTGAGACGGAGTTTTGCTCTTATTGCCCAGGCTGGAGTGCAATGGCGCAATCTCAGCTCACTGCAACCTCTGCCTCCCCAGTTCAAGCAATTCTCCTACCTCAGCCTCCTGGGTAGCTGGGATTACAGGCACCACTGTGCCTGTCTAATTTTTTGTATTTTTAGTAGAGACAGGGTTTCGCCATGTTGGCCAGGCTGGTCTCGAACTCCTGACCTCAGGTGATACACTCACCTTGGCCTCCCAAAGTCCTGGGAATACAGGCATGAGCCACCGTACCTGGCCAATGACAGACTTTTATAAGTCTTATTTCCCCATGCATCCTTGTCCCGGTATAGAGCCAACACAGTGCATTTCTTTAGGATTGGTATTCCATCCTAGAGGAAACAGAACCACCTGTGCCTGAAGTTGTTCCACAGCACATGCATAACACTTACTCTTGTTGAGGGCTTGTACTGAAAATTTGACCCAGGCATTCATATTCCCATACTCTAAGGTTTGCTTTAAATCCTTTACCTTAATTATTTTTACCCTTTTACGGTCATTATTTGGTGAACTAAAGCGTTTATTATGGTTTGGGGTTGGAGTAGTCCCAGGCAAATGGGGGGGTTGAGTTTTTTATTAGTTTGAGAACAAATTGCCCTAGGGGGGTTTTTCCCTGTGGTGTTTGCACCAACCCATATAACCGAGATGCTACTTTTGGTTCTTGGTTTAGAAGAGCTGGATTCTCAATGGTGATGAGTATAGGATTGCGTTTTAAATTCTGGCAGTTACTTGGTGGGGAGCCCTTGGACAGATGTAATTTATTCTTTAAGGGTCTCCAGGCTGGAGTTACCCACCCCATGTTTACTGTCCAACCCTGCAATTGGGTAGTCCACCATATAGTATCCCAGCTGGGGCAGGGTGATATTCTACTATAACCTGTATTTGGTTCAGGGAAAAGATATGTATCCACTTGAGAGAGCTGTTTCTGATTTTCCACATTCCCACAAGGTAAAACCTGGCAGGCATTAAATCTTATAGTTTGGGGTGCTACCGTCTTGGTTACATTAATAAGCAACCTGATTGAGTAGGGGGGAGTCCCCTGCCCGTTTCCATTTTGACCTGCTCTTTGTATAGTAGCCCATCCCAGCCATATTAACTTCCAAAATGGAGCCAGCCCATGTTTTGTTGTTAGATTTTTCTGGGTTAACTTGAAGGGTTCCTTAGGTGACCTGTGCACTTTACATTCGTCTTTTTTTCTCCCTTCCATTTTTTTTTAAACCACTCCCTTGACTTGAGTATAGTGAGTTCACCCCAGTTTAGCTGTTTGCACAGCCAGCTCAGTGGTCGGGAGCACTTGATAGGGACCTTTCCAGCTTAGGTGGAGCTTGTCTTCTTTCCAAGTCTGGCTCAGCACCAAGTTGCCAGGCTGGAAGTAGTGAGCCGTGAACTCAAGAGGTGAAGTTTGAGTCAGAAGTCCTTTTAACCTAAGGGATGACAGGGTGGAGTATATGGCCAGTATATAATGTCTTAAGAATTGATCCTTGGTTTCCATAGTAGGGAGATGTCTAGCTGTGCCCAAATATAGGATCTCATATAATAACTTGTAGAGGGATAATCCCAAGTCTTTTCTTGGGGCTGTTCTAATCCTAAGGAGTGCTACTGGGAGACATTTGGTTCAAGGCATTTTAAAGATTAGTTTGGTGATATACTTTTGGAGAGTTTGATTCATTCTTTCTACCTTTCCAGAGGAAGGGGGATGCCAAGGGGTGAGATAATCCCATTTAATTTGAAACCTTCCATAATTCCCCTTAACACCCTTGAGGTAAAGTGGCTCCCATTGTCAGGATTAATATTTTCCATGAGGCCAAATCTAGGTACAACCTGTTTTAATATTATTTTGACCACATTCCCAGTGGTGGCTATGGAAGGGGAAAGGCTTCCACCCAGCCAGAAAGGTGATTTACGATTATCAGTAAATTCTTTAGTCTTTCTACTTTGGGCATTTCTGTGAAATCTGCTTGAATGCTTTCAAATAATCTTAGTCCTGGAGGTCTTTCTCCCATGGCCTGTTTTATAATCACCTTTTTGTTTGTCTTTTGACAAGTTACACAACTTCCACATACTTATTTAGTGAGGGTATAAATCCCTATACACACCCATAATTCCTAAGTATTGCATCACACAGAGCCTGGGGTCCCCGAAGACTCCCTTTGTATAATATAGATATTAGTTTTCTCATGGAGTTTACTTATTTCTCTCCCATCAAGAAGTACCCATTTGCCATCTTCAGTTTGACCCCTATCCTGTCTAATTCTTCCTTCTTCTCTCTGGTAAACTAGGGCCTTAATACTACCTTAGGGACGTCTGGGATCAGGCTTGTCTTCTAATTTCCTCGTCCAGGGAGGCTTGCTCAGCAGCGCCATCTGCAAGCTTGTTTCCTGTAGGTTCTATAGTGTTCCCTTTTTGATGACCATTTACATGAGCTATGGTTACCTCTGCTGGAAGCAGGAGGCTTTCTAAAACCTGTTTGACCAGTTCCCCATGTACCAATTCCTTTCCGCTGCTATTTATTAGGCCCCACTCTGTCCAGATTTTTCCAAAAGTGTGTACCACCCCACAGGCATATTTAGAATCAGTATATACAGTGTCTTCTTGGGCTTTAAGGAGCTTTAGGGCCTGGTTAAGACCATATAATTCACAGGTTTGGGCTGACCAGCTATTAGGTAATCTACCTTTCTCACACAAGAAGTGTTTATTCCCATAAATGACAGCATGGCCATTATGTCTCTTGCCATCTATCACATGGGACGACCTATCCACAAATAGCCTTATCCCATCATGTAGTGGAGCTTCCCTAAGGTTTGGTCTAACTTTTCTTTGGTATTCTATGATATCTAAGCAGTTCTGGTCTGATGTCTCTCTTTTTCTCCTCTCCTTTCCATAGGAAACCAGCTGGATTTAGGCAAATATTTGTTGTTATGAGCAAATAATTTTTTTAACTACTATGGCTTCATATTTTAGAGTCTGAGAATCTGTTAACTATCTCCTGGCTTTTGACTTAATATATTCCTGACCCAGTGTGGGTTGCTTACTGTTAGGGCCCCACCAAAGGTTAGCTTTCCACTCTCCTAGCAGCAGGGCTGTGGCAGCACTGCTTGTACACATTCGGGCCACCCCTGAGAGACAGAATCAAGAAGCTTGGAGGCAAAAGCAACAGGTTCCCTCTTCCCTCCCCAGGTTTGAATGAGCACCCCAAGGGCCGCGCCCTGGTCCATTGTCACATACACATGGAATGGTTTCTCTAAAGAAGGGAGGGCCAGGACCAGGGCTGTAATGAAGGCCTGCTTTAGCTGTTTTACTGCCTGAATTTCCTTTGGGACCATTGCAAGGGGTCGGGTTTCTCTTCTAGTAACTTGAGATACAGAATCTTTTTTTGAGCATGAGTTAATTTATTACATACAGTAGCCAGTTAAACCTAAAAATTTTTGGAGTTCTCTCTTTGTCTTAGGCAAAGGCAGACCCACTATTCCCAATATTCTTTCCGGGTTTATTCTTCGCTTCCCTTTACTAATTAGGTGTCCTAAATATTTAACTTCTTTTTCTACAAACTGCAATTTGTTCTTAGAGACTTGCAATCTCCATTCGTCTATGAAATTAAGTAAGCTTATGGTGGTTTCTGATACCTCGGCCCTCTTCTCCCCAGAAATTAAAAGATTATCTGTGTATTATAACAACTGGGTTCCCCTGGAAGGTTGGAATTTCTCCAGGACCTTTTCTAAGATTTGACGAAATACATTTGGGGCTTCCATGAAACCTTGTGGCAGCACAGTCCAGCGGTACCATTATTTTCTCCCAGTTAATAGGATTTTCCTATTTAAAGACAAAGAGGTCTCTGCTCCTGAAGTCTAGGGACATGCCCAGAATACATCTTTTAGATCCACCACACTGAACCACTTATGTTCATAGGGTATCTTACTGAGGAGGGTGTAGGGGTTAGGCACCACAGGGTGGTAGGTCTGGACAAGTTGATACATACCCCTTAGATATTGCACCAATCTGAACGACCCATTAGGCTTTTTGACTGAGAGAATTGGAGTGTTGTACGGGTGACATGCAGGGTTTTAATAGTCCATTTTTCATTAATCCCTTTATTACTAGCTGGTGATATTTTCTCCCTTCAGTATAAATGGGATTTTTTTTTTTTTTTTTTTTTTTTGCAAACTACTTCTCTTGGTTGTTTTAGTTTAATTTGTAAGGGTGTGATTTTTAACCCTCCCCTGTTGCCTTTTCTAACCCAAACAAGGTGATTAATTTTCTTTCCTCCTCCTCTTTTGGGAGGCCCATTATTACTTTTATTTGTCCTTCCTTTATTCCTAATCCTAAACCCAATCCCACAATCATGTTTTGACCCAGGATGTTAGTTTCTGCTTTAGGAACATATAAGAGTGACCAGTTTGTTTTGGTCCCAATCTAATTAACATTTTCTTGAATATCAGAACCTGAAATCCCTCCCCTTTTACCCGACACTATCAATTTTTCCTTAGAGAGTTCTGTACCCCTTGGTTGGTGACTTAGGGAGGAGGGATCCACACCAGTATCAACCAAAAATGTCACTTCTTCTCCCTCGGGTCCCACCTTCAGATTTATTCAGGATTCCTGGTGGGTGGGACCTACTCAGAAGGAACTCCCCCCACAGTCTTCATCAACGGTCATGAGGTGGATCACCATTTCTTTTTTCCATTTAGGGCATTCTTTTTTAAAATGCCCTGGCTTTACATACTTGTAACATCCCCTCATAGTCTTAGGAGCTTTTCCATGTATTTCACCTCTTTCTTTGTGTCGAAATCTGTCATTCGCCTTGTCTCCTTCAAGGAGGATCTTGATCTAACCTTTTTTTGATTACCTCTTCCACAGTGGAACCATGAGTTTCATTTTTATTTATGCTTTTCTTCCTCTCTCCCTACAAAGACCTTCTGAGCCTCCCTTAGTAATTTCTTAATTGGTTTCTCATTCCATCCATTAATCCTTTGTAATTTTTTTTTAATGTCAGGCCAGCTCTTTCTTACAAAGTTAACCTTCAAAAGGCCTTGCCCTACTGGGTCCTCTGGATCTAATCTGGAGTATTTTCTTAACTAGTCTCTGACCCTGTGCAGGAATGCGGAGGAAGTTTCCTCTTTTGGTTTTTGTTGAATCTCCAATGCCTTTGAGACCTTTTGTGTCCCAGTAGTGGACTTTTTGATCCTTTTTATTATTAGTTCCCTGAGGTTCTGCATTTGTGTCTGTTCTCTGGGATTTTTTTTTTTTTTTTTTTTTTAGGGGAAGTCTCACTCTGTTGCGCAAGCTGGAGTGCAGTGGTGCAATCTTGGCTCACTGCAACCTCCACCTCCCAGGTTTAAGTGATTCTCCTGCCGCAGCCTCCTGAGTAGCTGAGATTACAGGTGCGTACCACCATGCCCAGCTAATTTTTGTATTTTTTAGTAGAGATGAGGTTTTGCCATGTTGGCTAGGCTGGTCTTGAGGCCCTGACCTCAGGTGATCTACCCATCTCGGCCTCCCAGCATGCTGGGATTATAGGCATGAGCCCTGCACCTGGCCCCTTGGGATCATTATTATCTCGTTTGGGATTGACATTTGGAAATTTTTGTTCAGCTGGCAAGACGTCTTGCCCAGCAGGTTGTTACCTCTCCCAGATGGTTATGGCCCCTCTCCTAATCATTCCCCTTTCTTTTCCTGTGAAAAGGATACTTGTGATAGATATCATTTCAGCCCAGGTATAAAAACTGGATTCTAGGAATTGGTTCAGCTGGTTTGCTAAACCCAGGGGATGTTTTAGAAGTGGTTTCATTTCCTTCTTGAAATTCCTAACTTCAGTACTTGTAAGAGGAGCATTTACAAAGCCAGTCTCTCCCTGTCTATGGGAGCTTCCCTAAGAGGGAATATGCTAGATGTCTGCTGTGTGGAAGGGATAGGGAAGTTCTCAATATCCCTCTTACACTGTTCTAATTATTTTCTCAAATTTGGATAAGGATTTAAAGGAGCAATTGGTTCGACTCTGCCATGGTCTGCAGGTCTTTCTTCCTCTAACCCTCCTGCTGCCCCTTGATTTTCCTGTCCCCTATTTTGTGAGACACATGGAGGGGGTATGGATGATAGGGGGTCCCAGGGCTTTTCACTGGGCAGGAACTTTTTACTAGGCTTCTTTTCTTCTTTGAAGGGGAACATGGGGGCTAATTCCTTGATCCAGCAGAGAGTGTAGCCCATCTCCTCTTGTGAGGATGGGGTTTTATCATTCACATAGAGAATTAAAGCTTGGTACACCCAATTTTTATCTGAGCCAAACTTAGGCCACAAGACCAAAGGCTTACGAATGGGGTCTTTAGGCTAGATAAACAGCAACGCTTTATCATCTTTTGCCTTTCCTTGTCCCTGATTCAAGGGTTGTCACTCCAAACCTCATTCTTCCCAAAGGACTATCTGGGGGAATGTCAGAGGGAGTCTCTTTGGCTCCCTCTTTCCTTTGGCCCATAGGCCTAGAATTTCTGTCTCCCATTTTTGGTCAGTCTTTGTGTCCAAGCTTTTCCCTGTGTACTCAACCCCCAACTACTGGAGGTTTCTTGCACACCCCAATTGCTTTGCCTGTCTCTGGACATTTCCCTCATGGGAGAACAGAACTATGGATTGGGATTCGAACTCCGCACTTGCTTCATATCTATGTTATATCTCAGTTACACACACTTGACCTCTGAAAATGCCCAACCACCAAGGCAGTACCTATAGTCCAATTTTCCTCCCTTGGCTTGTGCATGACGTTGCCTGGTTGCCATGGTGCCTGCTTTTCTCCCTGTGTTGCCTCCACTGCCTCCTGAATAAGTCTTGGGTTTGTTTATGGCCTCTGCAGGGATCCAGGACGCCTGGATAGAGTGGGCCACTTAAATTTTGTGGGACGTGTTTCTGCTCTCGACTGGAGTCCTTCTCTGCACAGGCACAGAGATCCCAGACGGGCCCCCAAGTTTGTGAGAAACACATTTACCCATCCGAACCCAAAGAATGGACTTGGAGACATGAAGAACAGTGGAAGCAAGACTTTTAATGGCGGTCTTGCAAGATTGGGTGTCTGGTAGGCAGGCACACCCGAGGCAGCTACAGCAGGTCATTTATCTCCTAGCATGCAAGTTCTTCCCCCATTTCCTCATTAGTTGAGTACTATGGGGTTACAATTCTCACAGACGGTGCCTAAGTTTCATTATCCCCCTTATAAGGTTATACCCTGGTCCCTTTCTCTGCTTAAGTTTCGATTTTCCAACAGTGAAACTTTCCTCCCTTTTAGGGGCTGACCCATTCTCTACATTCTGTTCACTTTTTGTGACTTTCTAGGTGCATGAGCTGTGCGATTTGTCACATCTGCAGGCTGGCTGCCAGTATTTAGATTTACTATGCCTCAAAAATGGACCCTTTAAAATGTTTTCTCAGAATAGTAAATAGAGTGAAGTCTGAAACAGTACCCAGTACGTTAGAAATGTTGAATAACTTTAATTTTCTTTGAGCCTGACTTTTAGAAAAAGCTGTTGATATCAAGGATTTAATCTAGAAAACAGTCTCCCAGTAGGTAATGCATGTTCAGCCCAACAAATCTAAACTTTTTTCTTTCCAATTTTTATCTTAGATTCAAGGGGTGCATGTACTGGTTTGTTACCTGGGTAAATTGTGCATCATGGGAGTTTGGTATACAGAGAGTTTGTTACCCAGGTAATCAGCATAGTATCCGATAGGCAGTTCTTTAGTCCTCACCCTCCTTCCACCCTCCACCCTCAAGAAGGCCACAGTGTCTGTTGTTCGTTTCTTTGTGCCCATGTGTACTCAATGTTTAGCTCCTAGTTATTAATATAAGTGAGAACATGCATGGCCAGGTGCGGTGGCTCGCACCTGTAGTCCTACCACTTTGGGAGGCCAATGTGGGCAGATAACTTGAGGCCAGGAGTTTGAAACCAGCCTGACCAACATTGCAAAATCTCGTCTCTACTAAAATACGAAAACTAGCTGGGCATGGTGGCACATGCTTGTAATCCTGGCTACTCGGGAGGCTGAGGCAGGAGAATCGCTTGAACCCAGGAGACATGGAGGATGGAGTGACCCGAGATCTTGCCACTGCACTTCAGCCTCAGTGACAAAGTGAGACTCTGTCTCAAAAAAAAAAAAAGTGAGAACATACAGTATTTGGTTTTTCTGTTCCTGTGTTAATTTGCTTAAACCTAAACTCTTCAGCCTGTTTGCAGAGTTCTTCACAAACTACCCGTGCCGTCCTCACAGCCCAAGTATTGCCATTTCTCTCAGGGGTACTGGCTCTATTTCCAGGATGGTCAAACTGGCAGTTTCCTACAAGCACCATACTCCCTGAGTCCCCATGATTTTTATCAGTGTTCTAATTTCTGGAATGCTTGTTGTCTTACTCTGTTCAGGTTGCTATCACAAAATACCACAGACTTGATGGTGTATCAATACTGGACATTTATTTCTCACAGTTCTGGAGCTGGAAGTTCAAAATCAAGCCAGTAGTGAATTCGGGTATCTGAAGGCTGCTTCATGGTTTGTAGACGGCCCCTTCTAGCTATGTCTTCACATGGTGGAAGGGGCGAACAAGCTCCGTTGGTCCTATTTTATGGAGACACTAATCCCATTCATGAGGACTCAGCCGTCATGACAAATACACCTCCCAAACACTCCACCTCCTAATACCATCATTTTGGGGGTTAGGATTTCAATATATGAATTTTCAGAGGACACATATTCACACCATAACACCTGCCTTGCCCTGTTCTTTCATCTTAAAGATTCAAACCAAGTAACAACTTTTCTGGCAAGTCTTTCTTAATACCATTCTCTCCCAGAGGCAGATATTTCTCCCGTGTTTTCATATGCATCCTGGACATACCTCTAATCATGGCAGTTCTTATCTTGACTGTCATAGTTCCAGGATCTCACCTACTGAGCTCACTGAGGGCAGGGACTATCTTGTACTAATCTCTGTATTACTAGCTTGACATGTAATGGGTGCTAAGTAGGAAAAGGTAATAATAATATTTGGAGACATTTGTTTGAACACCATTCAAAAATGAAAGTGAATTTTCAGCTTTTTGTTTAACTAGAAGATTGTATTGTCAAACTAAACTCTAAAAAGGTAGAATAAACATTTTCTGAGCATTTTGGCTAATTCAAGTTTTATAGTAAAATGTTTATAAACTGGACAGATTATATATAGATTATATCAGAAAAATGAAAAAATGTTTAAAATGAGTAGATACTTGAAGGGAAAGCAAGAAGAGACCAACTTCATTAATGCAGCATTCTCTTATTAATTACATAATATATGCCAGGCTCTAGAAATAGGAAAAATACTTTTTCAGAGTTTTCACATAGTTTCATTGATGTTTCCCGTTTCATGGTAGAAGGAGTTCTGAATAAGGTCCATGTGGCTGAATAAACATCTTTCTGACTACCCAAACTTTAATCCTCTGGGATGCCACCTAGGGCTTGAGAAGATTAATTTACTTCTAGCTTCCATATGATTCAGAAAGATTGTTTTCATTAATGTGCCTGCCAGTGTGCTCAGTTTGCATCATGAGGGCAGTTTACCTACTTGACATAGCTGCTTATTTCATGCAGTGTTTGAGTTATTGGGAACCTCCACAAATGTTTGATAAATGGGTAAATGAATGAACAAGCAGTATGCTAATTCCACTTTGACAGAATTTATGTCTAATTGATTAAATCTAAATGGGTCACTGACTTTATCCTCTCTTTGTAGATTTGATATCATTGGATATTTATGAAATTGGACAGTTTTGTTGCCAATTTTGTACGACAAGAAAATCTTTGAAGGAATGCATTGTCTGTAAATTAATTTAACTATGTTTCTCTTTCTCTAGATTTTAGTGCCAGTTCTTTCTAATAAGAACAACCATAAGTCCTGGTCCTGTTTTACTTCACAAGATATGGAATATCACATAGAAGTCATGAAAAAGAAGATGTATATTTTTAGGGGCAAAATGTCTAGAAGAACTCTTCTACCAATTCCCACTGTTGCAGGAAAGATGGATCTGGATCAGAATTGTTCAGAGAACAAGTACGTAACAGTACAATATATACAGGATATTAAAGTAGAGAGCCAGGCCAGCACGGTGGCTCATGCCTATAATCCCAGCAATTTGGAGGCTGAGGTGGGAGGGTTGCTTGATCCCAGGAGTTCAAGACTAGCCTGGGCAGCATAGTGAGATCTCATCTCCACAAATAAAATAAAATGGAAAGTGAGCATACCCATTTAATATCACACCTCTAGCAAACCCATTAGCAAACAGAGAATTACAGCTACATCATATTTTTAAAATAAGTGCAGAAACACCATGTGAATTATTTCCTTTTAAAGTATGCTTTTAAAAAGCAAATTATACAAAAAGCAAACTGTAGTAATTGCCATGCCAGTAACATTATTCCTTTAGTAAAATAGTTTTTGAGGATATAATTCTTTAACAGTGTTTTTTGAGGTTAGAGATATGTCACTGACAGAATAACGTAACCCCACAACTCAAATCAAGACCATAAAAATAATGGATTTTCAAGAATTTATTTTTAGGAAACTAGTTTATGGATGCCTAAAATAACTATTAAAGTCTATGTCTTTGGATAAAATGATTCATCTTTGAATTATTTTATTATCTTAATGTTTGTAGGCCACCGTCAAACGAAAGGATAATACTTCATGCAATTGAATCTGTGGTTATTGAATGGTCACATCAAATCCAAGAAATTATAGAAAGAGATTCAGTGCAGCGTTTGTTGAATGGTCTTCACTTGTCTCCTCAAGCAGAACTAGATTTCTGGATGATGAGGAGAGAAAATCTGTCATGCATTTATGATCAAGTAAGTAGATAGCCCTAGAAATTATAAATTAAATTAGCAAAGTGTCCTGAGCTGCAATGACCAATAGTTTTAAAGATTTAACACACTGTCTTTGTATAATTTACTGGTCTGCCCTCTTTTCTTAATCCAGAGTTCTGTGTGTGTGGTGTGCACTTTTGACATTAATTTAAAGTAACTTTGCCTTTCTGAGAATATTTTGACAGCATTTGAGATGATTGGAAATATTGTGCTACCTTGGAAGAGCAGTACTTACCCAGGGAAGCGTTGAAGACTGGAAAATTTAATTAGTCAACTTAATTGATTTGGGAAGGAGTGAGGTCTTGCTTGGTAGAGAGACACAGCTTTGGAAAGACTAACTTTGGTTCCTCTGCTGGGTGCTTGCCATACAAATTACTTACTTAAGGTTCTAAAAGTTAAGACATCCATTCACATGTCTTTTGGAGATTTTCTGAAACAGAAATTTTATATGGAAAAATTAATATTTTACATATATAATATATTAGGTTCTCTAGATGGATCAACTAATAGGATATATGTATATATGAAAGGGAGTTGATTAAGGAGAATTGACTCACAGGATCACAAGGTAAAATTCTACAATAGGCTGTCTGTAGTTGAGGAGCAAGGGAGCCAGTTGTGAATCAGTCTGAGTCCCAAAACCTCAAAAGTAGTGAAGCCAACAGTACAGCCTTCAGTCTGTGGCCAAAGGCCCAAGAGCCCCTGGCAAACCACTGGTGTAAGTCTAAGAGTCCAAAAGCTGAAGAACTTGGATTCTGATGTTCAAGGGCAGGAAGCGTCCAGCATGGGAGAAGGATGAAGGCCAGAAGACTCAGGAAGTCTGCTTTTCCATCTTCTCCTGCCTGCTCTATTCTTGCTGCTCTGGCAGCTGATTAGATGGTGCCCACCCAGATTGAGGGTGAGTCTGCCTCTCCCAGTCCATTGACTCAAAATGTTAGTCTCCTTTGGCAACACCCTCACAGACACACCCAGGAACAATACTTTGCATCCTTCAATCCAATCAAGTTGACACTCAATTATAACTATCACATATAATAATATATATCCAAATTTAAAAACCTAAATGCAAAATAAAATACAAGGCTAAGAAAAAAATGTATTTTTAAAATTATTTTCAACTGGAAACCAGATATAACTTTGAGTGTTAAATACTGTATCACTTGTGAGTGAAATGGAATTTAAATATTTTATTACAGAATGCATGTATTTAGTAATCGAGTTTATATTTATTAAAGTTCTTCTTTTTTTCCTTTAACTTAGCTTCAGGCACCTGTTGTCCTCAAAATGGTTAAGATCCTGACAACTAAACAAAGCAGCTATTTTCCTACTCTGAAGGACATTTTTCTGGCTGTGGAAAATGGTAAGACTCTTGTTCCTCAGCCTGGCATCAATATCACCATCTGCTCATGATCCAGCCCCTGCCTGCTCGGCCTTGATATTTACCCTTCCGCCATGTTTGTGGAGTGATTGCTCATGGCTCTTCTAATGATAAATTCATCTCACCCTTTGTACTATATTCTCCACCCATACTAAACTACTTTTAGTTTATCTGGTATATAGTAGTACCTGCCAAAATGGCTCCAGATTGAAATTTTAATTAGAATGTTTGTGGAGGAGTGAGGCCTTCATTCGGAGTTAAAAAAAAAAAATAAGTCTGGATAGAGGTTTTCCAATCAACAGATTGGGCTATGGTGAGTCTAGTTATTCATCAGTTCAGTTCTCTGAGTGTGCTTGGTAACCAGTTATTTAGCTTGCAAACACTCAAAGCCATCATTGAAGTTTTGGTGAAGATTAAATGTACAGAGTGGAGGGTTTGTTGAACTTTGAATAGACAATGCATGCATCTTGTTACAAACCAGGAATCATAAAATGATATCCAGTCGAAAGTCTTCTCACCATCCTTGTCCTTCCACTCTCTAGTTTCAGCCCCACCCAAAGATGACAACCCTGCTCAGTTCCTTGATTTCTGTTCATGTTTCTTTGCACATGTATAAGCATTTAGTTATGGATATACATGATACTGTGGTTTTAAATAATAAAATAGATAATATGGACAAGTAACTTTTTTTGTTTCTAATATTAAAAAGTTTATTTTTTCCCACGTGACATTTGGAAAGTTAGGAAATACTGAAAATTCACTTCAAAAATGTTTTAATACATCTTTAGGGTTTTCTGCATGAATTCTGTTTAAAAAGAGGGCATAAGATAAGGAGGAATATATACAGCAGGGGCTCTGTAAGATCTGAATTCCTGTCCCAACCCTGCTTACTGAGCATTTTAAATTTGCTAAGCCTCTGGTTTTTCATTGGCCAAATTGGCCTATTAACACCTTCCTTGAAGAGTTGCTATGTGGATTTAGTATTTCTTAATCTTGTCATGATCAACATTTTGGGTTAGATAATTTTTTTGTTGTGGGGGGCCATCTTACATATTGTAGGATATTTAGCAGTATCTCTGGCCTTTACCTGCTGGCTCCATCCCTGTTGTGATGATCATAAATGTCTCCAGACATGGCCAAATGTCCCCTGGGGGCAAGATTTCTCCTGGTTGAGAATCACTGGGTTAAGGATAGCATATTATACACTATGCAAGGTACTAGACATGTAGTAAGTATGCTTCAATAAATAGAAGCTGTTGGCATTTTTTTTTCTGTGTTAGCATAAGATGAAAATTTTCTCTGGCTACAGATTCTGCAGGAATGAATCCCAGGGTTCCTCTGAGCCTTATGCATGTGTGGCCTGGAGATTCAGGAAGAAAACACTTCTCAATAGAACAAGTGGCTCAAACTCATGGTCAAGTTGAAGGAAGAAAGCTCTTCTCAAAGACACACTTCAGGCATTGTGGAGTCACCACACATGCTGATCACATTTTAAGGACACTTAATATTTAAGGGCACTTACCTACTAGATACGATTATATAATTTTGACATAAACATTGATAAAAATAGTAATTTTGAAACATGAGTACATCTGGGAAAGAAAATAATTCCTGAACATTCTTTTTATTCTCAGGGCTTTATTGTTACATAGACAGATGAACTGGTTACACAGACAGATTAATTGGTTACACATCAAGTGTCTGGGTTCATCCTTGACTCCTGGTGACAAAATTCAGCAGGGTTTTTTTTGTTCTTGACACAAGTCTTTTGGGTTAACAACAAAAACTAGAATTTACTTGACTTTGTTCCCTACTTTCATAATAAAATTTGTTCTCAGTTCCTCAAGGGTATTTGTAGCCTTGGGAGCAAAATGGAATCTCATGGAGATCCATTTAGGGTATATTAAAAGGATCAGTGCTAAGCAAGAGAAAACTTTGGATTCAATTAAGCAGTCATTAATGAGAGTTAAATATTTAAATTTTTTTTCATATCTATAGCATTTTTTTGTTTGATTTTTTTCTTCCTTTTTCTTTTTTGGAGACAGGGTCTTGCTCTGTTGCCCAGGCTGGAGTGCAGTGGTATGATCATGGCTCACTGCAGCCTCGACCTCCCAGGCTCAAGTGATCCTTCCACCTCAGCCTCCTGAGGAGCTGGGACCACAGGCAACTGCTACCATGCCCAGCTAATTTTTAAGTTTTTTGTAGAGATGGGGTCTTGCTATCTTTCCCAGGCTGGTTTCGAATTCCTAGACTCAACTAATCCTTCCGAAGTGCTGGGATTACAAACATGAACCACTGCACCTGGCCCGCTGTAGCATTTAAAAAAAATATTTACCATGCTTAACATTTGTTCTATTGAAATAAACTTCACATAACATAAAATTAACAATTTTAAAGTATGTAATTCATTCCAGTTTTAGTACATTCATGATGTTGTACAACCTCACCTCTGTCGAGTTTCAAAATCCTTTCATCACTGTACTTAACAATTTTAAGTTAAACCTTTATTAATGATATAATTTTTCTCAATCATTGCATGAGTTACTGTCATAGGAAACTGGAATGAGAGAGTAAACAATTCAATTGTGCTCATACCAAGTTCCTAGAAGGAATTAACATTCTAGTGATGAAGTTTGTAATCCAAGCCATAAAGTGACAACATTGCAGAGAGGTTTTATTCCGACAGTTTCCACAGGGTTGAGTAAATTTCTTTAGACTCCAGGGGTATTTTCCCCTTGGGTTTTCCATCACAATTTATTTATGCTATGTGGGTAACTAGATCAGTGCTCTCCCAGATGACTCAGTTACAGATGGACAGCGTATAAGTCTTCCAAATTGCTCGTGTGTAGATTGTAGGATAAGTAATATAAAAGGAACTATGACAACATTTAAGTGTGGCCATGTTGTTTTACGTGGCTCTCTTCTACATGTAAAGTGAATTTAGAAAAAAAAAAAAAACAAACCAGAATCACGTTAATGGTGGTTCTTTGCTTTCAGCTCTTCTCGAAGCCCAAGATGTGGAACTTTACCTGAGACCTCTGAGGAGACACATCCAGTGTCTCCAGGAGACGGAATTCCCACAGACACGCATATTAATCGCTCCATTATTTCATACCATCTGTCTGATCTGGAGTCATTCCAAGTTTTATAACACCCCAGCTCGGGTTATAGTTTTATTGCAAGAGTTTTGTAATCTCTTCATTAACCAGGTATGAAGCATCAAAAAACAGGAACAATAAGAATTGTTGCTGTGAGGTAGGTTTTACGAGACTAGTGAAGAATAATCTAGTATACAGTAAGAACACCATCTTTCTTTTTCTTTTTTCAGAAAGGACATTTTTGGTAACAAAGGCCAGGTAACCTTTTAATCCTAAATGGCAGGAAGCTATGAAAATAAGTCAGACATAATCAAAGGACAAGTTGTTGCTTGGTTTTGTTTAACATCTGTACCTTTCTTCAAAAGGCTTTAAGGCAGCTTCCAGCAAAAGACAGACATGTGTAGTACCTTCTTTGTAGCCTTCCCTTCGGTTTTCACAGAAACACTGGCTGATAAAAGCCTTTTGGAAAGTGTGGTAAGTTAAGAGCATCTGGCAAAAAGAAAATCCTAAAAAAGTAGTAGAATTGTATTGAAAAAATTCTGATTCATTGCTGATCTTTTAAAATCTCTTTTGTAATTGTGTCTCTATTCCTTACTCAACCTGCAAAATGTTAAAAAAAAAAAAATTTAAAAAAAGGACCACCTTCCTCTGTGTCCTCATCCTGTCTGTGTGAATGTGGATTCTTCCATGTTCACAGTACCAGAGGGTATTACATAATTTGAGAGGTAAAAGATACTTGGATGCTACATAATCCAGTGGTTCTTATTTGGAACCACTTAGTCTTAATCTTCTCAGGCTGCCATAGCAAAGTACTATGGATTGGGTAGGTTAAACATCAGAAATTTATTTTCTCACAGTTCTAGAGGCTGAAAGTCTCAGATGAGGGTGCCAGCGTGCTCAGATTCTGGTGGGGGCCCTCTTCCTGGCTTGCTGATGGCTGGCTGCCTTCTCACTGTGTCCTCACTTGGCCATCTTCCTCTTGTAAGACCACAGGTCCTGTCGGATTAAGGCCCCATCTTTACAACCTCATTTAATCACAGTTACCTCCTAAAGACCCTATATCCAGATACAGTCACATTGGGAGTTAGGCTTTCAATATTTATCAATTTGAATGGACACAATTCAGATATTTTTCAAATGAATTAACCAAGACTTGAAAAATGATGTTATTTGCTCAATTTCCCTGAGCAGTTAGGAGGAAAGCCAGACCAAAGAACAGGTCTGCAGACTTGCAGCTTAGAATTTTTGGAGTATGAGGTTGCATTGTTAATATTTTTCATCTCTCTTCCCTCTCTGATTCTGAAAAGATAGAGTGGTGTGTGGGAAAGGCTTTGGACCTAGACCAACCTGGATTGAAATCTAATTTTCTCACTTAAGGGAAGTTCAATTACTCCTCAGTTCCCACATCTATCAGTGGGGATAATGCCTAGTCCATGGCTATTGCGAGGATTCAAAGATAACCTAAGTGAAATGCCCAGCGTAGTGCTCGGTGTTTAATCGAGGCTCAGTAAATGTTAGTTGCCTTCTGTTCTTTTGCCCAAACTATTGACTTACAGGCTAGTTGCAGCTGGTGGTAGCAGATAACAACAGGTCGATTCCTTGCTATATTTTACCATCATCTCCTCTGGTTTTGTTCAATATCTGTTACTCTGTTGGGCAAACTCAGTTTTGCCCTTTTGTTAAACAGGTTCCCTGGGTCCTAATGGCGCGGGTCTCTATGTAAAACACCACAATCCCTGTTGCAGGGCCAAAAACTACGACCACCACTTCCCCCAAACCCCTTTTTAGGGACCTATTTCTCATTTTGAGAATAATTGAAACTGTTTCACTGCAAATCCTTGTTAACGTATGAATCACAGAGGAGACCATTTGTTGGCATAGGTGACTTATTTTAAGTCCTAGTTACCCGTAAGCCTGTAAACTTCTCATCCCTGGCTTCTAGTCTTTCAACAGCCAGAGTCTGCCAAGCTCCTGATAAAATAATGTGGCTTCTCTTGTTCCTTAGTTCTGGCTTCTATCCAAAGGTTTCATTGACCCGATTCCTTTGATTCTATGAACGGCAGATTTCAGACTTTGTGGTAAATATGCCCAACATGTTAGGAGTCAAAAGTTAACAATTAGCCAATGTCCATAGCTGGTTCCCTGAAGCACTAACCACCCTGCCACCAATTTTACTACTTTTATATAGTTATTTAACAAATATTATATAGTACTTATTTTGTTCAGGAGCTTTTCCAAGCCCTTTACAAAAATTCAAAAGTTACACCCTCATAGCAACACTATGACGTAGGTATTATTAGTAGCTTCATTTTATAATGAAAAAAAAAAAAACACTGAAGCCTAAGAAGATAAGTAACTCTCCAACCCAGCAAGTCAGTAATAGAGTTCTCACCCGTTATACCATGCTCCATATTTTAAAATAAGTTTTTTTAATGTCTGAATGTGACCTAATACATGGTATGCTAACGATAATTGTAAAATATTCTCATTGCATAATGTTGGAACATTGGAAATGGTTCTGGAGTTTTATCACTCTATTATTAAAGCATTTTTATTTTTCTGTCCTCCTAAACTTATATATATTTATACATTTTATCATGCATACAATTTTGTACTAACTTCTTGAAAGATTATTTTGTTATTGCTGTATATGTAAGTTGCTTCCAGCCTCCTTGATTGTAAACAGTATGCAGAAAAAAACTATACAAAGATCCCCTCTTTTGACTGGAATGATTGGCTTACTATAAATTCCTGATGTTGGTCAAAGGGTACAATCTTTTCATGGCTCTTGAGCAATATTTAATACTTTCAAATTATTTTCTAAAAGGTTATATCAATTACATTGTTATTATCAATGTGTAAAAGCTTTCACTATGACCTGTCAACTTGGAGCATTGCCATCTTTAAAAAAATTTGGGGTCATTTATTGGGTATCTAGTGGTAACATGTTTTTAAATTTGTACCTTGCATGATATATGTGTGATTACACATTTTATGTTTTCTATAATTGTATTTCCTCTTGTCACCTACATGTTCTTTGCGTTCATGAATTTATTGATAAAGTTTTTGTGAAAATTCAAGCCCTTCCTATGTTACATATTAGAGGTCATAAGCTGACATGCTGTCAGCTCATTCGGCCCAAGGATCAATGCAGTGTTTTTATTTTGTATAATATTTTTAACTTAAAATTGTTAATACTTAAATTGGATAGATCTCATTTAAATGCCAGCATTTCAGCCTCCACTGAAAACTCAGAGATCTTGCTACAGTGCTTGCACCATCCCCACAGGCGCAGCCAGTGACTGTAACTTCAAATGCCCCTTAAGGTGGAACAGGTGCTGTGTAGATGACCATGACCTTCACTGTTCACTGTCCTTTCTGATCTACTTTACTCAGTTTCATTACATGCTTGACCCTATGACGGGAATGCCAGTCAGAGTCGGAAACTCTTTGTTACTTTAAAAGCAAATGTATTTCTTTTCTCTTGTTTTCTAGCAGTGAACATTAACATCATTATCTAGGCCAGACACATAAAAGGCATCACCTGTTCACCTTGCGTGCTAGCACAGGCTTTGGTAGTGGGGTCTTAATGCCTTGCCTTTCTTCTCTGGTAACCTGACACTACTCCATGGTCCTTGTGTGTCATTACCACTCTAGACACTACGTTGTCTATTCCATGGCTTGGTGTATCTATTGTAGATATTGTCACCTACAAGATCCTAGGTGAGGAAGAGTTAAAGTCTGAGTAGTCGAGTGTGGAGTGGAGCTGTCAGGACTGAGCTAAAATAACAGTCCATAAAAACACATGCAAAAGAATAGAGAAGCAGCAGCAGGGAGACGAGCCTCAAACTAACAATATCATTGGTAAATTGGTTAATTGATCATTAGCTTATTGATAAATAAGTTGGTAAGCAGTGTTTTAGTTTATAAGACCTCTGAAGTGGGACTAGTTCATCCTAAATCTAGTGGCTTTTAGCTTGTTTGTGCTGGTACCATTGAGTGTGCGATGATAGAGCTGGTGTGGTTAGGCGTGCTCCAGACTGGGTACTGTGAGAGGTAGAAAAGAATTTAGAGTTTATGAGCTAAAAGGGATTTTGAAGTTCACCTAATTCATTTCCCTCATTTTGCAGCTAAGGAAATAGATCCTCTGAGACAACTTAGCTAGTATCACAAAAGTAGTTTGTGGCCCCTAGTAGGGTCACAGCCAGCCCCTGCGTCGGGTCATGCTTTTTCCTTCACACGTTCTGCCTCCCCGTGCAAGGAGACAGACTGAGTGTTTTCATTTAGGACATTAAGTGCCATCTTAGGAGGCCTTACTCAACAGTGGGCTGTATGAACAGGAGGTTCTTTGTCTATGATTGTCTCATCTATGCGAGGGGCCAGCCAGGAAGCACAGGAATAAACATTAAGCATGACTTGTCCTAGGGATGTTACTTTACATACAAGTAATTAGGTAACAGGGGGCTGCTGAAGCAGAAAGGGCCACTCGAGCAAAAGATGGAGTCGTTTGCCATAGATTTTTCAGCATCCTAAAAAGACACATTTACTATAAAGAATACATAGAGATAAAGGTATATGGAATACACCATATGCCACATCAAAGTGTCAACTCTTTTAAAATTCACATTGCTGAGGGATTCCTGGTGGTTCTCTTCACTGCCCTGAATGACTTGCTGTTATAGCACCCTCATGTGGAGGTTAATTTTCTATCTAACCTGACAGGGAAATAAAAGCATAGATTGGGAAGGAGTCTAATCAGTAGGGGTTTTAGACACTAAATGAATGATTTCCTTATTGCCTTACAAATTCATGGCACAGAGCCTATATTGCATGTAAAACTGTTTTCATTAATGGGAAATGAAAGGTCATATGCCTACATTTAGGGAAGAAGTGCTTCCCTCTGCTATTTTGAACTCAGGGCTTTCATTACATTATCCATTGACATCTTGAACAACATTCTAAGCGACCACAAAATTGAAGGCACACAAATTAAACCTATAATTTATATGAGGTTAAGATGCGTCAGGAAGAGGTAGCATACAAAAGAACCTTCAGAATGCAGAGGTTCTTGGTCCTTGAAGAGGGGAATTCTGAATGTTTATACCAAATATGAAGAGAGAAGAAGTTGGGAGTGTCGGTTGATCCCATGAGAATTTGACCAGTGCCACGTGGATCTTCCAGTCTTTTCTTTTATCCTTCTCCTCTCTTCCTTTCTTTTCCTCTATTCAAAACTAGTTCATGTGGCACACGTCAGCCAGTTTGTATGTCCTATAATGTTACTTGAGCCCCCAGAAGAGAAGTTTGCTAACTTGAAAGAATTTCCACTGTTACACACTCCTAATCAGCTCTTTCTCTTTACAAGTGGTCCTGAACTACCAGGTAAAGTGAGCATACTTTAAAAATTCATGTTCTGATAGATTTCCTTGTCTGCCTCGTATATTCTTTAGATGAGAAAACGATTGTTCAGAATATTTGCTGGCAGGCACAGTCATGCAAATTACATGACAGTTGTCATATAATGAGGCTTAGCAACAATTTAGTCATTTGCTAGAATGTAAAAATCCAGAAATAGTAGGGTCTCCTGTATGTAATTCTAACTTATACAAGTATGTCATTGAAGTCCAAGTAGCTGAATTTCTAGAACTTGTGCTTTCTTTCTTTCAGCATTGCTGGCCCAACTTTAGATACTGGCATTTAAAAATGATTCTTTGAAACAGAGACGGTTACAGGGAAAAACTGTTAAACATAGTTTTGATCATTGTTCCCTTTCATTAAATCCTAGGCAACAGCTTACCTTTCACCTGAGGACCTTTTGAGGGGAGAAATAGAAGAGTCACTGGAAAAGGTGCAGGTGGCTGTTAACATCTTAAAGACTTTCAAAAACTCCTTTTTCAACTATAGAAAAAAATTGGCAAGCTACTTTATGGGAAGAAAGCTGAGACCATGGGATTTCCAGTCTCATCTGGTGTTTTGCAGATTTGACAAGTTTCTTGATCGTTTAATAAAAATAGAGGTATTCATTTTTTGATTTTATTTATTCATGTTGAAGGTGGGTGCAAAAAGCCAGTAGCTTTTCACATGATTCATGGAACAGTTTACTTTATATCATAGGTGGAGGTCTCCTTTCTCAGTGATTCTCATAAGGAGCTCAGCAGGCCAATGCTATGATGATACAAGGGCATTTTTTAAATCTTTAATTTGGATTTTTTAAAAGTTCATTTTTGATTCCATTATTACATTGAGTATAAGTAAATCTCTTTATGTATCAGTGACTCTTAGAATTGACTAATCTGAGAGAGAGTTGTAAGTCAGGAAGCAGTAAGCTCATCCTCTGTAAATAAATCCACTTTTCCTTTTGTATATTTAATGCTTAAAATTGGTATTTCATACCCTAAAACCCATTGCATAATTTAAATTATCACACTTTTTTAGTATATGAATATATGCTGTACTACAAAAATATTAAAACCATTTGTAAAAATAAAACATGGAAAAGTATGTGCTCTGTGTAAAAGTTTTCAAATACCTTAAAACCAAAAATTAAACACATACAACCTACACATTCTTACATTTATATGGTGTCTATTGGCTTAGTTTAAAAAAAAAAAAAAAAAGTTTAAATTGATGACACTGCCTTATTTTCTTTGTAAAGCTCTAAGAATTTTGGGCATTGTCATTGATAAAGGTTTGTTTTATTCCATTCAAAATTAGAGCTTTATGTCTTGAGAATTCTCGTAATCACTTAAATGAGCCTGAATGCCTCTTCTGTCTCTGAATGTGAAATACCTAATGAAGGGCAGCTTACATATGCCTTCCTTAACAGTTTCCTGGGCTCGCTTTCAATAAAGCAGACTCACTGCCGGGTATGGGGTGATGAAAACAGGAGTTTTGGATATTACCTGGGGATCTGACTTACGTTTAGGAAGATATAAAATTGGGGGAGTTATGTGTCTAGTTATGGTAAATTAGAGGTTGCTTCTACTGCGAGATAGTTTTTGTTTTCTTTTTTTTAGAGACAGGGTCTCATTCTGTCACCCCGGCTGAAGTGCAGTGGTGTGAACACAGCTCACTGCAGCCTTGACCTCCTGGATCAAGTGATCCTCCCGCCTCAGCTTCTCAAGTAGCTGGGACTACAGGTGCACGCCACCATGCCTAGTTAACTTTTTAATGTTTCATAGAGACAGGATCTTTCCTTGTTGCCCAGGTTGGTTTCAAACTCCTGGGCATAAGCGATCCTCCTGCCTCGGCCTCCCAAAGTGCTGGTATTACAAGCGTGAGCCCTGTGCCTGGCCAGTGAGAGTTAATTTTTAATAAACATGAAAATGGGAGAGTAATTTTAAAAATTAGCAATGACTTTGTTTAATTAAATACTTATTTCTGTCATGAAAATATTTATTTTCTGTCATTTTCTGTCATTGACTCATTGATTTTGAACATTTGAAAATGTTCTTGATTTGAAACTTTAAAATATTTTGCTGCTCAATGTAGTGGAAAGGTCTTTACTGTGTTTTTTACAAAGGATATATTTGCCACCACTTTGGAATTTGAAAAGCTGGAAAGACTGGAATTTGGTGGTACCAAAGGAGCAATTTTAAATGGACAAGTCCACGAGATGAGTGAAGAACTTATGGAACTCTGTAAACTTTTTAAACAGAGCACTTATGACCCATCTGATTGCACTAACATGGTAATGTTGTACCTTTGCATTTTCATTGCATGGGATCCTATAATTTTATAGCTGAAAAGGAAGATAGGTCACAGTGATAATAGGGACCATCCATTCCAATATCTCTAGGACCAAAAGAGGTTACATGACTTGCCTGAAGTCTTGTAGCTACTTAGTTAGTAGATCAGGGATCAGAACTTAAGCTTTTGCATTTTCAGTTCAGAATGACGGCTGATAAAACTGCAGACCTCAGTCTGGATTTGTATCTTGTTTGTGTATGCTAAACAGAAACTTTCCACATGAATTCATTTTGATCTGATGTCCATGTAACTCGTGCTTTATTTTAGCATTTTCTTGAATCACTGGATGTTTTGTTTTTTGATTCACCTGAACACTTGCTTTCACCCCAGTCATTAAGTGTATCATTTACATGTTGGTTGTTTCTTATAATTTTTGTTATTCTTGAGAGCTGATTATAATTTCATATTTCCAACCACAGGAAAGGGGGAACCTTTCTGATTTAAGCTGCTTCTGTGCTCTGTCAGTTCCAGCATGTTAGTAGCCAGGGAGCTACCTGTGAGCATCCCTGCAGTTCTAGGATAAAAATAGCTTCATTTTAGTAGTTTGCCAAGAACAGCGAAGCCCAAGTCCAAAAGAATGAAGATTTAGCTCTTGTTCTTATTATTGTATATGTAATGTGAGTTTATTCACTATTGTTTATATTTGGCCAAACAATTGATTCTTTGAAGTGTACGAGTGCAGTATGTTAGCTTTATAAGGATGTAGTTAGCAAACTTAAGCCCTCTGAATTATAGTCAGTTTTGGAAAGTGGAGTTAATGGTAGAAGGACACTGCTGTAATAGGTGACTTTTTGCTAAACCAGGGCACTACACTTTGTGAAAAAGTATGAGGAACCTAGGATCATGGTGATGAATAATTTGAGTGAGCTCATCCCCAAAGCCTTGTAAGATGCCTGGCACTTGGAAGGCATTCAATAAATACGTACAGAATGGGATTCTTAAGAGAGCCTCTAGGTTAGCGCCGCTGAACGAGCTAGTGGAGGAGGAGTGTGAGACTGAGCCTGCACAAGATCCTTGGGGACATTTGGATTGCAAGAGAGTCTTGATTTTGTTATAATTACAAAAACTGGCAAGTTTTCAGAGTGCCAGAATTAGAGAATGTGGCCAGGTTTAATTGACGTCACTACCTTGGCCATGCCAAAGGTCCTGATTTTACTCCTGTCTCTGCCTAAAGCCTGCATAGTCACAAACATGTAGGAATAGAAAATTCATTTACTCTTGAGGTATATATCTGCTTGGTATTTGTATTTTGGAAGCCTATTCTATTTTGCAGATAAGGTGGGCAGGGTTTACCTCTGATCTTCGGTCTGGTTGGAGACATCATAACCTTCCCCTGAAGTTCCCTTCATCCTCCTGTCTGATTCTTGCCTTAGAATCTAGAAGCTCCTTGACTTTGGTCATTCCCTAAAATTAAAACATGAATTAACTAAAAGTTAACTTAATCAGCATACTTATGTTGAAAATGACCATTACTTTTTTAAAAAAATGTGTTTTGCCTATCATTATTACTTTAAAATATTGCATTTATCATATATTTTTGCTTAATAAGCTGTTCATTTTGGTGCTTTTTAGCTGAGTTCCTTGTACTTTGACTTCATGATGAAATCAGTTGGTAGTTTTTGAGACATTATTTTAACAAATGACTTCCAACCTAGTGTATGCATATATTTGCATGTACATATGAATACATGCCCAACCTCTGCCCTTCCCCTCCCATTGCATTCACCCCCATGTTCCTGCTCCTGCCCCATCCCCTCTGACTACAAACTAGTGCTTATATAACAGGGAAGTGTGTCAGGGTCAGCCATTCTGCCCTTTGGTATATACATGGTTTAAATATGTTCCAGTAAATTAAAGAAATGATCACTGGTAATTTGCTTTTTGAAATGCTGTTGTTTATTTCTCTTCTCATCAATCTCATGCCTACTAATCAGGCTTTGAGCCTTTATTGGCGTACCGAAAGGTTTGCTGCCGTGGTCCATTTACAGAATGTGGGGATTTTATCAGGTGTGCCCATAAAAATGGTTTTGGGTTTCTCAATTATTGAATGTTACTTTAGGTGTTTTCTTTGACATCTTCTTAGGGGACTGTTTGAAATCTAGACAGTTATGGGAAGAGACTTGCTTTCTTCATTATTAATGTTGAACAGTTAGTCCAGCAATATTAGACTCAGTAATTTTGCTGTCTTTCTGTGGTGTTTCTTGATGAAATCCCTCAGATACCTAAGCAAAGATGGTAGCTATTCTTGTTGAGGGTAACCCCTTGGCTCCACTTAGTCTCTGTTAATGAGAGCCAGTTAATATTTATGGACGAAGTACTGGATGCCAGGCGTTGTGCCAGAGATTTCCCACATTATATACCTGCTTAATTTTCACTATAACCCAGAGAGTGGTCCCGCAGGCAAATGACAGTTTCACTAAATTACCTGAGATTATAGTTTCCAGTTGGTGGAATGGAAGTTTGAATCCAGAACTCTCAACCACAAGCCCTGCATACTTTTGTTTTCCCTCCCTCCCTCCCTCCCTTCCTTCCTTTTTTTTTTTTTTTTTAAGACAGAGTCTCACTCTGTCGCCCAGGCTGGAGTGCAATGGTGCGATCTTAGCTCACTGCAACCTCTGCCTCCTGGCTTCAAGTGATTCTTCTGCCTCAGCCTCCTGAGTAGCTGGGATTACAGGGGCACACCACCACGCCCAGGTAATTTTTTTGTACTTTTAGTAGAGATGGGGTTTCGCCATGTTGGCCGGGTTGGTCTCAAACTCCCGACCTCAGATGATCCACCCTCCTTGGCCTCCCAAAGTGCTGAGGAGATTACAGGCGTGAGCCACTGCACTGGGCTTTTTTTTTTTTTTTTTTTTTTTTTTTGAGACAGTTTCACTCTGTCACCCAAGTTGGAGTGCAGTGGCATGATCTCAGCTCACTGCAACCTCTGCCTCCCAGGTTCAAGTGATTCTCCTGCCTCAGCCTTCTGAGTAGCTGGGATTACAGGAGTGTGCCACCATGCCCAACTAACTTTTGTATTTTTAATAGAGATGGGGTTTTCCACCATGTTGGCCAGGCTGGTCTTAAACTCCTGGCCTCAAGTGATCCACCTGCCTCGGCCTCCAAAAGTGCTGGGATTACAGGCATGAGCCACCATGCCCAGCCCCTGCATTCTTTTCACTGCACCACCCTGTTAGTATTTATCTTGCTTGTTGCATCCTCATTGAAATGAAAGGAATAAGTTCATCTGTGGGAACTCACCTGAGGACCTATGGCCTGAGATGGAGTGATCCAGGTTGCTGTGTCTGCTTTTCTGCTGATTTTCAGTGGGAAGCTTTATTCAGGTGCCTTGTTCACCATGATATCAGAATCTAAAATACATTTTAAAAGTAGTTATTTAGTTCATCTGTACTAGGTTGTATTCTAATTCCTAGAACGAGTCTATTGTTCTGCTGTCACTCACTGAACTATTCTTTTGCTATTTATGTAGTGTTTTCTCATTTTAATTAAACAGATTTCATCTTTATTAGTCATACACAGCATTTTCATGTTTTGCCTGCCTATTATTCAAGATTAAATGAGTTATTTAGCAACCTTCCTTAGTAATTCTTTTGGAAAGGTAACATCTGTAAAAACTTAGTCCCTTTCTTCTCACCCTATGGCCTTTTCCCTAGTCTTCCATTTTTCCTCCCCAAAGGCATCTCTATTAAAAATTTCTTATATGATGTTCCAGAGATATTTGGTGCATGCACTGGCATATACATATATTTATTCCTTTGTTTTCTGCTTTTGCATTAATAGCATTTATACCTTGCTTTTATCCCTTACTATATTTTGGCAGTCATTCTGTGTCACTACAATAGCATTGCTCATCTTAAAACAACTGCGCATTCCATCAGATTTATATACTAAAGTTTATCTTATTTATTTTAAAATGTCATTTAGTAGATATCATTGTTTAAAATTTTAATGAGAAACTTCTGCTTCTGGAAAGAGGGAGATGTACTTTTCCCTACTGCTCCCAGTAAGTGCAACTAAAACACTGGCCGTTATACAGTAGCATGGCTCACCTGTCACCGAGACTCCTCTAGATCTTGTTGCTGCTGAGTATCCTACCTGCCAGCGATGGAGATTGACTCTGAGGCTCCACCATGGTATTATCCCTTGAGGAGACCAAACAGCTGCTTGGCAGGAAGTTAATTACCCAAGAAGGACAGCGATTCATCTTGTACAGGATTGATACATATTCCAAGGTTGTGTCTTCCTTGCCTGCCTGAAAGGCCTCAGCAAGCACGGCGGCCACAAACAACCCTTGAAAATGTCTATTGCAGGAAGCCCAGAAAGGAAGCACCAAGTTGGTTTAAGGGACTGTTCTTGGGGTTGTAGGGGAGAGGAGATAAAAGGAAGCCAAGATCTGAGATCCCAGAAGATCTTAATACTGACTCAAGACTCTCTTGAAAGATGTAAACTCTGATAGAGGGTATGGATAATATGTTTGATCCTTTCTAGGGCTTAAGCCAAGACCCTATCAAGCAAGTAAGTGGGAGATTGTGCTTATAAACAGCTCTTTTGAAGTAAGACAGATGTTCTCCTTGCTTCTCAGAATATTTTAGGCCAAAGCATTTTGTGGGCATAAATTAGCCTAATATCAGTGTCAATGCTGTATTTCAGCTTACTCGTGAAGACCTGGTCTTTGTGCTGTAAGCAATTAAGAAAGACAGAATTCTTAAGTGTATTTCAAGGAAATGTAAAAACAAAGTGTTCAATGCACACTTATGTATATATATTATGATGTTTATAACAAAAGTGTGAAAACACACATGGGAAAGATTGAAACTTACTTTGGGGTAGTGGTTTTCTGGGCAGGCAGAAAGAGAAATGTGTCTATGTGTGTTACTACTTATTTCTGAAATAAAATAACAGTATCTGAGAAAAACAAAACAAAAAAAACACTGGCCATTATATATAAAACAGACCTAAGAAGACTCTGAAAGGTGAAAAGAAAAAGGCAGAGTGGCTAAGGATATTGGGACTCAAGAAACAACAACGTGATGATGAGTTCCCTGGATTTTCCTGTTGCCTGAAGTAATCCAGACTTGGAGCTGAAAACACTGGCAACCAGGAAATGCCAGTGGGCACAGACCAGAAAGAAGCCCAGTAAAAGCCTGATCTCTCCCTAGCCAAAGGCTCAAGAAGGAGAGAGCTTAACACAAAAGAAGATTTGTAAGCCATCAACTGTCCACTCTAGCCAAACACCATGGAAGAAACTGTGTCCCACCCCTCCCCTTGCCAGGAAGAGCTGAGTGGGGAGCCTAGACTTACACCCTTTCTGTCTGAAAATGCTCCAACTCCCACCCTTGCTGGGGTGATGTCAGAGATGACCACATAGGGAGCCATGATTTTCATCCCTGCTGGCCAGGAATGAACTTCATTCTCTGTGGTGTCCGGAGACCATGTGGGAATCCTGGATTTCCTTCTTCACCCAGCCTGATGTTGGAGCAAACCTGATGGAGAGTCCAGACTATCACCCTGAGGCCAAGTGGTAACAAGGCCACCTGCACTTGTGGCAGCAGTAGAGACCACATGGGGAACTGGAAGTCCCAACCCAGCGGTAACAAGGAGCCCCGCCCACCCTTGGTGGATGAGTAAATGCCGAGTGGAGAACCTGGACTTCTGTCTCTATTGTAATGAGGCTGGAGCAGCATCAGAGAAAGTCAGCAAAAACAAAAGGTTTAAATAAGAGTCAGAGTCTTATAACAATATGAAATTTCAGTAGAATATCAGTTAGTATACCAAGAACCAGGAAGATCTCAACTGAGTGAAAAAAAGACAATCAGTAGATGCCAATACCAAGATAATAGAGATTTTGGAATTACTTGAAAAAGATTTTAAAGTAGTGTATTAGTCCATTTTCACATTGCTACAAAGAACTACCTGAGACTGGATAATTTATGAAGAAAAGAGGTTTAATTGACTCACAGTTCCACAGACTTAACAGAAAGCATAACTGGGAGGCCTCAGGAAACTTACAATCATGATGGAAGATGAAGGGGAAGCAAGGACCTTCTTCACATAGTGTTCAGAGAGAGAGCAAAGGGAGAAGTGCCACATACTTTTAAACCATCAGATCTCATGAAAACTCACTGTCATGAGAACAACAAAGAGTAAATTCACCCTCCATGATCCCCTGTAAAATCAAAAACAAGTTAGTTATCCAAGATACAATGAAGGTACACGTATTGGGTAAATATTCCCCTTCCAAATGGGAGAAATTGGCCAAAACAAAGGGGCTACAGGCCCTGTGCAAGTGTGAAACCCACCAAGGCAGTCATTACATCTTAAAGCTCCAAAATAATCTCCTTTGACTCTATGTCTCACATCTAGGACACGCTGATATAAGAGGTGGGCTTCCAAGGCCTTAGGCAGCTCCACCCCTGTGGCTCTGCAGGGTACAGCCCCCACAACTGCTTTCACTGGCTGATGTTGAGTGCCTGCAGCTTTTCCAGGTGTATGGATCTACCAGCTGTCAGTGGATCTCCCATTCTGGGGTCTGGAGGACAGTGACCCTCTTCTCACAGCTCCACTAGGTAGTACCCCAGTGGGGACTCTGTGTGGGGGCTCCAACCCCACACTGCCCTAGCAGAGGTTCTCCATGAGAGCTGTGCTCCTGCAACTGACTTCTGCCTAGACATCCAGGTGTTTCCATACATTCTCTGAAATCTAGGTGGAGGTTCTCAAGGCTCAACTCTTGGCTTCTGTGTACCCACAGAAACATGTGCCAAACACAACTGCCTACCCAACGTCTCCACTGAGATATTTCATACACATCTCAAAATCACATTCAGATCTAAACCCCTGCCTGTCCCTCCCCAAACCTACTCTTGCCTGTCTCTCCAACTCATTAAATGGTACATATAATGGGCTACTTAGTGAGAAACCTTTGAGTCATCTGTAATCTTGCTCATTTTCTCACAACAACCATCCAGTTCTTTCAGCTATGCCTTGAAAGTATTTCCAGGTGTTTTCTGTGACTTGGCTTATTGCACTTGCCTCCAAACTGCTCCCTCTTCCCCATCTTGGCTTTCTTAGTTTGTTCTCCACACGGCAGCCTGAGTGCCTTTTAGACACTAAGTCAAACCATGGCTTTTCTCTAATTACAACCCTTCAATAGCTTCTCATGATGCTAATAAAGGCAATTATGCAGTTTTCAGAATACAGCAACATTTTTATAATGATTTCTGAACAATACTAGCACATCATTTATTCTGTAATATATATTTATTGAGAAACAGCTATGTCCTGGGAACTCCATTAAATATTGGTACTGTAATTGTGAAAGAAAAATAAACCTGGCAGTTACACTCAGAGATTAAAATCCAAGGGAGAATGTAGACAGGCAGTTATCATATGGGTGCCCGGTGCTGGAGTATGAAGAGTACAGAGTGCTCTGAGAACATTTACATAGGGCCCCTTTCCAGAGGAGGTGAAATGTAAACTGAGACCTGTAACATAAATAGAAATGAAGCAGGTGAGAAGTGGGTGAAGGAGAGAGACAGAATGTGATAAGGCTTTGTGGCTGGATCTGAGAGTGTGAAATTGGGAGAGATGGCAGAATAGTTAGGAGCAGTAAGTGGCATCCAGACCACATAGGGTCTTATGCAGTAGATTATGCTAAGACCTTTGGACGTTATCCTAAGAAACTGACAATTCCGAATTAAGATTGTGAGTTAAAGGATTCTAAATAAGAAAGTGACATGATAAGATTTCTATTTTAAAAAAGATTATTTAGTCAGCCATTGGAGGATGAATCAGAGATAGGACTAGAGGCGAAGAGTAGTTAGAAAGTGATTAACAGATACCCAGATGAGCAATAATGGTGACTTGGACCAAGGGCATCCTGGAGATGGAGGATAGTAGAGAGACTCCAGAGGTAGTTAGAAGAGCACTTGACAGAGAAGTCAAGGAGGTTGCCCAAGTTTCTATTAGGGTGTATAAAAAGAAGAGCAGCTTTGTAGAGAAGATAACAAGTTCAGATTTGTACTTGAACAAATTAGGTATGAATTTTTTGTGGGACTTTCCAAGGGAGAGGTCCCACGTGCAGTTCTAAATTTGTTTTCAGGAATGAGTGAGTGAGAAGGGAGGGAGGTGACAGATATCAGGGAGGGAGACTAGCATATTTTTCTCTCCCTGAGATGTTTATTTCTAAATGTTCAGTTAATGTTTTGTGACCTTAAGCCGTATGTTCTCTATTACTATACTAAGAAGAGGGATGTTAGGCGTGTTAAAACTTGTTGGGAAGTTGTGTTTACTTTATTAGCCAATGAGCCTTGAATAAAGAGATTGCTTGGCTCTAATTCAGAAGTGGAAACTTCCTCTTGATGCTAAATATAACATTGTGGTGTATGACACATAGTGTCCTAGAACTTTGCTGTTACACTGCTTTTCAGCTTGTGTGAAATTCAGCATAAGGTGCCCTCTGTTTAGGTTGCTATAACAAAACACGATAAACTGGGTAGCTTATAAACAACAGAAATTTATTTTTCAGGGTTTCAGAGGCTGAGAAGTCCAAGAGCAAGGCTCCCGCAGGTTCAGTGTCTGGGGAGGGCTACATCCCAGTTCACAGATGGCACTTTCTAGCCATGTCCTTACTTGGTGGAAGGATGGAGGAGTCTCTCTCAGGCCTCTTTTATATGGGCACTGATCCCATTCATGAAGGTCCCACACTTATTACCTAGTCACCCCTGAAAGCACCACTTCTTGATACTATCGTATTGAGGGTTAGGATTTCAAAATAAAATTTTGCAAGGACATAAAACATTCAGACTCTAGCAGGTATATTCCTTCAAAGAAACATAGCATCTGGGATCAGGAGCCAGGTTGCCTGGCTTTAAATTCCAGCCCTGACATTTACCAGTGGTGTGATTTTAGGTGAATCATTTAACTTCTCTGAGTTTGTTTTGTCACCTATAATGCACAAAAAATTATAACCTACATGAAATGTTGTAAGAGGTGAGTTAATCATGTGAAATATTTAGAACAGAATTACTCACGTGCTAACTGTCATTAATTCTATTACCGTTGTTATTGTTAATAGATTGAGGCTCAGTTTACAGAGGTGGCAAAGGCCTTCATTGTGAGAAATCTGTGGTGTGTACTTCAGAGGCCTTTTGACTATGAAGCACCAAAATGTTTCTGAAATCCTGGGACTTCTTTACTGGAGACTCAACTCTGATGCTGTGAAGATAATAGTTATTCTTTCACCGTTTCATTGTAACTATGGGAGTGGATAGTTATGTATCAGGAGGAAACTGAGGGATGCTAAACGCACGCTAATAAGAAACTGGGAAAACGTAAGAGTATTTGTTTCCTCTGTATCACTAATGATATTTTCTTACCAGTGGATTTCAGTTCTCACCTGAAGAAATAGTGTTTCCGTGTAGATTTACAACTCCATGAAAAAACAAACAAAAACCCTTCCTATTTAAACTTATAGATGGACTAAAGTTATAATGAGGATAGGTTCTTTTTTCTTTTCTGAAAAACTTCACTTTTTCATTTATAATCAAAATGAATTGGGAGTAGGAGGAGAGACTGAGGCTTCTATGTGAGCATGTGAGCCAAAGCACTGCTGTTGAGGCCTGGGCCACTGAAAAGAATCGGGAAAGCATAGGGGAACAGTGCTAAGCTTTCAGTGATTCTGTAAGGTGGCACTTGCACAGTCAGTCAGATATAGCTCTTTCTTGAACTTCCGTAGAATGCTGCTATGAAAAATAAATTCACTCAGAGACAGAGAGCGAGCGAGAGAGAGCTAAAGTAAGGTCACGCTTGTGTGATTGCTATTTTCGCTGTTGGATTATTTCCAATATACTAATATTTCACTTTGAATTTTACAGGAGTTTGAAAGTGATTATGTGGCATTTAAGTCCAAAACTCTGGAATTTGACAGAAGGCTTGGGACAATTATTTGTGAAGCTTTCTTTAACTGCAATGGCTTAGAAGCTGCATTTAAGGTTAGTTCTGAAGAAGCTATCATAAAAAACGTTTACTATGAATAATATAGGCTGTTAAATGAAAGGGGTGAATTCTCATTCAGGTAGAGTATTCACTAGGTTAACTAGTCATATTCCCTTCAAATTCAGCTCACTGAATAATAAACTTTGAATAGTGTACTAATGAATAATGACACTTTGGACAAGATTATTTTAGGACATTTAGTTACTGTTCTGTTCTTGCATTCACAGTGTTTTAGCTCTCATTATCTTCACAGCAAATTTGGCCTGGCCAATGAAATATTGATTCAAAATTAAGTCACAGTGAAAAGTGAAAAATACCTTAATTCAGGAATTTCTTTTATTTACCATTGTTTAGATTGTTAGGTTCATCTGCCTATTTTATTATTCTGACTGAAACAAATAGCAATTTATATACTGTATTTACCCAGGCATAAGACATCATTGATTATCAGACACACCATTATTTTGTGTAACAATAAAAAATGCTGCCAAATAATTATGATTTCATTGACTGCATAATGTATTTCAGTCGCAGAGATTTTGAAACATAAAAGTATGCTTGTCACAGAATTGATGAAATACAGTTAAGAGTTATATAAAAGAAAAGCATCTCAATAGTGTCCCCAGATGAAAAGCTTATAATATGAGGAATAGCAACACCATGTAAAACTTGCTTGACAAAGAAAAAAATCACAAATCAAGTATAAATTAATAATTAGATAACGTCCCAAAAGAGGGATGGAGGGTTCAATATCAGAAGAAAAAGAGCTAAGAAATCATGGATATAATTCATTGAGAATGGCAGTGCCAAACAATATAGCAGACACAGATTTTTAAAAGATATTGTTTGATTTTGACCTTCGAATGAATTGGCTGGTCAGTGGAGAAGACACCGGCGTTCTCTGGCCCCAGTCAAGCATTTTAACATAAAGAATTCACGAGGATCTGGATAGGAAGAATCATTATCATGAAAATGGCCATACTGCTCAAAGTAATTTATAGATTCAATGCTATCCCCATCAAGCTACCACTGACTTTCTTCACAGAATTAGAAAAAACTACTTTAAATTTCATATGGAACTGAAAAAGAGCATGTATAGCCAATATAATCCTAAGCAAAAAGAACAAAGCTGGAGGCATCATGCTACCTGACTTGAAACTACACTACAAGGCTACAGTAACCAAAACAGTATAGTACTGGTACCAAAACAGATTGTAGACCAATGGAACAGAACAGAGGCCTCAGAAATAATGACACACACATCTACAACCATGTGATCTTTGACAAACCTGACAAAAACAAGCAATGGGGAAAGGATTCCCTATTTAATAAATGGTGTTGGGAAAACTGGCTTGCCATATGCAGAAAACGGAAACTGGACCTCTTCCTTACACCTTATAGAAAAATTAAGATGGATTAAAGACTTACATGTAAGACCTAAAACCATAATACCCCTAGAAGAAATCCCAGGCAATACCATTCAGGACATAGGCATGGGCAAAGACTTCATGACTAAAACACCAAAAGGAATTGTAACAAAAGCCAAAATTGACAAATGGGATCTAATTAAACTAAAATGCGTCTCCACAGCGAAAGAAACTATCATCAGAGTGAACAGGCAACCTACAGAATGGGAGAATATTTTTGCAATCTATCCATCTGACAAAGGTCTAATATCCAGAATCTACAAGGAACTTAAACAAATTTACAAGAAAAAAACAACCCCATCAAAAAGTGGGCGAAAGACATGAACAGACACTTCTCAAAAAGAGACATTTATGTGGCCAAGAAACATGAAAAAAAGCTCATCATCACTGGTCATTAGAGAAATGCAAATCAAAACCGTAATGACATACCACCTCATGCCAGTTAGAATGGCGATCATTAAAAAGTCAGGAAACAACAGATGCTAGAGGGAATGTGGAGAAATAGGAATGCTTTTACACTGTTGGTGGGAGTGCAAATTAGTTCAACCATTGTGGAAGACAGTGCGGCGATTCCTCAAGGATCTAGAACCAGAAATACCATTTGACCTGGCAATACCATTACTGGGTATATACCCAAAGGATTATAAGTCATTCTTCTATAAAGACACATGCACACATATGTTTATTGCAGCACTGTTCACAGTAGCAAAGACTTGGAACCAACCCAAATGCCCATCAATGATAGACTGGATAAAGAAAATGTGGCACATGTACACCATGGAATACTATGCAGCCATAAAGAAGAATGAGTTCATGTCCTTTGCAGGGACATGGATGAAGCTGGAAACCAACATTCTCAGCAAACTAACACAGGAACAGAAAACCAAACACTGCATGTTCTCACTCATAAGTGGGAGTTAAACAGTGAGAACACATGGACACAGAGAGGGGAACATCACACACCAGGGGATGTCAGGGAGTGGGGGGCTAGGGGAGAGGTAGCATTAGGAGAAATACCCAATGTAGATGATGGGTTGATAGGTACAGCAAACCAGCATGGCACATGTATACCTATGTAACAAACCTGCACATTGTGTACATGTATCCCAGAACTTAAAGTATTAAAAAAAATTCATGAGGATCAAATAGTTCTTTGTTTTATAAGAACTCTTCAGTGAAACTCAGGTGCCAGCCATCAGCCGAAATGTACAGCCTGTTGTTATAAAATGACCTGTAATCTCATCTCTCAGGTATACTTGCTAGTATATTTAATACTGCCACTATTTTTTCTTTGTCTAGATATGCATACATGTTTCTCTTTGACAAAAATGACATTATATTTTAATCCTCTACTGTAATCTTCTTCACTTAACAGAGTCATAAAATTTTTTCTTGCCTTTATAACAGAATTCAAGTATTATTTTTTTACATGTGTGATAGTCTATCATATTCTTTGCTACTGGAACTAGTTTTCTTTCTTGCTTTTACAAATAACTAAAAAAAATGTAGAGTGAAATCTCAATTACAGAGGCTCCTGCCATTTTCAATTCAAGTCTCTCTTTTTCACAACCATTAGTATGAATTCTGTTATAGTACCTGTCAGTTAATGTTTTTTCTAAACAATTTAATCTCTTAGGTAAAAGGTTTTTTTCTTTAACTTTTCAGATATTTGACCTGTTTACTGAACAAATATAAGATGAGATCCTACTGTCATAAGCTTGGCGGGGGTGTGGCATCATCTTACAGCTTCTGTGTAGATTGCCTTCCATGGTGACTTGTACAAAGTGGCGTTTAATAAGTACTTGAGGCTAGGTGGAGTGACTGGTAGTTCAAGTAATGAAATAACATGCTGATGAGGGTAAACTGCTGCAAGTGTAATGGCAGAGGAAAAAATTACAAGGCTGTGTACTTAGAAAAATATTGCATCCATAGGGATAGAATGATGAGCTCAGACCATTTACTGTTGGTCCCTGGGAAAAAAATATTTATAGATGGTTCTCTGAAGACGACTATTCCAGTACCTGCTATTGTCACAGACATGGCCAGGAAGGGCACCGGAACTGAGCGCTATTCTACTCTAATATAAAAGTATAGTACTTTAAAATCTGAAGTGCTGGTGCTCACCAAAAACCAAAACCAAATACTACTGAATGGCTCTCTAAAATTTACATGAAGGTAAACCGAAGTGTGTAAAAAAAATTGTCTAGAAAGGACTTCAGCTTTGAAAAGTATTAAAATGTGAAGTGTATATGGTTTAGGTGGCCACAGATTTTTAAAAATCTTTGAAAGAGGCGCACCTAGGAAAAATATAAATATGTACTACACCGAACAATGGCAATGGTGTTATGAAAAACTGTATTATGCAATGAAAGAGAAGTGGAGCAAAATTAAGGCAAACCTTGCAGATCTCAGATGTGATATTTAGAAAGAGAAGCATGTGGTGGGAATTACTCTTTAGTCTTGAAGTCAATGTGAAAGAAAACATCTCTACTCTTCATAAAATAGCTTTTAGTTTTACTGTGAACAAAGAAGCAAGAGGTTGAAATGACCTTTACTCTCCTCCTGGAGGGTGGTTTTTATACATTTTGCATGACAAACAATTACAATAATGTATACTGCCTAAAACATTGAGACTTTTCCTACTACTTTTTGGCTTTACAACCTCGCCTCAGAGTATTTTCTCTATGTATTTTCTCTTGAAAACTTGGAGTTAAGGACCGCTAAGCTGGTGGGCAAGATGTGATGTAGCTAGGAAGCTTCTGGTATTCTTTCCATTGTGGTCAATATGATAAGTTTTTACAAAATAATGTTGTGAAATAAATACACTTATCATTTCTTGTTGGAATATACTTTTTTGTTAAATACATAAGGCAATGTTTACTTCAGAATTTTTATTTGAAACCCAAACTCAACAAAACAATGACTGTGGGAAGAAAGTTAATCATTTACATTTTGCTAGGTAGCCCCGAGTAGTAGATTTAAAAATATTTAGCAGTTTCTACTGTAGTTATAATTGCTGTCACCAGAAAAAGTCAGAATGTGTTTGTCTAAATTGATCCCTAAGGTATAGTTATAGTTACATTTTAGTTTCTATAATTTTTTCATGGTAATTTTATTTTCAGTGAATGTAGTTTATGGAAATATTTGCAAATTTTTATTATGAAGCTGTTTTTTAAGTGAAACAAGTTTTAGGGAATACCTGTTATTTCCTTAAGAAAAAGAACAAAGCCCCCTCCTTTGCCATATTGCTAAACAAGGCGTGACCTTGGATACAGTTTATCTACCACTGTAAATATACTTAGTTATTTTGAGATGTCTTCTTTCAGAGAAAATACCTATATGACAGGCTTAATAACTAACATATTATAAAGCCCACACAGAATGATCAGATAACAAAATGACATAACTTTCAATGGCGTATTAGCTGATGAGAAGCTACACACTGAAGCACAAACCCGAATGCTAGACTGCCTGGTTTCAAATCCCAGCTCCGCCACTAGCTGTTACGAATTTGGGAAAATCATTCCCTCCTTGTAACTCAGTTTCCTCACCTGGAGTGTGTAATAATAACAGCACTTTTAAAGCCCTTAACACATAGTTCCTGGGACATAGCACTATAGAAACATTGGTTATATACAAATAAATGTTTTGGTTACATCATTTTGCTTGCAAGGAAAGAGCTATTTTATGCTAGCACACAGAAGAATCCACATTGGGTAGTAAACAAGACAAGAGACTAATGGGAATCCAAAATCAGACTCACTGGATAACTAAGCTTTGTGAACACCGGCAGTGAAGGTAAGTTTGAAATCTAGGGGGCTCCATTGACTGAGCAAGAGGAGTTTGTGAGACTCGACTCCTGCTTTGCTGGTCATGTGATCCTGTTCAGTCTGTGTGTCTGCTTTCTCCTGTCCCACTATCAGTTGACTTCCTCTGCTTGCTAGTAGTTTCTGCTCACTGATAATTTTAGCCAGCATGGATTCAGCCAGGCCCTGACTCTGAGAAAGAATCTTATTAGCTCAAAGCATTGATTTGAGCCAGGACAGTCATCCACCTGTGGAGTGGTTGTCCTTGTAACAGTCACCACTGTAGCCCCAGGACACTGTTGGGGGTGGCTGGGTCGTGTGGATGTACCAGCGGCCATAGGCATGCAGTCATGGTGACTGGCACATCTGGTATAATTATTCATGCTGTGACCTAGAGGGCCTTAATATGGATATATGGATATTTATATCTAAAGAATACATATGTAGGAGGGAAGAACAATAACAAGTATGTGAATCTTGTTTCTATTCTTATATCTGCAAAGCATCTTCTAAAATGTTACCTGGAACCCAACAGGAAATAATATTAGCTGTGAACGGAAATTGCAGACAGACAGTGGTTCCTTTCTGCTGAGAAAGGGAAATTATTTTACATCTAGAATTGGTTTATTGGATGTACAGAAATTTTAGGGAGATGGAAAAATACATTTTACATTTTGAAGCATCACAGGATGCTTTTAAGATTCTAAACTTTAGTCATGTAAGAGGTTTGAAGGGGAACATTATGAGCTGAGTATTTGTTAAAAACTCATAGTGCTTAATGTTGCCTTCACTTTGATTTTTATAGCTTTTGACCATATTTGGAAATTTTCTAGAGAAGCCAGTTGTCATGGAAATTTTCAGCCTACATTACAGCACACTAGTGCATATGTTTAATACAGAGCTGGATGTGTGTAAGCAACTGTATAATGAACACATGAAACAGGTAAGTGGTGGATAAGGTTGGACACATTTACAATATCATTTAGGCGGATAATGACCATCAACTAGAACTCTATGTGATTATATCTAAAGATTAGATATAGGCACTACATTTTTGTGCTTTTATTTAACTGGTTTCCTCATGGAGATGGTAAACTTGCTTTAGGACTGTAACTCTTCTAGTAATCAAGTGATTAAACACATATGTTTTATACTACTGTAAAAATACCAAAATGAAAAATTGCTTACAGGGTTGGAAACCATTCTGACTAAATGTTCCCTTTCTTCCTCTTCACCAAAATATCAACTTGCAGATTGAATGTGGTCATGTAGTTCTTAACAAGAACATGCCATTTACCTCAGGAAATATGAAATGGGCCCAGCAGGTTCTCCAACGACTTCAAATGTTTTGGTCAAACTTCGCATCTCTCCGTTATCTGTAAGTAGTTAAGCTTAGGTCATGGCAAGTTATTCTAATGGTACGGGTGACATTTTATATAAGAGAGTGAGCTGTTCATATTAGCACTTAGGAAGCCATTGCCCTGTTCACTTCTCTCACTGGTTGGGTTTGTGGAGAGGGATTCATTCCCATGGTTTTGGAATATTTCTAATGGGACTCTTAGAATTTCATATGCTTACATGTTTTCTGGTCCTTTTTTTCTTTTTCCTTGTCCTTTCCACCCACCATGTTTGGAGTTTCTCGTTATTGTTTTTCCTTTTTCCAATAAATAACACTGCTTTTATAATGCAATCTTTGTACCTTTTTCTTCTCTTCCTAGGAGCCAGTAGCTTGTTGCTATCAACATTTAGTAAAATCTTGAGTTTCATTCATCTTATAACTTTATCTTTTAAAGCAAAAGCAATTAATACGCACATAATTTGGTCTTGACTGTTTCTCTTCCTGGTTGTTTATAGTGTATTATATTTTATATATTGTATTACTATACAATTATTAAGCGGAAATCTATCTAATATACGTATAAACCAGTAGAAAAACCTTATTCCTACAGATTTTTGGGCAATCCTGATCACGCTTTAGTTTATCAAAAGTATGTTGAAATGACCACTTTGCTTGATCAATTTGAAAGTCGTATCTATAATGAATGGAAAAGTAATGTGGATGAAATCTGTGAATTCAATTTGAATCAACCCTTGGTTAAATTCAGTGCCATAAATGGTCTTCTCTGTGTCAATTTTGACCCAAAGGTAGGGATTTGATTTTTTAAGATGATTTATAAGTGCCCTTTTTATTATAAGCCTATTTCTGATATTTCCAGTCATTTGTAATTTACATTTGGGAAAATGTCAGAGTTGTGAGGACTGTAACTGTAAACAATTTCTTACAGGTCTTCATTGTAGAGATTTGTTTCTCAAATTCTACTAATTACTCTATTAATTTGTATTGTAATTGTTTCTTTACCACGCCACCCTCACTAGATAATGAGCCACTGAGAGTAGCATCCGTTTCATTGCATCTTTATGCTCTATGTTTCTAGTTTAGTGTCTGGTACTTGGTGACAGTTAGTAAATGTTAGCTCAACTGAATTGAATCATTTGTCTTTGCCGGACAGTTTCTGGCTTAAATATATTCATAACATACACCAGTGTTTTAGTTAAAATTTCATCACGTAAGTTAAGATTTGGGGAATCAACAGAATACACAGAATGAAAGACACGTCACGTTTTTGATGAGCACTGGTAGATTTTAATTTATTGTCATTTCTTTCAAAGGGACAATAAGCTTGTATATGGTAATTAAATTGATGGTAATTTTAAAAAACATAAAACATATTAATATAAAAAATATTAAGTTAAATAATGTCCAGGATGAATATTATCTTTATTGAACAGGTCTTTTGTTAATGCATGGTAAGTCATGTAACAAAGGAAATTTCATATATTTTCTCAATTCTCATAATTTCATTACATGTTATGTAACAATGGGATTTTTGTTACCATTTATGTATGTGTATGTGTATATAATTATACAATATGTGCATATATTTAATCAATGCTAGATGTGCATGTATATATGTATGTATATGCATTGTATATATTTTAAACAAACGATCTCCAAGTCTGGCAGCTTGCTAGATATGAGACATAAAATAAGCTTTCTTTTCTATTTACCACCATGGGTATGCTTTAGGGTAAGGGGCAAGCTTATAAGAATATCTATTTGTAATTTCCATGACAAAACACAAAATGCCTTAAACATCTAGCTGAATTTTTAGGGGATGAAGATTATACATTCACTATTAGTGATTACCTGGAGTCTCTCATGGCAGTCAAAATGCATGCCTAGGAAGTGGGAAAGTTAGCCTCACTGAGTTGGATAAGCATACTCTGCACCCAAATTCTGATCTGTTTCCCTAAAATATGTACAGAGAATAGTTGACTTTATTTTGCTAGTAAAACTCAGCACACATACCTAAATATATGACATAGTTAACTGAGGATTCGTTCTACTTTCTGATTTCATAAAACCAATTTATAGAAACTAATTTCTTGAGATGTTTAAGGATAATTCATATACCTTTACTATATTATGAATGTATGATTTTTGTTTTTAAAAAGTATATGAAACAAAAGTCTATTTACCTTGATTTGGAAATATAGTAATACTTGGATAACATCTTAAGTATTTCAAGTTAAACTTGAGTTAAAATAGAATGACATTATGAAAATATGCAATAATTTTAATAATTGTATTTTAATAGCTAGTGGCTGTATTGAGAGAAGTGAAATATCTTTTGATGTTGAAGAAACAAGACATACCAGATTCAGCTTTAGCCATCTTCAAGAAAAGGAACACTATTTTAAAGGTTTGTGATTTTTGTTAAAAAAAAGATACTAGGGCCTATTATGAATATAAATATTTTGAATTTTAATTATTATATAGATCTATATGATATTTTTACACCTTTAAGACAGAGAAAATAGCTAACATATTTGGCACTTTTTGTTTTGGGGTTTTCTTTGCTCAGTACATTGGAAATCTTGACCTTCTTGTGCAAGGGTATAATAAACTCAAACAGACGCTCCTGGAAGTTGAATACCCTCTGATTGAAGATGAGCTGAGGGCTATTGACGAGCAGCTGACAGCAGCCACAACGTGGCTGACATGGCAGGATGACTGCTGGGGCTACATCGAGAGGGTGAGGGCAGCCACGTCCGAGTTGGAGCACAGAGTTGAGCGCACACAGAAAAACGTGAAGGTGATCCAGCAGACCATGAGGGGCTGGGCCAGGTGCGTGCTACCTCCCAGGAGAGAGCACAGACGAGAGGCAGCCTTCACCTTGGAGGACAAGGGTGATTTGTTTACAAAAAAATACAAGTTAATCCAAGGAGATGGCTGCAAGATCCACAACTTGGTCGAGGTAATGGCTTTTAACCTTTCAAGATTTATAGATCTTTTCATTGAGTTCAGAGAAGAGCAAAAATCTTTAACCTAATAATGTGGGACTCTTTTATCAAGCCTGAAAGAGCTTTATGAATGGTATTATTAGGCATTTAAAGTGGAGGAATTTGTGTTACTTGCCTGCAATTTCTGTAGCCCTCACCACTGTCATTCCTGAGGGAAGAGATTAGAATGTGAGATGTGTTGATTAAACAGAAAGGCTAGTGATAGAATCTTTATCTTGTCACAGTTGCATCCTCTTTTGGATGCTCCTTATAGCTACCACTGTTTGTTGACTGCCTCGTATGTGCCAAACAAACAACTTCCTTAGGTCATCTCAAGGTACCCTCTCAACCATCTCCTAAGGGTGGCAACAATAATTACTCTCCTTTTAACAAAGATTTGAGTTCCTAAAACAGTAACAGGCACTCATCTAGGCTTGTGAATGCAAGAGAAAACAGAAAAAAAACACACACACACACACAAAAGGCAGAAGGCAGGAAAATAAAAGCAAACAACACAATGCTCCCCTGCCAACCACCACCAAATCCTTTATTTCATGGAGCTTACACTCTAGTCAGAGGAAGTTAGCAAGAGAAAAGAACAAATAGATATGTCAGTTGTAATAGGAGCAATGATGAAAAATAGAGCAGAGCAGGTGGGATAGGGAGTCGCTTGCGGGTAGGGTGGTTGGGCAGGCCTCTTTCCTAAGATAGTATTTCTGCAGAGAACTGACAGGGAACAAAGCATATGGATATCAGGAGAAGAACATTCTGGAGAGCAAAAGTATAGACACTTTGAGGCAGGAGCAGCCTGGCCTGTTCCAGGATCAGTCAGCAAACTGAGATCAGAATTTGCAAGGGGAGTGGTAGTAGAGGGTGAGGTAGAAGAGACTAATGGTACATTATGTGGGGTTAGCAGGCTGTTATGAGGACTTTGGATTTTACCGTAAGGGGAAAGAGCAGCCAGAGACTTTCTGCTCAAAGGCTTTCCCTGTGGAGGGTAAGCCACAGGCAAGCAAAGAAGTGGTTGGCAGGGAGACTCTTCAGAGCCTATGCTAATAATCCAGGTGAGAAATGATGCTGCCTTGGGTCATAGTGCTAGTGATCAAGGCAGTTCATATCCTGCAGATATTTTGATGGCAGAGCCAGCAGAATTTGCTTTGAGGAATCAGAGGAGAGAGAAGTCAAGGATGATTTCAAGGTTTTTGGTCTGAGTGATTGGACTGGACTGGGGTTGCCCTTTAATGATATGAGGAAGACTGTGGTGAGCAGATTTTGTAGCAGAAAAAAAAAGGAGGTTTGGTTTTGGACAAGTTAGTTAGAGATGCTTGTCCTAAGGGACATTTTGAGTAGACTAGAATTGCAAATGTGTCTTGTGTTCAGGGCAAAATCCAGGTAAGTAACAGAGAATTGAGATTTATGCACATATGTATGGTATTTAGAGCCATATAATTAGATTAAGAACATGTGGGAATTGTAGATAGAAAAGAGGCCCAAAAACTAGCCTCGAAGTCCTCCCTAGGTCAGGGAGAAGAGGAAAATCCCACAGAGGATACTGAAAAAGAGAGAGTGATGCCCTGGAAACCAATAATAGAAGGGATTTCAAGGAGGAGGAAGAGCTCAACTCTGTCCCATCCTGACGTAGGACCTGAAAATAAAGACGGAGGCTAACCCTCAGATCTGGCAGCACGGAAGTCATTGGGATGAGGAGAGGTGATTTCATGTGGTGGCAGAGTGGAAGCTTGGTGGGAGTGGGCTGATGAGAGAATGGGGAAATATGAGTGGAGGCAGCTGAGGAGATCCTGAGGAGCTCTGCTGTGTGGCAAACCAACAACTGGGCAGTACCTGGGGCCTGTGTATCAGGGTGGGGAGGGTTTTATTTTTAATAGTGGTTGATGTTTCAGGATGTTTGTATGTTAACTGCAGTAATCTAGGAAGGAGAAAAAATTGTTGGAAGAAAGCCATTGAGGGAAATGGGATTTAGTAAATACCTGTAGAAGGTGTCTTTAGACAGGAGCGCGGAGCATTCATCTGTAGTACAGGATGGAGGGAAGGCAAAGATAGGAATGTGGTGCTCACAGATGTGCAATGCTGATGATGGGAACATGGGGAGTTGATTTCTTGTTGTTACTATTTCTTAAGGAAAAAAGGGATAGGAATGAAAGAGCGTATTTCATGTTTCCTCTGAGCATCCTTGTTATGTGGAGTCTTCTCTATAGACCAGCACAGTCCTTAATCCATGAATACTCTCCTTTGGGCAAGGCAGACAGACCCCCTCCCCTGCCCCTGCTCCCCCCAGACACAAAATCTCTCTCTCTCTAACACACACACACTCTCTTTCACACACACATACTCTTTTTCTCTGTATGTCACATACTCTCACACACAGTCTCTTCCTCTCACATATCACACACACACTCACACACACTCTTTCTCCCTCATGCACACTCTTTCATACACACATACACACACACACACACACACACACACACACACACACTCTGAAGCCATCATGAAGTAGCACAGTGTGGGGTAGGGAAAGTGTCCTTGGTAAAGGCTGGAAACCAGAGTCTTCCAGAGGCTGGGCCTGAATTTTCTCATGTGTAAAATGAAGGTCCTTGTCTCTAGGATAATTCTCAGCAGAACAAGAAATAGATTACGGTTTTCCTGCTGGGAATTGTATGCAACCCATTATGTATCTTGTCTTTGCAGTCCATCATCATTCACTTATTTGAGAAATATTTATTGTGAGCATTGTGTGTACCCAGCACCTTTCTAGGTTTTTGAAATATGAGAGCAGAGCAGACAAAGTTCCTTGCTCTCATGGAACTTGAATCAAGTGAGGAGAGAGACAATAAGCAGTGACATAGTAAGTCGTGCTGTGTTAGAACTGGTACGCGCTGCAGGAAAAAGATCAAATTGGAGCAGGGCAAGGGAATTCTGGAGGGTGGGGTCGAGGATGCAGTTTTAAGTAGGATGATCAGAGTAGGCCTCAACCAGAAGGTGAAATTTGAACAAAGACTTGACAGAGGTGATAGAGTCAGCCAAGTGGGCCTTTGGTGAAGAGTGTTCCAGGCAGAGGAGATAGTTTTGGGGCAGGAGATCCCTGGGCATGCTCGAGGAGGAGCAGGGAAGTAAGTGTGGGGGGAGTAGAGGGAGCTGAGTGGAGAGTTGCTGAGGTGAGGTCAGACGCTAAGCTGCGTGGTGAGGGACTGGCAGCTCAGGGGAGGCTTCATAGGCCTTTTTGCAGATTCTGGCTTTGGCTCACTCTGAGGTATGTGAAAGACACTGCAGAATTTTGAGATTTTGAGAAGGGGAGTAAATACAATCTGACTTTCATTCTAAAAGGATTTCTGGCTGTTGTGTTGAGACCCTCTGTAGGGAGGCTAGGGAAGAGGCAGGCCGACCTGGTAGGTTGCCATTCTTACTAGTAATCTAGGGGTTCCGTATGTTCAGGCTGATATAGCAAAATACTCTAAACTGAGTAGCTTTAAAACAGCAGAAATGGTTATCTCATAGTTCTGGAGGACCAGGTGCCAGCATGATCAGTTTCTGGCAAGGCCCCTCTTCTAGGTTGCAGACTGCCAACTTCTCATTGTGTCCTCACATGGAGGAAGTTCCCCTGGGCCTGTTTCATATAGGCAGTACTTTCATTCATGAAGGCTCTGCCCTCAGGACCTAATCACCTCCTCCTAAACCCCTCCTCATAATACCATCCCCTTGGGGGTTGGGATTTTCACATTCAAATTTTGGGAGGACATAAGCATTCAGACAGTGGCACAGGCACGTAACAGATGATGGTGCTGGACCAGGGTGGTAGCAGTGAAAGTGATTAGAAGTAGTTGGATTCTGGATATATTTTGAATTAAGTGGAGCAAACAGAGTTTCCCAAAGACTGGATGTGGAGCACGAAAGAAAGACACGTTAAAGATTATTCTACACATTTTGTCATGATCAACTGGAAAGGTGAATTTGCAATCTATTCAGATGGGGAAGGGTATGAGAGGAAGAGACTTAGCAGGGAAGGTCAAGATTTCAGTTTTGGGCATTTTGAATTTGAGGTGTTAATTAGCCAAGAGGAGTTGAGTGGGCTATTGGATTTACTCATTTAGAGTTAATGAGAGGGGTCCAAACTGAAAACACAAATGAAGGAGGAGTGGATGGCAATGATATTTAAGCCAGGAGACTGGATGTGATCACCGAGAACATGAGTTTAGCTAGAGAATAGAAGAAAATCAAGGACTGTTGGCTGGACCACCATTCTTCTCTTAGGAGACCAGGGAGAAGAAGGACCAGCCAAAGATGCAGAAAAGGAAAGGCTGAGACAGTAGGAGGAAAACCAGGACAGGAAGCCGAGTGAAGAAAGGGTTCGGAGGGTAACAGATTTTCTTACCAAAACGTAAAGTACAGTACATTTGATATGCTCTAGTGGATATGGAGAAGAAAATAAAAAGAAGTACATAATTAACATGGGTTTCAGTGTTTCTGTTGACTTCCAGTGTTTTCTAAAATTTCTAAGAAAGTTTTAATTTTCCCATCAATGACAATTTGCTAGGACAAAGACTTTGTTTCTGTCTTCTTTGAGTACTGCCTGGAATAGCGTCCCAAGGCTGCCATGACAAGGTCCACAAACAGGCTGTCCTGAAATGAAAGAAGTTTATTCTCTCATAGTCTAGAGGGCTGAAGTCTGAAATCAAAGTGTGGGCAGGGCCATGCTCCCTCAGAAGGCTCTGCCAAAGTCCTGGGTAGCCTGGAGAGAATCTCAGGGGTGTCCTGACGTGTAAGGGAGGTATTTATCTAGAAATTAATTTGTTTTTCAGCAGTATCTTAACTAAGTCATGCCGTGGACTATTTCTAGTTGTTCAATAAATGCTGTGAATTATTCTCTGACTTTTAAGACATCTCTACAACTGTTTATGTGTTAGAATCTGTCTCATAGAGGACAGATGATGGATTACGGTTAGTTTTTTCTGTTACATTTTCTTGATAATAAAAAAATGTACTCCCCAAACTCTAAGGATTTAAACCATTAAGATATGAATCCTGATGAAAATGCATTAAAAGTATGGCCAAGACATGACTAGAAATCATCAGAAAACAAGGTTTTGCATTGTCATCTCAGAGAAAAATGTTAGAATTTTTTGTATTAATAAATGGATTCTCCTATTTTTGTCCTTAAGGCAAAAACTAGGAAGCTTTGAAATCACTGTTCTCAATCCAAGAATGGAAGAGAGCTTCTGCCTTGAGGGAATGTAAGCCAGCTTTAAAATGGAAATGAAATGATTATTTGTTTCCATAAGTTGGGTCTTTTAAGTGATTATTTTCCTCTTGACTTAGCACGTGATGTTGAACCTAGTTCTCAGGCTTCTGGTGAGGAACATGGTTTGGGGAAAAGCTGTAGAAATATGGCCAAGGGTGAGTCAGTTCTGCCTTTTGCATGCTGCATGTTTTCTGGCTGGTGGCATGTCAGCGAGTGGTCTGGAGTCAGAGTTAAAGATGGAGAGAAGAGAGGAGCAGGACCATGGAATATTGGGCCTGAGTGATCATTCAGTTATCTAAAGCTCTCCTTTCTCTTCCTTTCGCTCCCTTTATCCGAATGTGCTGAAGATACAGCATTTCTCATCAATGTGACTGTAGTGAGGTAAACTGGATCTCTTGGTATGAAAAAGTGTGTATGACCGTGACATGATGGGAAAGGCCCTACTCTGGGAGGTCAAGAGGGCTGGTTTCTAGTCCTAGCTCAGCTATTAACTTCCTACTAGTGCGACGCTGAATGTGTATTAGGTCTTTGTTTTCATGTCTATGTTAGTATGTTTTCACACTGCTTTGAAAAAAAGAACTACCTGAGACAGGGTCATTTATGAAGAAAAGAGATTTAATTGACTCGCAGTTCTAGATGGCTGGGGAGGCCTCAGGAAACTTACAATCATGGCAGAAGGCAAAGGGGAAGCAAGGTCCGTCTTACATGGTGGCAGGAGAGAGAGCAAAGGGGAAGAAACACACACTTATCAAACAACCAGATCTCATGAGAATTCTGTAATGAGAACAGCAAGCGGGGGGTTGGGGCAGGGAGTCTGCCCCCATGATTCAGTCACCTTCCACCAGGCCACTCTCCCAACACATGGAGATTACAATTCAAGTTTAGATTTGGGTGAGGACACAGAGTCAAACCGTATTAATATCTTTAAGATGAGGAGACTTAACAAGATGGTCTCTAAGGATTTTTCTTCAGCTGTAAGATCTATACTTTTCTCTTTTAGTGCCTACAAAGGGGCCAGGGCAGCTGTGTATACTTTCCTAGGGTGTGTACTGCACAATTCCAGGGGTGCATGTCACATGATTACACAGATGTGAATGGTTCCACCTGGCTGGTAGGCAACACAGCATTCCTGAGAAGGAGCAGTTCTTAAATTTTTTTGAGAGCTAGGGTTCTCTCATCTCTCCCCTGCCTTATTAGGATCTGTACTTACCTCTCTAGTTCTGATTCTTGCTTACAACATAACACCTTTGCATCCTGGATCATATATCCATAGTAAAGAATAATCAAAGAAAACAGAGAGTATAGTCCACCTTACAATCAGCTCTTATTCCAGTGTCACCTTATAATCAGCTCTTATTCCAATGTCTCTTTTGCTCTGTGCTTCAGTTCCTCCCTTGGGTATCTGCCGTCTGGTCTGTATAGACCATGCAAGTTTAGCCACTCAGCCTCTCTAGAATCAACTTTGCTGCCCACCTGACCTTTTGAAACCTGTGTCTCTAGGCAAGCACACTGCGTGCTCAACCTGTAGTGGTCCTTAACCACACCTCTGTCTTCAGGTCCTATTTTGCCCCAACTGGCTTGTCCATTGTGTCGCCCAAACTCTTGGGAGACACTAAGGTGCAAGAAGCTCATATTGTTGATGCAAGAAGGGAGCTTAGAACTTCCCTAGTCCAGTGTTTTCTAAACTGGGTCTATTCCACAGGTTGCTTATCATAGATGGTATGCAAAAATAAATAAATAAATAAATAAATAAATAAATAAATAAATTGTGCTTAAACAAGGTCTGAAAACATGAAGGTTTATTGTACAGATTATTTTATCACCCAGGTATTATGCCTAGTACCCACTGGTTATTTTTCCTGATCCTCTCCCTCCTTCCAATCCTTACCCTCCTTTAGATCCCAGTGTGTGTTGTGCCCCTCTATGTGTCCATGTGTTCTCATCATTTATTTCCCACTTAAAAGTGAGAAAATGCAGTATTTGGTTTTCTGCTCCTGCATTAGTTTGCTGAGGATAATGGCCTCCAGCTCCATCCATGTTCCTGCAAAGGACATGATCTCGTTGTTTTTTATGGCTGCATAGTATTCCATGTATACACGTACCACATTTTCTTTATCCAGTGTATCATTGATAGGCACTTAGGTTGATTCCATGTCTTTGCTATTGTGAATAGTGCTATAATGAACATACATGTGTGTGTCTTTATAATAGAATGATTTATATCCCTTTTGGTGTATATCCAGTGATGGGATTGCTGGGTCAAATGATATTTCTGTTTTTGGGTCTTTGAGGAATTTCCACACTGTCTTCCACAGTGGTTGAACTAATTAACATTTCTACCAACAGTATATAAACATTCCTTTTTCTGTGCAACCTCACCAGCATCTGTTATTTTTTGACTTTTTAATAATAGCCTCAGTGGACTTTAATAGAATAGGTACATTGTGAGTCTCCAAGAATGGCATAGAGTACATAGTACTTCACTGACTTGATAGTCTTCAGATGTTCCAGAACAGTGTTCTCTGAAGGACCAGTTTGACAGATCTCTTTATTTATACGGAAGGCCCTGGAAGGCAAAGTCTAAGGACACAGAGTTAGTGACAGAGCAAAAACTAGAGCCCAGGTCCAAAATGTCTAGAATTCACTGGGAACTAGTGTATTTCCTGTCTGTATCTGAAGATAGCAATCTTTGTAGAGAACTTTCCTTGAAACAACTTTTGAATGTATTTCATGTGTGAACTTAATGTTCTAAATTCCTGCTTAGATCTTTGACATCTAGCTTAAGGTTCTGCAACTTAGTATTTGAATGTTCCTGTCTTGTGCACAACAATGCAGTCTCTTCTTTTACAAACTATTTAAACGGAGAGTTTTAGTTTTTATGCTAATTATTTGTTTATATTCATCCACTAATACTTGTCTGTTTCTAGGAAAATAGGAAGCTCTTCAAAGCCAATCCCTCTCTGGATACCTGGAAAATTTATGTAGAATTCATTGACGACATTGTGGTGGAAGGCTTTTTTCAGGCTATAATGCACGACTTAGACTTCTTTCTGAAGAATACAGAGAAACAATTGAAACCGGCACCGTTTTTTCAAGCACAAATGATCTTGTTGCCTCCTGAGATTGTGTTTAAACCTTCCCTAGACAGAGAGGCTGGGGATGGCTTCTATGATCTTGTAGAAGAAATGTTATGCAATAGTTTTAGAATGTCTGCCCAGATGAACCGAATAGCAACACACCTGGAAATTAAAAATTATCAGGTATTTTCTTAGTAAATGGGTATTTAGCTTTTATATTAATGATTCAAAAACAAATTGTGGCTGAGTATGGTAGCTCATGCTGGGAATCCCAGAACTTTGGGAGGCTGAGGCAAGAGGATTGCTTGGGCCCAAGAGTTCAAGACCAGCCTAAGCAGCATAGCAAGACCGTCTCTTAAAAAAATTAAAAAATTAGCTGGGTGTGGTGGCATGCATCTGTAGTCCCAGCTACTCAGGAGGCTCAGGCAGGAGGATTGCTTGAGTCCAGGAGTTAGAGGCTGCAGTGAGCTATGATTAAGCCAGTGCACTCCAGCTTGAGTGACAAAACCCTGTCTCAAAAAAACAAAAACAAAACACAAAAAACCACCAGAAAACAAAACCCAGAACAAATTAGGAAAATGGGAAGCACAGGGAAAAGAGAAGTTGGAAAAAGCAACATGATTTTTAATTTTTCTAACTACTCTCCCTTTGAAGAATTACCTTGGTAATGTTATGTTGTAGATAATTGGTAAAGTAAGGTTGGTTTGAATAGTAAGTGCTGTGTTTTCCTCTCATTTAGAATGATATGGATAACATGTTAGGCCTGGCAGAGGTCAGGCAGGAGATCATGAACAGAGTGGTGAATGTCATCAACAAAGTCTTAGATTTCAGAAACACCCTGGAGACCCACACTTACCTCTGGGTGGATGATCGAGCTGAGTTTATGAAGCATTTTCTCTTGTATGGCCATGCTGTGTCTTCCGATGAAATGGATGCTCATGCAAATGAAGAAATTCCCGAACAACCACCAACTCTTGAGCAATTCAAAGAACAGGCAAGGAAAACCCTTAGCATTTAATGTAGTGAAATGGCTTTTCACTGAGTTGTTCTAATTAATCTTTTTCTCACTACAGATTGACATTTATGAAGCTTTGTATGTTCAAATGAGCAAATTTGAGGACTTTAGAGTGTTTGATAGTTGGTTCAAGGTGGACATGAAGCCTTTCAAAGTGAGCTTGTTAACCATAATTAAGAAATGGAGCTGGATGTTTCAGGAGCATCTTTTGAGATTTGTCATTGACAGGTAGCCTTTTACTTTGGTTTTTGGAATTATAACTTTCTAAACTGCTTTCTAAAACTGAGATGTTACTTTTAAGCGTATTAATGTTGCCAGTTTCATGATAGAGATAAATGTTTAATCAGGTACATAATGAAAATAAGATTCAATCAGAAGTCTTATACTGCTAAATGTTTTAATAAACTTAATTTGTGTGTATCTATGTACATATATATTTAATAGTCTGAATGAGCTACAAGAATTTATAAAGGAGACAGATTCCGGACTTCAGAGAGAATTAAATGAAGGTGATCATGATGGTTTAGTTGACATCATGGTGCATCTTCTGGCTGTAAGAAGCCGACAGAGAGCTACTGATGAACTCTTTGAACCTCTAAAAGAAACGATCACCCTCTTGGAAAGCTATGGCCAGAAGATGCCTGAGCAGGTCTATATTCAGCTAGAGGTAAGTGCAGAGGTGAAATAATCATAATTACCATAAATTGAGCATCTCTTTTATTAAAGTACTTTACATGTACTCTCTTATGATGTCCTTATAACAATCTATACTGTACACATTTGATGTTTTCAATTTACAGGTTAGGAATCTGATACTTAAGGAGATTTAATAACTTTCTCAAGGTCATGCAAATAGTAAAGCCAGCCAACACTCTCGGTGTGTTTTATGACAAAATACTTAACCACTGTGCTCCACTGCCTTCTTATTAGAAAGAATGTAGATTGTAAAGAACCTATGAGTTGCTTTTTTGAGTTCAGTTTTACCATCATTTTTCACACATGAAATATATCCATACTTTTTTTTTTCATTCAAAAAAACTACCTGTCAGTCAAGAAGTGCCCTAGTCTTGCAAACGTATCATGGATTTGTTAATAAAGAATAAATAGGCCAGGCGTGGTGGCTCATGTCTGTAATCCCAGCACTGTGAGAGGCTGAGGCAGGCAGATCACCTGAGGTTCGGAGTTCAAGACCAGCCTGGCCAACATGCTGAAACCCCATCTCTACTAAAAATACAAAAATTAGCTGGGCATGGTGGCACGCACCTGTAGTCCACCTACTCAGGAGGCTGAGGCAGAAGAATCGTTTGAACTCGGGAGGTGAAGGTTGCAGTGAGCTGAGATCACACCACTGCACTCTAGCATGGGGACAAAGCGAGACTCCTTCTCAAAATAATAATAATACTAATAATAAATAAATGAAACTCAATTTGGATGGGGAAATCACTGTGCTTTCTAAATAGATTTCTATGCCATCCACCTGTTTCCATGCTGTGGAAAGATTTGGGGGCTTTTTAACAACAAAGTCTCTTTAATTAGAACTGAAATCATGAACCACAGTCTCACAATTTAGATTCTTTTTCTATGCCAATATTGATATTTTATAGATTGTGTGTGTGTGTGTGTGTGTGTGTGTGTGTGTGTGTGTGTGTACACACATGTACTTGAATTTTGCAAATGTGATCAGTGGACACATTAACCAAAAAGCTTTCACTGGATTCTAGTTGATCTAGTTTAGTAGTCAGAGCACAGAACTCAAACTTAGATTTGTTTTCAAGTACTGTATGAGTTCATCTTTTCTGTTTGCCTTGACAAGTTTGTTAATGTCTAAGACCACACTTACTTTTTGCTAAAATATGCCTCATGATCCCTCATTTAAACAATTTCTCTATACTTGCTCCCATCAATTTCTGTTTTTTTCTTTTTTTTATTGAGGTGAAATGTACTATTCGGATAACATATAAAAGTAACCATTTAAAAATGTACAATTTAGTACAATATTGTGCAACTACCACCTCTATCTAGTTCCAGAAATTTTCATCACTCCCAGAAATCCCATACCACTTCTCTGTCTCTCCCCATTATCCTCCTCCATGCCCTGCCAAGCCTTGCAAACCCCTACCCACCAATCCTTGGCAATTCCCAATCTATTTCTGCCTTTATGGGTTCACTTACTCTAGATATTTCAGATAGATGGAATCATACAATATGTGACCTATTTTGTTAGGCTTCTTTCACTTGGTATAATGTTTTCCAGGTTCATTCACATTGTAGCATGTGTTGGTACTTCATTTCTTTTTATGGCTGAATAACATTCCATTGTATGTCCGTCCATACCACCATTGGCTTATCCACTCGTCTGTCAATGGACATTTGGGTTGTTTCCATCTTTGGGCTATTGTCAGTAGTGCTGCTATGAACACTGGTGTGTATTTATTTGAGTATCTGTTTTCAATTCTTTTCAGTACACCTAGGAGTGGAATTGCTGGGTCATCTGGTAGTTCTATATTTAACTTTTTGAGCCATTGCCAAACTATTTTTCACAGTGGCTGTTTTGTTTTATATTCTGTCATTTTGCTTTGTGAGGATTAAATGCAGCAGGGTATTTACAAGTGCTCTCTTGACTATAAAGACTATGAGAATTACTGTATATGAATTGTTAAATTCTATTTAAGTATAAAACTGCCCTTAGAGCTTGCAAGCCAGTTAGACATGGAGCAAGATGACAAGTTCTAGACAGATACATACATAACAAGATGAAGAGATAAAACAGTTACAGTAGAAACAACTATAAATAGTTCTTGTTTCTAGGAAGATTTAGATATTCCTTGAATCAGATGTTGAACCTTAAACTATATCTCATAGAGAAAGTAGTCATAATAAGTAATTGATGAGGGAAATTTAGATATGGCCTCCAGAATTTGTATTATATAAGTTTGGTTCACTCTTTCGGGTGATGGTAGTATTGAAAGCATTAGGCTTTTCAACATTTCAAAAGCAGAATACAATTTTAGCTGTGTATCAGTAATTTAGACTTGTCAGGAGGGAAAATAAGATTCATAGGCGGTATGTGGTGTATTTGGAGGGTAACGAGGCCCAATTTTATTTTAATTTAAGCAACTTCAAGTGATAGTTACTTTCAGTTTCTCCTTTGTTATTATGAGAAGTCATAACATTTTCCAAATACTTGTCTATGCTTAGTTCTGTGGGAAAACACCCTAAAGTCTGGCTATGCCTACTAAGAGTTGAAGTATTACTTCCTTAAAGTCATGAGGACTCACCACCAGCAAGATCTTTGTCCTGTTGGAGCATCTCTTCAGTCTTTTGCCTCTTTTCACTGCTGTTAACACCCACTTTAATTCAGCTCTTGTTACTTCTCACCTCACAGCAACAGCCCCTTAATTCATCCCATTCCTCCTCACACCCCACCCACAATATACTCTGAAACAAGATGAATATTCTGATCTGCAGGACTTATCCAGTCCCTTTTCTGCTCAGAAACCTTCATTAACTGCCCCTAACTTCCCGAATGCTGTCCAGTTTCCATAAGAGCTCACACACTCACACCATCCTGTATTGGTCGTCATACCTCAAGGGATCTCACCCTAATCTCTGCCTGTTGAAACCTAGTCATTTCGTTGAGCCTCAGTTTCAGTGTCACCTCCTCCTTGAGTGGATCATCTGACTTTGAGAGGCTTTGGAGATCATCTGATCTTTTGGGTTTCAAGAAAATTTATTTTTACCAAGTAAAAACTTGTTTGGAATCCCCAAATATAAAGCAGGTTTGTTGTGTTTGAAGAGGGATAAGGGGACCTGAGCTCATGGATGTAACTTCCTCCTGGCTTCCCAGCCATGGCCTCCGAGGGACTCCATGGAATACTTAGGTTCCATGGAATGGAATTGGAAATGCAAAGTGAGACTCTGTCTGTACAGAGGGCGGATGCAGAGTTTTGATGAGAAGCCACGAGAGGGAAGGACAAAGGGGTTTAAAGCCCAGGTCCCTTGGTTCCTGAGCTGGTTTGGTATTCCTGTCATGTCACCAAATTGTCTCCCAACTGTTTTGATTCCATAACACATAGACCTCCTGATAGTTAGCACATTCTGTTGTGTAGAATAGTTATTGTGTGTGCCTCTTGCTCACTCTGACAGATTATAAAACAATTTGAGAGAATGTTTTACCTTTTTAGCACCCTGTTCACCACACAAATAGTATTTAGACCTAGCACAGTGCGTTTTTCCATAACTGGCAGTTACTGAATCGTTCATCAAATATTTACTGAGGTTTACAAAATAGTCTTTAGAACCTTTGAGTTTTGCACTTCAGCTACAAGTAGAGTTCCATCACTGTGGGTGGGTTTGTGTGACAAAACAATTTCACTGTCCCAGGAGATGACCGAGAGGAACAATTCTTTGTTAATTGGGACACAAGGAATGCTTTTCAACAGTAATTATGCTCCATGCATTGCTCCTTAAAGAAAATAACTTGCTTTTGTCCTATTTGCATTGTAGGCAGGGAGAGCAGAGTTGAGTTGGTACCTGAACTATTTATTGTGTCTTTTGTCCTACATAGAGTAGGAATTAACCTTTCTTCCCTTTGCCCTCTTCTCCCTTCAAAAACTCCTAGTCCCCTAAAATAAACCCAACCTCAATCCTCAAACTCTCCAACAAGAAGGAGAATGTACAGAGCTTTGGGAGCTAGAGAAAAGCCGAGGATGAGATTGATTCACATTTTCATCCTTGCCCCAGCATTTTCAAAGCATCTTTTTTTTCACTTGCTAAATTACTAAACATGGCTGGCTTCCATTTCTAGTTGTTAGAGATCAACAAAGTCATTTCCAGAGCACTTCAATTTTATTCCCACAGCAGCAAAACAATTAGGAGATTTGTGTTTATTTTAAAAAGATTTCCATGGATTCTGAGATGAGAACAATTCTGGTACATGCTTTGGAGTTCTGAACCCAGCAGTGCCAGTGAATCAGCCTGTACTTCAGCCTTGGTTCTAAGCCTTTTCATCACTTTCATCCTTTTTTATAAACTCATTATATAAGAATGAAGAGATGTCATGGGTTAGTGTAAAGAAATTAGAATCATTTACATGGACATGGTGGCTCATGCCTGTAATCCCAGCACTTTGGGAGCCAGAGGCAGGTGAATCGCTTGAATTCACGAGTTCAAGACCAGCCTGAACAACATGCTGAAACCCTGTCCTACAACAAATACAAAAATTATCTGGGCATGGTGGTACATGCCTGTAGTTCCAGCTACTGGGGAGACTGAGCTGGGAGGATCACTTGAGCCTTGGAGGTGAAGGTTTCAGTGAGCTGAGATCATGCCAGTGCACTCCAGCCTAGGGGATAGAGCCAGACCTTGTCTCAAGAGAAAAAAAAAAAAGAAAGAAATTAGAGTCATTTAATCCTATAGGGTTGATTTGTTTTAGGAATTGAAGTAATTTCGCATTTGTGCCTTTGCTTTTGCAGGAATTACCTGAAAGATGGGAAACTACCAAAAAGATCGCAGCAACTGTCAGACATGAAGTCTCACCTCTCCATAATGCGGAAGTCACTCTTATAAGGAAAAAATGTATTTTGTTTGACGTAAGCTAGTTACCAAGTTTTTGTTTTAAGAAAGGTTTTACTAGGATAATTGAAGTATTTGTTTGAAATTCACTTTTTTTTTTTTTTTTTTTTGCAATGATCAGGCAAAGCAGGCAGAGTTCAGAGAGAGATTCAGACACTATGCCCCTCTTGGATTTAATGCAGAAAATCCATACACAGCGCTTGATAAGGTAATACAGATCTCAAATATCCTGTGTGCATTAAAATAGCTACTTTAAAAAATGTAAGTTTAGACACAAAATACTGCCACATTTTGTCTTTGTTTTGCTGTTATAGGAATTGATTTATTTAAAACCCAGTTATAAGCAATTTCCCCTTAAGTAAATTGTATTGTATTTCAAATCATGCCTCCCAAAACCATCATCGTCATTGTATTAGGGTTCTCTAGAGGGACAGGACTAGTAGGATAGATGTATATAGGAAAGGGCGTTTATTAAGGAGTATTGACTCACACCATCACAAGGCGAAGTCCCACAGTAGGCTGTCTGCAAGCTGAGGAACAAGGAAGCCACTCTGAGTCTCAAAACCTCAAAAGTAGGGGAGCCAGCATTGCGGCCTTGAGTCTGTGGCCAAAGGCCCCAGACTCCCTAGCAAGCTGGTGTAGGTCCAAGAGACCAAAAGCTGAAGAACATGGAGTCCAGTGTTCGTGGACAAGAAGCATCTAGCACGGGAGAAAGATGGAGGCCAGAAGACTCAGCCAGCCTAGTCCTTCCACATTCCTCTGTCTGCTTTTATCCTAGCTGTGCTGGCAGCTGATTAGATGGTGCCCACCCAGATTGAGGGTGGGTTTGCCTCTCCCAGTCTCCTGACTCAATTGTTAATCTCCTTTGGCATCACCCTCACAGACACACCCAGGAACAATACTTTGTATCCTTCAGTCCAATCATGTTGACAGTCAGTATTAACTATCACAATCATCATAGTAATCATACGAGAGACAGTAACAACTACTACTATTTTTTGAGTCCTTACTATATGTCAAGAATTTTGTTAAGCATATGACTTTCATTATTTCTTTTTAATTCTCAGTCTCCCTATGATATGGCTTGTATTACTTTTCCTCTTTCAATTAAAAAAACAAGCTTGTGGCCGGGTACGGTGGCTCACACCTGTAACCCAGGCACTTTGGGATTCGAGGTGGGCATATCATGAGGTCAGGAGATCAAGACCATCCTGGCCAACACGGTGAAACCCCGTCTCTACTAAAATAAAAATTAAAAAAAAAATTGCTGGGCATGGTGGTGGGTGCCTGTAGTCCCAACTACTCAGGAGGCTGAGGCAGGGGAATCTCTTGAACCCAGGAGGCAGAGATTGCAGTGAGCCGAGATTGCGCCATTGTACTCCAGCCTGGCGACAGAGCAAGACTTCATCTCAAAAAAAAAAAAAAAAAAAAAAAAGGCTTGTATAATTAAGTAATTCCTTGCAGATTTCTGTTAGTAAGTGACAGAACTAGGATTAACATTCTGGCTATCTAAACTTTTTTTTTTTTTTTAATCAGAAATTTTAACCACTATACCCTTTCTCTTGTGATTCTTTTGCCCGTAACTTTTAACCATAGTCAAGGAAGCCCATAACTTATTCTTAACCCTGGACATGAAGATTGTTGAGTCATTCAATCCTAGTTTATAATGAACAACTGTACTTTATTATAGTTGACTATAAGAATGAATATGGTGGGCAAAGAATCCAAATGGTAAGTAATTCACAGAACACTTGAAAAGATGTTTTAAACTTTTATTAGAAAAATGGTGTCTTTGTTTCTCTAGGAACTTAACCTGGCAACCAAAATAAGAAAATAATTGGGTGAAGTTTAGATTTAGGAGCTGGGCACCTTTCTGAGTTGCTCATCTAGCCTGTCACCCTGATTTCATTTCATGCTGGAGATAGTCTTAACTCCTTAGCTGGATGCGGCTGACAGAGCCCTTACCTCTCTTTCCAAATTTTGGGTTGAATTTAGATTTAATTGCTTTAAACTTATTCAGAAAACACCATTCTATAGCATCATGTTGCCTCTTTCACTTGGCAGAAGAAAATTGGTTAACATATTCATTGAAAAGGGAGTAGGTTAGAGTATGCTAATATACTTGGTTTTATTTTTTATTTTTTAAAGATTATGTCTAAATTGCAGGTGGTCTGAACAGATTGTGGATGGGGAAACGTTTTTACTTGACTAACCAACATGCTGTATGTAAACATTTACTACAGTTACTTATTGAATTGTATCATGTTCATGCTATACTATAACAGCATGTAGTTACATATTTAAAAGTCAGAGACTGTACGCTTATAACTACAGGAATATTTTGAATGTAGTAGGGCTGGGTGAACTTTTTCTTGAAGTCATGTTCTTGGTGTGTTTGTTCAGCAGACATGTCTAATGTAAATCTAGTTAGACTCAGTGAAAGGCATATGTATTATTGTTCTGGGCTGGTATGGTGGACCCTGGTTCTGAAGGCATCTCAGTCCACAAGACAGAAAACACTGACTTTCCACAAATAAGGAGAACAGTACAGTGAATCCCTCCCTTTAAAATGAGGTTCCCTGGTTAAGTACTACCGTTTCTTCACAGCCAAAGATATAGTAACTGTATAATAACCAGCTGAATTAACATAACTGGGTATTTCTTCCTTTCCTTTCCTTTTCCTTTCGTTTTTCTTTTCTTTTCTTTCTTTGACAGAGTCTCGCTCTGTCACCCAGGCTGGAGTACAGTGGCATGATCTCAGCTCACTACAACCTCTGCCTCCCAGGTTCAAGCAATTCTCCTGCCTCAACGTCCTGAGTAGCTGGGACCACAGACAGGCACGCACCACCACACCTGGCTAATTTTTGTATTTTTAGTAGAGACAGGGTTTCGCCATGTTGGCCAGACTGTTCTTGAACTCTTGACCTCCAGTGATCTGCCTGCCTCAGCCTCCCAACTTGCTGGGATTACAAGCATGAGCCACTGTGCCCGGCCATAACTGGGTATATATTTCTAGGAATAATGGAATTAGTGTAAGTGATAGGAAAAAAAACGATTAAAAATAAATCAAAGGGATATTGGCTTTGGAGATTATGGTGGACCAGACATTTTGAAAAGCCCTCTTTCATAAAACAGATGCTGAATACATATTCACAAATGTGTAATTTTTAATCTGTTGCGGAGTTCACAAGAACATAAAACAAATCTCTAAAGGGCAAGAAAAAATAGAGGCAAATGCAGAAGCCTGTGCTGCTGTAGTGAAAATGGAAATATCAGAAGTCTAGAACTATGAGATTGAGTTTCTCATGGGGAAGTAGAAGATGCTGTTAAGGGTGATACCCTCATTGGAGAGTGGGCTAGGGAAGGTCTGCAGCCTGCAAAGGAAGCCGATGAGATCACTGTGGGTCTTCACTAATGCTCAGAGTAGGGTGAAAAAAACAGAAAAGGGGCCGGGCGCGGTGGCTCACGCCTGTAATCCCAGCACTTTGGGAGGCTGAGGCAGGCAGATCACAAGGTCAGGAGATGGAGACCATCCTGGCTAACACAGTGAAACCCCGTCTCTACTAAAAATACAAAAAATTAGCCGGGCGTGGTGGCAGGCGCTTGTAGTCCCAGCTACTCGGGAGGCTGAGGCAGGAGAATGGCGTGAACCTGGGAGGTGTAGCTTGCAGTGAGCCGAGATTGCGCCACTTCACTCCAGCCTGGGCGACAGTGCGAGACTCCATCTCAAAAAAACAAAAACAAAACAGAAAAAGATACTCTGGGAGTTTGTAAACATATTCCTGTTCTCACAAGGGTCTATGGTCCGGTTTTATACTACCCCTCTGATTAAGGAATTTCTAAGACAGGAAATTGAAATGGTTACAAGTATCTTCCTAGTAACTAGTAGAAGCAAACCTAAATCATCTCTGGAAAAAAGCACTCTCATTCAGTCTCTTTAGGGGGTCCAACAGATTAAGTTCAGTCAAATATGAGTACACAATAAAACAATGAACACACCATTACGCATAAGAGTCAGTTGAAAGAAACCACGGATAGAGATGCATGCAAAGTTTCAGATATTAGAAGGAAATAAAAGATAATATTGAAAAAAATGAGCAAGTTCTCAGTTTTGAGACTATCAACCATGATCAGTTGAATTTGAAAAAGGGCCAGATACTTACAGAAATGAAAAATACAGTTGTGAAAAAAAAAATACAACTCAGCAGATGGGTTAAAGAGCTCATTAAAATTGGAAAGAGAATTAGTGAAATACAAATTACATTGGAGGAAATCACTTAGAACGCAGTCATAGGTGTAAGGAGATGGAAAATATAAAAGAGCCTAAGGGACGCATAGAAAGAAGTTAGAATGCCGTCCAACTGTTCTATTCATACTTCCTGGAAGAGAGAATGAACAGAATATAGTCTGCAAGATAATAGCTAAGACTTAAAGGACTGGTTGTGATGGTTAAATTTAGGTGTCAACCTGACTAGATTAAGGGATACCTACAGAGCTGGTAAAACATTATTTCTGGGCATGTCTGAGGACACAGGAGAGACTGGTTTGTAAGTTGGTGGACTGAGTGGAGAAGATCCACCTGCAGTGCGGGTGGGCATTGTCCAATTGGCTGGGGGCCCAGATAGAAGAAAAAGGCAAAGGAGAGGCAAATTTGCTGTCTCCTCTGGAAAAGGAATACCTTTCTCCTGGTCTTGGACATCAGAATTCCAGTGTCCCTGGACTTTGGACTCCAGGACTTGAACCTGCAGCCTCCCACCCTCAGCATCTGGTTCTTAGGACTTTGGCCCCGGACTGAGGATTACCCTATCAGCTTTCCTGGTTCTGAGGCCTTTGAACTTGCATTGAGCCACACTGCTGGCATCCGGGTTTCCAGCTTGCAAATAGCTTATTGTGAGACTTCTCAGCCTTCATAATCGTGTGAGCCAATACCCCTAATGAAACTTCCCTCATGTATCTATTTATTTTTTCCTATTGGTTCTGTCTTTCTGGAGAACCGTGACTAATACACTGGTCAAAACATGAATCGATAGATTCAGGAAATTCACCAAATCCCAACCAGGATAAATACAAAGACTGCATCTAGACACATCACAGTGAACTGCAGAATACCAAAAGCAAAAATATTTTCAAAGCAACCAGATAGAAAAGACTGGTCACTTGTTAGAAATGATGATTAGGCTAAGAGCATACTTCTCATTAGCAACAATCGGAGCCAGAAGGTAGTGGATGATGTCTTTCAATTCTACTGGGAAAAATTCTCTCTCAATAATAGTGAAATGAAGATATTTCAGGTAAACAAAAATGCAATATATTTACCACCAATAAACCATTACTAACATAACTCTAGTTATTTATAGTGAACCATCACTAACTCTAGTTATTTATAGTGAATAACTAGTTATGCTCCAAACAATGCCAAATTTGCTTCTTAGAAAAGACTAACTCTATGGACAAACCTCTGGTGAAATCATCAAGGGAAAAACAGAAAAACAGCAAAATTAACAGTATTAGAATAAAATAGGGAATGATTGTACAGAAACAGCAGATATTCAAAAATATAGAGCACTATTAATAAGAAACTTAAAAACTTAAAATGGATAAATTTTTAGAAAAATATAATTTACCAAAACTGTCTCAGTAAATCTGAGTAGTCATATAACTATTCAAACTTAGCCAGTCAGAAAATAAAAAGAAAAATATTAACCAGTAGTTAAAAAACAAAAAAATTTCCAAAACAGAGACTAAGAAGGCTGGGCATGGTGGCTCACGCCTGTAATCCCAGCACTTTGGGAGGCCGAGGTGGGCAGATCACAAGGTCAGGAGATCGAGACCATCCTGGCTAATACGGTGAAACCCTGTCTCTACTAAAAATACAAAAAATTAGCCGGGCGTGGTGGCAGGCGCCAGTAGTCCCAGCTACTCAGGGGGCTGAAGCAGGAGAATGGCATGAACCCAGGAGGCAGAGCTTGCAGTGAGCCAAGATTGCACCACTGCACTCCAGCCTGGGCGACAGAGTGAGGCTCCGTCTCAAAAAAAAAAAAAAAAAAAAAAGAGACTAAGAAGCCCTGATGGCTTTACAGGTGAATCTTAAGAAGCTTTCAAGAAACGGATCTCATTCACATGATTCCAGGAACCTGAAGAAGAATGAACACTCAAAAATTACTTTGTGAAGCATGTCTGATTTTTATAAAGGCATAGTATGAGAAAGGAAAAAAATATAGATCAGTCTTTCTCACGTACATATAGATACAAACATACTAAACAAAACAATCAAATTATACCAATTTATAAACAAGTTTTCATTTAAGGAAAATAAGTTTCACTTAACATTAGAAAATCAGTGTAATTAATTGCATTAACAAATTAGGGAGAAAAAATCGTATGATTATCGCGAGAAATGCCAAAAGAACTTTAGCTATCATTCAACATTCATTCATGATAGAAACACTTAGCAGCCATTTTTTACCTAATAAAAGAATGAAAACTCTACGTAAAATACTATACGATAGGGAACGTGAAAATTTCCAGAAGCATTAGTAATAAGGGTGAAACATAGGAAAAGACAAAATGACTATCAGAAGTAAAAAAAAATAGTGTGTATTCATATAATGTAGTACTATGCAGTAGGGGAAATGAACTTCACACACATCATCATGAATATATAGGTGGACATAAATATCAATTGAAATGTGATATATGTAGTAAACTGCATTTCACAAACATAAATTTTAACATTTAGCGCTTAGCAATACATTAATGTGAAAATATTATAAAAATTAGATTATTAAATAAAAAGGTAGGTTTTGTGGTTAAATATGTAGTAGGGAAAAGAGGGATGAAATTAAGAAAAGGCATTAAAAATTATTAGTCATATTTCTTAGGCTAGGTGGGGAACAAACGCATATATCCTTTTATGTGTATAAAATGTTTCATAATAAAACATTTTAAAACTAAAAGAATTGCAGTTCTTGTATGTGAAGATATAACTTGTAAAAATGAAAGCAGGATGCTAATACTCTTCTTTACATAGTAGGAAATGAAGAGACAGAGTTGGGGTTGGGGAGATGTTAGTTCACAAGACTTCTTGTACAATATGGTGACTATAGTTAATAGCAACGTACTGTATTTTGAAAATTGCTGAGTAGATTTTAAGTGTTCTCACCACAAAAAGTGTGAGATGATGAAGTATGTGAGATAATGCATATATTAATTAGCTCTATAGAGCCATTTCACAATATATAGATTTTTTGTTTTGTTGAGACAGGGTCTCACTCTGACCAGGCTGTAGTGCAGTGGTACAATTTCAACTCAGTGCAGCCTCAACCTTCCCTGATCTTACTTAGGTCATTCTCCCACCTCAGCCTCCCGAGTAACTGGGACTATAGGCACATGCCACCATGCCCAGCTAATTTTTTTTTTTTTTGCACTTTTAATAGAGATGAGGTTTTGCTACATTGCCCAGGCTGGTCTCAAACTCCTGGGCTCAAGCAATCCACCTACTGTGACTTCCCAAAGTGCTGGGATTACAAGCATGAGCCACTGTGCCCAGCCTCGCAATTCCAAAGCATCATGTTGTACGTGATAAATATATACAATTTTTATTTGTCAATTGAAAAAGAGTTGAAGGTTGATGGAACATAAAAGCATTAAGTATAGGTATTTAAAGTTCAAAGAAACTAAAGTAATACAATTGTTGGATCTTGGGAGGAGGATGGGAGAAAATAGAAAGTGGAAAAACAAAGTCAAATCCTTCTTTTGCAAAGCCAGTAGTAACCTAGTATAATGTCTAAACGTGATCAATCAACAAAGAGCAGCTTGAGCACAGAATTGGAAGTTACAGAAATAGCATCCAAAAGAATGACTGAACCTGAAGGATTGCTTTCCTGCCTTGCAAGTGCTCCTCTACACCTTGAACTTTTACCATGTAAGCATAGTACCATTTTGTTAATTAAAGATGAAAATTAAGACTTGGTCATCACAAAAGAAAAAACATGTCAGCATTTACGTTTGGTGTAAAATGTAAACTATTCTATGTAGATGGGGTATATAATTGAACCTTGATAAAGACAGTCATATGGTGATGTTTTCATACTGGGCTGTGTTTTTAGCTTTATGCTTTATTTCACAAATTCTCTTGAGTGCATTTGATATTATTGATAATCTGTAGGGTATTTTTTAAATCTGAAAGTTTTAATAAACTAAGTCATTACTTAAAATATAATTCATTCTTACATGGAAGTTTCTAGAGCCCCACCTTTTGTTCTTCAGCAAATTCCCCAGCTCTCGGTACAAAAACCAAGAGGAAAAATTGTATTCAGAGAAATCTGATGAAGAAGAAATTTTGCTAATACGTGTATAGGGACAGTATTGTTGAAGTTACTGTGTTTAACAGTAATCTGTTCTCACTTTTTGTGCAGCTGAGTTTGCTCTTCTAAAACCTACATTTTGCCAGTAATTACGCTGCAGATTTATTTTTATTTTCCCGTTAAAAATCAAAGATTGAAATGTCGAGATAACCAGAGCTACAGAACTGCATGTCTTCTCTTTCTCTGGCAGTTTGTATGCAGGTGTTTATGTTCTCTCCTTAGGCAAATGAAGAGCTTGAGGCCTTAGAAGAAGAAATGTTGCAGATGCAAGAATCTACTCGTCTTTTTGAAGTGGCTCTTCCAGAGTACAAACAAATGAAACAGTGTCGCAAAGAAATAAAATTGCTCAAGGGACTGTGGGATGTCATTATTTATGTTCGAGTAAGATGTGCTTTTTCAAAACATGCTTTTTATTTAGTAGTTCTTTTACATATGCAGTTTGTGGAGCCTATATTATTCTATTTGGGTTTTATAATGTCTTGAAATATGTGGAAATTAGATCCTCACCCCAGCCCCAAATTAGAGTTCATGTATCTCTGTTAGTGGATGATTCTTCTTTGAATACCAGTTGTTTTTATTTTTAGTTCAGGATGAAACTTTGTTTAATAAGCTGACTGCCTCAAATCCTTTGGGGAGATTGTAAAGAATATAAATAAAATAAAAATTAATATATAAATATATATTACATGTGTAGTCATCTGTGCATACCAACTCATACATATTCCTATGCTTATACTTACATGCCTGGGCATACACAAACAGACCCTTCCTAAAAATAATTTGTATGTGGTTAATTAAGTTAAAAACTTAAGTGAAAAAGTAAGTTCTAGGGAATGAGGCATATTGCAACAAGCACTATAATCTTTTATGTTAGTTGAAAGCCATATAGAAATATATTAACAAAATATAAAATATGGTCAAGAAATGGTTGATGAGAGTTTTGTTTATAATGGTTGAAAATTGTCATGTGAAAGCTTATTTAGTTACATGTAGAATTATAAAAGTCTGTTATTTAATAATCTACTTATCAATTTATTCAAAGTACACAGGATTAAGTGATAATGATGGTATGTGTATGGAATTTATCATCGCTACTAGAAATTAATATATCATAATGTTTTAGCCTTTAGCTTGACGTGTTCTGACAACTTTTTTGTTTTGGTGATAGGGAAGTTTTGACAAGTGCAGTTAATATTTTAAAAATTGACTTTCCACTGGATGATAGAGTTACAGTGTATCATCAGTTTATATATTTTGCTGCAGAGACTTGCTTTCACCAAATGTTGTTGACACTTTTATCTGCTTTTGCGTTTTCAGAGAAGCATTGATAATTGGACTAAAACCCAGTGGAGACAGATTCATGTGGAACAGATGGATGTAGAACTCAGAAGGTTTGCCAAGGCGAGTTCCATAACTGTCTATTACAACAATTTATCTTTCTCAGCACCACCTCCTTCCATCTTCCCTAATCTAGTATCTGGTGTATTGGGCTGCATGTACTTATTTACTTCTAACAGAGTGATAGCAGACAGTGTTTTTTTCACCCTTAGCCAGTTGCACTTCTAATCAAGCCTGTCTTTCTGTGAGTGAGTTGATAGAAGCATATTAGGGTTAATGAATTTATGAGAAGCTACTCTAATTATGAGCTTCCTACAGCTTCCTAGAACAGAGAGGAACATTATCAGGGCCAAGGGGTCAGGCTTCTGAAAGCTTTTGATTTCTTTGCTTAGCAACCATAAACATTTTGTATCTGAAAAGGTACCTTTTGGCTCTGGAATTTGGGGCAACTAATAGGAGCATGCCACCTCTGGATTTATGCGGAATACTATGATCTTTGTTCTTATTAATGACTCTGGTATCCCAAGGGGGCTCAACATATACAGAACTGAGCCTATTGTAATTTGGTACTTATTGGAATTTGATGTCTATTCTGCATAGCCGTATGCCCTCTGAAGACAGAGCATCTTTGGATAAAGGCAAAATGCATATCAGTGAAAGGCAGTTAAAAGTGACAGGACCATTTGCTTTTTTTCCACCCCAGGGCTTCCTTGCCTCAGCTTCTACCCACTCTCGCCTGTATTTTCCCCCATATTATGCCAGTCCCAAAGACCCAAACTAAAATGTCCCTTCATTCTTTCGGATGTCATGGGGTCACATTGTCCTTTATTTCGTGCTAAGTTCTAGTTGTTTTCTTATGGGTTTTCTCATTCACAATTGCTGATGTTTTTCCTTGGGCTGAGAGGACCAGCCAAGTCAAAGGACCTATTTGGCATTTTAAGATGATGAAATATTTAGGTTTCAAGAAACAGGCACTCAAAGGTAATCAACATTCCAAGGCTGTTGTTTAAATGAGTCATGTATTCCGAAGGAGGTCTTAGTAATCTGATAACAGTCTGTTTCCATTTACTTATGTTTATAGAAGAAACATTCTTCATTGCACGTGTCCTGTGAACTCTGTTACTTACCTGTGTTTCCTCATGGGACATTCAGTTAGATCTTGTGAATGAGAAAGCAGTGTATACAAGTGGCTTGTACGGAGTGGGCTTGTAATGTACAAATGAGTGGATCCCTTTTCGTTTCTCTGGTTTTGCTCCTTGGTCTAGGAGTTCAAATGCTTTCACTCTTTTCTAATCCAGGAGTTGGGAAATATATGTCAAAGGAGGCAAATTATTAATATATACTGTGTTATATCTTGGGAGCTAGGTTTTTTCCTCCACTTTTCTTTAGGAAATTTGGTCACTCAACAAGGAAGTCCGCGTCTGGGATGCTTACACGGGCCTGGAAGGCACAGTTAAGGACATGACAGCCTCCCTGAGGGCCATCACAGAGTTACAGAGCCCTGCCCTCAGGGACAGGCATTGGCACCAGCTGATGAAAGCTATTGGGGTCAGTATCCTTGGTCTCACTAATGAACCTTTTTATGACTGTGAAGTGTTACTTCTTGGTTTGCATCATCTGAGATGAAGTGTAATTTATGAAAAGACCCCCCTCAGCATAGCCTCTACTTGCTGTGTTATGCCTTTTTGCTGTCTAGAAAAAGTCGCCTGATCCGACCAACAATTTAGAAAAAGGCACCCTCCTCCAGGCTGTCCCCAGGACAGCAGAGCGGAGGCTGGCTTCCATCTCCATTTGTCATCTGGGCTGGTGTCCACGTTCAGTACACAGATTGCACAACTAATCAGGGTGGCCCTATTACTCATCTCTCCTCATTCTTTCTCAAGGACAGACCTAGCTCCCTGGCTCCCAGCAACTCTGGAGTGAGGCCAAAGTTGACACAGAGATAGTCTGGCAAACTCATCTAGCTTTCTCAGGACTTTCCAGATTTTAGCACTGAAAGTATCACATCCCTGAAATCCACTTGCTAGAAACCCCTCAGTCCGGAGCAAATCAGGGCATTTGGTCCTCTTATGCAGAGGCGTGGATGGTGCTAAGGAATGTTAGAGGGTAGGGAGGGGCAGAGGGTGGCAGCTTCCAAGAAGCAGATTCTGGATATTCTTAGCAAAAGCCGGAAAGAAAATGGCTTTCCTGCAACCCATATGGCTGGCTCAACTCTTCACTTACAGGAGACATGAGTGAGTTTGGGTATGTCGAAGAGCTGAGGATGTCTCAAGGACCCAATATAGGGGAGGGAAGGAGAGTCAATGTGAGAGAAGGGGAGTCATTGTCACAAGACAATGTGGAAATGAGAATTATTTTTCACATGGTAAATATGAATAATGACACTGTAAGACTATTTTTTTTGCCAATGAACTGAGATTAAATTAGTGATAAAACTAGGTTAAATCACAGAAGCAGCTGGGAATTATGTTCAGTGAATAGGGTTCTTTAGGAAGAAAAGACAAATGAGCCACTACCTGATTCCTGGGATTTCAACCAAATTATAATAAATGAACAATGAGATTCTCTTTAAAAATGGGTTTTGTGGGCAAAGGAGATAAGAAACGTGCCGACAAGGGAAAGATGTGAAACAAAGAAAATAGTGTAGCACGGATGTGACTAAACTGTGGCCCTTGCTTCCGGCAGGTGACGCCTCAGGAATTGTGAGTTAAAAAGGAGTGTCTTAGATTCTCCACGTATTTCAAGACGAGAGATGTACTCAGCACCTGACTTGAGTATATTTTAGTTAAGATTCATTTCACCAGCCTTTAGGCAAAAGGAACCGTTCATATATGTGGAATATAAAGTCTAACTTTTTTTCCCCCAATCAGGTCAAGTTTTTAATAAATGAAGCCACAACTTTGGCAGATTTGTTAGCACTGCGGTTACACAGAGTGGAAGATGATGTCCGAAGGATTGTGGACAAGGCGGTGAAAGAGCTGGGGACTGAGAAGGTAGTGTCCTCGGGACTGGGTCATTTCTACTTGGCTAATTTTGGGTATTTGCATAGAAGCCAACTTAGAGAAAAGTCCTTTTGATGTCCTGGGAGCCTGGAGAGATGAGTCCCAGTTTGTTCCCTGCTGTTCATTAGGTGTGGGATGAGCAGGAACTAGAATCATTCTAAGCCACAGTAAAACAGGAGGATTGGTCTTGTTGATGATGATGATTATAGCAGAAAATACTTACATATCCTTTATTTTGTAGCCAACACCACTCTGAGTGCTTTATTTATATTAACCCATTTAATCTTCTGAGGTAAGTAATAGTATCTCTATTTTACACATGGGGAAACTGAGGTATAAAGAGATAATTAACTTACCCAGATTCACACAGAAGACTGAGATTCATTCACATTTGAGGCATTACCTGTTTCATGCTGGCTAATTTGTAAATAGTATCTACCAAACATTTAAGTCCCTTCCTGCTCTTGAATTGTGTTTTGGTTAGGGATGATAAACTCACATTCAGTAGAAGTTTGATGTTAGTGTGATGCTCATACCTTTGATGTGATAAAATTCATTCTTCAAACCCCATTAGCATGAATTACTTGGAGGAAAAAACTCAAGCCAATAATACTTGATATCAGTTTGCATTTTTGAAAGTTGAAAAAAATTAATTCCAGATAATAGTCTACATATTGATTATCAATTAAATTTTGTGCACATTAATTATATTGTTGATTACTAGGTTATTACTGAAATCAGTCAGACCTGGGCAACCATGAAGTTTTCTTACGAAGTTCACTATCGAACAGGCATTCCATTACTAAAGTCTGATGAACAACTTTTTGAAACTCTAGAGCACAACCAAGTAAGATGGATATTTTTATTGCATATATTTTTCATTTTATTTTTATTTGACAAATAATTGTATATATAGGGTACCATGTGATGTTTTGATGTATGTTTACAATGTGGAAAGATTAAATCAGGCTAACCGTCATCTCATACACTTAACATTTTTTTTGTGGTGAATCACTTAAAATCTCCTTTAGGAATTTTGAAACATACAATGCATTATTATTTATTGTAGTCACCAACTGTGCAATAGATCACTAAAGCTTATTCCTCCTGTCTAACTGAAAATTTGTACCCTTTGATCAACAGCTCCTCTTGCCCCCTCCCCCCGGCTCTGGTAACCATCATTCTACTCTCTGTTTCTATGAGTTCAACTTTTTTAGATTCCACGTGTAGATGGCATCGTACAATATTTGTCTTTTTGTTCCTGGCTTATTTTGCTTAGCACTGTCCTTTAGGGTCATCCATGTTGTTGCAAACCAGGATTTTATTCTTTTTTTTAAATTTTACTATTATACTTTAAGTTTTAGGGTACACGCGCACAATGTGCAGGTTAGTTACATATGTATACATGTGCCATGCTGGTGTGCTGCACCCATTAACTCGTCATTTAGCATTAGGTATATCTCCTAAAGCTATCCCTCCCCCCTCCCCCCACCCCACAACAGTCCCCAGAGTGTGATGTTCCCCTTCCTGTGTCCATGTGTTCTCATTGTTCAATTCCCACCTATGAGTGAGAATATGCGGTGTTTGGTTTTTTGTTCTTGTGATAGTTTACTGAGAATGATGATTTCCAATTTCATCCATGTCCCTACAAAGGACATGAACTCATCATTTTTTATGGCTGCATAGTATTCCATGGTGTATCTGTGCCACATTTGCTTAATCCAGTCTATCCTCGTTGGACATTTGGGTTGGTTCCAAGTCTTTGCTGTTGTGAATAGTGCCACAATAAACATACGTGTGCATGTGTCTTTATAGCAGCATGATTTATAATCCTTTGGGTGTATACCCAGTAATGGGATGGCTGGGTCAAATGGTATTTCTAGTTCTAGATCCCTGAGGAATCGCCACACTGACTTCCACAAGAGTTGAATACAAACTACCATCAGAGAATACTACAAACACCTCTATGCAAATAAACTAGAAAATCTAGAAGAAATGGATAAATTCCTCGACACATACACCCTCCCAAGACTAAACCAGGAAGAAGTTGACTCTCTGAATAGACCAATAACAGGCTCCGAAATTGTGGCAATAATCAATAGCTTACCAACCAAAAAGAGTCCAGGACCAGATGGATTCACAGCCGAATTCTACCAGAGGTACAAGGAGGAACTGGTACCATTCCTTCTGAAACTATTCCAATCAATAGAAAAAGAGGAAATCCTCCCTAACTCATTTTATGAGGCCAGCATCATCCTGATACCAAAGCCGGGCAGAGACACAACCAAAAAAGAGAATTTTAGACCAATATCCTTGATGAACATTGATGCAAAAATCCTCAGTAAAATACTGGCAAACTGAATCCAGCAGCACATCAAAAAGCTTATCCACCAGGATCAAGTGGGCTTCATCCCTGGGATGCAAGGCTGGTTCAATACACACAAATCAATAAATGTAATCCAGCATATAAACAGAACCAAAGACAAAAACCACATGATTATCTCAATAGATGCAGAAAAGGCCTTTGACAAAATTCAACAACCTTCATGCTAAAACTCAATAAATTAGGTATTGATGGGACGTATCTCAAAATAATAAGAGCTATCTATGACAAACCCACAGCCAATATCATACTGAATGGGCGAAAACTGGAAGCATTCCCTTTGAAAACTGGCACGAGACAGGGATGCCCTCTCTCACCACTCCTATTCAACATAGTGTTGGAAGTTCTGACCAGGGCATTTTGGCAGGAGAAGGAAATAAAGGGTATTCAATTAGGAAAAGAGGAAGTCAAATTGTCCCTGTTTGCAGATGACATGATTGTATATCTAGAAAACCCCATTGTCTCAGCCCAAAATCTCCTTAAGCTGATAAGCAACTTCAGCAAAGTCTCAGGATACAAAATCAACGTACAAAAATCACAAGCATTCTTATACACCAATAACAGACAAACAGAGAGCCAAATCCTGAGTGAACTCCCATTCACAATTGCTTCAAAGAGAATAAAATACCTAGGAATCCAACTTACAAGGGATGTGAAGGACCTCTTCAAGGAGAACTACAAACCACTGCTCAATGAAATAAAAGAGGATACAAAGAAATGGAAGAACGTTCCATGCTCATGGGTAAGAAGAATCAATATTGTGAAAATGGCCATACTGCCCAAAGTAATTTATAGATTCAATGCCATCCCCATCAAGCTACCAATGACTTTCTTCACAGAATTGGAAAAAACTACTTTAAAGTTCATATGGCACCAAAAAAGACCCCGCATTGCCAAGTCAATCCTAAGCCAAAAGAACAAGCCTGGAGTCATCACACTACCCGACTTCAAACTATACTACAAGGCTACAGTAACCAAAACAGCATGGTACTGGTACCAAAACAGATATAGATCAATGGAACAGAACAGAGCCCTCAGAAATAATGCCACATATCTACAACTATCTGATCTTTGACAAACCTGAGAAAAACAAGCAATGGGGAAAGGATTCCCCATTTAATAAATGGTGCTGGGAAAACTGGCTAGCCATATGTAGAAAGCTGAAACTGGATCCCTTCCTTACACCTTATACAAAAATTAATTCACGATGGATTAAAGACTTAAACGTTAGATCTAAAACCATAAAAACCCTAGAAGAAAACCTAGGCATTACCATTCAGGACATAGGCATGGGCAAGGACTTCATGTCTAAAACACCAAAAGCAATGGCAACAAAAGCCAAAATTGACAAATGGGATCTAATTAAACTGAAGAGCTTCTGCACAACAAAAGAAACTACCATCAGAGTGAACAGGCAACCTACAAAATGGGAGAAAATTTTCGCAACCTACTCATCTGACAAAGGGCTAATATCCAGAATCTACAATGAACTCAAACAAATTTACAAGAAAAAAACAACCCCATCAAAAAGTGGGCGAAGGACATGAACAGACACTTCTCAAAAGAAGACATTTATGCAACCAAAAAACACATGAAAAAGTGCTCATCATCACTGGCCATCAGAGAAATGCAAATCAAAACCACAATGAGATACCATCTCACACCAGTTAGAATGGCAATCATTAAAAAGTCAGGAAACAACAGGTGCTGGAGAGGATGTGGAGAAATAGGAACACTTTTACACTGTTGGTGGGACTGTAAACTAGTTCAACCCTTGTGGAAGTCAGTGTGGCAATTCCTCAGGGATCTAGAACTAGAAATACCGTTTGACCCAGGCATCCCATTACTGGGTATATACCCAAAGGATTATAAATCATGCTGCTATAAAGACACATGCACACGTATGTTTATTGTGGCACTATTCACAATAGCAAAGACTTGGAACCAACCCAAATGTCCAACAATGATAGACTGGATTAAGCAAATGTGGCACATATACACCATGGAATACTATGCAGCCATAAAAAATGATGAGTTCATGTCCTTTGTAGGGACATGGATGAAATTGGAAATCATCATTCTCAGTAAACTATCACAAGAAGAAAAAACCAAGCACTGCATGTTCTCACACATAGGTGGGAATGGAACAATGAGAACACATGGACACAGGAAGGGGAACATCACACTCTGGGGACTGTTGTGGGGTGGGGGGAGGAGGGAGGGATAGCATTAGGAGATACACCTAATGCTAAATGACGAGTTAATGGGTGCAGCACACCAGCATGGCACATGTATACATATGTAACTAACCTGCACATTGTGCACATGTACCCTAAAACTTAAAGTATAATAATAATAATAATAAAATAAAAATAAAAAATAAAAAAAAAGAATCCACTTTCTTAATATCACTAACTCACTAATGAGGGCAGAGCCCTCATGGTACCTCTTAAAGGTCTCACCTCAAACACTGTTGCATTGTTGATTAAGTTGCAACACATGAGCTTTGAGACACAATAACAGGTAGTACAATAGCAGGTAGTGTGAACATTTTAACAATATTAAATACTGGGATAACTTTAAATACTGAATACCTTTCAGTGTGTTTGTATTATCTACATTTTTTCATCAATGTTTTGTGGTTTTTAGTATACAGATATTTCACCTCCTTTGGTTAAATTTGCTCAAGTATTTTATTGTTTGATACTATTGTGAATGGGATTGATTTCTTAATTTCTTTTTCAGATAGTTTGTTGTTAGTATAAAAGAATGCTGATTTTTGTGTGTTGGTTTTGTACCTTACAAGTTTGCTTTATTCATTTATTAGTTCTAACAGTTTTAGGATGGAGCTGTTAGGATTTTCTAAATATAAGATTATGTCATCAGCAAACAGACACACTTTCACTTCTTCCTTTCCATTTGAGTGCTTTTTATTTCTTGTCTAGTTGCTCTGGCTAGAACTTCCAGTACTGTATTGAATAGAAGCATGAGAGTGGGCATCCTTATCTTTTTCCTGATTTTAGACAAAAAGCTTTTGATTTTTTGCTGTTGAGTATATTAGCTGTGTGCTTTTCATGTTCAGCCTTTATTGTGCTGAAGTACATTCTTTATATGCCAATTTTGTTGGAAGTTTTAATCATGAAATGATGTTGAATTTTACCAAATGTCTTTTCTGCATATATTCAGATGTTCATATCATTTTGTCCTTTCTGTTAAATATGGTATATCACATTTATTGATTTGCATATTCTTGCATTCCTGAGATAAATCCCACTTGATCATGGTGAATGATCTTTTTTAGTGTACTGTTAAAATCAGTTTGCTAGACTTTGCTGAGGATTTTTTTAATGTATGTTCATCAGGGATATTGGCTTCTAATTTTCTTTACTTGTGGTGTCCTTGTTTGGCTTTGGTATCAGAATAATCATGGCCTCATAAAGTGAGTTTGGAAGTATTTCTCCTTAAGTTTTTTTGGAAGAGTTTGAGAAGGGTTAGTATTAGTTCTTCTTTAAATGTTTGGCAGAATTCCACCGTGAAGCCCTCCTGTCCTAGGCCTTTCTTTTGAGGGGAAATATTTTAGTATTCAATCAGTGTCTTTACTCATCTGTTGAGATCTTTTATTTCTTCTTGATTCAGTCTTGGTAGGTTGTATGTTTCTAGGAACTTAACCATTTCAATTTGTTGACATATAACTGTTCATAGTAGTCTCTTATGATCCTTTGTATTTCTGTCGTATCAGTTGTAATAACTCTTCTTTCATTTCTGATTTTGAGTTATCTCCCTTCTTTCCTTAGTCTGGCTAAAGGTTTGTTGATTTTGTTTACTATTCAAAAAACCAATTCTTCATTCCATTGGTCGTTTTGTTGTCTTTGTAGTCTCTGTTTCATCAATTACTGCTCTGATCGTTATCATTTTTTCCTACTATTGATTGTGGGCTTAGTTTGTTCTTCTTTTTCTAGTTCCTGAAGGGTTAGCATTAAGTTGTTTATTTGAGATTTTCTTGTTGTTGTAAACACTTATTGCTAAAAACTTCCCTCTTAGAACTGGTTTTGCTGCATTCCGTAAGTTTTAGTATGTTGTGTTTCTGTTTTCATTTGTCTCAATATATTTTAAAATTTCTCTTTTAGTTTCTTCTTTGACCCATTGGTTGTTTGGGAGCATGTTATTAATTTTCATGTATTTGTGAGTTTCCAAAATTCCTCCTGTTATTGATTTCTACTTTTATGCCACTGTGATTGGAAAAATACTTGATGTTATTTTTGATCTTCTTAAGTTTTTAGCTAAGATTATCTGGCAGACTTGGAAAACATTTATGTTTTTTTATATTGATGCGTAAGAGATGTACATAATTTGGGGGTACATGTGATAATTTAATATATGCATATAAAATGTAAAGATCAAATCAGTGTAATTGGGATGGCCATCATCTTAAATATTTGTCTTTGTGCTAAAACTACTGGAATTTTTCTCTTCTAGATCTTTTGAAATACACAATAGATTATTGTAAACTGTAGCCACCCTACTGATCTATCTAACACTGGGTCTTATGAGACCCGCTTTTTAAAAAAAATTCCCACATGTGAATGGGAATACGTGATATTTGTCTTTCTATGCTTGCCTTATTTCACTTAACATAATGTCCTCTAGTTCCATCCACATAGCTGCAAATGACATGATTTAATTATTAGTTTTATGGCTGAATAATATTCTATTGTATGTATATGCCATTCTTAAATCTATCTGTTAGTAGGCACTTAGGTCAATTCTGTATTTTGGCTATTGTAAATTAGTACTGCAAAAAACATGGAAGTGCAGATGTGTTTTCAACATACTGATTTTCTTTCTTTTGGGTATATACCTAGTAGTGGAATTGCTGGATTACATTTTTCGTTCTTTGAAAACTCTCCGTACTGTTCTCCATAGTGACTATACTAATTTACATTTCTACCAACAGTGTACAAGTGTTCCCCTTTCTCCACATCCTTGCCAGCAGCATCCATTTTTGCCTATCTTTCTGGTAAAAGCCATTTAACTGGGGTGACATCATATCTCATTGTATTATGATTTGCATTTCTCTTAGGATTAGTGATGTTGAGCATTTTTTCATGTAACTGATGGCCTTCTGTATGTCTTTTTTTTTTTTTTTTTTTTTTTTGAGGCGGAGTCTCATCTGTCACCCAGGCTGGAGTACAGTGGCGTGATCTCGGCTCACTGCAAGCTCTGCCTTCCAGGTTCATGCCATTCTTCTGCCTCAGCCTCCCAAGTAGCTGGGACTACAGGCGCCCGCCACCATGCCTGGCTAATTTTTTGTATTTTTAGTAGAGATGGGGTTTCACTGTGTTAGCCAGGATGGTCTCGATCTCCTGACCTCGTGATCTGTGTGCCTCTGCCCCTAAAGTGTGGGATTACAGGCATAATCCACAGCGCCCGGCCTGTGTGTCTTCTTTTGAGAAATGCCTATTCAAATATTTTGCCCATTTTAAAATCAGATTGGGGTTTTGTTTTGTTTTTGTTTTGCCACTGGGTTGTTTGAATTTTGTATGTATTCTGGTTATTAATCCCTTATCAGATGAGTAGTTTGCAAATATTTTCTCCCATTCTGTAGTTTGGCTATTCACTTCGTTAATTGTTTCTATTGCTGTGCAGAAGCATTTTGTCTTGGCATGATCCTGTTTGCCCAGTTTTGTTTTTGTTGCCTGGGGTTTTGAAGTCTTACACACACACACAAAATCTTTGCCCACACTAAAGTCCTGGAGCATTTCTCCAGTGTTTTCTTCTAGTAGTTTTATAGTTTCAGGTCTTAGATTCAACTCTTAATCCATTTTTATTTGATTTTTGTTTACATTGAGGGATAGAAATCTAGTTTCATTCTTCTGCATATGGTTATCCAGTTTTCCCAGTACCATTTATTGAAAAGACTGTCCTTTCCCCATTGTATGTTCTTGGCACCTTAGTTGAAAATTAATTGGCTGTAAATGTATGGGTTTATATCTTGGGTCTCTATTCTGTTCCATTGGTCTCTGTGTCTGTTATTATGCCAGTACTATGCTGATTTGGTTACTGTAGCTTTGTAGTAAATTTCAAAGACAGGTAGTTTGATGCCTCTAGCTTTGTTCTTTTTGCTCAGGATTGCTTTGACTATTCAGGGTCTTCTGTGATTCCATATAAATTTTGAAACTTTTTCTATTTCTGTGGAAAAAAGTCATTGGTATTTTGATAGAGATTGCATTGAATTTAGAAATTGCTTTGGGTAATATTGTCATTTTAACAATACTCTTCCAATCCATGAGCGTGGAATATCTTTCTGTTTTTTGTGTGTGTCTTCAGTTTTTTTCATTAGTGTTTCATAATGTTTCTCATATAGAAACTTTCACTTTTCATCTTTCACTTCTTTGGTTAATTTGATTCCTACATAGTTGATATTATTTGTAGCTATTGTAAATGTGATTGCCTTCTTGATTTCTTTTTTCAAATGTTTTCTGTTGGTACATATAAATGCAACTGTTTTTTGTATGTCTACTTTGTATTCTGCAACTTGCGTAAACTTGTTTATCAGTTCTAACAGTTTTTTTTTTGATGGAGTCTTTAGGTTTTTCTAAGTACAAGATCATGTAATCTGAGAACAAGGCTAATTTGACTTCTACCTTCCAGTTTGAATGCCTTTTATTTCTTTCTCTTGCCTAATTGCTCTGACCAGGACTTCTAATACTATATTGAATACAAAGAGTGAAAATGGGTATCTTGTCTTGTTCCAGATCTTAGAGGAAAGGCTATCAAATTTTCCCCATTCAGTACAATGTTAGCTGTGGATTTATTGTATATGTCCTTTACTATTTTGAGATATGTTCCTTCTGTGCCAATTTTGATGAGGGTTTTTATCATAAACGGATGTTGAATTTTATCAAATGTCTTTTTGAAATTTGTTAAAATAATCATATGGTTTTTCTTCTTGGTTCTATTGATGTGCTACATCACATTTGTTGACTCACATAAGTTAAACTGTCCTTCTATCTCTGGAATGACTCCCACTTAACCATGGTAAATGAGTTTTTAATGTATTGTTGAATTCCATCAGCTAATATTTTGTAGAGAATTGTGGCATCTATGTTTATCAGTAGTATTGGCCTGTAATTTTCTCTTTTCTTTGTGTCCTTTTCTGCTTTTGGTATCAGGGTAATGCTGGCTTCATTTTCTTAGTCTAGCTAAAGGCTTATCAATTTTATCTTTTCACAAAACCACCTTTTGTGTTGTTGATCTTCTGTATTTTTTCTTCAGTTTTAATTTTATTTGTTTCAGCTCTCATCCTTGTTATTCCCTTCCTTTTGCTAATGTTCACTTGGGATTGTTTTTGCTTTTCTAGTTCCTTGAGGTGTATTGTTAGGTTGTTGATTTGAAGGCCTTCTACTTTTTTGATATATGTGCTTATTGCTCTAAACTTTCCTCTTATTACTGGCTTTTACTGTATCACATAGATTTTGATATGTTTTATTTCCATTTTAATTTGTTTCAGAAAATTTTTACATTTGCTTCTTAATTTCTTCATTGATTCATTGGTTGGTTAGGAGCATGTTGTTTAATTTGCATGTGTTTGTGACATTTCTAAGGTTCCTCTTGTTAGTGATTTCTAGTTTTATTTCATTGTAATCAGAAAAGGTACTCGATATGATTTCTACTTTTTAGAATTTTTTGAAACTTGTTTTGTGCCCTAAGATATGATCTATTCTGGAGAATCCATGTGCTGACAAAAAGGATTTGTATTCTGCAGTAGTTGGGTAAAATGTTCTGTGTCAGTCAGTCAGGCCTACTAGGTCTAGTGTGTAGTTTAAGTCTGATGTTTCTTTGTTGATTTTTGAAATCTTGGAAGATCTGTCCATTTCTAAGAATGGGGCGTTAAAGTCCTGTACTATCATTGTGTTGCAGCCTATCTTTCCCTTTATCCCTTTAGGTCTATTAATGTTTGTGTTATATACCTGGGAGTTTAGGTGTTGGGTGCACAGATATTTAATACTTATAATTATTATTTTCTCTTGCCTAATTGGTTCCTTTATCATTATGTAGTTATCTTCTTTACCTCTTTTTACAGTCTTGATTGTAATATATTTTATCTGATCTAAGTATAGCTACTCTTACTCTTTTTTGGTTTCTAGTTGCATGGTATATCATTTTCCACTCTTTCACTTTCAGTCTGTGTGTGTCTTTATAGGTGAAGTGGGTTTCTTGTAGGCACTGTATAGTTCTGTTATGTTTCTTTAGCTATTCAGCCACTTTATGCATTTAATTGGATAATTGAGTCCATTTATGGTGAGTGTTGTTATTAAGGACTTATTACTGCCATTTTGTTACTTATCTTCTGGTTGTTTTGTAATTTTTCTTTTTTACTTTTTTACTGCCTTCCTTTATTGTTAAGTGATTTTCTCTGTTAATATGTTTTAATTCAATGCTTTTTATTTTTAGTGAATCCATTACAGGTTTTTGCATTGTGGTTACCATGAGTCGTAGAAAAACTATACCAAGTTATTTTAAAGAGATGACAACTTATATTAGATCACAAAGAAAAAAAAACCCAAAGAAAAAATGAAGAAGAAACTCCATTCCTTCCCCCCACCCCACATTTTGAGCTTTAGTTGTCTCAATTTGTATATTTTTATATTGTCTATCTCTTAACCGTTTGCTGTAGCTATTGTTTTTGATAGATTTGTCTTTTGGGCTTCATGCCAGGAGTATGAGTAGATTGCACACCATAGTTACAGTACTAGAATATTCTGTGTTTGTTCACATATTTAATTTTACCAGTGGGTTTTATGGCTTTAAATACATTGTTTAATGTCAGTGTTTTTCTATTTCAGATTGAAGAATTTCCTTTAGCATTTTTTGTAAAACTATTCTGGTGGTGGCGAATTAGCTCAGCTTTTGTTTGTCAGGGAAAATACTTCAATCTGTCTCTCATATTTGAAGTATAAGTTTGCTGGACACAGTATTCTTGGTTAGTAGGGGTTTGTTTTGTTGTTACATTTAGCACTTTGAAAATGTCATTCCACTTTCTACTGGCCTGTATTCTTTCTGTTGAGATGTCTCTTGTCAAATTGGAGCTCCTTTATATCTTATTTGCTTCTTTTCTTTTGTTGCTTTACGATTCTCTGTGTCCTTGACCTTTGAGAATTTGATTATTTTATGACTTGGAGTAGTATTATTTGGGTCAGTTCTATTTGGTGTTCTCTGACCTTTTTGTACCTGGATATTTATATCTCTCTCAGGCTTTCAAAAGTTTTTAATATTATTTATCTTGTAGACAATCTTCACTGCTTTTCATTCTTTTTTCTCTTAAATTTGTTAAGACTTGTTTTGTGGCTGTATTAGTCCGTTTTCATGCTCCTGATAACGACATACCCAGGGCTGGGCAATTTACAAAAGAAAGAGGTTTATTGGACTTACAGTTCCATGTGGCTAGGGAGGCCTCACAATTGTAGTGGAAGGTGAAAGGCTTGTCTCACATGGCAGCAGACAAGAGAAGAAAGCTTGTGCAGGCAATCTCCCCTTTCTAAAACCATCAGATCTCTTGAGGCTTATTCACAGTCACGAGAACAGCATGGGAAGGACCTGCCTCCGTGATTCAGTTACCTCCCACTGGGTCCTTCTCACAAAACATGGGAATTCAAGGTGAGATTTGGATAGGGAGACAGCCAAACCATATCATTCCACCCCTGGTCCCTCCCAAATCATGTCCTCACATTTCAAAACCAATCATGCCTTCCCAACAGTCCCCGAAAGTCTTAACTCATTTCAGCATTAACTCAAGAGTCCACAGTTGTTCAAAGTCTCATCTGAGACAAGGCAAGTCCCTTCCACATATGAGCCTGTAAAATCAAAAGCAAGTTAGTTACTTCCTAGATAAAATGGGGGTACAGCTATTGGATAAATACAGCCATTCCAAATGGGAGAAAGCAGCCAAAACAAAGGGGTTACAGGCCCCATGCAAGTCTGAAATCCAGCGGGGCAGTCAAATCTTAAAGCTCCAGAATGATCTTCTTTGACTCCATGTTTCACATCCAGGTCACGCTGATGCAAGAGGTGGGTTCCCACAGTCTTGGGCAGCTCCGCCTCTGTGGCTTTTTGGGGTACAGTCTCCCTCCCGGCTGCTTTCACAGGCTGGTGTTGAGTATCTGCAGCTTTTCCAGGTGCACAGTACAAGCTGTCGGTGGATCTACCTTTCTGGGGTCTGGAGGACAGTGGCCCTCTTCTCATGGCTTCACTAGTCAGTGCCCCAGTTGGGACTTTGTGTGGGGGCTCTGATCCCACATTTCCCTTCTGCACTGCCATAGCAGAGGTTCTCCATGAGGACGCTGCCGCTGCAGCAAACTTCTGCCTGGGCATCCAGGCATTTCCATGCATCTTGTGAAATCTAGGTAGAGGTTTCCACACCTCAGTTCTTGACTTTTGTGCACTGGCAGACTCAACACCACATGGAAGCTGCCAATGCTTGAGGTTTGCATCCTCTGAAGCCACGTCCCGAGCTCTATGTTGGCCCCTTTCAGCCATGGCTGGAGTGGCTGGGATGCAGGGCACCAAGTCTCTAGGTAGCACACAGCACAGGAACCCTGGGCCTGGCCCAGGAAACCCCTTTTTCCTCTGAGGCCTCCAGGACTGAGATGGGAGGGCCTGCCACAAAGGTCTCTGATGCCTTGGATACATTTTCCCCATTGCCTTGGAGATTAACATTCAGCTCCTGGTTACTTTTGCAAATTTCTGCAGTCAGGTTGAATTTCTCCTCAGAATATGGGATTTTCTTTCCTATCACATTGTCGGGCTACAAATTTTCTGAACTTCTGTGGTCTGCTTCCCTTATAAAACTGAATTCCTGTAACAGCACCCAAGTCACCTCTCGAATGCTTTGTTGCTTAGAAATTTCTTCTGCTAGGTACCCTAAATTATCTCTGTCAAGTTAAAAGTGCCAAAAATCTCTAGGGCAGGGGAAAAACTCCACCAGTCTCTTTGCTAAAACATAACAAGAGTCACCTTTGTTCCAGTTCCCAACAAGTTTTTCATCTCCATCTGAGACCACCTCAGCCTGGATTTCATTGTCTGTGTCATTATCAGCATTTGGGTCAAAGCCATTCAAGTCTCTAGGGAGTTCCAAACTTTCCCACATTTTCCTGTCTTCTTCTGAGCCCTCCAAACTGTTCCAACCTCTGCCTGTTACCCAGTTCCAAAGTTGCTTCCACATTTTCGGGTGTCTTTTCAATAGCACCCCACCCTATTGGTACCAATTTACTGAATTAGTTCATTTTCATGCTGCTGATAAAGACATACCCAAGATTGGGCAATTTGTAAAAGAAAGAGGTTTATTGGACATACAGTTCCATGTGGCTGGGGAGGCCTCACAATCATGGTGGAAGGTGAAAAGCACGTCTCCCAAAGTGGCAGACAAGACAGCTTGTGCTGGCGATCTCCCCTTTTTAAAACCATCAGATCTTGCGAGACTTATTCACAATCATGAGAACTGTATGGGAAAGACCTGCCCCCATGATTCAATTACCTCCCAGTGGGTCCCTTCCACAACATGTGAAAATTCAAGATGAGATTTGGGTGGGGACACAGCCAAACCATATCACTGGCCTAACATATGATCTGTCTTGGAGAATGTTTCATTTGCACTTGAGAAAAATCTGTATTCTGCTATTGGATGAAATAGTCTGTCGATGTCCATTAGGTCTATTTGGTCTAAGGTGTTCAAGTCCACTGTTTCTCTCTTGATTTTCTGTCCAGATGATCTATCCATTGTTGAAAGTGGAATATTGTTATCCCCTTCTATTACTGTATTGCAGTCTATCTCATACTTCAGACCTGTTAATATTTGATTTATATATTTAGGTTCTCTGATGTTGGGTTCATATACATTTTAAATCACATTTTTTAAATTTTAAATTGTGATTTTTTACTTTTTCCTAGTTCTAATACTCAACATATGTTTATTTATTCATTGAGCACCTAATTGTTACAGGCTCCAGGTATGATACCATTTGTGATCCAAAGTTATGAACACTTGTTCTCTAGGAAGATGCACTTGAGTAGGGAGACAAGCAAAAGGACTCCAAGGAGTCTAAGAAGAGACAGAGAGGCTTTGTGATTAAGGTGGGCGGAAGACCCAGGGAGGGCCTTAGAAGATGATGGTGCTCATGCTGAGACTTGAAGGGTAGTCTATTATTCTTCAAAAAATGGCAGTCAGAAAAGGGTATTTAGGCAATGAGGACAATATTAGTAGCACCTTGGAATGACAGGATGTCTCTACCATTCAAAGGTAATGTTAAGACTCTAGTTTCCTTGGACTATAGATTTTCTTTATGGGGGTAGTGAAAGATAGGCCTGGACAGATAGTCTGAGCACATGATACATGGTCTTGAATTCTAAAATTATAGTGTTAACATCTCTTCAGACATGAAAAGAAATGTAGAAGAGACAAACTATTCAGAGGAAATAACAGTAGTGTTATTATTAGACATAAGACATTTAGGAAAAGAAACTGGTTTGGAGAGATGACACTTATTATTGGTTTATTCAGTGTGAAGGACATTTATGCAAAGGTGAAACACCAGACCACAGCTCAACACAGAGGTTCAGCCAAGAGCTGGTAGCTGGGAGTTCACTGTCAGTATCTTGAGACTTGATGAACTAGATAAAGAGACTAAAGGAGATAAGCCAGCTGAGAATAGAGCATTGGAAAAGACTGAATTCGGTGAACAAGAGGAGGAGACAAAAAGGAGGCAGCAAGAGAGTGGTCAGAGAAATGCTTGAAACAGGATACTGTAATGTCATAGAGAAGTCAAGGCATGAGGTTTTTCCCTCAAAGAAGAGTCAAGTATGTTAAATACCTAGAGTAGAGAAAAATGAGCAGTAGAGGTCATTGTACTCAGTGACTTTCTGAGATTTCAGTGTCATAGAATAGTGAGAAATACTAGCTAGGCTCCATGGCATTAAAACAAGCACTGCTGAGCTAAACATTGAGTCCCCTTGGACACAAAGAAGGGAATGATACACACTGGGGCCTAGTTGAGAGTGGAGGGCAGGAGGAGGGTGAGGATCAAAAACCTACCTGTCAGGTACTATGCCCATTACCTGGGTGATGAAATCATGTGCACACCAAACTCCCATAACATGCAATTTACCTATGTAACAAGCCTGCATATGTACCCCCCCGAACCCAAAATAAATGTTGGAAGGGAAAAAAAGACATATGAGGACAGATTTAAAACATTTAAGTTGGGCAGATATGTAATGCTGTGTGATAGAAGCGTTTCAGACATACTAACCATATTTTAATTAAAATAGAGTTTGTTAGCTTTTCTTTTAATTTAAACATGAGAAACAAAAACCACATTAATTATAGCATTCTTTTCAAAATAAAACTGCAACCAATACTTGAAAAAACAAAACAAAAACAAGCACTGGTGATAGGAGAGCTGTGGAGCTTAGCAGTAAACTGAAAAGGGAGGAAAGTGGAAGCTGGAGGGCCTAGCAGGCTGGTGGGGGGCAGTTTGTTTGTTTGTTTGTTTGTTTGTTTGTTTGAGACAGAGTCTCACTCTGTTGCCCAGGCTTGGAGTGCAGTGGCGTGATCTCAGCTCACTGCAAGCTCCGCCTCCCGGGTTCACACCGTTCTCCTGCCTCAGCCTCCCAGGTAGCTGGGACTACAGGCGCCCGTCACCACGCCCAGCTAATTTCTTGTATTTTTAGTAGAGACGGGGTTTTACCGTGTTAGCCAGGTTGGTCTCAATCTCCTGACCTCGTGATCCGCCCACCTCGGCCTCCCAAAGTGCTGGGATTACAGGCGTGAGCCACCGTGCCCGGCCTATTTTTTTAAGATTAATAAACACATACCTATACAATCTTGGCATGACTAATAGGCAGGGATGAGGGGAAGAGCAATGAAAGAATACAGTTTAATTCCCAGTGCTGAACCCCCAATACACAGTATTTTTTTTCTGCCTGCAATAGATGCAGGGCCTTCTTGAGAAAGACATATGAGGAGATAACAGTTGCATATATTTATCTTTTTTTCTTTTTGGAAAAATGTTAATATAAATATTTACTACCATTAATTCACTCATTCACTCATTTAGCAAAAACTTATTAAATGCCAGTTCCAGATATTACATGCTAGGTCTAAGAATCCAGCAATAAACAGAGTAGATATAGTGCCTCCCTCATAGCACTCACATTCTACTAAATTTAGCTACTATTTAAAATTCTTTGCCTTTATTTTAGGTTCAGTTGCAGACTCTTCTTCAAAGCAAGTATGTAGAATATTTCATTGAGCAAGTGTTAAGCTGGCAAAATAAATTAAACATAGCAGACTTGGTCATCTTCACTTGGATGGAAGTCCAGCGAACTTGGTCTCACCTGGAAAGCATTTTTGTCTGTTCAGAAGATATTCGAATCCAGCTTGTGAAAGATGCTAGAAGATTTGATGGGGTGGATGCTGAATTTAAGGTTTGTCAAAGACAGGCTGTATGCTATTCTAGCAAAGTTTTGTAAAGTAACATGGTTTTGAGCATCGTATTTATAAAAATGAATGCATTTTTGCATGAGTAAGCAGGAGTCAGGAGACTTTTCCTGCAAAGGGCCAGGTAATAAATATTTCAGGCTGTGTGGATCATGCAGCCTGTCTAACACCTTCTGAATGCTGCCATTACAACATGAAAGAAGACATGGGTAATAAATAAACAAATGGATATGGTTATATGCCAATAAAGCTTTACTTGTAGACACTGAAATTTGAATTTCACATAGTTATCATGTGTCACAAAATACACTGTTTTTTATTTTTTTCACTGATTTAAAAAGGTAGGCTAGGCTCGGTGGCTCACACCTATAATCCCAGCCTTTTGGGAGTCCAAGGTAGGAGGATGACTTGAGGCCAGGAGTTCGAGACAAGCCTAGGCAGTATGGTGAGATCCCTTCTCTACTAAAAAATTTTTAATAATTGGCTAGGCAAGGTGGCCCAAGCTTGCAGTCCTAGCTACTTGGGAGGCTGAGGTGGGAGGATCACTTGAGCCAAGGTAGTTTGAGGTTGCAGTGAGCTATGACTGCAGCACTGCACTCCAGCCTGGGTGACAGAATGAGACCCTGTCTCCAAAATAAATTTAAAAACCATTTTTAGCTGCTAGGTCGTGCAAAAACAAACATCAGGCCATATTTGTCCCATGCACCATAGATTGCCGACCTTTGTGGTAATAAAGGTAAACAGATTCATCTTCAGAAGTAAAAGACTGAGAAAGGACAACAGGTAGAAAATAACACTACTAGTTTCGGTTTTTCTTTTCTGTAAAAGCCATAGAAAGCACGTGGCATGGTGCATGTAATGATAATTGATTGGAGAGATTTCTAGCAAAGGAGAGTGACTATTTCTCATAAAAATTGAGATTAAAAGGTTTTTTCTTTCTACCTGAAGTAGAAGTCACAGATAAATTTTAAGTCATTTAACTTTTGAGGAAGAAAAAATAGATTGTTTATATCTCTCTCATTTTTATATGTAGGTATGCTTTTTAAGATTCTGGGCGCTCTCTCATTCTCTGTCTCTCTCTTTCTCTCTCTCCCTTCCTCTCTTTCTCCCTTTCTCTCTCCTTCTCCTCCCCCTCTGCCCCCACCTCCTCCTACTTGTCTCCCTTTCTCTTCTTTTTCCTCTTCCCATTCTCCCTTCCTTGTCTCCTTTTGCCTTTATTCTTTTTCGTTTGATTTAGAAGAGAAAAATTCTGTGTGGGCCTAAAGTGGTGACAGTGCTTATCACATTTATTTTTATAAAAACGGTGTGCTTCTACATTGCTTTTGATCTTCATCTAAGAGTTGAAAAGCAAAAGTAAACAGATGTGGTGTCAGACATTCTTAGAAGTATCTTTGACCTTGCCTCTTCATTCTTTGTTCTTCATTTTTTTAATTCTTGAAATGATTAAAAGTTTAGAAAAGATTGTTCTAATATCCACGGCCCCGTATTGTACTTTCATGCAGGAGTTAATGTTCAAGACAGCCAAAGTAGAAAATGTGTTAGAAGCAACGTGCAGACCTAATCTCTATGAAAAACTTAAAGATTTACAGTCCAGGTAAGAATAAAGCTATATAAGATAATCAATTTACTGTAATTTTATGAAGTCTTTTTCACATACCTAATAGTATTTAATACTGTGTTATGGAGGTGCAACCTCTACTAAATTATTTTGTAATTTTGCTTATAATTATCTAGTTGTCTCGTACATATGACATGGAACATATATATAGTAAGTTAATGTAAATAAACCCAAAAATATTTGTTTTCTGAGAGGAGTATTATACTAGTAAAATTAGAGTATCTTATTATCAAGAGAATTGACATGATTGATTGATCAATTATTTCCTCAGACTATCCTGTAAATATTGATTGAGCACCTGGGATTGCACTCCGTTAATGTAGTCCTTTAGTTTCTATGTAGTTTCATTTTATTAGAAATTATCCTGAGGGAGCACAGCAGCATTTTTAAAATCATTGTCCCAAGGGCCATTTGTAAAGTAATTTTCACATTTAATTCTATAAGAGTTAGTGGTCGTAAGAATATTCTGGCTTTTGATTAAAAATGAGCAGATCTGCTACTAAAATGATGGGTTGTGGAAGTGCGATCCTTTTTTTATTGCAAGGTAAGGAGAAGATCTAGATAAAATTTTATATTACATAAACAGAGCAGTTTTATAGTCTGAAAGTTTTTTTGGTAACGAAAAGGGCGAAGTTAATTATTTCAGTTGAGTAATGCTCTTTGGGGCTTTGGGGCTCGGGCTCTGCCTCTGGGTCATTTCTGCTCTGCTAAGGGCAATAAAGTGGAACCAATTCTGGATCTTATGACTCCTCTGAATACCTGACAGGAGGGAAGTCACTTGTGTTTTGTAGACATCCAGTGGGGGAAAAGAAGGCTGTAAACGAATTACATCTTACCAGTGCATTTTGCTCTCAGGTTGAAGGATGGCGACCTAGTCTTCTCCACTGCTGTTTAGGAGTGTCATTCGGAAAAGCAATGAATAATGTAAACCTAAGTCTAATTCATATTTAGCCACAGCTAATGGGGTGTGTGTGTGTGTGTGTGTGTGTGTGTGTGTGTGTGTGTGTATTTGGCATAGTACTCTTCTACTTGGCATAATGTATATTAGTCATAAGCAAGATAGATGATGGTGTAAAAAAGAAGGAAGTAAGCTACCTGTTAAACAGTGAGTTTACTATAATGAATGGACATAGAGGACTTGAGTTTTGTTTTGCCGAAGTTTTAATGACTGAAGGGACAAGATATGCTTAAAAACATTTTTCATTCATGTAGGCTTTCTCTTTGTGAAAAAGCTCTCGCTGAATACCTGGAAACCAAGCGCATAGCCTTTCCTCGCTTCTATTTCGTCTCTTCTGCTGATTTACTTGACATTCTCTCAAAAGGAGCTCAGCCTAAACAGGTAATATTTTTTTTGAAAGTCTCGTATTATACTGTGTTAGCTGAGGAATGTCATAGCGTCTCTATCATTGTCAAATGCTACCTGTCATGTCACGTGGGCCAGGAACTAGAAAATCTGCAGTTAAAATTTGTAATGTAGCATCAGAGGGATGTCAGAGGCTGTGCAAAAGGGAGTAGGAAGAATAACTGTCTGGTGCTGTGTAAAGAGGAACTATATTCAGTGTGTAAGGCTTACAGTGCTGAAAGAAGTCGATGGAAAGAAACACTGTCGCCAAATCCCCCAGAATTCTGGGACAAGAACTGGGACATCCATTGCCTGGTTAGCAGCTTTCCTAGGGGAGAAAGGGTCACTTGGAACAAGATCATAGCTGGTACCTTCTTACTCCTCCCTCCAGAGTCACCTTCATAATTATGACATTGGGCTTATCTTCAGTGCTGTCCAAGTTAGATTTGTATCATTTCAGGATCATCCCGAATTAACCCTCTAATTTTCCCCTATCTCTGCAAAAATAATGCATCACCTTTTTGCTGATTCCCATGTCAATATTTAAAGCAAATAAAAACAGATACTATCTTGTGTAATCTGAGAGCTCAGATCAGGGACAAACTGTACAAATTCCAAAGCACTCCTTCCTATAAACTTTAAGAGAATGTTGCCTTTCATTTAGACCAACTCAATCATTCCTATTCACTTAGATCTTACAGTTGTGGCTGACATAGCTGGTCACTCCTAGAGTTGAGTGTATATTACAGATTATTTTAAAACTGAAGCTTGTGCTATATAATTGTGGAGTTTTCTCCATGTTTTTTTTTTCTCAGAAAAATTTTACTCTAGATATTTTTTGTGCCATTTTCTTTAGAATCTGTGTCTGTTCACATTGCAGTTCCCTGAATTTTGCTGTTCTTTGGGCACAGTATTTATCTTAATTATTTCTCTCTTGTTCATCACTTAACTTTGAACCTAAATTCAATTGGTTGGCTATTCTTGTTGTTGATAATACAAGTGCAGTCGTGCTGTTAGTAACAGAATTGTTGGACAATTTGGGCAACAGGTTCAGGGTCACCACTCAGGTAGTATTGTTTTGTATATTCATGCTAATTTCCAGATGGCTTTGCAAATAAAATCTGTGATTAAATTGACTATGAATCTACTATATCCGTCTTTTACATACTTATTAGCACACAATTGGATGCCTTTAAAAAAACTATTTTGAAACATAATAGTTGTCACTACACTATGCTTCAATAAGCCCCTGAGGGCATCCTCATGACCAGCAGCTGAACCCTCTGCCCAGGGTGACTGTATGAGGGTAGCAGGTATTGTATTTCACAAAAGTACGTGTTTCTGAATACTTTTCAAATCTGAAATGCTTATAATGCAAAATGAATTTTCAATAAGTAAGTTAGCAGAGAGGTACATAAATCTGTGAGTAGGTAAGCATTCTTTTTCTTTTAATCATATTATTTAAATACAGTGAACACTTATGTGACTGGTTTATTGAATAATATTAATTCCATGGGATAACAGTCATGAAACAGTTTTATCTTTCTGCAATGACTAATCTCACATGTGCCCTGCCGAGTCTCTTTGCCCAGGTAGCAGACCCCTTAATAATATCTCGGGCAGGTATCGTAATCTCCTGGTCCCCCTTTCTTATTAAAAACTTAAAAAAGAAACCAAAAGCAACTCAGCATATTCTAGTTGGAAATTTCCATCTCATCTCCATGTCAAGGCCAAGCTTTCGTTTAATAACTTGGTGTTGGGAGGGAGACTTCAGCTTTTTCATCCCCCGTCTCTGTCCATTTATCATGAGGAGGGGTTTAGGGGTGTGATCTGTCTGTCATTGTCCTTTCTTAATGACCGCTCCTGCTTCCCTCACCAGTGGTGACTGTCCATCTTCACCCTTAACAGCAAGGATCCACGTGCTGGATTTCTGGTGGAACAAGTGTGCAGGTCCTCTGGACAAAGGGAACCTCCCCAGGGATGTATATGCCAGAGCCACCCCCACTTTAATCCTCCCATTTCTTGCTCCTGGCAGTGTAACCAGCCACCTGGTTCCATCTTCCTCCTCCTTTTCTACCTAGGCAGATGTCCAAACAAGGGGCACATCAAAGATTCACTTCTTACTGGTGCCCAGAGTTTTTATGAGTGATTCTCCTATTCCTCTTCCTTGACCTTAGAGTGGAGGTTGGGGGACCCAGTCTTCTACCTTACCCAAAAAAGGCGGGGGAGATGCCATGGCCTCCCCGTCGTGGCTGATAATTCACACTGTGCAGATGGCCTCCTTTGCCCTCTTCCTCCCTATGGTACTTTCTGTAGAAGGCATGCATGGAGGTAGAGGAGGGTGGGGTATTGAGATGTGTCTTACCAAACCCTGGAAGGACTAACTGTCCTAACCCATGTCCATTACCTTCAGAATGTGCACATACTCACCACCTCTTTGTCCTTAATTGAAGTCCTAGTCTGTGCTAGAGGAAAAGATCACTCAATGAATTCTTGTCACCAACTCTGTTCACCCTCCTTTTAAATCATCAAAAAATCCTTCATGCCTTAGCTAAACTACATGTTGACTCACAGTCTGTGCATCTCTGATGCCAGTTGATTTTTCAGATTTCAGTGATGTGCTTTTTACATCCTTTAAAAAAATTTTTTACAACATGACTTCGGTATTTTACAGAGTGCTATCTTCTCCATTATCAGTGTGACTTACTGTGAATGTCTCCTCACCTACCCCATTCATAGCATTTTAACTACGCGTTCTAAATCCCTGAATTCCAGGTACATTGCTCAGTACTAGTCCCCCTCCTTAATGAATGACTAGATTATATAAGACGTTTGAAACATTTGAAATTATGATGAAGCTGAATGTTAAAATCATAGCGTAGAGCTCTCCAAACTCCCTCACAGCTGTGCTGATAAATGCCACCACGCTAACAAAGGGAGGTGGGTATTTCTTCTTGCCAGCTAAAGGATCCAGTCCTGTGGCCACAGTATAAACATGCTTACAGTTTTGACACACAGATTTGAAGTGGTTACATATATTTTTGATATATTTTGAAATTTTGGGAAAATTTGTATTCCAAGTTGTGCTCAAAATGTGATTTCATTGAGGTCTTTTCATGTACACTACATAAATTTTGAACAATTAACACTTACATAAAATGCTATCACACTGTTACTAAAGGTCTATCATTAGAAGTGTTTAGCAGCCTTTGTGGTACAAATAACCATCCAAGAGTGACTTGTTGAGAAGGAGCTAGGGGCCATTTGAGTCATCTAGAGCCATAGTCGGCTTCTTTCCCTGAAAGAAATGGTTCTGCAAATTCAACATGCATTCTGAATTCTTGCTCACTAACTATGGAATAATTAATGCTACAGGCTGTTATGCCAGATAGTGTGATCTTGCCACACTCTCTTACCCTCTTTTCAACATTAGAGTCAGTTTCAAACCACCAGACTTAGTCTTTCCGTCCATGCCTTTTGTGCTAACATTCCTGAATGTGCTCCCTGTAGTGTGACCGAGATAACATGGCAACTGCAGCTTGTGGAGCAACAATGCAATTTCCCCATAAAAGGCGCCCTGTGTGGGTAGATAACTCATCTTGACATCTTGTGAATGACTTGAATTTTCCAGGCGTCCCTCCTTTACTCACCCAAACTCCATTTAAGAGTGTTGGTCCAAGTGAGAGTTTCTGCAGTTAATTGTGGAATGTGATCAGCTTGAATAGACCAGCCAGGGAGGTCTGATAACCACTACAACCGCCATTCTGCAAGCAGAAACCCCCAGTTTAAGATACAAGAGTTGGAATGACAGAGTGATAAAATTGGTGTGTCTAGAATGCTGTCAGTAATTATCAGCTTAGGAGTAAGTTTGGTTAAGGTCAAGTTTTAAAAATTTCCTTCCCTCAAAATTTAGCCTGACCTCCCAAGGTTATCGATTAACTAAAGGATGATGGATACAGGTGCTGCTTAACTTCAATGATAAAAGTCTCTGGTAGTTGCTGTAGAAATAAAACTTAAAGGTGTATTTGCAGGATTCATTGACATGGTGCAATAGCTATGGACAACTGGCCTGAAGTCCTTATGGGATTCAGTATTAACATTCTTTGGTATTTTTTTCCCCTTTCAGAAAAACATTTGTATTTTTTAACTGAACTAGTATAGTTGTTAAAGTCAGACAAAATAATATCAGTTTACCCTTTTGCACCCTTTCAGGTTGTTATATACTACCTTAAAATAACTGACAACTTTGGGCAATCAAGGTGTTTTTAACCACTGATTCCTTATGATGTGAAAGGTCTTTTTGTCTGAGAACAGTTTGCACATTTTCTTTCTCTTGTCTATGAAACATTTAACTTCTCCATAAAGGTTAGGTTTGGAGAAGCTAATCCACAATAGAGCTATACTAAAGAAAGACTCACTGTCAACGTGATTGGCTCTACTTGTGCTTCTCATGGGGTAGCTGTGATTCTTATATGGCTACTGAGCACTTGAAATGTGGCAGCTAAGGAACTGACTTTTTATTGTAATGAATTGCAATTGATTTAAATCCAAAAATTGATATTTGATTCAGTAATTGGAAAACATTGCGTGTTTGAAACAACTTGGGTGAGTGAATCTACCTTTGCCCCTGCATATTGTATGAAACGCAAATACAGATGTAGCATTTTCAGATGAAAAATCCAAATTGAGCTATGCTGTAAATATAAAATACATACCTGGTTTCAAAGACTTGCTGCAAATAAAATAATGCAAAAGATCTCACTTTTTATATTACTCACATGTTGAATGATAATATTTTGGGATATACTGGATTAAATATACATTAAAATTAATTTCACCTTTTTAAAATATGACTTAATGTGGCTGCTAGATGGTTGTAGCTGTGGAAATTGAAGCCACAATGCATTCTGTAAAATGACAAGATACATATACTCAGGAATGCTTAATGTTTGCATGAAGAAATGCCCTTCAAGGACATCTGCACCAATCTACACACAAGGAAATCTGCCAACTTGTCTTTGGAGAAATCCCCTAAATTACAGCGATGAGACAGATGGCACTCAACTGATACCTCTAATAGACTGTAAATATTGGCATTCAAAAAGGTGCTTGTGAGAAATGAGCTTTATATTAGGTGATAAAAAGCACCACTGGATCTTAAAGGAGCAAATATCTAGACCCCACATTCCCACAAGCACAGTGTGTTTTTATGCAGAGCTTCCATTTGGTTATCTTCCTGATAGAGTAAAAGTGTCTCAGCATATGAATTTTAAGAGGATGGAGCTCAATAATCATTCATAGTATGCCAAAACCTTCACTGACAGGAGGATATTCTTCTTTAGAAAATTAATAGGAAAAAGACTCAATACGTGCATGGTAAGTTGAGGGCGTGTAAGAATGAATGAGTTTTAGTTAAAATGAAATCCATAAAAAAATTCTAACTTTCCTAAAGGAAGTAGAAAGCTGGAAAGATAAGACGTATCTAATGTGGAGGAAGTGGTTGCTCCTGAGTTTAAGCTGGGGCTGAAGAAGGAATGAGAAAGAAGGAGCAAAAGGACACAGAAAAGGGGTCATGGTTTTGACCATCTTGCCATTGGCTCTATTTACCTGCAGCTGAGGAGGAAGGAATAGAAGCTGCTCATGAAAGTGTAGTCTGTCACAGAAAGTACAGTGTAAGAGCAACTCTGCTTGGCATGACTTATGAATATGTAATATTTTAAATGGATACCTTAATATAAAGGCAGCCTGATTCACCTAGAGGTTCAGGTATTTAGGTGTATGACAAGAAAATAGAGAATCTACTTTCAGAATAAATGCCATAAATTATATATCCCATGGAGATTATCCTTGATTATCTTCTCAAAATGATGAATATGTGGTTAACCACAAACTGTACAACAATATGCACAATTTTTTCTTCATTTTGCATATGTGTTGCCACTGCATTGTATTCTATTGTAGCCCCTTTGGAATTCTCTCCATAGCCAATGTATAAGTTGTACAACAACATTAAGGTTATTATAATGTGAGATTAAAGTAAAATATCACTTCAATGTTATGAGTTCCAAAAATTAAATGTTACAAATGTGGGGTCCTGCCAGCGAGGAGTTTCTAGGCCCTTCTGTGGAATCTGAAATTGTTGTGGTTTCAGCCTTGCTTTGATGTCACTTGATGAAGGTTGTTCAGTTCCAGCTTGAACTCAGTGGGTAGAGCTTCCAGCTATAACAGATTAGCTTTTCACAGAGTACTGTTCTTTCTGGAAACAACTAGAAAAGCTGGATAAAATATTTAACTGAATCTGTTTAAATGCACTGAAGAGCATTTAAAGAGTATTGAAGAATAAGTGTGCCAGGGGCTACGATAGCAGCAGTTTGGTGCTGCTTTTCTCCTCGAGACATTTGATAATTCATAGATGTGGCCAACGGCATGAGAAGCTGATCAGAGCTTTCAAGAGGCTCGTGGAACTTGAAAGAAGGAGAGAAATAAAATAAAACTGGAACTCAGGCCCCATTAAGGAGGATATATACAGAGAATCAAACAATAATAACAAATGGTTCTAAGGTGGATTGGATAGAAATTTGCCAGGGTAGGGGGAGGAGGAATCTACTATATCTAAAAATCAGATATCTAAATCAGATATCTAAAAATCAGATATCTAAATCAGATATCTAAAAATCAGATATCTAAATCAGATATCTAAAAATTAGATATCTACCATATCTAAGAATCAATTCCAGATGGATGTAGATCTAAATGTGAAAGGTGAAACAAACGATATACAACATGTGAGGAAGGATATCTTCATAATCTTGCACTAAGCAAAATCTTCTTAAATTGGACACTGAAGTCCTAACTATAAACAAAAAAATGGATAAATTTGACTATGTTAAAATTTTAAAACTTTAGCTTATCAAAAGATGCTCTTAAGAGAATAACAATGCAAGCTGCAAAGTGGGAAAAGGTGTTGGCAATGCAAACAAAAGACTCATATATGGAATATATAAAGAACTCCAACAAAAAAACAAAGGCAGATTATCTAATATAAAAGTGGGCAGAATACTTAGTTCACAAAAAAAAGATGGAATGGCTAGTAAACATAAGAAAGGTTGCTCAATTTCAGAAGTCATCAGGGAAATGTAAACCAAAACCACAACAAGATGAGATAACAGGATGGCCAAGATGAAATAACAGGAACTGGATTTACCTTCTTGCCTGAAACAATGAAAAATTTCAACAAAATATATGAAAAACAGCAGCTTTCTAGACGCTGGACATCAGGCAGTGGGGATTCATGACAGATGAGGAACAGGGATTCATCACAGGTGAGGAACAAATGGAGTGAGCACTATGATTGTCTCAGTTTTCTGTCCTGAGAGAGTTTCCAGGCCATAGCACATGAAGGGAAACCCAGACAGAGTCCAAAGTGACTATACTTTGCAGAACTGAGTACCACAGAGGAAAGAGTTGTACAAAGAGAACTCCAGAGACTTCTGGAGAGTATTAGGCAGAGTGCTGAATAGTGCACTACATGTGAGGAAACTACCCAGGCCTGGGGAAAGAACTATCAGGTGCCCAGTGAGCTCCAGCAGGGCAAGAAATAATGGCTGCTTCTACCAACTAGACTTGAAGCCCTTATAATTTATAGGTAGAATACTGACAGGGTCTTTCCTGGTAGCGGGGAATAAATAGCCCTAGATTAGACACTGCTCTAGTCCCACCAAACAAGTCTTAAATAGCAATATCCAAAAGGATCAAACCTTTTCCAAGTAATTTATGCCAGGAAAAAAATCTCAAAAGTATGGGAGTGAAAATATATTCATTTTTAAGCAGCGTAAAGTTCACAATGTCTGGCATTGCATTAAAGTTTACTGAGCATGTGAAGAAATAGGAATATTCAACCCATGAAAAAAGAGACAAATCAAAACTGACCCAGAACTGACACAGATGATAGACTTAGCCAATAAGATATTAAAAGTAATTATATGTGTATTTCATGTGTTCAAAAAGTTAAGTGAGACCTGGAAAATATCAGAGAGCTTAATATGTGTGCTAGGACTTCCCAAAGTGCGGAACAAGAAGAAAGATAGAAAATATTTGAAAAACAACAGCCAAAAGTTCTCCAAATTGATGAAAAGTACAAAAGTGTAAATTCACAGACTTAAGAAATTTAATGAGCCCAAACACAAAAAAAGAAAGAAAACTACACCAAATTGCTCAGATTGGTCAAAACAATATAGAAGTCTCAAAATCATCCATAAAGCCATATTTTATACAAATGAACAAACATAAGGATGACAACAGACTTCACATTGGAAACAAAGCAAGTAAGCAGACAGTGGAGTAGCAATTTCTTTCTTTCTTTTTTTTTTTTTTTTTTTTGAGACAGAGTCTTACTCTATTGCCCAGGCTGGAGTGTAGTGGCCTGATCTCGGCTCACTGCAGGCTCCGCCTCCCAGGTTCACGCCATTCTCCTGCCTCAGCCTCCTGAGTAGCTAGGACTACAGGCGCCTACCACCACAACTGGCTAATTTTTTTTGTATTTTTAGTAGAGACGGGGTTTCACCTTGTTAGCCAGGATGGTCTTGATCTCCTGACCTTGTGATCTGCCTGCCTCAGCCTCCCAAAGAGCTGGGATTACAGGCATTAGCCACTGCACCTGGCCTACAGTGGAGTAGCAGTTTCAATGTACTGAAAGAAAAAAAACACCTGTAACTCTAAAATTTTATACCCAGTAAAAATACCTTTTTAAAAAAGGATAGCAAAATAAAGATGTTTTAACACATTCAAAAACTCTTAAGATTTCATCACCACCAGACTGGCACTACAAGAAATGTTAGAGAAAGTTCTTCAAGCAAAAGGAAGATGACACTAGATGGAAATTTGGATCTATACCAAAAAATTATGAACACTGAAATGTCAACTGTATGGAACTAGAAAAAATTGGAGCATTAGCCAATCATTAGAAGATGGAATGGTACCAAAAACATAGAAACATTGAAATAATATATATGTAAGTTTAAATACTGGTGCTGTTGATTATAATAACTGGCTATGTTATTGCTTAACCTTTCTGAACCTCAATATCCTTATATACCAAATGCAGAAAGCAGTAGGTATTGTCTGTTTGGCTTCTAAGTAACAGGCAAAACAAAGTGCATAAAGAACCAATAAAAGTACGTAACGTACAATAATGTAAAATTGGCCACAAATTCTTTCCCTTCCTGTATCCATGCCCTTTGAATGTGATGTGGCCGTATTGATCAAGGCTAGAAACTAGTTCTCCATTTGGGTTGCCATATGACTTGTTTTGGCCACTGTGTCATTAGCAAAAGCTTGAAAATTTTTTGTATATCATCACTTGCCCTTTTGCTGCTCTTTGAAAACCTGTAACCATCCCATCATGAATGGGTCAACCCTAGCCTGCTGGATAATGAGATGAACATGCCCATACCCAAGCTACCAGCTGAGCAACCATCACACACATGAGAGAAGCCACCGATCACCAGCAGGCTACAAATATGTGGGACAGCCCAGCTGGACTAGCTGAGGCAACCCAAAACCAACACACAGAATTGTGGCTGATGAAGAAGCCATTAAATCTTGGCGTGTTTTGTTATACTGCAAAGTTAATTAATATATGTTATGTATTTACATATTTATATATGTGTATGTGGATATATATTCATCAGTATCAAGGACTCTTTGTGCTACTGATTTAAAATAAAATATTTTACTTGAAATTTAAAAACAAAGCAAAGAATTGATTAAAACAAGTACTAATCCAAGTTTTTGTTTTCTTTATTTCTTTAATTTTTTTCCCTTCCTGAATACCTTGATATTATTGTTTTGACATCAGTGAGTTTGGGAAGATTGGTGAAAACATCATAAGTTAATGTGTTTCTCTTTACTTAAAATACTCTGCCTAGTAAAGTATTCATTTTCCCTTCTCTTTTTAATTTGTGTAGATATTTCCTAAATTGTTGATATGATTTGGGATTCAAAAAACACATATACTTGCTCATACAATGAGATATCAAGATCAAACCCACCAAAGGCTAAAATTAAAACTCACTAAACAATGGAAAGGATGTGGAGTAATGGGAATGTTCATATCTAGCCACCAGTATTATAAGTTAGTACAACTACTTGGGAAAACTGTTTAACAGCATTTTCTAAATAGGAATATATCATACATTTTTATCTAGCAGTTCACCTTTTCAGTGTACACTCAGCAGAAATACATAGATGGACCAAAAGAAGTATACAAGAATTTTCATAGCCACTTTATTTATAATAGTCCAAAATGGGAAACAATTTAAATGTCCCTTAACAGTGGGATGGCTAAATATATTTATATATTGTATTGTCTTTATACAATGGAATACCACATAGCAATAAAAATGAAGAAAACCTAGTGGTATACCAAATAACATGAATAAATTCAAGTGACATAATATCGAACTATAGGAGGCAGATGCAAAAGAGTACGTACTATGTGAATTCACTTCTATAAAGATAATGTCCCTTTTTAGAGAAATAGTAACTGGCATGCACCATGAGGAGTCTTACGGGTGCTGGTATCCTACTCTTTTTTTTTTTTTTTTCTGTAGATGGAGTCTCACTCTGTCACCCATGCTGGAGTGCTGGAGTGCAATAGTGCAATCTGGACTCACTGCAACCTCCACCTCCTGGGTTCAAGCAATTCTTAAGCCTCAGCCACCTGAGTAGCTGGGATTATAGGTGTGCACCACCGTGGCCAGCTAATTTTTGTATTTTTAGTAGAGATGGGGTTTTGCCTTGTTGGCCAGGCTGGTCTCAAACTTCTGGCCTCAGGTGATCTGCCTGCATTGCCTCCCAAAGTGCTGGGATTACACACGTGAGCCCCCATGCCCAGCGACTATTCTATTCCTTAATCTTGTGGTAAGCACAAGAGTTGTGCTTACTTTGTTAAAATTTATTAAGTTGTACACACATGATTTTTTCCCATTTTTCTGCATATATGTATTGCAATTTCCAAAAGTTTATTTTAAAAAAAACCCAGCATTTGTGTTGTGAACACATTTACATAAAATTATACAATTTATGCATGTAAACATTTTATGAAAGAAACACCAAATCAACCTTATATGCACTGATATACGGATATGTTTAAGTTACAGTAATAAGTGAGAAATCAAATTACAAAATATTATACTGTGATTTTATTTTTGGCAAAAGCAAATCTGGATTATGTAAGTAATTGCATGTTCATTATTGAACGTTTGACAAATATAGAAATACATTAAAAAGTTGAGATTAATATACTCATTGCTATTTTTGAGTTACTATAGTTTTTTAAATGTGTCTGTGTTTGTGAGTTATAACATATATACTTAAACAAAATTGTAATATTCCTCTACAATTTGATGTTTCATAGCTGTAAGAGGTTTCATTTTATGAATGTGCCATACTGATTTAACTAGCTTCTAGAAGGCCTTTTTTTTTTTTTTTTCCAATTTAGATTCTTAACCATATTGCATGCCTATTTCCCTGTACCATCACCAAAACTGTTATTTAATTTTATTATTTTATTATTATTTTTTTCTTTGGAGATGGAGTTTCGTTCTTGTCTCCCAGGCTGGAGTGCAGTGGTGCAATCTCAGCTCACTGCAACCTCTGCCTCCCGGGTTCAAGCGATTCTCCTGCCTCAGCCTCCAGAGTAGCGGGGATTACAGGCACATGCTACCACACCCAGCACATTTTTGTATTTTTAGTAGAGTTGGCGTTTCACCATATTGGCCAGGCTGGTCTCGAACTCCTGACCTCAGGTGATCCACTTGCCTCTGCCTCCCAAAGTGCTGGGATTATAGGCGTAAGCCACCGTGCCGGGCCCAAAACTGTTATTTTAAAAAAAAAAAAAAACACATGCAACTATTTACTATTTTGACACATTGACTTAAGTTTTTACACATGTAAAAATCATGGACTCACTTTATCTCATTCTAGAGAATATCATCCACAAAAGACCAGGGCTGCCCATATTTTGGTCATGATTTATATTCTTACAAATATTATTATGAATATTGTCATTATGAATAAATTAGTTAATGAAAACATATGAATGAGTCCTGAGGTGCTCACCAGGCAGGAGTGGCACTAGGCTTTGTGTATATTTTATCCCATTAATAAGCGGCAGCAGCATCTTTAGGTAGGTAGGGCAAATACGAACTTAGATATAGGCAGAAAGCAAGCGGTATGGTTTGAGAATATAATTGTAAGCTGCCGTAATTTCATCTTTCTTCCTTTTTTATTTTTTATTTATTTATTTTTTTTGAGACAGAGTCTCGCTCTGTCACCCAGGCTGGAGTGCAGTGGCGCGATCTCAGCTCACTGCAACCTCCGCCCCTCCAGGTTTAAGCAATTCTCTGCCTCAGCCTCCGGAGTAGCTGGAATTATAGGCGCGTGCCACTTTTCCCTTTGTTTTCTAAGTGAACAGTAGCTGTGAGTCATGACGGTAGATCAACTGATCACTGTATGCATTTTAAATTATAAAATTAGCTAGTGATTAGGTATTTTCAGTTTACTTACAATTAGATAAATGTAAGTTCTTTTATTTCATAAGAGGTTCTCCCTGTGCAGAGTTCTGATATTTATGAATTTCAGTCACTAAGGTTTGGTTAAATAACGCCAGTGCCCTGGCAACATGGTTCAAATTTCAGCTACTATGGTAAATTAACTCTTGAGTGATTGCATAAAGCACATAGTTGATTACTAACTCTCCAGCCCACAAAAATCACTGCCTAAGTAACAGATGTGCATCATCATCAGTGACAGTCATGTCACATCTTTCTAATTCTGTCAGTGATTAGCCACTGTGCTGCTTTTACTCACTTCACACACAGACAGCTAAGCTTGTAGTTCTATGATGAACCTACATGACATTTTTCATTAGTTAATGGACAGAAGGAAATAGTAACAAAGTTGGAAGTGTAGCAAAGAAATGAAAATTGATAATGCTAGAAGCAAAAATGGAATCAAACATAGATGGGAGTCACAGAAGAGAGAGCTGACGGACAGTGATGACCAGACACCACCAGAGAGAGTGATATGCAGCCAGGGGAACTTAGTGAAGATAAACTTGGGAACATAAACGACAACAGTGGTTTTGACAAAAAGAATGAAGATGTACCAGAGGAAGTGATGCCAGGAAAAACAAACATATTAAATAAAACAAACCTCCCAAACAACAAAAACTGACTTCACATTGAAGAGAATTACAATAAATTTCATGACATTGAATGCTTGAAAGGTAAAATGTTGATGGCCGGATATAAATTCAAAGGGAGTATGAGTTTGTCAAGGCAGAGAAAAGATGCTCGTTCTGTACCTTAAGTAGTAAGATGAGAAGGAGGCAATGCTATTCATATAACTTAAGTTTTCTGCAACGAAGACTGTTTAGTGTTTTAAAATGCAGTTGACAAAATATTAGTTTATGGATTTTTTTGATCTCCCTGTATGTTTATAACCAACAGTGAGAAGCTTTAATGTTTTGACACAAATTTGTAAAGGTCATTGTCCCATCGTAGGTTTCTCCCATTGATCATTCAGATTGCATAACGTGATTTCAACTGGTGTGGTCATTTTTATGATTTTGTACTATTCTGCAAAGTCAGGACTACCTGTATTCAATTTTTGTACTAATCTTTTAGAAACCTACTCAAAATACATGGTGAGTTATTGGTTCTTTTTAAAAAATGATTTGAGGTGCTCATATCCTTTCTCTATCAAAAGAGGGGCCTACGAAGTATTAGTTTTTTTTAATATTTATTTATTTATTTATGTATTTGAGATGGAGTTTTGCTGTTGTTGCCCAGGCTGGAGTGCAGTGGTGCCTTCTCGGCTCACTGCAACCTCTGCCTCCCAGGTTCAAGTGATTCTCCAGCCTCAGCCTCCCAAGTAGCTGGTATTACAGGCATGTGCCACCATGCCCAGCTAATTTTGTATTTGTAGTAGGAACAGAGTTTCACCATGTTGGTCAGGCTGGTTTGGAACTCCTGACCTCAGGTGATCCACCCGCCTTGGCCTCCCAAAGTGCTGGGATTACAGGTATGAGCCACTGCACCCAGCCTAATCTATTCTTTTTAGTTGTAAAATGAAAGGCCTTTCCGAACAGCTCACTGGGAAGAAGGAATTTTAATTTTGGGTTAACAAATACGAAGCAATCTCATTAAAAATAGAACAAATCTGAGGGCAACAGGGGCCACACGAGTTAAAAAAATAGTCTTGTTCCCTCAGAAAGTTTAAATAGAAGACAGTATGAAAACATCTAACGTCAACTATGCCATGTATAAGAAATAGGAGAACTCTGCCTAAGATTTGTGTTTCCTGGTCATTGAGTTACTATAGAGCTAGAAGTTCTTGAAATTATTTTCTCACCCAAGCCGTAATGTGTGAGGGTGTCTGATGGCTGAAGGCTCATTTATCCAAAGGCTTTTCAGTTGAATATTATCTAGGCCCATTACACAGTAGAAGCCATTCAACATCTGTGTACTTCCTGGCCACTTCAGCTGGGAGAGTGAATTATGAGATTAGTGGAGACTTTCTCTATATTAATATCCTCTGGGTAATGTACAGGGATGGAGGAGAATAGAACCCAAGCTGTGATCAGGCAGCTACCGCTCTATCTGTGTTTAAAGTAAGCGAGAGTCTCAAAAACTCATCTATTTGAAACTCGGAGGACTTCTTGCTGTGATTTTCTTTGATACTAAAACTGCATGTACAGCAAAAATGAAAAGGCTGAAAGCTTTAAAGATTAAATCACCCTAAGGAAGTTCCTTGCCAATATTGGTGTTGGTCTTGTCATGCAGAAAATTTAGGCAGGTTGCTATTGTTTCTAGAAGTTGCTGTGGTATACTTCTCATGTCCAGTTAAACTGCACTTCCAGAAAAGTTTGTTACAGCAGTGGCGCCTGTATGCTTGGAAATGTTTTGTATTGCTTCACCCTATCTTCTGGTTATCAGCAGCTCATATTTATTTTTTTCTGTTGAGGTGAAATTTAACATTAAATTAACTGTTTTAAGTGTGCAATTCAATAGCATTTTGTACATTCACAACCACCTTTTATCTAATTCCAAACCATTTTCATCAAGCCGAAAGTAAAACCCCCTATCCATTAAGCAGTACCTTCTCATACCCCTCCCTCCAGCCCCTAGCAGCCGCCAATCTGCTGTCTGTATCTATGGATTTATCTCTTGTGGATATTTCATATAAATGGGATAATACAAGATACGACGTGTGGTATATTGTGACTAGTTTCTTTCATTTAGCTTATATTTTCAAGATTCATCCAAGTTGTAGCATGTATCAGTAATATTCCTTTTAATGACTGAACAATATTCCGTTGTATGGATATACCACATTTTGTTTATCCATTCATCATTTGATGGACATTTAGGTTGTTTCCGCCTTTTGGCTATTGTGAATAATGCTTCGATGAACAGAGATGTACAAATACCTGTTTGAGTTCCTATTTTCAACTCTGTAGGTATATACCTAGGAGAGGAGTTGCTGGATCATTGCTAATTCTATGTTTAAGTTTTTGAGGAACCACAAAACTGTTTTCCACTTAGCGGCTTTTATTTGCACCGTGAATAACAAGGGAACATGTATTCCCATTTCTGATACTTCTTCTGGGCCGCCCCTGCCCTTTACTCAGTCTACCTCAAGAGAGATGATAGAGTAACTTCCCTGATTAATAAAGTCTGTTCTCTTTTTGTCTCCTTGGGTGTGAATTTACCTACACAACACATGTCATTCTCTCCTTTCCTCCATGACAAAAACACAGGGCAGTGCTCCCCAGAGGAGGATTGTTCCGGTCTGTGCTAACATAACAAGATGAATAAGTGTTGTTCATTCTGGGGTTGCGGTTGGAGGCCAGATAGATTTTGTTCTTCAAACTGACTTCTGCAAAATAAATGCTAATGTTTTGTCTTTGATCTGATCTTTGTTGTTGTTGGTTTTCCCCCCCCACCCCCAAATTGTCTGGAGCCTGCATAGAGTTCAATGTGCTATTTACTGGTTTTGTATTGGAGAACGCAAAACTTAGGATGTAAGAGGTTATGACACCAGAAGAACTTGATCTTTATAGATGTGGCCTGGAATTATAGGTTCATTGTCTAACTGTCCACTTACTTTTAGTTATGTCAACTTGGAGAATTTACCTAATATTTTAGTTTTAATTTCCTCATCAATGAAAAGGGAGAAATCCTACTCATCTTTCTTATGTACCAAGGATACTGTGGGGCTCACCAAAGTATCAAGGCAAGTGCGTGTTAACAGATAATCTCCCCCAAAAGTAAAATTCTTTCTAATTGACATTTTTCATTTCAGACATTTTAATAGCTTTTTCATAGTGTACACTAATGCTAGGAATCTGAATTTTTAAAACTTTACTACAGAAGCCCCAGTAGGATGCCTGTCTACAGGAATATGGTACAGATAGAGAAGTCAGTAAGCATCCAGTCATCAAGTAGAAAATAGGTCACTTTTCATGGTAAGCATTCATCAGCCAGTATGTGATGATTTGACCAGAGTGACTGGCCACTTCACCACCAAGATCCTTTCAAGCTCTCATATTTTAGAAGTGACTTTTATTTTGAGGGAAAACATTTTGAGACAACTCTAACTCCATAACGTTTCATGACTTCATATGGCATCATCTCTAGATTATCAGAATATACCTACAGTAAGAAATGTTCTTATCTTTTCTAATATTCTCATTTTAGGTAACATGTCACCTTGCCAAACTTTTCGACAGCATTGCAGATCTGCAGTTTGAAGACAATCAGGATGTTTCTGCACACAGGGCAGTTGGAATGTACAGCAAAGAAAAGGAGTATGTCCCATTCCAAGCCGAGTGTGAATGTGTGGGCCATGTAAGATTTGATTATGAGGTTTTCTATGCTAGGGGAGTATTTTCAGCATGCTCTTAGAAGGTTGAGTTCAACAAGCAAAAAATTCAACCCAGGTCAAATCAGGCTCTGCTTAGTTTTGTGCTCGGAGGTTCCTTTTTATCTGTATCCACTGTGACAGAGGGCTCTTCTGCCATGCGTCCCAGTTTCTACTCATGTGGCTTTGGCACCCAGCAGGGTCTCAGAGACGCTAGGAATTGAGCTAGACAGAAGCAACTGTCACAGATTGAATGAGTGACCCCAGAATTAGTAGCAAATGCAACTCAGTGACTGAGTCTGCTACAAAGAGTATTCTGTTTTCACCACTGCTCGGAGAACAGAGAAGGGTTATAGTGAAGCAGCACCTTGCAATAAAGCTTGTTTTAAAGAGGCTTTGTGGTTCAGTAGTCCATTGTGAATGTTATAAATGGCTCCTCATAAATAAAGTTGATCGAGTCTAGCAAGCTGATGTCCTGTACTCTAATTACCATGTGCACAGAGTTAAGTTAGCATATTCTCTCCTCTCACAGCCAAATACCTCAAAAATATTCTTAACAGTTATCCGCAAGAATGGCTCATTATGATTTCTGAAAGCGTTTCTGGTGTGTTCAGATGATTTAGGGGAATTGCATCTTTTTATGATGGAGCTTGCGTAGCTTGGGTTAATCCACAGAGTAACTGATGGAATAGTGTCTAGTGGAGAACCATTTGGGTTGGGGCAGGGGTTCCTGAAAGTATTTGCAGAAAGATGAGTGGCAACCTTATTTCACAAGGGTTTTCTTTACTCCTTTCTGTTGCTTTTTAATATTGTACCAGAAAAATCCTGCCAAATGAAGGAGAAGCAGATGGTGGAATACTTTGATTAAAATATATTTTTTGATCTCTTGGGCTTTTTAGGATGATATTATAATGATTAGAAAAAGTTGCCATAAACTCTCTTGACAAAAGTGTGTTGCTGTCTGCTCCCTCCCAGCAAACTGCTCACCGACTGGCATGATGCCCGGAGGGGGATAGTCCAATTGATGGATGTGGTTGTCACTAGCAGGAACCCTTGATATTGAAAGTTTTTATAGTGCTCTAATTTATTCTGTATAAGCAACTTATGCTAGAGACTTGTAAACATATACAAATTCACCCTCTAATTGCCTTTGTTTTATAAAAAGATGCTTTTAATTTGGTGCTTTTTTGTATTTCTGCCTCTTTTAATTGGCTCACCCCAATTTAGTCCATTAGTGTATTCTTCAGCAAGTGTTGAATACCTACTATGCATCAGATGCTAGGTCAGGCTTTGGGGAGTTCCGAAATGGCCCTTGTCTTCGAGGAGCTCTTAGGCCCATTGAGAAAATGGATATGCACATAATAATGGAGGTAGCAATTGTTGTTATAGGGGGTTGGTTGAGAAGTGCCAAAAAGGGAAGGATCCAGCAAGCACCTCATCAGAGCTTAGTTCTCAAAGCATACTGAGTTAGGTTGCCATTGTTGGCACAGTCATCTGTACGTGAGCTGACATATTGACATGTATGTGTGTTTGGTCTTCCCAAATGGACTGCAAAGTTCTTGAGAACAGGTGGCCATGTGGAGGATATGGATCCCAGGGTATCCAGGAGACATACAATAATGACTGAATTAATGAGGGAACTTGTTGCTTGATGACCTTAAAAGTTACCCTTAGTTATTAAGGCAGAGATACCAGACCCCATTGGTTAGATCAGAACAACCTGACATAATTCGGTTAATCTGAACTCATGCATGTTAACAAAGCACAGTTGTGAAGCCAGAGGGAAGGCCCTTAAGAAGAGATACTGAGGCCATTTCCAGAGCAGTGTTTCCTGTTTCTTTCAAGAGAGGAGGTTGTCCACTCATTAACCACTTATCACTCCATTCCAATTCTTCAGAGGTTCTAGGAATGCTGCTGCTCTCTTCACAGGGGTGGAGGAAGAAGTCAGTTGTATCATCTTCAGAATCTCATGTGATTCTTGGTATTTATTTTTTATAGTCACTTTTTATTGCTATGGTCAATTATTTGCAAATAATATATGTATCACTTTAATTATATGATATCCTAAGAAAATAAATACCTGGATTAATATAACAAAATACATTTGAACAGGATGGAAACTGGGCTAAGTTGTATTTTTGGGCGCAAACTAAGCTTCAATTTTTTAAAAAAAAAAAGATTAATTTTTACAAGTCAGCAGTTGTCCTATGTCTAATACTCTCCTGTGGTCTAATTTCTGACAAGTGTGAAGATTAGAGCCAGTAGGGAATATAATTAAGGTACTTGCTGAAAACATTTTATCTTAAAACTGTGAACTATGAAGATTTTAGAGAAGAATTTTCAGTAGATTTAAAAATTAATAGAAAAAAATTTAACTGAATTTTTATTATTAAAGCTCTAGAATATGACTCATACCTCTATAGGTGTCTGTGATGTTTGGCTTCTGAAAACACTGTGTGTTACCAGAGGGGAATCTTGGTCTAGAACCTCCTTGCCTTCAAAGCTGAGAAATGAATAGTGAAGAACCCCTTTTCTGTTTAGGCTGTGGAAAGTTGTTAGCCAGCTGGTGGGTAAAGTCAGATGAGCATTATTCCTGGGAGAAGGCGGGTTCCTGCAGGAGAAAGATTTCACCAATCCGTTGTTCACTTTCCCCTTTGAGTTATGCCTCTTGCAGTTTTCTACCTGGGTTTAAAATGAATCCACCTGGGGCATTACCCTCTGCGTGGCCTTAGAGCCAGTAGGAGGATGAAATTATCCTTCCATAGTTAAGCCTGTGTTATAACATTTCAACTTGCTTCCAAAGGTGGAAACATGGCTTCTGCAACTTGAACAGACTATGCAAGAAACGGTGCGTCATTCTATAACAGAAGCCATAGTGGCCTACGAGGAAAAACCTAGGGAACTGTGGATTTTTGATTTCCCAGCTCAGGTTGCACTAACCAGCTCACAAATATGGTGGACCACAGATGTAGGAATAGCCTTCAGTAGACTGGAAGAAGGCTACGAAACAGCCCTGAAGGATTTCCATAAAAAACAGGTATTACATAGATTTGTGATTTTGAGACATAAAGGAACTTCAAGATGTAAGCTTGCTTCATTCATTCTTTTAGTCATTCATTTACCGAGTGTCATCTGTGTGCAAAATACTATGCTGGGAAGATTTTAGCAATCAGTTGTTAAATCATTTTTTACCTTTGTGGTATCCTTCTAGATTTCTTTATGGGTTTTTAAAAAGTACATCGTGTCTATTGTCTTCTAAGGCTCTAGGATAGCACTCATACTAGATACTGTACATGCTTATTTTCTTCTGTGTAAGACTCTCCAACTAGGCAGATCATGTATTTATTAGAAAATATGTGCATGATTTGCATTATTCAAAATGGTGGAGGTTGGCTCAGCAAGAGCAAATATTTTCATGGGCTTTGGTTTTCTGTTAATTATAAATTACAGATGAGAACTTTGAAAAATAATCTATTTTGAATTCTATTTTATTGATCCCAGTTATCCTGTGACCTTTCCTTAAGTCTTTCATCTTAATATGTGCTGTGAGCTATATAACAGTTCAGAGATGTAGTCTTTCTTTGGTCTTATAGAATCAGAGTATATTAGGCTTGAAAAGGAGTTTAAGTATTAGTTTGTCTACTCTTCTGGTTTTCAGTGGATAAAATCTGAATCCATAAATATGAAGTGGCTTTCCCAATGTTGCACAGTTTATAAGTGAACCTGGTAGGATTGTACCTTCTTCCTGGTACTGAGTTAGAATGCTTCCCAATGCTCCTCATCGACCCCTTTTCTGCTTTAGCAGTACTTTTACTTCAATAACTTGAGAATCAAATAGATTTAGATAGTGAGTGATCCTTGTATTGTTAACACATTTGAAGATTCAAGTGTGGATTATTCCTTTTAATTTTACTCTTTCAATCTTGCATAGCGACCACCCAACTTATTTATATTACTAAAGAAGTGTTTGTACCACTTACTTTTGGGGAAAAAGAAATTCTTGATTTTACACTCTTAGGGGAAGATAAGGTAATTGTTTCTATTTAATAGGCTTGAAGTTACAGGATTCAATTGAAAGAAGTGGCTGGTTTCTTCCTACGGTGCCATCTTTGCAATTCTAGTAACTACCACTTGGATGCTGAAGCTGAGTAGTTAAATTTTTTTTCATGGACATAAATAACTGAGATAATTAAATGCAATTCTGCTATGCCTTTCTTATAAAATAGCCTCTGGTTAGTTAATTTATTGATATTTATGCTTTTATTATGACCATTTTCATTATGCATATAAGTAAGGACATTTAAAAATACTTGGTTAAAATAATATCCTCTTTTAAATTTCAGCTATCCTCAATCACTACTCAAACTTAAATCTTTCTACATGCATATTCCTACTTATTTTACTCTGTTTTTTTTCTAACTCTTATCTCCAACTTGTCTTTTTTTTGTTTCTAGACTGTTTTATTGCTTATAAGGTTAAATGATGTTTTATGGCTATTTATTATTTATATCAGCTTTTTTATTTCTTTGTTATTTTTTGCTGTTAAAGATGATAAAGAAAATACAGTCACAGAAAATGAAAAGAAGGGACATAACATTTAAACAACACCCATAAATTCATTTTCAGGAGAAAAATTATTAACATTTTGGCATGCAAACATCAAAAGTTTTTTCTCTATTTACTATCTTTTGTCTGTCTTTATGAATGTATAGACATGCCTGTTTATAGGTATAAACATGTATAAATCTGTAGCTATTTATATATAAGTGTAATTATTTATGTAGCTATGTATCTGTGTCTATAGATACACATTTTAAAAAATTATTTTACATTCCATACATTTATTTGATTATTTTATATTTTCACTCAATATATTATCTACATATTTTCTTGTCATAAATATACATCAGATCCACACTAAAAGTGACTGAATATTATTTCTTTATATGGATATACCAGAATTTATTTTCTTTCTTCTCCTTTGTTTCGGTTTACTCTGGTTGTCTAACTTCTTATCAGGCACTGCTCTAGGTTCTGTGATTCTAGCAGCGATGTTCCTCCACTCAGGCACTTACATTCTAGTTAATCATTAATAGATCTTAACGTCTCTCCTCAAGAATCTTAGGATCATTTATTCTGTTCTCCACTCCCCATCTTACATGTAGTCATTTAAACCTTATTTTTTTAAAATTATCCATTAATTATGGTGGGAGTGGTATTATTATTTCAGATCTTAATTAGATTTACCAACATATTTACCAATGACTTTGCTCATTTTTTATTTATTTTTCACCTGATTGCTTATTTGTGAATTAAATTCCCTTCTTTCTATAGAATATATTTTAGGAGTTTGTGCAGTGGTGAATTGTTACAGGAAAATTTCTGGTCCCTTGTCTTTATTTTGACTTCCTTTTTGATAATCCAGCTGGGTATAGAATTCTAAGTTGATAGTTTTTTTTAATACCTGAAAAATATTTTTCCATTTATCTTATGGCTTTTATTATTGTTATTGTAAAATCTTATGTCATTCAAATTATTTTTCCATTGTAAGCTATCTGTCTTGTTTTGGGGGATAATTTTAAGATTTCTTTCTTTTTGTGGTTCTGATAAAACTTTTTTCCTTGTAGCATATGATTAAGAAGAAAGAGGAATCCAGGGCCAGATTAAGTAGACTCAAATCTCAGCTTCTACTATTCATTAGCTATGTGACTATGGACAAGCTATTTAGCTACTCTATGCCTTAGTTTTATCATCTGCAAAACACGGACAATGACAGTACTTGCATCGTAGGATCATTAGAAGGATTACTTAGTTAGTATATGGAAAATACTATTTTTTTTTTGAGATGGAGTTTCGCTCCTGTCATCCAGTCTGGAGTGCAATGGCACAATCTCAGCTCACTGCAACCTCTACCTTCCAGGTCAAGCAATTCTCCTGCCACAGCCTCCTGAGTAGCTGGGATTACAGGCACCCTCCATTATGCCCAGCTAATTTTTGTGTTTTTAGTAGAGACAGGGTTTCACCATGTTGGCCAGGCTGGTCTCGAACTCCTGACCTCAAGATGATCCACCTGCCTCGACCTCCCAAAGTGCTGGGATTATAGACATGAGCCACTGTGCCTGGCCAAATGCTATTTTTAAATAGTGTTTTAGTTTATGTGCTATATAAGGGCTGGCTATTGCTGCTGTTGTTAATGCTATGACAATAATGATGATGGTGTCCAGTGTGGTACACAACTTATTTAATACATTTTCCTCAGTAGTTTATAAGAAAAATTTTCTAACATGCAGAAAAGCTGAAAGAATTTTGTAACATGTGTGCCTACCACTTAGATTCTACAATTAATATCTTGTTTTATTTTCTTTATAACATGTCATTTATCAAACCCTATAACCATCCATCAATTCATTTTGTGTCTATGAATCATTTCAAAGGAAGTTGCAGATACCATAATCTTTACCCCTAAATATTCCATTATTTAAAATTTTAAATTTTAATTGAAAGGTAAATACTGTGTATATTTATGTGTACACATGATGTTTTGATATCTGTATGTATGATGGAATGGCTAAATCAGGGTATTTAACATTTGCGTTACCTCACTTTTTTTTGTGGTAAGAATGTTTAAAAGGTACTTTCTTAGCACTTTTCAAAAATATTTTATTTTGTTACTAACTGAGGTCACCATGATGTACAATAGACCTCTTGAACTTATTCCTCCCAACTGAAATTTTGTGTCCTTTGACTAATAGCTCCCCAAACCTTCTACCCCTCAGCCTGTGGTAACTACTATTTTGCTGTTTATGTAAATTGGACTTTTTCATTTAAAATTTTTTTAAATTTTATTTGCAGAAATGTATGAAGTACAAGTGCAATCTTGCTACCTGCGTTGAATTCGTAATGGTGAATTCAGTGCTTTTTAGGGTATCTTTCATCTGAACAATGTATAGTGTGTCCATTAATTTCTCATCATCCACCCCTTACCACCCCCTAATGATTCCCAGTCTCCGTTGTCTGTCATTCCACACTCAATATCCATGTGTACACATTGTTTAGCTCCCACTTATAGGTGAGAACATGTGACATTTGTCTATGTCTCACTTGTTTCACTGATGATAATGACCTCTAGTTCCCTGCGTGTTGCTACAAAAGACATGATTTTATTCTTTTTTATGGTGGAGTAGTAGTCCATTGTATATATATGTCACATTTTCTTTTTCCATTCATCCGTCAGTGGCCACTTAGGTTGATTCCGTAAGTTTGCTATTGTGAATAGTGTTGCAATAAACATAGGGGTAGAGATATCTTTCTGATGCAATGACTTATTTTCCTTTCAGTAGATACTTGGTAATGGGATTGCTGGGTCAAATGCTGGTTCTATTATTAGTTCTTTGAGAAATCTCCATACTGTTTTCCATAGGGGTTGTGCTAATTTATATTCTCACGAAGAATGTATAAGAGTTCTTTTTTTTCCGCATCTTCACCAACATCTGTGTTGTTGTTGGTCTTTTTAATAGCCATTCTGACTGCTATAGTATCTCACTGTGGTTTTAATTTGCATTTCCCTGATGATTAGTGATGTTGAGCATTTTTTCAGATGTCCTTTGGTTTTTGTATAACTTCTTTTGAAAAATGTTTATTCATGGAGTTTGACATTTTTATATTCCACATACAAGTGAGATCATACAGTATTTGTTTTTCTATGCCTGGCTTATTTCAATTCACATAATGTCCTCCTGATTGTCATAAATGACAGGATTTCCTTTTTTTTTTTTTAAAGACACAATAGTATTTCATTGTGTATATTTGCCATATTTGCTTTATTCGTCCATTGATGGAGACCTAGGTTGATTCCATAGCTTAGTGATTCTTCATAATGCTGAATAATGCTGAAGAGATACAGGTGTCTCTTCAACGTACTGATTTCAGTTCTCTGGTATATATCTCCATTAGTCAGATTGCTGGATCATATGGTAATTCTATTTTTAATTTTTTGAGGAAACTTTATGCTATTTTTCATAATGGCTGCACTAACTTACATTCCCACCAACAGTGTACAAGGATTCCCTTTTTAAGCACTTCAATTTACATACCCAATTCATCAGTTTAATTTCAGTTATTATATCTCAATTTCCCAAAGTTTTTTTTTTTTTTTGGCTTTTTTAAAAATTTTATGGTCACCTGTCTTTTCATTGTGGTTTCTATTCTTTAATCTTATTAATTATTTTAAAGAGATGTTTAATAGTTTTACTTGGATTGTTCTACTAGCTCTAGTTCTGAGGCTGGATCTCCTGTTAAATTTGATTTGTTTTTAAATGTTCATTTTTAAAGGTTATCTTTATGTCTGGTTTTTTTTCTGTAGGAATTGTCTTCCCTAAATTGAGCAAATGTCTCTACAGTGTATCTCCCCTCGCCCCCGCCCCCGCAATTCTTTCAGGTTTCTATAGATCTTCTAAGTTCTGGGTGATGATTGTGATTATGATTGAGACAGTCTTGCTCTTTTTCCTGGGCTGGAGTTCAGTGAAGAAATCATGGCTCACTGCAGCCTCAAACTCCTGGGCTCAAGCAAACCTCCCGCCTCATGTTCCTGAGTAGCTAGGACCACAGGTGCATACTACCACAGCTGACTAATTTTTGTTTTTTTCTTATGGAGAGGTGGTCTAACTATGTTGAGCAGGCTGGTTTTGAACTCCAGGCTTGAAGCAATCCTCCCACTCCAGTCTCTCAAAGTGCTGGAATTACAGGTGTGAGCCACTGCCTCGGCCAGTTGTAGATTAATTTTGCAATTACTCAGTTTAGGATTTTCTGATCACATTAGCAGGGTTAATTTGGATGCTTCAGTATCTCAGCTTTATGTTCAACATCTCAGTCCCAACTTTCTGCCTTGCTTGAGGGAGTATGAGAGGCACAACTGAAATGGGAACATTTCTGTCCCCATGTGGCAATTTAAACCTCAGCTCCAGATGTTTGGCTCTCTGTCCAAATTCTTTGAGCTGCCATGGCATTCGCTTATCGACCTCATCATACCTCTCTGCTTTGAGGCTCATTCTTGTTGTCAGGAAGGGATCAGTCTCCTCTCTTTCTTTATCTCTCTCTCTCTCTCTCACTCTCTCTTCCCCTTCCTCCCTCTCAGTGCCTTTCACTCCCTCTCTCTCACTCCGCTATTGACCTCTCCCCCTTTCTACCTTTCTCATGTTTGGCTATGTACTTTGTATTTAGATATGTTCTGTTTTATTTCATATTTCTGTGTTAATAAAGAAATTGTCCATGTTCATTTAATATATTGCAAGACCACCTATTATTATGATGATTATTGTTGGTAATACTGGCTAGTTGGGTTGCTTTTCCATTTTTGGTTATCGTTAATAATACTGCAAGGAACAGCCTTGTATAGACATGTTACATGTATTTTTATTTATTCAGGATAAATTTCCAGATGTAAAATTGCTAGATCAAAGCCTTTGCAAGATAGTGCCAAATTTACCTTCCCAATATCAGTGTATAAGAAGTGTCCACTCCTTCCCCTGTCAACAACATTGGGCTGGTTCTTTTTTTTGTTCTCATTCTTATAAAATTATTCATATCCCAGTAGCTTTGGCTGGTTCAACTAATTAATGGAATTTAGTGTTCTTCTCTTAAAATCTTTTAAAAGTTTTCCACTTTGTTCTAGAGTTAAATAGTGCTTCTTTTTTCATGTTGGATGAGAAATAGAGAAAAGGGATGATTTGTGAAGAAAGCATTTATCCACATAATTATAAAACACTTCTAGCATGAATTGAAATGTTTGACAGACCAGACAAGCAGATGCTTTTACTACAGTGTTTCAGTTTTGTGACTGGCACTAACATGTATATTACAGAAGCTAACATTTGAATTCTGCTAAGCTGTGGTTTGGGTCATGAGAAATGTTTGCATCTAAGTTGAAACCTTTTTAGTTTTCTTCCTTTCAAAATGGATGTAACCATCTGCTGGAGTGTGCTTTTAATTAAAATTATTCTTACTAATACTGTAAGCAGTTTTTTAAATGAGCTTTAGTCATTTAAAATAGCTTAATTTTAAAACTGGTATCAGAGTTGTGTATAATTGATGATTATAAGTAATTCCTTTCAGTAATTCCTTTCCTTGGTTATCCCAAATTGTAGTGAGATAAATAAACCAAGGTAATAATTTTAAACTCTATTTCCCCCTTGGATCTATGGTGATTGCATATTAGTATTGGGATTAAAGGCAAAAATACTGCATTTTGAATATATATCGCTGCCTTGTCAGAGTCTTTGAAAAAAGTGGCAAGTATGATAAATTTAATTTCCCAGATTTGAAGGTTCCTTGGTGAAAGTGTTTTGTTTTGGAGGCTTGGGATATGGTAGGAAAGTTTCTCCACTCCTCTTTTATTATTGAGCTGTGTGAAAATCATCAAAAGAGAGATAGAAGTGTTTTAAACTTTAAAAAATTAATATCTGTAGTGTGCAGGGACATTACCCAGAGACTTTTGTTAAGAACTCATGATAAATAATATAAAACTTTTCTCATTAACCATCCTCTCCCTCTCAACAAAGACTCAGAAATACCAGTATACATATAAGAAAGAGACCCTCATTTTGCTGCTGAAAGCCAATTTTTGGCCTCACTTTTAGTTGCTAAGGAAGTCTTTTAAAAAATTTGGATACAATATTGGTAGCATTCTTATCTTGTTTCAGCCCTATTACCTGAATAGAGAAGCCTGTCAAGCCTGGAGCTACCAAGTGTATATTGGACACAAGTATTTTTTTTTTTTGGCCTTTATATAACAATGTGATCTGATAGCCTTATACTTTATAATCTAGCAGTAACTCACAAGATCATGAGTAGAGCACATACTCTCTACCTCCCCTCTCATCAAAGGTTACATTGAATGACAGGTAAGGTATATGAAAAAAAACATAGTGTTCCTAGAAATACAGGAACAGATGATTTGAGGAATGCTAGGAACACATGAAATTGAATTGATAGCTGACTAAGAACAGAGAAAATCAGTCCAAACCTATAAAAAGAGGAAGCTATTGCAATGGTAAGCCAATTTTCACCCAGCAAAATTTCAGATAAATTATGAACTCACCTTAAGCAAATATAAAAAATGTGGAGTTTATGGTTAGTGATAAGGATTAAATCTAGAAGAAATGGATAACTGTAGCAGCTTCTCTCCCCTGTATATCCCAAGAGGCTATTAGTGGAGGTGTTTGTCCCCAGTACAAAGCCCTGAGAAATGCTTTGCAAGCAAAGTGAGCCATTTATAGAGGGCTTCTGTCATAAATATGTCTTGACTGAAGAGCAGGAGTTGGCCTACTTTTTCTGGGAAGAATCAGGTAGTAATTATTTTGTCTTTGTGGGCCATATAGTCTCTTCTGCATGCACGCATCTCTATTGTAGTGGTTGCAAAGAAGCAATTCATAATTTGTAAGTGAATAGTTGGGTTGTAATAAAATGGTGTTTATAAAAACAGGTGGTGGGCCAAATTTGGTTCATGGCCTATAGTTTACCACCTCTGCTTTAGAGAAAGAAGCAGAACAAATCCTGAAGTAACTGAAGATCCCCACAATGAGAGATGGAGGTAAGAGAAAAAAGGATTTGTCACCCATATATGCCATTGGATTTCAATATGATCCATTAACATGAGAGTTGGTTCTTTGAACAGACCAATAATACTGACAAATTTTGCAGTTTAGAGAAGGAATCAAAAACATACAATAAAGGGATAGGGAAAAAACATAATCCCTGTAAGAGATTTTAAAATGACTGTGTACGTATGTGATTTTTTTTGCTAATAATTAAGTCAAAATCTAAAATAAATGGATGTTTCTCTATGAATACTTTTTCTAGAATTGAATCAAAATAATTTAGAAAACTCAAGTAGACCATTAACGATGGAAATAATTGAAATTGTAATCATGGTAGTCAAAGATGGGCACTCCTTCCTAAATAGGACCCTGTTTCAATGATTTTATCATGGGAAAGGTAAACACCATGTTACATCAACTGTTCTGGAATATAAACAGAGATGTAAGGATTTTCCACTCTTTCTATAAAGTTCTAATATACTTGATAGAAAAACCACACAAAGATAAAATACAAAAGAAAATTCTTTCAGCAAATCTCCTAAGTTAGCATATCTTCTTTTTTGTGTGGATTTTTTACTTAACACTGGGAGCCAGTCCTTATGGGTCTTACATTTATATACATCTTATGAACAGAGGTAATGACTGCCCTTTGTTCCAGATATATTTTTATAGTGAACATTCTTGAAAATAGAGATAGTATCTCTCTCCAGAGCAAAGGGCATGTTGACTTATTTTTTAGTATAATAAAAATAATATCTCTTCCTAGGGCAAATGTCAGACATGCTGTCTTATAAAAGATTTGCACTCCCTAAATCCAGAATGTTTCTCTTGTAACACAGCTCATTGCATGTGCTAGCCCTCTTTGAATATCCTTTGAAAGTTTGTACTCAGTGCTAATGTTCTAATATTACTCATGGTATTGCTGTAATAAACTGTCCTTTATCTCTGACCTGTGAGTCTCATGTCTTCTGCCAGCATCCATGACTTGTTAGCCAGCAAGTAGGATAAAATTTCAGACCCCTCACATTTTTCAACGAACATATTTTTGAGATTCATCTCTGTCGTTGCATGTATTTGCTGTTCATTATTTGTTATTGCTTACTAATAATACATTGTATACGTGTACCACAATTTTTCTACTCATCTTGTTACTTGACATTTGGGTTTCCAGTTTGAGACTATTATTTCTAAGGCTGCTTTAAACATTACTGGATTAAGTCTTTTTGTGAACATATATTTTCATTTCTCCTGGGTAGAAGCCTAAAAGTGAAATTGCTGGATCACAGAGAAAGTGTACGTTTAACCATTTAAGAAACAGTCAAACAGTTCTCTATTGTTAATACTACCATGGACAATGTAACCGAATTTCAGTTGCTTTATATACTCGCTCATATTTGTATTGTCAGTCTTATAATTGCAGCCATTTCAGTGGATATAAAATAGTATATCATTGTGATTTTAACTGGCATTTTTCTAATGTCTAAAGATGTTGAGCAACTTCTTATGGGGTAATTAGCATTCGTACATCCTCTATTGTGAAGTATCTATTAAAATCTTTTGATCTTTTGCTCCATTTTCAAACAGTTGGGTGATTTGCCTTATATATTTTTAAGACAGGGTCTCACTCTGTCAACCAGGCTGGAGTGCAGTGGCACAATCTGCAGCCTCAAACTCCTGGGCTCGAGCGATTCTCCTGCCTCAGCCTCTTTTGTAGCAAGGACTAGAGGCAAGCACCACCGTGCTCAGTTTAAACATTTTAAAAATTCTTTTTGTAGGTCTTGCTATGTTTCCCAGGTTCTCTTGAGCTCCTGACCTCAAATGATCCTCCTGCCTCGGCCTCCCAAAGTGTTGGGATTAAAGGTGTGAGCCACTGAGCCTGGTCTTTTTTAATTGTTGATTGTAGGATTTCTTTATTTATTTGGGATACAAGTTTTTTGTTCGAAAATGGACTACTCATTTTCTTAATGGCATATTTTATCAGAAAGTTATAATTTTGATGCAGTGTAGTGTATCACATTTTTTTTTCATGGCTAGTGCTTTTTGTGTCTTTTTAAAAATGTTTTTCTTTTTGTGTGTGTGTGTGTGTGTGTATGAGAGATAGATGTTATTGCCTGTCCAAAAGTCATGAAAATATATTTCTGTTTCTCTCAAGGTGCTTCATGGTTCTGGGTTTTTCCCATTAGGTCTGCAATCCATACCTCTTTCCTTTCTCTATTGAATTAATGTGGTACCTTGGTTGAAAGTCAACTGACTATATACGTATGTGGGTCTATTTTCAGATTCTCTTGTTTCATTGATCTATTTTTCTGCCTTCATGCCAAATCCATCTTTCTTAATTACCATAGCTTTGTAGTAATCCTTAAAGTCATTTTATATATACCTTCCAACTTTGTTCATTATTTTCCCCAAGATTGTTTTGACTGTTTGAAGTTCTTTTTTATACAACTCTTACATCACATTGTTTATTTGTACAAACCTAATTAATTTTAGCCTAATTAAATTGCGACTGGGGCAGCCTCTAAATATAAATTTTGGAAGAATGAACATCTCAATAATTATGGTTCTTATAACCCAAGAACATGGTGTATCTCTTTATATGGGTTTTCTCTAATTTCTCTCAGCAATGTTTTCTGTAGTTTTCAATGTAGAAGCCTTGCACATTTCTCATTAGATTTATTTTTAGATGGTTGATGTGTTTTTTATTCTATTTTATATAATAATTTTTAAATTTCATTTCCCAGTGTTTTTGGCTGGTACATAGAAATTTATTGATTTTTAAATATTCACCTTTTATCTTGGGGCTTTGCTAAATTTACTTAGTACATTTAGTAGTTTTTAAATAAATATATACTCTACAGGGCTTCCTGTGTACAGAAATACATCATCTGTAAGTAATGACAGTTTTCTTCTCTTCCATTCTTTTTCTTTTTGTTCTTTATTTCCTTTTTTTGAGCTATTGAATTGGTTGGGCCTCCAGCACAGTGTTGAATAGAGGTAGTGAGACATCCTTGTCCATTTACATTCTTTGGTAAGAGTAATGTTTCTCCAGTAAATATAATGTTAGTTGAATGTTTCTTGGAGATGCCCCTTATCAGATAGAGGAAAATCCTTTCCATTACCACATGCAGAGAGTTTGCATCTTAAATCAGCATTGAGCTTTCTCCAATCTCATGAGATGACCATGCCATTCTGTTATTGTGGTGAATTTTCGAAAGTTACGCCAACTTTGCATTCCTGAATAATAAACAATTGGTTATGAATTATCCTTTAAGTGTGTACGTGTGTGTGTGTGTGTGTGTGTGTGTATTTTTGGCTGGATTCTATTTGCTATTATTTTGTTAACAAATTCTACATTTATGTTTATCAGGTACATTTGTCTGTAATTTTCTTTTTCTATGATATCTTTGCCAGATTTTGAAATCAGGGTATACTCCTTAGAAGGAGTTGGAAAGTGATCCATTTATATCTATTTTGTGAAAGAGCTTATGTTAGACATCACTGGTGATGCATCTGGGCTTGAAGTTTTCTTTATAGAACATTTTTTATTGTAAATTGATTTCTTTTATACATATGCAGCTGTTTAGTTTTTTGGGCTCTTCCTTTCTTGTGTCAGTTTTGGAAGTTTGTATTTTTCAAGATATTTGCCCATTTTAAGTAATTCAGCATGTGGCAAATTACAAACCTCTGGCCAAATCTGGCCCAGTGTCTATTGTCTGTGGCTATTTTCACATCACGATGGCAGAGTGGAGTGGCTGTGACAGAGACTGCATGGCCTACAAATCCAAAAATATTTACTATCTGTTCCTTTTCAGGAAAAGGGCCACACTTGGCCTATGCTTTTCAATTTACTGATGTAAGTTGGTCATGCTATTTCAGTATTATCCTCAGAACATCTGGAAGATCTGCCCAGATGTCCTACTTTCATTTCTGGGGTTCGTAATTTATTTTTTTTCTCTTTTTTTTCTTAATTGGGTTTTCTAGGTGTTTATCAATTTTATTTCTGTTTTCAAAGAACTAATCTTTGACGTTATTGGTTTTCTCTATAGCTTGTTTTATATTTCACTTATCTCTGCCCTTATTTTGATTATTTCCTTTCTTCTACTTACTTTGAGCTTAATTTGTTCCTCTTTTTCAAGTTTCTTACAGTGGGCGTTTATTGACTTTATACCTTTTTCTTTTCTAATATAAGCATTTAAAGGAACTTTTATAACTTAAAAAATATCTACCAGAAACCTGCAGAGAAAATCATACTTAATGGTGAAACATTAGAATCATTTCCATTAGTGTCAAGAATCAGGTAATGATGCTCACTATATCTGACATTCGTTGCTCAATATTGCACTGGTGGTTTTAGCAGTAGGATTAAAGGAGAAGTAGGAAGTGAACACTGAAAAGAGGACAACAAACTGAGATTCAACAACCCATGTTCTGATAGTTTTAAGAGCATGGGACTTGGTCTCTTTGTCATTTCCTTTGCTCTGGCTGGCGGAAATGAAAATTCATTGTTTCTGATATTGCTGAAGGTGAAACTGGTGGGTTTCAAGATGAGAGGTCCTCGTTGCTGTTATGAAACAAGAGGAACTTCAGTATTATGTCTTGTTAGAAAGGGATCCAGGATCCTGGTAGCTGATCTCCAAGGTGCTATAGCAATTACATTGTAATGTTCACTTTGATCTGCTAAGCTGAGGACTTCTAGCTCCAGACTACTTTTCTAAGAGAGTGTGTCTCGCTCTATTGTCCAGGCTAGAGTGCAGTAACGTGATCATAGCTCACTGCAGCCTCAAACTTACGGGCTCAAACAGTCCTCCTGCCTCAGCCTCCCAAGTAGGTAGGACTACAGAGGCTTAACACCATGTCTGGCTAAGTTTTACATTTTTTTGTAGAGATGGGGTCTTGCTGTGTTGCCTAGGCTGGTCTCAAACTCCTGGCCTCAGGCCATTCTCGCTCCTTGGCCTCCAGAAGCACTGGGGTTACAGGCATGAGCCACCAAATCTGACCTCCAGATCTCAACTTTTCTGCAGAGTGGCCTCTTCCAGCTTCTTTGCCACCATGGCTTGGGTGTCCCCATATTGGGAGATATGCCATGGCTGATGCTGGTAAAACTGCAATGCTTCTGCTGCAAGGAAGATTTTTTTTCTTTGTTGCCTTATTTAAACCTATAGTATTTAGGGACACACTCTTTAAATTCACGGTATGGCCTCTTTCTACCATGCTGCCATGGGAGCCAGGACAGGAAAAAATGGGGGACCAGCCACCACTATGTATCAGGAACCACTGCTTCTCTCTGACCTTAAGTCTGTTACTTTCTAGGTCTGACATTGTCCTACATGGTGAACCCACTGTCATCCTACCAAGCTCGCTGGCCCTCTTTGGGAACACTGTAGTCCTTTAGATATGTGTATCCTATACACCCCAATGGTGGTCAAGATTGTGTCTTTTCCTTTTTCTTTTTTTCACGGTGTGTGACATAGAAGGTGTAAGATCTTGTCTTTTTGTTAGGAAGCATTTCTATGTTTATATAAATAAGAGAATTCATAAGTGGGGTATACTGAGTTATCTCTCTCTACTTACCACAATCATTGGAGGCCAGCTCTTGCCTGGTCTGATACCCTGTTATCCACATAAGAAGGTTTAGTATTTGTAAAATATACAGTGAGATCTTAGAATTGTGTACTAGACCCTGGCTCCACCGTTTATAACTGTGTGATCTCAGGCAGGTAATCTTATATTCTCATATGTAAAACTGGAATACTAATCGTGCCTACTTCGTAGAGTTGTGATGATTAAATTAGAAAACACATACACAGTACACATGTACCCATACAATGCCTGTCAGTCAGTGCTTTTATTATCTGCCGACATCATCAAAGAGGAACTAGAGCAATGGCCATCAGGCTGATGTCCCTCCCCCCACAGCATCCTCCAGCTAGGAGGGAAGGGTGATCTCCACTGCCCAGAGCATTTCTCCATCTCTGCTCTGGGTCCCTTCTGCTCTGACCTCTCTCAAGGCTGCCCTGACTTTCTTTCCTCCTGTTTCTTCGGTTTCTCGCTCTTGCTCATTCCCATCAGTAATTAAACATGCCCAACTCCCTCATTACTCAAAACAAAATAATAACCAAAAATTGTCCACTCATGCCACATCTTTTGTTTCCTGCCTTATCTTTGTTTTATTATAATCAAGCTTGCTGACCTATACTTGCTCTTTCCTTTTTCTCATCACCACAACCTATTTCTACCACTTGATTGAGTCTATTTCTGTTTTCTTTAACTTAGAAAATACTTCCTACTTCTTCACATACTCTGTTCCTTTATATTCATGTTTTTTTTTTGAATTCTAGTTTTCTACCTAGAAAACTTGGGCTGCTGTTTACTTCACCTGGCTGGTCTTCCTCCTGCTCCTTAAATATTCCTGTTCCTTATGGCTCTATTCTGTTTTGTTTTGTGTGTGTGTGTGTGTGTGTGTGTGTGTGTGTGAGTTTTGTTTTGTTTTTCATGGAGTTTCACCCTGTCGCCCAGGCTGGAATGCAGTGGCACTATCTCGGCTCACTGCAACCTCTGCCTCCTGGGTTCAAGCAATTCTTCTGCCTCAGCCTCCCAAGTACCTGGAGTTATAGGCGTGATCATGCCCAGCTAATTTTTGTATTTTTAGTACAGACGAGGCTTCACCATCTTGGCCAGACTGGTCTTGAACTCCTGATCTCAGGTGATCCACCCACCCTGGCCTCCCAAAGTTCTGGGATTACAGATGTGAGCCACTGCGCCTGGTCTGTTTTTGTGTTTTGTTTTGTTTGAAACAGGGTCTCGCTCTGTCACCCAGGCTGGAGTGCAGTGGTGTGATCTTGGCTCACTGCAACTTCTGCCTCCCAGCTTCAAACAATTCCCATGCCTCAGCCTCCCAAGTAACTGGGGTTACAAGTGTGCACCACCATGCCTGGCTAATGTTTTTGTAGTTTTAGTAGATACAGGGTTTCGCCATGTTGACCAGGCCTGTAACTCCTAGCCTCAAGTGATCCATCTGCCTCGGCCTGCCACGATCTTTCTTTTTCCTTCCCTTTTCTTTTCCTCTTTTCTTTTTTCACACATCCCTGACTGATTTCATCCACTTTTATGGCTGCTCAGTTTCCTTTGCTCCAGTCTACATCTCTCTCCTGAAGCACAGCCAGAAGCAGATAGGGAATTTTCACTGAAGTCTCACACGCACACCCAATCTAAAAGATCCAGTGCACATTAGCTCTTCTCAAACTTGCCTCCCAACGTGCCCAACTGCAGAAAAAAAAAAGAACAAAAAACCAACATACTTCACTAGTTGCTCACACTAGAAGCCCGCTTGACTCTTCTTTTCCTCAATAGCCAATCAACCACCAATTCTGTCACTGTTCTGAAGATCCCTATTCTCACTGCCTTCTCCAACTGCTTTGATAATGTCCTAGACCAAGCCACTCTCTTTCATCTAAATGACTGTAGCATCCTCCTCACAGGTCTTTTCTTCCAGTCTTACCTTCCTCCAATTCATTCTTTACAGTATAGCCAGAGAAATAATTTAATAACACAAATCTCATTATCACCCCACTTTCTAGACCTTTCAGCACCATCTCATTGTCCTAACTGAGCTGGGCAAGCCCTGCATGCTTGGGCACTTGCCTTCCTCTGCAGCATCCTTACACACCCCTCCTTCCTATGCCGCCCACTCCTGCCATGGGTGACCTCTTTCAGTTTTTCCACAGAGCCACCCGATCCATTCAGGGCCTTTACACAGGCTGCTTCCTGTGGCATAACGACTGCCTCCCTGCTGGCCAACCCCTAAATTCTTGTCAACCTAAATCCTGCTCATTCTTTAGGTCTTAGTATACATTCCTCTAAAGTGCCTTTCTAATCCCTATATCAGGCAAGGCCTTATTTCTGTGTGCTGTCAGCATACTTTCTACTTGCCCTAGCAAAACAATTTTAATTATTTATCTGCATTCCTTCTTGTCCTGTAAGGTCTGGAAACAAGAACCACATTTGTCATCTTGTATGAGTGAGTGAATGAGAGAACAAAAAACTGTTGTTTTGGTGTGTATTGTTGCTGTCGTTCGTTTGTTCATTTCTTCATCAGTTCCTACAGCGAGTGTTGATTTGGACACATGCTTTATGCTGGCCGCTATGCTAAGCATGAGAACATAACACAGAATGAGACAGATGTGGGCCTTGCTCCTTTAGAGTTTAGGGTGGAGGAGACAAAGAAATACATGATTGATAGGATACTCATAAGTTCCATAAAGATAATAAAATAGAAACATTTAGAATAAATAGATAGGGGGTAATAGTAAATAGAATGGCCAGGGAAGGCCAATTTGAGGAGGTAAATTTGAAGTACAGCTTTGAATAATGAGAGGAAGCCAGTCATACAAGGATTAGAGGGAAGATGACTCCCGGAACATGAAGTGGTTGCTGTGGCCTTAAAACAGCTGTGATAGGAGAACAGAGAGAAGGCCAGCATGGTTAGTGAAGTGAGATAGGAAAGGAGTGGTGTGAGGTCATGGAAGACTTTGTGCTCCAGGAACAAAAGTTTGGATTTTACTCTAAGTTGGGCTTATTTCTAGTTCAAGATACATGCTGTACTTGCACTCTAATGAAGCCAAGATGTCCCAGGAAAATAGCCACTTGAGTTTCAAAGGGGCGTAGGTAGACTTGAGCCAAGACACCCTTGATCCAGTAGAAAATCATGTAACACTGTTGCGATCAGTGGCAAGAATATGTACTGATTACATGATAGGATATATTTTCTTAAAGCTGCTAAGGAGTGTTTTCTATGTCACAGACCATAAACTTATATACAAGTACAGTACTGACCATAATGATTGCTATCTCTTGCCACTGCCCAAATAATAGACATTTTATAACTACATTATATAACTGTGGGTACAGAATTTTATTACTTACAAAAGAGTATCATCAGAGAAGGTTTAATCTTGATACACAGTATAAGATCCCCAGCATATGATGCTGTGCAGATTATGTTGACAAGCTGTGTTTTTAATCATCTTCCATTTGACTGCACTTCTGTGAAAAATGAATCAATAATGCAGAAATCACAGGTTGTTGGGAGGCTCAGGCAAGACAATGCGTGTGAATGCACTTACAATTATACATGTTCTTATAAGGCATATGATATTATTACTGTTGTTACAATCAACTTTATTTTAAACCAAATACTGGTAGTGGTGTAAGATTGGATACTGCAAAGACCGGATATCTTGACCCAGATGAGAAAATATCCAAGGCCTAAATATCTCTTTTCTCACTAAAGTGTATATTAATTTTCCCTAGAAACTTGCATAGGTATGGGTTGTTATTGTACATTAATTCATCTGTTCAGCATACACCCATTGAGCACCCACACTCTGACAGTTCTTCAGTGGCTCTGGGAAAAGGCATCGAATAAGATGGATGCTGTCGTTGCCTTTGTGGAACATAAAATCTAGGGGATGATGAGCAGTGAACATATTAGACATAAAACAATAATCACATCTGCTTTTTAAACATTTAACTACTTTTTAAAGATGCAATGTATTAAAAGTACAGGTGTATCTCATTTTACTGTGATTCACTTTACTGTGCTTTGCAGATACTGCCTTTTTTTTTTTTTTTTTTTAAACAAATTAAAGATCTGTGGCAACCCTATCTATGCTGGGCATTGACATCATCATTCAAACAACATGAGCTTGCTTTGTGTCTTTTTGTCACATTTTCATAATTCTTGGAATATTTAATTTTTTTATTATTGTATCTATCATAGTGATCTGTGATCAGTAATCTTTTTTTATTTTTTGAGACAGAATCTCACTCTGTCACCCAGGCTGGAGTGCAGTGGTGTGATCTCAGCTCACTGCAGCCTATACATCTCAGAGTCAAGCGATTCTCCTGCCTCAGCCTCCCGTGTAGCTGGGATTACAGGTACACGTCACTATGCCTGGCTGATATTTTTTGTATTTTTAGTAGAGATGGGGTTTCACCCCATTGGCCAGGCTGGTCTTTAACTCCTGACCTCAAGTGATCCACCTGCCTGGGCCTCCCAAAGTGCTGAGATTACAGGCATGAGCCATCACGGCCAGCCTGTGATCAGTGATCTTTGATGTCACTCTTGTAGTAGGTTAAGGTACATCATTGCCAACAAGATCTTTTGACTTTTTTATTATAGCCAGTGTAATGGGTGTGAGGTGATAGCTCATTGTGGTTTTGATTTCTCTAATGATTAGTGATTTTGAGCATCTTTTCATATACTAGTTAGACATTTGTATGTTTTCTTTGGGAAAATGTCTATTCTGGTCCTTTGCCCATTGCTAATCAGCCTATTTGTTGCCGTTGAGTTGTATGAGTTCCTTATATATTTTAGATATTAATTCCTTATCAGATATATTGTTTGTAAATATTTTCTTCCATTCCATAGGCTACCTTTTTATTTTGTTGATTTTTTTCTGTTGATGTACAGAAACTTTTTAGTTTGATATAGTTCACTTGTTTATTTTTTATTTTGTTGTCTATGTTTTTGGTGTCAAGTCCAAAAAATCATTGTCAAGACCAAAGTCATGAAGCTTTTCCCACTTTTTTTTTTTTAAGGAATTTTACAGTTTCAGGTCTTATCTTTAAGTCTTTGATTCATTTTGAGTTTTTTTTGTGTGTGTATAGTGTAAGGGTCCAATTTCGTTCTTTTGCATGTGATGTCCAGTTTTTTCCAACACCATTAATGTAAGAGTCTTCTTTCTTCACTGTTTTTGGTGCCTATGCTGAAAATCAGTTGAAAAATTTATTTTTTAACTCTCTATTCTGTTCCACTGGTCTATGTGCCTTTTTGTATGCCAGTACCACACTGTTTTGATTACTATAGCTTTGTAATATAATTTGAAATCAAGAGATGTGATGCCTCCAGCTTTGTTTTTCTTGCTTAAGATTGCTTTGGCTATTCAGGGTCCTTGGTGATTCCATACAAATTTTAAGATTGTTTTTTCTACATCTGCAAAAAAAAAAATGGCATCAAAATCTTGATGCAGTTGAATTAAGTCTACAGAGAACTCTGGGCAGTACAGAGATTTTAACAAATATAAATTATTCTAATCCAAGGGCATAGGATCATTCCATTTATTTGTGTCTTTAATTTTTTTCCTTGGAGTTTTGTAGTTTTCAGTGTATGGATCTTTGACCTCCTTGGTGGTTGGTAGGAAGTAGTATAGCCATTATGGAAAACATTATGAACATTCCTCAAAATATTAAAAATAGGACTACCAAATGATCCAGCAATCTCACTTCTGGGTATATAGGTAAAGGAAATAAAATCACTGTCTTGACAAGATATGTGCACTCCCGTGTTCATTGCAGCTTTATTCACAATAGCCAAGATGTAGAAAAAACCCAAGTATTCATTAATAGATGGATAAAGAAAATGTGTAGACACTCATGCCCATGCACACACACACAGAGGAATATGATTTAGCCTTTACAAAGAAGGAATCTTACCATTTGTGACAACCTGGATGAATCTGAAGGGCATTATTCTATGTGAAATAAGCTAAACACAGAAAGACAAATACTGCATAATCTCACTTATAAGTGGATTAAAAAAAAAAAGTCTAACACATAGTAACGGTACAATGGTGGTTACCAGAGGATAGGGATGGGGGAAAACAGAAGATATTGGTCAAAGGGTACAAACTTTCAGTTATAGCATGAATAAGTTCTAGAGATCTAATTTAACATATGGCACCTATAATTAATAATAACGTAGTGTATACTTGAAATTTGCTAAGAGAGTAAATATCAAGTATTTTCACTTAAAAGATGTGTGAGCTGATGGATATGTCAGTTAGCTTGGTTGGGGTAATAGTTTCACAATGTATACCTACATCAAAATATCACGTTGTATACCTTAAACGTATACAATTTTTGTTTTCCAGTCATACCTCAATAAAGCCCAGGGGGTGGAGAAATAGGGCAAATGCTTATAAAGCTGTCGTGTATCCTGAATATCTAGGGGACATATATTAATATTTTTATTTCTTTAAGCCAGCTTTCCTTTGTGTTTGACTCTAAGTCTGTCCTGAATGCTTCTTGCACAGCTACAGTTTCTCAGACCTGAAGGGATGGGTAGGTCTTGTGGAGGCTGGAGAGGGTCTTTGTGATGAATCTGAAGTCAGACTGTTGGGATTTGAATTTCTCCTCCCTGGATTGGCAAATGTGGTTAATAGGGCTTTGACTCAATTTTCTCATCTGCAAAGTTCGGATACAGATTATCTTTCTTTTTTAAAAAATTTTATTATTATTATACTTTAAGTTTTAGGGTACATGTGCACAACATGCAGGTTTGTTACATATGTATACATATGCCATGTTGGTGTGCTGCACCCATTCACTCGTCATTTAGCATTTTAAGATTAAGTGCAATGAGATCAGCAACGTGCTTAGTCAGTGCCTGGAACCTTCTTTGTTCTTATTTCATGGAAATTGCACATGTTACAGTTATCTCTTCCTCCCTTTCTTCTCCCTTCTTATTCCAGCTGTATGACTTTCTCTAGCCTCCAGCCGCACGGCAATCTCAGGGAAGTTTGCAGGGTTTCGCATTTTCCGGGGCATGATAATAGTACAGTAGTGGACCTGTATTTTGACAGTAGGCTACAAAGGTTTGAGTCTCTGGTGATCTGTCATATTCACTTACCACCAGCTTTCTTAGGTGCTAGCAGTTTGTCATTGACTGTCCTTTTGCAGAGCTGAAGAGAAAAGGGGATGGTATTGTTTCACAGTATGATACCTGGAATAAGGCAGAAATATTGTTTTTGTAAATAAGGCTTGAGTAAGGCAGAAATCTTTTTGTGTAAATAACCATACTAACAAAATGACCACCTAAGACAGCATCTTTCAAACCTCTCTGACCACAATTCACCATAAGAAATATTTTCTATTAGATCCAAGTTCACATGTTTATGTAGGTAGTCAAAACGGAAATAAAACAGCATGAAACAATACATTCTCTTACTACCTGTGATACCGTATTTTCTATTCCATTCACTTCAATGAATTGTCATTCATGGCATTCCATTTTATTCCTTTCCATTCTATGAAAAAAGACCAGCAGTTTGAAAAATATTTATCTACGAGTTCGACGGACCTAAACAAGAATAAGAATAAAGGAGGATATTCTTCATCTCTTAATTTTAAATATTTTTTCAGTAGTCATCACTATCTTGTATTTTTAAAAACCAAAGCAAACACAAATTGTTAGGTGAATGCTTTTCTAAAGAAAAATATAATTTGTCATTTAGCTTTTACTATGCTTTTTTGAAAGTTAGTCTAATTTGGCCTTTCAAGATTTGTAGTCATTTCCTTTCCAACAATGTTATGGACCGGGCTATCATTAGGGTAGAGGGTCAGTCCAGTGCAGCCGGGAAACCCTGTGTCTTCCCTGGCTTTGTCATTACTCACAGGTTCTCTTGTCCTTCATCTGTGTGAGGGGGTAATAATATTGTGATTTCTACACCAAGGTTCTTTGAGGTCCAGCTGGGGTAACATATTTGAAATTGTTTTGTGGCCAGGCGTGGTGGCTCATGCCTGTAATCCCAGCATTTTGGGAGGCCGAGGTAGGCAGATCACTCAAGGTCAGGAGTTTGAGACCAGCCTGACCAAAATGGTGAAATCATGTCCCTACGAAAAATATAAGAATTAGCTGGGCGTGGTGGTGGGCACCTGTAATCCCAACTACTAGGGAGGCTGAGGCAGGAGAATTGCTTGAACCCAGGACGCAGAGGTTGCAGTGAGCAGAGATCATGCCACTGCACTCCAGCCTGGGTGACAGAGTGAGACTCCATCTCAAAAAAAAAAAGAAATTGTTTTGCAAACTAAATCAGCCTTTACAAATACGAAGAATTTGGGGCTCTTAAATTCTGTATTTGTAACCCTTCTCTCCTTTTTAAAAAATGATTCCTTCTAGATTTCTCAGCTGAATACACTGATTACACTTTTGCTGGGAGAACTTCCACCTGGAGACAGACAGAAGATCATGACAATTTGTACCATAGATGTCCATGCCAGAGACGTGGTGGCAAAACTTATTTCTCAGAAGGCAAGTTGTTTGTAGAAATTTTATGTATTCATTATTGTTTCCTGAAAGTGGTGTTTATTGCCAGAGTAGTTCCAAGAAAGTCGTTGTTTTTTTGAAAGTTTGTATGTTTTAATTAGTCCTGAAAAGTTGTGTTTGTCTTGGGTGCATTTGATTTTGGTTAGCCAATATATTATTCTGATGAGACCTATTCCAAGTGATATCCCAAAAGGTTTTGCCAAGTTAGGAACATCAGATCATCAAAAAAAATTTTATCACAGTGGAAGAACCGTGAGAAATCACTGTGTTCATCTCTCTGTGTGTGACCGTCTTGGTCATTGGCCTGTGAGCCTCAACTCTGTGACTTACACAGCCAATAGCAGTAAGATTATGTGTATGTGATTTAAACCATGTCTGTGTGCCTTTGATACATTTCCCCTTGAAGAGAGAGGTGTTGGTCATAATTCTAGGTTGTCACTTGGGTAATCCTTTGTCTCTTCCTTGAACAACTAAATTATTGTCTTGTAAGAAGTTATTTTCTAATTCTTTTAGTATACTAATAACCTTTCTTTTATATATCTTTAAAAAGTCGGCCGGGCATGGTGGCTCACGCCTGTAATCCCAGCACTTTGGGAGGCCAAGGCAGGCAGATCACGAGGTCAGGAGATCGAGACCATCCTGGCTAACATGGTGAAACCCCGTCTCTAATAAAAATACAAAAAATTAGCCAAGTGTGGTGGTGGGTGCCTGTAGTCCCAGCTACTTGGGAGGCTGAGGCGGGAGAATGGTGTGAACCCAGGAGGCAGAGGTTGCAGTGAGCCGAGATGGCGCCACTGCACTCCAGCCTGGGTGACAGAGCGAGACTCCATCTCAAAAAAAAAAAAAAAAAAAAAAAAATTTCTGTGTGTCTTTAAGTGTTGGCAGTGTTTAATGTGAAAGGAGAATTTTCTCATCCTTCTTTCCAAAATATATTCCTATTTACAAAAGTCAGGAGTATGCTTGTCTACTGGGTTACGCTTGTTTGGTAGTATTAAAACAAGGCAATTCCTTTCACAATTCGAATGCCTGTACGTATTGTGAAGTGTTTCTGTGTTTTTTTCTGGGTTTTTTTCTCAATTTATTAAAAGCAAAGTGAATTTTAATTATTTTCATAAAGTGCAAGAAAATGCTTTTCATATGAACCATAAACATATATTAACATTCCTTGATCCAGCTTCAGGACCACTAGTGAGCAATATTCTTTAATTGCTAGTCCAAAACTTTTCCTTGCAAAACATCGCTTACCATGTGTTCTGACTTTGATAATGAACTGTTTATATCTAACTACTCCTTTAATATGGCCTTGTATCTTCTTATATATTTTATTCTATTTTATAAGTCTGATGATTTCAAGTAGGATAAATTCTGATTTAAAATATGTCCTTTATTTTGTACTAAAAAATACTTTGTCTAATACCCAACCATCTAATATACGTGAATATGCAATGCTGAAACCTGTGTAGTCATCAGACAAATTAGTATACAGTAATTTTGGTAAGTTCAACTGATTCTCAAGAAATCCAAGGGTCACATTTATCTTGAAAGAGACAGGGATTTTTAACTGGAAGATGAATGGTTAGGATTGAGTAGATGGGAAAGAACAGCAATGAAAAATACTGTTATTTGATGTGATTAAAAACAAAGCAGAAAATCTCTGTACTAAAAGCAGATTGGTTTTAGAATGAACTTGGTTGAAAATGTAGTTTATTTATGCCTCTGCGATGCAGAAATTATGGATTATGTGTCATTTAAATATAGACAGTATATTTTTCCATCTGACTTCAGTGATATGAGTATAAAGTTACAAGATTTATCTAATCCCCTGGGGTGATTCATAAAAGAGGAAAAAGCATTGCTTGAAGAAATTCATATTGTTTTACATAAAAGCCAGTTTAAAATGAAGACTTATTACACGCATATTTCTTATTAAGTATTTAACCATGTATATGCTATTATAATTTGCAATAGCGTGCAAGAGATTTCCTATTTATGAGAATTTTAGAAATGTGAACCAGTAGAGTTGATTAGATTAATAACTTGTTGCCCCAAACTACCAGTGTCCTGCGTATGATGATTATGCAATGCCTTTAGGTTGTCAGTCCCCAAGCTTTTACATGGCTGTCTCAACTTCGTCACCGATGGGAGGATACCCAGAAACACTGCTTTGTTAATATTTGTGATGCCCAGTTCCAGTACTTCTATGAATACTTAGGAAACAGCCCTCGACTAGTGATCACTCCTCTAACTGACAGGTAACAATTCAAAGTTTCCGTCCAGATAGGAAAAACAACCCAAAAAAGTCCCCTAGTGTGAGAATGAAAAGGAAGGAATGAGAGGAAACGATGAACAATGAACTATGTGAAAGTGGTGAAGAGAATTGAATTAGAGAAACAGAGTTACAGAAGCTATACAATGCACAAATGATGAAATCATGAGTGGATTAATATGGCTCAAGGAAGCATTGTTGATTCTGCCTAGTTATCTACAACTAACTTTCTGGTATCAGGATCTATCACCACCTCCCTCCACCCCCACAGGATTCCTTTACTGAAAGTGTACAATAACTAGGAATTGCCTGTGTTCAAATTCATATTTGAGGAACTGCATACAGTGAAAGGAAGGGAAGGTGAAGAACATAGCATTCATTAAATGATTCAACAAATACTTCTGAAGTACTCTGCTAAGTACTATTCCACTGTTGAACAGCCAGGGTTCCTGCTGTCACAGAGATTACTTTCTAGTAAGTGGGGGTAAAGAGAAACAATAAAAAAGTAAATTAATTATTTTAGGCTGTGATATATGCTATGACAACAATAAAAAAAGATCAATATGTTTAAAATTGTCTTGAAGGGAGAGCCTACTATTGTGGAGAGCTTGAGCTGGGACCTAAATGATGAGGAATCAGTTATGCAGAGATCCTGGGGCAGAAAGTTACAGGCAAGAGCAAGGACAAAGTTTCCAAGGTGGGAAGACACTTGGCCAGTTTCAGGGATAGAAAGAAAGCCAGTGTGGCTCAAGTATTTCAAGGGGGCAGGAGGTTACTATTATTAATAGTTCGTTTCCACTTGACTCCAAGTAAATACATACCTAGTCAGAATATTGCGGAGATAAGAATATGTCACATTGACGGGAATTTCTTTGTTAGTATTCCAATCTCTGCTGACCTGTTTGATGGGAGACAGCACATTTAATCTTTGGCATTCATGAAGCAGAAATCACACCTCAAGGTCATAGCTGCATGCCCAATTATCCACTATCACCGAAGTGTAGACAATTTCAAATATAAGTCTATAAAGCTGGTTTGCTATGGTAGTCCTGAGAGGCTGGTAGGATTCTCCCACTACATTTGTGATTGTTCTTGCACATAGTAACCTGCTCATAATCGCGACATTTGTGTATTGTATAGTTTCTATAATTATGTCTAATTCAGTTCTTCTAACTTGTCTCTGATTAAAAGTCAGCATTCACTGTCCTCATTAGTTAATTTATGCATTGCTTTCAGTGAGAGGGATTAAAATTGTAGCTTGATGAAGTCACTTGAGAATAGTCAAAACTGCAAATGTGAAGAGTCTACCGTACGCATGCCATTGTCAATAGAGAAGGAGGAAAGGGAGGCCCAGGGTATAGGAGAAAAAGGGAAGAGGCATTTTAAAGTTTATCATTATGTGAGGCCTGATAGTTTATTAACTTTGAAATTAGAAGAATCACCATGTGGGTTTTTTGGGAGCTGAAAGGAAGATGAAAGTTCATTTTGATAGTGTGAATTGTGTTGGATAAAATGTTTCCATTTCCATTTCATTCTTTGAATTATTTACTAATTGTTTACATTAACAAAATGATGCCCTTCAAATTCTTCCATTATATTTCATTTGATGCTGACCATCCCTTTGTGAGGTAGGCAGGGGAGATAGTGTCTCCTTCTTCCATATGTGGATGGGTTCAGAGACTTAAGTCAACTGTGTATTGACTAGAAGGATGCCGGTTAAGCTGCTGTTAGATATTCCAAACAAAAGACAATGGCTGAAATAACACAGAAGTGGGTATCTCACTGTCCAGAGGTACAGGCTGGCAGGTGGCTGACATGCTAAACATGGTTTCCACATGTGTTTTAGCCAGTGAAAGGGGAAAAAAGAGAGTCCAGGTCAAATATCTCCAAGGAAGTGTTGTAGGAATGGCACTCGTCATTTCTGCACATACACCATTGGTTGGAGTTTGGTCACTTGGCAACTCCTGACTGAAAGGAAGGCAGGAAATGTAGTCTCTAAACACTGGCAGCCATATGCCTACCCAAAACTTGGAACCACTGGAGAAAATTACAAGGCGAAAATCTCTACTACAAAAAGTACTCTGATTCCTAGTCTGGGAGCCTTTTCACTCATTCATTGTAAGATACACTTAAACATGCAATGGATATAAAATGCAGAAACACTGTCTGTTTTCATAATTAATCGCTTCTATTTGCATAGTACTTTCAATTTTTTAAGGCATTTACCTTTGGCCTTCTGAATATATTCCTACAATTAACCTCATTTAATAGAGGAGAAAACTGAGGTGTGTTGATGTCAAAAGACTTATTTAAGATTAGCATCTGATCATTGGCAAAGGGGACATTAGTCTCTCGTCTCCTGACCTCCATGTGTATATCATTCACTAGACCTGCTGTCTGTACTAAGAGAAAAACAATTTATAAATCTGAGGAAACTCCAAATAAAGAATACAGCCATTTGATGTCCTTGCTATTTGTTTTGTCTTCTTTTATTAGGTATTCTTGTTTCATGATTTTCTAAGAACTTCTGAGTCTTTGCTGCAAAAATAAGTATTATGGTAATCTAAGTGGATGTAGCAACACATTCCAAAGGAATTTGTAAAATATATTTAAATACAGTAAATTGCCCTTTTATATTTTCTTTGTATATTGAAATAGGTATATGTTATTTGTATACTATGTATTTATAGAAATTACATATCTCTTAATGTATTAAGTAGCAGTTTAATACAGCCAATGTTTAATTCATTCATCATCTAAGACTTCTCTTCTACTTTTCCTTTATAAACAATAGTTTGGATGTTGTCTGCCATATTAATATCTTTACCTAGAAATATCAGAAATTTAATAGTGTTACAAATCAAGTGTTATTTGTATTCAAATACACAGCTCTTAGGAAATGAGATCAATAAACAAAGAAATACATTCTTTTCTAGTATTTTTAGACAGCTAGCCTAAAAATAAATGTGATAGAAAATATTCTGATTCATTATTGCCATGAACAAATCAGAAGTATATCAGTATTTTATGCTACTATCACATTCTAGAGCTTCTTAAACTTTTTTTCTAATGTATTGCCTCTGATGTTTTATGAAAATCTCATATTAGACTGTGATGTTTGTGTTTTCTATTGCTTAAAGGTGTTATATTACCTTAACTCAATCACTTCATCTAACCATGAGTGGGGCTCCTGCTGGCCCAGCTGGTACCGGGAAAACAGAGACCACCAAAGACCTAGGACGTGCCCTTGGCATGATGGTCTATGTATTCAACTGTTCAGAGCAAATGGACTACAAAGTAAGTTAGTAAGAGAATAATGTGTAAAACTTTATTCTCTAACATTATTCCTGATTGGGAATTATTCAATATAATAGCGTAAAAACCCCTTCTGTTAAATTCTGAGTGCCTCACTTTATCATTTAGTCCATAGGCAATATCTATAAGGGATTGGTGCAGACAGGAGCTTGGGGCTGCTTTGATGAGTTCAACCGAATCTCTGTGGAAGTTCTGTCAGTGGTGGCAGTACAAGTGAAAATGATTCATGATGCCATCAGAAACAGGAAGAAGAGGTGAGTGGCATGCAGGCTATCTCTTGTTACAAATAGAAAAACATGGAATAATGCAGGTAACCTCCCCTTCACTGTCTATTGCTACCTCTCCCTGTCTCATGAAATAGATAAAGGAAGATTCTGGTCGATTTGGGGGAATTATTTTGAATAGTCTCCCATTTTTATTAGTGGTTTCTAAGTGTTGAGTACAACACATGTATATTACATTACTTTAATCACTTAAAAAACAAACAACTTCTAGGATTGGCCAGACACAGTGACTCATGCTTGTGATCCTGGCACTTTGGGAGTTTGAGGCGAGAGGATTGTTTGAGCCCAGAAGTTCAACACCAGACTGGGCAATATAGCGAGACCTGGTGTCTACAAAATAAATAAATTTTAAAAATTAGCCAGGCATGGTGGCATGTGCCTGTAGTCCCAGTTATTTTTGAGGCTGAGGCAAGAGGATTGCTTGAGCCCAGGAGGTCAAGGCTGCAGTGAGATGTGTTCGTGCCACCGTGCTCCAGCCTAGGAGACAGAGCAAGACCCTTTCTCCAAAAAACCCAAAAGACTTCTAAGATGCTCATTCCATTGATCAGTTCTCAGTCCTCATCTTTCTTGACCTCTGGCAGCATCTGATGCAGTTGGTTATTCTCCACTGCATGATATACTTTCTTCACGTGGGTTGAGGACAACACCTCTCCTACATCTCTCTCCCCTCACAGCGCTTCATTGCTGGTTTCTTCTCATCTATAAAATGGGGGAAAGAAGAGTACCTGCCTTATAGACTACTGTGATGATTAAATGCAAAGTACCTGGAAAAATGCCTACCACATAGTAAGCACTATATCCGTGTTTCCTATTATGTTTTATTGTTATTATTTCCTGGCCAACCCAACTCACGTTAGGCATCACAGGCCCCAGTCTTTGGATTTACTTTCTCTATATTTTCTCCCCTTGTTGATTTCAACTAGTCCCAGGGCTTTAAAAAAACTCTCTCTATGCTGCTGACTACCAGATGCCCAGGCTTCCTCTCTCCTCATCTCTGGACTGACCTAAACAACTGCCTGGGGCATCCCAAGGCTCTACTGGAGGTCTCCCAGGCTTCTCATATTTAATATATCCAAAATAAAAATCTTAGTCCTTCCACCAACTCCTTCTTTGCTAGTTGTCTCATCCCAATAGGTTATACCTTCATGTTCTTGCAGTAACTTGGGCCAAGACCTTTCAAATTATGTTCGAAATCTAAATGCTTCTCAACACAATGCCACATTCCAAAAAGCAAAACACAGCTGGCACTTACGTTTGATGGCTTAATTTGAGAAATAAATTAGTATAGTATGCAGCACAATTCTGGTTCTCTTTGTAACATTTTTATCAACAGGGCAATCTTATTTATCTGGCCCACCTGTGCCCCCTTAGTTTTTAGAATATTTTTCTCAGCTAGCTTGTCCATAGGAACATTTTCAATGTCCCAAGGATTATCTAGCCTCTTGGACTGTTTACCTGTTGTAGAAGTTTCCAGGTTATCAGGAGATACATCTGGATATTTCTACATTCTAGAAAATCTCTCAGTCCTTCTGCCACGTGGGCCTTGGGTCCCAGTTTTTTGTGTTCAGGTGTCTGTTTCCTGACCTGTCCCATCTCTAAGGCCATGATAGAGAGGCTCAGTTATTTGTTCTTAGATCTCCAGCTATATTTTATCTAGCTTTTAGTCAAAATCTTTTTATTTGATGTAACCCAGATGTCATTTGAGGCCATCCTTTCTTATGGAGATTTATGTAACTGATCCATGTACTGATTTCTGAAAATTGCCGAGAATACTCCTTGGTAGTCTCCTCTTGTCTGAATGTCTGTAGGTCTGCTCTCTTCATCTTATTTTAGCCCATATGCAGACAGCTCTGCTCCTTCTTGACTTCATGAGCTTATTAAATTCTCTGTACACATGAAGATTTAAGAGATGGGACCATGCCTCAATTACAAAGCCTTCTAGTGCCTTGCCAGCTCTACCCTCTGGAGGTCCACACCTTTGACTGTGGCTGTCCCTCCTGTGTACAATGGGAGAAGAGGCAGTTATTCTGTGGCAAGAGCCACCGCTCTGCGTGTGAGCGGCCCTGCCAGCCTGTCTGCCTTCCCTAGCCTGACATTCTGGGAAATGAAGTTTTCTCCATTTTTATCTTGACTATACAAAATCCACCTGCTCCTAATTACCTAGTGTCTAAAGCACCCTTAGTCCTAAACACTGTGGTTTCTTTCTGTGTTTTCTCTTTCATGATGCAGACCCAGCTCCTTAACTGCTTCAGCCCTCCCCTCTCAGCAATGCAAGAGATCAGCCTTATATTTTGTCTCGTTTACCCTCATTTGAAAGTTTCCCTCTACCTGTCTCTCAATATGGCTCCCATAGCACATTACCATTCATTGCCCTGGCCAGCAGCAACCCACTTGGGTCCTCACAGATCTTTCTGAAAATCTTTCACTATTTCTCCAACGCAAATCTTTCACTGTTTCTCCAGTGCCTTTAAGTGACAGTAATAGCATTAGTCATAGCTAACATCTCTTGAGTATTTTCCATGTTCTAGGCATTATACTTTTACCCATTTATATTTATAATCCCTTTTAAATCCTTGCAGAATCCAATAAGGTTGGTAATATGATTATTATTTTTACTAGATGAGGGAATTGGAACATAGGATAATTAACTTGCCTAAAAGGGATATGCCTGGTATCTGAATACTCACAGTCTGGCTCCAGAGCTATTGTACCTCTCAGTGATATTTAATAGATTTTTCTTGAGTCAATGAAAGGTATGGAGGGAAAGAGGAAGAGAAGTTGAAGAAATAGACAAAACTTAAGACTGAGCAGGACGTCCCTTTCTCCTCTTAGTATGGGCATTCTCTGTCTATGCAGCATCCCATTCAAGGAATTGCAGCCCATGTTGAAGGTAAAAATGCCATCACCTCCTTCCATTAAATGTTAAAATAGTCAAGTCTTTATTTTTATATTCTAGGATACTAAGGCTATGCTAAAATAAAAAAGAATACTTCCCATTTTTATAATTCCTCCAGGAAAAGGGAGGGTATTTTTAATAAATATGCTTCAAAACATATTCAAAATATGTATGGGCTTATGAATTTTAAAGAAAATTACACAGAATAAACAGCTTCCTAATAATTTGCATTTTGCAGTGGTTTGCATTTGTCAATGTGCATTCATATTCAATGAACACATTTAATTTCATCAACATTCTTTTTATGGTAGATTTGTATTTCTTGGGGAAGCTATCACACTGAAGCCATCAGTTGGAATATTTATTACTATGAACCCGGGTTATGCTGGTCGAACCGAATTACCGGAAAATCTCAAAGCTCTTTTCAGGCAAGTGTTATGCTTTGTGGCTTAGCATCTGGTGCACTCATGCCACCTAATGTTGTTGGTTTGCACTGTTAAGTGGTTTGCTTTTACTTGAAAATTCCTAAGGAAAATCCTATATGATTTCCTTGGGCTCCTTTTATAGACAGAACTTTCACCATGATAAATTAACCCTTTTGAATTATAAAACCAGGACTCAAAATCAGTATTTAAAAGTTACGTGGTATATTTGCATATTTACTGTTAGCTATTTTGTAATGCATATTTTTATTATAAACATAATCTTTCATAATTTTTTTTTTCTTTTTTTTTTTTTAACAGTCAAAGTGCATTTTATTGCCAACAGAACACTTCAGGAGGAAATGCTAACACAAAGCCAAGGCGCTGGTGCTGGCTCATTTTTGCTCCTCCTGACCTTGGCCAGTATTTGGTAGCCTTTCCAGAGCACAGGGTGAAAGGCTAAAGGGCTAGGGCTGGGGTGGGGGGAGCAGGAGGGCATGGCAGCTGCTGGCTCTGTCCTCCCAGCCTGGTCCCACCCCTCCTGCCGCTCTCCTTGGGCTCAAGGGACACACATTCGTTCAAATCTGACGGGCAAAGCCAGGGCCTAGCCCACTCTAGCCGCAGGGTCCCCTCCCTGAGGGCCCTGGTCCAGAATCTTTCATAAATTATGAGCTGTTTGGAAAATATAGAAAAGAATAAAGAAAAAGTTACATCACCATCCAGAAATAATGATTGTTATGTTTTCTAGCCTCCTTTTATAATTTATATTTTGTGGGATTAAGATATTACAGTAGGCATGATTTTTCTTTAGTTCTCTTCATTTAATATTTTGACATATTTTATCATATTATTAAACAACCTTTAGAAATATCATTTTATGTAGCTCTAAAATAGTCCCTCTCATGCCTTGTTCATAAATTTCTTAACCATTCACTGTTGTCTGTTATGTAGGGTTTGTCTTTTCCTTTTTTTTATTATAATGAAGTAGCAGGCTGTAAACTTCTATTCACATGAAAAATTACTCTTATTTCAGAATAGATTTCTAAATGTAGAATTACTTAAGTGAATGATTAAAATCCCTATTGATGACCTGCTTTTCAAAAGTACTCTGCCAATGTATGCACTTAGCAGGAGTCTGTAAGAGAACATGTGTTGCTATACCTAGTATCCGTTACGATTCACTTATAATTTAAGTCAACTTCATTCAGGTATCATTTTTTTGGTTCAGTTTTCCAGAAAACTCTGTATTGTAATTTTGCAGAATTGAAATATGGTTTATGTTTTATTAGAGAAAGAGAGATCAGGTTTAGAGATAAAATTGTAAGGTTTATCATCATACCAGGTGATAGTAAAAACATTCAGGTATAATTTAATACAATCAAGTGTACAGTTGGTGAAAGCATAACCACAATCAAAGTACAGAATATTTCCACACCCCCAGAAATTCTCTTCTGCCTCTTTGAAGTGAGCCTCCCATACCAATAATGTACTTTCTGTGATTATAGATTAAATTTGTCATTCCTAGAGTTCATGTAAATGAAACCAGACAATATGTACGTTTTTGTGTCTGGCTTCTTTGAGCATTGTGGTTTTGAGATTTATCCAAGTTGTTGAGCGTATCAGTAGTTTGCCCCTCTTTCTCACTGATTAGTATTCTATTATATAGACCTACTGCAATTTGTTGATCCATTCACTAGTTGATGGACACTTGGGCTGTTTCCAGGTTGGGGCTATTATGAATAAAGCGGCTATGAACATTCACGTGCGATGTTTACATGAACATATATTTTTATTTCTTTGGGACAGATATCTATGGCTGGAATTGCTAGTCTACATGGCAATTGTGTGCTTTGCTTATAAGAATCTGCCAGTCTGGTTTCCAAAGTGATTTTACAAGTTTACATCCTCACCATCAATGCATGAGAATTCTAGTTGCTCACATTCTTGTCAAAAATTGATACTGTCAGCCTTTTTTATTTTTAGCCAATCTAATAGATAGGTAGTACTGTGTCCTCCTAGGTTTAGTTTGCATCTCCATGATGGCTAATGATGTTGAGCCTCTTTTACATACTTATTGTCTATTGCTATACCATCTTTTGTGAAAAGCCGTATTCTGCATACAGTTCCTTTGTTAGATACATACATTGCAAATATTTTTTCTCTCAATTTGTGGCTTGCCTTTTCATTTTCTTTTGTCCATCAAAGATAGAAGTTTTAAATGTGATGAAATATAATTTATCAATTTGTTTTTGTTTTTAATATCCTATTCAAGAAAATTTGCTTAGCCCAAGCTTGCAAAAATTTTTAACTATGTTTTCTTTTATAAGCTTTGTTGTTCTATAGTTTTCGTATGGGTTTTCTCCTTTATTCTGTTAATGTGCTGAACTATATTGATTGATTTTCAAATGCTAAACAGTCCTTCGGTGTTGCATTCCAGGGATAAGCTCCGCTTGGTCAGGAGGTATTTTATTAATAGGTACTGCTGGATTCAATATGACACTCTTTTGTTAAGGAATTTTTAAAAATCTATGCCATGAGGGTTATTGTTCTACACTGTCCTTGTAAAATTTTTGTCTGGCTTTGGCATCAGAGTAGTGCTGACATCATGAAGTAAGTTGACAAGTGTCTTCTCTATCTGCTTAAGAGTTTGTGTAGAATTGCTATTATTTACTCCTGAAGTATTTGATTGAATTAATCAGTTAGGCCATTTGGACCTAGAGATTTTTATTGGAATCTTTTTAATAATGAATTTAATTCCTTTAATAGATACAGGGATTTTCTGATTTTTAATTTTTTTATTGATTTGATTTTGGTAATTTAAATCTTTTAAGGAACTTATTGGTGTTATCTAGTTGAATCCATTGGCACACACTGGTTCATTGTATTAGTCCATTCTCACACTGCTATAAGTAACTACCTGTGAATGGGTAATTTATGAAGAAAAGAGGTTTAATTGACTCAAAGTTCCAGAGGCTGTACAGGAAGCATGGCTAGGAGGCCTCAGGAAACTTACACTGATGGCAGAAGGCTAAGGGGAAGCAAGCATGTCTTACAAGGTGGACCAGGAGAGAGAACACGCGCGAGGTGGGGAAGTGCCACGCACTTTCAACCCATCGTATCTCATGAGAACTCACTCACCATCATGAAAACCACCATTCATGAAGAATGGGGAAAATCTGCTCCCATGATCCAGTCACCTTCCACCAGGTCCCTCCCCCAACATTGAACTACAATTCAACATGAGATTTGGGTTGGGACACAGAGCCAAACCATATCATTCATAATATTCCCTTATTATTATTTTTTAAGTTTTATTTTTATTATACTTTAAGTTCTGGGATACATGTGCAGAATGTGCAGGTTTGTTACATAGGTATACATGTGCAATGGTCGTTTGCTGCACCCATCAACCCATCATCTAGGTTTTAAGCCCTGCATGCATTAGGTATTTGTCCTAATGATCTCCCTCCTCTTGCCCCCCACCACCTGACAGGCCCTGGTGTGTGATGTTCCCCTCCCTGCGTCCATGTGTTCTCATTGCTCAACTGCCACTTATGAGTGAGAACATGTGGTGTTTAGTTATCTGTTCTTGTGTTAGTTTGCTGAGAATGATGGTTTCCAGCTTCATCCATGTCCCTGTAAAGGACATGAACTCATTCCTTTTTATGGCTGCGTAGTATTCCATGGTGTGTATGTGCCACATTTTCTTTTTCCAGTCTATCATTGATGAACATTTGGGTTGGTTCCAAGTCTTTGCTATTGTAAATAGTGCTGCATTAAACATACATGTGTATACGTCTTTATAGTAGAATGATTTATAATCCCTTGGATATATGCCCAGTAATGGGATTGCTGGGTCAAATGGTATTTCTGGTTCTAGATCCTTGAGGAATTGCCACACTGTCTTCCACAATGGTTGAACCACTTTACACTCCCACCAACAGTGTAAAAGCATTCCTATTTCTCCACGTTCTCGCCAGCATCTGTTGTTTCCAGACTTTTTAATGAGTGCCATTTTAACTGGCATGAGATGACATCTCATTGTGGTTTTGATTTCCATTTCTCTAATGACCAGTGATGATGAACTTTTTTTCATAAGTTTGAACTCCCATTCACAATTGCTACAAAGAGAATAAAATACCTAGGAATACAACTTATAAGGGATGTGAAGGACCTCTTCAAGGAGAACTACAAACCACTGCTCAAGGAAATAAGAGAGGACACAAACAAATAGAAAAGCATTCCATGCTCATGGATGGGAAAAATCAGTATCATGAAAATGGCCATACTGTTCAAAGTAATTCAAAGATTCAATGCTATTCCCATCAAGCTACCATTGACTTTCTTCACAGAAGTAGAAAATACTACTTTAAATTTCACATGGACCCAATAAAGAGCCCATATAGCCAAGACAATTCTAAGCAAAAAGAATAAAGCTGGAGGCATCACACTACCTGACCTCAAACTATGCTACAAGGCTGCAGTATCCAAAACAGCATGGTACTGGTACCACAACAGATGTATAGACCAATGGAACAGAACGGAGGCCTCAGAAATAATGCCACACATCTACAACCATCTGATCTTTGACAAACCTGACAAAAACAAGCAGTGGAGAAAGGATTCCGTATTTAATAAATGGTGCTGGTAAAACTGGCTAGCCATATGCAGAAAAAAAGCTGGACTCCTTCCTTACACCTTACACAAAAATTAACTCAAGATGGCTTAAAGACTTAAACATAAAACCTAAAACCATAAAAGCCCTAGAAGAAAACCTAGGCAATACCACTCAGGACATAGGCATGGACAAAGACTTCATGACTAAAACACCAAAGCAATTGCAACAAAAGCCAAAATTGACAAATGGGATCTAATTAAACTAAAATGTGTCTACACAGCAAAAGAAACTGTCATCAGAGTGAACAAGCAACCTACAGAATGGGAGAAAATTTTTGCAATCTATCCATCTGACAAAGGTCTAATATCCAGAATCTACAAGGAACTTAAATTTAGAAGGAAAAAAAAACCCATCAAAAAGTGGGCAAAGGATATGAACAGACACTTCTCAAAAGAAGACATTCATGTGGCCAATATTCCCTTATTATCTGTAGTGATGTCTTGAATTCCATACCTGATACATGGGTAACTTGTATCTTCTCTCTCTTCCTATTTCCTTGATGATAAGCTAGAGGATTATCAGTTTTATTTTGGGGTTTTATTTAGGGTGCTCAATATGTGTGCTCAATACTATTCAGTATGCTTTTAAAATAATATTCCACTTCACATATAATCTAAGAATGTCTACAGTTTTTAGTGTGATCTCTTTCCGTTCTTTCCAACTTAAAGTTTGCTTGTCCATCCATCTGGGTATTTAACCATATTTCATTTGTATTTTCTTCTAATTTTTATAGTATTACTGTTCTTATTAAATTTAATCTGATGAGAACTTATTTTAGTTGGTAATATGAAATGAGTGTTTAAACAATTATTTTCCCTAATAGTTAATCAATTGTGCTAACATCTTGTATTGAATGTTTTTCTTTCCTCATAACAGCTTTCTCTAGCATAATAATTTTATAATGTCTAACTTTCTTGAAAAATTCTAGATAGAGAATAACCATTCTAGAAATCAATGTAATAACTACAGAATAGCTTTGTTTGAAAACTGTGTGCATTTCCAGTATCCTATTTGTGACCCAATTTATCTCATACTTTCTTTCATTTGGGTCTTGAAATTTGAAATTGTCTTGTGAATTTTTTTAATAACTTTTGTTTAATGGGTGACGAAAGCATTACTCATGTGTGGAGGCCATATGCTTGTGCCTTTGGAGTATTCTGATTCCACCACTCACCAACCATGAGGCCTACAGCATGTGCTTGAACTTCTGGGAACATCAGTCTGCCTCTCTGTAAAATGAAGATAAGAGGAGTGGGTACCTCATAGTGTTGTGGGGATTAAGTGAGAGAGTGCATAAAAAGATTTTAGCACCCAATATGGTATGAAGTGCTCAGTAAAAATTAGTTGTCTATATTAATGTAGATATAAAATACATAGATATGCTAGTCTTTGCTCTCTCCATTTACTCTTCATCTTCTGGTGTCATGTGAAGAGTAATAACTGTGTGAAAAAATATGGGGTTAGTTTAGATAGAAGAGATATAGAATAACCTAGATCCAAAGATACTTTAAGGTTAGATGTTTAGGATGAAAATCAGGTATGCATGAAGTAGACTGCAATTATATTTACAAAAACAGGTAGGTATTATTGGAATGTATACTTTAAGAAGTCTAAAATAATGAGCTTATTTATTTACTCTTCCTTCTTTGCACTTGACTTCAGTTGAGTGGAATTTTTTCAAACGTTGCTGTGAATAGCAATTGTCTTTGGAGAGGGACTTTTTGGAAGTCCCTCTCCAAAAGAAAGGGGATTTGAAGCTATGTTTTTCTAAATGTCCCCTTTAAAAGTCTATCCCAGTTGGTCCTAGGCAGTGGTGTGCTGGCAGTGGCTGGCACAAGCTCTCAGTAGCTGATGGTTAAGTTTTCATGAATGTTCTGAGTTGGTTCTTTAGTTTAATGAAAACTAAATTGTATCAACTTTTGATTCAATAAGTTGGATTAAAAACAAAGGTGATAAACACCCCAAACTGGTCACTTTATAATTATTTATTTTACTGGTATTTATGCTCTTGAGGTTATTTCTGTCTATTGTGTCTGTATGGTGGTATACTTCTCAGCTCCACATTTAGTGATATTGTGTTGGTATCTTGGAATCAGCCATGGTGGAAGAATTTATTCCATGGAAATAAGCAAGTGCTATTTTCTAGACAGCCGGTTGTGAAAACATTAACCAGCACACCATTAACCACAGGTAAAGCCTCGCCCCTTGCTCAAAACATCATTATTCCTCTTTCTGCAGTGACAACTTACACCAGACGTTTACAGAATGTATTCATGGATTTTCTTTGAACTCCTACACCTGTGCTTCTGCCATTCCAGACTTTCTATCATTTTTTGTGTCCAGTAATGAGTGGACATTTTTTTAGTTGAAGTGAAGGGTCTTATTAGCTGTGATTGACAGACATAATTATGATCTGCTTAGGAATGGTTAAAATGTTGGTACGAAATAACCACTTGATTTCAGCAATTTGTACTTATCACCTTGTCACATTTTAAAACTAAAATTCTTATTTACTTTTTAGACCCTGTGCCATGGTGGCCCCTGACATTGAGCTAATCTGTGAAATCTTGTTAGTTGCTGAAGGTTTTGTGGATGCGCGTGCATTAGCCCGAAAGTTCATTACGTTGTACACGCTTTGCAAGGAGCTTCTCTCCAAGCAGGTGAGGGATCATTTGTTACGTTTTCTTGTTTTTACATACCATTGAAAAAGCTTTTGAAGTATGGATTTTAGGTAATTTATCATTCAAATTACATTAGACATTAAAATTTTTTTGTACTTAAAAAAATTCAATAGTTTGGGGGAACAGGTGTTTTTTGGTTACATGGATAAGTTCTTTAGTGGTAATTTTTGAGATCTTGGTGCACCTGAGGAGTGTACACAGTACCCAGTGTGTAGTCTTTTATCCCTCACCCACCTCCCACCTTTTCTCCCAAGTCCCTGTAGGCCATTATATCATTCTTATGCCTTTGCATCCTCATAGCTTAGCTCCCACTTATAAGTGAGAACATACGATATTTGGCTTTCCATTCCTGAGTTACTTTACTAGAATAATGGTCTCCACCTCCATCCAGGTTGCTGCAAATGCCATTATTTCATGCCTTTTTATGACTGAGTAATATTCCATGGTGTATATATACCACAGTTTCTTTATCCACTCATTGGCTGATGGACATTTAGGCTAGTCCATATTTTTGCAATTGCAAATTGTGCTTCTATAAATAGGCATGTTCAAGTGTCTTTTTCATATAATGACTACTTTTCCTCTGGGCAGATACCCAGTAGTGGGATTGCTAGATCAAATGGAGATTCCTTTAAAAACTAAAACTACCATTTCATTTGACATTAGAAATATTTTTATATTTTCTATAAAATTCGAAAAACTTATTTTATAATTTTTATTTTTTTCTGAAATTTTGAGATATTTTAGTTCTGATATTTTATTTGTATTAATACTTTTTTAAATCAACGAGCTGTGTGATTTTCTTTGTCAATTTTGTAATCATAAATGGAATTTTATGTTGCCTCCCTTTCTTCGTGAAAATATTATTTTCTAATAAGATAGGGCAGGAGTGTTCAAAAGAGTAAGATAAGGCTAATTTTCTGAAGAGTATCTCAAGGAATGTTAAAATTATTCTCATTTATTGGTAATTCTTTATTTAAAGGTAGGGTTGACTGGTTTTTTGTTCTTTTAAATTTGTGCTCTACAATTTCCTTGTCTCTAAAATGGGTCAGATTTACATACTCTCTACTCTCCAATCATAAGCTTCTTGAAGATCTATTGAAGTTGCTGATAAGCCACAGAAATTACATATATATCAGCATCAATATTTTAAAATTCAGCCATATGATCATTTTTGACTTTTGGTCTTTTGATAACATTTCATTAATTACTGGTGACATTATTCTGTAGTCAAAATGAAAGCATCAGAATACCACAGTTGCAACCACACAGTTACCTTACTGCCACGTATTTATTTTAACTTGCTCATTGTTAGGGCAAAATATGGAATATGAGAGTGATTTATGTTGTCCTTTTAGTAACTGTGAATTTACATTGGGTGGGTGGAATCATAATTTTTAACAGTTGTCTCTGGATAGTAAGATTATGGGTGTTTTTATTTTTTTCCTTATTCTTAAAATCTTTTTTTAATGAGCCTATTTTAATTTTATCATGGTAACAAGTCAGAAGAAAAAAATGTAATAGAGCCCAGGGAATGTGGAGTTTCAACTATATCTATTTTCAGTAGTAATATTTAAACATTTAATGAGCATCTAGTATAACTAATAATGTGCTTTTTGCTGACCATGTTGAATGTGTAAGATTCAAAACAAATGAAACAAACACCCAGATTTCTGACTTTGAAGAATTTAGGTAATTCAGTTTACATGACATAAAAATTGGGAGACAATGGAGAATGAAAAGATTATCAGAGTTTTCAAGGAAGAAAGGAACCAATATTTATTGAATGAGTACTATGTGTTATGTTACAAAACTGTCAAAAGAAGTTTACAAATTTGATTTTATTAGCCCTGTTTTACATATGAGAAAACTGAGCAAAACAACCTGTCCCAAGTCCATATAGCTAACAAGGGATAAGGGCAAGATTTGACTTCAGTTCTAATTCTGTCTAGGACACACCTGTAGCCAATTACAAGAGGAAGGTGTTGGGAGTACAGGTAGAACAAAGAAGGAAAGAGTTTGCTAACTCAGAAATGTCACAAATGAGCAAAAAGAAATCTGGCCAGGACAGAAGAGCTGGGTTAGGAACACAATTCAAGGATAACTTCCTGTGCTACAGAAATGGGTTTGGGAAAAGAATCAGCAGACATTTTTGACCATTGGAATGATATAATGAAAATGGTGAAGATACTTTTAGCTATTTGCATTGTTTAAATGTTTAGCAGAGGCACCAAGTCCTCTGAAATCTGTGGTCCAAAATTTCTTCTGCATCCACTCCTTTTATTGTTACTGCAATAACTTAGCCACCTCCCATTGTTGCCCTCAAAGTTCTTATTCTCAGAAACACCATTTGACCCAGCAATCCCCTTTCTAGGTATATACCCAAAGAATTATAAATCATTCTACTATAAAGACACATGCACACATATGTTTACTGCAGCACTATTTACAGTAGCAAAGACTTGGAACCAACCCAAATGGCCATCAATGATAGACTGGATCAAGAAAATATGGTACATATACACCATGGAATACTATGCAGCCATGAAAAAGGATGAGTTCATGTCCTTTGCAGAGACATGGACGAGGATGGAAACCATAATTCTCAGCAAACTAATACAGGAATAAGAAACCAAACACCACATATTCTCACTCATAAGTAGGAGTTGAACAGTGAGAACATATGGGCACAAGGAGGGGAACATCACACACTGGAGCCTGTTGGGGGTGGAGGGCTAGGGGAGGGATAGCATTAGAAGAAATACCTAATGTAGATAACAGGTTGATGGGTACAGCAAACCACCATGGTACGTGTATACCTATGTAACAAATGTGCACATTCTGCACATGTGTCCCGAAACTTAAACAACAACAACAACAACAACAAAACCTCTGGTTCTTTCCCCTCCCTTTCCTCTTCAAGCCTCAGCCTACTCCATCAGTGGCTTTCAAATGATCTTTTCCATGGCCCACAGTAAAAAATAATTCTTCTATTGTGACTCAGTGCATACACACATGTACAACTGAACCAAAAATTTCACCAAACACTTTTTACTTTTTTTTTTTTTTTTTTGAGACAGTGCCTCGCTTTGTTACCCAGGCTGGAGTACAGTAATGTGATCATAGCTCACCACAGCCTCGACCTTCCTGGCTCAAGCGATCTTTCCATCTCAGCCTCCTAAGTAAATGAGACTCTAGGCGTGCACCATCACGCCCAGCTAATTTTTGTATTTTTTGCAGGAGTGGGGTTTCCCCCTGTTGCCCAGGCTGGTCTGGAACTCCTGGGCTGAAGCAATCTGCCCGCCTCAGCCTTCCAAAGTGCTGAGATGACAGGCATGAGCCACCACACTCAGCCACTTTTTGCTCTCATTTGCATCACACTGCAGTGTTTTTCATTTCGTTCCCTTTTATTACAGACAAAAATGATGGTCGAGACCTACTAAATTGATTTTATTATCCACTAGTGGAGTAAATGGGATATTTGTAATGTAATATTGTTTTACCGCCCACAAAAAATTTGTACTCATATTAATTCACTTTACTCCTACAACCACTTATAAAGTAGGTGGGTGCTTTTATCTCCCTTTTTATAGATGATGATTCTGAGGCTCTGGGAGGTAAAGTGTCTTTCCCATAGACACAGCTGAGAGACATTTGAGAGATGGGTTGTTACTGTGTGGGTTGTAGCTGGACGGTGAAAGAGGGCCAGTCCCGTGTAAGCAGTTAGTTCGTTAGGAATACCTTTACTGAGCACCGTGCAATGTGCTAGCCCCAAGAAGACAGTGAATATATGGGAAATAAGTTTATCATGAGAAAAAGCCAGAAGAAAAAATGTAATTGGTCCCAGGGAGCATGGAGTTGCAATTGTATCCAATCTCAGAAGTAATATTCTGAGATCCTCTAAGAGCTCAGACCCTGTGGGAGGAGTCTTCATTAGGGATAACGTTGTAGTCTCAAAAACAGATAATTGAATTTTAATGACATGGTTTTTATTATATTATGTGCTGGCATCTAGGCAGAAGTATCTGATTAAGAGGTGGAGTAATTGGGGCCATTAGGGATCCAAGTCTGGGGAGAAGTAGAATACCAGGGCCCTTGATGAAACCAGCACAGGTGGAGAAATGTGCTTCTGGTTGGAGGTGAAAACGGGGAATTTGCTGAGCTACTGAGTTAGCAGGTCTGTTGAGAGAGTACAGCAAGGGAGGTGGATGGAGCCTTAGGCAAATACTGCAGTTAAGCGCTATGGAAAGAAGAGACTTGCTGACAGAGGCAAAAAAAAAAAGGTGAAAGAAACAGGACGACACTACAGGGACATGATTTTCACAGTTTCAAAGAGCAGAAGAAAATAGTATTTTGAATCATTAAAGTGTGTATTTATCTGAACTCCTTCTTAAAAACTTTCAGCTCTTACCTCTGGAATGAGAATCTTCTTCCCTCATACAATTTTTGAGAAAATAAACCTGTTTTGATTTTAGGATCATTACGACTGGGGACTTCGTGCTATTAAGTCTGTCTTGGTTGTGGCTGGATCTCTGAAACGAGGAGATAAAAATAGACCCGAAGATCAGGTACTGCAATGCTAATATGATTTTGTTGAGTGAGTAGCTGGCCTGCTTCACAGACATGAAAGTATATGCCTGGATGGTGGGGCATGGACAGCACAACTTTTAAAAAGCATAACATCTGTTGTTAATGCAGGAAATTTGAGGATTGGCGTTCCTTATAAGAGGTCACAAGTGGTCTTGAGTACAAAGATATGAATCTGGAAAAGAAAATGTGATTTTACAAGTAGTTTTGAAATAGCCACAAAAAGTATTTTGACAGTCATAATCAAATAATTCAGTAATCACTGTTTGATTTCCTCTGAGGAACATTTAAGAAATCTGATTGAATTGGGATATTAATCCTGGAAAGTCAGCGAAGACATAATGGGAGAAAGAGCATCCATTTCATGGGACCTAAGATGGACATGCAGAATGAAACAGGAAGGGTGGGTGCCTGACACCAATGAAATGCGTGATTGGTTGGTCAGAGCTACTAGAGAAATGTTCTGCTCTCCTTCCTGGGGAGAAACGATAACAACACTTCATGAATTTTTCCCTTAAGTAGCGAGAGCAATGGATATGTGTTATCAGTCCATTTTCACACTGTTACAAAGAACTACCTGAGACTGGGAAATTTATAAAGAGGTTTAACTGACTCACAGTTCTACAGGCTTAACAGGAAGCATGACTGGGAGAACTCAGGAAACTGACAATCATGGAGGAAGGCAAGGGGCAAGCACGGACCTTCTTCACATGGTGGCAGGAGAGAGAGAGAATGAAGGGGAAAGTGCCACACACTTTTAAACCATCGGATCTCGTGAGAACAGCAAGGAGGAAATCCACCCACTTGATGATCCAATCACCTCCCACTAAGCCCTCCTCTAATTTGACATGAGATTTGGGTGGGGACACAAATCCAAACCATATCAATACATATCACCATGTGTATGTGCAATATGACTTGGGAAATAACAACAACAACAACAAAAAACCCAAAACTTTACTCTGTGTGATTTTTTAAATTGTGGGATATTTATTACGTATTTTTGTACTTTTCTTTGCCAATATTTCTCTCTTTTCCTCTTAATTTCCTCGTAATTTAGTACTAGGTCAAGATTTTCTTTCATTTATTTTTTCTCTTGCTTTTTAAAATTTTTGTTGGAATGCTTAACTCCTGCTGTAGAAGTTATCCTGACGTTTGAGTTACTGCTTTTAAAATCTTTAGCTTACAGCCAAGATAGAACAACAACAACAAAACTAAAAATGTTTGAGATTATCATTCTAAGATTCTCAGAGTACTTTGGATAAAATGATCTGATGGGCTTGATTAATTTAAATTCTGGAGTTTGAGGATTCAAGAGAGAAGGCCCTTAGATTGTTTCTGAAGATCAAAACAGATCATTGGCAGGGAAGGAAAAGGCCTCTTTGCTGTTCTTATTCTAAGGATTGTTCATTGTATCAGTTCAGCCTTCTCATGTTCTGATACATCAATTTTAAACATTTAACCTCCCTATTGATAGAATGCCATCTTAATGGAGAACAGTACCAATATCTCATGCTTCACATATGAGGAGTAAAAATAACAAACATCTTTAGTTTTTTAGGTGTTTGTTAGACCTTGTATTGGCTTTTTTATAAAATGTTTTTTTTTCTAGGTACTCATGAGAGCATTAAGGGATTTCAATATGCCCAAAATAGTGACTGACGACATCCCAGTGTTTCTGGGCCTGGTCGGTGACCTGTTTCCAGCCCTGGATGTGCCCCGGAGGAGGAAGCTGCACTTTGAACAGATGGTCAGGCAGTCTACCCTGGAGCTCCGCCTGCAGCCTGAAGAGAGCTTCATCCTCAAAGTAAAAGGAGCATTTGCTTTTCATGGCAGCTGTTGGGATTGTCAGTGGAAATAATTGTGGCTAATTGATACTAAAGCAAGATGTTAACTTGTACCCTAACCTTAATAGGATCTTAATATATGCTTTCAAGCATTTTCATATGGCAGGATTAAGTAAACATAAGTAAACATTTAAGTAGCCCCTCTCCGTAAGGTGAAAACATAGATATGATTTTCATGGCTTTAAATGTAAGCATGCTTTTAATTAGGTTACAAAACTTGTTGGTTCTTCGAGACATGCACTAAAAATTTACTTTGTTCTTTCCTCCTTTTTAGAGAACATTGGAAGTAAAATCATTAGTGCCTGCTTTTAATGAGGGAAGAATGACAACATGTATGAGAATAACTTAAGTAGATATTATCTGACATATCAAAGCCTCGTGCATATTTTTCAATTTGAATTCAGTGAATGCATGGATATTGAACACTATATACATTATCCATTTTAGATATTTTATAGGATATAAATCATTAGTTGTAGATAGTGATTGGCTATGTACAGTGTTTGTTCAAAACTCATGAAGAGTTAATGATTTTTGTAAGTAACCCCTGCCATATACTGAGTACTGCGTAAAATCGTGGGTTGGCTTTAGTCTCAGCCCTGTGGTCTACATGGGAGATCCAGGAAAAACTATACTTTTCACTTATGGTCTATTTTAACTTTCTCTGAACATACTGTTGTCAGTGGGGGCTGGCTTGGGTGTAAGGAAAGAAGAATTGGGCAAAAATGGTAGATTATCTTTTTGTCACCAACTCCTTAAAGGAAACCAGCAACCAGCTGTTTGCTCTGCAGGTTGTCCAGCTTGAGGAACTGTTGGCTGTGCGGCACTCGGTCTTTGTAGTTGGAAATGCAGGCACAGGAAAGAGTAAGGTATAGTAAATTGCCTAATAGCTTACAGCTATGGAAAGAACATTTGTTGTCATTGTGGTTCGGCCTATTTTCAATGCTACTCAAAAGAATTCCCCTCCATGAAGCCCACCATAATTTTGGGTCAGAATCTGAGACTGGAATCTTGCTGCTTGATCAATTGACATTCTTTTCCTTTATATTGGGTCAGCGGGGGGAGAACAAGAAACAAATAGAGGATTGCATTCACATAGGAAAAGCAAGCCAACATGAAGATTGAACTTTCCACGTGAGATGTTCAGTATCAGATGCAGGCATTTCGATATACACCATCCTACCTTATGCACCTTTCAATACATTTATGCTTGGATTCTTTTATCAAAGATAAACATATTAAGAGACTGTGGAATAAGATATCTGGCTGGAAGATTGGATTGGCTCTAGCCACATTTATCAAACCTATTTTCTTTTCCAAGTCATCCTTGATTCTCCTCCCCATATCATTCAGAAAAACAAACCGAAATATTTTCCTTCAGTACTCCCTCAGAAATATAACCCTCTATATGGCCAAACAAAACCTAAAAATAAAAGGAAGTGGCAAAACCCACATTTTTGATGTACCTATTATGTGCTGTGCTAGGTGCATTATGTATGATTTACTCGGCACAACAATGATATACTATGGGTATTATTATCCCCATTTTTAGTTCACTGCTTGATTTTGTTTGGTCTTACTGACAGTCCTGGAAACATACTTATTTTCTCGGTTGGCAGACGGTATATGCAGAACTGCATGCATTTTAATTCAGGATGCTTGGGTATAAACATACTTGGTAGCCAGCAGCTAAAAATAATCAGATTGAGCATATGAGATTTTAGAGGATGGCAGTATATGGAACTTGCCAGTATTTAGATCAGAACCCAAAGTGGAACAACTGTAAGAAAAAAAATCTCTGTATAGACATTTTTCTAGTGAAAAATATAATAAATGAAATATTAAAGTAGATAACTGATAGACCTGTAATTATTTTGTTAGAGTAAGTTACAGATGTAGGCCACAGTTCAAGGAAGGATAAAGTTAAATTCTATACTTTCCAGTGGATTAATGGTTTCTAAAAATATAAGCTTAATATTCCTAAGGCATTTACTTTCTTCTAGTCTTCACCAGTTCTGTTCTACTCAACAGGTACGTAACCCGAGATACCCGGAACACTGCAGCTCAGGGTGACGTTCTTTAGCATCTTATCATTTCAAAGTGTTTGCCAATTGTTTATCAGTTTTTCACAACCCTTGTGAGTAGGTCAGCATGATAAATATCTAAGACAAAAGCCACAGCTTTTCAAAGGAGCAAAAGGGAGAGTTAGGGCAGATATTTGAGTTAAAGTATTAATTAATTGAATAGACATACACTGAGCACCTGTTCTGTGAGTTCTCATTATCAAGGCTTTTCCTCAATTACCAGGATCAGGGTTTGTCAACCTCAGCACTGTTGACATTCTGGACTGGATAACTCTGCTGTAGGAGGCTATCCTGCTCATTGAAAGATATTTAGCAACCTCCCTGGTCTCTATCCACTGGATGTCCAGAAGCTCCTTCCCCCTTCTTCCCCCAAGTCAAGACAGTCTTTTCTTGAGAACCACTGCCCTAAGTCTCTAGGTCTCAAAGCATGGCCAGACCAGCATCATTGGCATTAGCTGGGCCCTTGTTGGAACTGTACATTACTGGCCCCACCTCAGACCTACTGAAATAGAAGCTCTGGGATTGGGCTCAGCAATCTGTATTTTAATACCCTCCAAACAGTTCTGTTGTAGGCTACATTTTGAGAAAAACCAATCTTGCTGATTCAGGCAGGGTAGATTTTGTAATCAACATAAATGCTTATTTATGTATGGTCCTCCACTTTGTACACATGATTAAAAATCTCAAGTGAGAAAGTGACTCCCTTTAGTCTAAATGGTTCAAAGAGTCAAGTGAACTGATTCTGTCTTGCTGAGTATTTGTAAGATGAAGCTTTTCAAGATGGTAATGGGAATGCACACATGTGCATTTTTCCCCTTCTCGATCTTAGCACACACACAGCATCTAGGAACATATAATGAATACGGAAAACTCTTCAGAAATCTTTTACTTTCCATTTGGCTTATGTTAGTATTAATTTTTTTGGCTCTTTCCTCCTTCCCCTCAGATTTTGAGAACACTGAACCGAACATATGTTAACATGAAACAGAAGCCGGTTTGGAATGACTTAAACCCTAAAGCTGTGACAACAGATGAACTCTTTGGTTTCATACATCATGCTACCCGAGAATGGAAAGATGGCAAGTAGTATTTCCCCTTTAGAAGTGCTCAATTTTTTTTTTCTATCCAGAAAGCCGTTTTTCAGTACAAGCCAATTTTAGTCATAGTCGCAGACTTACTGTTTATGTGTTGGCATTATTGGAAATATAGCAGATCACAACAGCATTTATAATGTATAAATTAAGACTAGATTTGAATAAATACTTGATTTGCATTCAGCAGATTTGTACTCAGAGCTGTTGTATTTTATCCCACGTCAATTATGTCAGGGCTCCCTGTAAATCAGGAGTGAAGTCAACATGAATGCCTCAGGAAACATCTATAAAGTACCTGATATGAGGCACTGAAGTTCAGGCAGACATTATTCCAGGTGCCAGGGACAAAAGTCAGTAGGGCATGTTGCCTGCCCTGAGAGTATTTGTAAGCAAGCAGATCCCTTTGTGACAATCTGTTAAGATTTCCTGTTACAGTAAATGCGCTAACCTTGGCATCATCCTTGAGGCCTCTCTCCCTCTTATACCCTACATCCAACCTCACAGCGAATCCTATAGGCTTTGCCTTTAAAATGTATGTGAATTCCAGTTCTTCTCGCCTTCTCCATAGATGCCACGTTAGTTGAAGCTGCCATCATGTCTCGCCTGTACTACAGCAGCGTGTAATCTCCTCCTGCTGGTTTCCCTGCAGTTCATTTGACCTAAAGCAGACAGAGGGGCTTCAAATGTTACTTCTTTGCTTTTGATTTCTAGTGGGTTCCAATCACCTTTATAATCCAACCTTTTCCATGGCTTATAACGCTCTATGGGATTGGATCCCTGCCCCCGTCCCCAAATCCCACCATCCCTGACTTCATTTCCCACCACTTACTATAAGCCATTCATTCTGGCCTCTTTGCTATTCCTTGAACTTGCTCCCATCACGGGGCCTCAGCACCTCATGTTCCTGCCGTCGGCAACACTCTTCTGGATGCCCGCATGACTTGCTCCCTTATCTTATTTCAGCATCTGGTGAAATGTCATATCAGAGAAGACTTCCCTGATGGCAGATCTAAAGTAGAAATACAAATCAAAATCACAATGAGATAGAATCTCATACCAGTCAGAAAGACTATTATGAAAAAGTCAAATGATGATGGTGAGGCTGTGGAGAAAAGGGACCGCTTATAGACTTGGTGGGAAATAAGTTTAGTCACTATGGAAATTAGTTTGGAGATTTCTCAAAAAATTTAAAACGGAACTACCGTTTGACCCAGCAATCCCATTACTGGGTATATACCTAAAGGAAAACAAATTGTTCTACCAAAAAGACACATTCACTCATATGTTCACTGCAGCACTATTCACAATAGCAAAGACGTGGAATCAACCTAAGTGCCCATTAATGGTGGATTAAAGAAAACATGGTACATATACACCATGGAATACTATGTAGCCATAAAAAAGGACAACATCATGTTTTTTTCAGCAACATGGATGTAGCTGGAGACCATTATCCTAAGTGAATTAATGCTGAAACAGAAAACCAAATACTGCATATTCTTATTCACAAGTGGGAGCTAAACATTGGGTACATGTGGACATAAAGATGGGAGCCATTGACACTGAGGCCTATTAGAGGTGGGAGGGAAGGAGAGCAGCAGGGGATGAAAAACTACCTGTTGGTTACTATGCTTACTACCTGGACGATGGCACCATTTGTATCCCAAACCTCAATGTCACACAGTATACCCATGCAACAAACCTGCATGTGTATCATCTGAACCTAAAATAAAAGTTGAAATTTTAAAAATAGTAATAATAAAGCAGGACACCCTTCATCATTCTCTATCCTCTCGTCTTGTGTACACTCCTTTTTCTGTGGGACAGTTTTTACTGTCTCAGCCTAGCTTCTGTCTTTTTGTAAAGAACTATGGCAGGGAGAGAATCGTATCTGTTTAGGCTGAAAAACTGTGGAAACTGTTCAAATCAGTGACTATTAGAAAAGTTTGCTGGCTGCTATATGAATTGTGGTGGCAAGTTCCATTAGATACTGTCACTTTTGGCACAAAATACTTCACAGAAGAAACATTCTAGATATATGCATCAAAACAGTTTTGCTCACAATGCTATTAGATTTACTAGAGCTTGAAAAATTTGCAACTGTTAAATATGTCACATCAAATACACAGTGCTTAGATATGTAGTAATGGCAAAAGGGACTGTAGATTTAAAATGTTTTTGCCTATACATCTTGTTAAGGAATGATGAGTTAGTATCCCAGTGAACACATTTCTGTAAGAGATGTATGGTGCTTCTGAATGCTTTAGCTTCAGAATTATGCCCTTGAAAATTGTTGTAGAAAAATGGAGACAGGTGAAATAAACAAATATTTGATCTAAAATGGATACTGAACATATGTGTATGAAGAAGGATCATGTCTTCAGTTGGTGTAAGTTTTGAGTTTTAGGTACGTTACCTTCTATAAATCCCCACAACTGTTCATGAAGGAAGGTTTTTGTTATCTCTGTTTGGCATATGGGAAGCTCAGTCGTGGAAGTTAAGGGTCCTTCTCAGTGAGGTGAAACTTACACGTTGGTAAATAATAGAGGTGAATCTGGAACCCATGTGTGGCTGAAAAGGTGTTACACACTGCCCGCAAGAAAGAGGCAGCAAAATCGTTTTTATTTAGTTAATAAAAGAGCTTCCAAGATGAATAATATCAATCTATCGTAGAAATAAACAGCACTCAACTACATTATATATTAGGATTGTTTACTCTTATTTTATAGGTCTCTTCTCATCCATTCTACGAGAACAAGCAAATCTTAAGCATGATGGACCAAAATGGATAGTCCTGGATGGCGATATTGACCCCATGTGGATTGAATCACTGAATACTGTAATGGATGATAACAAGGTGAATAAAACCTCTGTTCTCAACCTTAAATATAACATCCTGAGTGTATTAAGAGTTCGATTCACTTGTCGATGTTAATACTAGTTTTTGCTCATTAACCTGGGATTCTTTATGTAATTATTATTTTGATAAGTGTTGCTTTCCTGATAATTTTCTTAATTTCACCATTAAAGAATTTCAAGGAATATGTTCTCTTTGTTTCTTTGAATTCAGCCACCTTTACTGAGAGTTAGATACAGATCTAAGAATTTAGTTTACAGATCTTACCACTTTCTAAGAGGTAGCCGTAAATTATTGTATCTTGTCATCTTTGATTAAGTATAAATACTTAGACAATGAAAGAACGGGTTTGTGCCATATGATGATTGAAATTAACTAGTTCCTTTGGCTATGGATTGAGTTAAAATGTTTTCCCAAGCTTTTTTGCCACAGTTAATTCAGCATTCCCAGCAAAAACAAAAGGTGACGGTACAGGTCTGTGAGATATCAGTCAAGCAACACAGGGTCTGTTGTTGGGGTCAGCAGAGAGAAATCAGTAATCATCATTACTCCAGAGAAGATTTAGTAACCACCTTAAATTAACAGTAATTACTGCTTACTCAACTGAGACACTGTTCATCATAAAATACAGGTTTGGGATCTTTATACTTGTGTAAGTTTCTTTGGACAATTGATAATTGTGGTATTTCAGATTCTAAAGAAAAGTTTATGGTATTCAGGTCCTTTCATGTGATTAATTTTTACAATACATGTCTTATATTTGGCTTAGCAATAAAAATTACTACAATTATGTAAAGGTCGACATTCACAAGTCCATTTAGGTGAGTTTGTTCAAGGGTCAGTCAGGTCATCTCAGGGGTGAGCTTAGATCTTTATTCAGACTGCACTTCTGATTCAGGAGAGTGAGCACACAGCCTGTGATACTTCTGGTAGGGGAAAGTACTTGTTGCTTCTGGATGTTTGCGGCATTGCTTTTGCCCATGGGTGACAGTGTGCTGCTCACTCCAGGTGCTGACCCTCGCCAGCAATGAGCGCATTGCACTCACTCCCTTCATGAGGCTTCTGTTTGAGATACATCACTTAAGGAGCGCAACCCCGGCCACTGTTTCCAGAGCTGGTATTCTGTATGTGAACCCACAAGATCTGGGCTGGAATCCGTGAGTATTTCTTTTTGTTTTATTGTAGTAAATTGTATGTAACATAACATTTACCATTTTCATAATTTTTGCTTAAGCACATTCATGTTGTTGCACAGCTGTCACCACCATCCATCTCTGGAAGGATTTTATCTTCCCAAAGTGACACTCTTTATCCATTAAACAATAACACCTCATTCTCCCCTCCTCCCAGCTCTTGGCAACCTTCATTCTACTTTCTATCTCTATGAATTAGACTACTCTAGGTACCGCATATAAATGGAATCATACAGTGTTTGTCTTTTAGTGACAGGTTTATTTCACTTAGCATAATGTCTTCAGAGTTTATCCACGTAGCAGCATATTGTAGTATTTCCTTTTTTAAGGCTGAATAATACTCCATTATGTGTACATACCACATTTCGTTTACCCATTCATCTATAAATGAACACTTGGGTTTCTTCTACCTTTTGGCTATTGTGAACAATGCTGCTGTAAACATGGGTATACAAATATCTCTTCAAGACCCTGCTTTCCATTCTTTCGGGTAGAACTCAGAAGAATTTCTAGATCATATGTTAATTCTAATTTTAATTTTTTGAGAAACTGACACATTGTTTTCCACAGCTGCTACCCATTTATATTCCCACCAACAGTGTACAAGGCTTCTAATCTCTCTACACCTGTGCCGGCACTTGTTATTTTCCCTTTTTCTAACAGTAGCCATGCTAATGGGCATGAGGTGATACCTCATTTTAATTTGCATTTCCCTGATGATCAGTGATGTTGAACATCTTTTCATGTGCTTATTGGCAGTTTGTATGTCTTCTTTGGAAAAATGTTCATGTAAGTTCTTTAAGTTCTTTGCCCAGTTTTTAATCGGTGCTTTTTAAAATTGTGCCTGGATCTTGTTAAAATGTTGGTATAAAATTCTAAATATCTATATGCTCACTTGAAGGTATTAGCAGTTACATTTAAGGCTAACTAATTAGGCTAATTAAAAGTTAATTAACTTAGCACTGGAATGCCTTTGTCATTTTTACTTGGACATTACCTGGTTCACATACCTTGAAGATGTTAAGAACTCAGTAAATATTTGTTGAGTAAGTGAATAAACAATGAAAGCTTATATGGAACACTTACATAAAAAGAAATCACTTAGGTTATGTATGTTTGCATGTATGTATACTATCCATACATGAACAGTTGTAATGCTTTGATTTAGAGCAACTTTATGGTGCCCAGTTGCTTACTCCTCAAATGCTTACATTTTCTACAGTTCATCCTGGTTGTAACTTGTCACCTCCAGCGTTTGCACTTCGAACTGTAGGAGTCACTGAGCTCTGCCAGTGAACCCATGCTTGTGCCTGGCATGCTTCTTACATCAGAAATCTTCTGTTTACCTCTCTGGACACACACTCCATCCTTCTCACCCTCTTCTGTGGTCTGTATGGACCACATTAGTGGGCTCCTTGCCTTCCGGCTTCTGGTTGGTTTGGCCAATGAAGAATCCTGGCAGGAAGTGAGAGGGAGAGAGGACAGTGAGGTCAGGCTGTTTATTCTCCTTCCCAACAGGGTCATGTCAGGATGGCTCTGTCCCTCTGTGACTGCAGGTCACAGCTCTTCTTATATCTCTCCATTAAGGTTCTTTCCTTCCAGGTTCTGGCAGTCCTTCGTTCTCTTGTCCCTCCAGGCATAGATACAATACCCATTCCTTGTGATTACCCTTTTGGCATGGTACTGTCCCTTCCATTTCCTCTACTTCTTGCCCACACTTCTGTGACTAGTCCTTTTATTGATCCTTCCCTTGTTATCCTGATTTAGGGATGACATTGGTTTCCTGCCAGATGTCTAACTGATGTACTTCTCCAGGCTGCCTTTCCTGTGTGTACTGACATGCTCGCTAAAAGTCTCATTCCTTACCTCTACAGTGTAGTAGAGCCATGCACAGGCTTTTGCGTTGACAGAGCCTTTATTGGATATGTTTTGGGGAAGGAGTGATTTTCAAAAGTCTTAAATGGAGTGTTTTTCTTGGGATAATAACTCCTTTCCACACCTAGGATTCTGTCTCCTGGGATGCTTCTATTGGTTGGGAGCTACATGAGGGAGTCTCTCCAGCAGCCCTGACTCCCTCTGTACAGAGAACCCAGGCACCACAGTGCGTGGCAGCATTCATTTCCTTCATGAGACCTCTTACCCCTCCTGGGTGTGCTCTGATTTCAGCAGTGAATCTCACAGCTCCCAAGGCATATGTAATTCAGTCTCAGTCCTATCCTGTGGAGATTTGTGCTAACAAAAGCTTGGTCCAAATCCCTAAAGAAGGACTTCTATGCAGTACATCAAAGGTCACGGGTTGGCTAAAGAGACACCCAATTTATATTCCTAAGAGAGTTAAACAACTCTGTCTTCACCATTAGATTTTACTTTTGGGTTTTTTGTTTGTTTGTTTTATCCAGAATTAATGGGTAGATGTTAATTTTCATATGTGTGACCAAATAATTCATCCAGGTCATTTTCCAAAATAATGGAAATCTTCTCTAGAAGGCGTTTTTGTATTTTCACCTCCCATTGCAATAAACTTTCAATAAGTCACGAAATGGCTATTTTAGAATAAAGGGTATTTTTTCCTCTCCATAGTTATTGGAGACTTTAACATCTTACTTTAATGTCATTATATTAACAAAATGATAGCTTTATACGTATTAATTCATTTAATACTCAGTTACCTTCTGAGATAGACATAATTATTAACCCAATTTTCCAAGCGAATCTCGTAAGTCTCAGTTTTCACCAGTGTTTTCTTCAGAGTCAAAACTTTGAAATAAAGTTCAAAACTATAGAAAAGTTGGAAAGGTAGTACAATGCGCAGCCAGAGACGCTTTTCCTGCAATCACTAACCATTTTACCTCATTTACTTTCTCTCTCTCTCTTTCTCTGGCATAGAGGCACATTTTCTACTTTTATTAATTTTTGCTGAAATATATGAAAGTAAGTTGGAGACATTAAGACACGTCATCCCTAAGTCTGATTACAAAAGACTAGATACTTCTAGATGACTCTTGGAAGCCACAACTTTAGATCATACTCTTTCTTCTATTACTTGAGCTTAAAATATTCTTCTGGCTTTGTGTCACTAGTACTTTCACCTGTATCAAATGACCTTATTGTCTTCTGTCCCTGCAATCCCACTGTCTCATCTTGGGATACTGTATATGCTTACAAACATGCAACTTCAGAAATAATTGGTATACACTGCTAGTCAGCATGTACTGCTAACGTCTGCCATTTTTCCAGGCCACGGTGAATGACAGAGAACTTGAAGCTTGCTCTAAGGGTAGACTTAGAGTCTGTTCAATTCCTTCTATCCTATACAACAGGATCCAACCCCAGAGGCCTGAGTAATAAATAAAAAGTTTTCAGAGGTCTGAGAACTTTGGCTACTCTAGAAAGTTTAGAAACCACGCGGTTATAGACTTCACTTGATAAACCTGGAACAGTTCTGCAGGAAGGAGAAACAACTGAGCTGCTGATAGGAGGACTCATTTGCAAATTCTGGAAAGCCACAATTCTCTGTTAATGACCTGCATATTGCCATTAAGATGATACATTGGGGCATTACAATGTAGCCATTTCCTGAGGTGGGGCACCAATGTGGGTGGTCTTTTCTGTGGGCAAGGAAAGAATATGCCATTTTAGTATGCCATTTTCAATTGTATGTAATATAATAGTAGTCATGTTCCACATCTATCACATCTTTTAAAAATCATAGGGAACTTTTTATATGAAGCAGTGTTGTAAGAATTGCACACAAATGCAGCTCTGTGGCTTCAGTGTTTGCTGAAGGTAACAGTTTCTCCTTCTAAATTTACTGTCTTTTAATGTCTATTCCTAAACTATGTAAGTTTAGCAATAATTTCTACATAAATTTTTAAACTCTCCAGCAACATAGCCATTTTTACTCTCTATCCTATGCTATGTGGTGTGATTGATCCCTAGTAGAGGTAATTTATCTGATTTCCCCCTCCCACCCCCACTTTTTTTCTCTCAAGCAGAATCGGCTCTTACCACATCTCCTGGTTTGGTTGGACTGACTTTTTTCTGGAGCACCTCTCACTTGTGGAAGTAATTTGTGCAAAAGCATCATTTGCTAGTGGGATCGGTAGATTTTCTCTGAGACTTTAGTTGCTGCTGATGTGACTCCATGAAACCGCTATTACCTGCACCCTAAGTGCAAAGCCCACTTCTTCCTTCTGGGCTATTTTTTTGAAGTTACTGCTCCTAGTAATGCTTGCAATGGCTTTCTGCTCCCACAGAAACCTGGAAGAAACTTTGTTGGAAAGTGGGGTGTGGGTTTTGTTATATCCACCAGAATCCAGGATGCCAACTCTTGTGCCCAATAGGACGCTACTGCCTTTAGGAGAAACAGAGGGAGACGGAGCCGCGATCTAAACCTGAGTTTCCGAATGCCACCAACTCTGTACTAATGAGTAACGTTTATTGAGAATTTATTTGTCAGATGCTAATGTAAGCACTTTATACATGCAAACTTACATAATCCTCACAACCACCCCAGGAGGTTCATATTATTACCCTCTCCATTTACAGAGGAGAAAATTGAGGCACAGAGAGGTTAAGTAACTTGCCCAAGGTAACACATTTAAAAAATGGTGGAACCAAGTAGCATATCCAGGCAGTTTCACTTTAGACTTTCCTTTCCCTGAGCAATCCTCTTTCACCTCTTCTTGATAAGATCTAGATACAAAGATTCCACTTTCCACTCTGGCAGCTGATATGGGGTAAAATCAGTAGTTGAGATGGTGGCCTTCATTCCTTTGTCCCCAGGCACTGACACCTGCTTTCCATTGTTCCGCGGTTCCCACTGTCGCTACCACACAGGGACATTCTATCAGGCTACTCTTATGCAATTGGACTTCTGCTGAAAACCATTTCTCTTGGACCTGAAAAAGTTTTGACAGTTGACATTTTATAAATTTCATCAGAGTGTAACATAACCGGCTATTTAATAAACTCTATTGTGAAGCCTTGAGAAAAGTGAAAGGAGCCGTTTGTCAGATAATCATCTTGCCTTAATGTCTCCTGATGCTCAAAATGCAAGGTGTAGCTGAAATTGACCTGTGGTCATACTCCTTCTCTGCTGGCTGCTAAATGTATTTATTCCCCATGCTTCATCCTTAGTGAGAACTTTCTGAGGGATTATTTTTAGTTTAACATCATACATTTTTGCCCTGTAGACTACTATAGGTGCTACTAAGTCATGCTTTGTTTTACTGATAAGTATTATTTTACTAATACATTAAGGATATTTAATGTATCAAATTGATAACATTTTATGTTTCAGATTACACACACACACACACACACCCCAGCACCCAAGCATGAAACGCCATATCAGAGCCACCTATTGGAAACTCGTTAGCAGCTATCAGATTGGAGTTACATTCAGTCCATTGAAAAAGGAGACACTTTGAAATAGCCCCTACGGAATTTTCATCTTTTTATTCGTAACTGATTTCTTATTACTAAATAATTGATGCCAAGATTAATCAAGAAAAATCACAAGCTGTTTTCATAAATAAGGCCTACACTATGGGAATAGTTTCAGCCCTTCAGGAAATGACATAGTGCACTTCCTCATAAATGCTCGGTAATGGTCTACTTATATTCCATTATGTTTGGCTTCTGAGTGCTATTAGGAGTTTCTTTTACAGTCTTTTCATTAAGGTAAAATGGCCATTAAAACAAGTTTTTAAAGGGCCATTTTAAAATATTTGCAGTTTGAAAAATAGAACGAACTCACTAAACGTGTCCTTGAAGTGTTGCACCAAGCTGTGTCAAAGGAGGAAGCTTTTGACTTGGTGAAATTCTGCTTTTCAAGCCTAGTGTTCAATAAAAGCTTTTCTGTGTTCCTTTTCAGGTATGTGGCCAGTTGGATAGACAGAAGGCGGCATCAATCAGAAAAGGCCAATTTGACTATTCTTTTTGATAAATATGTCCCTGCATGCTTGGATAAACTGAGAACAAGCTTTAAAACCATCACTTCAATTCCTGAGAGTAGCCTGGTGCAGGTTTGTCTTCGGTTACGCCATTTAACGTTCTAGTTCTGATGCGGTAGTGTTTGTTGATCAAGACAACAGAAGATCTTGCCTTGCCCAAGAAAGTGAGAAGATTTCTGGAATTGTTAGATTGCTGCAACCCTCTTGCCCCCGCCCCCGTCCCCCATGTTCCCTGGATCTTTTTGCAAACCTCTATCACATTCTGTTAGTGTTTAAGTTTGTGCTCTCCTTCTTTTCACAATCTTGTGAAAGAAGGTTAGAACCATGTTTTACTGATTTTTTTTTAGTATCCCCAGATAGCTCTTAGCACATAGTAGGTGCCAGATATGTGTTTGTTGAATCACTGTGTTCCTTTCCAGTGTCTTTGCACAGAATTAGAAGAACAAAGTTGCAATAGCTTTATTTATTTTTCTGGTTCCTAAGTAACTTGCCCAGAGAAGGTGCTCAGTATGTTTTCTAATAAAACAAATTTGTGCAATTAAAGATGCCAGCCAGTGAGTAAGAGAAAGCCTCTGAATTCTACCACCTAGGTGCCACCACTCACAGGCCTCCCCCTCCCAAAAATATTCATGGAGGAGTGTCAGTCTGGATGAAGAGTTCATAATATCCCAGGGATATATTTTTTCTCATCTTCATCTTGAGACAGCTGGTAAGAGTGAGGGTTACACATAATATGTTGTCATGGAAGCCAATGAAAATAATTCACAACACACAGAAATGAAGGCTGTGATCTTCATCTCAGCATGAAGAAAAACTATCCCCAGCCCTTAGAAGTAGAAGACTTCATGAAAAGGTTTACAATTAGAAACCCCCACACCCTTTTTTTGCTATAAGAGCAAAATTGCTTTCTAAGTACTTTGTTACCATTAAGTGAGTGTGTTACCAAATTTGTTTGACGCAAAATTAGAAATAGTCACAAGCATAATAAGAAGAGAAAGTTCAGGTTTTTGGATAATTCGCACACCAATTAAATAAACGATAGTCTTCAACAGTAATTATCTGAGGTATAATTTATTTCCGAAAGCAGGTCTGAATTTGTTCATTATGAATTAATTATGTAGTTAGCCTAATTAGACTCCCTCTGGTGTAATACTTGCAAAAAAGCATTATCGTGTTCTTTCTCAAGTTCACTTGTGTATTTGTGTGATTCTCTGTGGTGTGAACTTTTCCATTCAAGAGTAGTGTGAAAATAGGTCAGTAGGAATTAATATGATTTCTGCTCTACTTCTTTCTTTTGTTGTATTCAGAAAGGGCATTTAATTTTTAGCTCCTTTTAAGCTGTTGTTTTATAGAGTAATTTCTCTTCTGTGGTTACTAATAAGTATGGAAATTTGAGACAAAAATGGGTATAAGAAGATAGTGACCTGAAATGGCTATCTTGAGAAATTAATGCACTCTGTTTTCCGATATATGACGCCTCTTTAAGTTTGGTAAGGTTTATTAACTCTTTCAGATTACTCATTAAAGTACGTTAAATGCTGACACAGAACTCAAAATATATTTCAAGTACTGTGGGAGAAAATAGAAGAAACACATGGCCGTATTCGTGTGTTCATCTCAGCAGATAGCGTCACGTTGAGACCCTTCAGTCTTTTTTGTTTTGATTTCAACAGTGCCTTAGAACAACATGGCTTCTACTAAAAAATAACAAAGCCTCAGAGTTTTACACTGTTTTTCTTAATAGCAAATTGGTGAGTTTTTTTCTATTAAAAGATTATTTCAAATTGGCAAATGTGGCACAACATGAAATAATAGAAGCCAAGAAAGAAGATTAAAGAATATAATAGGTGCTCAATAATTTAAATGAAAAGTATTTCCCCATCTTCTGTGGCAAGGAAGGAAAGGCACACACACAGTGCTGACCTGATCTGTGATCGCTTGCGTTGCTGTGTGTATAATAGAGATGAAAATCTATCGTTGCCTGCAAAAACTGGGGGAAGAGTCTCTTGAGTTTTTAGGATCTGTAACAGTGCTAATTAATGACGACTTTCTGTGCTTTAGAGAGCTAGCCCCAGAACCTGTTCATTACTGGTTATTATTTCACATGGTGAAGGCCTCTGCAGCAGCCGCATTCCCCTCATTGCTGGCGCAACTGCCCTAAGCATGGGCTAGGTACATGAGGACCGCCCAGCACGTTGCCATTTCACCTGGAGAGTATGAAGAACACGTTCCTGAGTTCCTGAACAGCATTTCTTTCAAGGTTAAATTTAGTTCGGTGTCCAAAAAACTGCCACAGGCTTAAGCTGCCAGTCCAACATTCTAAATTTATGACAACGGGTGGGAAACTGGCTGCCAAAGCGCTTACCGAAAGTGGTTTATCTGAATGTCCAACAAGAAGGAAATAGTAAAATAAATGCCTCTTCATCCAATGGAATCCTCTGCATCCATTCCAGTGGTGGTGTAGAGTAACACTTATTGATAAGGAAAGATGTCTTCAGTTTTTAATCAAGGAAGTGGATTATAGAATACTATTTAGAAAATGATTTCCTATTTATAAAAAAGTGAATATGTACCCTTTTTTTTTTTTGCTTATGTGTGATTTTGGTTTGTATACTGATTATTAACTGGATTGTTTAAAATTTTGTTTTTAAAAAATAGTTTATTACCTAGATCATTTTGGTTGAAAGTGACAAGTTTTCTACTGTTAACTTAGACACCCAAGGTGGTAATTTTTGTCTCTCCCAATGTAGCAAATCACAGCTGGGAAAAACTATGTACTCTCTTAAGGATAAAGTGGAGTTGTAAAAATATTCTTTGAACTTCACTATTTTAAAAAAATGTTGCCTTATTTGACTATTTCTTTTTCTTTAGACTCTATGTGTTCTTTTGGAGTGCTTGCTGACTCCTGAAAATGTACCTTCTGACAGCCCAAAAGAAGTTTATGAAGTCTATTTTGTATTTGCTTGTATCTGGGCTTTTGGAGGCACCCTGCTACAAGATCAGGTATGTTTAGAAATAGTTTACAGGACCAGTTTCCAGTTTTGTGTGGGACAGGGTCATGGGGAGGTTAAAACATGTGATCTGTACCTTTTTGTTATGTTATAGATCTATACTGCTTGCCCTGTTCTCTCCTAAGTCTATGCATTCTCTGGGTAGTCCCATCCCTGATGGTTCTAACCCCAGCTGACAATGCCAAATCCATACCCTCCAGCCTGGCTGTGTCTTCTGAACTGAAAGTTCTGTGTTTCTGGCTGCTCTGGGGCCTCGCCTTCAGCATGCTGTTCTACAAGAAGCCCCACTCAGTGTGCCTGAGACAGATCTCCTCCTCTGCCCCATACTCCAACTTGCCCCTGCTCTTCCTTCTTTTCTTTTGCTCAGTGGTACATTCTTCCCGGTAGCTCCAGTTAAAAACGTGGAAGACATCACTCTTCCTGATTTCTGTGTCCTGTGATCTCAGACCCTTTCAGTTTCACCTGTGAAATAGCTGCCAACCCTATTCCCTCTTCTCCATCCCTGCAGCCTAAATTCAGGAGCAAAGCATCTTTAGATTGCTCTGGTTATCATAGCGTCTTAGTAGCTCAGATCGCCATAACAAAATACCACAAATTGGGTGACTTAAGCAATAGAAATTTATTTCTCACAGTTCTGGGGACCAAAAGTCCAAGATTATGGTGTCAGCATGGTTGAGTTCCAGCAAGGACTCTCTTCCCACCTTTCAGACCGCCACTTTCCCGCTGTGTCCCCATGTGACAGAGAGAGAAAGACATACTGGTTTCTCTTTTAATGAGGACACTAATCCCATCATGAGGACCCTGTATTCATGACATCATCTAAATCTAATTATGTCCCAAGGCCCCACCACCAAATATCATCACACTGTGGGGTAGGGCTTCAAAATATGGATTTGGGGGTGGGATGTGGGAGGGGGGATCACAATTCGGTTTGTAGCATTTGATAATCTTCAAATTGGTCTCCCTCTCTCCAGTCCCTCTTACTTCTAACCAGTCTCACACACTATTCCCAGGATAGTCATTTGTGAACCATAGTCAACCCTGGGTCAATTCCTTTTTCACTGATCTTTTTTTTAGCTGAAAGTGAAATATTCATGCCTGTACAGATTGCTTGCATAGCCCTTTTGTGTCTTCTGATTTCCTGTGGGAAAACACTTGAGACAAACATTTGCACCAGCACACAGATCCCACGAACTGCTTAGACTTACCAAAGTGCAAAGTGGGAATTATTCAACTTTAGAAATTTGCAGATCTAATTGCCACCATGCACCTCTATGTGTAATTTTTCTCATGTGATCTTTACAATGGTTCTTCAAGGTATCCTCATTGCACAAATAAAGTAAAGCTCAGAGGGGCAAAGTAACTTGCCCAAAGTCACGCTGATGGGAAATGGCAACATCAGGATTCCCACCCAAGTGTGTCTTTCTCCAAAAGCCACACCTTCCATGGTACCTCAGGGCCTCTCATGGTTCATAGTGCTTCTATGGGTACCCCTGAATTTTTACATTAAAAATAGATAGCACACATTTTCCAGGCTTCCTTGCTCTTTCCAGGTGTAAATGGGGCATTTACATTGAAAGGCATCGCAGCCAAGAGTGACCTATATTTCTGTTGGTTTGTTCACTGTAGATCAGAAAATAAATGGTTGATATAATCTGTTGGCCAGTTCCACTTCTCGCCACTAGGTTACCATAACTCATGCCTATTATTATAATAATATAGTTGGAATTCACTTGGCCTCCTAGATCTTATTTCAGCCATTCTCAGAAGCCAGATTCCTTCTGTAATTTCCAAGTGCTTTCTAAAGATTAGCAGCCAATACTGTGTGAGAGTCAAGTGTTCGTGTCAGGGACTTCATGTGGCTTTCTCAGAGGCACGGTTTACAACATGTGTGGGTTTCTTGTTAATGGAGGCCACATGCAGACAGAAGGCAACCCTCCTTCTCCACCAGGTATTTCTTTCAATATTTACCCTTTTCTCCCTTTCTGGGACTGTAAAATCAGGTGGGATGTTGATAGCGGACATCTTCCCCCTCCTGCTCATAACCCCTCACCTCCCTCCCAGCTGACCCTCTTTTAATCTTTCCAGTTTCCAAATGTATCAGCCTTACCCCCTAGTTATATAAGCTAGAAGCTGGATATCACTGGCACCTTCCCTTCGCTAATTAATAGTCAACATGAGCAGCAATAGCAGCTTAACATTTTCAAAAGGGCTCTAACTACAGAGCATTTAAAACAGAGGCTATGAGGTTGGCAATATGCATGAAACAGACACAATAAATGTTCTCAGGATAGCCACTTGGTAGCTTAACAAATTGAGTGTCTAATATGTGTCAGGGAATGTGCTTAGAGCTTTTCATAGGGCACCTCATTTACTCTTCAAAAACTATAAAACTCTATATGGATTGGTACAACTCTTCTTTTACAAATAAGGAACTGAAGCTTAGAAAGGTATTTTAATCTGCTTCCAGGCACAAAGCTAACCCATGTCTAAGCCAGGTTCAAACAGCAGCGGACTGACTCAGGACCTATGTTCTTCAGCCATTGCAGCCAACCTCCAAAACAAGTTTCAAATCAACTTTATCTGAACTCCCATAAACTGCCGTCATTTCTCACTTGGCTTCTGAAGTAGCCTCCTCACTGGGCTTTCTATTTCTGCATTTATTCTGATAATTCATCATCCACTCAGCAGTCAGGGTGATTTTTTGAAATGCACGTGAAATCCTATGATATACTCCAGAGTTGAAAACACTTGAATGGCTCCTTGTTGCCTTTAAGATTACATTTCAAATTTTAATTCTATTTACAAGGCCTCTGAATCTAGCCCTGCTTAGCTCTCCCTATTTCTTCCTCTGCCACTTCCCCCACTCCCCCACTCCCCCACCCCTCCACCCCCAGCTACAGGGTCCAGTTTCTTGAGCACACCAAGTTCTTTCATACCACAGGAACTTTGTACATGCTGGACTCTTCCTTAAACGGCACTTAAAGATGCCTTCCCTGAACATCCAATTAAAATAGGTTGCCTCTGTTATTCTCACTTACAGCAAACTTTACTTTCAAGGCAACTGTTGATGTCTGCGTTTGTTGGCTTAGCCTCAGCTGGACGACACATCTTCATGTTCCTCTCCTCTATGTTCCCCATAAACTCTGTGAGAGGAGAGACTCTGTTGGTTTTCTTTTCTACTTTAGAACAGATGCGTTTTAGTTGAATTAATTAATGAATGAAAGATTTGTCACCAAAATCATTTTGCCTATATGTAGTGGTTAGGTGAAGCAAAGTTTGATATCAAGTAAAAGTTAAATGTAGTCTGCCTGCAGAGAATGGTGTCACATAAGTAATATCATCTGAACTGTCCTGGCTCAAGACCAACTTTTGTAGGGTGAAGAAGTATCTTCTACCACCAATCTGAAAATAATTTAAATGAACCTAAAGTCATAACTCATGCATGGGGTGGTAGAAGGATGCTCTCAGCTGGTTTGGAAGATGGTGGGGCAAGCTCTCCCTGCAAACACCGATCACCTCCTTCTGCCCAGTTTATAGGCCATAATCCAATGACATAGGGACGTCAAAGTAAAAGCAAGTTTAAAAACTTCTATGGGGAAAAATCACGGTTGAAGTCATAGATAGAAATGAGATTGCTGAAAGCAGTAGACACACACAGTATTTTTAAGAGTTCATCAAACTCACTATTTTAGGTCATGCTATGGATATAGGAGTCACTGCGCCAGGTCTCCTGTGGATATAAGAGGTACAGAGCCAGGTCATCGTATGAATATAGGAGTCGCTGAGCCAGGTCATCCTATGAATATAGGAAACACTGGGCCAGGTCATCTGTGGATATGGGAGTAACTGGGCCAGGTCATCCTATGAATATAAGAGTCACTGGGCCAGGTCATCCTATGAATATAGGAGTCACTGGGCCAGGTCATCCTGTGGATGCATAGAGGTATCACTGGACCAGGTCATCATGTGGATATGGCAGTGACTGGACCAGATCATCCTAGGGATATAGGAGTCTCTGGGCCAGATTATCCTATGGATATAGGAGTCACTGGGCCAGATCATCCTGTGGACATGGGCATCACTGGGACAGGTCATCCTGTAGACATGGGCATCACTGGGCCAGGTCATCCTGTGGATATAGAAGGGTTTTTCTAGTTGTTGCTCACAGTTGTCCTTTTCTTTATTTTCCAACCCTAATCTAGCAGTAAATGGCTTATATCTATACTGATATTAAAGCAAGCACCTCCCAGTAAAGAGAGCCTGTTCCTTGCCAATATAAATCTCTCTGGAGGCTGAAAGTTGATCCCTATGCAGTTTTCAGCTGGACCCCTTAGATTTGGTCTGGTGGGAAACCAAGCCCATGCGTTTATCCATTCCTCCATCTCTCATGGCAGGGATTCCCAGATTTAGAATTCCAGAGATCAACAGAGTTTCAGTAATGATGTGTAGGAATGGTATAGAGTTGCCAGTTGTTTACTTTTCTAAGCAAGAGCATTTATGAAAATAACTATCACCATAATTTTATAAGGGAAAAATATTTTATCATTGAAAGGGCCAGAGAAGCTATAAGCTCAGAACAAAGGACAGTATTTAAATCAAATAATGTCATTAATTTTTAAAAAGTACGCCATTCTTATTTTTCCCATTTTCCCATAAATTGATGTGAACATTGGTAGAAGTGAACACCACCGTTACAATAGTGACTACCTAGCATAGGAATTTGCATAATACGTTGTCATTAGATTGAATAACGAACAGGTAATCTGGCGTTCACCTAACTTTACCTTGCTTTTTAAGTTAATTATTTCACAAAATTTGTGCTTGATGGGTATATGGCAATTTTAGGTTTCTACCCCTATGATATTGTTACTCATAATTTGTTTCTTTTTTTACAGTTTTAATTACTTTGAGTCTGCAATAAGGATTTCTTTTGTTCTCCTTAGATTTCTGATTATCAAGCTGACTTCAGTCGGTGGTGGCAGAAAGAGATGAAAGCAGTGAAATTTCCGTCGCAGGGAACAATCTTTGATTATTATGTGGACCACAAAACTAAGAAATTATTGCCCTGGGCTGACAAAATTGCCCAGTTTACTATGGATCCAGATGTGCCTCTGCAGGTAGGTGTGTGGAACATAGCAATTGTATTAGTCTGTTTTCATATTGCTATAAAAAATACCTGCAACTGGGTAATTTATAAAGAAAAGAGGTTTAATTGGCTCATGATTCCACAGGCTGCCCAGGAAGCATGATGCTGGCATCTGCTGAGCTTCTGGGAAGGCCTCAGAAAATCACAGGGGAAGGGGAAGCGGACACTTCACTTGGCCAAAGGGGAAACAAGAGAGAGTGAGGGGGGAGGTGCTGCACACTTTTAAATGGCCAGATCTCATGAGAACAAATTCACTTTCATTAGAATAGTACCAAGATGGATGGTGCTAAACCATTTATGAGAAACTGCCCCCATGACCCAATCACCCCACACCAGGCCCCACCTGCAACATTGTGGATTACAATTCAACATGAGATTTGGTGGGGTCATAGATCCAAACCATATCACCGATATTCAAGTGAAGTGTGCTGATGTGATCCCTTTTTAAAAAAAAAGTCTTTTTTTTTTCTTTCTTGCCTGATGAATAAGTTATTGTGTTAATATGCTCAGCATATGACATATATCACTGGCAGAGAAGAATCTCAGCTATAAGAATGCCTAGTGATGGCCAGGCGCGGTGGTTCATACCTGTAATCCCAGCACTTTGGGAGGCCGAGGTGGGCAGATCACGAGGTCAGGAGATCGAGGCCATCCTGGCTAACACGGTGAAACCCCATCTCTACTAAAAATACAAAAAATTAGCCGGGTGTGGTGGCGGGCGCCTGTAGTCCCAGCTACTCGGGAGTCTGAGGCAGGAGAGTCGCTTGAACCTGGGAGGCGGAGGTCGCGGTGAGCCGAGATCGCGCCACTGCACTCCAGCCTGGGCGACAGAGCAAGACTCTGTCTCAAAAAAAAAAAAAAAAAAAAAAAAAAAAAAAGAATGCTTAGTGAGATGTCTGTTATATTTCTGCATCCTCTTTTCTTTTTTTTTTTTTTTTGAGATGGAGTCTCGCTCTGTCGCCCAGGCTGGAGTGCAGTGGCGCGATCTCGGCTCACCGCAAGATCCACCTCCGGGGTTCAAGTGACTCTCCTGCCTCAGACTCCCAAGTAGCTGGAACTACAGGTGCCCGCCACCACGCCCGGCTAATGTTTTGTATTTTTAGTAGAGACGGGGTTTCACCGTGTTAGCCAGGATGATCTCGATCTCCTGACCTCGTGATCCGCCCACCTCGGCCTCCCAGAGTGCTGGGATTACAGGCGTGAGCCACCGTGCCTGGCCTCTGCATCCTCTTTTTAAAAAATATAACAACTTAATTCTGTAATAACTATAAAATGTAAAGAAATAATAATTTTTCCTAGAAAGTTTGTGAGTTTGTAAAAATTGAAGGCATATTTCTGTTCAGTGATTGTTATTTCTGAACTTACTGTAAACTTCTTAGTTAGTACTTTTCACGTATAACGTTCTTCTTATACCCTCCAGCTATCAAATGAATATGTTTAATCTCGTCTATTCACGTTTCACAGTCATGTGACAGCTAATGATCCAAATGAACCTTTCTCTCTTTCTTCACTGTTTCTTTTCATAGATTGCTCTTCTGCATTTCCCTTAGATTCAGGTATTCTTTGATCATCGTATTCTACCTCAATGTGTTTTCCTTTTCATATTATTTCTTCCTCAAAATCATGTCATTCTGACTCATTTTGGAGCTTATTATTTTGGGAGTGCTGTATGAGTGGCATATAGGTGATTTCTGTGGCATTTATTAGGAGGCAATTAGTGCCAAATAACAGAAAGCCCAGTGCATTCATTTCCTGGAGCTGCCATAACAAAAGACCAAAGACCAGGTGGCACAAACAATAAAAACGTGTTTTTCTCAAAGTTCTAGAGGCTAGAAGTCCAAGATGGAGACACTGAGGGGTTTTGTTTCTCCTGCAGCCTTTCTCCTCGGTTTGCTGATAGGCATCGCTTGCCGTGACCTCACATAGCCTTTTCTCTGTGCACATTCATGCTCACTGTCTCCCTGTGTGTCTAAATTTCCTCTTCTCCTAAGGACACCAGTCACATTGGATAAGGGCCTAATAGCCTCATTTTAACTTAATTATCTCTTTTATAAGTCCTATTCCCAAATACAGCCACATTCTGAGGTATGAGGGGTTAAGGCTTCAAGAGATGAATTTTGGAGGAGACATAATTCAGCCTGTAACAATGTGCCGCCTTGACCCCCAAAATTCAAGTCCTGTTAACATACAAAATACATTCACCCATTCCAACAGCCCACAATTCTTTTTTTTTTTTTTTTTTTTTTTTTTTTTTTTTTTTTTGAGACAGAGTCTTACTCTGTTGCCCAGGCTGGAGTGCAGTGGTGCAATCTTGGCTCACTGCAACCTCAGCCTCCCAGCTTCAAGCAATTCTCCTGCCTCAGCCTCCCGAGTAGATGGGACTACAGGCAACCCACCACCATGCCCGGCTAATTTTTGTATTTTTAGTAGAGACGGGGTTTCACCATGTTGGCCAGGCTGGTCTTGAACTCCTGACCTCAAGTGATGCACCCACCTTGGCTTCCCAAAGTGCTAGGATTACAGGCATGAGCCGCCACGCCCGGCCTACCAACAGCCCAAAATTCTTAACCCATTCCAGTATCAACTCTAAGTCCCAAATATAATCCAAATATCATCTACATGATACATTTCATCTATCAGTTCATTTCATGAATTGAGGTACAATTCATCCTGAGGCAAAATTCCTCTCTAGCTGTGAACTTACAAAACCAGAGAAGTTACCTGCTTGCAAAATACAGTGGTAGAACAGGCATAGGATAGACCTTTCTATTCCAAAAGGGAGAAATCAGAAGAAAGGGGTCACAGGTCCCAAGCAAGTCCAAAACTTAGCAGAGCAAATTCCTTTAGATTCTTAAGACTTCAAAATAATCTTCTTTGGCTCAATGCCCTGTACCGGGGCCCACTGGGATGATGGCCCTGCCTCTGGACACACTAAGGCGGCAGTATTGCCCTTGGGGGCAGCAGCCCTGTCCCTGGGGCACTGGGCGGTAGCATCCTGGCTCAGTGACAGAAGTGGTGACCCCATCCCCTGAAAGTGAGGGGGAAATAGCCTCATCTCCCTGATCTGTACCTTTCGGGCCGGCCAGTGGTGGCAGTGGCAGTAGATGTTCTGCTGATCTGTGAATTGCCTTTGGAGTTACTTTCCCTTTTCTTGGAGGTTAATACATTATTTGCAGCCAGGTTGCTAAATTGTCTTGTCCTGTAGAATCTAAGAAGTCTTACCATCCTTCATTTTGTCCTGTTTCCATCCTCTTTACCCCAAGCTGGCAATATTTCTGCTGGTATAACCCCATCTCTATCCCTGGCTTCTTCTGAAATAGCTGATTTTGTCTAAGAATTACACCCCTAATTTCTTTATGGAGTCGTTGTCTGGCCACACTTTGGTGTTCTCTCCAGAATACACTTTCTCATGTTCTGCGTATGGACAAGCTGAGAATTTCCCAAATCTTTAAGTTCTAGTTCCTTTCTGCTTAACAGTTACTTCTTCAGTATGTCTTTCTCCTCTTTCATTTTGCTAGCAATAAGGAGAAACTAGGCCACATCTTCAACACTTTTCTTAGAAATCTCCTCAGTTAAGTACTTGAGTTAGTCACTCACAGGTTCTATCTTACACAGAACACTAGAATGCAATTCAGCCGTGTTCCTTGCCACATTATGACAAGAATTGCTTTTCTGCCAGTGTCAAGTAACACTGAGGTCTCACCAGAACCATCTGAGGTCTCACCAGAAGCCTCTTTAATGTCCATATTTCCACCAACAGTCTCTTCAATGCAATCTAGGCATTTTCTTGCCTGCACCTTAAAACTATTCTATCCTTTTGTCTTACCCTGTTCCAAAGTCACTTCCACTTTTTTAGGTATCTGTTACCATAGCAGCCCACTTCTTAGAATCAAAATCTGTATTAACCATGATGAGATACCACCTCACACCTGTTAGAAAGTCTGTTATCAAAAAGACGAAAGATAACAAGTGTTGTCAACAAAAATGAGAAAATGGAACCTTTGCACACTGTTGGTGAAAATATCAGTTAGTATAGCCATTATGGAAAACAGTATGGAGGTTCCTCAAATTAAAAATTGAGCTACCATATGATCTAGCAATCCCACTTCTGGGTATATATCCTAAGGAAACAAAATTAGTGAGTCAGAGAGATATCTGCACTCGCATGTTTACTGCAGCACTAGTCACAATAGCCAAGATATGGAGTTAACCTAAGTGTCCATCAGTGGATGAACAGACAAAGAAAATGAGGTTCATACACACAATGGCATACAGGTTGAGCATCTCTAATTCAGAAATCTAAAATTCTCCAAAATTAAAAACTTGGAGGACTGGCATGATGCTCAAAGGAAATGTTCACTGGAATAGTTTGCATTTCAGATTAGGAATGCTCAACCAGTAAGTATAATGCAAATGTCCCAAAACCCCCAGAAATTGAAATCCAAAATACTTGTGGTCACAAACATTTCAGATAAGGGATATTCAACTTGTACCTTTCAGCCTTTAACAAGAAGGAAATCCTGTCCTTTGCAACAACTTGGATGAACCTGGAGGACATTAAGTAAAATAAATCAGACACAGAAAGACAAATACTGCATGATTTCACTGACTTGTGAAATTTTAAAAGTTGAACTCATAGAAGCGGAGAGTGGAATGGTGGCTACCAGGGGCTGGAGTTAGGAGACTGGGGAGATGTTGGTCAAGGGATACAAAATTTCAGTTAGGAGAAATAAGTTCAAGAGATCTATCGTACATGGTGACTGTAATTAATAACAATGTGTAGTATTTTTTAAAAACCATTAAGAGAAAAAATTGTAAGTATTCTTCCCATAAAAAATAAGCACATGGGGCTGGGTGCAGTGGCTCACACCTGTAATCCCAGCACTTTGGGAGGCCAAGGCAGGTTGATCACCTGAGGTCAGGAGTTCGAGACCAACCTGGCCAACATGGCGAAACCCGGTCTCTACTAAAAATACAAAAAATAGCTAGGTGTGGTGGTGTGCGCCTATAATCCCAGCTACTCGGGAGGCTGAGGCAGGAGAATTGCTTGAACCTGGGAGGCAGAGGTTGCAGAGAGCCGAGAGTGCGCTATTGGACTCCATCCTGGGCAACAAGAGTGAAACTGTCTCCGAAAAAAAAAAACTATGTGAATTGTAAGCGTATGTTAATTTGCTGGATTTAGCCATTGTACAATATATACATATTTCAAAACATCAGGTTATACACAATAAATACATACAATTTTGTCAGTTAAAAATTAACTTTTTTAAAAAATAAAGCATATTTTAGCTCTGTGATCCAAAAAATTTAATTATAGTTGTAACCTGGAGAAACCCAACTGCACATAGAAAGATGATCATGGCCATGTTGTTCCTGACAACAACCAAAAAAAGGAAAATTGAAAAACTAAGTTGTAATATATTTGTAGAATGGAAATCTACACAGCAGTAAGAAAAATTACCTAGACCTAGATACACCAATATCAGCATATCTCAAAAGTATAATGTTGATTGAAAAAAGCAACGTACAGAATAATCTCTATTTTCTGAAACTGGTTGCATAAATTTACAAATAAAAGTTCAAACAAAAAAGCAAACCTGTACAGTAGTCCCTCACTTATCCATGGCTTTGCTTTCTGAGGTTTTGGTTTGGTCAACATTGGTCCAAAAATACTCAATGGAATATTCCAAAGATAAGCAATTTATAAGTTAAATTGCACACTGATCTGAGTAGCAGAATTAAATCTCATGCCGCCCCACTTTATCCCACCGAGGATGGTAACCATCTTCATCCGGCTGTCTTGGTGACCAGGTCGATTGTTGTGTACTGCAATGCTTGCGTTCAAGTAACCCTTATTTTACATAATAATGACCCCAAAGTGCAAGAGTAGTGCTGCTGACAGAATTGTTCTATTTTACTGTTGTTAATCTCTTAGTGTACCTAATTTATAAATTAAACTTTATCACAGATATATAGGTATAGGAAAAAACAGTATATATGGGGTTCTGTACCGTCTGTGGTTTCAGGCATTCCCTGGGAGCCTTGGAACATACCTCGCCCAGGTTAAAGGAGGACAAGTGTATTAGTTTGCTAGGGCTGCCATAACAAAATACCACAGACTGGGCAACTTCAACCACAGAAGTTTCTTTTTTCACAGCTCTGGAGGCTAGCAGTCCAAGTTCAAGGTGTCAGCAAGTTTGGCTTCTCCTGAGGCCTCACTCCTCGTAGCCACTTTCTCTCTGCATCCTCACATGGCTTTTCTCTGTGCATGTGTATCCCTGATATCTCCCTGTGGGTTCAAATTTTCTTATAAGGACACCTATCAGATTGGGTTAGGGCTCAGTCCAATGGCTTCATTTTAACTTAATCACCTCTTTAAAGCCCGTGTCTCCAAATACAGTCCCATTCTGAAATACCGGGGTTAGGGCTTCACGACATGAATGTTGGGGGGACACAATATTATCAGCCTGTAATATTACTCCGGTATGACTTCATCCTATCTCATTACATCTGCAGCACCCCTATTCCCAAATAACATCACATTCTGAGGTACTGCAGATGAGGACTTCAACATAGAAATTTGAGGAGGAGACAATTCAACCCCTAACAATGAGGAAATTTATTATTTCACAAACAAGGAATTCAGAAGTCGAATAATCACAATGCAGATTAATTCTGTGACCTGGTGGAATCACCAAGGATTGTGATCATCCCATCTTTCTATACTGCTCTTCTTAACATTGACTTCAATTTAAGACAGCCATCCCTTTGGTCTCAAGATGTCTCTAGTGGTTCCAGAAGACAACTTCAAAGGAGGCAGGGACTTTCTCATATCTTTTTGTTAAGAGTGAGGAAACCTTTCTCAGAAGCCTGGAGCTGACTGCCTCCTGCATCTAATTCTGCAGACTGGGCCATGTGCCACCTGTAACCCAGTCTCAGGCCTGGGCAGTGGGGCTGCCATGATGGGCTTTGATGATTCCTCACATCCTGCAGGAGCCAGGCAGAGCTTCCCGTGGAGCACGTGGCTATGTGGGGGAGGGGTGGGGACTTGGACAAAGTGGGGGCTCTCCCAGCAAAGAAGAAGCAGGGAAGGCCAGGTGCAGTGACTCAAGCCTGTAATTGCAGCGCTTTGGGAGGCCGAGGTGGGTGGATCACCTGAGGCCAGGAATTCAAGACCAGCCTAGCCAACATTGTGAAACCTCTTCTGTACTAAAAATACAAAAAATTAGCTGGGTATGGTGGCAGGCGCCTGTAATTTCAGCTACTTGGGAGGCTGAAGCAGGAGAATTGCTTGAACTCAGGAGGCAGAGTTTGCAGTGAGCTGAGATCGTGCCACTGCACTCCAGCCTCAGCAACAAGAGCGAGACTCCATCTCAAAAAAAAAGAAGCAGGGAAATGGGGGTCCCAAGAGCCAAAAGTGCCTGCTCCCTCCACTTTATGTATTTGGAAATCTTGCTTTTTGTTCAGTCTGCCTAGAATTCAGCTACCTACAAGTATGATCTAGCTGGTTGAAGGCTGAGAACCTGTTATCAACCAAGACTGCTGAAGACCTGAAAACTGGTATCACAAGATTGATGCACCTTAGCGATGATATCTTGTATTCAACAGAGAACCTATGAGGAGTTTGTACTCTTTCTTTCCACACAGTTGTACCAAATGTGATTATTTAATTAACAGCATCTTAATATAGTAGAAGAGAACCATAGAAAGTCAATAATAATAGCAAATACAATATTATGCCATTATATGTCAGGCCCTTTACTGAGTGCTGTACGTAATGCAATCCTTACATCAACCTTCTAAGGCAGGGACTGTCGCTAGCCTTTTTTATATATATATACGGAGAAACAGGCACAAAAAGAAGAAATATATCCACAGCTATATGGGTAGTAAGTATAGGATGACCAACAGTTCTAGTTTGACTGGAATTAAAGGAGTTTTGGGAACATTGGACTTTGAATTTTAAAACTGGGAAATCCTGAGCAAACTAACAAGAGTTCGTCACACTAAAACAAGCAAAGCAGGATTCACACCCAGGCAGCCTGGCTCCAGAGTCCGTGCTCTGAAGAGCATTCTATGTGTAGATAAAAGAGAGGTCAGGCTCTGTCAGACTTGGGTTTGAATCGAAGTACTGCCACTTACTAGTAGCTATGACCTTGACCGAGTCAGTTATGTTCTTTAAGCTTTAGTTTCATGACCTCTGAAATAAAAATAACAACTCTCTTTATAGGTTTGTTATGGGTGTCTTATGACATTATACATGTAAAGTGCTTAGCATGGTACCTGCCACATACTCATTTCCAAGTAAGTGTGAATTATTGGTATTAATATGTGGGAAAGGCCAGCAGACAAATTTAAAAGCAAATGATGACAACTAGCAGCAAGAAAGGGAAAAAATATGAGATGCAGCTCGAATATTTTTTAAAGAGTTGTCTAGGACTGTTTAGCACAGAACAGTCTGTCTTTTAGTAAGCCCTGAGTATCACTGAATTAAAATGAAGTTCTAGAGTAAATGTTCAGACATGAAGATGATCTAGAATTGTGTATAAAATATTCAGTTGAGTCAACCATGGTGGCTCACACCTGTGATCCTAGCCCTTTGGGAGGCTGAGGCAGGTGATCACTTCAGCCCAGGAGTTTGAGACGAGTCTGGGCAACGTGGCAAAATCCCATCTCTACAAAAAATACAAAATAATTAGCTGGGCATGGTGGTGCATGCCTGTAGTCTCAGCTACTTGGGAGGCTGAGGTGGGAGAATAACCTGAGCTCAGGAAGTCAAGGCTGCAGTTAGCCATCATCACGCCACTGCACTCCAGCCTGGGTATAGGAGTGAGACCCTGTCTCAAAAAAAATAGTCATTCAAAAAACTCACAATCAACCGGGTGCAGTGGCTCAAGCCTGTAATCCCAGCACTTTGGGAGCCCGAGGCGGGTGGATCACAAGGTCAGGAGATCGAGACCATCTGGCTAACAAGGTGAAACCCCATCTCTACTAGAAATAAAAAAAATTAGCCGGGCGTGGTGGTGCACACCTGTAGTCCCAACTACTCAGGAGGCTGAAGTGGGAGAATAACCTAAGCTCAGGAAGTCGAGGCTGCAGTGAGCCATGATCATGCCACTGCACTCCAGCCTGGGTAATAGAGCAAGACACCGTCTCAGAACAAACAAACAAACCAGGCTAAGGCATTGGTCCCGATTTTCATTTGTGTGTGGCTTGACTTCTTGAACATTTTCTCATCTCCTGAAATGTTGTAGATAGTTTCTTATATGGTTACTATATTCCCTTCTGTGCTTACCCCAATGTTGGGCAGAGAGTAGGTATTTTGGAATTAGGAGCCTTGGGGGCTAGTACTTAATTTGGAAATGATAAATCAGTTGTTTACTTTATGGTACTTTGATGGCATTATCCAATTGCTCTCCTCAAGCTACAATGTCTGAACTCTAACCATTCAAAATTGAAAATAAGGTGGAATCTCTCCTGTTGGGTGCTAATCTGAACTATGAATTATTTGGATTTCAATTATAAAGTGACTGTGTTGAGTTTGATATAAAATTTTGGAATGCCTCTCTCTCGCACGCACTCTCTCTCTCTTTCTGATCTTTGTCTCATTCTGTTTCTCCTCCCAGACAGTTCTCGTTCACACAACAGAGACAGCTCGTCTTAGATATTTCATGGAGTTGTTGCTTGAGAAAGGAAAACCTCTAATGCTAGTAGGAAATGCAGGAGTGGGAAAAACAGTCTTTGTAGGTGACACATTGGCAAGTCTCTCTGAGGATTACATAGTATCCCGTGTGCCTTTCAACTACTACACGACATCCACAGCTCTGCAAAGTAAGTGCACCTGTTTATTTTCTAGAAACAAGGGATCAAAAATCATCAAGGCGGGCACATGCAGCCCAAAAGACTAATAATGCCTTTCCCTAGAATTTAGAGTTGTTGCTTGGGCCTTAGATGAATTTGTACTTATCATCCTTGTTAAATATACGTTGTTTAAATATTGTTGTGATTTTGGCTTTTTATGTCACTCATGGCTTTATTTGGGTGATTATGCTTTAGAACAGCAAGAATATACATCAATAGTGTTAATGTGTTACCTCGAAACCACTGGTTGCTTTTAATTGCATGGAGTCTTACCAATATAAGGGTATACTCAAGGAGGGATGTTCTGGTTACTTTTTCAAGTAAAAGATTAATTTAGGAGAAATTCATTAAAACTGTGTTGAGTAAATGACAGAGCCAAGAGTCATTAATGAAATCTTAAAATCACTAGAACTAGTTTTGAACTATTGAATAACTAATCAACGTAATCAAAAGAACCACACAGATTTGGGGCATTCCCAGAGTTAGGTAGGGTGAGCAAAAGAGACATGGGATGTAGAGAGGAAATCACCGAAAGAGCTGATGTCGGAAGGCCAGTCAATCTCCAGCAGGGAAAGGGGGCTCTGTTGGGGGGCAACCAGACTCTCTGATATCCGGTTGTTTATTAAAACTGTTGAGTTGCCTTGAATGTGGGCTCCTGGGGTATCTGTTTACATGTGGATATATGTTGTTTCCTTAGCTATATCAGTGGAGACTAATAATAAATGTTCTTACTCATTGACATCATTAACAGCCAATAGTGATTTTTCCGTCATCTTTTTTGTTAATCATTTGGTCTTGTCTTTATGAATGGAACCCTTAGAAAGCCAACTCAAGCCAGGTGTGGTGGTACATGCTGGTAATCCCAGCTACTCAGGAGGCTGAGGTGGGAGGATTGCTTGAGCCCAGGAGTTTGAGTCCAGCCCGGGCAATGTATTGAGATACCTGTCCCCCAAAAAGAGCCAATTATTTCATTCATCTATTCAGAAAATACATATTATTTACCTACTTTTTCCCAAGCATTGTGTAGGGTATGTTTTTCATTTGCAGATATGAAAGAAAGACTCTATGATTTATAAATGGAAGATTAAGCTACAGTTCAGTAGTTGAACAAATTACCTATGATGTGAGTGCATCTTGCTATTTCCTAAAAGGAATACAGGCATGAATACGATTTAGAGATGGCCTATTAGTGCGAGGAATAGAAAGAGCTGTAGTTGTCAGTATACTTGTAAAGAGAATTATGATTTCAAACATTTGAGCTGGGGCAACAAATGGGCAAAGAAGATTAGGATAGAAGGACCAGCTTAAGCAAAGACATGGAAGAGAGAGAATTGTGGGACACATTCAATGAATTGAATATGATGACTGAAGCATAGTGATTGGGTGCAAGATATGGAAAAGGCTAAGCTACTGATTTGGAGTTATACTGCAGATAGGGTGACCACCTGTCCAGTTCACCAAAAGACCAAAGTGTTTTCTGGAACATGGGACTTGTAGTTTTAAAACTGGGACAATCCCAGGCAACCACCGATGGTTGATCACACCAACTATAGAGAATGCTGAGATGCAAACTGAGGGGACTGTATTTCATTTGATGGAAAATGGTGAACCATTGATAGGGAAGCAAGGAACTGACAAGGTGGGCACTGTCTTTTGAGAAGAGAGATCTGAGTTGGGGAGATCAGTCCCCCTGAGTAGTATAAGAGCTATATGTAATGTGACCCTGGACCAGAATTGTAGAAAAGGAGGTGGCAAGTTGGGAACATATGGAAATGACATGAAGTACCATTTATAGGCTGTGGTTGGACAAACATGGGACCAGGAGAGAGAGACTACTGGAGGCTTTGCATCTGCCTGACTGGGCATGTTAACCCCCTAAGCAGGACCACAAAGGCAAAAGGAAAGAGGTGAATTGCGAGTGAGGGAGAGATGATGTTAAGCTGAGTTGGAAAAGAGGCAGATTTAGTGTTGGCTGAACGTTGGATGGTAATGGCTAGTAAGAATTAATGCCCAGCAAGTGTTTGGAAATGTGGGTCTGCTTCTTGGAAAAGGTGTTTATTTATTTATGATTCTTTGTTCATTCATTCATTTATTTGTTTGCTCATTTAAAAAAAGTACTTATTGTGGCCATTGTCGGTGGTATAGCAATGAATATGACATAGTTCCTTGGTCTCAAAATACTTATAGTCTGTTTGGAGAGTCAACAAGTAATCAGATACTACATCTCAGACACGCACTGTTCTGGATTTTCTTCACCCAGGACTTTAAAAAAATAGACACAAAGTCATATAGACACAGGAAGAAATGTAAGTTTATGTATTCACGGATAGTGACTACCTTGTGGATAGTGTCTACACACACTGTTCTTGTGCCTCTGCACTCCAGCGGCCTAAGAAGACAGGTATGGGAGACTTTCCTGAGCTGTTCTCAGACTCTTCCGCAGAGATGACAGAGAAGAGAACTGAGAGACCAGGCCATAGCTGGACTAGCAGTGGCCACATAGAATGGGTACGGGGGAGGAAGTACGCAGATCAGCAATTGGGTTGTTTCAGCTGTGATGACAATGTGATGTCATGCTGCACGTGCTGCAGTCTCCATAAAAGGTGAGGTGGAATGACTTCTGGCAACAGGAGGGAGATTGGCAGGAGAGCACGACACAAAAGGAGGGGCCAGAGACACATCCCGGGTCTCTTAACCTATGAAGGGGCGATACCTGAAACCACAGGGTGGATGAAATCGACAGAAGAAGTTAAGAACAAGAGAAAAATGACTAAATGAACATTTACATTCTGTTGATGGGTGGACAGAAATATATGTTTATTTCAGAAATTCTTGAGAAACCCCTAGAGAAAAAAGCTGGTCATAACTATGGTCCTGGAGGAAATAAAAAATTGATTTATTTTATCGACGACATGAACATGCCTGAAGTGGACTTATATGGCACCGTTCAGCCTCACACCCTGATCCGGCAGCATATTGATTATGGACATTGGTAAGCAAGTCTCTGTAGTTTACTCTCTCCCAAAATCTAATAATTATTATGGATAATAATTACTATGGATGAATAATTATTATGAATAATTATTATGGATGAATTATTATGGATGAATTCAAGTGCAATTATCCCCAGTTTCTTCTAAGGAATATCTTTTGGGTTTGCTTTGTATCTCTTTTCATCATATTAAGTGTAATAGTTTCCCTTTGTATCTTTGGAAGATTGGATTGAAAAGTGTCTCAGAAATGTTAAGACTGTCCGGAAATCATGTCCTCTTTAAGAATTAACTCACACTTAATTATTTAAGAGAAATTTGATCTTGTTTGGCAGGGTGTAAATGTTTGGGCACTGTAGTCTGCAATCCCTGACAATTAACTACAGGGACAGCCCCCAGCACATCCATGGAGTCTTGCTATGGGTACAAGATAGTTTCTACAGAGTAACATGAGAATCAATAAGCAGTAATAGTTTACATTGACGCAGCTCCAGATCTTGATTTTTGTCATCAAATGAGCTAAGTCAACTTCAGTTTTTTGAGCTTCAGTTTTGATGTCTCTCAAATAAGGCTCACTAGGTCAACCTCACAGAGTGATTATGAAGATAAGGAGGTAATCTGCGATGAAGACCTTTATGAACTGTTAGATTTTGCTCTTTTGTCATCTCCAGTTTTTGGATTTAAGGTTCTGTTTTCTGTCTTTCAGGTATGATAGACAGAAGGTGATGCTTAAAGAAATCCATAACTGCCAGTATGTCGCCTGCATGAATCCGATGGTGGGCAGCTTCACCATCAATCCCAGGCTACAGGTAGGGTGTTGAATACTGCTCTCAAAAACTGTAGGTCTGTATTGTATTGTTTTCGAGTACAGCTTAGGATTCCTATGGGACATCTTGTTAAGCACGTTTCTCATGGCAGCTGTACTATATTTTATTCCCACTAACAACAGACAGGGGTTCTAATAAGCCTTTTTGTTTTAATTGGTAGACTTTATTTTTTATATCAAAGTTTATAGCAAAATCAACTGGCAGTACAAATAATTCCTATGTACTCTCTTAATGCCCCCACTTGTTTTACCCTATTATTAACATCTTGCATTAGTTACAATGATCAGCCAATATTGACACATTATTATTAACTAAAGTTCAGAGTTTACATCGGGATTCCTTCTTTGTATTATACGTTCCAGGGGCTTTTGACAGACATATAATGACAAGTATCAGCTGTTAACAGTATCATATAGAATAGTGTCACTGCCCCAAAATCTCTGTACTCTACCAATTCATTCCTCTCTCTTTTCCCTCTGAGTCCCTGGTAACAATTGATCTTTTGTCTTTTCTTTTCTATTATTATTGTTGTAAAATACATGTTACAAAATTTACCACATTAACCATTTCAAGTGTACAGTTCAGTAATATTAACTACATATGTAATGTTGGGCAGCCAAGATCACCACCCATCTCCATAACTCTTTTCATCTTGTGAAACTGAAACTCCACCCACTGAGCTCCCCTTTTTCTCCTCCCCACTTTCCCCTGGCAACCACCATTCTACTTTCTGTGTCTATGATTTTGACTATTTTAAGTACCTCATATACGTGGAATTATCCAGTATTTGTCTTTTTGTGGCTGGCTTATTTCACTTAGCATAATGTCTAGGGTTCATCCAGTTACGGCATATTGCAGAATTTCTTTCCTATGTAAGACCGAGTCATATTCTAGTACATGTATTTACCACATTTTCCTTAGTTATTCATTCGTTGATGGACACTTGGGTTGCTTCCACACTTTAGCTAATGTGAATAATGCTGCTGCGAACATGGATGAACAAATGTATCTTCAAGACCCTGCTTTTAATTCTTTGGGGTGTACACCCAGCAATACAATTGCTGCATCATATCGGAATTCTACTTTTAATTTTTTGAGGAATCATCATACTGTTTTCCATGACAACTATACCTTATTTTATTCCCTACCAATAGTGCATCAGGGTCCCAGTTTCTCTATATCCTCACACATATTTATTTGCTGTTTTGTTTTGTTTTTTGACAGTAATCATGCTAATGAGTGTGAGGCAGTATCTCATAGTTATGATTTGCATTTTCCTAATGATTAGTGATGTTTTTTATGTGCTTATTGTTCATTTTTGTATCTTCTTCGGAGAAACGTCTATTCAAGTCTTGTGCTTATGTTTAAATTGGGTTATTTTGTTGTCATTGAGTTATAAGAAGCCTCAATGTATTCTGGATATTAATCCCTTAGGCACTGATATTTTCTCTGTTTCTATAAATTTTGCCTTTTCCAGAATTTCATATGATGAGAATCATAGGGTGTGTAGCCTTTCCAAATAGGCTTTTTTTTCCACGTAGCTTAACTATGCATTTAAGATTTCTCCATGTCTTTCCGTGGCTTGATAGTGCGTCTGTTTTTATTGCTGAATAGTGGTCACTGTATGAATGCATCACAGCTTGTTTATCCATTCATCTACTGAAGGACACCTTGGTTGCTTTCACTTTTGACAATTATGAAAGAAGCTGCTATAAACATTTGTTTGCAGGTTTTGTGTTTGCGTAGAAGCTTTTTAATCATGACAACAGCAACAGCTACCCCCAGCATACATTCAGTAGCATACAGTGGTTGCTTACGCATCTGGACTCAGCTGAGACTGAGCTCAGTGACTGCTGATCTTGGCTGGGCTCATCTGTGCATGTTGGGGATAAACTGTCAGTTAATTTGATGTGGCTTTGGCTGGAGTGACTGTGACAACATGACCCTGCTTTATGTGTCCCTCATACTTTAGGGCCTGCAGAGTTTATGGCAAAGTCAGAGGCTTAACAAAGTAAGGAGAAATATACACCTCTGACAACGAGTGGCACACTGTCACTTCCACCTCATTCTGTTGGCTTAAGTAAATCACATGGCCAACCCCAGAGTCAGAGTGGAGCACTAAAAAGCTACATGGTAATGGGCCTGGATACAGGGAGGAGTGAAAAAAAATCAGGTCTTTGCAATTTTCTGGTACAATTGTAATCCTTACACTCTTATATTTGCTTTTCTTTTCAGAGACATTTCACAGTGTTTGCATTCAATTTTCCATCTTTGGATGCACTAAACACCATCTATGGCCAAATCTTTAGCTTCCATTTCCAACAGCAAGCATTTGCTCCATCAATTCTCAGGAGTGGCCCCACTTTGATCCAGGCAACAATAGCATTCCATCAGACAATGATGTGTAACTTTTTACCCACGGCTATTAAATTCCACTACATCTTTAATCTGAGAGATTTATCAAACGTCTTCCAGGTACCTTGACTGCTCTATGTTATGCCTCTTGAGTAGAGAAATAATGATAATACTATGTATTAGCCCATTTTTTATGTCACTATAGAGAAACACCTGAGGCTAGGTAATTTATAAAGAAAAGAGGTTTAATTGGCTTATGGTTCTGCAGGCTGTGCTAGCATGGCCCCAGCATCTGCTTCTGGTGAGGGCCTCAGGAGCTGACAATCGTGGTAGAAGGTGATGGGGAGCCAGCATTTCACATTTTGCATGGCAAGAGCAGGAGCAAGAGAGGGAGTGGAGGCAGGTCCCCAAACTTTTAAACAACCAGATCTTGCATGAACTAACTGAGTGAGAATTCACTTATTACGGAGGGGATGGTGCTAACCATTGATGAAGGATCTGCCCCCATGATCCAGTCACCTCCCACCAGGCCCCACCTCCAACACTGGGAATCGCATTTCAACCTGAGATTTGGAGGGGGCACACATCCAAACCATTACCATACTGTTAACGGTGTTCCTTTATAAAACAGCTTAAAACTATGCTATATACTTTTGTATGTATTCTTTAACTTTACTCATAAACTTCTCAGGAAGTAAGTATGGCAGGTTTATTATTTCCATTTCATCAATGAGAACGGTGCTTCTCCTCAGGTCATATAATGTCTTTGTCTGCGCTTCCGTGACAAAATACCCGAGATTGGGTAATTCATAAATAATAGAATTTTATTTCTCACAGTTCTGGAGGCTGGGAAGTCCATGATTAAGGCACTGGCAGATTCAGTGTCTGGTGAGGGCCTGGTCTCTGCTTCCAAAATGGTGCCTTAAGTGGTGCATCCTCACAGGGCAGAAAGGACAGAGCAAATCGGGCAAATGCCCAGCACCCCTTTCATTAGATCACGTTGCCCTCATGACAGTCACCTCCTAAAGGCCTCACCTCTTAATATTGTTACATGGGCAATTAAGTTTCAAGACATGAATTGTAGGGGCCGTTCAGGCCATGGCATATGGTGACTTGGCAGTGGAAGCAAAGGTAGATGTCTGGGCTCTTTAGATTGAGTGAGTGAGTGCTTACTGTTTTGAGTGCCAAGTAAGAAGGATAAATGATCATGTGTTTGCATAAGGCACTTATGTGTGATTTTAAACATATATGAAGAGAAATAGCAACTTTTAAATAGTTGGATCATTTTGGTTTAATATTGAAAATTACCTTGCTTACCTGGTAAAAGGACAGTGTTTATGTATTTGACTTAGGAAATTCTGAAGGGGAAATTGAAAGTCTGGAATTATTTTTTTAAATCCGACTAATGTGGTCTACCCTGTACAGTAAAAATGGATGGCTGAAATTTCTTTTGTGACAGAGGTGGTATATTGATGAAATACGAAAACTCCATAGGACCTCTTTATATTTTTGTAACCGTCTTTTCAGTATCACTCCACAACTGCCTCAAAACCATAACACAGCATTAGGCAGTAGCTTCTTATGAACACGGAGCAATTCTTTTCGTGTCTGTGTATCTAGCTCCTGCCAGAAAGATTGCTTAATACCGTGCTGTTTAAAAGCAGAATTTTAATCTCAGAAGGAAAGGGAAGAGAGGTCATAGGTGAAATGGGACGAGAGGACTGCCTGCTCACCCTTCATATCCTGCCTGTCAGCTGCACCTGACACTACCAAATAATTTTTTAGCCTTTTGCAGCTCAGTTCTCCACAACTCCCTTACTGTTCTCCTGTGCATCCAGAGTAAGCTGCCTCTCTCCATGAGGAGTGAGTGCGTGTGAATCTAAGATACTGAAAGCACCATGAGTGAGCAAGGGAGTCACAATGTGTTGGTGCTAGACCCACATCTACCCATGAAGTATGAGTCTGGGCACTTTACTCTTGGTCTTGTATTCTTCATCTGTGAAATGATTAGACTGATATCAAGTGATTTTATAGTAAAAAAAATATGATTCTGTGACTTTCATGTTAGCTGTTTGTACTCTGGTTTTGTAAACTTAGTCCATTGTAAGGCTTAATAGGCTCAAGTACTCAGATGTGATATTTAGTGCCTGTGCTGGCACTTGAAATGGTCTTACTCGCATACCTAAAAATGGGTATAAGCATACTAAAATTTTAAAATATTGCACTTATCAAAGAGTAAACCTACTTTTATACACGAACACGCACATTACTATTGATGATATTTCTTTTAACCATTTGCTAAGTTCACATTTTAGTTTAAAAAGTGTTAAACTCATTTGACATGTCATCAGCCTCTGAATTAAAGGTATTTTCCCCATTCTTGCCTTGTAGGGGATTTTATTTGCTTCTCCTGAGTGTTTAAAAGGTCCACTTGATTTAATACATCTGTGGCTTCATGAATCTGCCCGTGTTTATGGAGACAAACTGATAGACAAAAAAGATTGTGATTTGTTTCAGAGAAGAATGCTGGAAACTGCTTATAAATATTTTGAAGTAAGCGTATGAATGTCAGAGGTCACTACTTACTCCAACACCAACTGGGTATTGGGACTAAAGTTAGATGAGGGTATGAGAGAAGTGCACAAGGGCTTACCTTTTTGCAATGGCTGTGAATCCAGAATACACTTGGTCTATGCTTGGGAACATTCCACCCACCTACCCATGTGTGGGTCTGCAAGCTTTTCCCTTGCTAGGCCATGCTGCCTGCAGCTGGACCTCTATGGATGGTTGACATGCCATATTTTTCTCTTTCTCATCCTGCAGGGTATAGATAGTCACATGCTGCTTCAACAGCCCCTCATTTATTGCCACTTTGCTGATAGAGGGAAGGACCCACATTACATGCCAGTGAAGGACTGGGAAGTGCTGAAGACGATTCTTACAGAAACGTTAGACAACTACAATGAACTAAATGCTGCCATGCACCTAGTTTTGTTTGAAGATGCCATGCAACATGTGTGAGTTAACTAGTCACGATGCTTTTCCACAAAAGGAAGAATGGCTGGATATCCACTACTGTCATTTTTCAATAGATCATACTAAGCACTCTGAACCATCAGTTCTTATCTGCTGTTTGACATATAATTTTAAAATATAAAAGGGTCGCTTTTTAATGTCACAATCTTAATAATGTCTTACATAGGCACACTGTTTTCCGAGATGCCATCATATCCATTATTTTACTTGAATATTAAGAAAGTGGAAACATAAATTACTTGTTCAAAGTCACATAGTTCATAAGGGACAAAGGACTAATTTTCATTGATTAAGCAGGTTTTGTTGAGTGCCAGATAGGAACATTGCCAGCCTTTCAGCAATTTTGTGCAAATTCTTTAAAATGGGGGAGGGCTCATGCTTTCTTGGCAGAAAATTAGAAAAAGGCATCTGTCCTTGGATAGAGCATGGCTGACAAGGTTCTCGCTCACCTCCTAGACCTGGTACCTCATGTAGTGCACAGACTGTGCAACCATCTGCAGCCCTCCTATGGGACATTGTTCTAGGTGCTGAGATACAGCAGCAGTGAACACAATCCAGTCCCCTCTGTAGTTGAGCTTACATGTTAGCGACGAAAATGGACATTTATAAGGACATGAACAACTAAACAAGAGAATAAGCAAGAAAAATATCAGAAAGTGATGTGTCATGCCAAGAAGGAAAATAGGTTGATTCTGTGAGAAATACAATAAGTGAATTTCCAAAGAGGGACTGGGCATCCCTGTGAAGAGGTGACATTTAAAGCGAGACCTGAATGATAAGTAGGTGCTAAGCATGGAAAGATCTGGAGGAAGAACATTCTAGACAGAGAGCAGATTGCATCTGACCCTAAGGCAAGAATGTTTGAGATACAGAAAAGAAGATCAGTTAGGCTGCAGCATAGAGAAAAATATAACAAAAATGGAGAGGCAGGAACTGGCCTTACCAATACGAAGTATTTCCTTGTAACCAGAATAAGGAACTTTGATTTTATTCTAAGTGCAGTGAGAAGTGGTTGGATGGGTTTTACCCTGGGGATGACACAGTTCATTGTGTCTGGGCTAAACAGCTTAACATTGCCACTGCTGTGTAGAAAGTTGATCACATGTTTACATCCGATACTGCTCTCCTAGTCCAAGTCACCTTCATCTGTCATTGACACCAGCAGGAAGACTTCAATAAGTGACAACAGCCAAAGACTTAAACAGAAAAAGAAAAAAGAAATCATTGAAAACAAGAAGAGGCTGAGTGTGGTGGCTCACACCTGTAATCCCAGCACTTTGGGAGGCTGAGGCAGGAGGATCACTTGAGGCCAGAAGTTTGAGACCTGTCTGGGTGACATAGTGGGACCCCATCTCTACAATTTTTTTTTAATGAGCTGGGTGTGGTGGTATGTGCCTGTAGTCTCAGCCACACAGAAGGCTGAGGAGGGAGGACTGCTAGAGCCCAGGAGTTCGAGGTTGCAGTGGGCTAGGATTATGCCACTGCACTCTAGCCTAAGCAACAGAGTGAGACCCTGTCTCTCAAAAATAAAAGACAAGAAGAAGGAAAAATCCAGAGAAAATAAGATGTGGAGAATTCAGTTTTTAGAAGAATTAATCTTTAAAATTTTCTTAGGCCCTAGAACCTACAAAAATTGTAGAGCCCTTCCTGTCACCACAACTAACTGTTGGTAGTTTTATTGATCCCTTTGCAGTTGTGATCCTTCCTCTGATTGTGCAAAGGAAGTTTCAGTTGGAATCTAAAACCATGGTGTTAAATCAACTATTAGTAATGCTGTCTCGGGTTGGGTTAATATACAGTCATTGTGTATGGGCGTCCTGGCTGAGGTGAAACAGAAACCTCCCATTGATACTGAGGAAAAGAGTTTTCCCATATAATCCCTCAATACAGAATTTTCAGTGGCCTAAAAGGTAAGGCTGTTTCTTTGATCAGGGATTATGAGCTAGAAGCTGATTTACTCAGCATTAGAGGTGATTTCAGAGCGTGTCCTTGAGTGTTATAGAAAGGGACTTTGCCACTTAGTGAATCTTGTGAGGTTAAAAGCCTCAAAGCATACATTAAAATGAAATGAAAACCCTGTTTTATAGCTTGGGGTATCTCTCATGTCAGAGTAATTTTATAGCTTTCCCCAAGGTTGTTTTGTTGTGTGGTCATGTGAAGTAAAATTTAATGTGATGACTGAGCTTGTAAAAATAACCTATCTTCTCTGTTACTGGAGGTTTTCAGAAAATGTTCACATGTGCTGGTCCTAATATAAGTGATCCCAACTTAGTTTTTTCAAAAAGCACTATTTAAAACAATTTATGCAGTTTGTTCAGGTTCTGAAGTTTAAGTTCATTTCAGAAAAGCACCCTAGAGCAAAATGATGGCATCAAATTTGGGGTGTTTTACTATCTACATGCCTATATTTTGTTTTGTTGGTTTTCTTAATATTTATAACATAATTATGAACTATTTCTTCAAACCCATCTTTTGCTAAAGTTAAAGCGAGTTTATTTATAGCTGTAAAATATAGCATAATATAAATAGATTAAGCATTCAGAATGCCTTGGATATTATAGAACAAGGGATTAGTTGGCCTTGGTGGAAATTTAACTTTGTGTTACTGAATGGCTTCAGCAAATTATTCTACAATGGTGTAGTTACAAGGGAAGGCTTTAGTGTGAAGGAAGCAAGAATCACATTAAGAAACAAGTGCTTGATTTGCTGAGTAAATCACACAGAGAGATCTGTTGGTCTAAACAAATCCATTCTTTCCAAAATAATTCTACAGCAAAGATTTCTGGCACAAGGCTATTCCCCCTTTGATGTCCTCATACTTGGGTGCTGATGTGGAATTCGGATCTTTCTTGCTAATCAAAATATTTTGAAGCCCTTAACACAAGGCCTTTGCATATATTTTCTTTTTGGACTTTTGGTGGTGACAACAAAGCTCTAAGAGAATCCAAAGTGTTATTAGCAGAGGATGATTTGTCTTGGGAGCAGTTCAAGGGTTAGGGTGAAGGTAGCGTCTTTGTTTGATGGGGAAACAAATGAACAAGGACTAGAGGTTTCCAGTAAAAACTGGAATTTAGTCTCTCACTATACTATTTATCTAAAGAATAAACAAAACAGACCCAGGCCAGGCGCAGTTGCTCATGCCTGTAATCCCAGCACTTTGGGAGGCCAAGGCGGGTGGATCACTTGAGATCAGGAGTTCAAGACCAGCCTGGCCAACATAGTGAAACCCCGTCTCTACTAAAAATACAAAAATCAGCTGGGCATGGTGGTGAGTGCCCGTAATCCAACTACTTGGGAGGTTGAGGCAGGAGAATCACTTGAATCTGAATCCGGGAGGCGGAGGCTGCAATGAGCCAAGATCGCGCCACTGCACTCCGGCCTGGGCAACAGAGCAAGTCTCCATCTCAAAAGCAAATAAATAAATAAAAATAAACAGAACAGACATAGTCCCGGGGCATTTTCGATTTTGTGCCATAATGGGCGCTTCCTTTCCTCAGGTGTCGCATCAGCCGGATCTTACGAACCCCTCAGGGCTGTGCTCTCTTGGTTGGAGTTGGGGGCAGTGGCAAGCAGAGCTTGTCCAGGCTGGCAGCTTACCTTCGTGGCCTTGAGGTCTTTCAGATCACTCTGACCGAGGGCTATGGAATCCAGGAACTTCGGGTGAGTCAAGGGGACAGGCAGTTCTTCTGACCCTTCTGCTTGGCAGATAAAGCCGAGGCTCCTAGTGCGCCCGTGTGGGCTGTGACTCCCAGATTTGGCCAAGGCCTCCCCAACCACGGGAGAGCGGGAGCTCTTTAAAGCAGTAATTGACCTTTGGCGGTTTTGCCTTTATGGTCAAATTAGTAATAATAAATTTCTACAAGTTTTGTGTAGGTTTAATAACATGTAAACCTGGCTCAGAAAATATTTACTTAAACACTTGCTTACACAAATGTCTTTCTGTTTTCTATTAATCAAACCTGATGCGTATTGCTGTTAGTGTTCCTGTATGATAGGTTGGGGAAAAAAGACACTAACTTCACAAGTAAAAATAGATTTCTTCCACATTGGATAAGAACAGGAGAAGAAGATGCAAGAGGAATAACACGTTTAGGAAACTCTCGTGTGTTTTTCAAGCTTTGCTTTTTAATAACAATAGTACTTACAAAATAGTACCTACAATTTGTGCCAAGTGATATTTTAAGTTTTAAAAAATCACATATTTTTAATATTACTAATGAAATAAACCCGTTTTCGAAAAAATAGGACAGTTGTTAAAATGAGCAGGCTTCTTTTTACGGCCCTGCCTGAAAAAGGCGTCGCTGAATTCACTTGTACACAGTGAGAAGGGAGTTGGTGATCTGTAGCCTGTTTTCATCCCTCTGCTCCAGTAAGCCAGAAACACGACACTCAACCTTACGAGTCAGCAATGGAGGTGGTGTCACAGTGCTGTCCCCTAGAATGGGGTCTCTCAGAGAAGGAATATGTAAACCAGGGAAAGGCACCCCACAGTGCTATGGCGATACAGTTACTGAGTTCTCCCCAGCACTCACACACAACCTCTCAACGCCGCATCAGCATTTTAACAAAACATGAGTGATGGCCTTTCCTTACAGGTAGATCTTGCCAATTTGTACATCCGAACTGGAGCCAAGAACATGCCCACTGTGTTCCTGCTGACAGATGCCCAGGTTCTAGATGAGAGCTTCCTCGTGCTGATTAATGACTTGCTGGCATCAGGTGATTAAACCAACACATTTCTTGAAAGATCTTCCCCAATGACAAATTATCTGTAGTTTCAGTGAACTTTAAAGAGAGAGAATTCGTCTTTGAGATGTTTGCTGGGCAGTCTTTGGGGAGAAACCTATAAACCTAACTAATTTGAGGTGTATTGCTTTCTTAGTCTGTTTATGGATGAGAAGGCCTTCAGTGAAGTAAATGTTATTCTTACACGTACGGGTGTAGAGGGTGTGTTCACCATGGCTCGTCTTCAACGTGTTGTATGTCTCGTAAATAAAAAAGAAACATGACGTTTCTGATTTTAAACTCTTACCATTTATGCTGAACTTTGTCTTGTAAAACATTTCAAACGTTTAAAAGTTATATGTAAAATTTAAATTGCAATGATCTTTTAGTAATTCTACTCATTCTTTGGGGCAGGAGAAATCCCAGATCTGTTCAGCGATGAAGATGTGGACAAGATAATTTCTGGAATTCATAATGAAGTTCATGCTCTGGGCATGGTAGACTCCAGGGAAAACTGTTGGAAATTCTTTATGGCCAGGGTGCGACTACAGCTCAAAGTAAGAAATACTTGCTTAATTTGCATGTTAGTTAAAACCTGCTATTGCAACTCTCTGGTTCTATTCTGAGTTTTTTATTATGAGTTTGAATTTCAGTCATGCATTTTGAAAGGACGTGTGCATTTTTACACGCCTGTATCTGGAGCGTACCTTCCTAAAGTGTCCCATGATGCTGGGCTCCTGCAAAGCATTGCTGAGCGGTGTGTGCAGTCCTCAGCTGAAGTGCATGTGGTCTGTGCCATTGAGGAACTTACACTATTGTAGAACACAGGAGACATCACAAATAATTATCATACAGTATAAATATAAACAGTGCTGTGGGATTGCAGAGGAGCGCAGCATCCTTCCTCACTGGAGCTGGTCATCCTGGAGGAAATGATGGGCCACGTGTTTAGCATGGAGAAGAATTCAAGGGGAGGAACTTTCAGGGACGGGAAATGGCATTTATATAAAGGTCAACTGCACGGTACGGATTTGCAGAAACCCAGATTACCTCTAAAGGCCTGGAACATAGAGTTCTTATAGGGAGAGTGAGATCAGTAAATCTGGAAAAGTAAATTGGAAGAGATAAGAGGTTTCTAAATCATGAAGTGAGTAGTGAGGAGAGTTTTGAATTAAGAAAGTGATGATGATGTCAGTGACTTCAGGGAAAGGAATTTAGAAGTAACACTCAGATGGGCCGGGTGCAGTGGCTCACACCTGTAATCCCAGCACTTTAGGAAGCCATGGTGGGTGGATCACCTGAGGTCAGGAGTTCAAGACCAACCTGGCCAACATGATGAAACCCCATCTCTACTAAAAACACAAAAATTAGCCAGGCTTGGTGGCATGTGCCTGTAATCCCAGCTACTTGGGTGGCTGAGGCAGGAGAATCACTTGAACCCAGGAGGCAGAGGTTGCAGTGAGCCAAGATCGCGCCATTGTACTCCAGCCTGGGTGACAGAGTGACACTCTGTCTCAAAAAACAAAAGAAGTAATGCTCAGATGTTCTGAAGGATTACCCCAGTGTTCTTCCTCATTGGCTGCTCTGTGCTATAGTGTATCACATAGGCAGATAATATAACCAGATAATAGATCAGTAAAGGTCAAGTATCACAAGAAAACAGGGAGAGCCTCCAAACTCATCAGGAAGCCAATTTAAGAATGCTGCTAGGGAAAATTCAGGCTTTCTAGTATGGAAACTAGGAAAGCTGCTACTTTACTGTTGCTTCTCATATTGTTATGCCTGTCAAGTTAGTGGCAGGCTGCGGCGGCTATAGAGCTGGAGTATTTAAGGATAGGAGACGGGTACTGGCATTGGCCCTGAATATGCCTTAGATTGGAGGTTAAGGAGCAGAGTCATTAAGTTTCTCCAACATTCTGCTATTTCAAGTTTCACGTTAATCTTACTGAGCAATTCTAGGTTAGAAGGTTAGAACTTAAGATTCAGTTGCCCAAAGAGCTTTTTCTCCATCAAAAATAGGACTAAGAATACATTTGTCAGGTAGTAACAAGGCCAGGGATTTCTTCCTGTTCCATGGTGATATACTAGGATCAAATTTTCTTTATAGAATGGGAAAACAAGTACAGTGTTAGAATTTGAGGTAGTAATAGTATAAATCAATGATTATCGTAATCTGTTGCTCAGAGCTGCAGAATCAACATCAACAAGCAACTTTTTAAAAATGCATTTTCTCCAACTCCAAGCCAGACCTCCTGAAGCAGAAACTTTGGGTGGCCCCAGAAATCTGTCTTAACAAGGCCTCCAAGTGATTCAGAGGCATGATGAAATTTAAGAGCCATTGTTATAAATAGTGCTAGAATGAGCATTGTTTGTGTATATCTTTCATGCTCAACTTTGCTTGCTTCTACAGGATAAATTCCTAGAATGGATATTGCTAGATTCAGTAGTTACAGCTTGTGGTAGTTTTAAAACATGCCTTCAAATTTTTAGATGCTCTTCTTACTTACAGGTGACATCTAGATCCCCTCTTCTTGAATTTGGGTGGGTAGCTTGTGACTGCTTCAGCTAATATCCAGTATGGCAGAGGTGATGCTGAGCAACAACTAAGGCTGAGTCATAAAGGGCTCACTTTTCTATTGGATTGTACATATTTTTGTAAGAGTTCTATGTATTTAGGCAATTATTCTTATATATGTGTCTCATGTATATTTTTCCTATTCTTTTGTTTGTCTTTTAAATGTACTTATGGCACATGTTTGTTTATAGGTCTGTAACTTTCCAATTTTTTAAAGGTTTACATGTTAATCAGTGTTTTCCTTAATGGATCCTCAGATCCATTTCTTGTAAATTTAGAAAAGTATTTTACTCTTCAAGATAATCTTTTTTATTTTTTATTTTTATTTATTTACTTATTTATCTTTTGAGACAGAGTTTCACTCTTGTTGCCCAGGCTGGAATGCAATGGCATGATCTGAGCTCACTGCAGCCTCTGCCTCCTGGGTTCAAGCAATTCTTCTGCCTCAGCCTCCTGAGTAGCTGGGATTACGGGTGCCTGCCACCACACTTGGCTAATTTTTTGTATTTTTAGTAGAGACGGGGTTTCACCATGTTGGCCAGGCTGGTCTTGAACTCGTGGCCTCATGTCCACCCGCCTTGGCCTCCTAAAGTGCTGGGATTACAGGCATGAGCAAGATAATCTTTACTAGAAGCAGTCGGAACTCAAATTGAGCTACAGTAAGAGAAAACTCAACAGTTTCTTAAAGCCTCTCACAATAGCAAGTCCAGACTGGCTCAGTATTACCCTTAGAGGCCCTTTAGAAGAGATGCTTGTCTCATCTTTCCCTTCTGCCTGCTTTCATCGTGATGCCTCTTGCCTCCTGATCACAGGTGGGTGCAGTATGTTCATGTTCCAGGCAGGGGGAAGGAAGGGGAAGAGGACCTGGAGACTCTGTACCAGGAAACCTAAGCTCCTCCCCCAAACCCTAAGCTCATGTCTTACTGGCCGCAAATGCTTCCCATGCTGCCTCCGGCTACTAAGGAGTCTGAGGGAGTAAATATTTAATTTGGGGACATTGCCTTTATGAGTACAATTTGAAATGGATTTTGGAATAGTTTTAAAAAGGAGCAGTATCAGTCATTCCAGTGCCTATGTGCTTTCATGCTCTTTAAAACTTTTCTACCTCTGAAATACATTTTTTATTAAATACGGTAAAGTGTGAGCTGAGAGGTTTCAGGTTATTTTTCCCAAAAAGATGTCTTCTTGTCTAAACAACATGTATTTCTTCCTTATCAGCTTCAAATACCATCTTTAGTGTATGTCCAATAGCCATATTAATTGTGTCTGTTTCTAAATTCTCTGTTCTCTTTTCTTGTTAACTGTCTGCTACTGATTTCAGCATTGCACTATAAATTAGTAAAGCTTTATCATTTATTTTCATTTCCAATTGCTCTTTCTTGTTAAGCTTTTTCTACTTATTCTCCTGTGTTTATATGTTTGGATAAGGATTAGCATCATTTTGTCAAATTCTAAACACACTCCATGTCAATTTTGATCGAAATCATGCTGAATGCTTATTTTATATTAGAATTTAATCTTCAGGGTACAATGTCTTTTATTGCTTTTATAGAAGGATTTCGTAAAGTTTTGTAACGGTGTATTATTTGTATATAGGAGAGCTGTTGATTTTTAACTTTATAAACAGCTACCTTACTGTCTCTCTTATAGTTTATAATAGTTGGTTGATATCATATAGCCTGCAGGTAAAGATATTTTGTCTCTCCTGTTATTCTGTTTTTCTGTTCTCCTCCCTCATTGCATTGGTAAATATTACAGAACATTAAATAATTTTGATAATAGTAGGAATTCTGTCTTGATTCTTACTTTAATGGGGATGTGTCTAATGTTTCACTGTTAGGTCTTATGTTGGCTTTTGATTCAGAATATGTATCTTGTCAAAGAAGTATCTACCTAGTAAATTCATTTTCAGGATCTATTGAGATATGTATATGTTTTTCTCCCTTGGACTTACTAATATTCATATAATACAGAATGATATACAGAAGTTTTACATTTTTATATTTTTATATCCATCAGCCTTTTTCTTTGTTTCCTTTGGGTCTGTGTGTAGGCAGACCTTACTGAAACTGAGATCAGTTTTATATTCATCTCTATTGTTGTCTAATCCTTTTTATGGTCTCATTTTTTATTTAACTCAATACAAGATGGAATTTATTTTTGAGTTAGATGTGGATAATTTCCCCCCCCACCCCATCATCACAGGACTATTAATTGAATGACCTGTCTCTTCCCTACTAAAATGAGTAGGAAGTTGGTTTTTTTTGTTTTTGTTTTGTGCTGTTTTGTTTTTAACATCAAGTAGAAATAGGATATCTCTGTCAGAAGGGATCCCACTTCTGATCCCCTTTGGCCTTGTCACTCAGTTTGATCCACCCTGTGGAAGGCTAATGGTCAGCACCATGACCTCTTTACCTTGAGGGAGAAATATTACGGTAAAAAATGGGCAGTCTTTTAGCCTGAAAATACCAGCTTCTTTCTTTTAATTTATGTATGTTACCCCCACATCCTTGGAATTTTAAAGAATTCCAAATTGCTCTATGTTATTTTCAGATATCATGATATTCACCAGTGTGTACTAAAGACTCAGAATTTCTGATGAGCTGATATCTCCTTTGCATAAGTTCCAAACCAGGCATCATGGAAAGCTTAATGTGTTACAGGGGGTTGGTGAACACACCTGGCAGGTCGAGCTAAATGATGTGAAGTTGCCACCCCATTACCCATGCTCACCGCCCAAAGTCAGTTCCCACTTGGAATGCAGAGACAATGAGAACCTGTTGGCATGCAAAATGTGACCTCTGAATGCCAGAGGGCAGTTCCCATTAACAACCATCAGATGTGTGTCCTTGGATTGCCTCAAATAAGGCAATGAATAGCAATGCCAAATGCCTTCTCTCCTTCACATTTGTCTATATGCATCTTTTCCCACACAGTTCTCATCTTGCAGCTCGAATATAGAACTTTCATCTCCTCTCCAGTGGACCTTAGTTCACCCAATAATTTTTCTTTCTTACTTTCCTTCCTGGCCATATGATGCTGTAGGGCAAAGGACACTTGATTTATGTAGCAGCCCCTGATTCCATCCCAAGATTTTAGATATTTGCCTCATTATCTTTCTAAGTATATATATATATAGTTATCCATTTCTGATAATTTAAAAAATATGTGTTCATTGGAGAGAATTTAAAAATACAAAACAATGTAAAAAATATTTTTAAATTACCCTTAATAATATTGTCTGGAGATAACATATTGGTATGTTTCCTCTCAGTCTTCTATGTGCACATAAACATGAAGTATATATTCAGAACTAAAAAATTTCTATTTACCTCTCACGCAGTCTTCTTTAATTACCTTCCCATTTGTCTTTCTGATTAGAAGGCTCCCATAGGAGGTAAAAATCAAATGATCAAGAATTTGGTGTATGGAATGAACTATTTAATTGAAATATACTTTATTCTAAATAACTATTTGTAGAAAATGTCCTTTATCCACTTATAGCTTTTTCCAAATTTCCTGTTGGTTTGCTGTAACTTCTTATTGTTGGTTATAGGAGCACTTTATATAATCGATGTTATTTATATGTCCAGAATGTTCTGGTTTTAGGTGTTTCCAGTTTTAATTTATCATAATTCTGCTAACTTTATGATGACCTCCTGTTTTACATTCATATTTATTAAAAATGTTAAATTTTTATTTTATGGCTTTCATGTGTTAAGGCTTTTTTAGGAAGCAATTTTTGCACTCCATGGTTATAAAAACTATTATTCTGAATTTTCTTTAAATTAATTTATAATATTTTTAATGTTCAGCCATACAGTTTTGTGTAAATTATAAGATGGCTTTCCTACTGTTCCACCCCTGAATACCCTCAACACCGTTTATTATATAATCTCTCTTTTATCACTGATTTGAAATGATGTTTATCTCATATATTAAATGCCTAAATATATAAGATTCTATTTGGGGCTGTCTGTTATGTCCCATTAATTTGTTCCTGCATAATTGCCACACTGCATAATAAACACAGATAATTGGTGTGTTTATTATAGCCCTATAGTATATTCTGGAATCTAGTAGAGCAAGATCACCTTCCTTTTCTACATTTACTTAGTTATTTGCACCTTTAATTTCCTGGATTAACTATGAAATCAGTTTGATGACTTTTTAAAAAATTCAATGAAAATTGAATTTAGGGGATAATGGATATAATTACAATATTGAGTATTTTTGTTCATTCACCTACACTGTTTTCCTTGTTATAATTTAAGGTTTTTTCTTGATAGTGTGAGTTCTTTCCCAAAACAAAGGATATTTTTCCAGATATCCTTTGATTTTCTTACTCGTTTTTATTCTGGCTGAACTTTAAAATCACTTTGCTAAATTCTGCTAATCCTGTTGGGAATTATTAGAATCGCCTAAAATTTGTTAATGAATGTGGGAAGAATTAGCATCTTTATAATAATTGACCTCTTCCGGGAATGTGGCACGTGTCTTCCTTTAGTCAAAGTGTCTTTAACTGAGCTTTGAAAAAGCAGTTAATTATCTTCAATTCATTTTACACATTTCTCATTAAGTTCTTTTCTCAATATTTTACAGCATTTTCCACTCCTGCCAAATTTCTAACTGATCATTGTGGACATAAAAGAAAGCCATTGGATGGAGGGAAGGAGGAATGGATGGATATTTAGTTATGTATTTTACCAACCAATTCAGTGCACACATTAATTCCACTAGCTTCTGCATTTTGTTCTTTAGAGTTTGCTGCGTAGACAGATCATCTTTTGATTTTTAATCCTTTATAATAATCACCACTTTCCTACATCTTGGGACAGCCATACTTTCTGAACAACATTTAAAACTTTTAAGTAACTATAGTGATCCTCTTTATTCATTTATTTATTTATGCAATGGGAATGCCATTAACTTTCCATCATTGAGTATGGGATGAAATGTTGGCCTGAGGTATTTTAAATATTATTTTTTTAGGAAAAGGTGTTGCAGTTTATCCTATCCGTTTTTATTTAAACCCCCTTCTTTTACCTTCTTTCTTCATCTTGGCATGTTCTCTGACTATGGATTTCTATTATTTTCTTTCCTTCCAGCCTTTTGAGAGTGCTATGCAAGTTTTTATTCCTTTCTTCAGGTTCTTATATTAAATCAACTTCGGAGGAATTATCTGCCTTTCAATCTGCAGGATGCTTTTCTATTTTTCTTGGTTTTGTAAAGTATTTCTTCCTCTGGCTCCACTTAGGTTTCTTTCCTCTTTGCACGTAGAGACAGTAATTCACAGCTAAAGTCTGGCGACAGACAAGGTGGGTGATTTCCTCCTGGCTCACACAGCGTCATGTGCAGGGACCTGAGACTCTCAACAAAAAATGTCAAGCACCACTTGTATGCAAGCAACAGATTAACAGACACACACATGACATAAGCCAAAAAACTTAGTGGTAACGCAAGTAATTTTCAGGGTATGTTTCTCATTTTGTGTAAAAGCTCAACTACTCACCTGGCCAGTGGAAAATCAGATATCGCAGAACCTTATCCTTGCAAGATTGTAAAGTCGAGTCTCTTCAAACCTACCTCTGGCTGAGGAGCAGAACGTTTGGCTTCTTTCTCTTATGCAGATAGCCATCTCGACGGCTTCATCCATGAGAGAGGCACTCTTCACCCCTCCTGCAGCACATTCTGACACATGCACTAATGAGAAACAAGAAACACTCTAACAACTGGCTTGCCCAGCACTGGTTCCAGAGCTCTGTAAGTCTCTATGCTGCCAACTGTGTTTTGCTTTGCAGGACCACATCGCTCTGGATACAGTGCTCTAGTCTCTGTCCTCCATTTTCTGTTATTATTTGACATAAGTAGAATGAAAAGAACTTTAGAGAAAGACAAAAGGTGCAACCTTGTACTCTGTATCTGAGGTTTACCCTCTTTGAGATTAGATAAAACAGCAAAACCTCAAAAGAATTAGGATACAAATATCAATGTTTTATTTTACCCAGAAAAGTTTTTTTCAAACTGCTGTATATTTACTCATTCATGTAGCCATTCATCATTCAGCAAATATGTACTGAGTGCCCGTGATGTGCTGAGTCCTTGGAATGTGACAGGGAGCAAAGGCCAACCCAGCCACTGCCCACCTAGAGCCACCTCATTCAATCCAATAATCACACACAAAAAGTAAAATCACAACGATGTACTTGAGAGATAAAGGTTATGTAAGATAACAGAAGACAGGGCAAGAAAGATATCACGAAAAAGTAATGATCAAGAAGAGAATTCCAAAGAGTGAGTAGAAGTCTTTCCATTATTTTATATTGTAAAAGAAAATTTTTGCAGCAGAAATCCAGTGCTTAATCCCTTGAGTAAGAACATCACTGTACGTTGAATAGCCTTTGCATTTTGGAAAGCATGTCGTGCTTTTCTCATTTTGCTAGCATTCAGCTGTGGGGTTTGCTGGTAGAGTCTGAGGCCTGTTCTTGCAATGGTGCATGTGTGTAGAGTTATCCCATTGCGTCAGCAGAAACACCATCTACTCTAACAGAGCAGCGCTGATCAGAAGCCAGAAACTTGGCATGACACAATTCGAATACGGGGCTATCCAGAAGAAAGAAAAATAGGCATCTGATTTTCTTTAAAAACAAAACAAAACTTATACGTTGTTATGGGGCTAGAGACTGGCTTGGAACGCAGTCTGTGACCAGTGCAGGCCCTGGTGACAAGCATGGCAGCTGAGACGAGGGCTCTGCTTCCTGTCTTTCCCCTCAGGAATAGGTTTGCTCTTTGCTATCTATTGGGATTCCACACACAATTTTCTTCTTGAATAGGAGAGTTTTGTTCAGAAAAAGAAAGAAAAATTAACTAAAACTCGCTGATGTCAAACATTACCTCTAGCAAAAATCTGTGATGTCCAATATTTACACAAGTCAAAGGTTATGGGAATGAGTTTATTGTGTGCTATCTAAAAGGGAAATAAATAAGAAAATGTACTGAGTGTGCACATGTTGAAGCTATTGGATCTTTTAAAAACAAATTGAAATTGAAAGGTAATTAGATGGGGTGGTAATACAGGAAGATACGAGGACGATGATAAAGTGACACCGAAGCAGTCAAACCTGGGAAGGTTTTCTGCACTAAACCTCCATTCCTGCGAGGGTTTCCTCAGGTTTAGACTTGATTATTCTTGAAAAATACTGAGGCTTTTGAGGATAAATGCAAATGTAAGTGATGGATGGAAGCTTCTGAAGTAAATATGTAGGAGGGTTACTACCATCTGAGAATAAACTATATCAACTGGAAAAAAAATACAGAGTGACTGTAGCAATTCACATTTTCATTACCAGATGAAATGGACTGAGCCCTGTTAGTAATATACAAATAAATATGTACTTACGATGAGATCTTATCTAAAAGAAACGAAAACATATTACAAAGCACAGGGAAAAGTGGACTCCTGCAAATGAGTCATAACACCTGTGTGGGCAAAAGAAAAAAAGAATAGAAAATTCTATGGTATGAATTCCAAAAGCAAGTTCCTGACATCCAAATGTGAGAGCTGCAGGAAGTACGTAGATGGTGATTTCTGGGTTTGCTTTTTACTTGTGAGAATTTGAGAAAAGAGCACAGCTGCCAGAGGCGTTTTTAACTTTATTTTTTCACGGACTTTCTAATCCCACTGTTGGAAACTAACTTAAGCCAATTTGCTCACTTGCAATTGTCAAGAACTTTCTGGTGGGGGTGGGAGGAGAAGGGAGGGTGTAGTTCAGTGAATTTAGGTACTTCGAGGTAGATGACATCTGTTGAGTGAGGGAGAGGGCTTTTTCCCCAAATGTCCCAACTCAAGGTATGCTTCCAAGAAAGGATGTCTCAGACTGAAGCCTCCTACAGAGAGTTGATTGGTGATAATAAGGAGACGCACACACCAAGCCTTACAACCTGCTCTATAGATGAGTTTAGTGTAATCCCAGCTCTGTTCTTTTGGGGACCCGACTTGCCCATCCTTGGAAGGTTTCTTTGGGGCACATGTGGCAATATTTCCATGGAAGGATTCAGCTGACCTCGTAATCACATCAAAAGACTAGACTCTTAATAAGCATTTTACCACATGACTGGTCAAGTTCCAAAATCCCAAGGGCCACTGCCCCAAATGTAATTACTGAGATACCTTGATACTTAGATTTTGAAATTTTGTTGATACGTTGGCAGAGCTATGCACACATTTTTGATGGGGGAGGTTTTGCTTCATATATCTTGAGCACTACTTATTTCATCAGTGAAAAATCATGTCTACCATCCATGATGCTGCCTAACCAACCATTTATGTTGATGAGAGAAGTAGTTGGCTAAGAGCTTCTGGTAGCTGGATCTGCAGTGTGGGCTTCCATTAGAGTCCATGAAATGCTGGTTAGCCACCTTCCCACCAGTCTGTGTAGCCCTTATTGGTGTATTCCAGATATTAACCAACAGCCCCTAAGGTGTAAATAAAATGACTATTCACGTGCATATTATACTAGTAATTAAATTATAGACAATATAACACCCTTTTAAAATGATTTATTTTGTTTTTATTTCTTATAAGCCCTTTGCTATATTAAGCTTTCATTAAATTATGGGAAATATAATGGGAAAATTATTTGGAATGATTTTTCCCTCACAGTAATGTTCCTTGTGACAACTGGGGTTTACTTCAGGTTATCTGTAAAGTCGTGTAAACTGTCTTAGAAAAGAGCAGAATAACCAACGGTTTCCAGACATTACCATGGGTTTCTGGAAAAATCTCACATGACACCACTAGCAAGGAAAGCTGGATGGCAGGAGAAATTTTATGCTCAATTTTTAGCAAAACTAGAAATTATTGAGCAGTGAGTTGGGTCAATAACTGCACTTTCAAGGCTAGCGTGACACTCCCCTTTCCCTTCAAAAGAATTACTAATGAACAAGTATATGTCTATAATTTAATTCCCAGAGTCTGGTTTAGCTGATAGAATTTAGATTACATGTAATTATTTATTTAAAATTCTCTAAAGTTTTCATCTTACTCTGTGTGTAGAGACCTAGATTCTACGCGTATTTAACAAACTGCAAAAACATTAGAAAAGTCTATGTTTCATTTAAGTATTGCTGTAGACAATTTAAAACTATTAGGCTATCACTGTGGGTGTCAGAATCACCTTAGAGTGTTTGCTTAAAGCACGCATTGCTGAGTCCCACCTCCAGAGTTTCTGATTATTTATGTCTGGAGTTGGTCCAAGGATTTGCATTTCCAACCAGCTCCTAGACAGTTCTTTGACAACAACTGGTCTCCATGCCACCCTCCCAGGCCCACTCACAATATGAAATTTTACATAGTGTTGTGAGGATCCTTATTTAAGCAATAATACATAACATGGGAGAAAATATCTTCAATCATAAAATTGTAGAAAAGAATAATGGTTCTCTAAGTGACCATTCTGTATTATTTTTCAATAAATAATTAGTCCATTCTCACACTGCTATAAAGAAATGCCCGAGACTGGATAATTTATAAAGGAAAGAGGTTTAATTGACTCACAGTTCCATATGGCTGGAGAGGCCTCAGGAAACTTATAATCATGGCAGAAGGGAAAGCAAGTACCTTCTTCAGATGGCCGCATCTGAAGTGCATGCAGGGGAAATGCCAGATGCTTATAAAACCATCATATCTCATGAGAACTCCCTATCATGAGAACAGCATGGGGGAAACCACCCCCATGCTCCAGTCGCCTCCCAGTTGGTCCCTCCCTCGACACATGAGGATTATGGGGATTTCAACTCGAGATGAGATTTGGGTATGGACACAGAGGCAAACCATACCAATAATGAGGCCTTATCACTCAAGTAACTCAGGGAAAGCATTTTTGCCTGAGGTTGAACAAATATGGTTCAGATACAGTATTTTCTAACACATTCCTAAGATTGGATACTATGCCAGTTACAAGTGTGGAAATAAGTGTAGAAGTGATGGAAATATTTGGGATCTTGTCAAATAAAAGATGCTTTTTTTCCTCTGCCTTTGCTAACATTATGTGTAAATGACATTTCTAAAATTGGCACAAATGACAGATGAGTTGGGTGTGGGAAACCAACTTCTTGGGAAGAAAGGAGAAATATTCAAGTATAAGGAGAAAGCTGATAAGAAACCCAAGAATTGAGATATAGGTAAAAACTATGCATTTTAACTAAGGCTTGTTAAGTTAGCACATGAAATATTACAGCAATTATTTCGTTTGTAACTAGAGTTTTACATAATGAAAAAATGATTACTCAGCTTATGCAACATTAAAAAATGTTAAACCACATGCAAAAAAATGAAATTGGACCTTGTCTTACAACCTATGGAAGAATCAACTTGAAATAAATTAAAGACTTAAATATAGGGGAAATCTTCAGAAGATTCATCTTGGCAATGATTTCTTTGACATGACACCAAAAGCCAAGGAAACAAAAGCAAAAACAGACAAGTGTACTACATCAAACTAAAAAGCTTCTATACAGCAAAGGAAAGGATCAACAGAATGAAAGACAACCTATGTGAAATGGGAGAAAATATTTGCCAGCTGTGTATTTGATAAGGAATTAATTAATTCACATTTTAAAATCTGATTTTAAAATGGGCAAAGGACTTACGTAGACATTTCTGTAAAGAAGACATACAAGGCCAGGTGCGGTGGCTCACGCCTGTAATCCCAGCACTTTGAGATGCTGAGGCAGGTGGATCACGAGGTCAGGAGTTTGACACCAGCCTGGCCAACATAGTAAAACCCTGTCTCTACTAAAAATACAAAAATTAGCCTGGCGTGGTGGCAAGTGTCTGTAGTCCCAGCTACTCAGGAGGCTGAGGCAGGAGAATCACTTGAACCCAGGAGGCAGAGGTTGCAGCAAGCCGAGATTGTGCCACTGCACTCCAGCCTGGGCAACAGAGCAAGACTGTCTCAAAAAAAAAAAAAAAAAGAAAAAAAAAAAGACTTACAAATATCCAACAGGTATAGGAAAAGATACACAACATCACTAATCAGGGAAATGCAAATCAAAACCACAATGAAGCATCACCTCACATAGGTTAGGATAGTCATTATTTAAAAAAGCAAAAGCAGAAAATAATTGTTGGTGAGGCTGTGGAGAAATTGGAACCCTTGTACACTATTGGTGGGAATGTAAAATGCTGCAACTACTATGGAAAACAGTATGGTCGTTCCTCAAAAAATTGAAAACAGAATTGCCATAAGATCCAGCAATCCCTCTTCTAGGTATATAGCCAAGGACATTGAAACCAGGATCTTGAAGAGATATCTACACTTTCATGTTCACTGCAGCGTTATTCACGATAGCTGAGATATGCAAGCAACTAAAATGTCCATCAACAGGCAACTAGATAATGTGCTATATATACATATACATATACATATACATATATATACATATATATATATACACACACAATGGAATATTTTCATCTATAAAACAAAATCCTGTCATATGTCAACATGGATGAACCTCGAGGACATCATGCTAAGTGAAATAAGCCAGTCACAGAAGGACAATTACTATGTGATTCTGCTTATGCGCAGTATTGAGAGTAGTCAAACTCCTAGAAACAGAAAGTAGAATGGTGGTTACCAGGAGCTGGAGGGAGGGGAAATAGAGAGTTTCCATTCAATGGGTGTAGAGTTTCAGTAATGCAAGGTGAAAAAGTTCTAGAGATCTGCTGCACAGCGCTGGACTTACAGTTAACAATCCTGTATCGTACACTTAAAAATGTAAGAGGGTAGATCTCATGTTTTTTGACACAATAAAAGAAAACATTTTGATCTTAATATTTATATAGCTTGAATTGTTGAATACACATGGCATATAAAATAAACAATAAAACACTTGTTAAATGAGATATGGGTGCACGTATGCTGGAATTTTTTATGACATGGATTTTTTAAATGCTATAGGTAAAAAAAATCACATCCTTTGAAAAATGATTTCATCAATTGCCTGATCTCAAAGTGTTAGAGACTTAGAGGCAGCCACAAAGCTTGATATCATCAGGTCTGAGCCATTTCTAGAGAAGAGGAAACCAAGATTCTCCCTCTTAGACCTTACTCCCTGATTGACAGTTCTCTTCCCAGTGTCCTCACGTACGCAGGGACTTGAGAATAAAAGCAGAGAAGGAAAGGATGCTCACTGAACACCTCCTTTGTTTTAGCACTTTACACAGGGTGTCTCTGATGAACCCTCTGAAGCACACAGGAGCTGACCAGGTGCTCCTCTCACTGAGTTTCTGTGACCTACTGTCATAGCCAGATGTCACAGCCACCCTCAGGACTCCGACAGAATCCCTTGTGTCCCTAAAAAAAGTACGGAAGTATATTTAGATTTAAATTAACTTTTAGGTCATTACATAGCTACACAAAACTTTAGATTTACAGCAGAAACTTAAAAAATTCTCAGCAGGAGAATGTTTAAACTGATTTTTTTTCTTAAAGACCAGTGTGATGGTATAAACAGAATTTTTAATTCCTTTAAAAATCTGAAGCGGAAGCTCAAGTAGATGTATTTCATTTTAAATGGAAACACAAACATTAAAGATGATAAGACATTGTTTTTAAAGTGTATTATGCAGCTTTATGGAACCTGATGAATTACAAAATGGAAGAAACAGAAGATGAAAACATTGGTATTATTGTATCATGGTGATTTCTTCTTAATTTTTATTTTTATTATAATGTTACTTGTGTAATGTAAATGAATAAAATTTTCCCCTATTAATGATAACCAAAAATGTTTAAGCAAAGAGAGACAAGTTTTAAGGAAAGTACACAGCAGTGTTTCTGTGTCCAGTGGAGCAGCCTCTTTGGACAGGTTTCCACTTTGATTAGCAAGGAGGTTAATGTTGCTGTCCACTCTCTAGGGCTTTAGGGTAGTTTAATGTCACAGTTGGCTGCACTCCTTTCTCTCATTGTCTAAGATTGCAATGTAATTCTCTGCTCATTCATCACCCGCCTGTTTCTGCCTTGCCCCCATGTCTCCACAGATCATTTTGTGTTTCTCTCCAGTTGGTCGCACGCTGAGAGTTAGAGCTCGGAAGTTCCCAGCCATAGTTAACTGCACGGCTATTGACTGGTTTCATGCGTGGCCGCAGGAGGCTCTGGTCTCCGTCAGCAGGAGGTTCATTGAGGAAACCAAGGGAATTGAGGTATGCCGTGTCAGCCTGCGTCACACACACACACACACACACACACACACACACACACACACACACACACTCTGAAAATCCTCAGTAGGTAAGTGCTTTCCACAGTACATCTCCTATCAGAAAGCTATCCTGATTTGTTTAAGATGCTAAACTTATCTGTTAGTTTACATTCTAAGGAATATGATGGCTGACCTTTTTTCCACCATACATACTGAGGAGGATGTGCACACGTGCGTGAACACGGGCACGCACACAGCACTTGAGTATGTTCTCACTCATGCACTGACTCACTGGAAGCCCAGGATCATTACTTCCTTGAATCATAATGGGGCTTGCTGATTATAAATCCTTTAAGTCCAAACTAAAAGCCCAAACAGAAATGTAGTCACCGTAGCCACGCACTGCTTGCTTCTTAACCAAGTAAGGCAATGAATTGTGGTTATTCTCATAGTAGCAATAGTTGAAAAATCAGCCCCTGTATCCCATAACCACTAAGTCAAATAATATATCTACTTACTGTTTTACAGATTTATGTTTTATGGGTTATATTTGTCATTTCTTCATGATGACAAATTTAAAATTTAAAATCAAATTTAAAATCCCATGGCATTTTAAAATGGTTGTACAAAACAAAACAACAAAAGCTTCAAGCATTCAGATTCAGAGGGAAAAAGGATGTAGATATGAGGTTATGATTTAGATTTCCTGGAGATGAAGTTTTATTCATGTCTAGTGCCTTTCTGATTACATAGCTTGGAAAAGTGATTGTGGACATTTCCCAGGGAGCTTTGTCTTCTCATTCCATTGAGTGATAAGGTGAAAGGTTCCTAGAATAGGTCAGACACTGAAAGTGACTCTCAGAGGCAAACACAGAACTGGAGATATGTGAGGAATGATGTCTGTTTCTAGTTGAAAGATTATCATGAACAGGTACAACCCATTGTAGCCCCACCGTTACCCAAAAGGCATAACTGCCACCTTTCCAAAGCAATCCTTTTACATTTTGTTGTATATTGTATCATTCAGCGGCCATATGGTTAAAAATCTGGTCATATTTACATATTTAATTGTTTGTATGCAGCTAGCTTTATTGTTCATAATATCATTTTCCTTTGCTTCTACAAAAAAAAAAAAAGCAGCTATAGAGGTAAGTACACATGCAAGTATTCACCAACACCTACAGAATTTTGTGGAGGGAGACCTCTTCTCCTTTAGTCTTTTCCTGAAATGTTTATTAATCTAATTATTTGGTGGTGGATTGCTAGGGAAGAGCCGTCAAGCAACATCTAACTTGGAAGATATATATATGGTAGAGGCCTTAGGATATTCATATACCTCCCCTGTCCTTCTCTCCTCTACACTTGCACTTAAAACGTTTCCACAAATAAATGAAAATAAGAAATGATCTCTTCTAAAGTCTGCCAGAAACATTTTGTACTCTAACATCTGGAAAATCATTAAATGTGACAAATAATTGTCATAAATATTAACACAAATTTCGTATGTGATTGCCAGGTCTGCTGCATTTCTGGAATTTTCTAGGGCATCATTTTATCTTGTGATAGTTACAAGAAGGGTTCAAAATGCTGCTTTATTAAAGGGAGAGAGTCAGTATGTATCTTCTGATAGCAAATTTGTGTTTCATCAGGCTGGTTTGGTAAGGAAGAGAAAGGGGCCAGAGCACTTTGTTTCTGCATGTTACTTTGTCAAATGGTAGGAAATTAGAGCTAGTAGCATGGTTTAAGTTGGCATGTGGCACAGTGCTTTTTACAGTTTCTTCCCTTTGCTACTCTGTGCAGGCTTTTTCCTGTCCAGGTGGGTGCCACTTTGAAAACAGCTAAAGGAGTTTGATATGCCGTTGACCGTTGACATCTGCTGGATGAGGCAGGACTTGCATCGTGTTAAGTCCAGAGGGCTCCTGTCAGGTGCTAAGCTGGATCTGATGGTGTCATAACGCCTCCTATAGGATGCTGAGTGCCAAATAGGAATTTTAAAAACACTTTCCCATTTCTCTTGAACTGAATTGTGCCTCAAAACAAATGAGTCAGATGATTTCATTTCAGTGCAAGCTGCTTATTTAACTTTCCCACCTTCCTAATTTGTTGCGCAGGAGCAATAATTATAATTCAGAGTACAATGTGTCCATGGTCTTCTAAAAACCTGTGGTGTCTTTTCTGTAGAGGTCAAAAACAGCTTTTAAGTTTTTTGAATGAGCACTAATTTGATCACTTTCTTAGTTTTAATTTCCTTTTTTAAGACTGAAAGTTATCAGCATAATTTAGGCACTTCTTAATTATTGACGTCATTTGCTGAGTGTAAGGTGCTTACACAAGGTGACCCCCTTTGGCCACAGAGAAAGGAGTCGTTAAAGGCAAGCAGTTTTGTGTGTGTTGGCGTGTAATTTTCCATCAGTACACACTCAGCACCCAGGGGTACGGGTTGACTGCATCTAAATTAATGTTTGTGCTATTTTTCTGTTGCCTAATATTGAACTAAATGACAGCTGACAAATAATGACCAAAACAGTTTGACACTTAAGTATTTATCTGAAGACTTTGTGTCAACGCACACTACCTCTCCAAGGAGATTTTGAAATGGAGATGGGAGGAGGTGTGTAAGGAGGGAGAGAAGGAAAAGCCATCTGGGTAAACCTGGGAACAGTGTTGGAAAGGCTGTGAGAAGCTCGTTGGAGAGAGAACTGTGTGAAGAGCTTAGTGATTAGTACACGGTTTCTACAACGAAAAATCAAGAGAAGCTGCGGTGTTGAAAAACAAGTGATGTTTTTGCTTTTCAAGGTAAAATGAATCATAGACATCTTTGAAAGCAGAGCCAGATGAAAGGAGAAGTTACTGAATGGAAATGAAACAGTGAGCTGTCTGGTGAAGGAGTGAGATGTTTGTTGGATGGTGTAGAGTAGATCTGAGCAAGGTGAAAGAGGTCATCTTTGGGGGCATGTTGACCAACCGATGAGTTAAAATCCTCTGTCCTTATGTGGTGCCACTTAAAAGTAATGACACAAACTCCGTATCATCAGCTTTTTCAGGGAAAAGCAGTTATTCCCCATGCAACCACCTCTTCAATTGTTGCAGTTTGGTAGCTTGTGAAGGACATATTTTACTACTGTTTTCCACAACTGATGGCGAGAAAGTCCACTCTAAGAGGAAAGTTATTTTACTGCTATATTTAAAGACTTGTTTCCCCAATGGTCTGTAAATTCATTTTTAAAATGGCATGCCAAACACAAAGGGTATAAGACAACATTTTGTCAGTGATAGCTATCTTAGCAGAGTTTCTATCATATTAATGACTTTAAGCACAGTTCTTTATTTGAAATATAAATTAGGGTATACATATGTAACTAACCTGCACATTGTGCACATGTACCCTAAAACTTAAAGTATAATAATTTTAAAAAAGAAATATAAATTAGGATTATTCAATATGAATAAAAAGTAGAAAGATAACCTTATGCAGTAGAAATTGTGTGAATTTGAGGAAAATAATCCTCTTTCTAAGGAATATTGAAGCCATTTAAAAATATTAAGACAAATATAAATGCAACCACATTTATCTTGATTCTGCTTAAGTCTTATACTGGCTTAAGCATATCTTCAGATGGCTGAGGAAAGACACAAGTAGTTGTAAACATCCTTCCCCATTCTTCAAGCCTCGACCTCATAAGTAGGGTCCAGACTTTGTAGCTGCCCAGGAATCTGGACATGAATATTCAGTTGAAGGTGTAATTGACTTAAATGGAGCTATCCCTATAAGTTTGTAGTTTTGTGGCTTTTCTCTAGGTGCTGACCTTACCAGAAGCAGCCACACCATTCACACCATCTCCTGTTCTGTCCTCTTGCTATAAAAGAGGTAGCTGGATTGCTTTTTTATTCTTTGGTTTTTTTTTTCTTTTTTTGAGAGGGAGTCTCACTCTGTCACCCAGGCTGGAGTGCAGTGGCATGATCTCGGCTCACTGCAACTTCCGCCTCTCGGGTTCAAGTGATTCTCCTGCCTCAGCCTCCTGAGTAGCTGGGACCACAGGTGCACACCACCACGCCCTGCTAATTTTTGTACTTTTAGTAGAGACAGGGTTTCACCATGTTGCCCAGGCTGGTCTCAAACTCTTGACCTCGGGTTATCTGCCTGCCTCTGCCTCCCAAAGTGCTGGATTACAGGCATGAGCCACTGCATCCGGCCTGGATTTCATTTTTCCTCCACTCCTCCTGAGTCTTCAGTTGCTTCTTTGTTTCAACTTTCTGGCAGAGAACCATTGAAGGTACCTTTTTCAATGACTGCAAGCTCATCTAGGAAATTGTTGGCTTCTGCTGGACTTTGTCTTGCCTCTGACCAGTAGTTGAGCTCCAGAATTAAAGGCAAGATACAAAAAGCATAAGCAAATAACAAAATAATGCACTCACCAGACAACTCAAAACAAAAAAACAGCATACAATTTAGAAAACTGTGCTTGGTGCTACATTTAACACTTGTTGCTGCCCTGTGTAATGGCAGTAATCTTACTGCAACTGCTGTTGGTGCTACTGCTACCACAGTAGCAGAACTGATAGAGGTTCAGTATCCCTTACCCAAAATACTTGGTACCAGAAATATTTTGGGTTTCAGATTTTTTTTTGATTTTGGAATATTTGCATTTACATAATGAGATATCATGGGGATGGGACCCAAATCTAAACACAAAATTCATTTTTGTTTTATATACTCCTTATGCACATAGTGCAAAGGTAATTTTATATAAGATTTTGAAGAATTTTGTGCGTGAAACAAAGTTTTGACTGTGACCCATTACATGAGGTCATATGTGGAATTTTCCACCTGTGGTGTTAAATTCACACTCAGAAAGTTTTGGCTTTTGGAGCATTTCAGATTTTCAATTTTCAGATTAGGGATGCTCAACCAGTTCCTGCTGTGAATTTGCACTGCTTACCACCTCTCATCACCAGCCTCATGAGGAGGGACCAGTAGTTTCCCCTGGGATGGAGGCCCAAGAGTAAATAATGCCGCTGGTAAGGGGTACATCTGCAGTTTGACACCAGAGCCCATAGTCTTAAATCCTTCTTTTGACTATTGCATGAATGTTTGACTATTGGGAAAGCAGTAAAAGAAGAAAGGAAACAGAATTTTTAAAGGAGCAATTTTGTGGGCAGGAAGAAGTACAGGAGGGTATGCAGTATCTTACCAGATTTTTCAGAACTGGAAATCTAGCCCAGGTCCTAGGATTCAAACCCTTTGTCCCTGGCTCCCTCCGGAATCTTCTTCTCAGAGCAAAACAGCACTATGAAGAGCTTAGGACAAGTGTTAAAATGCAACACTGCCCATTTTATGCATTGTAAGTTTTCTTTCTTTAATAAGCCACCATGCAACCACAAATATCTTATTAATATATTCTTCTACCAGCCCTAAAAGGAGCAAAAAGATCAAATAGATTGTGTAGCACATCAGTTTGACATATTTAAAATTTAACACAGAAATAATTTCTGAGAAAAATGTTCAAGACTTACTGTAGGTATATGGCATTTAATGTGACAAAATTGTCCCAAGTTACACTTCAAAAAGAGAGAAAATAGATTCTTTCACCTGCCCCTTTCTCTTTTGCCCTTCCTCCCTCCCTCCCTTGAATACAGTGCTCTTGAAAGCCCAAATTTAGTATTACAGACCAATGTAGTCATCTTTGCTGGTCTTGGGAAGGTATAAAATCCTAAACTGATTTAGTGCTGACCTCTGGGTATTGGTTTATATTCAACTCTGCTGTTTGTCATTTTCAAGAGGAATATACTGGGCACTTGCTTGAAGTGCCAGGTGGCTGGAGTACTTGGTGTGGCAGAGACTACTCCTGCCCGAGAACTGTCACACCAAATAGCAGAGATCTGTTTATGTTTTTGTGTTGACAGTGAGCCAACTGAGAGAGTAGAAATTAAACACGTTTTCTTAATGTGAGGGAAAGCAGTTTCATCTTTGCATTTGATTATGCGTTGGAGACAGCATCGTTTTCCAGAGCATCTTAGTGGGGAAACCTTGAGTTTATAACCATTCGATACTGGCACTCTGCTTATTTTTATTTTTGCCATCATCATGATTAGCTGCTAAATGACTATAAGTGGTTATCAACTGGTTTTTATTAAGAGGCCAAATCTAGCAGGAATGATATTCTCCCCTCACGTCTCTCAAAGTGAAAAATACAGCATTGCGTAGCCCTCGCTGCGGCAGCACCAGCAGCAACTCCTCTCAATTCTCCCCCAACGCCCCCCACAAAAAAAAATAATAAAATAAAATAACTGGAGATAAATGAATGGCAGAATAAATAATTTATGCTAATGAAATTACTGCAATTAGTAGTTCTACAATGACCCTTTTAAAAGCCACAGCTGTTAATGTCAGGAAGTGCTGTCACTACTGACCTTATCATAAGAGAAAGTGACAAATTGAGAATGCAGGGAAGACCAGTCATCAAAGAGGTCTGTTCTGGAACGATTAGAGTTTTCTGAAAAACAGTGTGAATTACAACCAGCTGCTCCCTGGCTCAGCGAGTCTCCCATGCTGTGCCATTTTGTTAAGCCTGATAACAATAGTTATTTTGCCCCATTGAGACAAGTTGTCTCAGGCCACTTTCAGCTCTACCGGAAACCACTTCTTCCATCCCCGATTTACAAATGAAACTGTTGTTAAAGAGAGCTTTCAGCGCCTCCAAGGAGCCTCCTCATAAGGATCATGGTTGGGCAGAGGCCAGAGTGTTTTTTTTTTTTCTTCTTTCTTTCTTTTTTTTTTTCCCTTCCTGTAAGGAGGTTACACTTGGCTGAGGAATTATTTATCTATATTGTAGAAAGGTATGTGTGTACCTTTAGTTCCCATTAAAACAAGACAGGACAGGAGTAAATTCCTGCACATGTCTGTATTGAAGTCAAGCTCTTGTAAAAATAAAGTCTCCAAAGGATTATGATTTATATGAAGTTTATATAAACTTCTTCATAAATTTTATTTTTCTGAGTTCACTGTTTGGAAATATATTTGTATCTGGGGTCCACTAGAAACCAAGAATATTTGGAATTTATATCACGTTATTTTTAACTTTTGTTTTAGTAATACATTATTTCAGTTACTAGTGAGATGGATTTTTAATACGCAGCACAATGCAATATGTGGGTATTCCAAACCCACTCGGGAATTTGTCGTGATGTTGGAAAGTTGATTGTTTAAAGACATTGTTCAGGAGCAGTTGTTTTTCACCAAGAATTGGCTGGTCTCTCTTCACACCTCTGCTTGTAATATTAATGGTGCAGGTTTGAAATGTTTGACTGCATCACCAGCCACGTGTGTGCAATTTTCCCAAAGACGTCTGAGCATTATTGACAACACTTTGGTAAATTATGTGTGACTTTCCTAAGAGTTGGTGTAGCTCATTTAATTCATATTAATTGATTTGTAGGCTTCCCTTGATTAACTGAACCTGGTTCATCTTGTACAGAATGCAATAAATAATCATTAAAATGAGGGAGATGTGACTCTGCAAATTAAAAAGTTAACTACTTCAGAAGTCATAGAGGACAAAATGGAAAGAATGTATAGTGGGGGGTCTTCCAGTAACTCATTGAAGGAGAGTTGCTCTTTTTGTGGGTTTTCTTTCCCAAATATGAATAGAAATGATCATGATATTTTTCTCCCAGAAGCAGTGACATTTATACCCTACTATCCAGTTTGTTTTTACATGAGTTCTCATAAAACTGTGAGTTTCTAAGTTTTGGCTTTTTTTTTTTTTTCAGTGACTTTGCAGGGTTATTGCTTCTCTTTGTCTAAAGCTTAGTTTGAAAGCAATGGCAGAAATATTTCTCAGGATATTGTGTCTGTTTCTCCACCTTCTCTTTCACACACTCGGTAGATAAAAATCAAGTTGTGAAGATCTGTATATGCTGGCTTTTGTATTTGGTATGTGGAGCACATAAAAACCCTTTGTCCTACTTGGCAAGAAGAAGGTTACTCAAGCTGAATGCTTTATTGTAATCTCCCAAATCCTGTGGATAGCGCTTAAAGATTAAATAAGTTTTCGTAGGTTATACTATCATTTTTTTTTCTGACTTTTAGAAAAAAAATGATCATTTACTTGATTTTTTTTAAGTTGTATTTTTAATTTGAGAGGATTTCACATGAACTGTAATGTTTGTGTTTTCAGCCAGTGCACAAAGACTCTATTAGCCTTTTCATGGCACATGTTCACACCACTGTAAATGAAATGAGTACCAGATATTACCAGAATGAGAGAAGACACAACTATACCACCCCAAAGAGTTTTCTAGAACAAATATCACTGTTTAAGAACCTGTTGAAGAAGAAGCAAAATGAGGTATCCGAGAAAAAAGAACGCCTGGTGAACGGCATCCAAAAGCTAAAAACCACAGCCTCTCAGGTATGACCAGGATGTGTTATTACTGAGTAATATTTATGCTGTTTAACAGAAAAATATATTTCCTTTTGAAGCACTACTAAATCCATTTCTATAAGATGCCAGCTGGTGAAATTTACAGTTTCATGACACCAAGAATACACTGCTACTGCTTTCAAAAGCCTACAATGGGATTGGCCGACTCACAGCTGGATTAGGGTGAAACGTTCTCTTCCTGGCCTGACTCAGTGTAAGGTAGTGTGGGATATTGAAGGGAGCAGACACAGCGGATTGCCTCTCTTGTCTCTGACTTCTTCAGTGCACGGTACTTGTCGTCAAGGTTCTTATCATCCTAGGATGGACCAGTATCTTTTTTGGTCTCAGATTCTCAACCTCCAGTGAGGGCATCATTTTCTGGCTAATGACTGTGGCGAGATCCCAAGGTAGAGCTGTTCCTCCCTTAGTGACTTGTCTGCTCCTCTTACACATCTGTGTCCTCAGTCCTGAGGCCCCTGCTCCCTCGAAGGGCGATGCCTCTAACTTGCAGGAGTAAATCAGGAGAGAATCATCACAGGATGTTAATCATGTGTGGGTCTGTACACATATTATCATTATTTCGTTGTTAAAAAAGGATTTCATGAAGTAGTTGTTACTACTATAGTTTTATATATGAGGCGTAAAGAGTTTAAGGCCAGAGAGCCAGTGAGGTTGGGTTTTAGACCCAGGTCTGTGTTGCTCTGATGCCCATGAGTTGTCCATGGCACTGTGCTGCCTCTCTGTGGCTGGAAAGAAGAGATTGGAATGAGAGACTCTGAAGACTTTGAAGAGTAGCCCAGCCTTATTCTGAGCCAGTCAGGACTTAGAGCTGGAGTGAGAAGAATCCTCACTAGTGATCACCTCAAGACTAGAAATACTGGTGGCCTTCTCAGAGTCATGTCATCAGGTCAGACTCTCATATGCTTTACAAGGATTGGGGCAGTGGTTTCCCCGAGTGGCCTGGGTAACCCACCTGTGGCTAGGCTAGAAATGAACTGAGACCCGAAGGAGGGAGCACCTTTTCAAATGGGCACCTTTTCACTCTGAAGGGCTCTCTGGCCATGTCCTTCAGTCACTCTGGGCCAAAGCACCACTTGCCTCTTTTTCTCTTAGTTTTCTATACCAAGAATGACTCTGTGACAAAACACTGTGATCTGTACTAATAGTGAGTAGATGGACCACAATTAGGAAAGAGAAACCAGGGTGAGTAGGTTTCCAGGACGGTTGGGATCAAGTGATATTAAGAATAGTTTCTAGGAAACCCACAAATAGCATATCCATATTTGTGCACCTTCTCCTTTCCTCTCAAAGAACGTCTGTCTAGGCCAGGCACAGTGGCTCACACCTTTAATCCCAGCACTTTGGGAGGCTGAAGGGGGAGGATTGCTTGAGTCCAGGAGTTTGAGACCAGCCTGGACAACAAAATGAGACCCAATCTCTACAAAAGAATTTTTTAATGAGCCGAGCATGGTGGCGCACACCTGTAGACCCAGCCACTTGAAAGGCTGAGGCAGGAGGATCCCTTGAGCCCAAGAGTTTGAGGTTACAGTGTGTTGAGTGGGTCACTGAACTCCAACCTGAGCAACAGAGTGAGACCCTGTCTCAAAAAAAAAAAACAAGTCTGTCTTTCCTGTCTCTTTTTATTCACAGCTTATTTTACTTTCTTAACTTTTGCCCCTCTCCATGTCAGTTTTCTTCTATCTGTCTATCCTCTTCTGTCTCATTTAAATCAAGACCCCTTTCCATAAGAAAGATTTTCCCTGGAGTCCTGTTGGGCTAGATAAGACGAGGAAGGAGCTCTGTTTCACAAAGCATTTATATCCCTTTGAATGCCGTCCTAAACTGAACCTGTTGACTTTGCCCACTATCAGGAAATGATAGTATTGTCACCCAAACTGAGCTTTCAATACTGTGGGGGCATCCTTAGCAAAGAGATAAGTGCTTCTGCCATACTTAAAGGTTGTGAGCTAAAAGCAAGTGGGGTACCATCCTGGACCATTCCAGTGGTGGCAGCATCTCAGCCACAGGAAAAAAGAAGAGGAGAGAGACTGTGATTTCTTAATAGTCACCTCAGTTACACATTGATGAGTCAGGGGGATGGGCAAGGAGAGAGACGGGAGGGCCGATTCACTATGTCTGCCAAGTCCAGGGCTGCTTGGGTCTCTTTACTTCCCCTTAGCTAAGAACCACAGGCAGAAAGTCTGTAAAGACACAAGACATCTTGATTGACCATGAAGTCTGATGGAAAGACTGACGGTGATTTCTTTTCATTAGGTATTTGTGCATGGAATGCTCTTACTATCAAAAAAGTGGTTGGAATATTCAATAGCTACATGGCAGTTTTAGAAATAAGTGGGTTATAAAAAGGGGATGGTTTCCTATGTGGAGAATTGGAGAACCATATTGCAGAAGATCAGGTTGTATGGAGAGCGTAATGCCTGTATATTGGGGCATGTATCCTCTAAGGGTCTGCCTTAAGGAATGCCACATCATTTGAAAACATTAGCAATGTTCCTTCTTTACAGTAAAGCTGTAAGCACCTTTTATAGCCAAATAACCTCTCTCTAGATGTCAGCTTAGGTCATCACAGATAGTCCTAGTGACCTTTCTTCATAGAGAAAGCCTTGCTTCCACGGCTTCAGTCACTTTGAATATTTCAGAGCTAACAGCTTCCTTAGAAACTGAAATTAGGGCTTGAAATAACATAATTTTGTCCTAGTCTCTTGGGTGATTCTTTTTGCTTTATTTCTATTTTGAGATGATAATAGATTCAGAAGAAATTACAAAGCATAGTACAGACAGGTCCCTGTCACATCTTATAGGTTCAATGGTAGCATCCTGCATAACTAGTACAATGCCAAAACCAGGAAAGTGGCATTGGTACAATCCACAGACCTTATTCAGATTTCCAGTTTTATTTGTACGTGTGTGTGTGTGTGTGTGTGTGTGTGTATGTTTTATGCAGTTTTATCACATGTAGGTCTGGGTACTCACTAACACAGTCAAGACACAGAAAACTTCCATCTACAGAAAGATCCCATGTTGCCATTTTATAACCACACCTACGTTACCCCCCACTTCTTCCCCACCTCCTGAATCCTAGTTCCTGGCCATCACTAATCTATTCTCCATTTCTATAGTTTTGTCATTTCAAAAATGCTATACAAATATGTAACCATTGGGTATTGGTTTTCTTCATTCAGCATAATTCCCCTGAGATCCAACCGAGGTATTGGGTGTATCCATAATTTGTCCTTTTTTATTGTTGAGCAGTATTCCACAGAATGAAGGTAGCACAATTTAACCATTCAACCACTGAAGGGCATCTGGGTTATTTCTGGGTTTTGGCAATTATAAATAAAGCTGTTATGAATACCCGTGTACAGGTTTTTTTTTTTGTAGGCATAAATCCACAAACAACCAAAAATGAAATTACTGAATTGTGTGGTACTTGGATGTTTACATTTATAGAAAACAGGCAAATTCTTTCCATAATGGCTGTGACATAATACATTACTACCAGCAGTGTATGAGAGAGCCAGTTTCTCAGCTCGCTTGCAATAATTTGGTGGCATCTCTAATTTTTATTTTAACCATTCTAATAGGCGTGTAGTGATATGGTGGTTTTACTTGAATTTTCCTGATGGATGATTCTTTTGACTATGGCCTAATCTAATACTAGTTTCATATGGCTAAAAAGAACTGAGAAGCATGTCACTATGCAAAGTTACCCTGAATTTATAGACAGGCTGAAAAATCAGTCATAGCTTAATCTATAATAGTACAAGTAGCAGCCATAGTAGTAATCATGCTTTTTAGATAGAGTGTGAATATACTGTGTTGGGTGGAAACTACAAGATTACTTGGATATAGTAATGGGGCGTCGTTCCACAAGATGAAACCACTGAAATGTCTTTAGCATTTGAGTTAAAATAAATGTAAATGGTTATGATTGTTCTTTGCTGCTATGATTTTTTAATGGTAATATTTATACTTTTGGAAAAGAAGTGCAGTGGAGAGATAATTATTGTGATGTGTAAAGCTGCTTTCAGATATTTCTGAGAACTGAGTCATGTTTTTTTTCTCTAGTACCTCACTTCTGCTTTTAGTTACATGACCCTCAAACTGAGGAACCTAGTAATGCTTTCTGAACCTGATGAAATTATAACTGAAAAAAATGGACAGTTCTTTTTAGCAGATGAATTCATGGATTCCTCGGAAGGCTGAGTTCTCCAAGAGCTGAGTAAGGTTATTTAGTGATGGACTGATGGGAGACGTGTATGCCTCTGAAGCTCACTGAGTTTTGGCCACAGCATACTAATACCCCAAACACACAGTTTGCTCTTCTTAGCAGGTATTAAGTTGAATATTGGGTTAGCTTCATGATCATAAATGAGGTGAAAAAAATCAAGAGGCCTATTTTCTGTTTGATGGGAAGAGGTGAGACCTATCAGTGGGCATTTTAATATGCAGCCAATTAATCTGCAGTCAGGCAAGGAGCATTCATGTCGTCAACTTACTGAAGCCTCCAGCAACCTTCTGTTGGACAGTGAGAGGCATAGTTCTTCCAGCTCATCACCAAGTATGTCTTCCCACAACCTCTGCTTCCTTGAGCCCGAGCTGCCTAGGACCCAAAAGCAGACGTGGGTAAAGGAGCATGTGGTCAGACAGAGGGAAGAGCAACTTCCCTACTTAACCTGTTAGTGCTGACAAAAATTAATTATATTTCCTGCAAAATCATTGGAAAATATTATTCTGTTTGTTCTCATGTGGAGAAAAACAATGTGGCTGCATTTTTGCAAATCAGAAGACAGTGAAAATCAGGGTAGAGACAGATGCAAGATACAAATTGTTAGAGATCCCTGAATTCATTCCCAGCAATAAGCTCTATCTGGGATTTGTTGTGAACAAGGCCAGTGACGTAAGAATAATGACTTTTGCTTTAGGTGGGAGATCTAAAAGCCAGACTTGCCTCTCAAGAAGCCGAGCTGCAACTGAGAAATCATGATGCCGAAGCTCTGATCACAAAGATCGGCCTTCAGACGGAGAAAGTGAGCCGGGAAAAGACCATCGCTGATGCTGAGGAGCGAAAGGTCAGGCTAATTCCAACATTTAGAGTGCGGAGCTATATTTAGCACAAAATAAACCTTGGTAGGTGAACAATTTTGAACAACTTCCTCTCCAGGGAGCATAAAGTCTAAAGAATTATTATAGTTACACATGTAACAGCATTTCACACCGTGATTACCACTTGACCTTTCTTTACATTATGCATTTCCCCAACCTTTTAGCTCTTTTAATGATATGAAAGAACAATAAATACTGAGCTCATTCAAGCATATAATGGATGTGGATCTTGAACATCAGGCCTATTTGTAATACAGTAAAGGTCAGGAAGTCACCTCTGAGGTTTTTAAAGGTTTCCACTTTTTAGGCAAATTGAACAACTCAATTGTTAACAAAGCCCATTCCGTCACTTTGCAAGATGGTTTTCAAATTTTGCATTTTAATAATACAACTGGAGTTTATTATTAAGTCCTAAGCTAAATTTGTTCTTTTTGATTCGATCGAGGCCCTGGCATTCTGTATTATGTTTTATTGTTGGAAATAATTCCCTTTAAGATTATATAGATTCTGCTTTCTTTCTACTCAGGTTTCTAGCAATTCTGAAATAAGTACACTGTCTTTTGTCATCTTCTTTTACCAAAACGTCAGCTACAAATGGAAGACATAGTTTTGTACATCTGATATCTCAAAAGAAATACCATAGTAAACAGAAAAATTTTAATACATACTTGTTTAAAAATTGAGTGTATATGTGTAAGGTAAAAAATTCTTATTTTAGACAAAAAAGTATAATCAGGGCCTAATTAATAAAAAGTTATAAGTTGCTAACATTCTCACAGCCATTGAATCGGTAGTGATTATGCCATTTTTCTTGTATTTTATGTTACCTGAAAATATTTGAGTTTTTCCAGTGGTGTTGCCATTCATATACAATTGAGTTGATTTTCTTTTTTTTTTTCCAATGCATATTGAGCATGTTTTCCTTGCACAACTAAAGGCTTGAAAAGTATATTGAACATCAAAACTCTAAAAGGACAGTTTTAAGAAATAAGATTATGGCATTAAAATTGAAGATAAGGCACATTTGGCATGCCCTATGTGATCAGCGGGCATGTAATTCCTAATTTGGGTTGTAAATGTTTCTGTTGAGTTTCAGATAAGTGGAGAATGTCCTTAAAAGTATATTATTGGGCTGAGTACAGTGGCCTGTAATCCCTGCACTTAGGGAGGCAGAGGCAGGAGGATAGCTTCAGCCCAGGAGTTCGAGACCTGCCTGGACAACATAATGAGACCCCATTCTCCATAAAAGAGGGGCAAAAAAGACAAAGCGTGTTATTCCATTGAGCAATTAGGTATCACACATGATACAGTCACCGTTAGCTAATTCTACCCAGGGAATATTTTTCAGGCATTACACAAACATGTGATGTTCTAGTAATTATATCATAACCTATCATCACAGATACTTTTTGGAAACTTAAAATATAAATACTCTAGAGATTTTTTTTTGCATTTTTACATTTGAATTCCCAAGGAAAAATTACCCTCATAAAAGGAGAAAGAAGTTTTAGCAAATTAGAACTCATCTGACAGGTTGTTTAGTGAAGTTCTTCAAACACAAAGAAGGGACATACTATTTTTTATGTTTAATCCATACCAAGACATAAAAATAAAACTTCTAAACATTTTCATTTTATCCATGGAGCTGGATGTTAATAACAAATATTAACATCTATTTTGTCACCAGGCAGTGTTGTAGACTATTAGGGATATTTGACAAGCAGGGGTCTCTCATGTAGATTACATTGCAGTGGAAAAGACCGACATGAGACAAGTAACACATTGAGAAGCTGGATATTTTGAGATAAGTGCTCTGATGAAAATCCAGTAGAGAGACATGATGGTGGGAAGGAACTATTGTAAATTGGATATTCATGGAAGAAAGTTCTTTTGTAATTAAACTAGAAAGCATCTAGAAATTCATCAATACCTGAATCCATGCTCTGTGTTCACATTTGTCATATGTTCAGCAATGTGCTAGATACTATGCTATGCCATACTAAAGGGGGTGAATATGGACTGTTTCTGGTCCTATGAAATTGGGATCTCAAGTCTTCAAACATGAGCAGTAATTTAAAAGTAATGCTGCATAACTCACAAAGTACACAGCCACGTTTAACATGACTAAATAAATGTTGGGGTTAGAGAATGTCTTGCCGTGAACCTTGACAGCCCATGTAGAGAGGCAGGTTGAAATCATTGCTTCAAATCTATAAGGTAATCAAGGGCGATTTGAACCACTGGGCATTGCCAGCAGTGACTTCCAAATCACACAAGCATCATCAAGCCTGTGAAAATTAGTTCTTCTTCCACCTTTGTTTGGCTTCTCAGCTCCAAATTCTAAAATGCTGAGAATTCTCTCATTGCTTTCAAACTGTGTTCTCCCTTGAGTAGAGTGTAAACCTTTATGAGTAGAGGCGCCTTCTAAATTGAAGCGCTAATATCATCTCTTCAAAAGTTGAGCATCAATCTTGATTTGGAATGGCCATCAGTTTTTGTGTGTGTTTCTGTTCTGAATGTGGGTGGGCCTGGGTTTTAGAGGATCATAAGGAAATTCTTATAATCTAAAGGCAGACAAGTGCACTGTATCCACTTGCTAAGGCTGCCATGACAAAAATACCACATGGGGTATTTTGGGAGATTGGGAGGGTTAAACAGTAGAAGTTTATTTTCTCCAAATTCTGGAGGCTGGAAGTCCAAGATCAAAGTATTGGCAAGTTTGGTTTCTCCTTCTGTGACTTGCAGATGGCTGCCTTCTTGCTGTATCATCACATGATCTTTTCACTGTGATTACTTCTGCTGATGTGTCTTGTGTGTGTCCAAACTTCTCACCCCAGTCAGTTTGGATTAGGGCTCACCCTAATGACCTCAGTTTAACCTGATCACCTTGTAAAGGCCCTGTCTCCAGATACAGTCACATGGTGAGCTTGGGTCTTCAAAATATGAATTTTGGGTGGACACAGTTTAGCTCATAACAAGCAGTTATTGGGACTTCATTCTCTTTATTCTCTCCCTGTGATCACCACTAATCTTAAGAACATCTGCAAGGGGCTGTTGACTAATGCAAGGCAGAGAATTTCTGGTCTACCCAAGGGTGAAACTGTCTCCAAATTCCTGCTTTAACTTACAGTTGTAGGGGGAAAGCACACTCTCTAGGCACTCCCTGCAACTCTTCTCCTGTTTTATAGGTTGAGCCTTGCTGACCACTGCCTAGGAGCCACTGGGCAAAGGAAATTGTACACTGGCTTAACAGCTTACTGAGATATACAGAATTTTCACTCTTCTAGTATTGTCGCACCTTAGGGTAAACGGTATTGAGAATGAGAAATCAGTTGACCAACCTGAGAATCCTGTTCATTTGTATAAGTGAGTTTTTATTTAATGTTCAAGATTGTTTTGTTTATAAAAATTACCCAAAGGAAAAATACTCCATTAATAGTAAAGGAGTCAGAAAAGAGTAGCAGCTCCTAGGCTGATAGAAATGGCACTTTAGCAAGACGCAGTGGCCCATGCCTGTAATCTCAGCACTTTGAGAGGCTGAAGCAGGCGGATAACTTGAGGTCAGCAGTTCAAGACCAGCCTGGCCAACATGGTGAAGCCCCTGTACTAAAAATATAAAAAATCAGCCGGGTGTAGTGGTGCGTGCCTGTAATCCCAGCTACTGGGGAGGCTGAGGCAGGAGAATTGCTTGAATCCAGGAGGCGGAGGTTGCAGTGAGCCGAGATCATGCCACTGCACTCCAGCCTGGGTGACAGAACGAAACTGTCTCAAAAAAAAAAAAAAAGAAAGAAAGAAAGAGCACTTAAAAGAAATACTCTTTAAGGTTTTATCCAGTACCAAAAATCTATGATCCTGATTCCAATTTAAAATGATTTTTTTAATGATGCCATTATAAATGTTAACAAACAGCATTTATAGATTCACTGTGTCCTTATGGAAAATAAATAAACCTGAGATGATAACTCCTTCACTCACATAAACTCTTTTATCTGTAGCAGTGTTCTGTAGCATACAGAAAATTTTCATGGTCCATTCCTGGCAGCTTTTGAGGGTTGTGGTTTTGGAGTAGTTCTCAGTAAGCATGCAGGGTTCTCCGATTTACATTAACAATAGCTGTGTGTGTATTAGCAGGAGGCCACATATCTACCCCGAACCAATTATGTTTATAAAAGGTACAGTACACAGCAAAATAATGGTTAATCAGGAGAAGGGTAATTACTGCTAATAAAGCTGTAGTAGACAACATAATTTGTTGTGAGCAGTGTTTAATTTTATGGTATAGTTAAACCTGTTCATTTCAAATACATCTGAAGAAATATACTTTTGTTCACACTTTATATTCCACAATCACCATCACCACGGGAACCGTCTCCCATGGTGGCTAGATCCTGGTGCCCAGTGCCACAGCTTTGAAACTCAAATTTCTACTGAGGACTAAAAATTCACTCTTCCTGGCCTTTCAGATTCTATAGGTATCTTAAGGAGAGGAGGATAAGCCACTTCCCACCCCCGCCCTGTCTTCTCATTTTGGTTTGGTTCAAGTTTACCAGCATGACTTTCCTCTATATTATATATCATGTCAGAAGGCTGATGCAGCACCCTCTGTGTCTTGGGAAGAGGTGCCACTGGATCCACAAGAGGAGAGTGGGTATCAGTGTTATTGTTCCAATACCGAAGGCAGATGTGGGCTCTTGCATCTCTGGTTTCTTATCATGTCCGTGGAGAAACCAGTAATTCGTCTTCACTAAAATTTTATTTATAGTTAGGCATGCGATCCATGACCACAGAATAGAATATCTTCTAGCCAGTTGATCAAAAGAGCTTCAGATCTGTTCTTTAGGAATAGCCAACATGGCTTCTAAGCAAAAGTTAGCAAAAATTAGAGAATCCTAGGAAGAACATTTTGTGGTCTAGGTTACTAAGCTAGCCCAGATGTTTGTTAATCCAGGACTCTCTGAAAAAGAAAACTGAAGAACAGAGGAATCACTTAATCTTGCTTTTACTATTAGTGGTACCTTATAATTGAGTTAGTCAAAGCTTTTCTTGGAGCATTTTGGAACTTGAATCCATTTATGTTGAGATTTGTTACTGTGTGTTTTTTACATGTACAAAACTTTGTATATATACTATGTCTAAAGGAAAATTAGTCTGTTTAACAAATTCCTCACCTGTTCAAAGTACAGAGAAATGAATTATTTAACAGTGCATCTGAGTCAACCTCCATTTTTCTTTAGAGATATCTGTGATAATAATTTATACGGGTTTGTGTGCTTTTCCTCTTTAATTAGGTGACAGCCATTCAGACTGAAGTGTTCCAGAAACAGAGAGAATGTGAAGCTGACTTACTCAAGGCTGAGCCTGCACTGGTGGCTGCTACAGCTGCACTCAATACACTCAACAGGGTAAAGATAATTTATTGGTCCCTGAGTTTCCTCAAAGTAATATTTAAAGGTTATTAGAGTTTGAATAACTGAGCTGAGAGAGTAGCCCATTACAGCCAAAAAGTATTTTAAAAGGAAAGAAGCACCCATGAAATATTAAAGTTGAAACAAACCATTGAGGTCATCATTATAGTTCAACTTCTTTTCCCCATCCAGGACCCTGTTCTACGGCACCCCAATAAGCAGTCTCCTTTTGAATATTTCCAACAGTGTGGGATTTATACTCTTAGGAAAGGCAACTGGATTGTTGGTAACTGGATTTGACCCAAATCCAATTTTTCATATCATGTGTTGCTTTAAGAACTAGGCGAAGGATTCTTTATTTCCTCTGGAATATAAAGAGTAGCATTGATGAGAGACCCTCATGGAAAGAACAATGGGAGCAAAGATACCTAGGTTTGGTCCCCACCATTTCTTCGAGCTTCATGTTGTTTGTGAAACCTCCCTAAGCGTTCACATTCTTATAAGAGAAAGTAAGCTGTGTTCATCACTAGCATATTGTTAGGGAAAGTGAAATGGGGGGCAATGTTCTTTTAAGAGCCTGCAGCTAATCTCATCCTGGGGTCTTCTGCCAGACCTCTGGGGAGAGCTCAGGAAATCACTGGGCCTGAGATTCTTAAGATTCCATTTCAAAAAGGAAAGAATCGAGATTTTCACTGTTCTTCATAGAAATCCTGAATTCGTTTTGTAAGTATTTTTTGAAGAAAATAATTTTGACTGTGACTAAGGAGATACTTACATGGGTATTTCTTAGAGTACCATAAAACTGAAAAATTTTAAATGGAAACATACCATGACAGAACTCTGATTATTATGCATTCAAATAGCCTGCTGCCGTTAAAATAATATTGTTAAATGCTAATTAGCAATGTGACACATTAACCATGATATATTAAGTGAATAAAGCAGATTATAAAATAGGGTATTTTATATGACTAATTCTTTTGGTAAGAATATGTGCACAGAAAAAGATTGGCAAAAAGTAAGAGTAATTGGTCGTCTCTGAGTAATGGAATATTTATTTTCTTTATTGTGTTTCTCTAAATTTGCAAATTTTTCTCTGAATAATTACTCTTTACTCAGGCAAAATAGCTCCACTTAAAATATGAAGCTGTGTATATGTATAAGTTATAAAAGAATCTTGGTTAGCCAGCTCTCAATTCTTACTAGCATATTTTAAGACTTTGTTTTTGTTCTTGCTTTCACTCTGTTTCCATTCTTTGTAATCATATACCAAATAAATAGGCAGCTTCTGATAAGGGAGCAGAATCAGGTTCAACATTTGATAAGGTTTTATAAGCAAGAGTGTATTATGTAGCACATAAAGTATCACAGGAAATACCTGGTTGGTTGTTTTTGTTTTTCAAATCATGTATTAAATATCATAAGCCTACATGAGCTTCTTATATGTGCTATTACCTGCCTCAAAGTGTTTGCCCTGATACATATAATTTATACTATTAATATCATCTGTTGGATTAATCAGTGGCATCACCTGAGGAGACAAAGGAGTAGAGAAGAAAGTTCAGCCTATCTTGGCCCTCTCCTAGTTGAGAGTTCCTGTAGTGTAATGGAAGATATTTCTTTCTTGTACATGTAAGACAGAAAAACAAACCTAAGAGACACTGAATTAAGGAATTATGTGTCTGGGAGGGGCTTGGTTAAGATGCAAATCTATTACATAGTGGGATAGAACCTATAAATATCTTACAACATATACACATGTGTGTGTGTGTGTGTGTGTGTGTGTATCCTGGCCTCAGTGAGCAGGGCTCTGCAGGACTGATATATAGATATATAGATCATTTTTCTTGAAGGCAAGAAAGGGCAGTGATGTCTCCAGAGTATCAGAGAAGTGCCCAGCAAGAACTGAACCTCCTGGAGTTCCAAGGTGGAGTCCCCAGGTGGCAAAGAATTGCCAAATTGAGACTGGTTTGATAAGGAGAAGTGGGAGTCCACTAAAGCCTTGCTTGGCAACTTACAGAGCTTCTCCAGACTTCCGCTAATCCTGTCTGTGTACGTGTTTCTGTGTGCTTTTCTTCAGGTCAACCTCAGTGAGCTGAAAGCCTTTCCCAACCCTCCCATCGCAGTTACCAATGTTACTGCAGCCGTGATGGTCCTTCTGGCTCCTCGGGGAAGAGTGCCCAAAGACCGAAGTTGGAAAGCAGCTAAAGTCTTCATGGGAAAGGTATCAGCCCAGCCTGGCAAGATGAAAATCCTGATAATTTCCATACTGTTTTCAGTACTGTGGTTATGCTTAATAGCAAAAGATGTTTAAGTCAGAAGAAATCATCTTCATAGTTGCTGAATGTAATCTACTGTATATGTTCTCTAGACTTACAGCTTTTGTTTGCCAAGTTGGAAGTTAGCTTGGGGTTATGGCATACCTAAGTCAATGCCAGCAGCAGGTGGAAGGTTGCTAATTATTTGCAAAATTATGAAAGCAGTTAAGTGTAGGAGGGAGAAAATGACATGGATTTCTTAGGCTGGAAAAATGTTGCTAATGTATAGGAAGGTGAAGCACAGGGGATTTTTGGTGTGTTTTTTGCTTTTTATTTTCTGCCTTTCTTTTCTTCAAAATGTGAATACCTCCTGTGCTGGGACTGAATATTTTACCCTGGGATAGAAGAGGTTTTAAAAGTGTCCATTGCTAATTCTGACTTCGTACTATAAAGACTGAAAAAGTCAAACAGTAGGATAAATGCAGCTTGCCAATTTTGCTTTTGTAATGTGAGTCCTAAAAGCTGATTTTAACTTTTGATCTTGGAATTTTCTCTGCAGCCAAAATGGGTTCATTGCAATAAATCTTTTTGCTTTGCAGGTTGATGATTTTTTGCAAGCATTAATTAACTATGACAAAGAGCACATTCCAGAGAACTGTCTAAAAGTGGTGAATGAACACTATTTGAAAGACCCAGAGTTTAATCCAAACCTGATTCGAACCAAATCTTTTGCAGCAGCTGGCCTGTGTGCCTGGGTCATCAACATCATTAAATTCTATGAGGTATCAATCCTAAATTGATTGTTTACAGATGTTCTCCACAAAGGGCTGCAAACACATCAATTTCTAGGTCAGCGAGAAGAGTAAAATTTGTTATTTCATTTTCTGAATAAGGATATGTAGTTCTAAGACTAAGACATGAGCATGTTAGAGTAAACAATTCTCTACAGGAGGATATTTGAAATGTTAGAAACTATCTTTTTTTGGGCAGAGTGATTGGCTCCTTTAGATTAAAGAGCAGTAAGTAATTAGATGAAAACTTTTATATGAATTTTACTTATTTACATTTAAATATTTAATTCATGTTGACTTGAAACAACTGCAAATCTGAATTCACATCAAATGAAATGTAGCGCCTGCTCTCAAAGCAAATATTCACACCATCTGTATTGTTGACATAGTGAGATGAGGAAATAACCATTTCTTTGCTTTAGTATTTTAATGACAGGTAAGTTTTGTGCCTATATGTGATCTAACCTAAAATTTGTACTTTTCGGCAGTGTAGAGATAGATTATACTTTCATGTAGTCATTTATTTATCAAATATTTATCACCGACCAACTGTATCCCAAGCACTTTGCTGAGTACTTGATCTAATAAGGGAACAATGCATGGCTCACAACTCTGAAGAACTCTCATTTTTGTCTTAGAGGGTTGTATGTTATATTCAAATATGGAATTACTGAGAAAAAGTCAGTGTAGTCAATTCAATTCCCAAAGTAATTTTCATAAAGCCAGGTTATTTCCTTTATACTGTGGGGCCCACAGGGATAGGACTCTCTTGATCTCTCTCTCTCTTTAGTGGCAATCTTCATAAGGCAAGAGTTTAGACAGGTTGTGGTTGATGTACGGCCTCTCTGCATAATAAAATGTCTCAGCCCCGTCTTCTACTTGTACAGTAGGTGAAAAGACAAGCATAGAGCTTGACTGTGGCTGCATTCTGTGTTTATTTTGCTATAAAATAGGAAAGAAAATTTAATTTCCTTCCTCTCTCCCCACCAGCAGAAAAAAAATTGATCCACCTAAATTCTCAGATGGTCCATTCAAACAACATGTGCTTAAGGTGGTTGGGAACTTAGACAAGAAAGTGACAATGTGGTTGATGTTGTGTGGATATCTCCCACCCTCCTTTCTGTGTTGAGAATTTTTCCACACTTATTTTCTGCCTTAAAGGCCAGACATGATCTCAGCATTGGCTATAGTTCCTGCACAATGCAATTTCTAGTAATATGAGGCGTATCTTCACATTTTATGACAAATTGATTTTAATATCTTAATGGTGTTTGACTTATATCGCATTTTATGCAAGTACTTGTAACTCTAAGGTCCAGATTAAATAAGTAAAATAATGGTGGACCAGAGAGAATGTGGAAGGCTATGTGGATTGTGCTCTGCCTTTAGGTATTACCATGTCTGAAAAATAACAGGCCAGGTGTGGTGGCATACACCTGTAATCTCAGCACTTTGGGAGGCTGAGGTGGGAGGATCCTTTGAGCCCCAGAGTTTAAGACCAGTTTGAGCAACATGAGAAGACCCCATCTCAATAAAAAAAGAGAAGTTGCTAGATGAATTAGAGATTTTAATTGTAAAGCATCCATCCTATCTGGGATTGAATGATTACTTATCCTCTTTGTATCTGTATTAATTCATGAATTTTCAGGTCTACTGTGATGTGGAGCCAAAACGCCAAGCATTAGCCCAAGCAAACTTAGAACTGGCTGCAGCTACTGAAAAACTAGAGGCTATCAGGAAAAAGCTTGTGGTGAGTGCAAACTATGACATTGAAAAGGTTCCCAAGAGGTGGTCGCTGCCTCCACCTTAGGATTCCACCCTCAGACAGCACCATATCTGAGCCCTATCAAGCAGAAAGGAATTCGATCTTCCATGAGTGTATTTCCTTATATACCATTCAGTAGGTATTTCTTATCTGCTCTGTGGTAGATGCTGAACTGGGAAAGTGCAAATGTTCATGGTTTCTACAGCTAAGAAACATTTGCAGTCTGATAGTGGAAAGGGGAGGGCAGCACATAGTGATTCCAGGTAAGGCTTCTGGAGTCAGACTATCTGGCTTATATCTTGGCTCCACTGTTTACTGTTGCATCCCGTACAAGGTAGTTAACCTCTATGAGCCTCTGTTTTCTCATCTGTGAAACAGGTATTATAATAATAAGCATTTCTTTCTCTCTTTCTTTCTTTCTTTCTTTCTTTCTTTCTTTCTTTCTTTCTTTTTTCTTTCTTTCTTTCTTTCTTTCTTTCTTTCTTTCTTTCTTTCTCTCTCCTTCCTTCCTTTTCTTTCTTTCTTTCTTTCTTTCCTTTCCCCTCCCTCCCTCCCTCCCTTCCTTCCTTCATTTTATTTTAAGTTCCAGGGTGGATGTGCAGGCTTGTTACACAGGTAAATATGTGCCATGGTGGTTTGCTGCTCCTATCAACCAATCACCTAGGTATTAAGCCTGTCATTCATTAGCTATTTTTCCTGAATAGTGTCCATTTCTTAGGTAGAACTGTGGGGATTTAAATAAGAGTAATTCATATTAAGAATTTACCATGGTACTTGGCACATAGTAAGTGCTTAGAAAATATTTTCGGCTCGGCGCAGTGGCTCACACCTGTAATCCCAGCACTTTGGGAGGCCAAGGCGGGCAGATCACGACATCAGGAGATCGAGACCATCCTGGCTAACACGGTGAAACCCCGTCACTACTAAAAATACAAAAAGAAATTTAGCCGGGCGTCATGGCGGGTGACTGTAGTCCCAGCTACTCAGGAGGCTGAGGCAGGAGAATGGCGTGAACCCAGGAAGTGGAGCTTGCAGTGAGCCAAGATCACACCACTGCACTCCAGCCTGGGCGACAGAGCAAGACTCCGTCTCAAACAACAAAAAGAAAAGAAAATATTTTCAATGAATATTGTATGTACTACTAAATACCACTACTGTTTTTACAAATATGTAAACCACTCATCCTAGTCCAGCATTATCAATATATATGTGGCTATATACAGAAAACACCATGAAATACCGAGCCCGAAGAAATTAGAGGAAGTTCTTTAGTGAAGGTGGATCGACATGGGCTTTAGATGTTGGTTAGGAACCACCAGGATAACTAGGATGGGAAAGGTGTTCCTGACAGAAGGCAAGGAAAAGAGGGAAGGAGCAGTTGGGACACTTGAAGTGTCCAGCAAGTCAGAGCCCTGCAATGAATGTTTTGGCGAGTATGAGGGAATCATGAACAGGGAAATCATGAAAGATGAACTTGCAAAGGTGAGCATAGGCTTTCTTTGCCTTTCACACTACAGAATTTAAATTTTATCCGATTGGTGATATTAAGCCTTTGAAAGATTTTAACAAGTTAATGATACAACCAAAGTGAATGGATGCTGGAAGAAGAAAAGAACCTAGAGGCAGGCAGACAAGTTAGAAAGCCACTGTCGTGAATCCTGTTATGGCCTCAGCTCAGGCAGGAGCAGTCATGATGGAGGGAGAGAGATTACGTTCAAGGCTGGCTGATGAGATACAGAGAGACGGGAGGAATACAGGAGCAGGATGAGGAGCGTGAGGTGCCTGGCAGGGCAGCCAGCAGAGTGATGAGGCGGCACAACCCTGGCAGTTTACAGAAACCCCTGGAGCTTCAGTTTCTCATCTGTCAAGTAGTGGTAACAGCAACTCTCAAGGTGGCCATGTGTGATTTGGGGCTACCCAGCTTCCAGTCTGCCACCTTTGAGTGAAAACAGCTTGATTTTCTTTAGGGAAGAATCTCTCTGCATTGGATGCACTCAGGTGAGGCTTTTAGCAGGAGTGACCTTGCCTTTTCAAGGACTAGATATATGATCCAACCTTTCGCAACTTGATCCCCCATCTCTAGAGTTTAAGTCATGAGCAAAAGGAATAAAAGACTGAAAACAGAGTGCATACATTGCAAAGATAGTGTCCTGATGAGACTTGTAAACAGCTCCTGCTCCCAAGACCCTCTGGAGCATCTTGGTGCCTGTATGTGGTTCTCAGCCTTTCTTTCCCTCTTAAGAGCTCCCCCATCTACTTCGGGCAAGCTCCTTCAGCTTACATTAGCTAGAAGGGAGTAGGTATTTCTTTCCATCATTCCCACCTATGATTCCTGATGCATTAAGATACTATTTAGTGTGCAACATACAGTAGACACTTCATAAATCTTAGTTCCCACCCTCTTCCTATAGAAAAATCCATATGTAAGTGTGCCGCAGTCATGACTGGAGTTTGAGAGAAAAGTCTGGGTCAGGAATATATAGTTGGGAATGGTTGGTGTGTTAGTCTGTTCTCACATTGCTATAAAGAAATACCTGATACTGGGTAACTTACAAAGAAAGGGGTTTAATTGGCCCATGATTCTGCAGGCTGTACAGGAAGCATAGCAGTTCCTGCTTTGGGCGGGGCCTCAGGAAACTTTCAACCATGGCAGAAAGCAAAGGGGGATCAGGCATCTTACATGGCAGAAGCAGGAGTGACAGATGGGCCTTTTTTGTGTTGAGGTATGTGCCTTCCATACCTAGTTTGCTGAGCATTTTTATCATAAAGGGGTATTGAATTTTGTTGAGTGTTTTTTTAGCATCTATTAAAATGATCATACAGTTTTTGTTCTTTATTCTCTTAATGAGATATATCACATTTACTCATTTGCATATGAACTGTTCTTGTATCCCTGGGTTGAATCCCACGTGATCATGCTGAATAATCTTTTCAGTGTGTGTTGTATTCAGTTTGCTCGTATTTTGTTGAGAATTTTTGCATCTGTCTTCATCTGAGATACTGACTGTAGTTTCTTGCTGTGTTCTTGTCTAGTTTTTGTGTCAGGTAATGCAGGTCTCATCAAATGAGTGTGGAAGTATTCCCTCTTCAATTTTTTGAAAAAGTTTGAGTAGAATTGGTATTATTCAACTGTTTGGTAGATTTCAACAGTAAAGCCATTAGGTCCTAGGGTTTTCTTTGATGGAGACTTTTTATTATTGCTTCAATCTCATTACTCATTACTGGTTTGTTCGGGTTTTCTATTTCTTCATGGTTCAATCTTGGTAGAGTGTATATGTGCAGGAATTTTTTCATTTCTTATAGGTTTTCCAATATGTTGGCATATACATGTTCATAGTAGTTTCTAATGATCCTTCATATTTCTGTGGTATCCGTTGTTATATATCCATTTTCATTTATTTTTTTATTTGGGTCTTCTCTCCTTTTTTTGCTTTATAGGTTAGTTGATTTTGTTTATCTTTTGAAAAAATGAACTTTTCATTTCATTGATATTTTGTATTTTTTAGTCTCAGTCATTTATTTATGCTCTGATTTTTCTTATTTCCTTCTAAAAATTTTGGGTTTGATTTGTTCTTATTATTTTAGTTCCTTGAGGTGTATCATTAGATTTGTTATTTGAATGTTGTTTATTTTTCTATGTAGGCATTTGATGTATTGCTGTAAGCTTCTCTCCTAGTATTGCTTTTGCTGTATTCCATAGACCGAATATATTAGGTTTCCATTTTAATTTGTTTCAAAATATTTTTAAATTTCCTTCTTAATGTCATTGACCAACTGATTAGGAACATGTTTAATTTTCCTGTGTTCGTATAGTTGCCAACTTTCCTCTTGTTTTTCATTTCTAGTTTTATTCCATTGTGATCAGAAAAGGTACTTGATATGATTTTTACTTTTTTGAATTTGTAGAGACCTGTTTTGTGGCCTAATATGTGGTCAGTTCTGGAGAATGTTCCATGTGCTGATGAAAAGAATTTGTCAGGCTGGGCGTGGTGGCTCACGCCTATAATCCCAGCACTTTGAGAGGCTGAGGTGGGCAGATCATGAGGTCAGGAGATTGAGACCATCCTGGCCAACATGGTGAAACCCCGTCTGTACTAAAAATACAAAAATTAGCTGGGCGTGGTGGCACGCCCTTGTAGTCCCAGCTACTCAGAAGGCTGAGGCAGGGGAATCACTTGAAGCTGGGAGGTGAAGGCTGCAGGGAGCCGAGATCGTGCCATTGCACTCCAGCCTGGATGACAGAGTGAGACTCTGTCTCAAAAAAAAAAAAAAAAGAATTTGTATTCTGCAGCTGTTAGATGAAATGTTCTATAAATGTTGCTTAGACCTATGTAGTCTAGTGTTTAGTTTATCATTAATGTTTCTTTGTTGATTTCATGTCTGGATGATCTGTCTGTTAGTGAGCGTAGGGTGTTGAAGTCCCCTGCTATTACTGTATTTCAGTCTATCCACTTAGATCTATTCATGTTTATTATATATACTTCTTTCTTTGAACAAGCTTTCTACATCTTGCTCTTTTTAAACTCCCTCTTGAACTCCAGTGACTGTTAGATGTGCTCTTTTGAGGTCATTCTCTGTAGACATTTGTTTGTTTCATCATTTTTCCTTTTTTCACCTCTGTGTATTTTCAAATAGCCTGTCTTTGAAATTACTGATTCTTTCTTCTGCTTTACTCATTCTGCTCTTTAAAGCCTCAAATTCATTTTTTACTTCAGCAAACGTATTTCTCAGTTCCAGGATTTTTAAAAAATTATTTCAATCTCTTAAACTTCTGATAAATTTCTGAATTGCTTTTCTGTATTATCTTGGAGTCGGCTGAGTTTTCTTAAACTACTATTTTGAATTATTGATCTGAGAGCTCCCACATCATCATCTCATTAGAGTTGGTCATTCGCTCCTTGCTTTGTTTATTTGGAGAGGTCATGGCTCCCTGTTTGCTGCTGTCTCTTGTGGATATACTTCTATGGCTTTACATTGAAGGATTAGTTATTTATGCTAGTCTTTGCTGACTGGCTTGTTTTGGTCTTTCTAGAGTATGTTTGCTTAGAGGTTATTTGTAGTCACCTGTTGAGTTCCTTAATTCTAGATCACTGCTTCCTTTTCAGCACTATATGGAACATTAAGCTCAGGTTTGCCTTGACTCTTAGAAATGCTTGAAGTACTGACCATCCTGAATTGAGGGTAAGGGGCCCCAAGAAGATACTCTGGCTTTGTGTGAAAGCTAGCTGGGGGTTTGTGCCCAGAAGACCCATGGAGTGTGCCTTGTACAGTGTGGTGCTGTTGAACAGCCACTCTGATTTGGCATCTCCTTTGACTGAGATGAAGAAGAGAATTTCATGGGCTGGAGTTGCTAGTCTGACCTTCCCTCTTTATCACTAGATGCTTTCAGGGATTTTTGTCTCTGTAGGCACTTGGAATACTTCCTCTGGGTTACGGTAAAAAGCAGTTTTCTTGCAAGGGAATGTAAGATGGCTGAGTGGGAAAAATGGCTGTCCACCTCAGTCTCACTTTCTCCAGTGTAGGAACTACGAGTCTGGGGGGCATTTTCTACGTGCAGTACCTGAGTAGATTTTGGTAGGGGCATTGCAAATAGGGACGTTCTTTCTTCTGCTGCTCAGAGTTTTTTACCTCTCTGTGGCTCTGGGTAGTGTCTCTGAGTTCCAGGATGTTGCTGGTGATAGTCTTAGCACTGGATATTTGTTTTGGGTTTTCTGTAGGGGAGAGTGAAGCCAGATTACTTCCACTCTGCCTTTCTGGTGACATCCCTTTGTGTTCTCAAACTTTTGCACAACGATTCTTAGGTAAAGGTTAATTTTTTTTACATTTAACATTTAAAAATGTAAAATCCATTCTTTACTCATAGGCCACACAAAACCAGTTGGCTGCTAGGTTTGGTGTGCGGATCCTAGTACCTAGTACCTAGTGGGTACTGACCTTTGCTGTGTACTAATACTGAAAGCTATTTGGGATCTGGTACTTTATCATCTGCTAATTCTCCCTGTTCTCCTAGATCAAGCTTGGACTTTAGGGGAACTCCTTGGAGAAAATACTTGATCAGTTTCCCTGTTATTCCACACACCCTACACATCAGTGTACACCTCATCCTAACATGCGAACTCTCATTTCCTTTCTGTCTTCCACACTATGAGCTCCTTAAAGTCTTTTAACTTTTTATGCCTAGCACCTGACACATGAGAGGAACTCAAAAACTATTAGTTAAATTAACAAACAGAACCATATTTTATATTTTAATTAAAAGGTTTATTTGTTCTAGTTGAAGGACTCACTTTCCTTTTAGCAATCAACGAACGTTTTGTAACACTGGACTAGGCACTGGAGTCAGAGGGACACAGAAGGCTCAGTCCCTGCCCTGAAAAATCTTACAGATTTACTAAATGCTGTTTAATTTGCCAAGTGCTGCCAAGGGAGGTTGCATTGGCTACCACTGGAGCACAAAGAATGGAGTTGGTCAGTTCTGCACGTGAGGATGGGGTTGGGTGCTCAGGAAAGGTTTGGAGGAGCAGTTTCCTCTTGAATCCAGTCTTAAAAGATGAATAGGTTTTCACCCAGAAGATAGGGAAAGGGCATTTCAAGAAAGAGGGTCACGTGTCCTGTGGACAGTGAGTACCTCAACATGACTGAAGAGTAGAGTATAAATGTCAGTGTGTGGGGTCTCTTGTGGTGAAAAGTGAGGCAGGGACATGATCACACGGGAAATTGCAAGGTGTTGGTTAAGAGGTAAGTGTTTGTCCTATAGGCCAGAATATACTAAGCTCCCTAATATTGAAGACTCTTCTTAATGCCAAAAAGAGTCCCTGACAGTCATGAATAGTAGTTGTATTTTCTTTTAACCGTGTTATAGACAATGATTAAGGCAAACGTAGATTCAGTGGGCCCTAGCAGAATAAACTAGCCCCAGTAGGGATCTGTGAGCCATATATGAGAACTGCCACTGTCAGACAGGGAGAGCAATTGAAGAACTGCAGTTGGGCACAGGAGGGATAAATCGATCACATTTGCCTTTTGGAAAGATAGCTGTGGGCCAATGAACAAAGGGGAAGAGACTGGAAGCAGAATGAACATGGATGAGGGAAGCAGAATGAAAACAAAAGAAAGTCAAGGAGAGAAACTTGGGTTATAAACAGTTTATAAACTGGGTACAGAATGATGATATCTGAAAGAGCAAGAAAAAGAGATGGTTAGGAAGGTGAATGAGGAGCCAGAAGAGATTGTTATCATGGCGGCCAAGGGAGGGAAGGGAACCATCACCTGGAACAAATAGTAAAGAGGCCAGATACCACAGTGCATCTGAGCATAGGCTGTGGGGCCAAACATCACGTGTTACATCTTAGCCCAGTACTTTCCATCTTTGTGAGCTTGAGTAACATTTTTGCCTCATGGACTCTCTAATTTCCTCACCTATAAAATGAAAAAATCTCTCTGAGACTTAACGAACTGATCAAATGCATTAACACATGTCAAATACTTAGAATAGTGCTGGGTGCTTGCTAGAGGATCAATAACTGTTAGTTGTTATTTTTTTATTTTATTTTTTTTACAAACAATGATTAGTAACTTGAGAGAATAAAGTTTGTTTATCAGATCACATGTTTCAGTAAAATGGTAGAGAAGAACAAAGAAAAAAGTGATAGGAATGAAAGTCAGATTAAAATAGATGAAGGAGAGAATGGGTGGTGAGAAAAGAAAACAGCAGGAATAGAGTTTTCTATAGAGAAAAATTTTTTGAAAACAAGGAGAAAGGTACAAACAATATTAAGAGTCCCTCAGAAAATATTTTGGAAACTTAATCTTACTTATTTTAGAGTAAAATCATCTTGATGATTATATATTTGCTTTGAACTTTTTTTTTTTTCCTTTTGAGACAGAGTTTTGTTCTTATTGCCTAGGCTGGAGTGCAGTGGTGCGTTCTCAGCTCATTACAACCTCCACCTCCGAGGTTCAAGCAGTTCTCCTGCCTCAGCCTCCCGAGTAGCTGGCATTACAGGCCTGCGCCACCATGCCCGGCTAATTTTGTATTTTTAGTAGAGACGGGGTTTCTCTATGTTGGTCAGGCTGGTCTCAAACTCGTGACCTCAGGTGATCCGCTCGCCTCGGCCTCCCAAAATGCTGGGATTAGAGGCTTGAGCCACCACACCCAGCCCTTGAACTATTTTTTCTAGTACATGTACAGTTTACATATTTATGTTTATATTAACTGTATTCATGTGAGACACTAGTGCTCCTTTCAAATCTCTGAATACACATAAAACAGTCAGTGTAAGCTCAAATCAACAATTAGACATTCCTATGAAAGTAGTAGATTGTCACCTTTAAGCATGCTTGGAATCCTGGCTATTATACCAGGTTAGTACTTATTCCTGGTGAACATTCACTCATGCCCTTAAGAGTTACATGCCAAGGGCCAACTTTTACCCAAACATTTGCCATTAAGTTACGTTTTCATTCAATGAAAAAAAGGAACCAAAGTGAATTTGTATCCCATTTGAAATAAACTCCAGTGATATTTGCACACCAAGCTAACTTACCATGTGCTTGCTGAATGTGCTGTGCCATATTTTACATGCATTAAGACACATTTTATTCCATAGCACACCTACCTATGAAGTAGGTATTACTAGGAGTAGTCCCATTTTACACATGAGAAAATGTAAAGCTCACATAAAGTGAAAAATGAGTCCACACCACCAGGGTCAGTAAGAGGCAGAGGAACTAGAACCAAGACATTCATTCATTCATTTGAGACAGTGTCATTCCGTCACCCAGGTTGGAGTGCAGTGGCACGATCTCAGCTCATTACAAACTTGACTCCTAGGTTCAAGCAATTCTTGTGCCTCAGCCTCCTGGGTAGCTGGATTACAGGCTTGTGCCACCATGCCCGGCTAATTTTTTGTATTTTTAGTAGAGATGGAGTTTCACCCTGCTGGCCAAGCCGATCTTGAAGTCCTGACCTCAGGTGATCCACCTGCCTCGGCCTCCCAAAGTGCTGGGATTACAGGCATGAGCCACTGTGCCTGGCAGAACCAAGACATTTTTAAACTCGAAGATGGATACTCTTAACTATACAGTATACCATGTGTGATTTGACTGGGAAGCCTGGAAGTATTTACTCTGTCTCTTCACAACTGGAACTTCTCAAACATCTATTTTGTGAAATGCCTTCCATTAAGTTGGTCCAGGACTCAGAAGGTTTGGGTTCATAGCCTTGTTTTTTCACTCACTTGCTAGTGAAACTTTAGCAAATCACTCAACTGATCTTTGTCTCAGTTTCCTCACCTGCAAGTTATATAAGGCATTGTCTGCTTTATTCACCTTCATTCTCCAGCAAGCATACAGCAGAGTTTTTCAGCTGCTGTATGACATGCAACACCTCAACAGATTGAATGCAATAGCAGGTATAAGAATCTAACAGTCTTCTGTTAAATAAGTCATTAAAATTAGGTTTGCAAAAATCTAAATGTCATTTTTAATTATTTTTGTTTTGTTAATATTGTTATTTTAATAAAATTATGCTAATACATGGTGAGCTTATTAATATTAAATAAATAAATTTTTAAATTTTTTTCAGTTTTAACTTCTAATACCACAAATATTACTTGATATCATCTGTATGAACCAGTGCCCTTTAGGGTTCTGAATGTAACAGAGTTTTGAAACCAAAAATTTTGAGAACCATTGCCTTCTACTGTCCTAGATATTATTCTATAAATCATCAAAATTAATCCTCAAAAAAACACCCTTTGAGCTAGGTAACATTATTAATTCCATTTTTAAGATAATGAAGCTGAAGCATAGAGAAGGTAAATAAATAGCCCCAACTTGATACTGCTTAGCTGGTAGCAGCATCCAAATATCAACCCAAGGAGTCTGATACCAGAGCCTTCGTGTGCTTCTGTGCTTGGTAAAACTATAAGTACTCTTAATAACCCAGAATAGACCTGTAATATTTTTACTTCAATCTTATTTCTTTTTTTTTTTTAAGACGGAGTCTTGCTCTTGTTTCCCAGACTGGAGTGCAATGGCATGATCTCCATTCACTGCAACTTCTGCCTTCCAGGTTCAAGCAATTCTCCTGCCTCAGCCTCCCGAGTAGCTGGGATTACAGGCACCCGCCACCACGCCCGGCTAATTTTTGTATTTTTAGTAGAGACAAGGTTTCGCCATGTTGGCCAGGCTGGTCTTGAACTCCTGACCTCGTGATCTGCCTGCCTCAGCCTCCCAAAGTGCTGGGATTACAGGCATGACCCACCGCACCCGGCCATATTTCAATCTTATTTCTAACTGGTGATGTATAATATCTCCATCAATTCTCATAAAGTTAATGCTATTTTGCATATTAATCTTAAATTTGATGTATATACATATTTGTGTATATATACATATTGCTTTAGCAATATAAAGTAATGGTGAAATAACTGGGTCATCGACAAATATAGTCTGTCTCTAAATTATTAATAGATTATATTCTGTAAGTTTTCTTGTTAAAGTTTCTTGGAACTTTGCATGCATCTACAAAAGCAATGCTATAAATCTTATTAGGTTTCTTGGAACTTAATATGCTAGCAAGATACCATAGTGAGGAGTCTCACAAGCATTTGACAACTTAGTCAAGACTTTTTGTCTATAAGTTATATGAGCTCATTCAAAATACCTTAGTCAAAAAAGGCACAAAGACAAACTCATGGACAAAAGGTGACCAGGGGACCCAAGAGATCCAGGAAACAAGAAGCTGCCATGAACTTCTCTTGGAGTCTCTAGGGCTGTGTGACTTCTCATCTTGCTTCTCTTTTACATCCCTTTCGTCCTTCTCTCTTTCTCCACAATGGTTTTCTCTGGTTTTTTCTGTGCCCCAGTGGAAGGTGTTCCCTCTTTAAACGCAGCCCTGTGATTCACACATCCTCCCAGGTCTTTCAATGCTAAAGACAATGGATTATCTCTGAGTTTCAGTCCCTACGTCCAGAAGAGAAAAATATGGGTCAGGCACAGTGGCTCATGCCTGTAATCCCAGCACTTGGGGAGGCCAAGGTGGGTGGATCACTTGAGACCAGGAGTTCAAGACCAGCCCGGCCAACATGGCGAAACCTCATCTCCACTAAATCTACAAAAATTAGCCGGGTGTGGTGGTGCACACCTGTAATCCCAGCTACTCGGGAGACTGAGGCGCAGGAATCACTTGAACCTGGGGGACAGAGGTTGCAGTGAGCTGAGATTGCACCATCGCATCCAGCCTGAGCAACAGAGCAATACTCATTCCAAAAAAAATGAAAAAGAAAAATCCGATTGGCGAAGCTGGGTCTAAAGGGCTCAGTAATTAACACCCCTCTTCACTGCCTGAACTATGAACCCAAAGAGAAAAGAATCCGTGGGTGGAGAAACCAAACAAGTCACTGTTGTCTTTAATAAAGCTGGTTGGAGGATGAGGCTTGGGTGCAAGAGCAGAGGGGGATGATAGTGCACCCACGGCGTATTTGCATCTTCAGCGCACATCCATTCACCCCAGTCGCTCCCTGCATTCTGCCCAGTGGAGGCAGAAGGGGAGAGAAGACCACATCGTGAACTGTTAGTTCATGGTGGCACTGATGTGTTTATTTCATTATATCCTTCTTTTCCTTCTTCCCTAAAATACGTATGGTAAAGGGGCAAAGGTTAATGGGGGGAAGAGGTTTGTCCATTTACCTTACAGTAACAGATGTTTTAAGATGATGGTAATCTCTCTGTTTTAACTAAAAATGACTCAAAAGTTAATTCAACTCTGATTCAGGATCTGGATCGAAATCTGAGCAGACTCACGGCTTCATTTGAAAAAGCAACAGCTGAGAAAGTCCGGTGTCAAGAAGAGGTGAACCAAACCAACAAAACCATCAAATTAGCTAACAGACTTGTCAAGGAACTTGAGGCAAGTTAAACCTTTTCTTCCAAACATTCTAACTAAAATGTTCAGATCAGCTTGTGGGGATTTTATTATTTGCCATCAATAATAACTAAATAGACATGGAATTAACAACAAAGGATAATATTTGATAATCACTCATCCTGTGGCTCTAACTCACCAGAAGGAAGAAATGTTCAAGTACATATCTTTTAATTTATAGTCCTGAACTCAATGTGCCATCAGTCTGATCTCCAACGAAAACAGGGAAGACATATACTTTATCAGAATTTAGTGGTCTTGTATCCACTTTAAGACAATGGAGTACATCAGCTGTGGGTGGGTTATGTACTTATTTTTTCTACTTTCTCTCTTCCTTTCTTTCTTACCACATTGTGAAATCCTTTAAAAACAAAAATAAAGCATGTTTTTCTTAAAACAAGTTATAAAACTCAGGATGGCTGCTAGATAATTATGAAATTGAACTGTTTGTTGTCTGATCCTTTTAATATACATTTGCCATTGAATTCTACCAGCAAATGATTTCTTTCAAGTTAAACCTGGTTGGTTTATGTTTTTGTTGTTACATCTTTTTATGGGTGACTGACATGCTAATGTTAATAGTTATTCCATTAGATAAAGGTTTTTTATAATTCTTATTGACATTCTCTTGCTTGAACATGAGTGGTAGAGGAACATACGTTCTTTGATATCAGTATTCACAGATTTTATTTGCTCCACAACGTGGCATTTAACAGTTCTGGGGAAATCACTGAACGTCTTCAACTTTGTTTTCTTGTATCTAAAACAGGGATGTGGATAACGTTTCCCTTACAAGGTTGTGATGATTCTCAAAAGACATAATGTACGTTCAAGTATTTCCTAACAAAAGTCAAAGAGATAAATAACCAAATTTTAAAATAAGAAAAGAATTTGAATAGACATTTCTCCATAAAAGATATGCAGATAGCCAGTAAGCACCTGAAAAGATGCTCAACTCCATTAGTCGTTAGAGAAATGCAAATTAAAACCACAACAAGATACCACTTCATAACCACCAGGATGACTATAATAAAAAATATGGACAGTAATAGTATTGGCAAACGCTATGGGGAAATGCTGGTTGGAATGTAAAATTGTTCTGCGTCTTTGGAAAACAGTTCTGCAGTTCCTCAAAACGTTAAACATAAAGTTACCACATGATACAATCATCTACTCATAGGTATATACCCTAAAGAAAAGAAAATAAATGTCCATTAAAAAGCTCATATGCAATGTTCATAGCAGCATTATTCATAATAGCTAAGAATAGAAACAACCCACATGTCCCTTAATTGATAAATGGATAAATAAAATGTATATCCATATAATGTTAATAGCATTCATCTATAAAAATGAATACTGAGTCATGCTACAATGTATGAATCTTGAAAATATCATGCTAAAAGAAAGAAGCCAGACACAAAAGGCCACATATCACATGGTATGTGATATCATGTGATACACAGGCAGAATGTGCCTGTGTATGAAATGTCCAGAACAGGATAATTTATAGACGCAAAATAGACTAATGGTTGCCAGGGGCTGGACAAGGGTGTGGGGTTTGGGGAGTGACTACTACTGGATACATGGTTTCTCTTTGGGGTGAGAGAAATGTACTAAAGTTAGCTAGAGGAGATAATTGTGCAAGTCTATATATATATAATATATATATATAATGTAGTAAAAAACACTGCTGTATATTTTAATGGGTGAATTTCATGGTATGTGAATTATATCTCAATAAAGCAGTTACTTTTTAAAGTATAAAGTCTGTAACTACACTATTAGAAAGCATATAACATATATATCTAAAAAGTAATAAAATGTGTAACTAAAAAGTGTATAATTGCATTATTAGAAATGCCTTTAGCTGACAAGCATAGAACTGCACTAAAATATGTAACTGCACTATTAGAAATGCATTTGGCTGGAGGTGATAGAAAACTTTTACAGTGGCTCAAACAAATGGGAGCTTATTTTTCACATATTACAAAAAATGCTAAGGCTGGACCATTATCAGTGTTGATCCTGGTGATTAGTGATCAGCCACCTAGGCTCTTTGTTGCCCTCTGCCTCTCCACGCTCAGCAAGTGGACATTCACCCTCATGCATTTTGCCTCATGGTCTCAAGATGTCTGCTACACCTTCAGATTCAAAGAGACAGTAGAGAAAGGGAACAATCTGTATCAGCTGGGGTTTTCTCCTTTTATGAGAAAAGCTGATGTTTTTCTGGAAATGTCTCTGACAGACTCCCACTTAAGTTTCTTTAGTCAGAACTAGATAAACTGCTAACTCCACCCCACACCTCCTGCCCAAAAAAAAAAAAAAGTCTGGAAAAGTGGGGAATGGGGCTATCATCATTGAAGTCTGGAAAAGTGGGGAATGGGGCTATCATCATTGAAGTCTGGAAAAGTGGGGAATGGGGCTGTCATCATTGAAGTCTGGAAAAGTGGACAATGGGGCTGTCATCATTGAAGTCTGGAAAAGTGGGGAATGGGGCTGTCATCATTGAAGTCTGGAAAAGTGGGGAATGGGGCTGTCATCATTGAAGTCTGGAAAAGTGGGGAATGGGGCTATCATCATTGAAGTCTGGAAAAGTGGGGAATGGGGCTATCATCATTGAAGTCTGGAAAAGTGGGGAATGGGGCTGTCATCATTGGCTTAGCAAGCCACCGTTCATCTCATGGGACTGGGCACACGACCATCCTATTCAGATTCAGGGTTCTCTTAGCAAGAAACGAGGGGGTACGTGTTTCGGGATGGCTAGGTGATAGCCTCATTTCTTGTAGTAGTTTTTTTTGTTTTGTTTTGTTTTGTTTTGTTTTGTTTTGTTTTGTTTTGAGACGGAGTCTTGCTCTGTTGCCCAGGCTGGAGTGCAGTGGCACCATCTCGGCTCACTGCAAGCTCCGCCTCCCGGGTTCACGCCATTCTCCTGCCTCAGCCTCCCGAGTACCTGGGACTACAGGTGCCCGCCACCACATCCGGCTAATTTTTTTGTATTTTTATTAGAGACGGGGTTTCACCGTGTTAGCCAGGATGGTCTCGATCTCTTGACCTCGTGATCCACCCGCCTCAGCCTCCCAAAGTGCTGGGATTACAGGCATGAGCCACCGTGCCCAGCCTATAGTACATTTTTAAAACCCTAACTTATTACCACAAATTTAACTAATTCACCACAAGTTTAAATACACTATCTCTCTGAAATGCATAGTTCATTATGCAAAAACTCATAATTCACCCTGCAAATCCCCTCTCTCCATTCCATCTCAATAACTGCAATTCTGTTCTTCCAGTTTTTCTGGCCCAAAGCTTTTGAATCACCCTTGACTCTGTGTGACATCAAATCCATCAGATATTCTATTGACCCTGCCTTTCAGGTTCATTCCAAATCCTAGCACTTCTCATTCTCTTCACCTTACCATGCTGGTCCAGGCTGTGGCATCTCTCCCCTAGGGTACCTCTGCAGGCCCCACCATTACCTCCTAAAGCTTATTTCCCTCATTGTAGCTGGGTGATATTTTACAAACTTAAGTACATTCACATCACTCCTTCACTCAGAACTCCCCAATAGCTAATTAATCACTCAAAGTCCAGCCTAAAGGCTTTACTGACCTGCAAGGCCCTACATGATAATCTGTCTCCTGGATACCCCTCTGTCCTCACCTCTGCCACTTCTCTCTTGCCCCATCTTCACTGGCCTTCTGTCTCTCCCTCATACTTCCAGGCACGCTCCTTCTTTGTGCGTTAGCCTTTCCCAGGCAGTCACATCACTGGCTCTTCACTTTGTCAGGCCCTGCTGAAAGTTCTCATTATCAGTTGGTTTTCTCTGACCTCCCTACATAAAAGAGCCTTCATCCAACACACAAGACCCCCACTCGTTCACACGCACACATACATGCACACATATGCATCTCTATTTTCTCCACTTGCTCTGTTAACATTTTTTGATAGCATTTATTGCATGAACGTAGTTGTCCGTGTATGCATACGCACAAATACTTTTTTTGGTCTTTTTTTCCCCAACTGAAATATGAGCTTCGCAAGAACAGGAAACTTCACCATTTTTTGTGGACTGCTTGATCCCAAGCATATAGAATAGTCCTGGCATGTCATAGGCATCACTAGATATTTGCTGAATGAATGAGTTACTAAATGGGTGAGTTTTGGGAGCCTCCTGTATTAAAATTCTGGAGCCTTTTGAAGACTTGCTCTTCTTAGGTGAGTTGAGAAATTTCACCAGTACTAGTACTTAAAACTACTTCCATTTAAAGTAGCAAGATTTAAGCAGTTTGAAGAGTTCTCCATTTGTGAGGTACCTGAGAAAAACTGTTATATAATTAGACTGTTTTCCGGGACTAGTTACAGAATGTCTGAAAGTTTTGTCAAGGGAAAAGTAGGCCCTACCATGTGTGTCTAACATATAGCAATATTTCCAAAGACTTTACTTACTCATGATGATTTAGACAAGGAAGGGAAAAGAAAATTGTATCATGTTAACTAAGGAAAAATATATATTTTTAAAGGATTAATTGAAGATGTCAGATCTTTTTCTTTCAGGATAAATTCTTTCTGACTAGAACAGGAGACAGTTAACTTCTGAAAAACATCAAGACTGATGATTTTGTCTATATCGCATTGACCTGGAAGCTCAGCCATTCAGACTAATAAATCAGGCAATTTATATTTAATCATTAACTAACTCCTGAGCTGAGCAGCTGTTCAAAATTAGAAATGGGTCACCCCAGCCAGGATGACATTACAGGCAATCTATAATGCATTAGAATAAAATTATAGTGATTTTTAACTGTCTTGAAATTTATTACAGGACATGTTCCAACTCTTAAACCCTTGTTAGCCAATGTCAGTAATGATTTATGTTGCATGGATACTATAGCAAAATTATTGACGATTTCGATAGCCAATCAGTCTATGTTTAGTGAATCTTCAAATCTCAAAGCTGTTTTGGAGAATGAGTTGGATACATTTTATTGTTTATCCTTTACAAACCAAAAACAACAAAGATAGAGGGTAGGTGAATGAGAGATTCCTCCTGAAAATTAATGCATATGTTGTCTATGGCTGAGGAACAAAAGTAATAAATTTTATAAAGAGGGCTAGAGAGCTGAAGTTCCTTAGTGTTTAATTATATAGTTAACTTGGGGTGATCTTTAATAAGCAAAGCAGGGAGATGATCTTGAAACCACTTTGATAACCATTTTCACATGCTAATTTCATGACCTCCGACCTCAGGGTTGTAGATATTAAGATAGCTTGCAGGGAACTGGCATTCCAATCCATTCTGACGTCATTTTTGTTTTCTGTGGTCAATCTACTTTCATGGGGAAAGCAAAATTCCATAGGGTGCTTCTTTGCTTGTACTAACAAATTGCTGATTTTTTTTCAGGTTCTATTAATTTGCATGTTCTTAAAATGTATTTTTAGCGTACATTGAAACAAAATAAATTAGTGAACTACCCTGCAGTTCAGTCAATCCATACATATTTATTGCAGTTTTATTCAAATCCAATATTAAGGGCTTCACATACTTAACCTGTAAATCAGATTTTAAATGGCCATCCAACTAGCTATAAGGACTTCAACAGCATTCTTGGGGAGTATTGTGAAGTCCTGATTTCCACCTTTTTATATAGGTCATAGCTTCCTCCACTGATTTAATGATTATATTAGAAAACTAACCTGAGTTTAGTAACTACCAATGCTACTCTTTAATTAGTAGAATCCAGGATAGATGGCTATTTCAGCTTTATGTTTTAACTAATTAAGTAGAGTTGTGTTTGTCATTTCCCTTTGTCTGTAATCAGACCATTGCCAGCATGTTAAAAATAGGTAAGTAAATAAAAAGTTTGACTAGGGCAGTGTAGTGGGAAGAATGGAGAGCAGCCAGGCTGACATTAAAAATCCTGACATCAGGCCAGGTGCGGTGGCTCACGCCTGTAATCCCAGCACTTTAGAAGGCCAAGGCAGGTGGATTGCTTGAGCTCATGAGTTTGAGACCAGCCTGGGCAACATGGTGAAGCCCCGTCTCTACAAAAAATACAAAAATTTGCCAGGCGTGGTGGTGCATGCCTATAGTCCCAGCTACTTGAGAGGCTGAAGTGAGAAGATGGCTTAAGCCCAGGAGGTAAAAGTTGCAATGAGCCAAGATGGTGCTATGGCATTCCAGCACGGGTGATAGAGCCAGACCCTGTCAAATAAATAAATAATCTTAACATCACTCGTTCTTGGCCACAGCTCTTGGTCATCTTCCATTCCCAGAGGGACAGGGGAGAGACTGTCAGCCTTTCAAGAAGGACCTCAATCATAATGGAAGAGTTGGGATGTCCAGTGAGAAGAGATGTTAAAGAACTAATGTCACTTTGTGATAAACTCCACTGAGGAGAGTATGAGAACTCCATCATAATGATGGATTTCAAACACATGAAAGATTATAACAGTCACACCAACCCGTTACACTCTGTTCCTTATAGTGACTGTGTGGAAGGACGTAAACCTTGCCATAAGGTAATTGCATTAAGCATTTGTGGAGTTGACATTCAGCCTGCAATTACAGCTGAGTAATTTCATCTTTCAGTCAGAGAAGATTCGCTGGGGTCAATCCATTAAGTCCTTTGAAGCTCAAGAGAAGACACTCTGTGGAGATGTTCTTCTCACGGCGGCATTTGTGTCTTACGTCGGACCCTTCACAAGGCAGTATCGCCAGGAGCTGGTGCACTGCAAGTGGGTTCCCTTTCTTCAACAGAAGGTAAGTTCAGTTCCTTACCTTGTCAGCAGGTAGAAAGATCACATTGAAATTTCAGTAGTAAAACCCACATATATGCCAGGCGCTTTTGGACGTCTGTAATGAGAACTGACCAGAAATTCCATGGTGAAATTGTTTCTCATGTGCTGCAGTTTTTCTTATTTTTACAAAGTTCATAATAAATATTTCATTATTTTTAAAAATGTTTTTATTGATCTATAATACTCATATATATTTTTGGGGTAATGTGATAGTTTGATACCTGTATACAATGTGTAATGGTCAAGTCAGAGTAAATAAGATATCTATCACCTGAAACATTTATTTTTTCTCTGTGTTAAGAACACTATAATTCTTCCTTTCTAGCTGTTTGAAATATACAATAAATTATTAACTACAGTTTCCCTACTGTGTTATTGAGTACTGGCACTTATTTCTTCTATCTAACTGTAGTTTTGTACCTACTAACCAACTTCTCTGCATCCCCTCTCCTCCACTTCCCTCCCTCTGGTTCTCTGGTAACCATCATTCTACTCTCTACCTCCATAAGATCCACCTTTTTAGCTCCCACATGTAAGAACATACGATATTTATCTTTTTGTGCCTGGTTTATTCCACTTAACATAAAGTCCTCCAGTTCCATTTATGTGGCTGGAAATGACAGGATTTCATTGTTTTTATGGCTGAATAGTATTCCATTGTGCATGTATATCATGTTTTCTTTATCTGCCCATCTGTTGTTGGACACTTAGGTTGATTCCGTGTCTTGGCTATTGTGAATAGTGATGCAGTAAACATAGGAGTGCAGGTACCTCTTTGACATACTGATTTCCTTTCTTTTGGATATATGCTCAGTAGCTAGATTGCTGGATCATATGGTAGTTATTTATTTTTTTTGAGGAACCTCCATACTGTTTTCTGTGGTGACTGTACTAATTTAAATTTCCACCAGCAGTATACAAGCTTTCCCTTTTCTCTACATCCTCACCAGCATTTGATATTTCTGTCTTTTTGATAATAGCCATTCTAACTGAGGTGAAATTATATCTCACTGTGGTTTGGATTTACATTTCCCTGATGACTCGGTGATGTTGAGCATTTTTTCATGTTACCTATTGGCCATTTGTACATCTTCTTCTGAGAAAAATATCTATTCAAGAACTTTGTCCATTTTACGATCAAGTTTTTTGCTTTATTTGCTATTGAGTTGTTTGAGTTCCTTATGTATTCTGGTTATTGATGCCTTGTTGGGTGAATAGTTTGCAAGTATTTTCTTCTGTTCTGTAGATTATCTTTTCACTCTGTTGGTTGTTTCCTTTGCTGAGCAGAAGCCTTTAGCTTGATACGATCCCACTTTTGCATTTGTTTGTGGTCTTAACCAAAAAATCTTTGCCCAGATGTCCTGAAGCATTTTCCCAATTTTTCCTATAGTTGTTTTATAGTTTCAGGTCTTATATTTAAGTCTTTAATCCATTTTGATTTGATTTTTGGTTTTTGTTTTGTTTTTTGTTTGTTTGTTATATTTTGTTTTTTTGAGACGGAGTTTCCCTCTTGTTGCCCAGGCTGGAGTGCAATGGTTCAGTCTCAGCCCACTACAACCTCCGCCCCCGAGGTTCAAGTGATTCTCCTGCCTCAGCCTCCCAAGTAGCTGGGATTACAGGCACCCGCCACCACACCTGGCTAATTTTTTTGTATTTTTAGTAGAGATAGGGTTTTACCATGTTGCCCAGGCTGGTCTCAAACTCCTGACCTCAGGTGATTCACCCGCCTCAGCCTCCCAAAATGCTGGAATTACAGGTGTGAACCACTACACCTGGCCTGATTTGATTTTTGCATATGGTGAAAGATGGAAATAGTTTTTCTTATTTTAGTGATGGTTTCAACAAGAACATAAAAATTAATTATGTAAACTTTAGAGTTATAGTTGGAAAAGTGCTTTAAACAGAAGTGATAACTGAAATCAAACTCAGATCATCATGTTATTGAATAGCATGAAACTTTTTGTTTTCTTACTAATATTATGGGTTATTTGTTAAAGATTTTTAAAAGACTACTTTCAGACTTAAAGTGTAGCATTTTATATGTAAGTATAAAGTAGCTTACCCTAAATTTGAAAATTCAAACCCATAAGCAAAGTGAAGTAATAGATTTGCACGATGTAAAATCATCTAGTTTAAGATACTCCTTGTACAAATGAGAAAACTGAGACAGACAAATGACTCCACTTCTGTCATAGAGAATAGAAAATCAGACCTCCTGATTTCCAGGACTCTATTTTCTATACAACACTGTCATCTCAGTTGATTAAAACAGATTCTTAGTTTATATATCCAGCCCTTTCTGGAGTATGGAGACAAAGATGGACATGGGCACAGATATTATTAGAAAATTGAAGCACTCACACCTGCTGGTCTCCGTTACTTTAGGGAAGTAGGAAAATGCAGTGCAAGCTGGCCAAACCAAAGGAAATTGAAATCAGGAGAACAGTTTTGAGGAGAGTGGTAAAAATATCAAAAATACCTGTGAAGGGCAACAGGGGAGTAGATGGTAAGAGTCGCCACACAGCTTTAAGAAACCCAAGACGTATTTGGACAAGATAAGTTTATAATCACAGTAATAAAGCTTTCATCAGAATACTCAAAGTCTAGGAGTAAAAAGAGAGGAAAGAGAATGCCAAATCTAGCCAGGTTTATAGGCAGGTAAGCCAGAAAGAAAGGAGGTGAGGAAAGTCAAGCAGTGACTAGCAGAAGAGTTAAGAAATGGAAGGAGCATTTTAGGCTGAAAAGAGATGGGAGGTTAGCCAGAAGTTAGTGTTAAAATATGGTAAAGTTTCCCAAAACCTTAAACACAGAATTGCCACATGATCCAGAAATTCTACTTCTCAGTATATACCCCAAAGAAGTAAAAGTAGGAATTCAAACACATGTTTGCTTGCCATTGTTTATAGCAGCACTATTCACATTAGCCAAAAGATGGAAGCGATTCTTGTGTCCATGGACAGAACGGATTTTTAAACATACGGTATAAATACACAACAGAATGTTATTCAGCCTCAAAAATGAAGGAAATTCTGGTATGTGCTACAACATGGATGAACCTTGTCAATATTAGGCTAACTGAAATTAGCCAGTCACAGCTGGACCTGGTGGCTAATGCGTGTAATCCCAGCACTTTGGGAGGCCATGGCGGGCAGATCACTTGAGGTCAGGAGTTCAAGACCAGCCTGGCCAACATGGTGAAACCCCCCCCCCTACTAAAAATTAGCCAGGCGTGGTGGTGGGTGCCTGTAATCCAGGCTATTCAGGAGGCTGAGGCAGGAGAATCGCTTAAACCCAGGAGGCGGAAGTTGCAGTGAGCCGAGATCGCGCCACTGTACTCCAGCCTGGGTGACAGAGTGAGATGCCATCTCAAAAAAAAAAAAATTAAGCCAAAAGGACAAATACTTCAAACTTTACGAGGGACCTAGAGCATTCACATTCACAGAGACAGAAAGTGGAATGGTGGTTACCAGGGGCTGGCAGAGGGAGGAATGGGGAGTTATTGTTTAATAGGTATGTTTCAGTTTGGGAACATGAAAAAGTTCTGGAGCTAGATAATGATGATGGTTGTACAACAATGTGAATGTACTTAATGCCACTTGAACTGTACACTTAGAATGGTTAAAATGACAAATTTTATGTTAAGTATATTTTACCACAGTAAAACTGTAAATAGTAGGGTAAAGTCCTGGTGTCTTAATAGTATTTAGAGTAAGTGTTATGTTTAAAGATGTGAAAGAGATGTAGACAATCATAATCAAAGAGTTGGGTACAGGAATTTTAGGTTTCAATGATGAAATAATTTCAGATTGTTACAAAGCCTGGGACTACATTTCCCATCAAAAAAGGAGGTACTCTAATACCCCTCCAAAGACATATCACCATCATGGGGGGTGGGGATGTGCATATCGGAAGCCAGGGATGGGGGTGTTGTATAATCTTCCCGGGTGATTCTGATATCATCCCCTTCCTCCCCCAATTCCCCCAACTGGAATAGAAAGGAAATACAGTGCTTTAACATGAAAGATGTCAAGGCCAGAGAGTGGAATCATCATCTACATGGGCACTGAGGTTGTCAAGGATTGATAGCAGAACTTGGAAAGGCGAGAAAGACCAATAGCTATATCATTCATAAGATGGGGAAATAGATTGGAGATTGTATATCTGGAGTCCATGGGTCTTAAAGGTGGCATTTTGACTTAAGGATGGAAGAATCATGATTTGGGTTGACTTGCAGGGAAGAAAGAGGAATAGCAACTCTTTCCCACACCCACTTTTCAGTAATGGGATTAAGAAAATGAACTGTCCGCCGGGTGTGGTGGCTCACGTCTCCCAGTGCTTTGGGAGGCCAAGGCAAGAGGATCTCTTGAGGCCAGGAGTTTGATACCAGCCTGGGCTACACAGTGAGACACTATCTATATGAAAAAAAAATTTTTTTTAAACCCAGCCAGGTGTGGTGGCAAAGAGGCTGAGGAGGGAGGATCACTTGAGCTCAGGAGTTAGAGGTTACAGCAAGCTATGATGGCACCACTGAACTCCAGGCTGGGTGACAGAGTGAGACCTTATTTCAAAAAGAAAGAAAAGAGAGAGAGAGAGGTGGGAAGGGAGGAAAATGAACTCTTTCCACTTCAGAAGGCCCTCAAGTGAAATGAGACTCTAGAACAATGGCTCTTGCACCCCAGCCTCCTGTTAAAATCATGTGAGAGGGAACTTTTGAAATGCATTGATGCCTGTTGATGCTGAATCACTTGGGGGAAGGGCCAGGCCTGTTGGCAGCTTTTTAAAGCTCTCTCATAAGTCCAGTATCCAGCCTGGGGTTGACGGCCATTACCCTTGGGGGAGAGCCTGGTTTTGCTTAAGACAAGCAGGTAGAGAAGATAAGGCAATTTGGTCCAAACAAGACTAAGATACTGAAGGGTATGGGGGAAGGGTTGTCAGAAAGTACAACCATGGGGCATGAGTTTGAGGGATGGGACAGGGAGCAAACAGTAACACAGAGGGTAGTGGCTGAAAAGGACAGGGGCTGTGGGCATACATGGCCTTGAGGGTTCAAATTACACTGTTTTCCAAAGTTGTTTCCATCCAAAGTTGTTGTTTCCATCCAAAGTTGTTGTTTGCTGGGCAGATGGACAGAGTCATAGGCAAGTTCAAGGCAGCCTTTGCACTCCACTCATTGCTTTGACCCAGCAGTTTATAGACAGAGCAAATACATGGAGTTATTAGTGCCAATAATTAGTTATTAGTTATTAATTAGTTATTACAAGCACTAATGCTAAGCCTCTGTGTCCTAAGCAATAAAATAGAGATATCTACCTTGCAGAACTCTTGTAAGGGTTAAATGAAAAAATGGAAAGAATGAATCTATATGAATAAATTTTGTGAACAGGTAAAGCCTTACATAAACATGAGTTGTTACGTTACTGTAACATTAGGAGAAACTGGCAGTATTACCTCCACAGGAAATTACCCTTTTTTCTTAGGAATATGCCAGTTGGTCAGTTTTTAGAGGCCAGATGGGCATTTGGTGTTATAACTAATTTCACTTTGGCTCGTGGCGTGTGCTTCCAGCCTTGTCTTTTCTCTCTAGCAAATGCTTCTTTTCCAAAGAGTGAGCCTCCTTTTTTGTTTCAGCTCCACCTCATAGTAACATCCTGACTCACAACATGTTGACACTACTTAATAGAGCAATTAGATGGAGCCTTACAACAGTCTGACTCTAGAAGCAGACTTTGAACTTAAAGGGTTCCCTCTTTGCACGTGGTTTCCAAACCCATTTTCCTTGCTGCAGACTCCAAGAAATTCTGAAAAGACAAGTTAATTGTAATAAAAAGAAGGTATACTCTAATATGTCACTTAATGAAGGGGATATGTTCTGAGAAATGTCTTTTGGTGTACTTGCATAGACCTAGATGAGACAGCCTATTACACACCTAGGCTACATGGCATAGCCTATTGCTCCTAGGCTACAAACCTGCACAGCATGTTATTTTATTGAATGCTGTAGGCAATTGTAGCACAATGGTAAGTATTTGTGCATCTAAATCTATCCAAATATAGAAAAGATATACAAAAAATATAGCATAAAAGACTAAAATTGGTACACCTGCATAGAACACCTATCGCGAATGGAGCATGCAGAACTAGAAATTGCTCTGGTTTAGTCAGTGAGTGAATGTGAAGGCCTAGGACATTACTGTATACAACTGTAGACTTTGTAAACACTGTACACTTAGCCTACACAAAATTTATTTTATTTATTTATTTATTTTTTTTTTATTTTTTTATTTTTATTTTTTATACTTTAAGTTTTAGGGTACATGTGCACATTGTGCGGGTTAGTTACATACGTATACGTGTGCCATGCTGGTGCACTGCACCCACTAACTCGTCATCTAGCATTAGGTATATCTCCCAATGCTATCCCTCCCCCCTCCCCCCACCCCACCACAGGCCCCAGAGTGTGATGTTCCCCTTCCTGTGTCCATGTGATCTCCTTGTTCAATTCCCACCTATGAGTGAGAATATGCGGTGTTTGGTTTTTTCACAAAATTTATTTTTAAAATAATGTAATTGTACTACAGCATTATGATGGCTACAGTGTCACTAGGTGATAGGAATTTTTCGGCTCCATTATAATCTTATGAAACCACTGTTGTATATGCAGTCCATCATTAACCAAAATATCATATGGCGCTTGCCTGTATATGAAATGATGCTTATTTTCCTCACCCTACACTTAGGTTAATATTAATGTGAAAATGATGCCTGTATTATAACTATCAAAAAATATTTTTATGAAAAAAATTCTGTATGTAGCTATGCTGCTGGTTATTTGGACACAATACTATCGAAACATCCTAAAAATTTGAGTCTCAAAGTAGTCACTATAGTTATGATATTCTTTAATGTAGGTGTCTTCATTTATATTAAGATGGGTTTTATTTCTTCATTTATATTGAACTGGGTTTTATTTCCCCTACTGAGCAGGAAAAAAGGGGGAGATTGGTATTCTGTTTGATCCCTGGCTCTCTACTCTGCACAGAGTAGGTACTCAAACTATGGATTTTGGATATGAGATCTGCAGGTGCCCCTTCTGTTAGTCCTTTTAGCTTCAGAAATCAAAGTTACAGCCCCCAATTGTTTCAGCTGTTTGTATTAAGTAGAAGGTAACAAACTAAAGCACATACCTCTTGCAGATAGAAGATTGCTTATTCTAAAAGATCAAATTGCCTATGTCTCTAAGGGAACTATGTATCAAGTCAGATATCAAGACTTGTTCAATATCACTCGGAGATAGGGTTTGATTCATTTTTAAGATAACATTGTAGTCAGAGGCAGTAAGAATATTGTGCTACTTTTCCTATATTCGTATCAAATTGCATCCCAGCCTTAATGTGGGAATCCTTTCAGCATTTTGTTTTGAAGCTCTGTGACAAACCAATGAACCAAACTGTTAATGCTGATACAGCCTCCCCTACCTACTACAGGTAGGGTTCTTACTACAGTCTCTTATGGAGGCATGCTTCCATGTTAACCACCCCACCAAGCTAGGGGGCTAGCTAGGTTTTCATCCTGCACATTTTGGTGTCTCTAGACAGTGTTTCATGTACGTAGAAAATGCTCAATAAATGTTTGGTGATTGATGACTGGCGGAGTGAACATATACATTCTTTAATACAATTTTTGCCACAACGTTATTTATTGTTGTCAATTTTTATAAAGAAGTATCCTTATTCTTTAAAATGGATTGCTCTCTCCACCCCACTTGCCCCTCCCTCCTCGATTGCCCCTCCCCAACCCCTTACTTTGCAACGCAATCAAGGCATAGATAATTTCCTCTCAGCCTAGAAGTGACATCCTAAGTTCCTTTGCACAACTGAGGAGTTGATGGAGTTCCAGTGAACTGAATACTTTCCATTAATCCATCCCAGAGAGATAGGTCATCTCTTTGTAGCACTGGTCTGTAGAAAAAAAATGAAGTGCCTGAGCAAGATACTGAATTTTAGCATTGCTTATGTGGGGGTGGGGGGCATGGATTGCTCCATGGGCAAATATATTTCTGGTGTCCTGCCATTCTTCCTGGGGTGTAAATTCACTCTTACCTAAGTGTGGGGCAAAGTCTCTCTCAGTTGAAGCCCAGTAGATGCAGTTGATAAAACCGATGTTGAATCCCACAGTTCACAGAATTCTGAGATGTAAATACTGGATTTATCAAGTCAAATTGCATCTAATGATGAGTTGTGTTTGGCTTCTGAGAATCCACAGAAAATTATCATGTGTTTACCTAGGGTTACTTTCTCATGACTTTGTTCTCTTCTTTTCTTGTCTGTCTTCTCTCTCTGCCACATGACCAATTTGTTGCATTCAACTCTGATTTTAAAGGTTTCCATTCCACTAACCGAAGGCCTGGACTTGATATCCATGTTGACGGATGATGCTACAATTGCCGCCTGGAATAACGAAGGACTGCCCAGTGACAGAATGTCCACCGAAAATGCCGCTATCCTAACACACTGTGAGCGCTGGCCTCTGGTGATAGATCCCCAGCAACAGGGAATTAAGTGGATCAAGAATAAGTATGGAATGGACCTGAAAGTCACACATTTGGGCCAGAAAGGGTATGTGAAGTTTGAAGAGACTGGCTTTCTGTTTACCTGCTGTGAAGTGGGTCTGATTTTTATAAAGGCGTGATGTTTCTTAGACCTCTCCACCACATTGATGTATTACAATTTGGTGCTATTTGTTTATCTGCCTGTTCATGTTTCATATAAAGTATCTCTGTTGAAAAGGCATTCTTGTTGGATGGCACCCAATTATCTGAAGAAGAGATAAGATTGAAGGTTAGAACAAACATTGGGTCTGTGGGGGAAAATATGTAAATTTTCTAAAGCCAAGAATGGATATATATTATATTCCTTCTCTGGAGTGTTTGGATAGTAACACAAGAATTGTCAAGGGTGCCTCCGGGCTTCATGATGTTTACGGTCATATTTCTAAATCTATACTCCGCCTATAGAAGGATCTTAACATGGCTACAAGTCCCAACATTGGGTGCCTGAAGTTAATTTATTATCTTAGTCAAGATTTACATGTCACTTTTGAGACCTGAATCTACTCCAAGAATTTCTGTTACTGAGTCATCATGATAATACTGTCTGATAGATAGAAAGCTGTCTTGTATGCAGTTGCTATTCAGTTAATGTTGAATAAATTATTTTAGAACTATGGATATTTCACTTGACCCTTCCATCCTCTTTTTATATGTAGAGTGAAATAAGAAATTTCTGTAGTTATACAAGTAAATGTAGTTCTTAGGCCAGGTACAGTAGCTCATGCCTATAATCCCAGCACTTTAGGAGGCTGATACAGGAGGATTGCTTGGAGCCAGGAATTCAAGACCACCCTGAGCGACATAGTGAGACCCCCATCTCTACCAAAAAAAAAAAAAAAAAAAAAAAAGTTGCCAGGTATGGTAGTGCCTACCTGTAGTCCCAGCTACTTGAGAGGCTGAGGCAGGAGGATCACTTGAGCCCAGGAGATTGAGGCTACATTGAATCATAAACATGCCACTGCACTCCAGCCTGGACAACAGAGTGAGACCACCATCTCTATTTTTTTTTGATGTAGTTTTTGTTTGTCTGAATACTTGGAGAAAATTATTTTTGGTAGGGAGATATTTTGTGGAAAGTAAGACCAAAATAAAATGATAGCTCACCATTTTAAGTGACTAAATGTAAAGGTTTAAAAAAATAAAAGTTTGATCAAGTTTAAAGCATTTAATACATGAAACTTTACTTAAAAAAGAGCCATCAAATGAATTTAAATGTATGATAGTTGGATAACTTACACTTATTTCAACTACAGTTGCTATTACAAGCAACTAATCTATACATAGATTTATTAGTTCAAACTATTAAATTTCACTTCGAAAATATGACTAAAATGTATCTTAAAATCTCATCTTTAATTTCTGTGTAATCTAGTGGAAGGGAACTACTACTTTATAAAATAGTTTTCTCTAAGTTTGTCCCATTTAGAATATCTACATTAAATATAATTTGATCATTTAAAAAATTTTGAACATTTTGTGCCAATTTACATTTTATTATCTCAAATCCCACTGAATTTTAAGGTTTTTGAATGCCATTGAAACTGCTTTGGCCTTTGGTGATGTCATCTTAATTGAAAATCTCGAGGAAACGATAGATCCAGTCCTGGATCCACTACTTGGCAGGAACACAATTAAAAAAGGAAAGTAAGTATTCTTGAATTTTTAACATATATATCTTGCTAAATGATTTTCAGCAGCAGCATCTCTTAGCTTCATAGTCAAGCAGTCTATTGAAATCTTAGTGATATTTCTGAGTTTCCATTTCATGCACCTACACTCCAAGACCAAAGCAACTGCAACATTATCCAGACTTTCAGACTATTTATTTGATGGATTTAGATTTGTTTTATCCAATTCCTGATTTATGGGCCAAAAAATGTATTGTTATAAATCTGAGAATCGTTGCCTCTTTTTAAATTTATACCAATGTTTCTCTAACTTCAGTAATTTGCAGAACACCTTGAATAGGGCTGCCTATCTACATATCACTTGTACCCTGTTTAATGTTTTTCTTTAATTAGATTTTAAATCCATTCACTATTTTTTAAAATCAGCATGGGTTTACTGTGCTAGCTCTGTTTTTTCTAATATACTTAAAATGTAACCATTCGGAAAAGGAGAGTTCATTAGTGGGTCCCTGAAATCATCCCTTATGCCAACAGTAATGGATTGTCAACAACAGAGAAATACTTCCCCCTACCCCTCCAGGAGCTATATGTGACTTTCTAAGAGACTGCCATTCCCCCAAGACAATATACTTTCCAGAACATTCTCTCAGGGGCATTGAAGCCATTTCTGAGGAGTCATCATGTCACTTTCCTATGAATGTGTGAAAGGTCAGGTGCAGCAATTGTGTCTTCAATCAAGTCTGGGTGGGCATAGGGGAAACTGGCACTCAAGAGACTCCTTATGCCTCTTCACACAACCGACATTCACTAGACTTAATTCACTGAGTTTCCTTCCCTCTCTTCTTTTTTTCTTCAAAGATATATAATTTCAGAACTTCCCCCACCCTGTTCTTTCTTAACGCCCACGCTCTGCCTCTAAGGTATCTGTCCCCTTTTTCATCACTAGATTATTCTTGTCAATTTTAAGTGGAAATAGGCCTACATCAGGGTGACTAACTTCTTGGTCTCTAACTGATTAGTATGGTATTTATCATACAATCACTAAGTAAATCCATTTAGAGTGACTGACAACTTATAATTGTTTAATAAACCAAAATTTACCCAGGCACACATTTAGAACAATCTAACAAGCCACTTGACAAACTGCAACTCTTAACATAAATATAATTGTAGCTGTGTCTGATGTGTTAAAAATATAGTGTAAAATCTTGAATGTCACTGAAGTGAAATCCTTGTTATTAAGGTTCTGACTCTATTATGAAGACTTAAAATTTTTATCAGTGAAATGCATGTTCTCTGAGCTTCAATTTCAACTTTCAATAGCACAATTTAGGTGTAAGCAATTTGATGACTCTTATTACATATATAGTTGGATAATCAGAAATTTCCAAAGGCTGATAAATTTGAGTCATGATTCTCAGTATGGACGTAGTTAACTATCAGTGAGGATTCTAGAGGTCTTCAATTTTAGAAACAGATTTTACATAGAGCTTCAAGTCTTTATCACAAAATATCAGGCCAGAACAGTTTAATTCAAATTAATAATATTTACTGAATATGTACTCTCTGTTAAGCCTTGATGAATTGATCATATCATTCTTGCATTTCTTTTAAGGCCAAGAAGATTAAAGATAATCTGTTAAGAATGTAACAAATGGTGCTGATTGCATGCAGTTCTTACCTTAATCCTGGCTCCTAAACCCTTATGTGTGGGAACAACCACTTGTTTGAGGGTGAATCTCAACTCTCTATCATCAGCTGTTCCTCCTTCCCTCTTCCATGCAGATGTTTTTAGACTATCTTCACCCAGAGACTATGAGTGCCAGTGGAGTCCTTATATATCCTGTCAGTCATTGAGTAAACCTTCTCTGAGCACTGCTATATGCCAGGTACTATACTGGGGGCTGCAGATTTAGTGTGATAAGACACAGACCCTGCACTTGAGGAAGCTACACTTCCATAAGTAAAGATAGACCTATAAACAATCAGTGAATGTAAAGCAGAACCGTTGGTGTGGTGATAGACGTATACATGGCAAGGAGTTGTCAGTTCCATAGTGGAGACTTGGAAAGACTTCTTGGAAAAAATTACCTTTGATTACATTTTGTTTAATGCAAGACTCAAAAGTTAAGTAGGTATTTGTGAGGTAGACAAGTGGGAAAAGAGAATCCTGGACAGAGAGCCCTAATTTCAAATAGTAAAACACACAAAACAATCCAACAGCTTTGGGGAACTGCAAATAGAATCCAAATGGGTGGAGAGTCTGTGTTGGGGAGGAAGAGAGAAGGATGTGGACTGGGACAGATGAGACTGGAGAGGAGAGCAGGACCCAGAGCACAGACTTCCTTGGTTGATCCCTAGGTTGGCCTTTTGCTATGTGTTGATAATTTCCAACCCCTCCTAAATACACTCAAGGGGCCTGTTTTTATCAGTTACACTAGTTGGTAGTACCAATTGTTTTTAACTAAGGGACCATGCTTTCCTGGAGTCTCCATATTTTCACTTGAGAATCATGATCATAAGTCAGTGGGGAAGCTAGTAAGAACTCTTGGGCACACTGGAAGCAATGTGATCAGATGAATGTTTCTGAAAGTATTGACTGAAGGGGCGTGGACCTAGAGTCAGAGTCTAGTTAGTAAATAATTGCAGTAATCCATTTGAGACATGGTATGAGCCTAAACTTAGGCAGTGACAGTGGAAAGAGTGGAGGGGACAAATCAGTGTGATATCAAGGAGTTAATACCACCAGTTTATGGTAATTAATTGGATATTATGGTGGGGAAAAAGGAAGATTTAAGGATGTTTTCTTCTGCCTTCTGTCAGGTAAATGATACTGTGCTTTATGGAGAGATGTATATAGGAATGAGAGTAAGTGTAGGGAAAGAACTAATAATTTCTCTTACTAGACATGCAAAGGTTGAGGTACTTCTTTAACACTCATTTCTAAAACAGAAGTCTAAAAAGCAGTTGGATATCTGAGTATGGAGCTTAGTAAAAGGATGTTGGTTGACCACGTAGATTGGGGAATATCTATCTGGCGAAGCAGTTATGCTATCATGGTGGATGTGATTATCTAGGGAGACTCTGTACAGCCAGAAAAACAGAGGGTACCCTGTCTTGCCTCTGCTCTTTTCCCATGAGAAAAATGGGGACCCAGAGACATTAATTAACGTCCTCTTGCATACCTTATCGCTATATGAAGTTTATGTGAAAACCTAGTTTCTTAAACAGGTTTTTCTCTTTTTTATGTTTTTTAATTGCTACGTCATAGTTGTACATATTTTGGGGGTACATGAGATATTTTGATACATGTATACGATGTGTGATGATCAAGTCAGGATGACTGGGATATCTACCACGTCAAACACTTTTCTTTGTGTTGAAAACATTACAGTTCTTCTCTTCTAGCTATATTAAAATATATAATAAATTATTGGTAACTATAACTTTCCTACTATTCTATTGAATACTAGAATTATTCCTTCTAACTGTATTTTTGTACCCACTCACCAGCTTTTCCTTATCTTCCACCTCCCCCGCCAGCTTCTCTTCCTGGCCTGTTGTAACCACCATTCTCCTCTTTGCCTCCATGAGACCCGATTTTTTAGCTCCTGCATATGAGTAAGAAAATGCCATATTTTTCTTTCTGTGCCTGACTTATTTCATTTAACATAATACCCTCCAGTTCCATCCATGTTGCTGCAAATGACAGCTTCATTCCTTTTTATGGATGAATAGTATTTCACTGTGTATATATACCACAATTTCTTTACCCATTTGTATTCATCTGTTTTGCATTGCTATAAAGGAATACCTGAGACTGGGTAATTTATTTATTTATTTTTTTTAAAAAGAGTTTGATTTAACTCATGGTTCTGTAGGCTGTAAAAGAAGCACAGTGCCAGCATCTGCTTCTGGTGAAGCCTCAGGAGGCTCACAATCATGGTGGAAGGTAAACGGGGAGCAGACATGTCACACAGCAAGAAAGGGAGCAATAGAGAATGGGCAGGAGGAGCCAGGCTCTTTTAAACAACCATATTTCAAGGTAACTCATTCCCACAGGGAGGGAGGACACCAAGCCATTCATGAGAGATCTGCCCCCATGACCCAAACATTTCCCACCAGGCCCACCTCCAACATTGATGGTCACATTTCAACATGAGATTTGGAGAGGACAAATATCCAAACTGTATCACAATTCACCCATTGTTGGACACTCAAAAGGGTTTCTTATCTAGGTTATTGTGAATATTGCTGCAGTGAACATGGGAATGCAGATACTTTTGCAATATACTGATTTCATTTATTTTGGATATATGCCCAGCAGCCATATTGCTGGATCATGTGGCATGACCATGAGGAATCTCTATACTGTTTTCCATAGTGGCTATACTAATTTACATTCCCACCAACAATGTACAGGTGTTCCCCTTTCTCACATTTGTTATTTCTTGTCTTTTTGATAATAGCCATTCTAACTGGAATGAGACGGTACCTCATTGTGGTTTTGATTAACATTTCTCTGATGATTAATAATGTTGGGCACATTTCATATACCCGTTGGCCATTTGTATGTCTTCTTTTGAGAAAGATCTACTCAGGTATTTTACCCATTTTTAAATCAGATTATTTGCTTTTTTTTTTTTTTTTTTTTTTTTTTTGCTATCGGGTTGAGTTCCTTATATATTCTAGTTATTAATCCTTGATCAGAAGGATAGTTTGCAAATATCTTCTCCCATTCTGTAGGTTGTCTCTTCACTCCATTGATTGTTTCCTTTGCTGTACAGAAGTTGTTTAGCTTGATGTAATCCCATTTGTATATTGTTGCTTTTGTTGCTGTTCTTTTTGAGGTCTTATCCCCAAAATCTTTTAACAAGCTTTTTCAAATAAACAGGCACTACTATCTTTTGATAGGGTTTTTATGAGTGCCATTTTACCAGTCTAACTCTTCCCCCCTCGGTTTTTTCCTAAGCCTCATTTGTTTCCCCATCAATGTTTTGGAAACTATGTTTTTCATACCTGCAGTTTCCTATAACATAGCCCAGCCCTTTCATTTCTTCTTGACACAGATAATCCCCCCTCCTGTGATATGTTATTTTACTTAACTTTTCTTTTCACAGCCTAAATTCACTATATTTAGGATTTAACTGCTATTTAGCCAATAGCAGTTAAGTGTTAACTGGAAATTTTAATTTGCCTTATTTAATGTCTCCTTTACATAGTATATTTTCCCTGTGTCATTTTGCCATTTTTTTCTCCCCCTTACAATATGCTTAATTTTTTTCACTCATACATAACTTTGATTATAATAAGTTCTTTATGCATAAGAATCATATACTATATGCCTTTAAAAAGATGGTTAACCAAAACAAAAACAGAGCAATACAAACATAAAACTTTTATTTCTGTTACTAGGTGGATTAAGTATTCAAATACTAGACAAAAACTAAATATATTAGTTAAAATATTAAAAACACCTTTCGAAATGTGTTACTGAGTTGACAAAAAGAAAAAGTGCAACTAAAAAGCAGGAACTCCGAGAGACAAGGAACACCAAAGATGGTTTCCTTCTTCAGGGTGCCTGCTAAAACCTGATGACCTTGGGGTTCTCTTTTGATGATGTACAAAGCTTGAACAAGCCTAGAGCCTGTTCAGGATATGCAGTCTGCTAAGAGATTCCTGTATAAAGCTAGAGGACACACCTTCCGTTTAAGGGTAAATTTGTTAAAATTAATAAACACACACAAACAATTGCTAAACTGAGAAAACTTTCCTTTTCTAGCTTGGCACTGAGAAGAGGCAGAAAAAATGTCCTATACTAGTTGCATCCTAGGAGGAGTATTTTGGGTTTTTAGGGTGTTTTAATTTTATTATTTAATACTGATACCTATAAAATACATAATATATGAAGTTATAAAGCATAATAAATTAGACATGTATCTGCCATTCAGATTATTGCCAATATCCTTTAAGCTACCTTTGTGCTCCCCTCCTTGACAATTCTGCCTCCACTTCCAAAGGTAGCCAATGTTCACATATTGGAATGATGTATCAGTTCCATAAAGTCTAACAGACAGGACATAGTAAATATTATTTACTTAATATTTTTAATAACATACATAAAATATATTTTTAATTCAGTAAATAAATATGTATTTAGTCAAGTTTCTAGAATGTGACAGGCATATGAAGATCAAAGATCTGTCCCATTAAAAGATAAATAAAAGATCTAAATAGACATTTCTCCAAAGAACTACAAATAGTCAATAAGCACATGAAAATATGCTCAACATCATTAGTCATCGGGAACATGCAAATCAAAGACATAGGAAGGTGAAGATTCTGAATGTTGCTTATCACTTCATTGTTTTATTTAAAATAATGTTTTAACACGTGTGTGTATTCTGAAACAACATATTCTTTTGGAGCTTTATAAAAATACCATTATGGTGTATATAGTTTAAAAGGACTTGATTTTTTCCCTCAATCATATGTTTCTAAGATTTAATCTACATTGCTCCTTCTGGCTCTAGTTCTTGCAAATTCGTTACTATAATATTGTTTTTGAAACAGAGTCTTGCTCTGTCATCCAGGCTGGAGTGCAGTGGCGGGATCTTGGCTCATTGCAACCTCCACCTCCCAGGTTCAAGTGATTCTCCTGCCTCAGCCTCCCGAGTAGCTGGAATTACAGGCGCCTGCCACCAGGCCTGGCTAATTTTTTTATTTTTAGTAGAAACAGGTTTCGCCATGTTGACCAGGCTGGTCTCGAACTCCTGACCTTAAATGATCTGCCCACCTTGGCTTCCTAAAGTGCTGAGATTACAGGCATGAGCCACCACACCGGGTCTATTACTGTGATATTCAATGATATGACTGACTATTCCTCAATTTATTTAGCGTTCTTATTGAAGGCCATTTTGGTTATTTTTAGATGTTTTGCTATTATGAGTGATGCTGCTATGAATATTACTGAATATTCATGTATACATCTACAGGTACACACATTCATGCATACAACTACAGGTACACATAGCAAGATTCTTCAGTGTTTATGTTCTATAGTGAGATAGTTGGGTTGTAGAACTTATGCACAATCAACTTTAAAAGATAATGCCAAATTGTTTTCCAAAGTGTTTAGAAATGTACATGCTCACTAGTAGTATATAAGAATTGTGGAGTCTTTCAGAGAACTGAGAGAGACTTTTATGCTTCTGCTGTTTTTTATAATCCAAAAGATTTCCCACATTTAATACTATTAGCCACCTCTTCCTATGACGAACTATTCCTGCCTCCTTTTTTTTTTTCCCACTTTTATTTTTGAATGAACAAATTGAGGGCACTCTAAGCTTTCAAAATAGTTGTGTTACAAATGCTTAAAAAGTGCTTTGATGTTTGGGAGGCCAAGGCAGGTGGATCATGAGGTCAGGAGATCGAGACCAACCTGGCGAACACGGTGAAACCCCTTCTCTACTAAAAATACAAAAAATTAGCTGGGTGTAGTAGCGGGTGCCTGTAGTCCCAGCTACTCGGGAGGCTGAGGCAGGAGAACGGCATGAACCTGGGAGGTGGAGCTCGCAGTGAGCCAAGATGGTGCCACTGCACTCCAGCCTGGGCGAAGGAGTGAGACTCTGTCTCCAAAAAAAAAAAAAAAAAGTGTTTTGATGGAATAATAGACATTAGAGACTCTGAAAGGTGGACCGTGGGAGGGGAGTGAGGGATAAGAAGTAACCTAATGGGCACAATGTATATTTTTTGGGTGATGGTTACATTGAAAGCACAGACTTCACCACCACACAATATATCCAGGTGACAAAGCTGCGCTTGTACCCCATAAATCTATAAAAGTCATTTTCTTAAAAAGCATTTTGAATAAATTTTGATATTTTTGTTACTGCATTATTTTTGCCTGATAAGAAGTATCTTTAAAACAAAATAAAGACTTTCTTATTTCCTCATCTAACTCTTTAAAAGAAAGGAGAGAAACTAAAAAGTATTCATACATATGCAAAGTAGGAGATATGGTAAAATAAAAATTAGATTGGTATGAATAGGAATTATGTTTCTTTTTTCAATGCAGTAAAAGTTGGGAGAAAATATAAAAGAAAATTAAGGGGAAAATGTTGCTATGTATTCATTTAATAATAGAGCTACTGATTTGCAGTGTTATAACAAGAACAGAAAATTTTTGAAAATTAATCTACATGTTTGTAAATTTTATAATGGATCTTCCTGTTTACCTCCAACAATGAACATTTTACTTGATTTCTCTATCCTCTTTTTTTTTTTCCTATGTGACTATCTCTGTGTAACCTGTGGGTTTACAAACATTTTCCTTGGTATTGTAAAGACAAGAGATAGCATTGAAAAGAGAAAGCCAGGAAAACAACCTACAGGGACTGTTGAGCTGCCACATTCACCCGGAATGTCTTTATCATGTCCTCAAACTCAGGTGGGATAACACCATCCTCCTTTGAGAAACTCACATCCCTCAGAAAGTTTTTGGCTATCAATAGTGTTTTTGTTTATTCTAGTTCTATTTGTTTGGGGGAGTTGTTGTTGTTGTTGTTGTTTAACCAGTATTAGTTTATTCCTAATAATGAATGTCTGAGAAATGTTTGTGATAGATAAAGCATAGTCCAAAAGTTGAAGTTCATTAATAATTGGAATGTTGTGGAGTGTGAAGTAATGAATACTAATTACTCCTTTCATGTCTGACAGCTCCCTGTGGACCAATACATCAGCCCAGACTTTAATTTGGTTCGAGTAATGGTTTCATCAATAGCACATTAAATCTGTGTTTGAGAAGATATACAGGTGAACCTGGCCCACACAGTAGATACCACTGTCATAAAATGGCCACAGGCCGACAACAGCTGGGTAATTACAAATAATTAAATCCACCAAGCTCCAGACAATCCTAATTTTAAATAAAACATATTTTATATCAATCGACAGCAAATGTATCTGGAAAGATTTATCAACATGTAATTTTTCCAAAGCAAATTTACTGGCTTACATATTAGAGAAGTTGCTGATCTGGGAAGCATCTTCATAAAATTCTCTTTAATCTTTCAAATACCCCTAAATATTTTTGAATTTTTTAAAATATTATTTAAATATTATTATAATTTTTGAAAGACTGGAGTAACTTTACTGCAATATGTATTTCCGGTTGTTTTGGAGTATATACATATATTATTAAAAGATATTTTATACTTCATTCTGTATTTTTCATACAATTATTATTTTAATAATAGTCTTAAAGTAGCATGCTCTAGAAAGGAACTTAAAATTGGCTAATAGAAATATTAACTATATGATTTAAAAAATTTATTTTTACAGAAATAGAGGGAGATGGCATTTTATATTTATTTATTTTATAATGACTAGATTTCCTGAAAGTTATGCTAAGATTAAGAAGAATTGCTTTCAGTTAGCAGCTTTCCAGTTTATTAACTATTATTATGTTTCTGTTCTTGGAGTTGACGCCATGCAATTATAGTTGACTGTAGATCTATTCAAATGAGGACTTAGGTGAGATTTAAGATAGAAACATGTTAAATTGAACGCTACACTGTAGTAGAATGTACTTTCTTGAGCTGGAAGCTTACGGATTTTTTTTTTAATTTTTTTTTTTCTTTTTGAGACAGAGTCTTGCTCTGTCGCCCAGGCTGGAGTGCCGTGGTGTAATCGTGGCTCACTGCAACCTCCACCTCCCAAGTTCAAACAATTCCCCTGCCTCAGCCTCCCAAGTAGCTGAAACTACAGGCATGCGCCACCATGCGCGGCTAATTTTTGTATTTTTAGTAGAGATGGGGTTTCACTATGTTGGTCAGGCTGGTCTTGAACTCCTGACCTCAGGTGATCCACCCTCCTCGGTCTCCCAAAGTGCTGGGATTGCAGGCATGAGCCACCGCGCCTGGCCTAGCTTATGGATTTTAAATAAACTCTAGAGTTATGTAGTTCTCTCATTATTTCCTTTGCTGGTAAGAATAGATTTATTTTCAAGTTCATTCATGCTCTCCTATAATAGACTTCAGCATTCCAGTCTGTTCTAATTTCCAAATTCAAAATAAAATTTAATTGCCACAAATCTGCAACAGCTTTTCTATTCCTAAATTTAGTAAAGTTTTTTTTCCCTTAATAGTGTAATCTTTAGCATTTGCAGATAAAGCATTCTCACATTCAGTCATCTTGGTAATAGTTGTTTGACTTTATCTGAAAATAAATACCAAACAGGGCTTCAGATAAAGAATCCTCAGATTCTTTTATTTTCTTTTTAAAAAGCAGTCTTCCAATAAAATAACAAACAAATGAAATTGTCTTTGTTTTTGATGCTACATTATGATGTTTAAATATGGATATGTTGAAGCGTGTGTAGGTGTGTATCAAAAGAGAAATAATCTACTTATGACTTTTTTTTTTCATTTTTCTGGGTTTTTTTTTTTTTTTGCTGTACAATGTTACCTGGACTCCTGAAACACCAATGTTGTTGTTGTTGTTGTTGTTGTTTAATTCTGGTTGAAGTTTGCTTTTATCTTAGAAGGGCGTGTTGGTTATATTAACTGTATGAAGCAGCAAGACAATTAACTCATTTCTATTCAGGGTTTTCTTTCCTTCTTTTCCTTGAGCGTCTTGCCAGCTGTGCAGCTTTCAACCAAAACCTTTCTTCGGGAAATGGGTTTGACCAACTTGCACAGCCCTTCCCGCTGAGGTTGCTAAGTAACAACTCCCCTCTTGTGGTTTGCTACGTTTGCTACACCTGATCTTTTCCGCTGCACTCTTGACTGTAGCTGTTGGAATTCCCAAGTCTAATCTAGAAGCTTTTAATTTTAAACAGCAGGATGTGCAGTAAGGCTTTTAGATGTCCATTGAAAAGTTTATTTCTTCTCCTAAATGTGTTTCCCCCCACCCCCCGCCAATTAGTAGGCTATATTATTTGCTTATCTTAAAAAGCAGCTACTATCTCTTTACCTTGACAAAATGCCTCTGATGAAGCCTCCAGAATGGAATTTCTCCTATTCAGAGAACATGTTGGCTATCTGAATTGTCCAACTTAGAGTGAGAACCTTCAATATAATAATACAATATCTTAGGAAATCTCTCTCCAAACAGCAGGTTTTGCAAATCTTTTGAAAAGATTCCTACTGCAGCCATTTCTAATAAAGCCACTTCTAATAAAGACTCTGGTCTACCACAATAGTAAGTCTTGATTCCAAATTAAATATGTTGCTTTCCATGTTTGGTTTTAGATGGCAATGGAAAATAGTGATGGTGTTTGTTCAGGTACTCAGAGTATCTGATAGCTAAATAAATGCATTTTGGTTTTTATAATCAATACTGATGACATTTCCAACAGTAACTATACTAAATCTTGAGAACGTTTCCAATAAAAGTAAAAGGGGCATCATTCGTTTTCAGATGAAGATTTTAGAAATAAGAATTTCAGATAATAATCTCTAAATTGAAATTCTCGTCTTGGTTATATTAAGATAATGGTTCCTCTCTCAGCTCACAGAGATTCTTGTTTTCAGGAAACTGATCATTGGGAACAGTGTTTGAATTGTTCTGTCACAGAAGTACTTTGAAAACTAGCCAAGAAATCATTCCCAAGTGTTTTTAACGTGATTTGCATAGCTATCTTCCAACAGTAACGACTTTCCGTGATTTGAAGAAGTTAGACGTCTTTTTGCCCCAGGACACTAATTTTTTGGCTGGGTTTTGAATAAACATTGAAAGCATTTTGATATTCCCAGTGTACCTGGCTTTTATGCATATCTGACGTTTGAAAGGTTAATTTATAGATGATACGTATTTGAAGACGGTTGTCATTATTATAAAATAATTCATTTGGTTAACTAGCAAACATTTTGGCACACTTAATACATTTTCTTTCCCTGAGAGCTAAACAGTAGAAAACTTTTATACAAGTTGAATGATTTATTGTAAAAAAATTATGAATTAATAATTCAATTTATGAATCTATTGACCAGAAATTATAGATCTCAGATGAGGATTTGATACTTCGGTAGTTGTTGCTATTCCCCTTCATAAACAAGGACAGAGTTTCTGACCAAAGACTAGCAGGGCGTGTGCTCTGAACTGTGTCTGTTGTTTTTCTCTAGTGGCAGTCAATTGTTACTGAGTCGATCATATTCTCTCAGTACCCTCTTGTGATAGAAAGTCAGGCAGGTTGACAGAGGCTGACATTATAGGCTGCCACTGTCAGAGCAAATTAACCTGCAATGTTATGCAGTGAAATGAACTTTATACTAGGAGTCTAGAGACCCAGGTTCTAGTCCCAGCTCTGCCTCTAAGCTAAGCCACCTTGGCCAAGCCATAAACTCTTTAGGTCCATAAAAAAAAAATCAGTTGAGTGATCTCTAGTGGCTCTTCTTGATCTAATATTATGCTCTGCTAGATGAAACAGCATGTTTTTTACTCACCCCATGTCCTAGCCAATTAAACCATTTGTACTCAGAGAAATAGGAGTACATATTATATTTATGTACTCATAATAGGTACTCAGTACAAATATATGGTATTTGTACTCAGAAAAATAATTTTATTTCTGTTCTGAGATTACTTAAGCAGCTTCTCATCTCCAAACCAGCAAATCTCAGCCAGTGGGAAGAGACAGAGGAGGAGCTCACTCCTGCAGAGGGATGTATAAAAATCCTATGGGAGCAGCCCCGTGCCAGATTTGGAGATTCACACCCACTTGACTCTCCGTGTGATGCAGTGACAAGGGCCAGTGTAATTTGTTCCTGTGGGGAGTGGAGCTGGAAGATGGATTAAGGTTAACCTCTGTTTTAAGAAAGTAGCCACACTTCCAAATTTTATGTTGCTCTTCACACCTGCTGTTGCTCCTATTTGGAATTTAAGTTCAAGAGCTCATAGCTACCTTCAGTGTTCTAGAAGTCATAACCTCTGGATTCATGTCTTTCACAGAAACAACAAAGTGATTCTGTTTGCTTTTCCCACCCCTCTGGTTAACTTTGTAGCTTTTTGATCCTTCAAGTCATGAGAGAACATTAGCAGTCTGTTTAATTTTCCCAGATAGGAAATTAACCAAAAATTAATTTAGCAGCAATGATAAAACCCACTGAGTCATTATATAATTTTTGCCTCTCATAGATCATAAACACCCCAATTGAGTATAATTTACTATCCCTGGGAAATCTAAACATATCAAATAATGTTTCAGAGCAAGATGTAAAACCCAGTTTTATAGGCAGACATCCTTCTCCTTTCCAACAGCATGGCAGCATCCTCCCCCCCTCTATTAACCTCTCTTTTCACAGAGAAAATAACACCTATTCCCCAAGCAGATACATTTCTGCTTTTCAAACTGGAATCCTGTATGCTTCAGGATATACATAGATATGCAAGAGAGACACAGAGTGAGGAAGTCATCCATGAAGCATCTTACGGAGGTTAACTCAGATACTTGATTAAACATTTAACCAGTTAAAAGCTTCTGTTGGCCAGGCGCAGTGGCTCACGCCTGTAATCCCAGCACTTTGGGAGGCTGAGACGGGTGGATCACCTGAGGTCAGGATTTGAGACCAGCTTGACCAGCAAGGTGAAACCCCATCTCTACTAAAAATATAAAAATTAGCCAGGTGTGGTGGCAGGCACCTGTAGTCCCAGCTACTCGGGAGGCTGAGACAGGAGAATTGTTTGAACCCGGGAGGCAGAGCTTGCAGTGTGCTGAGGTTGCACCACTGCACTGCAGCCTGGGTGACAGAGTGAGACTCCATCTCAAAAAAAAAAAGCTTCTGTCACTTGCACCCAGAAGCAAAATTGTGAGAACCTCATGCTTCTTTTAATTGGGGCATTTAGTCCATTTACATTTAAGGTTAATATTGTTATGTATGAATTTGATCCTGTCATTATGATGCTAGCTGGTTGTTTTGCCTGTTAGTTGATGCAGTTTCTTCATATGTCGACGGTCTTTACAATTTGGCATGTTTTTGCAGTGGCTGGCACCGGTTGTTCCTTTCCATGTTTAGTGCTTCCTTCAGGAAAGGCCTGGTGGTGACAAAATCTCTCAGCATTTGCTTGTCTGTAAAGGATTTTATTTCTCCTTCGCTTATGAAGCTTAGTTTGGCTGGCTTTCCATTTGCTTGGTAAATATTCCTCCATCCCTTTATTTTGAGCCTATGTGTGTCTTTGCACGTGAAATGGGTCTCCTGAATACAGCACACTGATGGATCTTGACTCTTTATCCAATTTGCCAATCTGTGTCTGAGAACCTCATGCTTCCTGATGACTAGTCTCACACATTTATTCTTGAAAGCCTAGAGGAAGGAGCATCGTTATATATAGTGGCTAATTGGAAAAATTAGCTGCTATTGCTTTGAGAAGAGATTACACTAGCACCGTTAGCCAATGTGATCCTCTAGAGTGGCAGTGGACAAATGGCCTGTTTTGGTGCAGCCTGGGAACCAAGAATGGCTTTTAAAGGATTGGAAACAAGAAGAATATATGGCAGAGATGTATGTGACGCACAAAGCCTAAAATATTTACTCTCTGATCCTTTTACAGGAAAATTTGTCAACCCCTGCTCTAGAAGGATTTCTTATTGAAGCCTGAACACCTGCTACTTTAAAAAATAAGTTAATCATCTTGCTGGTGGTTTGTGCCGCTTCTCATGCATATGTGAATACACACACATAAACACAAACACATACACATACACCACACAAATCTCTAAATTAACCTGACTTCTTACCATAGTTCCCAATCCCATGACAGTGAACTGTCCCATTGAACAATAACAAAAATTCTAGACTTCTCTGATTCAGTGTTCTTGACTTAAATTTACATTTTGTATTTGTTTAATTTTTAATTATAGGAATGTATAAATTCTCTTTTCATCAGGGAATATATGTTAGTGGTTGAAACATGAAGTTCATGAAGTATGAACATAAACCTGGTGAAAATTCTTAAGCAAGTGAGGAAATATTCAAACAACCTGAAATGATAGAAGGTGGTGACACACTGGAATTTCTCTAAGACTCTCCACAAGGGGATGAATGAATTCAACCCAAGGTAGAGTGGCAATGAAAAGATGACAGGATGGGCTGGGCACAGTGGCTCATGCCTGTAATGCCAGCACTTTGGGAAGCCAAAGTGGATGGATCACCTGAGGTCAGGAGTTCAAGACCAGCCTGGCCAACATGATGAAACCTCGTCTCTACTAAAAATAGATAAAAATTAGCCCAGCATGATGGCACACACCTGTAATCACAGCTACTGGGGAGGCTGAGGCAGGAGAATCGCTTGAACCCAGGAAGTAGAGGTTGCAGTGAGCCAAGATCGTGCCACTGCTCTCCAGCCTGGGCAACAGAGCAAGACTCCACCTCAAAAAATAAAAAATAAAAATAAATAAATAAAATAAAAAATCACAGGATGCACATAGAGGTGTATTTAAAATATAAGTTTTATTGTAGAGATGCAAATGAGTATAAATGTTGGTATCTCTTATGTGTGAGAACCCTAGGCCCTAATGACATGAAACCCTCACTCTTGAAATTTCATTTAAACGTCAGTCAATACAGCAAAACGATAATAATAGGGGACCTCAGCACCTTACTTTCAGCAATGGACAGAACATCCAGATAGAAAATCAGAAAGAAACATCAGAGTTAAACCACACTCTAGACCAAATGGACCTCACAGACGTTTACAGAACATTCCACCCAATAGCGCAGAATATATATTCTTCTCATCAGCAAATGCAATTTTCTCCAGGATAGGACATATGTTATGCCACAAAACAAGTCCCAACGAAATTTTTTTACACAATTGAAATTATGTCAAGTCTTTTTTGTGACCACAACAGAATAAAACTAGAAATCAATAACAGGAGAAACTTTGGAAACTATACAAATACTTGGAGATTAAAAAATGTACTCCTAAACAACAAACGGGTCAAAAAGAAAAAGGAAATTAAAATAGATTTCTTGAAACAAAGAAAAATGGAAGCACATACCAAAACCTATGGAACACAGCAAAAGCAGTTCTAAGAGGGAATAAATTCCTACATCGAAAAATTGAAGGGATCTCAAACTACCCATGGTTATGCCTCAAGGATCTAAAAAAGACAAGAACAAACTAAACCCAAAATTAGTAGAATAAAAGAAGTAATGAAGATCAGAATAGAAAAAACAAAATAGAGAATAAAAGAAATACAAAAGATCAACAAGACAGTTGGTTTTCTTGAAAAGTTAAACAAAATCAGCTATAATTCCAACACTTTGGGAGGCCAAGGCAGGAGCGTCGCTTGAGGACAGGAGTTTGAGATCAACCTGGTCAACAGAGAGAAACCCTATTTCTATGAAAAATTTTAAAAATTATAAGATAAATTAGCCAGGCATAGTGATGCATGCCTGTAGCTCTAACTACCTGGAGGCCGAGGCAGGGGGATAGCTCAAGCCTAGAAGTTCAAGGTTGCAGTGAGCTATGATCACACCACTGCATACCAGTCTAGCACTCCAGCCTGGGTGACAGAGTGAGATGCTGTCCCAAAAAAACAAATAACACAAACAAGATCAGCAAACCTCTACTTAGACTAAAATTTTCAAAAGTTTCAAATCAGAGACGAAAAACAAAACATAACTGATACCACAGTAATAACAGACTATTATGAACAAGTATATGCCAACAAAATAGAAAACCTAGAAGAACTGGATAAATTCCTAGACATGTATAACCTATCAAAATTGAATCATGAAGAAAGAGAAAATCTGAACAAACTAATAATGAGAAATGAGGTTGAATCAATAGTCAAAAGTGTCCCATCAAAGAAGAGCCCTAGGACCTGATGCATTTACTGCAGAATTCTATCAAACATTTAAAGAAGAACTAATACCAATCCTTTTCAGACTATTCCAAAAAAAAAAAAAAAAAACAGAGGGAGTTCTTCCAAACTCAACCTGAGTCCAGCATCACCCTGATACTAAAACCAGATAAGGACATACACAAAAGTTTATGGGCCAATATGCCTGATAAACATAGCTATAAAAATCTTCAACAAAATAAAACCAATCAAAATTCAACAGCACATTAAAAAGATCATTCACTATGACCAAGTGGAATTTATTCCAGGAATGCAAGAGTGGTTCAACATACACAAATCAATAAATGTGATACATCACATTAACAGAATCAAGGGGAAAAAACATACAATTATTTCAATCAACACAGAAAACAGCTTCGATAAAATTCAAGATCCTTTCATGAGGAAAATTCTCAACAAATTGTGTATAGAAGGAACATACCTCAAAACAATAAAGGCCATATATGACAAACCCACAGCTAACATATTAAACAGGGAAAAACTGAAAGCCTTTCCTGTAAAATCTGAAACAAGACAAGGATTCTCACTTCCACCACTTCTATTCAGCACAATACTGGAAGTTCTAGGCAGCAAGTAAGTAAGAGAACTAAAGGGCATCCAAATTGGAAAGAAGAAAGTCAAATTGTCCCTGTTTGCAGATGACATGATTGTATATATAGAAAGCCCCAAAGACTCCTCAAAAAAAAAAAAAACCGTTAGAACTAATAAACAAATTCAGTAAAGTTGTAGGATACAAAATCAACATACATAAGTCAGTAGTGTTTCTATACACCAATATTATCTGAAAATTCAAGAAAGCAATTCCATTTACAAAAGCTACCAAATAAATAAAAAACCTAAGAAATTTAACCAAGGAGGTGAAAAATCCTTACAAAGAAAACTACAAAACATTGATGAAATAAATTGAAGAGGACACAGACAAATGGAAAGATATTTCCTGTTCATGGATTGAAAGAATTAACATTGTAAAACTGTCCATACTACCCAAAGTGATCTACACGTTCAATGTAATCCTTATGAAAATACCAACGACATTCTTCACAGAAATAGATAAAACCATCCTGAAATTTATATGGAATCAGAGAAGACTCCAAATAGCCAAACCAACCTTGAGCAAAAAAAACAAAGCTAGAGGCATCACACTACCTGACTTCAAAGTATACTACAAAGCTGTATCACCAAAAGAGCATGGCACTTGCGTAAAAACAAACACATAGACAGATGAAACAGAATAAAAATCCCAGAAATCACACACTTATAGTCAACTGATTTTCAACAAAGTTACCAAGAATACACATTGTGGAAAGAACAATCTCTTCAATAAATGGTGCTGGAAAAATGATAACCACATGCAGAAAAATGAAACTAGACCCCTGTTTATCATCAATGACAAAAATCAACTCAAAGTAGATGAAAGACTTAAATGTAATACCTGAAACTATAAAACTACTAGAAGAAAACATTAGGGGAATGCTTTATAACATTGGTCTGGACAAAGATTTTTGGGGTAAGACCTCAGAGGCTCAGGCAGCAAAAGCAAAGATAGACAAATGGGATTACATCAGACTAAAAAGCTTCTGCACAACAAAGGAAATAACCAACAGAGTAAAGAGACAACCTGCAGAATGGGAGAAAATATGTTCAAAATATGCCTCTGACAGTCAAGAGCTTAATATCTAGAATATATAAGGAACTCAATTTAGTAGCAAAAAAATGAAAAGGATGTGATTCTAAAACAGGCAAAGGACTTGAATAGACATTTCTCAGAAGACATACAAATGACCAACAGGTACATGAAAAATATTCCACATCACTAATTATCAGGGAAATGCAAATCAAAACCATAATGAAATATCATTTCACCCCAATTAGAATGGATATTATCAAAAAGACAAAAAATAACAATTGCTAGAATGGATGTGGAGAAAAGGGGATGCTTATACACCATTGGTGGAAATGTAAATCGGTATAGCCATTATGGAAAAGAGTGTAGAGATTCCTCGAAAAACTAAGAACTACCGTATGATCCAGCAGTTCTACTATGATGTATCAAAAGGAAATGAAATCAGCATGTCAAAAAGATATCTGCACTTGCATGTTTATTGTAGCATTGTTCACATTAGCCAAGATCTGGAGTCAACCTATCAACAGTTGAATGCGTAATGAAAGTATGGTATATATACACAATGGAATACTACTCAGTCATAAAAAAGAATAAAATCCTGTAATTTGTGGCAACATGGATGAACCTGGTGGGCATTATGTTAAGTGAAATAAGTCAGGCATAAAAAGACAAATACTGCCTGCTCTCATTCGTGTTATCTAAAAAAGCTGATCTTGGAAGTAGAGTAGAAAAATGGTTACCAGAGGCAGGGGAGGTAAAAGGAGGGAGGATGGTGGGGAGAGATTGGTCAATGGTTACAAAATTGCCCGTTGATCATTTTAATAGATCATCGTTACTTTTTTTTGGTAACACCATTATCAAGATATAATTTACATACTATATTACCATTTGACCACTTGAAGTATGCAATTCAGTGGTTTTTAGTTAGGAGGAATACGTTCTGGTGTTCTGTAGCACAGTAGGGTGACTATAGTAAACAATATTATAGTGTATATTTCAACATAACTAGAAGAGAGGATTCTGAATATTCCCACCACAAAGAAATGATCAATGAGATGATGGATATGCTAAATACCATGATTTGATCATTATACAATGTATACATGTATTGAAACATCTCATGGGGCCCCATAAATATGTATAATTATGTGTCAATTAAAAACAGTTTTTAAAAAAGTCAGTCATACACATCCTGAAGTTAGGCTGAGTCAAAAGAACTAGCCGTGAACTATACAGTGAATAGCACTAACAAAGATTTTCTCAAAGCTGCTTGTGAGATCATTTTGGAAATCCTTGGAAAGAGGAAACTCAAATAATAGAAGGAATTTTGATGATGCTCTCCACTGTAGACATATTTGAATAGATTGTCCATCAAAAGAGGCAGGTTAATTTAGAAAGATGTCCTTATCAAACAAGATTATCCTGTGATACACATTGCTATGCTCAAAAGACAAGCGTGAACCTCTGAGAAACTGTATTAGCATGGTAACTTACAGACTGATAAAAGCCCAAATGTTAATGATTTGACCTCTGATAATTGTTCCCTTTTTTTGGTAGCATCCTTATCAAGATATAAGTCACATATTATATAATTCACCCACTCAAAGTGTGTAATTCAGTGGTTTTTAGTATATGCACAGAGTTGGGCCAACATCAACACAATCTGTTTTAAAATGGAAATTGCTGTATCTTTCTGTATTTATTTGCCTGTTCTGGACATTTCACTAAGTGGAGTCATATAATATGTGATCTTTTGTGACTTCTTTCACTTTGTACATTTTCAGGTTTCATTTGTGTCGTAGCATGTATCAATACTTCATTCCATTCTATGGCCAAATATTAGGTCGGTGCAAAAGTAATTGTGGGTTTTTCCATGATATTTCATTGTTTGGATTTTTAAACTATTTATTTATTTATTTATTTATTTATTTATTTTTGAGACAGGGTCTCTGTTGCCCAGGCTGGAGTGCAGTGGCCTGATCACAGCTCACGGCAGCCTCGACCTCCCAAGGCTCAGGTGATCCTCCCACCTCAGCCTCCTAAGTAGCTGGGACTACAGGTGTGTGCCACCACACCATGCTAATTTTAAGGAATGGCCAAACCGCTTGCCAATGTGGTTGCACAATTTTATGTTCCCATTAGCAGTGTATGAGGGCTCCAGTTTCTCCATGTCCTCACCAACACTTGTTACTGTCTTTGCTTTTTTATTATAGTCATTCTCATTGGTGTGAACTGGTACCTCACTAAGGCTTTGATTTGCATTTCCCTGGTGACTAATGATATTAAGCATCTTTTCATATGCTTATTGGTCATTTGTGTTTCTTCTTTGGAGAAATGTTTATTTAGTTCTTTTACCCATCTTTCACTTGTACAGATGTTTGATCATTGTTTGCCTATCAAATTATAGAAACATGACTGAATACATATTTATTGGCTGAATAGATGGAAGAATAAATCACTATATTAAAAGTTGATGCCGACCGGGTATGGTGACTCACGCCTGTAATCCCAGCACTTTGGTAGGCTGAGGGGGGCAAATCACGAGGTCAGGAGTTTGAGACCAGCCTGGACAACATGGTGAAACCCTGTCTCTACTAAAAAATACAAAAAATTAGCTGGGTGTGGTGGTGGGCGCCTGTAGTCCCAGCTACTCAGGAGGCTGAGGCAGGAAAATGGCGTGAACCCAGGAGGCAGAGCTTTCAGGGATCCGAGATCACACCACTGCACTCCAACCTGGGCGACAGAGTGAGACTCCGTTTCAAAAAAAAAAAAAGGGGACGTATGTAATGCACAGGTATATACTGGCTTGGGCAGAAGAGGGTTGCTAGCTGAATTGCTTATTCTCCTCTTGGAAAACAATTAAATAGTAGGAGGTACTGACAAGGTAAAAACAAATCCAAACTGAATAAAGTGAATAAATTCACCATTCAACTAATAGGGTTTTCAAAAGTGGCTTATCTGGCAGAATTTTTTCAAGTTTAGACACTTAATCAACAACTCTGAAGGTTTCTGTTGTCAGTGTAAGATCACTCTGCAGGGAAAACAACATTTGAGAATTAGATGAAGACAATAGGTCATAAGTCTGATCAGTCCTTTGGGATTTTAAATTCATATTCAGGCAACAAAAGCTTTAGTAATGTAAGAAAATTTTAATTTTTAAATAGTCTTTACACATTAAAACCAGTTGTCTCATTAAAAATGTTTCCAGTCAAATAACACAGCCAGTGGTTCAGAGGCACTTTCCTTACCATAGACACAAGAGACCTAATCTCTGAGCAAGACACAATTATAAAACATCATCCAAGAACCACAGAAAACATTGCCACTTTATGGCATTCTGGATATCACTCCTCAAATTAAAAATTGTTGCTAATATTGTGACATTTCGATAAAAAGGAGCCCTGTCTGAATGCGATAGAACATCTTTTCTTTAGAATTTTCCCAGTTGTTCAAAATTGACAAATTCAGTGAAATAACATCTCACCTGGAAGTCAATGAGATAGGCAATAAATATTTTTTTCTCATGGCTATTTAAAATAATTTCAATTAAAATAATTGGGCTCTGGCTAATTTTCTATCATGACATCTATACAATTTAAATATTTTATACACTTAATAATGAAGAATCCAAAATTTTCATATGTAAGGTAAAATAGAAGACTGAGCCGAGACTGTTTGCTGCAGCCATGCCTCTAGGCCTCATAAGAAGTTTCACTCTAAGCAGCTTAGGCCGCTTTGAGAAGTTCCAGTATTCGTGGTTTTGGCTTCTCTGTCTCTTGCATGAATTAGAAAGCTCCCCCTTTACTAGATCCTCATAGCAGGTTCCTAGCAGGAAAGAGACCATGAAGCTTGTATGAAAACATCTCATGTACCCCATAAATACATATGATTACTACGTACCCTTAAATTAAAAAAATAACATGAATTAAGCTGGGAGTTTTGAATAGAATTAGCCTAGTGACTATTTACAGAAATAATTTTCAGAGGAAAGGGTTAAGTAGAGATGTTGAGGCAGACAAGGATTTGCAGTTACAGGAAGCCAATGCAGAAAGTATTGGAAAGTAATTTTTTAAATATATGTGTTGGGCTGGGTGAGGTGCCTCACACCTGTAATCCTAGCACTTTGGAAGGCCAAGGCGGGTGGATCACCTGAGGTCAGTAGTTGGAGACCAGCCTGACCAGCATGGCAAAACCCCATCTCTACTAAAAATATACAAAAATTAGCTGGGCGTGGTGGCATGCACCTGTAATCTCAGCTACTCAGGAGGCTGAGGCACAAGAATGACTTGAACCCAGGAGGTGGAGGTTGCAGTGAGCCAAAATTGTACCATTGCATTTCAGCCTGGGTGAAGGAGTGAGACACTGTCACACACACACAAAAAAGAATATATGTGTTTTTAATATTTCATCTTTATAAAAATAAAATATTTTAATACGTTATTTAAGATACATAAGTATATTAAATACATACTTAAGATGCATTATACATATATATACAGATATACATAAACACATACATACACATCTTATCCTTAAAGAACTGCAACATTTAATGTATGTTTAATCACAGAAAGTACAGCTGGCCCTGAAATAACATACTTTCATGCTAATGTTGATGAGGGAAAAAAACATCACTTCCTGCTTGCTGGGACCACTGTCTGTGTGGAGTTTGCACACGTTCCCCATGTCTGCCTGGGTTTTCTCTTTTCCTCCTGTTTCCTCCCATATCCCACAGCTGTGCATGTTAGGTGAGCTGGAATGTCTATATGGTCCCAGTGTGAGTGAGTGAGTGTGGGGGTGTGTGAGTGTCCCTGCCATGGGATGACATCCTGTCCAGGGCTGGTTCCCACCTGGTGCCCTGAGTTTCCAGGGTAGTGTGCAGCCACCCGGGAGCCTGAACTGGAATCAGTGGGTTAGAAAAGGAATGAATGAGTGAATACAAACTATTGTCAAATAAAAATTTGTAAATTAGACGATAATCATACAAATGCACGACACTGAACATTGCACTACAAAAGCCCTTCTCAAGCCTGCCAGATCTGTCATTGCTTTTGAACTGTGTGGTGGTAGGAGGTGCTGCTTAAGATTTTCTGCTTTGTACACATTTATTTCTCAATTTAACCTGCCCCCTCTATGCCCACCATTTCTCACTAATGCACCAAAAATTGAGTAAATAATTATCTTGTTTTTATTAACCTTTTAAAATGTATATGTAGCTCACATTTATTTCAGTGTTTAATATTAGAGGTGTTTGAGGCCTTTATTTAGAAGTTTGATGATGTTTTTGTGACCAGGAACATGCCATAGGAACTTCACTCTTGTTTATATCAATTAGTCAGTGGTAAAACTGGTTTCTTCATATGTTGTTTTGCTTAAAGTCACAGTTTGCAAGTTTATCGATTACATCGAGGACTTACTGTATAATAATAAAAGCTAATATTTGTTGTTATAGGTCTTTTATATGATTGTATTTAATTGTTACAGTGACACTATGGGGTGAGTACTATTATTGTCAATATTTCACATATGAGGAAACTAAATCATATAGAGATTTGCTGGGTGATTGCTGATCCTGCTGTACTTTAGGAAATTTGGGAGTAGCTGAAAAATTCTCAATCACCTGAGCTTCTGGCCAAGGTCCATTATAAGAATACAGGAATGGAATGACACCGTAGTATCAGTTATGGGTCATAGGAGTCTCCTGAAAGTCTGTGTTTTGCTCCGTTTAGGTATATCAGGATTGGAGATAAAGAATGTGAATTTAACAAGAACTTTCGCCTTATCCTTCACACAAAATTGGCAAATCCTCACTATAAGCCGGAATTACAAGCTCAGACAACTCTCCTCAATTTCACAGTCACAGAAGATGGTCTAGAAGCCCAGCTGCTGGCAGAGGTTGTCAGTATTGAAAGGCCAGATTTGGAGAAACTTAAGGTAAAAATGTTTACGTCACCACCAACACTTAGTCGGCATTTGCTTTGCACAAATCACAGTGCTAGACATAGAAGTATAAAATAGGATTCCTGCCCTCTAGAATCCTGCAACCTAATTGGGAAAAATAAGTATACATGTTAAAAGTTAAACAATTCAAAGTTGCTCTTCATAAATGCTAGATTGTTACGGTTATGCCACACGTAGGAGATAGGGTGGCTCTGGATCTTGTTTGAGGGCAAACAAAGAGGCATACGAGTCATGTAAAATAGAGGTATGTGCCCAGGTATGTTGGAATGTAATCGACTAATTTAGCCTGGGCTAAAGAATGAAAAAGAGGTATAATGAAGCAAGCTTGGAAGAATTAAGGACCTGGTAGCTAGTTGTGACTAGTATTCAAAGGGACATTCATGGCCTTAAGTATATTAAGAAACAATGCTGAAAATACTGAAATTTAGTGTTATATACAGAAAACAAAGCAACATAGCCTTAAAATGTAGAAGAAAGGCAATAATAAAGATAAAATCAGAAAATACTGACATAGAAAATAGACAAAAGATTAACAAAATAAAAAAGCTAGTTCTTTGGCAAGAAGGGGTGAGGAAGTGATATAGTAGATATACTTCCATAAGGACTAGTGAAGAATAAAAGATAAAAGGCAAGTAAGGGAAGACAAAGGCATATAACTACACACAGATTAAAAACTATAAAGGAATGCTATGCTCAGGTTTTTTTTGTTTTTTTTTTTTTTTTGAGACAGAGTCTTGCTCTGTCACCAAGGCTGGAGTGCAGTGGCATGGTCTCGGCTCACTGCAACCTCCGCCTCCTGGGTTCAAGCGATTCTTCTGCCTCAGCTTCCCGAGTAGCTGGGACTACAGGCATGCACCACCACGCCCAGCTAATTTTTGTATTTTTAGTAGTGATAGGGTTTCACCATATTTGCCAGGCTGGTCTCAAACTCCTCACCTTGTGATCCTCCAGCCTCAGCCTCCCAAAGTGCTGGGATTACAGGCATGAGCCACCACGCCCGGCCATGCTGTGCCCAGCTTTCTAATAATAAATTTGAGTATTGAAATGGTGATGTGAAAAATAAAAAGAATTTATGTGCTAACCTGGGCAAATTTGGCAATAGTGTGTCTCAAAAATTTAAATGAGATACATTAAGAATTAAAACAAGGATTTATATTTCAGATGTTAGAGATTTATGGCCTACATTTTGGAACTTGAAAGGATTTCTTCACACAGATGAACAACATTATTCATATTTTGAAGAAGTAAGCTAGAATACTTTTTCTTAGTATAAATCAGGGGTCCGCAAACTGTGGCTTCCATGCCTAATTTGGCCTGCCACCTCTTTTGGTTAATAAAATTTATTAAAACACAGCCATGGCCAAACACAGTGGCTCATACCTGTAATACCAACACTTTGGAAAGCTGAGGCTGGATCACTTGAGGGAAGATCACTTGAGGCCAGTTTGAGACCAGCCTGGCCAACATGGCAAAACCCCATCTCTACTAAAAATACAAAAAATTAGCCAAGTGTGGTGGTGTGCAACCGTAGCCGCAGCTACTGAGGAGGCTGAGGCACAAGAACCACTTGAACCCAGGGGCAGAGGTTGCAGTGTGCCAGGATAGTGCCACTGCACTCCAGCCTGGAGGACAGAGCAAGACTCTGTCTCAAACAAAAACAAAAACAAACAAAAAACGGACTTGTTCATATATTTACATATTGTCTATGACTGCTTTTGCACTATAATGGCAGAGTTGAGTAGTTGCAACAGATACCTTATGGCCTACAAAGCCAAAAGTATTTATTATCTGGCCCTTTCCAGAAAACGATTGCCACCCTGGTATAAATCAGTGGTTCTCAAACTGGGGGTCCTGGAACAGCAGCATCACCATCAGCTGGTGCTGATACAAATACACTTTAAATGCAAATTATCTGGCCACACCCCAGATCCCACTAAATGAGAAACTCTGGTTGGGGGTCCAGCAATCATGTTTTACTAAGCCATGCAGGAAATTCTGGTCCATGCTCATAGTCTGTGTGAGGCTGCTTTACTTGGATTTGCCACTGCAGCAGTTGCCATGTAGGCAAAGACAGCCATGGGATCAAGGCTGGGTATCAGTGGATATGGTTCCCTGAGGCCTCCTTACAAATGTGCTCACATTCAGTGGAACTGCAACATGCCAGGAGTGAGTCATCCACCAAGTCAGAGTTCAAAGGACCACTGGCTTGCTGCCTTGTGCACTAATTGCCAAGCTGGATCAGGGACCGTGTCTGTAATCAAGGCACCACCAGACCATATAAGAAAATAGTATTTTTTTTTTATGTTAGCATAAAAAAGTTGCAGGAGTTCTTGTATTCTGAATGTCAGACTCTTATTGGATATGTGACTTATAAAAATTTTCTCCCATTCTGTGGGCTGTCTTTTCACTTTCTTGTTGGTGTCCTTTGAAGCACAAAAGTTTTTAATTTTGGTAATGTTCAGTTTATCTATTTTTTCTTGCTTGTTTTTTGGTATCATATCTAAGAAATCATTAACTGACAGTTCGTGAAGATTTATGTTTTCTCTTAGGAGTTGTGTAGTTTTGGTTCTTACATTTAGCTCTGTTGTATATTTTGAGTTAATTTTTGTACGTGGTGTGAAGTAGGGGTGCACCTTCATTCTTTTGCCTGTGGCTATCTAGTTGTCTCAGCACCGTTTGTTGAAAAGACTATATTTTCTCCCTTAAATTGCCTTTGATCCTTGTTAAAGATCAGTTGGCCATATTTCATATGAATAGATCAGTTGGATCTATTCATATTTCTGCGTTCTCTGTTTCATTCCATTGATCTGTTTGTCTATCCTTTTATCAATATCACACCGCCTTGATTACTGTAGCTTGATAGTCTGGAAGCCAAGTAGTGTCAATTCTCTGACTTTGTTTTTCTGTATATTTTTGATGATTCTGGATCTTATGATTTTTAATATAAACTTTAGAATCAGATTTTCAACATCTATAAAATAATGTACAGGTATTTTGAATAATATTGTGTTGAATTTCAGAAAGGAATGACTTAACAATAATGGCTTAACAATACTCAGAATGGCTTAACAATATTGAGACTTCCTATTCATCAACATGCAATATCTCTCCATTGTTTAGATCTTTGATTTCTTTCATCAGAGATTTTTAGTCCTCCAGACAGATCTTCAACATACTTTGTGAAATCTATACCTAAGTGTTTCAGTTGTTTGGTACTAATGTAAATGGCATTGTGTTTTAAATTTCAAATTCCAATTGTTTAAAGCTGGTGTATAGAAGAGCAATGGCTTTTGTATATTAATCTGTATCCTGCAAATGTGCTATACCTGCTTATTAGTTGCAAGAGGCCTTACGTTCATACTTTGGGATTTTCCACATAGATTATCATGTCATGCGTGAACAAAGACAATTTTTTGTTCTTCCTTCCCATTCCATATACCTTTAATTTCCTTTTCTTGTCTTAAGGCATTAGTTAGGACTTCTAGTACAATGTTGAGTAGGAGTGGAACCTTGCCTCGTTCCTGATCTTAGGGCAAAAGCATCTAGCTTCTCACCATTAAGTACAATGTAAGCTATGATTCTCTTCTTTTAGATCTTCTTTATCACGTTAAGAAAGTTCCCCTCTATTTCTAATTTGCCGAGAGTTTTTTTATCATTAAATTACTGTTAAATTTTATCAAATGTTTTTTCTGCATTTATTGATATGACTACATTTTTCTTCTTTAGCTTGTTATATATCATTACTTCACTTTTGAACCAGACTTGCATACCTGGAATAAATCCCACTTGGTCGTGGTGTTTAATTATTTTTGTACATTGTTGGATTTGATTTGCTAATTTTTTGAGGATGTTCACAACTATGCTCATCAGAGATATCGGTCCGTAGTTGTTTTGTTTTTTCCTGTAATGGGTTTATCTGGTTTTGGTCTTAGGGTAATGCTTGCCCTATAGAATGAGATAGGAAATGTTCCCTCTGCTTCTATTTTCTAGAAAAAATGTAGAGAATTGATACTATTTCTCCCTTAACTCTTTTCTTCCAGTGAAATCATCTGGACCTGGTGCTTTCTGTTTTGAAAGGTTATTAATTATTGAGTTAATTTATTTAATGCATATAGGCCTTTTCAGATTATGTATGTATTTTTGGTAGATTCTGCCCTCCAAAGTTTCAGTTCACTTCATCTAAGTTATCAAATTTGTAAGCATATAATGATTTATAAGATTCTTTTATTATCCTTTAATATTCATGGAATTGGTATTTATGCCCCTCTTTCATTTCTCATACTAGTAATTGGTGCCTTCTCTTGTCTCTTGGCTAGCCTGGCTAGAGTATTATAAATTCTGTTGATCCTTTCAAATAATCAGCTTTGGATTTTAGTTTCTCTACTGATTTTCTGGTTAAAATGTTACTGACTTCTGCTCTGATTTTTATTATGTATTCACAAGCTTGCTTTAGGTTCACATTGCTCCTTTATCTAATTTTCTAAGGTAAAAGCTTAGATAAATACCTTTAGGTTTTCTTCTCTACTTTTCTAATATATGCATTCAATGCTATAAATTTCCCTTTAACCACTGCTTTTGCTGAATCTCACAAATTTTGATATGTTGTATTTTTGTTTGCATTTATGTCAAAATATTTTTAAGTTTTTCTTGAGACTTCTTCTTTGACCCATGTGTTATTTTAAACTGTGTTGTTTAATCTCCAAATATTTTTGAATTTTAAGCGTTCTGTTACTGATTTCTTACGTAATTTTGTTGTGGTCTGGAACATACTTTGTATGATTTCTATTCTTTTAAACCTTTTTGGTGTGTTACTTGGTCCATCTTGGCAAATGTTCCATGTGAGCTTGAGAAAAATGTATATTCTTCTGTAAGTGGATGAAGTAGTCTGTCAGTGACATTCGATCCGGTTGATTGATGATGATGCACAGTTCGACTATATCCTTGCTGATTTTTTGCCTGCTGGATCTGTCAATTATGATATAAGGGTTTTGAATTGTCCAGCTATAATTGTGGACTTGTTTATTTCTCCTTGCAGTTCTTAGTTTTTGCCTTCTGTATTTTGACACTCCATTATTAGGTGCATACACATTAAAGATTATTATGCTTTCGACCGGGTGCAGTGGCTCACGCCTGTAATCCCAGCACTTTGGGAGGCTGAGACGGGCGGATCACGAGGTCAGGGGATCGATACCATCCTGGCTAACATGGTGAAACCCCGTCTCTACTAAAAATACAAAAAAAATTAGCTGGGCGTGGTGGCGGGTGCCTGTAGTCCCAGCTACTCGGGAGGCTGAGGCAGGAGAATGGCGTGAACCCAGGAGGTAGAGCTTGCAGTGAGCTGGGATTGCACCACTGCACTCCAGCCTGGGTGATAGAGCGAGACTCTGTTTCAAAAAAAAAAAAAAAAAGATTATTATGCTTTCAGGGAGAGTAGACCCTTTTATTATGTAATGCACTTCTTTGTTCTCAATAATTTTTCTTATTCTGATAACTACTTTGTCTTAATATAGCCACCCCAGCTTTCTTTCGATTAGTGTTAGCATGGTATATCTTTCTCCATCTCTCTCTCTCTCTCTCTCTACTTTTAATTTTTATATTTAAAGTGGGTTTTATAGACAGATAGGTCTTGTTTTTTATCTACTATGTCAATATAATTCACATTTAAAGAGATTGTTGCTATAATTAGATCAATATCTACCGTATTTTTATTGGGTTTTATTCATTATACTTGTTTCTCACTAGTTTTGTCTTTTTCTCTTCTTCTGCCATCTTTGGTTTTAATTGAGCACTTTGTATGATTCCAGTGTCTTCTTTCTTAGCTATATATATTGGGTGCTCACTCTCACTCGCTCTCTCTCTCTGTATATATAGCTGTAATATTTATATATTACAACATGATGTATGTATTTTGTATTTGTAATAATTTTTCTTTTCCTTCTCTTCTGCCTTCTTTGGTTTTAAGCATTTTATATGATTCTAGTATCTCTTCTCTCTTAGCAAAATAGATTGCTATATGTAAGTACAATATAAATTGTATTTCTTTTAAAAATTTTTTTAGTGGTTACCTTAGCATTTGCAATATACATTTACAACTAATCTAACTCCATTTTCTTTTTTCTTTTTTTCTGAGATGAGGTTTCACTCTTGTTGCCCAGGCTGGAGTGCAATGGCACAATCTCGGCTCACTGCAACCTCTGCCTCCTTGGTTCAAACAATTCTCCTGCCTCAGCCTCCCGAGTAGCTGGGATTACAGGCATGTACCGCCATGCCCAGCTAATTTTGTATTTTTAGTAGAGATGGGATTTCGCCATGTTGGTCAGGCTAGTCTCAAACTCCTGACCTCAGGTGTTCCACCTGCCTCGGCCTCCCAAAGTGCTGGGATTACGGGCATGAGCCACCATGCCCAGCCTCTAATTCCATTTTCAAATAACACTACTGCCTCATTGGTAATGCAGTTATCTTTTAATAGACTATTCTCATTTCCTCCCTCTCATCCTTTATAACATTGCTGTCATTCATTTCGTTTATCCATAAGTTATAATCACTGACTGTATTGCTTTTATTACTGTTTTGAACAGACAGCTCAATTAATAAACTAACATATTTTATCTTCATTTACTCCTTCTCTAGTACTCTTTCATTCTTTACATAGATGTGAGTTTCTGACCTATATCATTTTTCTTGTCTATGAAGAAATTTCTTTTTAACATTTCTGGTAAGGCAGGTCTACTGACAACAAAATCCCTCAGTCTTCTTGGTCTAAGAAAGCTTTTATTACGCTTTACTTTTGAAGGATAATTTTATAAGATACAAAATTATTTGTTGATTGTTTTTTTCCTTAAACATTTTAAATATTTTACTCAACTCTCCTTTTTGCATAGTTTCTCAAGAGAAGTTCCATGTAATTGTTATCCTTGTTCCTTCATAGGTAAGGTAATTTATTTCCTGTGGACTCTTTCAAGATTTTGTCTTTGTCTTTGATATTATGCGGTTTGAATATGCAATGACTAAGAGTTGATTTTTTGGCATTTATCCTGCTTAATGTTCTATGGGTGTCCTGGATCTTTGGTTTGGTATCTTTCATTAATTTTGAAGAATTTTTAGCTACCATTATTTCCAATCTTTCTTCTGCTCATTTTTTTCTTTTTTCTCCTTGTAAGCATCTCACAGTTCTTGGATATTCTTTCCTTTTTAATTTTTATTCTTTTTTTTTTTCAAGTATCTAATGACATATGTCTAAGCATACTGATTCTTGTCACTGTGTCTAGTTTACTCATGAGCCCGTCAAAAACATTCTTCAGCCGGGCACGGTGGCTCACGCCTGTAATCCCAGCACTTTGGGAGGCCAAGGCAGGCGGATCACAAGGTCAGGAGATTGAGACCATCCTGGCTAACACGGTGAAACCCCATCTCTACTAAAAATACAAAAAATTAGCCAGGTGTGGTGGTGGGAGCCTGTAGTCCCAGCTACTCGGGAGGCTGAGGCAGGAGAATGGCGTGAACCCGGGAGGCGGAGCTTGCAGTGACCCGAGATGGCGCCACAGCGCTCCAGCCTGGGCGACAGAGGAGACTCTGTCTCAAAAAAAAAAAAAAAGAAAAAGAAAAAGAAAAAAAATTCTTCATTTTTGTTACGTTGTTTTTTATGTCTAGCATTTCCTTTTCATTCTTTGAGTTTCTATCTCTACTTACATTGCCCATGTGGTCTTGCATGGTGTTCACTTTTCCATTAAACCCGTTAGCACATTAAGTAGTTATTTTTAACTCCCAGTTTGATAATTCCAAAATTTCTGCCACATCTGAGTCTTGTCCTGAGGTTTGCGTTCTGTCTTCTTCTTTTTTTTTTTTTTTTTTTTTTTGCCTCTAAGTATACCTTGTACTTATTTGTTGAAAACCTTGAAAACCAGACATGATGTATTAGATAACTGTCACAAAAGTAAACAGAGGTTTAGTGTGAGGTTTTATGTTTCCAGGGCTAGGAGTTACGGCTGTGTCTCATGTTCATTTAGCTGCAGTTTTACCTGGTGTCCTTGTTTTTGTCTCCCTTGTTGTCCTTAGGTTTCCCTAAAAACTGATTTTTAAATAGAATCTGTGCTTTGCAAATCTCTCAGTTATAATCCACTGATATTATACTGGAGTCTGTCAATGTGTTGGTAAGGTATTATGGAGGGGAAGCATTCTTTTCTCTTATAATTACATCTCAGGGTTTTTTAGGAGCTGTGAATCACTGGGATGTGGCCTTCAGAAGAGTTACTCAGCCTTTTTTAAAGGACAGGAATTCTGCCTTCCCCAGTGATATGGTTTGGCTATGACATCACCCAAATCTCATCTTGAATTGTAGTTCCCATAATCCCCGTATGTTGTGGCAGGGACCCAGTGGGAGGTAACTGAATCACGGGATTGGTTTCCTCCATGCTGTTCTTGTGATAGTGAGTGAGTTCTCATAAGATCTGATGGTTTTATAAGGGGCTTTTCCCCCTTTGCTGGGCACTTCTCTCTGCTGCCGCCAAGGAAAGAAGGACATGTTTGCTTCCCTTCCACCATGATTGTAAGTTTCCTGATGCCTCCCCAGCTATACGGAACTATGAGTCAATTAAATCTCTTTTCTTTTTAAATTACCCAGTCTCAGGAAGTCCTTTATCGCACCTTGAGAGCAGATTAATACATCCAGGTCATATTAGGCACTGGCCAAGTAGTTTCCCTTGTGGGCAGGCTTTGGTTAAGGAGAACAGAAAGTTCTGGACATATTTAAAATGGTTACTTTCCCTCTGAGCTTATGTCATAATGGTTACTTTTCCCATCCTTAGCCCAGAGCTGGTGTAGATTTTATCTGACCTTCACTGTAAGAACCGGATGGCATTTCCTGGAGGTAAAACTCAAAGAAGTGTAGAGACTACGAAGACTGGGCCCCTCTGAAGTTTTAATTCAAGCTCTACTTGCATGTCAGTGTTCCCGAGAAGCTGTGATTCTCTGTGTTTGCCTGTTTTTAGGATGGCAATTTGTCCTGTGACCTCCGTTCTCTGATGTATGTAGGAAGAATTGTTGATGAGTTTTTTTCCTATTTTGAGAACGGAAATGAGACTTCTAAGCCTTTATATGTCTGAGCAGAAACCAGAAGTTTCTGATGTTTTCTTAAACAGATTCTTCCTGTGGTTCATGATGTTAAATTATTGTTAAGCGTTTATACTCTGCACCCTGGAGTGCAACTAGATCTTAACATACCTTCTGAAGTTTTTTAAAGAATTTCTAAAAATTGTGATTGGTATGATTTTAATGTTAAGGGTGTTTTATTATATACTGATTCCATGAAATTTGTGATTAAGGAAACTCTGGTTTAAAAACATTTACTTGTCCAGGCGCAGTGGCTCACGCCTGTAATGGCAGCACTTTGGGAGGCCTAGGTGGGTGGATCATTTGAGGTCAGGAGTTCGAGACCAGCTTGACCAACGTGGTGAAACCCCGTCTCTACTAAAATACAAAAAAAAATAGCTGGATGTGGTGGCAGGCACCTGTAATCTCAGCTACTCGGGAGGCTGAGGCAGGAGAATCGCTTTAACCCAGGAGGCACACGTCGCAGTGAGCCAAGATCATACCACTGTACTCCAGCCTGGGCGACAGAGCAAGACTTCCTCTAAAAAAAAAAAAAAAAAAGTACTTAACCACCATTTCCCACACTTTTCTTGGTTTTTATTAGTTGGTATTGACAAAGCACCAAAATGATTTTAAAATTGAGCTCAAGTATCTGGAAGACGATCTCCTTTTGCGCCTTTCTGCGGCAGAGGGAAGCTTTCTGGATGACACCAAACTGGTAGAGAGATTGGAGGCAACAAAGACCACCGTGGCAGAGATAGAGCACAAGGTAGGAAGGGCAGAGGGTGCCTGGCAGATTCTAATGCTCTGTTCGAATGAGACATGTGGGGTGGGCAGTGTGATCAGACTTGGTAATTCCTCTAAGAGGACCAGCGTGTGGAATTCAGGTGATTTAATAAGCTGCAGTTGGACTGTGTGGGATTGTAAATGGAGATGGAGATGGTTGAATGTGTGCTTCTCCTAATTCCATAGAGATGTCATTCAAATTAGACACTGTCCGGCTATTATTTTTCCTGGGTGACCAAATGTGAAGAAAAGCTGAGGCCTGCTGGCTTCTATGGCTGAAAATCTGAAAAGCCTTAGCATCCGGCTCTTCCAAACTCATATCCTACAGTTTCTCTGCAGGTTCTCCAAGCTGTTGGACATTTTAAAGAAATTCTTAGAGTGAAAGTTTTGTTTACAGGCCTGCCGTGGCAGGATACCGAGCAAAGGATAATCTCCTGCTGTACTCAAATGCACTATTCACCCCAGGAAAAATGACATTTCCTAAAAGCCAGTAGAAATTTTTATTAAATAGGCTTCCTGCTAATGTCCAACATGGGTCCCAATATGCCTTATGTGTGATGTGCACTTTGGACTTTCACAGATGACCGTTAACCCTTAAAATGCCATTGTTTCAGTGTGAATTAGACCCTTATTTGCTTTCTGGAATATCCTTATTACTAAGTAATCTATTAATTACCCAGCAGAAGCTGTGTCACTACGCATCCTTTATATTTGTCTTAAATTAAGCGAGGAAATGGAATCCCAAATTACTCTGTCTTTTCAAGTAAGTGAATATTAGGTGGCTCCTAAGATGGTAAAGTTAGAACAATTAAGTAAATTAACTTAGCTTTGAAGTTAACTTCTAATTGTCTCTTAAAATGTGTCTTCCTATCTTCTTAATATATCACCATGTAGTGACTTCCTTCTCTGCCCTACATTTTATTTCCTTTTATACACAAATATTATGAGTCAACTCTATAGAGAAGGTTGGGGAAAATACTGTATCCTATGGGACCAGCAGTAGTCCTAGATAAAAGAAATAGATATTTGAGCCTTGGGTAAAACTGATATGTTGGTTGATGGTGGTGCTGGTTTTTCTTTTTAAATTATCTCTCTGAATGTACCCAGAGGCTAATACATAAAGATAAACTAAATGGAAATATATGGACATATGGATGATCCAGTGCAAAGTTAGAATTAGGCATGAGAGTCTCTATATTAAGGCTTTTTAGTAAGCATAAGTTACTGGGTATATTATTGACCTTGACTGCTTTTGTATGCTTTGTTGCCTAATGAAGTTATTGGCATTGAATTGACCCAGCAGACTTTTAAGAGCCATCCCTGGGAGGTGATATAGCTGGGTTATTAAGCCTTGAAAGAGAGAGGGGAGGCAGGAAGGTGACATTACTCAAATTCTGTAGAACAGAAAACAACTAGGTTTGTTTAATCTGTAACCTAGAAAACCGCTAGAGTTATGTCCATTCTCACTGAAACTCAGTTTATTAAAAAAATTATTTTAAAATATGAATGTAATCATTTTAGAAAAGCTCGAGCACATGGATGCCATGCATGTTATCTATTTTAATACTCATAATTTTTCATTTCAGGTACGTCCTTCCATTCCTTGGATATGCGTAGAGAATATGAAGAGTAAATAAGTTACTTATTTTGTTTGATCCCACCATAGGTGATTGAAGCCAAAGAAAATGAAAGAAAAATCAACGAGGCCCGAGAATGTTACAGACCAGTGGCAGCAAGAGCATCTCTTCTTTATTTTGTTATTAATGACCTCCAAAAAATCAACCCCCTCTACCAATTCTCTTTGAAGGTAATGCTGAATGAGCTAAGAAATATGGGAAACTTTAGGAGTTCAATTTGTTTCTGGAACATTGGAATTTATTTTATTATTGATAATAATAATAACTATTATTACTATTATTGAGACAGAGTCTCACTCTGTAGCCCAGGCTGGAGTGCAGTGGCGTGATCATTGCAACCTCTGCCTCCCATATTCAAGCAATTCTCATGCCTCAGTCACCTGAGTAGCTGGGACTACAGGAGTGCGCCACCACACCTGGCTAATTTTTGTATTTTTAGTAGAGACAGGGTTTTGCCACATTGCCCAGGCTGGTCTCGAACTCCTGACCTCAAATGATCTCCCCTCCTTGGCCTCCCAGAGTGCTGAGAGTACAGGCGTGAACCACCGCGCACAGCCAGAATGTATTTTTAAGCCATCGGTGTACCCAGTAAGGAGTCATGAGGATCTGGTTAACAAAATAACAAAAGCAAAATTCTTATTCTCAGGAATTTTCATTTATAATTTTCAGTAAGGCTTTGAGGTAATTAAACTGTGCATACGGTATCATATTATATTGGTGTATTGCTCCTGAGCAGTCTCTTAATTTTTTTTTTTTTTTTTTTTGGGATGGAGTCTCCCTCTGTCGCCCACGCTGGAGTGCAGTGGCGCGATCTTGGCTCACTGCAAGCTCCACCTTCCGGGTTCACTCCATTCTCCTGCCTCAGCCTCCTGAGTAGCTGGGACTACAGGTGTCCGCCACCACACCTGGCTAATTTTTTGTATTTTTAGAAGGGATGGGGTTTCACCGTGTTAGCCAGAATGATCTCTATCTCCTGACCTCGTGATCTGCCCGCCTCAGCCTCCCAAAGTGTTGGGATTACAGGCGTGAGCCACCGCACCTGGCCAGCAGACTCTTTAAGGGAATTTTCCTTGAGGCTCCTATTTTGTCTTTGTGAAAATATGTCTTGGAAAGAGAATGCTCATATTTCTTTGCTAAAGAAAGAAAAATAATAAGAACAACTATTTATTGAGTCACTATTACATGCAAGGCATTTTTATACTTTGGCTCATTCTTTATCCCTATTACATCTCAATAAAGAATATAATATCCCCATTTAAAAAATAAGGATGACATTTTCAAACTTTAAATAAATTGCCCAAGAATTTACATTTGTTATTGTAAGAGCCAGCATTTCAACCTGTAACTGTTTCCAAAGCCCACGCTCCATACCTTGTACCATGCTGCTGCCTGCTGGGCAGTGCTCATTCATTCTGTTCATCTGTTCATCCGTTTTTAGACAAATGTTTATTATGATCAATCACGTCAGATGCTTGTCACTTGAGTGTATAGTTTTGGACAAAACATAAGGGTGGAGGTATATCTATATGTAGATACATATAGATATATATGTACACATAGATATAGTTCCACCTTTATGATCATACATTTGTTTATAAAAGTAGAAAGTATTGTAAGACAGAATGATAGAGGTGGAGAGGCTGCTTTTACTGGGGGCTCAGGGAAGGCCTCCCAGAGGAAGTAACGTTTATTTCTGAAGGATAAGTAGGACTTAGCTATGTAAAGAGTGTTTGGAGAAAACAGGAATGTGTGAGATGAAAGAATTCAGGGATTCCAGGTAGTGAGTGAATTTCTGTGGCTGCAGGGTAATGAGCAAGGGGAAAGGTAGCAAGAAATGAATCTAGAGAGGTGGGAAAGACTGAATCACGCAGAGTTTTGTAGACCACTGTGTGTGGAATTTGGGGATTATAATCTGTGTGCAACAAGAAGCCATTGGAAGATTTCAAGCAGATAACTGATGTGATGACAAAAGACTCAGAGTTACGTGAACAGACCTGAGATATGATTTGAAGCTGGAATCATTGGCTCCTGGAGATGGACTGGTTATGGGCAATAATAAAGAGGAAAGGATCAAGCATAACTAGCAGGTTTCCTAACAGTACAGAACTAGTATGCAAAACTTCTAACAAGCACAGTGTGGTTGGAGTTTGAAAGTAACCATGTGTGAGGAGAAGAGTAAAACTAAATCATCAGTGTCAGCCCAGTATTGCCCAAATTCCAAAACTACACTAAGGCATTACAATAAAAGAAAAATACTGGGCAGTCCCCCCTTGTAAACATTGTTGGTAAACTCCTCCAGAAAATGTTGGCAAATTGAATCCAACCATATATAAAAAGCACAATGTATCATGACCAAGTGGAATGTATGCCAAGAATCAAATTGGTTTAACATTCAAAAATCACGAAGTGTAATTAATCAGTTAACAGAATAAAAGAAAAAAAAGCTCATATGGTCATTTCAGTTGATGCAAAGAACTTGAAAAATTTCAACAAATGAGTTAAAAAAAAAACCAACCAACTCTCAACTAATGAATAGATGGTAACTTCTCAACATGATAAAATGCATCTAGAAAAAATCTACACCAACATTATACTTAATGTTGAAAATGGAATGCTTTTCGCTAAAATCAGGAACAAGACAAGGATATCTTTCTCTCAGCACATCTATTCAGCGCTGCACTGGAAGTTATAGTCGGTACAGTAAGACAATAGAAGGCAAGAGATTTAAAAGAAGAAGAAAAACTGTGTTTTTTCACAGATGACCTGATTATGTATATAGAAAATCCCAAGAAACTCACCAAAACCCTGCCAGGACTAAGAAGTGAATTTTTAGCAAGGTTGCAGGATATAAGGTTGATATACAATGTACCTTGTATTTCTATACATGAGAAACAAGTGGAAAATAAAATCAGTGTCTTAGCACTATTTACAGTGGCTTCCAAAGCCGTGAAGCTTTTTAGGAATAATTTTAATAAAATATATGCAAGGTTTGTATTCTAAAAACTCCAAAATATTGTTGAGAAAAATTAAAGAAGTCCTAACTAAATAGATACACCATGTTCATCAGTTGGAATGCTCAATATTGTTAAGATGTCAGTTCGCTCCAAACTGATTTATAGATTCAATTCAGTCCCAATCAAAACACCAGAAGACATTTCCTTTTTCCTTTTGGTAGAAATTGGCAAGCTTATCCTGAAAATTTGTGTGAAAATTCAAAGGACTTAAAATAGCTAAACAATTTTGAAAAAGAAAAAAAAAAACAGGGTTGGAAGACTTACAATTTCTGATTTTAAGACTTAAATCTACACGAATCAAGATGTTGTGGTACTGGCCTGAAGAAAAATGCATAGATCTGTGGAACAGATTGGAGAATCCCGAGGTACACCCACAAATGCATGGTCAATTGATTTTCAGTAGGGGTGCCAAGACAATTCAATGAGGAAAGGACAGTTTTTACAACAAATGGTGCTGGAGCAATTGGATATCCACATGACATAAAATAAACCTCAAACTATTATACTATATAAAAAAATTCAAAATGAATTTATTAAGCTATACATTTTCTAGGAGAAAAATAAGAGAGGGCTTTGGGTTAGGCAAAGATTTCTTAGGACACAATAGAAAATAAAAACTTAATAAATTGAACCTTATCAAGCTTAAAAGTTTATGGTTTTCAAAAGATATGAAGATGAAAAGGTAGGCCACAGACAAGCAAAGACAATATTCTCAATACATATATATAAAACAAAGAATTTGTATCAGGATATAAAAAGAACTTGTACAACTCAGTAATAAGAGTTGAACAGACATGTAATAACACATGTGAATTATCCACAAGCACATTAAAAATGCTCATCAGGCATCAGAAAAATGCAAAATAAAAGCAGAATGAGGTCTTATTCTATGTCCCACAGAATGGCTAAAGTTTCAGAAGACTCTTAATAGCAAGTGTAGCACAGATATGGTACTACAGCTCTCTCACATTGCTGGAAGGAATGCAATAAACCATTTTGGAAAACAGTTTGGCAGTTTCTTGTAAAGATAAATATACAGTTAGAAAATATGATCTCACACTTTTACTCCAGGCATTTACCTAAGATAAATAAAAATGTATGCCTGCAAAAAGCTTAACAAATGTTCATAGATGCTTTATTCATAAAAGCCAAAGTCTAAAAACAATCCAAAGGACTGACACATTAATAGTCATGCAGATTTTGCATGTTCCCACAGTGGGCTATTACTCAAAACATAAAGGTATGAATTGTTGGTACACACAACAACGTGGATATGTCACCAAACGATTATGTTGAAAAGAAGCAGCCAGATACCGAGGAGTATATACCATATGATGCTATTTATGTGAAATTATAGAAAAGGCAAAATTATTCTACAGTGACAGAGGCAGGTCAGTAATTGACTGGGGCTGGCGATGGTGGTGGGAATAGGCTGTAAATAGGCACATGAGAACTTTTTCTGGTAATGTAAGTAGAAAGGTTCTTTATCTTGATTGCTACGGTTATTGTTAGAATATATCTATTTGTCAAGACTCATCAAACTGTGCATATAATAGGCACATTTTATAGTATGTAAACGAAAAACTGATTTTAAGAAAGTGTAAATATCAGGTTAGTACAGATTGAGCCTCCTAATCCAAAAACCAGAATGCTCCAAAATCTGAAACTTTTTGAATGCTGACAAGATGCCCCAAGTGGAAAATTCTACACCTGACCTCATGCACTTTATGCACAAAATTGTTTAAAATATTGTATAAAATTAACTTCAGGCTATGTGTATAAGGTGTCTATGAAACATACATGAATTTTTTTTTTCATTTTGTTTTGTTTTTGAGATGGAGTCTCACTCTGTCACCCAGACTGGAATGTAGTGGTGCAATCTCGGCTCACTGCAATCTCCACCTCCCAGGTTGAAGCGATTCTCCTGTCCCAGCCCCTCAAGTAACTGGGACTACAGGCACCCACCACCATGCCTGGCTAAATTTTGTATTTTTGGTAGAGATGGGGTTTCACCATGTTGGCCAGGCTGGTCTCAAACTCCTGAACTCAGGTGATCCACCTGCCTCAGCCTCCCAAAGTGCTGGGATTACAGGCATGAGCCACAAGCCCAACCTATAAATGCTTTTGTGTTTAAACTTGGGTTCCATCCCCAAGACATCTCATTGTGTATTTGCAAATATTCAAACATCTGAAAAAATCCAAAATCTGAAACACTTCTGGCCCCAAGCATTTCAGATAAGACATATTCAAGCTATACTTTGTTAATGCCTTCTTACCAATGTTTACTGTATATATCTGTCATTGTAGGATTTTACTTTCACTCAAATATACATACTTCAAGGTGAATTAATCTGTGGTCTCTGGTCCCTATCATCCAAAAATAAATAGATATTTTTATATTGATGGCTATTTATATATATAGATATATTTTTCAAATTTATATTTATATAGAGAGATATAGCAATTCATACAACGCCATTATCACCAAGGCATGAATGAGAGTAATAAATATCAAGAGTGATCTTTAAAGGAAGAAGAGGTGACCAAGGGGCATCCCGAAAGTACATGGGAACAACAACAACAACAACAACGACAACAAAACACAGCAAATAACCAGATTTTAAAATAAGGACATAAGTGGACATTTCTCCAAAGATGTTATAAAAATGATCAACAAGCCTGGGCAACACAGAGAAACCCTGTCTCTACAAAAAAATTCAAAAATTAGCCAAGTGTGATGACACATGCCTGTGGTCTCAGCTACCCAAGAGGCTGAGGTGGGAGGGTTGCTTAGGACCGGGAGGTTGAGGCTGCAGTGAGCCACGGTCACTCCACCGCACTCCAGGCTGGATGACAGAATGAAAGTTTGTCTCAAACAAAAAAGGCAACAAACATATGAAAAAATACTCAACATTAACAATTTTTAGGGAGATGCAACTCAAAACCACAATGAGATATCACCTCACACCCATTAGAATGGCTACTATCAAAAAAAAAAGATAACAAGTGTTGGTAATGACGTGGAGAAATTGGAATCTTTTGGTGGGGGTGCACAATGGCACAGCCACTATGGAAAACAGTGTAGCAATTCCTCAGAAAAATTACAAATAGAATTACCATATGATCAAGCAATTCCACTTCTAGCTGTTTATTCAAAAGAATCAAAAGAGTGTCTTTAGGAGATATCCAAATACCCAAATTCATAGTAGCATTATTTACAATAGCCAAAAGGTGGAAGCAACCCAGATGTCCGTCAGTGGATGAATAGATGAATCAAATGTTGTATATCCGTGCAGTTGAATATTCTTTTGCCTTAAAAATGAACAAATTTCTCATACATGCTGCAACGTGGATGAACCTTGATATTATCCTAATTCAAATGAGCCAGTCACAGTAAGACTGTGACTCTGCTTATATGAGTGTATTAGTCTGTTTTCACAGTGCTGATAAAGACATACCCAAGAGACTGGGTGATTTATAAAGAAAAAGAGGTTTAGTGGAGTCACAGTTCCACGTGGCTGGGGAGGCCTCACAATCATGGTGGAAGGCGAAAGGCACTTCTTACATGGCAGCAGGCAAGACAGAATGAGAGCCAAGTGAAAGAGATTTCCCCTCATAAAACCATCAGATCTCATGAGAGTTATTCACTACCACCAGAACAGTATGGGAGAAACTGCCCCCATGATTCAGTTATCTTCCACCAGGTGCCTCCCACAACACATGGGAATTATGGGAGCTATAATTCAAGATGAGATTTGGGTGGGGAAACAGCCAAACCACATCAGTGAGGTACCTATAATAGCCAAACTCATAGAAACAGAAAGTAGAATAAAAGTGGTTGCCAGGGATGCGGGGAAGGGAGAATATACAGTTGTTTAATGGGTACAGAGCTTCAGTTTTGCAACATGAAAAAGCTCTGGCATCCTAGTGACACTGGATTTAGCTTTTCTTGTTCCTCTTTGGGAGCTATTTGTGTTAGTATGGACTGCCGCATGTAATTTTTAAACTGAGCTCATCACATTGTGTTGTACTTTTGTAATCTTACGTGAAGAGAATCTGTACTGCAAGTAAAACCTACTCCCCCAAAAATGTATGGCCTTGAATCTGCATTAAACGGTATAATTTATGTTCATGAGAAAAAAATTCCACATTTCTTGTGGTTACACAAGAATGTGACTATACTTAACACTACTGAACTGAATGTATGTACACTTAAAATTGTTAAGATGGTAACTTTTATGTTATGTGTATCCTACCACAATCAAATACTAAAATATTATTTTAAGTACATGGGCAGAAGGAGAGAAAATGATGCAATTCAATTGCTTGGAAGGAGATTGAATGGATTTCATGGAATCATATTCATAATAACAGTAATGACAGCAAACATTTAATGAGCATGTACCATGTGCCAGAAACTATAATCCTCCTAAAAATTTTGCCTCATTCTCACTCCCTATAGATAAACCTTAAACTGTTGCCCTGTGTATCGGGGGTAGCTAGACATCCAGGCACCAGTTGTCACATTTTAATGGTCACATTAAATTTCCCAGGCTTTTAACGTGCTGTTCCACAGAGCGATCGAGCAGGCTGACAAGGTGGAAGACATGCAGGGACGCATCTCTATCCTGATGGAGAGCATCACCCATGCTGTCTTCCTCTACACCAGCCAGGCGCTGTTTGAGAAGGACAAGCTCACCTTCCTGTCCCAGATGGCTTTTCAGGTAAGGAGATCAGTTACTTGAAAAAGGATCCCCAGAACCAAAGGCAGATGCCTCTGTTTATTATATATTTTATTTCTGCTGAAGCAAAATATAATAGACTTTTTTTTTTTTTTGGAAGCCCTTGGTGGCATGAGGGGAATTTGCTTCCCACAGGGAACTTGGGCATGTGACAGCCTTCTCCTAGGTCCCAGTGCTTTGGTTTGGGGAGTGGGGCCGGTGGGGTGGGTATACACATTATGCTCCTACCACAGCGGTCACCCTGAAAAATATTCATAAGACATTCTTCTCACCTTCTCGGGTCCTGTAAAGAAACTTCCAGGCACTACCAGGAAGGTTCTTTGAGATCAGGGTTATGAGTCCAGATCCGAGTGGAGCTGGGCTCCTTACAAAACAGCGACTGGGTTCGTCCATGTTGTCAAAAATGACTGAATTTTCCTTTTTTCATTGTGTGTAATTAATAACGCATATTTTTAAATTGCTAAAGGAGTAGATTTTAAATCTCATCACAAAAAAGATAAGTATGTGAGGAGATGGATATATGAATTAGCTTAATTTAACCATTCTACAATATAAACATGTATCGAAGCATCACAGTGTGCCACTTAAATATATATAATTATTATTTGTCAATTAAAATTAAGAAAATGACAGCAGTGACTAGGTAAAGAGAGCTCCAGGTTTCTTACCCACACCTTCAGTGAAACCTGCTTCCTTTTTATTCCTTTTTCACATGAATTTCTATGAAAGACTTTGTTTAAATAAAAGCGTTCATGGCCGGGCACGGTGGCTCACGCCTGTAATCCCAGCACTTTGGGAGGATCACCAGGTCAGGAGATTGAGACCATCCTGGCTAACACAGTGAAACCCCGGCTCTACTAAAAATACAAAAAATTAGCCAGGCGTGGTGGCAGGCACCTGTAGTCCCAGCTACTTGGGAAGCTGAGGCAGGAGAATGGCACGAACCCAGGAGGCAGAGCTTGCAGTGAGCTGAGATCACGCCACTGCACTCCAGCCTGGGCAACAGAGCGAGACTCCGTCTCAAAAAAAAAAAAAAAAGAAAAAGAAAAGAAAAAGCGTTCGTGATAAGAAAAAAGAAACCCTTGCAGACCACATTCCTAGATAAAATAAGCAGATTGTCCTTTTATCAGCCATTTTGCTTTATGTCTTTTTCTATCCAAATGTTAAGGAAAGGTCTATGTCTTACCTATTCTGTGTGTGCCAAAGAAGGCACTTTATACATATCTGCAGCTAATGATGAACTGTGTATGTAATAAACAGGAGCAAGGCATTACACAATGAAATACTTGTTTTTTTGTTTGTTTTGAGACGGAGTCTCGCTGTGTCGCCAGGCTGGGGTGCGGTGGTGCTATCTCAGCTTACTACACCATTTGCCTCCCAGGTTCAAGCGATTCTTCTGCCTCAGCCTCCCGAGTAGCTGGGACTACAGGCGTGCACCACCACACCCAGCTAATTTTTGTATTTGTAGTAGAGATGGGGTTTCACCATGTTGGCCAGGATGGTCTTGATCTCTTGACCTCATGATCTGCCCGCCTCTGCCTCCGAAAGTGCTGGGATTACAGGCATGAAATACTTGTTTTGTATGTACTGCTCATTAATAGAAAAAGACCAGGGATGATAATACATGACATGAACATCTATTTAAAACTTCCCCTTGGAAGCCATAGCTATATCATAATCTTAAGTCCTGACAATCTATATAAATCAAAGTTTCATAACTATATGGATAATTACGTTTGTTGAAATAAACTCAAGAAAAAATAATATCTAATAAAATATTTTAGTGCATGTTATCACTCATAACACCTTTTGAAGATATCTGGAATTTTAAGATAATATAAAGCTCAAAAATTTTACCTGTTTAGCTTTGTGGTGTGTTATGGTTTTTATGTGGAAATTAGGAATACTTCATTTGTACTCTCCAAAATATACTTTGGGTTTTTTATCAGTTCTGTGACCAGAATGTCTAAAGTTTATTCCACTTCACAATGTGTTTAGTTATACCTATAAAAGGTTTTCTCATTCTTCTCAATATAATCTTACATATTAAAAAATCCTTCATGTACCTTGTAGTTTATTGAATAACTACTATACCAGAATTAACTAATAATACTGGTTCTACCTTCTGTTTAGTAATTTAATCCATTGTCACTGGAGGCTTTCTCATTTTGTGTAAGTGTTAAGACAAGTTTGATCTAATAATAAAACACTTAATACGAATGCATATTTTAAATATGTTGCTAATAGTGATAGGTGTTAGAATTGGAATAAATCAGCCTTCATAATTATTTCCTGTTAGATTTCTGATCATGGTTTTGAGATCATTGACATAATCTAAGATTCCCTATTTCAACAGTAGAACAGATGTCAAGTGGAGTTCCCAGCAGGTATGGTTCTGCCTACTCAGTCATGTCTGTTAAATGTGTGACTACTTCCTGTGTGACGATTTTCATGTAAACCTAATAATCCTTTTCAATTTTGTCTACTCTCAAGATTTTGTTGAGAAAGAAAGAGATAGACCCTCTTGAATTGGATTTCCTGCTTCGATTCACAGTTGAACACACTCATCTGAGTCCCGTTGACTTCCTAACTTCTCAGTCATGGAGTGCTATCAAGGTATGTTAGGAATACAGTTTCTCAAATTCTGGATCTTATTTAAAATATTAGCTCTCTCCAGTGTTGAAATGTAAACATTAAAGAATACAGGTGATGTATTAAGCACCATTTCAGTTGTAGAAATGCACTGTATAATGTGATGTTATTAATCTTTGTATTATTCAATTGGTTAATTTCTCATTTAGATGTAAAGGAGCTTTTGGCTTATGTATGCGTGGAAAAGTTAATAAATATGTACAATCTGTCAGGACCTTTGATAAAAGCCAAGTGATACAAATGAATATTTTTAAAAAGTTCCTTAAATCTAAAATTTGTTTTCTTTTTAAATTTCCTTAAAAATTTGTTTTCTTTTTAAATCGTTTCACCATTTTTCTAAATAGTTCTTTAAATTACACCACAGTGGAGTCGTTTATTCTCATTGTAAAATGTTTAAGAAAAACAGAATATTTTAGAGAAATAAGTGACAGTTGCCTTAAACCTCAATTATCAATCCTCATTGCATTTTTCTGTCAAAGGCCCTATTGTTAGAAGTTAATTCTTCCAGGATCTGGAGTATCTTAATGATGTTCAACATATGCTAAGCTTTGCCCTACTCTTTTTTCTAAGAAGGAAACATTTCTGTGCATTGGAAATAACTGTTACCTCTTATTTTTATATATGTTCAGCTTTTTAAAGTAGTATTTGTAATTAGATTGTAACTTTAGAATTCAAAATTCAAATTCAAATGTGTATCAGTCAGGGTCTTAACAGGAAACAGATGGCACATTCAAAAGGTTGATGAAGAAAGTTTAACCAAGAGTCTGTTTTCATAGTATGGGCAAGAAGGATTAGGAAATCAACCAGGGGATGGGGAAGGAAAAAGGAGGAAAAGGACAGTTACTGGAACTTCATAAGAAATGAAGTTATGGGAGAGAGCCAACCTTAGAGGATCTGTGGCCTGTGGCAGAGAAACATAGTCCCTCCCAAACCACATTCCCACGAGAAAGAGCTGGGGTAGAAATGTTTCCAGAAAGGGGTCCTGATCCAGACCCCAAGAGAGGTTCTTGGATCTCGTGCAAGAAAGAATTCAGCGTGAGTCTGTAAAGCGAAAGCAAGTTTATTAATAAAGGAATAAAGAATGGCTACTCCATAGGGAGAGTAGCCCTGAGGGCTGCTGGTTGCCCATTTTTATGGTTATTTCTTGTTGATATGCTAAACAAGGGGTGGATTATTCATATCTCCCCTTTTTAGACTTTATAGGGTAACTTCCTGACGTTACCATGGCATTTGTAAACTGTATGGCACTGGTGCAGTGTAGCAGTGAGGACAACCAGAGGTCACCCTCATCACCATCGTGGTTTTGTTGGGTTTTAGCCAACTTCCTTACTGCAAGCTGTTTTATCTTTATGACCTGTATCTTGTGCCAACTTCCTATCTCATCCTGTGACTTAGAATGCCTTAACCTCCTAGGAATGCAGCCCAGCAAGTCTCAGCCTCAATTTACCCAGCTCCTATTCAAGATGGAGTTGCTGTGGTTCAAACGCCTCTGACAGAAGTACCCCCACCTCTCTCTTCTCCAGTCTTCCAGGCTCCTGCCATTGCTTTCTGTTGGCCAAACCCAACTAGGTCAGGGAACCAGGGAACTCAGCTCAAGTGTCCTTTGAGCTTACCCTCTCAGCAGAGCAAAAAAAAAAAAAAAGGAAATCTGAAGAGGAGAGTGAATACTATCCAGCACAGTTTTTTTACATAAGATTAGATACATTCACAAGTCTTCTTCTCAAACTGTAAAGTATCGTTCACACCATTCCTACTTGTTTCCCTATCATATTACAGGCAATTGCCGTCATGGAAGAATTTCGAGGCATAGACCGAGATGTGGAAGGATCTGCCAAGCAGTGGAGGAAGTGGGTAGAATCCGAGTGTCCAGAAAAAGAAAAATTACCTCAAGAATGGAAGAAGAAAAGTTTAATACAGAAGCTGATTCTTCTGAGAGCAATGCGCCCTGACAGAATGACGTATGCTCTCAGGTGGGGTGGTCAGCATTTTTGGAAACATGTATTAGTTAACATAGAGGAAATGTAGTCTGAAGAGTTAGGAGGATCTGGTGGAAGTGTTTACCATCCATTTTGATGGGGAGTGATTCTGCTGAGATTTTGATATTATAATCACTGCTACTGTTAAAATTTGCTAAACACTAAACCATGTGCTAGGCAGACTCAGCACATTCTTCCCAAAAAAGCTTAATTCTGAAATCAGTACTGGAGACAGGGGACTGATGGAAATATTCCTGGAAGAGAAATGGGTGTCAGCAGAGTTCAGAGGCCAGGAACATGCATTCATGCATTATCCAAGTGTAATTTCCATCGTTTTCTTTCAGTGATGGCATTTTGGTTCTGAAGATTTTGCATGTCAAACAAAAATGCATTCCTTTCATGGAGTCACTCATAGTCCCTATAACTTTACAACCAATGCAGTTTCAAAGCAGAAACCCTTGTCTACATCTTGGTTTAAGTGTCCTTTTTCTTTGCCCTCTTGGCTTCTAAATGGTAATGTGCTGCTTAATTCACACAAGTCTCATTCTAATTTGAATTCACCAACCAAAGAGTTCTCAACTTCCTTCCCTATTGTGTTTCTTCAGTAATATTCATGTGCCTCAGGTTTTTTCCTTTGCTTTGTCTAGTTCAGCCAATTTTCCCTTTGCAGAAACCTCTGCTGAACTCTACTTTACAAGTTAATTCTGCTTAGTAGTACTTACTTTCTGCTAAATCTGATGCTGCTGGAAAATAATCCTTGCTTAATTGAGCCTCCCTGTGTTAGAAACACCCCAAAAAGCATTTGTATATTCATGAGAAGCCCAGCAGGCTGGAAAATTGCACTGTGGCAAATCTAATGAACTGTTAATAAGTAATGGGGGAATCTGGCAGGGGATTTGGGGGATACAAAGCCATAGCAGACAGCTGATGGCACTCAGGGGGGTCTCAGTAGCCCCCCAAAATGGAATGTAGGCTTCTGATTTTCAGAGCTTCTAAGGAAGAGAAGGATTTCATTGACACACCTACCGCATACATCTAGCTGGATTCATATTGTTATTCTAACAAGACATCCCATGTAATAAACCTGGTTACTTCTATCGTGTGCCTGTGTGGTTTAAGCTTATCCAAATGGTGACTCTTTTCAAGGTCAAAACCACTGATCATGTTTTTATATTCTTGTTTTTTATAGAAATTTTGTAGAGGAAAAACTGGGTGCGAAGTATGTGGAGAGGACCAGATTGGACTTAGTTAAAGCATTCGAAGAAAGCAGCCCAGCCACCCCCATATTCTTCATCCTGTCTCCGGGGGTAGATGCCCTTAAAGACCTGGAGATTCTTGGTGAGTGGCTGGGAGGCTCGCTGGCCCGCCCCTTCTCCCTCCCTCCCTTTCACCCCCACCCCTGCCCTTCTTTTCAGTTCACAGTGATCTTAGTTTCTTTTTTTTTTTTTTTTAATTTGTTGAAGATTGGGTGTATGGAAAATGTAAAGCTAATAACCCCATAGTCTGAAGAAATGTTGAAATGGAACATTCATGTGGCTGGCATAATGCAAGTTTCTTTTGTACTGTTTTCCACCTTTTGACTGTATGAGGGCCAGAGGGCAATTTTCCACATGCTCATGTAATCTTGTGCCCCCTGTGACTAAATAATGGTCATTAGAGCAAGTGTATTTGATTGCGCAAGGCACTGTCGCCTTTGTGTTCTGGATTACCATTCCCCACGGCCTGCACCAAGAATACCAGGTTAATATAGCTGTGACCTGACTGTGCTCAATTTAAATGCAGTCTCACAAGGTGAGAGGCTTGTGCATTTACCCAATGAACAGATCCATTCAAAAAAAATGATGTGATATCTACCACATGTTGCTCCTTTTTATGAGAGAAATGCTTTGCTACTCCTGCAAGAGTTTATAAAGCTCCATAACAATGCCTGCCATCTATCAAAATGTCAATAGCTTCATTATCATAAAACCAAAGGAACTGGCTTCCACGGCTTTTCTAATGCTTGCAATGAGGCAGCTGTGGAGAGCTCAAAATGCTGCTTGTGGATACAACAGAAGTTTCTTTGGGATTCTTCAGGAAAGTCACTCAGAAGATGGCTGCGGTGACCACAGATGTGCATTAGACCACAGAATTCCAGGCTCCTCTCACCCTCCTTCATAGACATTTCCTCTCACCGTGGTGTATTCTCCCACAGGCAAAAGACTTGGCTTTACAATTGACTCTGGAAAATTCCACAATGTGTCTTTAGGACAAGGTCAGGAGACGGTGGCAGAAGTGGCCCTGGAGAAAGCTTCCAAAGGAGGACACTGGGTCATCCTCCAAGTGAGTATTAAGTTTCAGGGAAGACACTGGGCATAAACACAGAGGAGGGCCAGGGCAGAGCTGGCCCGCCCAACAGAATGCTCCCTTAACACCGCTGTGCATGGCGATTTGCAGAGTGCAAGCAGTACTGTCAGTGTTCATGATGCCTGCAAAGATGGTGAGGGGCTCTGCGGACAGCGATGGCTGTCATCTTCTGAGAGACTGTCTAGCCATTGTACTCTAAAATTAAAACTATTAGGAAGAACTTCGTCGTTCCCCTCACTTAGAGATATCTGGAACACTCAGTAGTGCCTGAGAACACGCAGGCTTGTTTAGATTGCTAACAGTGTTATCATAGTATCTGGGTTGACGTTAGAGTCGACAGAACTCTTTTTTAATGTATATTGTTGTTGCAGAATTTTGCTCCTTAGCATAGCTAAAACCAGGTCCTTGTCACACAACCAGAAAGGACTAGGAACACAGACACATTGAAGGGTGGGGGGAATGGAATTTATTGAGCGAAAAGAAAAAAAAAAGTCTCAGCAAAGTGAGAGGGGATCCTGCTAACACACCCCAACCTCACAGATTGAATACCAGGCCACTGCCCAGGAGCTGTGGAGGCCAGGCTCCTCCCCGCTGCAAATGGTGTGAATTTCCTATGGCTCTACCACATTCTCCCAATGCACAGGCAGGTCAGAGATTCTCTGGGGACCTTCCCCAATACTTGGCTCCTGCATCAATCATTATCTCATACAAGTCCAACTCTGCCCCTACCTAGTGTGTAACATTCCCTTTGATTGTAAATTATAGGGGTTTGAGTAGACAACTCCTTTATCCCTTCTCAGGCAAACATCATACAGACCTTTGGTTCTCCCACCCAGTGTCCTCTGGGATGCCCCCCTTGGCTGAGTATTACAAGAACCAGTGGAGCACAGGCCAGCATTAGGGGGCACCTGAGGAATGTGCTGACTCCATCCACAGCAAGCTCTGCTAGCTGTCTCACTAGGTCTAGGAATGGCTATTTAGTTTTCAGCTGAGTCATGCAAAGGTTCTCGTCAGTAGGCAATTCACAGGCTGCCTTATCTGGAATCATTACAACAAAGCTCCTAGGTTAGGAGTCGTGATTCTCTATATAAAGATGAGAAAAGTGAGCATCCGAGTGGCTGGAGAGCCTCAAGGCCACAGGGCTGATTGGATGGCAGAGCTGGTACTTCAGTCTAGGACTGTTTAGCAGCAGGTGACATTCCTGAAAATAGCCACCCTCATGCAAGATACAGCGTTGGCCTCCCTTAGTGTCTCCAGTATCCAGGCTCGGTGCCTTTGGCATTTCTGCTTGAAATGCAACTGGATTCATAAAGAAGCTTCCAGAGTCCAAGCAGGCTTATGATTGCAGGAATGTAACCTTCTGGGATGATGATAATACCCACTGCTTAGATGAGGCCTTAATAGAGACCTTTGTAAGGGGACTTGAGGGCAGTGTAGTGCATCCCCTTCTGAGGCTCAGAAACACAGGAGGGTTCGCTTTTTCAGAGAAAACAGTTGACACTCAGACAGTTAGGTAAATTTTAAGGTTGTCTCAGAAAGGAAAGAGCTCTTTGAGCATTCTCATGCTCCCAGTGGCTCAGACTGGAGAGAACACTAGGAGGGCTATAGTCATCCTCAAAAGAACGTATTCAAAATAAACTATTTCCATTACTTTTGTATCTGTGCTGAGCTATTTGTTGCCCCTAAAATTGCAAGTTGTAAATTTTAACATAAAAAAAACTTAAAAGATCTTATTTTGTCAAGGATCTACTTTTGGATATTTGTTTCAGACCTTTGATTTTTGTTGTTAGAGCTATGCCAGTAACCAAGAATTTAACTGTTTAAACCTCTTCACTCCCCACCCCTGTACCCACATACAGTAATTGGTAAGGAGAGATTATACCAGGCTTTGGGCCATCCCAGTGTCTAGAAGTTGCTAGTATCCATTTGATCAGCAGGAAAAAGAGAAGCAGGACTTTGAAGAAAGAGAAGGCAAACATAATGAAAACTTGTTATACTGTTCATAATTTACATTAAATTACATTAACGTGGGTATATGATATGTATGTACATGTTAATTAGTTCTTACCTAAGCCCCAATGTGATCAATTATTATGATTAGATAGAGCCCTCTAAAGGTGTTTAGATAGTAGTTAATCGAAAGCCCAAATTCCAGAGAAAACTATTATAAAAGTAGCAGGCCGGCAACTATCTTTATCTCACATGCACACCAGAAGGCTTGTGAATTAACATAACAGATATTAAAAACCATTTTTCAAGGGCAAAATGACCATTTTTCATGCATTTCCAAGACATATAGATTGTCTAAAAGTGTTGCACAAGCATTGCTGTTCTTGGAAAAATAGGCATAAGAATCTAGCCAGTCCCAAAGCCAGTACCCTCAAGAATAGCTGCCAAGCTAGATTCCAAAGTGTGCCTGTGCTCCACGATGGCTTGCTTAGAGGTTTTTCTGTCCCCTTCAGTGACTCCAAAGTCACTACCTAGAATATTTTTACATTTGATTCAAGTAAACTTTTCAAGTAAGGTACTGTTGTAGCCCATAAGACAGAGAATGAAGATATAATTGAGTTTACAAAGCAGGTTTTATTATTGTTTCTGTTGTTTTCTTTTATGATTGGCACAATTAGGAATGAGAAATACGCTTTCCTTATAACCTGTTAGTAAGCATGTAAAGGAGGGAACTTAGAGTCCTTACCTACTGTATTACTTTGCTAGAGTGGACGGCCAACTTTCCGTGTCTTCATGTGATTTGTCTTCTGTGTTTCTGGGTCCTAATCCCTTCTTCTCATAAAGACATCAGTCATATTGGTTTAAGACCCTTCATTGGCAGGATGGGGTGGCTCAAGCCTGTAATCCCAGCACTTTGGGAGGCCGAGGAGGGCAGATCATGAGGTCAGGAGATCGAGACCATCCTGGCTAACACAGTGAAACCCCGTCTCTACTAAAAATACAAAAAAAATTAGCTGGGCGTGGTGGTGGGTGCCTGTAGTCCCAGCTACTCGGGAGGCTGAGGCAGGAGAATAGTGTGAACCCAGGAGACGGAGTTTGCAGTGAGCCAAGATCGCACCACTGCACTCCAGCCTGGGTGACAGAGCGAGACTCTGTCTCAAAAAAAAAAAAAAAAAAAAAAAAAACCTTCATAATGACCACATTTAGCTTCAATTATCTCCTTAAAGACCCTATTTCCAAATACAGTCACATTATGAGATGCTGGGGGTTAAGACTTCACCATATGAATTTGGGGGTGCATAATTCTGCCCACCACATCTACCAGTGTTCATTATTTGCCAAGGGAATAAAAGCCAATAATGTGAATGACTGAGTGGGCTTAGATCTTTTTGCAATAGAAATTTTAAAGAAGGATACTTGCATTATTATTTTGTTCCATGTTTGCCCTCATTCTCTGTATTTTTGTAGCTGTTATAATCTTAAATGTTTTTCTTTGTTGGAAATAATTATATATATCTGGGTGTGACATTTCAATTACTGTATCAAGGACTTCTCCAAAGCCAGAGAACATGTAAGGTGCAGCCTTTATATCTCCCTCCCAGCACCAACTACCAAGCTATAACCTGTAGGTGTTTGGTATTGGAAGAGCAAATTTGTGAATCATAAAATGGAAAAGAAAAGAATGACAACGGTGGTGGCATTTAATTTTTTGTGTGTGATTTTCAACAGACCTAGGATTTAAGGAAAATCATCTGTTAGGAATAAACAAAACATCTTAACAATGAATGATTGCTTGCTTTCAGCTAGCCTTGCTTCCCTTATTTCCTTTTGAGTTCATATGCTTATGAGTAGGAGTTTGAGTAGAAGAGGTTTCCATCAGAAACCAATGAAGAGGGTGTCAGGCACATTTCTGGCTTTTAGTTTTCATATTTTCTCAAACTAACCCCAATATGTCTCAGTAATTGTATTTGAACCATAACAAAGAAAAGTACTAGGCAACTCCATCTCAGAAGTGACTGGTGGGCTTTTGAAGTAGGTATGTGTATTGCGTGGAGATTTTGGATTACAAAGACAGTCTGTGTTGATTGGGAACATTTAATATGTTCAAGGTTCAATTCCCTTTTGGCTTTTTTTTTTTTTGATGTATTGATGTATTGATAAAGGAAAATTTTTATGATGTATTGATAAAGGAAAATTTGAATCATGGTTCTCTGAGTTTTCAGTGCAATTATATATAGGAAAATGTAATCTTATAATTCAAGTAATATGCCTCACCTTCACAGGAATTATGCACCATGCTATCTTTCAGAATGTTCATTTGGTAGCCAAGTGGCTAGGAACCTTGGAGAAGCTCCTTGAAAGATTCAGCCAAGGAAGCCACAGAGATTACAGGGTTTTCATGAGTGCTGAGTCTGCACCTACACCAGATGAGCATATCATCCCTCAAGGACTCCTGGAAAATTCCATTAAGATCACTAATGAACCCCCAACAGGGATGCTGGCCAATTTGCATGCCGCCCTGTACAACTTTGATCAGGTAAGAAAGCGAAGCAGGCTAGGCAGACAATGAAGTCAGAGTCATCTCACAAGACTGTGGGGCCCAGAATCAACCCAGGCATGTCATTGAGAGGGATGAAGCAAGTTCTTAATGTTCGCATGTGGAAGGGTAGGGGTGGGCGTGTTTTAATCTCTTGAAAGAATTGCCCCTGTCATTTCCGATTCTAATGACCAGTAAATATATTTCAGTCTCACCCTAACATTAAGAAAACTTCAGCTACTGTGTAGGGAAAGCTAACTAGGTAACTTCTTGAGGAGGTTGCTTTTTTTTTTTTTTTTTTTTTTTTGAGACGGAATCTCACTTTGCCGCCCAGGCTGGAGTGCAGTGGCATGATCTTGCCTCACTGCAACTTCCACCTCCCGGGTTCAAGCAATTCTCCTGCCTCAGCCTCCTGAGTAGCTGTGATTACAGCTGCATACCACCACGCCCGGCTAATTTTTGTATTTTTAGTAGAGATGGGGTTTCACCATGTTGACCAGACTGGTCTTGAACTCCTGACCTCAGGTGATCCACCTGCCTCGGCCTCCCAAAGTGCTGGGATTACAGACATGAGCCACCGCGCCTGGCCGGAACTTGCTTCTTGAAAACAAATGTGGCACACTAGTATCTCTGACCACAGAAAGAGAAGAAGCCATTGTTATTCTTGTTGATGATGGCGACAGTAATGACATGGTAAAAGTTTCAGTGTAGTGTTTTAGCCCGGTTTGATATGAGTAAATTTAAAGGCCTCTTTTTGGGTTATATCTATGACACCTTATTTATATGTTCATGTTTTTCCAAGATAAGACAAATGAATACTTACATGGTTTTTTTTTGTTTTTGGTTTTTTTGAGACAGAGTTTTGCTCTTGTCGCCCAGGCTGGAGTGCAATGACATGATCTTGGCTCACTGCAACCTCAGCCTCCCAGGTTGAAGCGATTCTCCTGCCTCAGCCTCCCAGGTAGCTGGGATTACAGGCGCCCACCACCAAGCCCAGCTAACTTTTGTATTTTTAGTAGAGACAGGGTTTCATCATGTTAGCCAGGCTGGTCTCGAACTCCTGACCTCAGGTGATCTGTTCACCTTGGCCTCCCAATTCCACCTTGGCTGGAATTACAGGTGTGAGCCACTGCACCTGGCCAAATACATATATAAATTAATACATAAATACATACGTATATATACATATATATACACATATATATGATATATATATGATACCTTTATTACCATTACTCTTTTTACCCAAACTATCCTATCTATCAACATCATTGTCAAGTCTTTCAGTTTCCTTTCTTGCTATTGCTCTGAGATCTTCCTTCCTTCCTCTAATTTTTTGGAAATCCTTGGTAAATCGCATTCTTGTTAGGACAGTAGAATGAACCCTAAAGAGGAAATACATATGATTTGGTGATAAATATTCAGCCCCCTCTTAGAAATATCATTCTCTACGAAGCATGTTAACATCCTTAGCTTCTTTTCTCGTAACTTTTGGGTCAATACGTAAACCAACATTATGAAGGAATTATGATAATTGACTACCTAAGAATACAGTGTTGAAGAATGCAGTTAATTACTTCATTAAATAATTGAGTAATTTTTATCCTATATATACACACAAGATTGTGTAAATAGTAGGACTCAAAAAATCTTTTTGAAACTATTAAGTATCTGCAATATGCCTTATTTAATCCACTATGACAGACATATATGTTTTTTAATCATCTCTTAATTTATAATTTCTGGCTATTTATGACATTTTCAAGCTATTTCCCAAAGTACATACAAAGAGGAATTTGATTTATTTAAATAGGACTTATCTGCCCCCTAAAATAAGTATCTTTATTCATGAAAGTGAACATTTCATGAACAAATATGCTTCAGCCCAATTATCCTTCAGCTTTTTTGTTCGTTTGTTTGTTTTGTTTTTTTGGTAAAGATCACTTCGAGAATCTCATAAAACTGTGGACACTCTCCCCAGGGAAATACACGTTCGAAAATATACTGCACATTGGGCCAGACACAGTGCCTCATGCCTACAATCCCAGCACTTTAGGAGGCTGAGAGGAGGATCACTTGAGCCCAGGAGTTCGAGGCTGCAGTGAGCTATGATCACACCACTGTGCTTCAGCCTGGGCAACAGAGCGAGACACTGTCTCAAAAAATAATAATAAGTGTTAAAAATATGTTGCATATAATGATAAAGATTCACAGATTCCCCCAAAGCCTATGCATGAATTCCCTAGTTAAGAACACCTGTTCTGGTCTTTTCATGAACCTGTCAATTCTTTTGACTGCTATCTGGAAAGCCACTTTTATTAATTGAAGGTTACTTTTATTAGAAGGGCTTTTAGGAACTTCAAGGAAGAATATTTCTTTTTTTTTTTTTTTTTTTTTTTTGAGACAGAGTCTCACTCTATCGCCCAGGCTGGAGTGCAGTGGTACGATCTCGGCTCACTGCAAGCTCCGCCTCCCAGGTTCACGCCATTCTCCTGCCTCAGCCTCCCGAGTAGCTGGGACTACAGGTGCCTGCCACCATGCACGGCTAATTTTTTGAGTTTTTTAGTAGAGACGGGGTTTCACCGTGTTAGCCAGGATGGTCTTGATCTCCTGACCTTGTGATCTGCCCGCCTCGGCATCCGAAGTGCTGGGATTACAGGCGTGAGCCACCGCACCTGGCCCAAGGAAGAATATTGCTTATTTAGTGGAGAGGATCCTCTGAAATATTAAGACTGAACTTGATGTTAAGTAGCAAAAGCAAAGATAACCAAAGTGATTCACTAAATAATCTTCTCATCAAACCTATCTTAGCCAGAGCCAACCAACAAAATAAAAAATGTGCAGAAAATCTAAAATGTTAGAGTCTTTTATGAATGCTGACCTGTCATTATGTTAGAAAACAAAATGCAGTTTTTAATCAGATTATATAATTCAAGGGATTTAGCCTGTGCTCCCTGGCTCTCTGTGAATATGTTCCCATTGCCCTTTTATCAGTTAGAATGTTGGGTTGGCTACTTTTGAAAAAAGTTCTTATAAAATAACAGTGGCTTATACAAGGTCAAAAAGTAGTCCTGCCACATGAGAGTTTTACAGATAGTCCATTCAGAAGTCATGTGTTACCACAAATTGTCATCAATCTGGCTCTTTATAGTTCACCATTTCTAGAATGGGCTTTTCACGGTCCCAGGTGGCTGCAGGAGTTGCAGCCCCCATATCCACATTCCTGACAGGAGGATGGAAGAAGAAACAAACAAGATGACAAAAGGAAAAGGACGGTGTTTGCTTTGTTGTGCAAGTGCTTCCTACAAGTTAACAAACAGAAATTCTCCTTTCATCTCATTGGTCAAACTTAGTCACATTGCATTACCTAGCTGCAAGAGAGGCTGGGAAAAGTGAATTTATCTTAAGCAACCATATGCCCAGCTAAAAATTAGCAAGAAGACATTTTAAGGAAGGCAATCAGCAGTCTCCATCACAGATGTCCTTTCCCACATCTCCTTGTATTATTTGGGGTGTTCTGTGTTGCTGCTGTGGTCCAATCTTGTTAAAGCCTGTGTATGGATAGATTGATGAATGCTATCTCTCTTGTTACCCATATGGGTTAGGTAAATGAGGACCAGTTGTTCCTGTTGCCTGGGTGTCCCTCACAGTGGAGTAAAATACCCAAGAGGTTTAGACAAGTCAACTGTACTGCTAGGGTATTTTTCAAATCTAATTAAACCTTTTTTTTCTTTTTTTTGCTCTGTCACCCAGGCTGAAGTGCAGCAGCACACTTATAGCTCACTGCAGCCTTGAACTCCTGGGCTCAAGTAATCCTCCTGCCTCAGCCTCCTGAGTAGCTGGGACTACAGGTGTATGCCACTATGCCTGGCTAATTTTTAAATCCATATTTTTAATCTTTCCCCTCAATTTAGAATTTACCTCCAAACTTTGGCATGTGTATTCAAAATGAACAGTTTGTTTAATACTAGTGCTTTATTATCCTGAGCATTCCAGAATATTTATGTAAATTTAATCAAGTGGCTGGGACATAAAGAACCATTTCTTGTAGGATACCATCTACCTACGCCTTTCAGCTAAAGAGCCTCTTGAGGCTAGGCACGGTGGCTCACGCCTGTAATCCCAGCACTTTGGGAGGCCGAGGCGGGCGGATCACGAGGTCAGGAGATTGAGATCATCCTGGCTAAAAAGGTGAAACCCCATCTCTACTAAAAATACAAAAAATTAGCCAGGCGTGGTGGTGGGCGCCTGTAGTCCCAGCTACTCGGGAGGCTGAGGCAGGAGAATGGCATGAACCCGGGAGGCAGAGGTTGCAATGAGCAGAGATCGCGCTACTGCACTCCAGCCTGGGCAACACAGGGAGACTCCATCTCAAAAAAAAAAAAAAAAAAAAAAAAGAGCCTCTTGAGGAAGATGTAGTAAAGGAGTACTCTTTTGGCTCCCTTCACACCCAGATAACTATATTTTTTTAGAGTAAGAAGATAGATTTCTGTTTCTGTAAAATTTGCAGGCAGAAACAAGTAATTGATCATTGTGCATATAAAATTGGTAATTGTGTACAAATAGCACTACTATGGGTATGCAGATGCCTGTTCTTTGTTCACAATGGAGTCTGTATTTTTTAAATATTTCCTTATCACTTGGTTTGCAAAAATACAACTGGCCTGAACTGTGGAATGGTAGGTAGACTCATACCTTTTCTTCAGAAAGCCTGATTCATATTTTTTTCCTGCATCATTTATGTTATCAGAACACAAAGAAATGGATTGACTTGTTTCTTTTAGCACTGAGGATAAAGCCAAGTCATTTATATAAAGTACAGATTGAAGTAATGTACTTAGTTATTATAGTACCTTGGGTTTTATGTGGACTATCTGTAATTCAGAAAGGTATTAAGTGATTTGTTAGATCATAATTCCAAAGTGAAATTTTGATACATATATTGGATCTCCTAGAAATTTCTCACATTTAAAAGTAAATTTTTTTTATACCCTTCAAGGTTAATTCCAGTTATACGGTTTCTCTTTTCTGCCTTCACAAGCTTGCCCTTTATTTGTGGAAAAGTTATTTTTTAATGATTGTATATTTCCAAGCCCCATAAATGACCTAAAAATGGCCTAGTGATTTAGAGTGACCTAGTGATTTAATTGGATCTGCGCTACATGCTTCCTGGCCAATTCTAGAACCGTATTTGGTGGGAGCCCTGGATTCTGCTAAAAGCACTGTCTAAAGAAACTGAAAAGCTCTCTGATCCTGACCCACAGAGAACAAATCTGGTCTTGGTTTAGTATCACAAGTCCTCTGGAAGACTAGGTCTGAACTACTCACACTGGTTCTACATATACTTCATATATGGCCCAAGTTGTCAGATCCATTTCAAATGTGAACTGGCTATAGTTTGCCCATTTTAAAGGACAAGGCAGGGAAGGGCAGATTTTGGCCTCTTCCTCCCCTGTTGCTCAATGCCAGCTGAAGGAATAGTCCTCAACTTCCTTTCCTTGCCTCACAGAACTGCCAAATCTGAACATGGGTGAAATATGACTTTTAAGCCATAGATTGGACAGCTATTTTTCTTTTAATTTTATGGCTGTTGGGCCATAACCGTATCCATGTAGCATGCCAGGATTCCATTTTCCATCTGCGTTCTTAAAAAAAAATCTCACAGGTCTAGGCTGGGCACAGTGACTTGTGACTGTAATCCCAGCACTTTGAGAGGCCGAGGTGGGTGGATCATGAGATCAGGAGTTCGAGACCACCCTGGCCAATCTGGTGAATCCCCATCTCTATTTAAAAATATATACAAAAATTAGCCGGGCATGGTGGTGCATGCCTGTAGTCCCAGCTACTCGGGAGGCTGAGGCAGAAGAATCGCCTGAACCCTGGAGGCGGAGGTTGCAGTGAGCAGAGATAGCCCCTCTGGTGACAGAGCAAGACTCCATCTCAAAAAAACAAAAAACAAATAAACAAAAAAAAAACCTCACAGGTCTAGACACATGTTTCCCAATTTTCCATATATCACCCAGTCATCCCAACAATGAATTTTACTTTTAGTTCATTGGAAGGAAATAATGTGTCGTGGTGATTTTATTAGTTAAGGTACAGGCTAAGCTGCTGTAAGAAAGAGAATCAAAACTATAGGGATTCAAACAAGATAGGAGTTTTTTTCTCACACATATTAGGCAGCTTTGTTCCATGAGATCATTCATACGCCCAAGCTGATGGGTGCCCCTGCCATACCTAACTCAAGTTTTCCAGACTTGACCAATCATCATCATTTCTAGCCATAGAAAAGGAAAGAGTTCGCTGGGCCCCGCGGCTCGTGCCTATAATCCCAGCACCTTGGGAGGCCGAGCAGGGTGGATCACCTGAGGACAGGAGTTCAAGACCAGCCTGGCCAATGTGGCAAAAACCCATCTCTATTAAAAATACAAAAATTAGCTGGGTGTGGTGGCATGCACCTGTAATCGCAGCTACTCAGGAGGCTGAGGCAGGAGAATTACTTGAACCCAGGAGGCAGAGGTTGCAATGAGCTGAGTTGGTGCCACTGCACTGCAGCCTGGGTGACAGAGCAAGACTCCGTCTCAAAAAAAAAAAAAAAAAGAAAGAAAGAAAAAAAGGGAAGAGTGACAACTAAGACAAGCAATTTCATTTTCAGCAAATGACCTGGAAGTTATACACAACACTTTAGCTGAAATTCTGTTGGCAAAAACTTGGTTGGATGACACAAATGGCTTCATGGGAGGCTGGGAAACAGTCAAGGGTGTCCATGTGCCCAGAGAACCAGGGAAGAATGGATAGTTGTGGTTAACTAGCATTCTCCCAACCGTAATAGCATTCTACTACAGTGATGAAATGAAGATGATGGCTTTATGTCATCCAGATTCTGCGAAGAAAATTTTGCAGAGGAAAATGATGTCAAGCAGTATGACATGGTTAAAATGAACTGTCTCATTTTCTAGTGAACTTAGAAGCATTCAGAAGCATGACTGAAGCAAAATAAAAGTATTCCTCTTAAGCCAACAGACTGGCAAATGCCAAATAATCTCCTGTTAAGCTTCTCATTGGATAAGTAGCCATGCTGAAGACTGCCTCTGTAGTATCTCACTCTCAAAGTTCTTTACAAGATTATTGAAAACGCAGACCCTTGCTCTTGGAAACCATACAGATGGATAATCAAGCATTTCTTCTCTTTTTTCCCAGGATACACTTGAAATATGCTCCAAGGAGCAGGAGTTTAAAAGCATCCTTTTTTCTCTCTGCTACTTCCACGCCTGTGTTGCTGGGAGACTGAGGTTTGGCCCCCAGGGCTGGAGCCGAAGCTATCCTTTTAATCCTGGAGACCTCACCATTTGTGCCAGTGTCCTCTACAACTACTTAGAGGCAAACTCTAAAGTAAGTGCTAGTGGTCAAATAACCTCTTCCAAGGAGTTTACAAAGCTGTCAGTCTTTGGGCACTATCAAAATTGACCATAATTTCTCTTTTGAAGCTATTATTGAAATAGCTGACACTATGTATGTATCTTCTGCCAAGTGTGAAAATAAACCAGATCAAAGGTTTTCCAGCAGTGGATGTTTGCACTTCATGAGATAGGTCAAACCAGTTCTACATCAGCAGCTTAGTGTAAAAAAAAACAAAAAATGTCCTTCATTATGTTAACAAAAACAGTGGTTTACATGTGCGTATATGCCAGATTCATTAGGCAGGTAATGAAGCATTTGCACAAATGTAATTACATACAGCAATTCTGACAGTTCATAACACTGCATTAATAATCACTACAATTAGTTCTGATGATGGAAGCAATTTACAGCGCGTCACATGTATAAATAATGGTGCATTTCCTGCATATGTCATTATTATGTATTAAGGATGCCACCTTGTTGTGACTTTCTCAGTAATGTTCCCCTTGATTTGAAGTTAAAGGTAGATGAATGATTTTATTTCGTAGCTAAAATGTGTTTTACAGATGGGAATGGGAATGCCTCATCAAGAACATTTGTGTAAGTTCTCATAAACCCAATGATTGGATTTCAAAAAGCAAGAACCATTCATTCCTAAGGATTTTCTAGCTTAATCCTCACAAGGGAAACTTTTTTCATTAAGTTAAATCCGTTAAGACTAGGATACATGTGTCAAAACCAGTCAAGTGTTGTACTCTAGGCCACATTTTCTATAAAGCGTTTTTAAAATCACCCGTCTCTGTTTCTAAATGGAAACTATTGTTTTATGTTCCTTCAGTAATGATTGTTATAACTTTTTTGGTCAGCTTTCTCAGGCTTCGGTGGTGATTTGATTGCTATTAGAATAGATACCCTTGGTACCTAACAGGCATATTTTCCCAAGGAACAAATTTTAAATAAGTTGTATCCAAAATAAATGGTTTTAATATGGTATTTGATGTTCAGTGTTCCATATCTCTCATTTTTCAATTTATAGAATTAAGTAATTCTGAATACTTTGAGCATATTTTGACCATTCTATTAAATAGTAATATTTTTGTGTTGATTCCCAGCACATTTTGTCTAAACTATTGCACATAAAATTATAACAGTTCTAGGTAGAAAAAGGAATGGACCATTTAAGACTTTTATTCATGTCCTTCATAACTGTCCTGTGAGGCTGCAACCGGGAATAGAATCGTATTTCAGCTGAATCCTATACACCATTGAGGTGGAAATGAAGGGGAGGAAGAGGGAAGTGGACACACGTGTTTCTCTCCAGCTCTTACATCCTGAGTCTTGGAAACACCAGTTGACCAACCGAGTCACACTGTGTCCTGCTTTTTTTTCATCCTGGGGCTCCAGGATCAGCACAGCCTTAAGTTTTTAACACATTCTCATGTTTCTCAGTCATTTTCTGCACATCACAAGGCGACTTATCAGGATTTGGGAATTAAATTCCTATGAGCACATGTTTGGTTGTACAAAATGGCCTTTTCAAGAAAGTATATGTAAAAAACAAAGACCAGGATTGAGGGAAAGAGAATCAATTATTGAAAAGAACAGATCTGAGGCCAGGCGTGATGGCTCATGCCTATAATCCCAGCACTTTGGGAGGCCAAGTCGGGCGGATCGCTTGAGTCCAGAAGTTCGACACCAGCCTGGGTAACATGGGGAAACCCAGTCTCCATAAAAAATACAAAAGATTAGCTGGGCATGGTGATGCACGCCTGTAGTTCCAGCTATTTAGGAGACTGAGGTGAGAGGATCGCTTGAACCCTGGAAGTGGAGGTTGCAGTAAGCTGAGATCATACCACTGCACTCCAGCCTGAGCAACAGAGTAAAACTCTGTCTCAAAAACAAAAGAGGAAAGAACAAATCCTTAGCTAAATAATTATTGAAAAGAACAGATAATTATTTAAATAATTATTGAAAAGAACAGATCCCTAGTTAAATAAAAATTAAAAAGAGATACATATTGAATACTGAAATGTGTTGCAAGCATCGATTAAATGTAAGCAGAAAAAGAACTAAAAGTCAGAAGCCTTTGTTTTCCATCCATTTCAGCTATTTGGAAGGTAGTCCATGCAGTGGTTGAGAGAGCATGTTGCGGTCTAGGCACCCCTCTCTTATTTTTCATTCACCTCAACCCAGCTTAAAAGACATATTTGAGGTTCATTTATTCAAATTCAAATAAACTTGTAGAAAAGTACATTGGCATAGTTGAAGCAATTTTACTTGTTCTGTTCTGTCACATCACGCAACAAGCGAAGGCTATAATTATAATTATGTTTTTACTTAAACTGTTGGGAGGCAGTATACTGCCCCCGAAGGTGTAAAGGTTCCTGTCTAGAAAGGCTTCATCACACACTGGCATGTTTTGCAAACCCAGAAGAAGCTAAAGTATAGCAAAGAGAGGCTTCAAACCCTGCTCAGCCAAATAAAGAGTAGGTACAGTGATTTCTTGAATAAAACATGGTATAGTCATTAGTTACAACCCTTAGAACAGTCATTAGGCCAGTCATGCCGTAAGACAAGCCCTCAGCTCCATCTGTGGCAAGGGGATTTGTTTGCCTGGACTTTTGGAAAATACTAGGATTCTAAATACACCCCAAATTCAAATTGTGTGGATGTTGCTTTCTTTTCCTGAATCAGATAATACAAGCTGATATAAAGCAGATAATAAAAACATGTCATACTTCAAAGGCCCTGTGAACCAACATCCTTTCACAATTTTTAGATGAGAATTTGAATGTATAAACTTTCCCTGCAAACATGTTCTAGGGATGACTCAGTTTCTTTTAAAATCTGCCTAAGGCTGGGCATGGCAGCTCAAGCCTGTAAATCCCAGTACTTTGAGAGGCCAAGGAGGAAGGATGGCTTGAGGCCAGGAATTCGAGACCAACCTGGACACCATAGTGAGACCCCCATCTCTACAAAATTTTTAAAAAATTAGCGAGATGTAGTGTCCTGTGCCTGTAGTCCTAGTTACTTGGGAGGCTGAGGCGAGAGGATTGCTGGAGCCCCAGAATTCAAGGTTGCAATGAGCTGTGATTGTGCCACTGCACTCCAGCTTAGGCAACAAAGCCAGACCTCATCTCTTAAAGAAAAAAAATCTTCATAAACAGCTCAATGTTAGTGAATTTTCACTGACTATATTAGAAGACACTGAAAATAATTCTCCCAAGAAATTCTCTGCAGAAACTTAGACAATTTCTGAAGCACCTTTAAATCCTCCTATTGACGGAGGCTTGGAGGGCATTGTGTTAGAGGGGCACGTGCTACTGGTTGGCTACTCTGAGGCAGACTCTGCACCCAGCAGTGAATATTTGTGTGGTTTTCTCCACAGGTCCCATGGGAAGATCTCCGTTATCTCTTTGGTGAGATCATGTATGGAGGCCACATCACAGATGACTGGGATCGCAAACTGTGTCGGGTGTATTTAGAAGAATTCATGAATCCATCTCTGGTAAGACATTTGTAAATTAATTTGTAAATAAATTTCACTGAGCAAAAAATTCTGGTAAGAATTTTATAAACTAATTATACTATGGGCAATTCTTAATGTTATTGAGGATGCTTGGCCTTTTGGGAAATTTCTTAGAAAAGCGGAATCTCGGGTTCCATCCCAGACCTACAGAATCAGAATCTGCATTTTCACAAGTCTTCCAGGTGATCTCTGTGTGTGCTAGAGAGTGCACCAGCGTGAGGCAGCCTCACATGCACTGACTCATCGGCTCTTTATAAAAACCCTATGAGGTATGCAGAGCTGACGCTGTTATTCCCTTTTCTAGACCGAGATGCTGAAACATGGGGATTTGCCCCAGGCCACTAGGTTGGCACAGGCAAGAGTTTTGTGCGTCTTTTGATAGAAGTCTTTTGATTTCTATTCCAGAGTTTATTTCACTAAAGTTTCTTTTCTGCCTGTCATGGAAGTCCTAGAAAATAGTCTACAGTTGGACCAGTATCAGTTACTCAATTATAATATGTGCTCAAGAAAAATGTGGTCAATATGTATGTGAGGTGATAGATTTGTTAATTAGCCTGATTTAACCATTCCACGATGTACACGTGTATCAAAACATCACACTGTGCCCCATAAATATATATAATTATTATTTGTCAATTTAAAATAAAATTAAATCTAACAAGATAGTAAAAAAAAAGATTATATATATCAACCAAGGGCAAGGTAAGAACCTTATTTGGATCTTGTTCCAAATGAACTATAAAAAAAAAAAAAAAAACACACACATTTATGACACAATGGGAAATTAACATTAACATATCATGGTAATATAGAATTCCCGTTAATATTTTATGTGTGATAATAAAGTAATATAGTTATGTTTTTTAAAAAGAGAAAAGATGCTCCAGGGTGAACCTGGAGGACATTACGTTAAATGAAATAAGTCAGACGCAGAAGGACAAATACATGTTCTCACACACATAAAGACTCTTAAAAAGCTGATCTCCTATAAATGGTGAATAGAACAGTGGTTACCAGAGACTGGGGAAGGGGAGAATGGGGAATGAATGGTCAACAGATACAAAGTTACCATCCTTAGAAAGGAAGAATAAGTAAGTTCTCGTGTCCTATTGCACAGTAGGGTAACTGTAGTCAACAATACAATATTGTATATCTAAAAATAGCTAGAAGAGAGGATTTTGTATGTTCCCACCCCAAAGAAATGAGAAATATTTAAGATGATGGGCCTGCTGATTGCCTGATTTGATCATTACACAACATATACATGTATCAAAACATCGCATTGTACCCCATCAATATGTACAATTATTATGTGTCAGTTAAAAAGACAAGTATGGTGATTTGAGAACCTCATTCTTCCTTCTCTCGTGAGGAAGAGGTAGATCACCCCTGTAGGTGGAGTTTTAAAAGACCAAGCATCCTTTTCCCATTTCTCATCTTAGTAACCCTGTGTCTGTGTAGAAATGGTTCCAGCCCGGGGCTGTGTTTTCTGGAAAAAGTACTCCATTTTTGTTTCTCGTACTACAGAGGGTGAGCGTGGTGGCTGTAGTTTTCTCATGCTCTCTCTCCCTCATGGCATCCAGGTTCATGGCCATTCCTGGTTATTTCTTGGAAACGTAAAGCACCTGTACACCATATCATGTCTATTTCCAGTTGGGCGAGACACCAACTCTGTTTAAAGCAATGCTTTGAATAGTTTGAGTGATGTCCTATTTATAGTTTCTCTGAAAATTTCACCTCAGAGAAGCATTATATAGATTTGATCACCTTCCTAGAGTTCATTTTGAGAAGTAATATAATCATATCAGTCTAATATTTAGTGTATATTAGATTAAATCACTAAAATCATATTAGTCTAATATTTAGTCTATTTTAGACTAAAATACACCAGGAAAACATAGTGTATTTTAGTCTAATATAGAAAACTGGGGACATTCTTTTGTTACTACTTTTAATAATGTGGAACAGTTTGGAGACAGTGCAAAAAATGCACAATGTTATGTAATTGTTTCTTTTGATTGTGAGTCTCATGGTCTTTCCTTAGTTCTAATGAGCAAGATTTCACATGTCAGAGAGAGACTTCCAATTTAGCACAATTGGAAGTCACTCCTCAGGAAAGGTCTGGGAGCAAGTTACCATGGAGATGGGAAAGCTAAACAGTGCCAGGCATGCGACCTTTACAGAGGCTGATTTCTCCGAATGATGGTGGAGGGCAAGGGGCCCGCGAGGAGCTCCCCTAGCTCTGGCCTGTGGCTGAGGGGAGAATTACTGTTGCCAAATGCAGCAGTCCATTAACCTTCACAAGCCTGAACTCCCATTCAAATAATTGTAAAATAAATATAGGTGATGAAACCTGAAGGGGCATCAGTGATGTGTGTAAGCCCTTTAGAAATTTAGGTACCTGACCTTACATACAGATCTGGCGAGGTTTCCAGGATTGAAATGCTTCATTTTGCAAGCTGGCATCCTCACTGGAGAGGTACCTCCTCAACTCACCAAAGGAAATTAAAGCACTTAACTGACTTGCTGTCAGAGGCTGCAAATCCCAGTTATTTTGTTCTCATGCACGTTTCTCCTGTTTATGCTGTTTATATGATTAGCAACATGATCTAACACTTCATCTGCAGGACATCTTTTTGCCACTTCCCACAAGTGGTTAACATATTTGGAAATTAGTGTCTTTGGTTGCATTGGAACATGATCAAAAAGCAACCCATTCATGGTGTGGGGTTTAAAGTTCTGCTGCTCTTATCCAAAGAATCAGAATGCTTTCAGTGATATCTTGCTGTTAGGAGGATCAGTGAGTTTCTTGTTGAATAAATGAGTTTGCTCTCAGAGAGAGTTCTCCAGTGGGCTTTAGAGGGTCTCTGGCCAAAGTCAAGAAAGAAAACATCTTCTCACATAAAGCATGTATTTGGCAGCGTTAATTAAGAAATACAGTAAATCACTTTCAGAGAATAAGGTACCAGGTCACCTTAAAGTTATCATATAATACAAACTATTTTAGTAATATAGAATAACAAGAATCTGGGGTTTGAAGTAAAAAACAAAGACAAAAAACACCTGGGTTCACACTGAAGTACCTCTATGTATTTGCCGTATGATGTAATTGACCCTCTCTTAGCCTTGGTTTCATAATCTACAAAACCAGAATGATCAACTTACAGGTTTGCTGTCAGGTTTAAACTTTGGTACAATGCTAGAACAATATGCTTAATAAATGGGAAATCTTTTTATTATAAAGTATACATTTTCATTATATATATTTAATATTTGGCTATACATTAATCTGTGATAACAATGGGAATCCTTTAGTAAATACCTGCTCTGTGCCAAGGGTCATTACCACACACTTTATATGTATGATTTCTTCTCACTATAATCTGGAAGAGTAAGTATTATTCCATTTAATCAAAAAAGAACCTCAGGCTTAGAGAGGTCAAGCAGCTGAACCAGAATTTAAACTCGTAATCAGACTCCAAAGGCTGGTCTTTCTCTGCACCATACTGCCCTGGCTGGAGTGCTGAGCTGTTTGCAGCACAGGTCACCAAAACAATGACTCGTATTTGTATGTAGATGGTGTACAGGCCAACACTGAGAACAACACGGGCAATACGGGAGACCAGAGTTCTGGTTCTGCTACTGACTTGCTGTCTGGCTTTGTGCATGGCTTCCCTGTGCCTCACTTCATTCATTTATAAAATTAAGGTATTGCCTAGAAAATCACCAATGTACCTTTTCATTCTCAAGACACCATGATAATTCAATCTTGAGTAATGTCTAAAAATCCCTAACAGCACTTTGGGGCCATGGCATTTTTGACCCAGAAGGCCAAGGGCAAATGCATTTGTTTAAATTCACAATGAACTGGAGCTTCTTGTCATTACCAACACTACTTGGAGAGGCAGTGGAGTGGGGGTCGGTTTTTGTTAAATACCAGAAAGGAAAATATAAAAAAGACAATAATCTCATGGAGTCCAACATAGTGGGCTGGATGCTGGTTCTCCAGTTTCTAATAACTGTGCCTGCCCCTGATTTCAACAAAGATGATTTCAATTTTTTTTTTCTTTCTTTTTGAGACAGAGCCTTGTTCTGTCGCCCAGGCTGGAGTGCAGTGGTGTGATCTCGGCTCACTGCAACCTCCACCTTCCAGATTCAAGTCATTCTCCTGTCTCAGCCTCCTGAGTAGCTGGGATTACAGGCATGTGCCACCACGCTGGGCTAATTTTCGTATTTTTAGTAGAGATGGGGTTTCACCATGTTAGTCAGGCTGGTCTTGAACTCCTGACCTCATGATCTGCCCACCTCGGCCTCCCAAAGTGCTGGGATTACAGGCATGAGCCACCATGCCTGGCCGAAAATATCATCCAAATTTTTGATTATATTTTCATGATGTGGAGGTTCTTTCTGCCTGAGCATGATTCTATCGATTCTTTTTGTTTTTAAAAAAGGTTTTACTAAGATATAATTTGCACACTGTAACATTTACCAATTTAAATTATACAACTCAAAGGTCTTTAGTATATTCTGCAACCATTACAAGTTTTAGAACAGTTTATTACCCACGCCCCACCCACCCAAAAAAAAAAACCCTGCAGCCATTAGCAGTCAGGCACCATTTGTTTCCCACCCCATATTCCCCTATACCCCAGCCCATGGCAGCTACTAATCTATTTTCTGTCTCTATAGATTTGCATGTTCTGGGCATTTTTAAAAATGGACTCATACAATATGTAGCCTTCTTTCACTTGGCATAATGTTTTCAAGCTTCAGCCATGCTGTAGCATATATCAGTACTCAATTCCTTTTAAGTCTGAATAATGTTCCATTGTATGGACATAGCACATTTTGTTTATCTCATCTGTCAGTGGACATTTGGGTTGTTTCTCCTTCTTGGCTATTATGAATAATGCTGCTATGAACTTTTATGTACAAATTTTGTGTGGACATATGTTTTCAATTCTTTCGGATATGTACCTTGGAGTGGAATTGCTGGGCCAAGTGATAACTCTATGTTTATCATTTGCAAGTACCACCAAACTGTTTTTTAAATAGTGGCTGCACCATTTTATCTTCCCTTCAGCAATGTATGACAGTTCTGTTTTCTCCACATCCTCACCAAGACTGCTACTGTCCACATTTTTTTATTTTAGCCATTCTGGTGGAGGTACAGTGGTGTCACATTACAGTTTTGACTTGCATGTCCCTGAAGACTAACAATGTTGAACATCCTTTCATGTTCTCATTGGCCATTTGTGTATCTTCTTTGGAGAAATGTCTATTTAGAATTTTTTATTCTTTGAGGCATTATAACAGCTTTCTCAGACAAACCTCCTCCAAAGGCAAGAAAGTTGGCCACTGTGTAGAGAGCTCTACAATGATGGCCCCATTAGCAAAAAGCATCTTTTCATAAAAAGTCTTGAGTGGGAAAGGAGAAAGTCTAGATTCAGCATCAGGATTCACAGGGCTCCTTGAGTATATTAAAGTCTTGATGGTTTTCTTAAAGTAAAAGGGAACACAAGTCTATGTATGGAGGACATTTCTCAGGTTTTGTTTGTTTTTTCCTTCTAGAAAAAGCAAGATATACTAAAATCAAGTCTGCTGCTAGGGTACGAGGAAGACCAAAACTTACATAAGAGCCTGCTGTGTGCTGAGCTGTTTGCATACCTTATTAAATTCTTATGGCCACAACCATTAGGTTGCTGTTATGAGCAATATTTTACTGATGAAAAGATTGAAATGCAGATAAATTGTCATTTCTTAAGGCCACCAACCCATTAAGTGATGGAAGCTGAATCAGGCTGTCTAGCTGTATACCTCAGGCCCTTTTGAGTTGGCTGTTTTCTTTTGCCTTCGCTCATTGCCTACCATATGGAAGGCACTTGTCACATGTCTATAAAGACTGATTTTCTTTCCAAAGAGCATGGGCCATTTGCAATCCCATCAGCAGTACATGAGCACGCATTCAAACAAATGTCCCCATGGCAGCTTAACCTTTCCAAGTGGTTTTGGTTTTGGTCAGTTTCTTTGCTTGAAGTTCTGTTTTTAACTTTTTGATTTATTAAGGACAGATTAACTGTGGCTTCTGAAATTTCTTTCAATTTCCTAGTAAGCACAAACAGAGAAGACCAACTACTTGTTTTAGGGAATAATGTTCAGTTGGGATATGTGGATTCTAGGTTTTGGTTTTCTTATTCATATTTTGCCCATATTTTTATTCTGGCTACTTTATCCATCATAGACTAATAATAATGAGTTTAACTCTCCTGTACCATTTTATTTTGGTCGCCCTGAGCCAGGTGACATTTAAATTTTCATTATTCTTATATATAAACATGAAATGATACAAATGTGAATAAATAAAGCCAAGCCAATGGATACTGGTGGTGAAATAGTCCAACTTCTTCCTTCCCATATTCATCGGGTCAAGATTTCCATTTCTGGCAATATGAAGGATTAGATAACTTGAAAATCCTCCCGGTACAAAATAAAAATAAAAATAAAAATGCTGTGTCGAATGTTTTAAATGCACTTGGAATTCGCAGAAAGCAGTCGAGCATCCTTATTAAGGACATAGGCTTTCTAAGTAACCTGGATTGCAGGTTTAAGAAGGAAAGAGAAAACCACTGTTACACACATGATTGTGTGGAAATTCACACTTACTTTGTCCTCTTTAGACTCTGAGTTCCTTAATAACGAGGTCATATGGAGCTTATACTTCTAAGGTTTGTTGTAGTGTACTGGGTGGTGGGTACATATTACTGAATGAATTAAAGAATATTCACTTTGTCTCCAAGTGATAGTGAGGGGACCACAGTGTAGCATACACAGTTACAGACAAATCCCATTTCAGAAACTGACTCAGAAAATCTAGGTAGAAAATAGCTACATTCGATGATAGTTTAAAAATAACATTCCTCTGTACATTTAAGTGCACATACAGACAGGATTTACGGTGCAAGAGACTGGGAGAATTAAAACAGAGGGGTTAATGGTCCCTGGAAACTAAAGAGCAATCAGGGAAAAATAAATCTGAGATTATACTGTTACTTAGAAAATTGTAAGCACTTGATTGACTCTGTGTTTATGGCTGGTCAGAGACTCAGGCTCATAAATTCTTTTGTTACATTTTGAAGTTCTACATTCTAATGTTTAGAGGGTTTGTTATTGCTATTCACATTGCCTTTGTTCAAAACTTCCCCCTAAATTGAATGTCTACCCTCTTGCCCCAGCCTTATTGAAGTAGATGGGCACGATAAAAGCCCGCTTTCTCCAGCCTTTCACTCAGTAGGTAACTGTGTATTGAGCTCTCAGGGTCTGTGGATCCTAAACAACAGACTTTGCTGTGAGTAGCTCAAAGTCCTGGGAAGGTAGGATCGGTCTGACTCTTAGTATATATGGCCTATACATGGTACTTATATACACACACATTTTTCATTAAATGCACATATCATTATTTATAATTATAAAATTCAGGTATATAAATTCACATCATATATAAAATGATGTGATGCAGTACTGTGGAAAGTATGGTGCCCTGGGGAAGTACAGGCTACAGAGTCCTACTAAAATGAGTTCAGAATTATGATTAAAATCAAATGTCTACCTCAGCAAATTCACATCAGAGTCTTGATTTCCTCTCTGGGAAATGGGGATGGTTGGGAGAATCAATGAATGGGAGTGTGTTATAGGGTAGCCCAGGCTCTGTGATGGCTCATTCCTTTTGTGTGCATGTATCACACTGCCCCATGCACACTGCAAACTGAGTCTTCTTAGGGATAGGATTAATGTGTGTTCCTTGGGATCTTCCGCAGAGATCAGTCTGGTGTTGCATATAGAGCAAAATTGTTGATTATAAAACAGTTTAGGGAGCCTGCTACCCAGACAGCATTGTGCTGGAGCCTTCTTGTCAGGGTCTTCTCGAAGTGTTGAGGAAGTGAAAATGGATGCCTACCTACATTTGGAATAACTGACTTTTCCTTTGTGGTTCAAGACTGAAGATGAACTGATGCTGGCACCAGGTTTTGCTGCCCCACCCTACCTAGATTATGCAGGCTACCACCAGTACATAGAGGAGATGCTTCCTCCAGAAAGCCCGGCACTGTATGGCCTCCACCCAAATGCTGAAATAGAATTCCTGACAGTGACATCCAACACTCTCTTCAGAACTTTGCTGGAGATGCAGCCCAGGAATGCACTCAGTGGTGATGAACTGGGGCAGTCTACAGAAGAAAAGGTAGAGGGTCTTTCCTTCCTTTTCTTTTTCATTGAAGTATAACTTACTTGTACTGAAGTCTACTAATCTTAATTGTGCAAATCAATAAGTTTTTACCTAGGTTTTACTCATACAACCACCACCTAGATCAAAATAACATTTCCAACACTCCAGAAGGATACTCATGCCCCTTATCAGTCAACATACCCCTCACCTCCCCCAGAGATAATCAGTATCTTTACCTCTATCATCACAGATTAGCTTTACCTGATTCCAAATATATGGAATCATACAGTGCGCATTCATCCATGTCTAACTCCTTTCATTCTGCATTAGATTTGTGAGATTCATCCATGTTGTTCATGTACCAATGGTTCATTTTTGTTTTGAATTCTATATGAATATAAAATTCTTCATTGTACTGTGAATGGATGTTTGGGTTGTTTCTTGTTTTTCACTTTTATAGAAATATCACAACCATGAACATTCTTCTGCAGTCAATATGCAAAGGTAACTCCCAAAGGCATCCATTCATACTACCCATTTCTCTATACCCAGAAGTGGGATTGCCAGATAACAGGGTATAATGTGTAGCTTTAATAGTATTCCCAATCAGTTTTCTCCAGTGGCTGTACCAGTTACTTTCCCACCAGCAGTGCGTGTGAGTTCCACTTGCTCTATCTTTTTTGTGATTTTGTAAGGGTAATGATATCTCACAGTGGTTTTAATTTTGCAATCCTCAATTGAGGAGTAATATTGAGCATCTTTTCACATGCTTATGGCCGTTTGGATATACTGTCTACCTCCACTGTAAATGAGTTTAAGATTTCAGGACCTGATAAATTGCCGGTCAGAGTGATGCCAGCTGGCAGGCATGATGTCAGAACCAGAGGCAGTAGTCTGAGAAAGCAAGGAAAGAAGGAAAGCTGCCTGAGGCTAAGGACAGGCAAAGTTCCTCCATCTTTTCTCCTTTCTAGATATTGACTGGTTTTTCCAGCTCGGTGGAGCTGTCTACATAGAATTAGTATGCATGTCTGAGTACCATGTGCATACTCATACCTGTAATATATGTCTTTCATTCTTTCAGAGCAACAATTACAGAAGATAGAAGTTTCTTTGTTAAAAATGTTGATGTAAATTGGTCTAGGAATTTTAGGATGCCGTGGTTGGGAGGGCAGCATCATAGTTCAGCAGAATTTGCTTACGCTTAAAAGGCTTATTTGGGTTATGTGACTTTTATTCTATTTTATTTTTTATTTTTTGAGACAGTTTCATTCTGTTGCCCAGGCTGGAATGCAGTGGCACCATCTTGGCTCACTGCAACCTCTAACTCTCGGATTCAAGCGATTTTCGTGCCTCAGCCACCCAAATAGCTGGGATTACAGACATGCTCCAACATGCCTGGCTAATTTTTATATTTTTAGTAGAGACAGAGTTTCACCATGTTGGCCAGGCTGGTCTCGAACTCCTGACTTCAAGCGATCTGCCCATCCTGGCCTCCCAAAGTGCTGGGATTACAGGCGTGAGCCACTGTGCCCAGCCCCTGGTTTGTGTGGCTTTTAAAAGGATCTTTTTAATTTAGCAGATTATAAAATATGGTACCCTAATAATAGGCTTCTACTTCCTCTGATCATATCTTTACATATAAATAACATGTAGCTGATGACAGTTCTATACTCCCTAAATGTTAAGTGAGTAAACTGCAAACAACTGTAGCTCCTTCTTGACCAGATTTGGGGCTCCATGGAAGGGGAAGTGCTGGCACTGGTACAGAGGCACCAATGAGGCAGCTGAGGGAGTTGGCACTGCCATGCTGCCCACCTCCTGGGAGCCGTAGGCATCCTTCACATGCATTTGCAGGCACCTTCGGAAGTCGTATGATATATTCTGTAACTTCAAAAAGTAGAGGATATACACAGTCACCATGACGAAAACTGAAATAGAAAGGAGCTAAATCTTTGTGTTACTGATTTAAGGTTAAGAATGTCTTGGATGACATTTTGGAGAAACTTCCAGAAGAGTTCAACATGGCAGAGATAATGCAAAAAAATTCAAATAGAAGCCCATATGTTCTTGTTTGCTTCCAAGAATGTGAGAGGATGAATATTCTCATTCGGGAAATACGTATATCACTTGAACAACTGGACCTTAGTTTGAAGGTAAGCTTAAAGTGAGGCTATAGTAGACTTCAGCACATTGGAAGATATTCACTGTGTGGCTTTTTTTCTCCATGCAAGGGGGAATTGGCATTATCTCCTGCTGTGGAAGCCCAGCAGTTTGCATTGAGTTATGACACGGTACCAGACACTTGGAGCAAACTGGCTTATCCTTCTACTTATGGCCTAGCCCAGTGGTAAGCTACCCCATCCTCACTGCCACTGGCCCTGAGCAGCCTCGGTGCTGGGTTAGTGTTCTGAATAATGCTTCCTAAGAACTATGCAGACGGAGCTTTGTGACTGTTCTCAACCTGTAACCGTAAAAAATTCTTCCACCAATTTCATTTGAGTTTACTTGGTATATTGCATCAAAGGCAAAAATAGTTAAAAGACAGGGTCAGAGCAAGACTGAAATTCTGTCGCTCACTCATTGATACATGATCTTAGACAAAATAACCTGTCTCTTTTTTAAATCTGAAAAATGTAGATGGCAATAGAATCCCCTGAGTTGTTGTTAAGAGTTGAATGGCCATGGAAAGCAACTTGAATTTGCCTTTGTGTCATCTTATAACTTTACTTTGCAAGCCTGAGATTCCTCTGCCTTCTCATAGACAACCTTTGAAAGTTTGTAATATGGTATGCAGTATGCAGTAAACTAGACTGGGGGTATAACTGCAGAGATGTGTCACAAAGCTAGGGCAGAAATTCACAGATTACTGAATGTAATCTGTGCTGATGTTACACCTAATTGCTCCTTGGTCTTGGCAAGCAATTCAGGAAGTTTCACAAAGCTGTTGATTCCTGGCTTTTTGGTGCTGAGTTTCTTTCCCCCTGCTTTCCTGAATCATTATTCCATGAACCTCAACTATCCCTGTACCATTCCTATTATTTTAGTGGAGACTCTTTACATTGTAGCATGCACACTTTTGACTTTTCTTTCTTTTTGAGACAGAGTCTCACTCTCTCGCCCAGGCTGGAGTGCAGTGGCGCGATCTCGGCTCACTGCAAGCTCTGCCTGCCGGGTTCACGCCATTCTCCTGCCTCAGCCTCCCGAGTAGCTGGGACTACAGGCGCCCGCCACCACATCCGGTTAATTTTTTGTATATTTAGTAGAGACGGGGTTTCACCGTGTTAGCCAGGATGGTCTCAATCTCCTGACCTCATGATCTGCCCGCCTCAGCCTCCCAAAGTGCTGGGATTACAGGCATGAGCCACCGCGCCTGGCCCACACTTTTGATTTTTCTAACACAATGTTAGAGCCTTCAGCTTCCCTCTGAACATCAACCTCCTTCTGGTCTGGAATTGTAGTTCCACCTTATTTTAAGCCACATTATGTTTGTTGTGTTTTGTTTGTGGTCAATCATTATTTTTGTTTTAATATACTGTACTGATTTCTTTGCTCATCATTGCTTTTTTTGTATCTTGTTCTGGGCTTTTCTTTTTTTATCAGAGTATAAAATATAGAGCAGGGCTTGGAGGGTGGGGGTGTAAATCATCTTGTGTTTCTGAAACTGTCCTCACTGCACTCTCCTTCTTGATTGATAGTTTACTTATACGTAGAATTATAGGACACGATTATTTTTCCTTCAGCACTTTGATGTTCTAACTCCATGGTTTTCTAGCTTTGATTGTAGAGGGTGGATCTGGTCTTAAATATTTGCCATTCCTTCCCAAGTAAAGTTTTAAAATGTTTCTCTTTACCCTTGATGTTCAACAATTTTACTATTGTACTGAGGTATGGATTTTTAAAGTACTGTCATAAATGTGAGATTCCATCCATAGCTTTTATTCTGAAAAAGTCTTAGCACTTTTTTCTCTGAATATCGTATTCTCCTCATGTCTACATTTATCTGCCTGACCTCTTAACGTTTTCAGTGTGTCTTTCGGCTGTATACTTGTAGACTTCATCAGTTCTGGGTGATCTTCATTATATCTTCAACTGTCTCCAATCTGTTTCTTAATTATTTAGATGTCATTGTCCAGGTTGGGCGCAGTGGCTCATGCCCAGCACTTTGGGAGGGCAAGGCAGGAGGATCACTTGAGCCCAGGAGTTCGAAGCCAGCCTGGGCAACATAATGAGACCCTGTCTCTAAAAAACAATAATAAAATAAATAAAATAAAAATTAGCCAGGTGTGGTGGCATGCGACTGTAGTCCTAGCTACTCAAGGTGTAGAGGTGGTAGGATTGCTTGAGCCCAAGAGGTCAAGGGTGCAATGAGCCATGATCATGCCACTGCATTCTAGCCTGGGTGACAGAGCAAGACCCTGTCTCAAAAAATAAAGTATATTTCATCGTCCATAATTATCAGTTCCAGGTTTTTTATATTTTTGGAAGGGTGCCTAGCTTAGTTTTATAATTTCCTGTTTTCGTTTTTATGACTGTTATTCTCTTTTCCTGAGAAGTTTAAACATACTTACAAGTAAGTATTTTCTTCAAGACTTCTCTATTTCCTGGGTTATAAACCTTCCTGTTTGTTGGATTTGCTGGTGGTTTTTCATGCCCTATACTCTTATGTCTATACCTGAATGACAGTTTGGCCAGTTATTAAAATATAATAACACCCTCAGTTGGAGGCCTTTGTAGCCATCACTCTCCTCTTGTCAAATGCTGCCGTGGAGATGTCAAAAGCTAGCATACTTCTTTTCCCTTTATAAATGGCTTCATGTTTTCCCCTGGCCATCCAGGGATTCTTCATTGTTCATATTATTCTTTATATTTTAGTATTGATTACTCTCTACCAAATTTTCTTGGAACATGATGTGCCCTTGATTGTATAGATTCAAAGGTATAATTTAGGAAAACTCAAATTTTCTAGAATTACACTTTTTTTTTGAGAGATTCTCATTCTGTTGCCTAGGCTGGAGTGCAGTGACGTGATCGCAGCTCACTGCAACCTCTGCCTCTTGGGTTCAACCGATTCTCCTGCCTTCAGCCTCCCTAGTAGCTGGGATTACAGGCATGTGCCACCATGCCCGGCCAACTTTGTTATTTTTAGTAGGGATGGGGTTTCACCATGTTGGCCAGGCTGGTCTCGAACACCTGACCTCAAGTGATCCACCTGCCTCGGCCTCCCAAAGTGCTGGGATTACAGATGTGAGCCACCACGTCTGGCCTCATTTCAGCTTTCATTTTATTGCTTTCACTCTAACCCTTTACCTCTTTATTTCCATTTGTTTTTATTATTCTCCCTTACGCTGTTTCACTTTTGCTTTCATTTCTATAATTTTATTTTCTACTTCTTATTTGGGGTCTTCAAACTTAATTTCCTTACTATTTCCTACCTGATCCCTTCTAAGTCATGATCTTGTTTATATCAACAATCACTTGTTTTAGTTGTTACAAATTGTCTGCAGTGTTTATCCTCATGATGGCAACATTTTGAGAGAAATGTCTTCCTGCCTTTGCTTTTCTCATTCGCCTTTTTCCTTTGTGTGGTGCCTATGCTGTTTCTTCTTCTTATCGTCGAGTATGCTTTTTCGGATCCAGCTATCTGGAAGAACTTAATATAGGTCCGGGCACAGAGATTTTCCTTGTGGTGACGTAAGTTTGACCGTGAGCATTCTGAGCCTTTTCTTCTTCACGGCCCAGAGTCAGGCAAGTATCTCAGGCAGACATGTTCTGCCATGTGGTTTGTCAGGGTGTTTCCTCATTCACCCCCACTTCCTTTGCATATCTGAAGCAGACAAGGTCCTAGAAAACTTCAGTGCCAGCCTTTCCTTCTAGAGAACTCTGGCTTTTACACTGAGGCTATGCTCTCTACTCCATTCTCCTGGTCCCCTTTAAGCAGCCTCTGAAACTTACAATTCAAGGTTTCACTTCTCTCTTAATTTTATCGAAGAGGTTCATCTGTCCCTAGCCTCTGTGAGCCAGCTTCCTTATAGGTCAACTGCAAATACTTCCTACCTTGCCCAATTGTGAGGAGCCGAGAAGAGAACATGTACGTAACAGCAGCGTTTCTCAACCCACCGGCGTGCCATTCCTGGCTGACTTGTTTTCCTAATTAACCTTTTTCCTCCCCACTTTCAGGCAGCTACTGCACGTGCTTAGACTGCCGTCACGTGCTCCACTGCCTCCGCACATGCTGTTCCCTCTGCTTATCAATCAGATTTCCCGGCAACTCTGGTCTTGTAACCACCATCACAGCCTTGCCATCCCTGGTCCTCAGACACCCTGTCCATACCTCCAAGTTGGCGCTTGTCAGTCCAAGTCATAGGGTGATGACCTTTGTATAGTCACCACATAGCATGAAGAGGCTCTAATAAAAGCTGTTGCATAAATGGAAATGAGTTTTCCACATTCCTCAGTGTATCTTGCTCTAATGTAAACGCTACAGTCATCAAGTCTCCAATGGGAAACAAACTAGCCCTTTAAAGGGACAGTGCCCTGCAAATTGTCAGGGAAGGATTTTACCAGCTAGCAGTGGTATACTTCTCCTCCACCACCACCCTGCCCTAACCGCCCACAACAGAACATACTGGAAAATGGCTATTTTACTGAACAGCAAGTTTTTCTTCCTCCCTCCCATAAACCAGGTTCAATGACCTCCTCCTGCGATGCCGAGAACTCGATACTTGGACACAAGACCTTACCCTTCCGGCTGTCGTGTGGCTCTCCGGCTTCTTCAACCCTCAGTCCTTCTTAACTGGTAAGGGCTGACGCAGTGCAGCCCCTGATGCACACAGGACCACAGCCTAACCAGAAGCCCTGCTTTGTTTACCTATGATGGCGTCTCCTTGCCCTGCTCACCAATCCTCAAGCAGCAGCCATTATAGAAAGGACCAGCAGCTATAGAGGAAACAGAGTCCTGGGCAGGCGAGTAGCAGCAGGAGGGAAAGGACCTCCTATAGCAGCAAGAGTAGCCAAGTGAGGTGGGGCACGGTGTGCTCTTATTAAACATTTTCTGGAAAGGGCCACATAGCTTCTCTGCTACTGTAGTGCGAAAACCACAGACAATCCACAAATGGCTGTGACTATTCCAATAAAACTATCTACAGAAACAGCGAGCTTGTCCTGCAGGCCTTAGTTGGCCAACCCCCTGCTCCAGCGCAGCCATGTGCCAATGCCCAAGAACCTAAAACACCCTATGGGACTAAAGGATGCCTCAATTTACTGGTAGCTCCCGGGAACCTTACATGCAACACTTTTATCCTATTCAATTTTTGTTATATTTCCAAAGCAATCATGCAGACGATGGCTCGAAAAAATGAGTGGCCCCTGGATAAAACGCGCTTGACTGCTGATGTTACCAAAAAAACAAAGGAAGATTATGGACACCCGCCAAGGGAAGGTGCATACCTCCACGGACTCTTCATGGAGGGTAAGACACCCCAAGGGGTAAGTGGGGAACCTTTTCTTACTCAGGTTCAGATCAGTGTTTGTCCTCTGCTTACTGTTTCTCAGCATCTCCTCACTCACACAGTAACCTTATGCTAGTCATTATCTCATTTCTTCCTCTTAAATAATTTAAGTGCTGGGATGTGTGTCCACTGTGAACCAAACTGTAATATTTGGGGTGATGGCTATCACTTAAATTTTGCACATATATCTGGATGTTAATGCCACTGAATAACATCATTAGACTTAGACTGAATTTACATTCTTTTTGCTTTTCAATATAATCATTTCAAAATCTTTCTTCTATTGTTTAAAAACTGTCAGTAAATTTGCTCTAATGTTTTACTACAAGACTTCTCCAAGCCTGGAAGATGCTACTGCGTAGGGTGAATCTCTAAGAGGGGGTTAGACTATGCAATATTTTCCAAATTTATCTGGCCATGCATTTATTCCACAGGACACTTAGTCCCTACCAAGATGTTCCTTTTTCAGTTTAAAGCAAGTGCCACAAGTTCTGGTGTAAAAGAATAAGGTGCGACGGGGAGGAAATGTGGTGAACTGGAGATTTTTAAAGGGAGGGCAAACTAGTTCAGTGTATGTGAATTCTCTTAGAATCCCATTTCATAAAATCAGCTTACTTCCACAGGAAAGTTTAACCACTACGCATGGAAGCAAAGCGGTGCCTCCGCTGCAGGCAGGGTAACCTACCTTTCAAAGCTCAGTCCGGCCAGCTCAGTAAAAATACCACTGACAAGCAAAAATATGACAAAACCAGAATGTTGAATGTTTATTGCATCAAACAACTTACTTGATCATTATCATTAGTAGCAAGCTGCCACACAATTGCAACCGCTGTGTTTTTGCCATAGGCGCCCGCTGGGACACCCAAGCAGGAACCATTGTTGAAGCCCGTCTCAAGGAGCTGGCATGCCCTATGCCGGTCATCTTTGCAAAAGCCACCCCCGTGGACAGACAAGAAACCAAACAGACCTACGAGTGCCCTGTGTATAGAACCAAACTGAGAGGCCCCAGCTACATCTGGACCTTCAGGCTGAAGAGCGAAGAGAAGACTGCAAAATGGGTTCTGGCTGGAGTGGCTCTGCTTCTAGAAGCGTAAGGTAACACTGGCATTCCTCTAGCCTCTGCTGGAGTGCAGTGAGGATTTTCTAGCATGTTGCTGCACTGTTCCCATGCACATTATTCTAACTTTTTAGTAACTCACACGTGCATTCTTTTTTCAACGCTATCCTTAGAGTGAAAGTCAGAAAAAAATACTAGAAACTAACTCAGGGCTGAGCGTGGTGGCACACGACTGTAATCCCAGTTACTCAGGAGGTAGGAGAATCACTTGAACCTAGGAGGCAAAGGTTGCAGTGAGCCGAGGTTGCACCACTGCACTCCCTCCTGGGCAACAGAACAAGACTCCATCTCAAAAAAAAAAAAGTACATCATAAAAGTACATCATATGTGAACATGCAAAAGCAATGCAGCCGGAAAGAACGGAGATTTTAATTTTTAACAAACAACAAATTAAATTATTAGCCCTTAAACTCTTTCAAAATATAAAAGCAGCAGGCCCCAGGTGAGTCCTGAAGGAAGAGGCTAGCACTCTGTAAGGCCTCCAGTGTCCAGTGTCTACAATGTTGATGGTCCCCTTTTGTTCAGTCAAGTTTTAATAAAAATAAAACTGTTCTACAGTTAATTGCACTTTGTTCAGTGTAAATTTCCAATGACCAAGAGCAGGTTAAACGATGTGTGTGGTCTATTAAACTGTGGTCACTCGTGCTAAGGCACACTTGGCCTGGAGTGAGTTACTGTTTGGGAAGCCAAAGATAGATAGATCAAGTGCAGGAGCTGATCATACAATGTTTTCTCTCTAACTTACTTACCTGAACTTTAACCCCACCCCATTTAAACTGTGCTTTTTAATAACTGGCAGATATTTTTAACAAAGTTCAGCATACAGACAGGTCTGTGCATACATCTATATAGATTCCTCTGCTCTGCTGTCTTCCTGAGAAATCTTTGTAAGCATATAAACAATCTTTAACAAAAAATAGTAATTTCTACAAAGAATTTCTGTATAAAAACACAACTGTAAAAAAATCTTTCTTAGGCACCAATGGTATGCATGTCTTGTTGGAGTACTCTATGGTGAGGTGGCTGGTTCTGTTTGTTTTCCTCTTAATTGTCTTCTACCAGCTCCTTTTGTAAGCTGGGAAAAAGATGAGAAGTATTTGGTAAAGTAGTACAAATACACAAATGGCATTCTAGGCTTGAGAGATTCCACAATCATCTAAGAGTACAAAGCCAGAACCCAGATCTCCTGACACTCGAAATCCTGACAATTTATGCATCAATATCCGTATACCCTCTGGTGTAGTACGCCCCAAGCATGACTTGCCTCACTCCCGCATTCCAGAACCACGATTCAGAGTTTATTAATTACATAAATGAAACTTGTAACTCACATTCTGTCCTCTTGCCCTGAACTCTCTCTCTGCACTAGGATTATGGCTGCCTCTTCATAATCTGTGTCTTTCCCCTCAGCCTGCCTTGTTTGTTTGTTCCTTCCATTTCTGTCATACACCTCAAGGAGAAATTTTGGTTAAAGGCAACGTGGAGTTGAGTTGAAAAATCTAGCAAAGGAGAAGATTCCCTAATAGGGAAAATATCAGGCCTGAGCTTTTCCAATGCAAACAGATACAGAATGGATGGTACTCGTGGTTTATATAAGTAAGTAAGTCACACGGGAAGGCAACAACTACTTGCCCAGAGGGTCTCCTGTGCTCAGCCTCAAGATTTCAAGCTGTTTTGTAAGCTGCTAGAGACTTACTTACCTCTCCAGATATTCCTTAACATTGTCATAACCATAAAACTTGGCCAGATGAATGAGGATTCCTGTGGCACAGCGGCCGTCACGCTTCCGACAGTAGCTGCAATTGCAGATCCCACGACAGGGGGGACACACCCAATCCTAACAGAGAGATGACAGCAGACACTTCGCTCATTATCTACAGGGTCTGGCAAGAACTGGGATTCGGATCCAGAATGGCTCAGCTGGCCTCTCCTCCAACCTTTAATCACATGGCATCTTTCAGTCTACGTCCCAGGGGGCTCCTCACAAGGCAGGAAGGCTGAATCACCCCACGTCACATGCAAACACTGAAAAATGACACCTTTTAGGGCTCCTTGCTTAAAAATTATGGAGATTTTCACAAGCATTTGGCCAAGCACAGGGCCCTGTGCGAGCATGCAGGTCACAGGCCCAGGATGTCAGCCCTGGTTTAGGAGCACAAGGTTTCCAAAATATCAAGGTATGAATTTCAGCCCTTTCAATGTGTGCTTATTGTTGAATGACTAACCTGAGCAGCAGTTTGTTTGTCTGTCAGTTGAGGACCATATATTTACCCCATGACTGCTGCCTAAGAGGTCACACTCGGGAGCAGGACTGCCCCAGGCTCAAGGTCGTGCCTACTCACCATGATACTATGTCTCATTTTACCGAGGGAGCTGAGAGAGGTTATACACCTATTTCATGGGATTAAACAAATTTATGGTAACAGAGTGAGCGACAGCTTGCACAGTGCCAGGCACACAGAGAGCACTCTATACTGCAATCTCCACCTCCCTCTCAGCCTGGCCCAGGAAAAACAAAACAAATCAGAGGGAAATCACTTTGCTGAAGGACAGGTACAGGGATTACTTGCATAAAACTAGAGGACTGTAAGCAAGTTTTGCTCTGACAATGGAAAATCTAACAACATTAATTCTTCTATTCACTGGTCAGCTTGCTCTCCTTCCAGAAGGAATCCCTATTTTTCATTTTCCCTGGAGCCTTAAGATACAAATGGAAGGGAAAAACCAGAGTTCTGGAGCTCCCTAGTTCCCAGTGAGAACCCAGGAGGCCCATCTTTATAGCTTGCTTCCTTCACCAATACAATTTACAACAAATGCAAACACTGTTCCTACCGGGTCCAGCAATGCCGATCTGACATCCTCCCCATAGCGGTTCCGCAGGCATGGTCCACAGAACTGTCCTCGCACACCACAGCAACCCTGGTTCCGACACACTGTCTTGGTGTCGATGGTCTTTTGTCGACACTGATGGCACGTGTTACCCTACAGGGGGAAGGCAGTGAGCAGGTGAACACAGGGATATGCTGATGCCCAATGAGGCCAGATGCCACCATGTGCATTTCCAAGTATATGAAGAAATACCCCCGTCTCCTCGAATCAAGCAGGACTGTTTTCCTAAGAACCACAGCATTGTCTCTAGACCGGGGTCCCCAGCCCCCAGGCTAGAACCAGTCTGTGGCCTGTTTGGAACCGGGCTGCACAGCAGGAAGTGAGCAGCGGACGGGCGAGCATTACCGCCTGAGCTCTGCCTCCTGTCAGATCAGCAGCAGCATTAGATTCTCATAGGAGCACAAACCCTCTATTGTGAATTGCACATGTGAGGGATCTAGGTTGTGCACCCTTTATAAGAATCTAATGCCCGATGATCTGAGGTGGAACAGTTTCATCCTGAAACCATCCCCTTCCTGCCCCCCAAATCCATGGAAAAACTGTCTTTCACAAAACCAGTCCCTGGTGCCAAAAAGGTTGGGGACCACTGCTCTAGAATGTAACCATCACAGGTCTGTGGCCAGAGAAACATATTAGGTCAGATGAGGCTGAGCAGAGACCCAGAAGGAATGAAATGATCAGGCTGTCAGGAAGAGAGACCAGAGAAAAGCTTGAGGCAGGGGTGGCAGAGCCCCTGAAAGGTGACAGGTGACTGAGGGGCAATGAGCCTTGGGTGGCATCACCTCGGCCCCAGCCTAGCTCTGCAGACCTGGATACCTTCAATGTGAGATCTATTTTTTTTTAAATATTGGCAACTAAATTTAAAACTTGACAGTGTCCCGTTACATATCCAGAAAAACACAAAAAAAATGCAGAACGCAAAGCCTCCCTCTAAATCACCATTTAGAAGAAATTTAACCCATTTCCTACCAAAGATATTCTGCCAAACTTTAATTTCTATGGTTATATTACCCCCCAAATATACTTTTTTCAATATTTAGAACATAAAACTATATGCTTAAACCATTAACAGTTACATATAAAAATCCCTTTTAAACTATACCGTTCCCTTCCCCCAGATTCTACGCATCCCTAAGAGAGACCGCCGTCCAGATGGGAATTACTGCACTAGGCTGCCTCCCCTTTCCCAGGTACAGCTGACTTTTGACCCTCCAATTCAGAGCCTGGCTCTGAGCCCTTGGTGAGATGGCATAAGCCCTGATAGAGTTTAAAAACAAGTGAGATTTCAATACCAATGCCTTCGACTCCCAATAAGAATGACAATTAATGTATACTTTACCAGAACTTTATCATAGATTTTATCTCGAACAGTTATGGCAACATTTTCTAAGTCCTCTTCGGTGATATCCTCCACTGGCCGAAAAGAAGATATACGGTGACGTCGTCTGTACTCCCGGCATTTCCCCTGCACAATGAACACAAGCAGAACATGGAGATGTGTTGAGCAGTTATAAAAAAATTATAAATATTTTAAACTCTCAAAGATCTAGCACCATTAATGTTAACCCCGTCCCTCTTCTATTTCCCTGCAGCCATTTCATTTAGTTATTTACTGAGCTCCTGCCACCTGCCAAGCTTCCTTCTCAGCAAGGCGATACAATCATAAAGGAGGAACTCAAGGTTTTTGGTTCTTTGCTGTAAACTCTGTGGAGAGGTGAACCACACTGAACAGCCAAACCCACAAATGGGTCCACAGTTGCTCCCTCCAAACTGAAAGCGCTTGAAACGCCTCATGCCTAAAACAGAAAGGCAAGGAGGAATCACTGCACTTTTCTTTATTGCCTGCAGCAGAGATTAAAGCAGGGTCCTAACAAATGAGCTGCTTCTCAGCTCGGCTTGGATAAAAGACTCTCTCTGTGACCTCCAGCTTAGACCAGGGCTGCTTCTCAAAGTGTGATCTCAGGAGCAATGGCATCACCTGGGAAGCAGAGAGAAATGCAAGTTCTCAGCTGCCGCAGACCCACGGGGTCAGAACCAGCCCTGGGGTGACAGTGACGTGCGTTCACGTTTGGAGGGATGGTAGCTCAGACAAAAACTAATTCATGTATTAGTCAGAAAATACCCCAATTGTCTTCCTTCTTCGGAAGCTGTAAAACTCTTCCGCAAATTTAGCGGCTGAGACAGTGAAGTTCTCTAGAGCAAACTTCTCAGGAGGCCGCGCACTCCGGGTTGGGTTCATACGCCGCGTGATCTGTCCCTCCGAGAAGGCCCGCCTCACTGTCTTCTTCCTCTGAAATCAAGAGCACAGACAGAGACAACTGGGGACTCTCTCGAATAAAAGCCGTCTGGTGGCTGATCACCATATATCAGTATTGGTATAATTATAAGGAGTTCTACTTACAGAAGCTGAGGTTGGGGTTCGTACTGGGAAGAAATCTGGCATCGAGTTCAATTCCGCCAATAACTGGGCAAGCTGAAGTTCAGAACAAAAGAAAGAATCTTACAAAAATAGGGCTCCAGGTTTAGGTCATCCAACACCTATCTCAAGTCTTCCATTTTGCCACCATAAGAAACCTAACTTGAATAGTTTATATAACCCACAACAGTTATACTTTTAACCTCACATGTAAAGATTGTACCTCCAGACCTGAGATGCTGATGTCATCATTCATATGAATGAACACTAGCCTATTCCTTATATATAAGGACAACACAACACTATGAAAACAGTCCTGGAATGATCAAGACCTGGAGCATGAGGTTCCGATCCCGACTCGGAGGCTAATCCAAGGCGGTGTGACCCTGGGACAATTCATTTTGCACACGTGAGTCTCAAGTTTCAGGATGTTCAAAAAAGAAAAAGCTCAACTAGATTATTTCGATGGTTATTTAGAACTCCAAAAGTCTGATTCTTTAAATAGATTAATTTCTCATCAATCAAAGTAATCTATGAAGATATTCCTACGTGAACTAATAATACCAAATAATAGGCATTAATATGCCAGAGAATTTAATTAGGATTCGTTTTAGTTTATACAATTATATGAGTGCCACCAAAAAAATCATAAAGAAAATAGCTTATTTTAAAGATGCAGATGGATACAGTGCTGAAAATTTCCCTTAGCTAAGTAAAAATGTTTCTTAGGATAAAAATAATCCGAAAGTAGGCATTCCATTTTTGTAAGTAATTTATATTAGACATATAAGCTTGCATATACAGTATCACTGCATCATTCTTTTTTTAAAAGGAAAAGATTAAAAAATTACCAAAATGCTAAAAGGGATAAGTGGTAGAACTATTTAAAAAAAAACTGTAGATAAACAATTATGAAGCAAACAATGATTCTCTACAATGATCAGATTAACAGTAATTGATTATATACAGAAAAACCAAATATATGTAACAAAGATTTCACCTGGTTCCATTCATTGTTCTAATGAAGACAATGTAGAGTGAATTAACACTGTTGAGGTTGTTTTAATTCCTAGACCTCTTCCATTCCTTCAGAAGTCTCAGAACCAGTGCTGGTCACCATAGAAGAGTGGTTCTGTGGTGAAAAGCTACCTGCCCAACCTGCTCCTTGCAACTTCTCAGTGGACTTGGTGACATCCCACTTCCCCTGCTTTACTCTGCTGGGAACGGGCTAGTTGTTCAGCCCCTCTCATCCCCAACACAACTATATACTTAGAACTTAGCTTGGTCAACAGTAAGCAGCATTATGGCACCATGTAGGGGCTAAAAATGGTGCTGGGGAATCTCTTTCTGTTCCCAAACCAGAGCTGATCATGTAATAGTTGCTCTGGGTTCTGGAAAAGTAAAAGGATACACAATACCCAGAGTATATTTTCTTGACAGAAGCCAAAGCAACAGCAGCAGCTGTAGGAGCAAAGTGGTTCTGGGAGCCCAGCAACTGCTGCCAGAGCCTGGTGCCAACTCCCAGGACGCCCTCCGTGAAGCCTCACCATGGCTTTGTTCTCCTTGATGTTCATGGTCCTTTTCAGCAAAGCATCTGAACTCTCCTGGCTCTCATCCCGAGAGTCATCCTCAGACTCAGAGGTAGAATCTTCCCTTTGTATCACCTGTCTACAGTCTTTCTTTCTTTCAAGAATTGTTTTTTTCTCATTCTGTAAGCGTGCGCTAGAAAACAACTGCTCGGAAGAACTGTTTTTATCTGGTTTGTTGGCCAGCTTCTTGGTGGGGAACTGAAAGGCTACTCGAAGACCAATACTACTTCTTCTAGACCTGCTTCTTCTAGGGGTAGCCTTATCTTCTTCTTCATCTTCCTCTTCCTCGCTCACCAAAGATGCTTTGCCATCATCACTCAAATCTGACTCCACGACCTAATAAAATAAGAGCAAGAAAAAGCACAAAGACACTGTTACAGACCCACAAAAAAGACATGCATTTAAAACAACTGACAGCATTATGAGAAAAAACATGAAAAATGAAAAGCTTCCCCTTCATATTATGAGTTCCCTCTGAATTTCCTTTAAATGTGCAAGAAATTGGTTGATGAATAAAATCAGAGAGCAGGCAACCTACTACTGAACTGTGCACCATCATACCCGCGACAGAAATGGGTTCCATTCAGAGCATGAGGGCTGTAAGCAAAACACTGACAGGGTGGGTTCCTCCACCGTGGGACAACCAGGGAGCACCAGCAAGAGGAGAGACAGTCACAGAAAAGGAGAGACAGCAGCATGACAGATGTGATCTTCAGACAGGAAAGGACGCAACGGGGGAAAAATGCTGACTGGTCTCCTCTAAATAGCAGGAACCAGACTCCTGAATAACAGGGCGGGAGAGCTGACTGCACCTCAGGGCAGTGACCCAGGACAGGCAGATGACCTGCCACTGCGTCCTCAGTCAAGGGGCACCTTTCCCTTCTCTGGAACCCTCAGAGCCATGAGGTGAAACCAGGTCACAAAGCTCTACAGGTTGTAGCAAAACACCACTCAGTCAACTCAAGAAATCCTCACCCGACATTTTCAAATTCCACATGGCAGAGGTCTCCAGCATTCAAACATTGCTCTGTTTTACAAGTGAGAACACAGTAAATATGGAAGGCAGTAACAGGGATACATCACCTAGGTGACAGCTTGGATGTGACGGGACTCTTAGCAGTGGTACAGAGACAGGTTTAAGTATGTAAGATCTAGGACGTCTTCTGGGCATCCTTCCATGACCAGAAGCTAGAAAACTTTGGGAACCATTATCTGGGAATTCTGAAAATCTACCAAGAACACGGAATGGCACCGATACGGACCCAGGATCAGTTCAGGGACTCTGCTTCCTCCCCGGTGACGACCATCAACCCCAAACTCTCGTTGGACTAAAGTTAGAAATAAGACACAGGGAGAAAAAAAACGCAGATAACTGCCAACCCTGGTATATCCACACCAAGCCAAGTGAGGAGTAAGACTATATGGCACTGATTTATCTATTTTTTAATACCCTGAACTTCCCATATTAATAGCTTCAGAATTCAAAATGGTGTACTGCAAAGGAACCCAATTTCAGGGGACACTGTCAGGGAAGAACTTCAGTTTTGATCCATTTATCTACCATCCTCATCATCGACAGGCCTCTCTTTACCAGATGTGGAACAGCTCACTACAGAGGCCTGAAGGAAGGAAAGAACAAATGGTACACAGCAGCCCAGAATCAGACCCAAGAGAAGAGCACAAGTGTAGTACATGGATGTGGTTATTTCGCATCCGGCCAGCAGACCCCTGGAAACCAAGTTACAGCAATGTCCCATTATCAAGAAAGATAGGTTCGCCAGTTCCCACAGGGGTGGGCAGGAGGGTGGGCTGGGAGGCAACAATGCTTTTCTTCTCACTGGATTCTAAAATAAAATTTGCAAGGGCCTGTGCTGAACTGTAAGCTATATCATGATCTATGTAACTACATCACACAGTCCATAGACTTGGGGGCAGGTGGGAGGGAAGACTTCTGGGGTAATTCACTTTCTCTCACTAGAAATGCAAATGCTTCGAATAACCAGACATCACTTCACTAAAGAACAGAAAATAAGTACATTGCTAACTGATGATGCCCATTAGGGTTTTAGAAGCATCTTAATATCGTGCTGGCAAGAAGCTAGGGACTTGCTGGCCAGAACTGATGGAACTGCCACACAAACAGCTTCTGCAAAGAAAGCCAAAGGAGACCTGGGGCCTCCAGGCTGGCACAGCTCTATGTTGCTACTCATAGCAAAAAATCACTATCAAACGAAGCAGCCTACCATGCGGGCTTTTATGCTCTACATTCTCTCCTAGGACAAGTGAGGGACATGGCAGGCTAGGAGTCACGGCTTATTTATACCTCTACACAGTCTCTGCCAAAAGTTAGTCTTTAGCAGCTTCTGGCTGTGAAGAGGCGTAAACTCTACGTTCCATCTTCATACTGAAGAAGATAGTAGCATGTTTATTTTTTGCATAAATGTATGCTATTTTTAGCAGAAAACATTTCTGCACTTAAATCCGAAGGCTGTGCCTTAAAGTTACCTTCAGGTTCAAACACGAGTGGGCAGTAAACTAGCCTAACTGTGCAGGATAAAACAAACAAATAACTAACAAGTCTGTTCATAGGAAGTGCTGAGAGTAGACTTCCCTCCAGAATCCAGGCAGGCCTGGGTCATCTTTAACACTAAAAAGCATGACAAATCCAAATCCACAATGCATGGGGAACACCAAGTTTGTACCACAGCCAAATTTTTGCCAAATTAACTTCAAACCAAAAACTGTCACTTCACACACAGTAAGAAAGTATCTCAAGAAAGTTGTCATCTAAGATAAACTTTTAGATAAAAGAGGTTTAAGGAACTCTTGAGATAATTTTTTTTTTTTTTTTTTTTTTTTTTTTTTTTTTTTTTTTTGAGATGGAGTCTCGCTCTGTCACCCAGGCTGGAGTGCAGTGGCTCAATCTCAGCTCACTGCAACCTCTGCCTCCCGGCTTCAAGAAATCCTCCTGCCTCCGCCTCCCGAGTAGCTTGGATTACAGGTGCCCGCCACCACGCCCGGCTAATTTTTGTATTTTGAGGAGAGATGGGGTTTCACCATATCGGTGAGGCTGGTCTTGAACTCCTGACCTCAGGTCCACCCGCCTCGGCCTCCCAAAGTGCTGGGATTACAGGTATGAGCCACCGTGCCTGGCCAAGAGAGATAAATTCTTTGAGAAGGACAATAAAGGACGCCTGGGACACATCCCCAAAAACCCCCTAAGGCACGAGGAGAAGATGAATGGATTTTCTCTAAGAGAATAATGGACTGGTGGACCAGGGATTAGCCTTCCAGGAGCAATTTTTTTAGGTTATGTTAATTGCTTGTAAGATAAATATGTAAGAAAAATCTTTTCACTTGTGAAGTGACTGCTTACAAGTAAAACTCTTTCAGAAACAGGATTAAAAACGTTACCACCCACATCCCTTCCTGTTGTAATTATTACCATTACTTCTGGGTTAGTCTTTCCATTCAGATCACTCTGCGTAAATCCTGCAAAATCCTCAGTCTCTGAGTCAGTGTCCTCTATAAAAATTCTTCTTAGCTCTTCTGTGAAGTATTTGGAATGAAAGCGCACATCCTGCTAAATTAAAGACACACATACATCAGAGACGGAAAGTAGAATAGAGGTTACCAGGGAAGGGTAGAATGAGGAGCTACTGAACGGGTACAGAGCTTCTGATGGAGATGACGAAAATGGATGGACAACAATGTGAATGTACTTAATGCACTGAACTGTACACATCAAAAACAGCTGAAATGATATACTTCATGTTATGTGTATTTTACCACAAAAAAAAAAAAACACTGGCCGGGTACAGTGGCTCACCCTGTAATCCCAGCACTTTGGGAGACCGAGGCAGGCAGATCACTTGAACTCAGGAGTTCAAGACCAGCCTGAGCAACATAGTGAGACCTCATCTCTGCAAAAAATACAAAAATTAGCTGGGTCTGGTGGCATGTACCTGTAGTCCCAGCTACTTGGGAGGCTAAGGTGGGAGGATTACCCAACCCTGGGAGGTCGAGGCTGCAGTGAGCTGCACACCAATGCACTCCAGCCTGCGTTGCAGCCAAGATCACACCATTGCACTCCAGCCGGGTGACAGAGTGAGACCCTCTCTCAAAAAAACCCGCATACGTACACGTATATATTACATATATACACATTTTCTAAAGCTTACAAAATTCAGACCTACAAGACAGACAATTTTTAAAAATTGGGTGTAGTCTCAATCAGCTTCTAATGTGACTGGTAAGTGCTCATGGAATTCAGCTTCTCCTGCCAAAGCTGGCAACCAGACACGTCTGCTTTCACATAGAACCAAAACACATGGAAAGAAGATATGAGGAGAAAACCTGGCTCCCTCCCACGTGTTGGCTTCCCTTTCCAACAGCCTTTCAAAGCCGGAGTCTCCTCCAAGTGGGTGAGCATGCCTCCCATTCACCAACAGCGAGCTTCTCTGTAGGAAAAGGCTGGGGCCTCTCTCAGCCCCCACCGCCCACCACCAGAGAGCCTAGACTTGCTCCATGAGCAGACACCATGGGGGCCTGATGGAAAGCTCATTCAAGGTCACCCCCAGGAATTTCTCTCGTGCAGGAGGTGAGAGGTGAACAACCATGGCTAGGTGGCAAGTGAGCAGAAGGAAAGATGCAATGTGACTCTTTAAGAAAAGGCATTTTCTAATACTTTTTCTTTTGAAATAGTGCAAAGATGGAAACCCAACTCTCTTAATAGTATACTTGAAAGAAAGAGGAAATAACAAACTGCAGGCCAAAGGGAGACCCACGAGACCAGCCCCCTGCAAGCCCGCCACACCTCATCAAGACTAGAGTCTGTCCCCAGTTTCCTCTGACGTCTCTTCCCCCCATCTCTGATATAGCAATGACCCCTTGTAACACCACACTTGGCGGGGAATCTGTATCTACCCCACTGCGTTTCCCCGCCTTTAATTATATACTTCTTTGAGCTCATATATCTCTGGGGAAAGATAGATATAATAGACAAGTGGAAAAACTTACAGGGGCACACAGAAAGAAATGCCTACATCTAGCATTCTGTAAGCTTAAAAATGTCTCCTATGAATTATTATGGGTAATTGGAGTGAGTTTGCTCAGAGCTGAATTACTTTGTTCCTTTGTTGATAGCTGTAGTGCAGCTGCTTGAGAAAAAAAATTGCACACACAAAAGGGAAGTTTCTTTAAAGTGAAATTCAAATCGTGTTTAAGGGAGACCAGAGTTAGCATACACATACTGTGTGCAAGTTCATGCAGCTTCTCTCTATTGGTTAAAATGGATCATGAGCCTGTGGGGTCGGGGTAGAGAAGCAGCCAGGGCTTGATTATTAAGGAAGAATGGTACACAGCTGCTGCTAAGGAAACCCACCATGCACCTGAGGCCTCTCAGTGCAAGAAACATCTGGCTCACAGAGCCTTGGGCCAGCCCCTGCAGGCTAATTTAGAGTGGTATTTCTGTGTGCAAATTTCATCAACTACCTAAAGCCCCTGCCTAGGGCCTGAAGGGAACAGGGCAAGCCTTGAAGCTATGAGTTCCCATCTTCCAGTTTTTCTGGCTATTTTGATCCTGTGTGCTGGCCTCCCAGGGCAATGGGCATCTTGGGAGAGATTACCATCTTTGATGGTCAGTCCTGATAGAGAAAAACAACTTACCATTGTCCTGAACTGAGGCCTGTGCTTTAGTTTCCTTACTCCAAAGTGTGTAAGTACTGTTTTCCATGTGGGTCTGTATGATGCCAATCTCCACTCCACACTGCTCCACTGCATTCTGAGTTAGAAACCCTGGCACTGCTGATTGCTCTCTGGCACTGGTTCATTCATCTTCAAAATCAATACTGGGTGCTATGCTATAGGCCTTGGTCATCTACCATGATCAGGACCATAAGCAAATAACACATCAGAGGAGAAGCTAACATAGGTGGATAAACTTATTTTGAAGTCCATGTGACATGGAAGAAACAGACCAGAGAGCAATGGCCTGTTGAACCAGACAGCCAGACAAGCACCCCATTTCAACTGCACCCAGCAAACAACACCCCCCGTGCTCACTGTATACAGTCAGGTGGGGTGTTGGATGCTTGAAATCAGAGGAAAGGAACAATACATGAGGACGAAAAGTCAGAGCCAGGGAAGCTAGAAAGCACCATTCAAGTATGAGGTCTCCCCTTCTTAAGGAGTTTATAATCTAACAGGGAGGCAGACAGGTCCACGAATAACCCTGGTGAGGGTCAGTGCTCTAAGGGATACAAAGCAATATGGCACACGGAGGGAAAGAAAATCCAGTAAGACTTCATGGAAGAAGTAGCATAACTGGATGTGAGCCACGGTAGAGGCTAGAAAAATGGTGAGAGCACAGATAGGCAGGAACAGCATGGACCAGTGGGCAGAAAGGGCAGAACAGTGGATAATGAGAGTGTCAGTTCAGTTCCTGTGCCCTGCAGCATAGCAGGTAGGAAAGAGACCCGGCGGGGTAAGAGGCTGAGAAGTGGTGGCCCTGGATTTGGAACATCCCAGCTTGGTACTTCCCAGATGTGGGGCCTTGGGCAAGTCATTACACCTTCCTGAACGTCAGTTTCATCACTTGCAAAACTGCAGCTTCCCAGGGAGGTCTGTGGATTAAATGCAGTATCTGTATGAAAAGCAGTTGGCACACTGTCCTCCCTGGGGAGAACACACCTGACTACAAAAGGAGTCATCATAGCAGCAGAAGCAGCTGTTCTGTTTCTTAATGCCCGGTGCCTGCCAGGCTCTGTGCTCGGCCCTTTAGACATGTTCTGCCTTGCTCAAATGCTCCTCAAGGTGGATCCAACAGGCTCTGCTCTCCCCACCGCCTGACTGTGCTCAGATGGAGGGCTAAGGGAGGAGCTGACCGGAGGTCAATCCTATAACAGATCCTAGTAGGAAGGGATGAGCATTCGGGTAAGAGCTACGAGGGCTACGGCAGCTGCAGAGGGAAGGGAAGGATGGACACCAGGAACACAGCAGAAGTTTCATCAACTCCTGGACGGGAGTCAAGGAGATGGAAGAGGGGAGGGAAGGCCAAGAACAAAAGATGGAAATCAAGATGGGGAAAGGGGGAAGCCAGAAAGACAACCAAGGGAAGGAGAAGTGAGTTTCAGATCTCCCTTAGCAACCAGGACCAGTCCAACTGGTAGTCAGAAACCACCTGGGGCTGGAGAGAGAAGACAAGCTCCACAAAAGAATACAGTAACAGCTCAAAGCAGGACAACAGACAAGATTCACTAAGTGAGAAGACTGAAGACAAACCCTTAGAGAACATCTGCATTTAGGGACACGAACAGGGAAAACAAGTGACAGTAACAAAAAGCAGGCCAGGTACAGTGGCTCACGCCTCTAATTCCAGCACTTTCGGAGGCCAAGGCGGGCAGATCACCTGAGGTCGGGAGTTTGAGACCAGCCTGGCCAATATGGCAAAACCCCATCACTACTAAAAAAAAAAAAAAAAAAAAAAAACACACACACACACACAAATTAGCCAGGCGTGGTGGTGGGAGCCTGTAATCCCAGCTACTCGGGAGGCTGAGGCTGGGAAAATTGCTTGAACCCGGGAGGCAGAAGTTGCAGTGAGCCAAGATCATGCCACTGCACTCCAGCCTGGGTGACACAATGATACTCCATCTTGGAAAGAAAGAAAATAATAATAACAAAGAGCAAAAGGTGTAACAGAGAGGAAGAAACCCAGGTGGTTAGAAGGAGGTCTACTGGTGGGGTCAACTGCTGTGGAGATGCCAAATGAGATGAGGACGACAGAGACCAGGGAGCCTCCAGAGATCTCAGAAAGCACAGCTCCCACCAGGCCAGAACTTACAGTGGCCCACGTAATTAAGCAGGCACTTCACTTACATATAATTAACTGCTTCCCTTCCTGGACTTGCCCAGTGGAAGCAAAGTGGGTTTAATTTGCTGCCTTTTTGGAGAGGCCATGGTCAAGGCAGAATGAGGAATTTTGAGTGCCACAATTAACTCAGAAGAAAATGCCACTGAAGGGTAGAGATTTTGGCCATTCTACTACTAGGACACAATGTGAACCTCCAGGAATCTACCTGTCAGAGAACTCTAACTTGTGAGTGCTAGAGATCAAAGTAATTAACGCAAGAATAAGGCTCTCCCCAGCAATTCCAAGAGGACATGCCAACAGAATTGCACCACGGGACCACAGAGGTGTAATTGTCTCCCCGTAACCACACAATCCCTCATGCCTCGCCGCAGCCTCGCCTCTGTGGGAAGACCCTGAACACAGCCTCGCCACAGGTTACAGCCCCAAGGCAGCCAAGAAAATGCACTTGATCATGTGAGGTCCCTTTATTTAAAAAAAAAAAAAAAAAAAAAAAAGAATTATGGTACAGGGAAGGATTAACACAGCAAAGTGAACGAGGTTCTCTCACCAGTTTTTTAAAACAGGAAGACACAGACATAATGTTTCTAAAATAAAATGCTAGACAATGAACTGATATCACCAATCTCACACCATGTTCAAATAAAAGAACATCCAAACCAAGATTCAGGCCTCCAGATGAACACATCTGCTTGGAAGGAATCATCCATACCTGTTTCCCTGACTCTAGTGAGTCAAAACTATCGCAGCTCTCCTCTGACGAGAGGGTTTCCATGGGAACATCATCTCGGAAGCCAACAAACTCTTCATCATCACTGGGGGCGTTAAAGATGTCAGCCACTTCTTTAGGGATCTGTTTTGGATTCAAAAGAGGCAGGATTAAACCAGGGGTTCTTGCTAATCACTTAGGGACATTTTCTGGAGGGGAGGAGAGATCTCATCACTTCATCCAACTGCCACGGTTGCCCAGAAGTCCCCAGTAACCCTCAGCAAAACACTCTTCAGCTAAGAACTCATGGCAAAATAAGGTGTGGGGTGGGTGGGGGAGATAAAACTTAAAATTCTAGATATACACCCTATTTTACAGAGAATGTTAAAACCAGGCCAGAGAGAAGACATGTTTGATCTCTTGACAAAAAGAAAAATTGTTTCTAAGAACCAATGATCTCTTTTTTCTCCTACAGTGGATGCATCTTTAAATGTCATCTACATAAAAAAGATGCCATAAAATATCATTAAGCACTTTTCTTAATGTTCACCTACACTATTTATTTTTCTCTTCTTTGTCATAGGCTGATTCAGAAAGTAGAAAGTTCATACAATGAAATAAGTAGCTTTTCTTCTTTTCTATATTGTAAGTCAACTTAAGTAGCTGGGGATTAATTCTAACAGAATTCAAATGCTATTAGGGGATAATTGATCCCAGAGAGAACAATGTCAGCACACTTAATCCACAAATATGTATCTGCTGGAGTTCATTTTTGTAAGTTGACTATTTTCTCCCAATTCTTTGTTTTAAAAAAGTTCAAACACACAGAAATGTGAAAAAATAGTACAAACACCTGTTGATTCTTTATCTAGACCCATTATTGGTCACTGCATTTGCTTTCTTTCTCTGTTTCAACAAATATTAGGTTGAACCATGGGCATTTGCTGATATTTGGCTGTTTTTAACTTAGGAAAATAGCAATTTAATATGAGCCAACCTAATCCATATATTCCCACACATTGATTAAAGTAATTTGCAAACATTGTATTGATTGGCCCGAATATAATTCAGCACATATCTCCCACGGATAAGGACATTCTCCCATAGAACCACAAAACCATAATTGTACCGAAAATAATTAACATTAATTCAATAGTACGATTTACTGTAACTCTATATTTTAATATCTGCAACTGTTCTATTTGATTTTTATGACACTGTTTTTTGTTGTTTTTCACAACACTGACTTTCTTTTTAGATAGACCATGACAACTGCCTTGTAGAATGTCATGTATTCTGAGCTTATCTGAGTGTTTCCTCATGATTAGATTCAGGTTATGTATTTTTGTCACCATTCTACATAGGTGACATGTACTCCTCAATGCATTGCATAAGGGGGCACAAAATGTCAAGTTATCCCACTATTAATTAGTAATTTTTAAAAAATTTTTCATTATAAAAACTTTCAAAGATATTTCAAAAGTAGATGGGAAGATATTGTAATGAGCACACATTGATCCTCCCCGTAATTATCTGCCCAAGGCTAACTGTGCTTCCCCTGGATCCCGACCCAACTCCCCTTCTTCTAAATTATTGTGAGGCAACTGTAGACATAGTATCATGTCACTCTGTATCATCATCAAATGTGCAGTCTGTATTCACAGTTCTTCTGCCTCATTTTTTAAAAACTTAGTTTATCTGCATCATGATCCAAATAAGGTTCACACTGATCAACATGGCTCTTAAATCCCTTCTCATCACTCCTTTATCTCTTTTCTCTTGCAGTTTATTTTTGAAGAAGCTGGGTCACTTGACTGTGGAGTCTGTCCAAGTCTGAAGTTTTATTTTTTTTGCATCCCCAAGGTGGTGTTTAACAGACTCATTTGGGTTTACAATTTGGGAGTTGAATCCGGAGGCTTTACTTCTAGTTGGCTTGCTTTTGCCAAGACTACTTTTTAGGAAGTGCTATGTTCTTCCTTTGGAAAGCACATAAGGTCTGGCTGTCTCTTTTTTTAGTGATGTTGCTGTTTGGTCAATAAGTTAAGGTGGAATCAGCCTGATTTGTTCTTCGCTTTTAAAACAAAACAAAACAAAAAACAATAACAACAACAAAAAACACCCTTTCTCCTTTGTCACTAATAAGGAATATGCAGAGTGAGACTTGAGATTCTGTGAATAGCCTCCCTGATAACATCTTGCTCAACAGTTTCAGCGTCCATTGACAATTCTTTTTTTTTATATTTTTTATTTTAATAAAGACAGGGTCTATGTTACCCAGGCTGGTCTCAAATTCCTTGCCTCAAGTGATCCTCTCACCTCAGCCTCCCAAAGTGCTGGGATTACAGGCATGAGCCAGGGCACCCTTGAATGAATTATTACATTAGGGACTGCAAAAGAGAAATTTTCAGATTTTCTCTCTCCTTCACAAAGTAGCTGGCATTCTTGTATAATATAGTCTTTCTCTCACTCTCCCCCTTTTCTTCTACCATGTATATCCATGGATTTCTAAAAATTATTATTAAATGTGTTATAATCCATACTCTCATAATGCTGACTGTCCCAAATTTGGCCATTGGGAGCTTCTTGGAAAGTCATCCTCTGTCTTTCTGACATGGCACTAAGGGTCTTTCAACACCTCCTTGCTTTCTGACACAAGCATGGCAAGCTAACCTTGTATGTTTCCTGTCCCAGACCTCAAATCAGCCATTTCTCCAAGGAGCCCTGAAACCTTTCACTGGGAAATGGCATTTAAAAACCAAGCTCGGAGAACACAATGCATCTCGGTTAATTAAGTATCACTGCTTGTAGGCTCTTTGGACAGAGCAAGGATATTTTAAATAGGTAAATCACAAGTTCATGGTGACACCCTGAATTCAAATCCAACACGGAGGCTTCTTCCTCTGCTCCCTCATCTCTCCCTCATCTCACATTAGCATCGCCGTTCCACCACAAGGAAAACCCTCGATTCCCAAAATTTTTAATATACTTATCCATGTGGTGCTCTATCTACAATAAACACAAAATAGCGCCAAACTGACGCCACCAATATACTACCAACAACAAACAGTGCAGTTCAAGATTTCTTTGCAGTTCTTTCTAGCCCTGGAACATAGTCTCACTATACACAGGATCTTTTCCTTCAGCTAACCAGATGATCATTGTACATGGTTATGCAAAAATGTTTCACATGTACTTCCCATTTCATCATGCAGTATATTAAAAAGATGTCCTTAACAGTTGAGACTTAATAATTTTTACTGTTTCATCAGAACATTCTTATGTGAAACTGACATTTTCTTTTTAAATTGAGTGCATGGAGGTGAATGCAATGACTACTAATACAGTTTGTTGCTACCACCTGGATTCATGCTAAAGATCAGCAGTTTTCTCCACTTTGGCTTTTGCACAATCAGTGCAAATATCAACACAGCAAAAAGGGCAAATAATCTTAGTATTATTATGACATTACATTCGCCCTCATGGACCCGTGAAAGGGTCTCAGGTCCTCCATCTCACACTTTGACCACTGCACTAGCATATACAGAGTTGTGTATTCAAAAGCTACTTAGCTTCGTGGAATTCTCTGTGTGGGTGTGTTGACTTAATTTTACATTTAGTCAGGTTCCATTTAGGAAACTGGTAATCCTTAATCTATTTACTTTCATCCTTATTTTAATGCTTCTTGATTAAAAATAATTAGAAAATAATGGTTCAATCAAAGGAAGTGTAACATAAATACAGAAATGGGATACCCCAAGTTCAGTGATGCTGAAGGGTTAATACAAACACTTTCCCACCATCTAATAAAATCACTGCAAGGGACAAACAAGAACAACACTTACAGAAGTAGAGTTCCACTAACAATTTTTTTACCAGCCACACGTAGTGCAGCACTAGCAAAGCCTAACTCTGACATCATTCTTGGGGAAAATATTGAAACTTTTCTCAAGGAGGTATGTTAAACAATGTTTGCCACCTTATCTTTTCAAAGACACCTTTTGTTGTTGTTTAGCACTCAGAACTAATACGCAAGGAAAACACCCAGACTAGAGAAACACAGACAATACTTATGAAAGTGTGCCTATGTTGTAGCTACATAATAGCCACTGAGTTCAGTCCCTGCAGAGGCACTAAGAGGGACAGTGTGTCAATTTCAGTCTTTTTCTTTTGGCCTTCTCACCATTCTACAAAATTCAAACAGCCCTGCTGGCCCAGAAGCTTCTTTTAACATAAATGGTTTAAAGGAGGAGGAGCACCCCATTTATGGATTTAATGGAAATACATACAAGGAATGGAGAGGGTTGGTGATAGGAATAAACTGCTTCCAGCAGCAACTGCATTAGTCCCTGTGCTATTGTGTTCAGCCCCACCACTGCTGCGAGCCTGTGTCTGACTAGCTAATTCCTCCTTCTGCATCTTTGACTTCTGCATCTGCTCCAGAGGTACCATTAGGGGGCTATAATTACTGATTAGGAACAAAAGGAAAGAGCACACTTTCAAAAAAACGGTGTGCATTCCTGGGGTACGCAGGGCTCTGATCCTTCAAAAGGTATTAAAAGAGTTTCAGATAGTCACAAGCTTCAAGATTTGCCAAAAAAAAAAAAAAAACTGTAAAATATTCAAGTGTCCTCAATGCAACGAACTGATTTGTCTAACAGATGCAACAAAGGCAGCAAGATTTATATGAGAAGGACCTGATAGAAAGGATACACAGGGACCTCTTCTAATGAATGACCAGTTCCACAACACAGTGATACATTAGGCCCAAGGATCTGTCACTTTCCTGTTCCATTCAGCAGCGATCCACTGGGTAGCTGCATAGTCTAGACAAAAATGCAAGACCTTTTTTTTTTTTTTTCAAAGTTTGTGTTCCATTCTATTACAATAAAGCCAATCATAAGACTCACCAAAAAGAAAACTACAACAAGTAACTGAAAACAACAAAAATACAAAATTTCTCAATCAATGGATATTTACATTAGTTGAACTTCTGAATTAGGATAACTACTATCTAGTGAACCAAAAAAAAAAGGGAAAATTCTCATCTGAAAGTGAAAAGACCGTTTCATTATTTATAATACTTGTTAAAAATCGACAACTTCATGCTATTCCTTTCATGTACAGTTTCTGTTTGTCTACTCTGTCTTTATTGGAATTAACAGTGTGAATATCATCAAAAGTCATATGGGGGACCAGGATTCAATTCTATGAGAACACAGGTACTAGAATGGAATCCACAGGCACCTAACATAGAGCCCAGCCTAAAGCAGATGATCAACAAACCCTTGCTGAAAGCATTTACATGCATCTGACTTTGTAGCCATTTTCTTAAGAAAGGTGTATTTTACTAGGAAAATACTAAGTCAAAAAGGTACACTCTGTGACATTCCTACATGAGGGGAATTAAAAATTTTCACCCAGAATCCTAAGACATCTTTCTACAAAGCAGTCATATTCACAGCTCCCCTTTCAGAAAGGACTGCAGGTTTCCCTTATAAGCCATACAGATTACCTGAGAGCTTTTCTCTGAAATACATTATGCCAACTCAACAGGCTTTGGGGCCAAGCAGGTGGGTAACAGGGCAGTAGGTCAGCTGTAGGACAATATGGGATGGTGCTGACTGGTAGGCTGAACACATATATCAGGGAAGGCAGGCCACTCCTCCACTCCAGCTGATCACTGCCCTGCAGGAACAGGGGTCTGGTGTGTCTGACCTCCAACATTCCCAGAGAACCTGAGAATCTGAGTGTTGGTAAGAAACTTCCCATCTACAGACTGGATCTCAAACTTGTTCAGGGAACATGCACGGTGGAACTCATAGGGCTCTGTGGGACACCAAGGAAACTGCAAATGCCAGAATTCCAAATATTACCAACAGTATTAATATATCTACTAGTGCCTAGTAGTAATAGTAGAGGGCATCAAAGTGTTAAGAAGATTAAGAAAAACTTTATATCCTTTCCCTTATTCATGGCATCATGATTCACAAGAGCCAAAAGGTGGAAGCAATCCAAGTATCCATCGATGGATAAATGGATAAACAAAATGTGAGACATACATATAATTGAATATTATTCAACACTAAAAAGGAAGGAAATTATGACACATGCCACAACATGGATGAACTTTGAAGACGTTATGCTAAATGATAATAACCCAGTCTCGATAAAACCAAGAACGGTATGATTCTACTTATAACAGGTACCTAGAGTGGTTGAATCCTCGGAGACAGCAGAATGGCACTTGCCAGATGCTGAGGGGAGGGAGAAACGTGGAGTTACTGTTTAATGGATACAGATTCAGCTTTCCAAGATGGAAAGAGTTTTGGAATTTAAATATGCTTAACACTACTGAACCATACATTTTAAAATGGCTAAGATAGGAGATTTTATGTTATATGTATCTTAGCACAATTTAAAAAGAATTCAACGAAAAAAGACAAGAAAGACAATTTAAGCCAGGCATGGTGGTTCATACCTGTAATCCCAGCACTCTGGGAGGCCGAGGCAGGAAGATCACTTGACCCCAGGGGTTTGAGACCAGCCTAGGCAACATGGTGAGACCCCGTCTCTACCAAAAAAGATACAAAAATCAGCTGGGTTGTGGTGGCGTGTGCCTGTAGTCCCAGCTACTCATGAAGCTAAAATGGGAGGATCGGTTGAGCCCATGAGTTAGAGGCTGCATGCAGTGAGCTATGATCATACCACTACACTACAGTCAGGGTGTCAGTGAGACCCTGTCTCTAAAAGAGAAAAAGAAAAAAAGAAAAACCGGGGTAGAGGGGAATTTTTCCTTCCTTAAGTGAATGAAATCTTCCAAACTGACAGAACAAGTCCAGACCTTAGCCTAGTTTTAATGGTACCATCACTTTAGGGGCATGTGGCTTAAGAACCCAACTCTCTCACCTAAGGGAGGTTCAGATACATCATTGTAGGTGCCAAGGCTTCAGCTTTAGTGTCTGACCAACCAGGTATCTGAGCCTGTAAGCCCATTAGTTAACTGATAGTCTGGAGGACAAAGCTGTTTGCAGAACCACACTTGGCTGAAATCCAGCTTTGTTCTATCCCAGCTAAGCTATACTAATAAAAATAAACCCTGCTGAGTTGCTGCTGGCTTCTCGTTGAGTAGGTGCCTTTCAGGCATACAAAGCAGTGCTCTGGAGGTCTCCATACCATTTTGACCTTTGTCAGCCTGAGTCTCCATTAAAATTCAATTTAAAAAACTAATAAGCTATAAAAAGATCATCAAACTGTCAGTTGGTATTCAATCAAGTATTTACCTTTGAAAATATTTTAACGTGAAGTATTGTTCATTTAAAACTTTATATTGTGAAATTAAGTATAATATTTTTTAAATTAAAGCTTTTCCATAACTCAATGATATCTAAATTCATCCTTCCTGGATTAAAAAATACAACCTCCTACCCAGAAGGAACACATTTATCAGTATTAGTTTTTGAAGAGAAAGAAAATAAGATTCACTTTTTAGGCCAACTGATACAAGGGCTGATTCTGATATACTCCAAGAATATTCAGTGTACATTTCACCTAGAAGCAAGCTCTATTTTAAGATTTAAAAAGCAGACAAAAGATATTTATGCACACTACTGCATTTTCCTTATTAAGTGTTTTGAAAGCAATTTTGATAGCAATGACAGCAGAATTTGCAAGGTGTACTATCTTGCATCTATGAAAAGAGATCTACACAGAGGAGAGCATTCCTTCCTCTTTAACACACCACGAAGGGCGAGAACTGTTATTTTCTTATGCAAAATCATTTCTTTGAATTTTTTACAAATAAATTTGTTGGCCCATAAGAAAAGTACATACCATGCACCAACCACAAGAACTAACTCAAAATGGATCACAAACTTGAATATAAAACTATAAAACTTTTAGAAGAGGAGAAAATCTTTGTGACCTTAAGTTAGGCAAAGAATTCTTAAGATACAACACCAGATACAACACAATACAGATCTTTAAAATGTGTAAAGTAAACAATCAAAATTAAGAACTTCTGCTCTTCAGAAAACACCGTTAAGAGAATGAAAAGGAAAGCCACACACTGGGAGAAAATATCTGCAAATGCTGTCTCTGATTTGCACCCAGAAAATATAAAGAATTCTCATAATTCAATAAAAAGAAAACAAATAAATCAGATGGTCGACGAGTTAAATGGTAAACAAGCACAAAAGAGAATTAAATTAACACACACATGCATCTGACCTCTGAATGGGGAGGACTTTCACCAATCACGTAAAGGAGACCAAAATGGAAAAGTAGATCACTGACCATGTAACAGTTTAAAGCTTGCTACTTAAAAGAAGAAAATTCAGAAACAAAAACAAACAAACAAACAAAAAAAGGTAGGGCAAAGATCTGACAAAAATATGACAAATTATTAAAATTGCTAAAAACCTCATACAAAATGAAATATATACCATGGCCACACAGACAAAATGGCAAAACAAAGAAAACTCACTAGGGAAAACAAAAGAGGCTAAAAACACTTTAAAAGTCCTCAGCCTACCTAGTAATGAAAAGAATGGCAAGTAAAACAAGTATTCTTTTCATCTAGCAATTTAGCAACATTTTGCTTCCATTTTTAAGGGCATGCTCAATGATGGGGAAGGTGTGAGGAGACAAACACTTCTATACAGAACTGGTATGAGGACACTGAACCCAAGGCTTCAGAAACTAAGTACCATCATATACATCTAAAATAGGGCAGTTAATTTTTAAAAAATTAAATACAGTGCAATTTCAAGACTGCCAGGAAAATGTAGCTAAACTCAGGGTGAAGGCGTATATGAATTACTATTAGCAGTTAAGAGAATCATAAAATCAAGGATTATCAGGCCAAGTGTGGTGGCTCATGCCTGCAATCCCAGTGCTGTGGGAGACCAAGGCAGGAGGATCACTTGAGCCTAGGAGTTCAAGACTAGCCTGGGCAATACAGCAAGACTCCAGCTCTACAAAACATAAAAAATTAGCCAGGCATAGTGGCATGTCTGTAGTCCCAGCTACTTGGGAGGCTGAGGAGGGAGGATTGATTGAGCCCAGGAGTTCAAGGCTGCTATTAGCTATGATCCTGCCACTGTAACAGAGGAAGACCCTATCTCAAACAATTAAAGAAGAAAAAAAAAGATCATCAGATTGTGATGGGATCTCATCCATCAGTTTGTGCTTCATATAATGGGAGTGACAGCCAGACACAGAGGCACACACCTGTAGTCCCAGCTACTTAGATGGCCTAGGCAGGATAGCTTAAGTCCAAGAGTTCAAGTTCAGCCTGGGCAACAAAGCAAGACCCTATCTCTATAAGAAATAAAAATAAAGTAAAATTAGGGCAACCACAGTTAGACTTACTCAAAGGCATGTAGCTTGTTAGTGTCCTTACATTAAAAACATTTCCAAGCATCTAAATAAGAAAACGATCTGTTTTTCTATAACTATATATTAATTAGTATTCAGCAGTTAATAAAAAAAATACAAACTCATGTTAACACCAACAGCACAAGCAACAATTCGAGGAAAATAATAAACTGGAATTCATCAAAATTAAAAACTGTTGTGCATCAAAGGACAGCAAGAAAGTGAAAAGAAAAATCTGCAGAATGGGAGAAATAGCTACAAATCATGTATCTAATAAGGATCTACTATCTAGAATATATAAAGATTTCTTACAACTCAAGAAAAAGGCAAACAACCAATCAAAAAATAGGTGAAGAATTTGAACAGACCTTTCTCCAAGGAAGCTATACAAATGACAAACAAGTACATAAAAATACACACATCAGTGGTCATTAAGGAACTGCAAACCAAAAATAGGTAATACTGGCTGGATACAGTGGCTCATGCCTGTAATCCAAGCATTTTGGAAGGCTGAGGCAGGAGGATCACTTAAGCTCAGTTCTAGACCAGCCTGGGCAATGTAGCAAGACCCCATCTCAAAAAAAAAAATGTTTTTTAATTACCTAGGCATGATGGCACATGCCTGTAGTCCCTGCTACTTGGGAGCCTGAGGCAAAAGGAGCTCTTAAGCCTGCGAGTTTGAGGCTGCAGTGAGCTGTGATCAAGGCACTGCATTTTAGCCTGGGTGACAGAGCAAGACCCTGGCTCACAACTAATAATAATAACAATAATAATAAAGACATTGAATAGAAGCCATGGGGAGTGGAAAAAAGCCACACACAGGTCCAGGCAAGACAGTATGTTCAGAAAAGATCTAAGATGATCTTCAGTTTTCAGGGTCAGAACATACCCAGCCAATCTTTTAAAGATTTCCCTAGCACAGAGTCAGTCTGCAAAGACTGGAAGAGGTGGCCACTTCTCGAATATTTAATTCTCAACAAAAGAACAAAGACATATAAAAAAGAAGAAAAACCTGGCCCATTCAAAGAAGCAAAATTAATTGACAGAAACTTTCCCAGAGGAAAACACTGGACTTACTAGACAGACACTGGACTTACTAGACAAAGAAAACTATCCTATGCTGAAAGAACAAAAAGCACAAAGAACTAACGTGAATCTGGAAAACGAGCAAAATGAGCCTATTAACAAAGAGAAATGAAGAAGGACTCCAACAGAAATTATGGAGCTGAAAAAAATAGAATGACCAAGTTGAAAATTTCACTAGAGTGGTTTAAAAACAGATTTGAGGAGGCAGGCAAATCAGCAAATCTGAAGATAATGCATTTGAAAATACTGAGTCAGAGGAGAAAAAAATTAGAGGAGAAAAAGTTAAAAAGAATACAGAAGAGTGAAAACAGCCTAAACTACTTCTTTAGGCACACCAATATAGGAATGATGGGAGACTCAGAAAGAAAACAGAGAGAAAAAGAGACAAAGATTATTTGATACGACAGTGGATGAAAACTCCCCAAACTGGCTGAAAGGCATGAATTGGAATACATCCCAGAAGCTCAAGGAATTCCAAGTAGGACAACTCGGAAGAGGTCCTTTCAAAGACACCATATAATCAAATATTAAAAGCCTAAAGACAATCTTGAAAGTAGTCACATACAAGTGACACTCAACAAGATTATCAGCTGTTCAGCCCCAGTCAGGGGTTTACAGATAAAACCCCCATCTCCCTGGGACAGAGCACCTGGGAAAGGCGTGGCTGTGGGCCCAGCTTAAGCAGACTTAAACGTCTCTGCCTGCCAGCTCTAAAGGAGCAGCAGATCTCCCAGCACAGCGTTCAAGCTCTGCTAAGGGACAGACTTGCCTTCTCAAGTGGGTCCCTGACTCCATGCCTCCTGACTGGGAGACACTTCCCAGCAGGGGTCAACAGACACCTCATACAGGAGCGATCCGGCTGGCATCTGGTGGTTGCCCCTCTGGGATGAAGCTTCCAGAGGAAGAAAACAGGCAGCAATCCTTTGCTGTTCTGCAACCTCGCAAACGGTCTGGAGCGGGCCTCCAGCAAACTAACTCCAGCAGACCTGCAGCAGAGGGGCCTGACTGTTAGAAGAAAAACTAACAAACAGAAAGGAATAGCATCAACATCAACAAAAAGGACTTCCACTCAGAATCCCCATCCGAAGGTCACCAACATCAAAGACCAAAGGTAGATAAATCCACGAAGATGAGGAAAAACCAGCACAAAAAGGCTGAAAATTCCAAAAACCAGAATGCCTCTTCTCCTCCAAAGGATCACAACTCCTTACCAGCAAGGGAACAAAACTGGATGGAGAATGAGTTTGATGAATTGACAGAAGTACGCTTCAGAAGGTGGGTAATAAACTCCTCCGAGCTAAAGAAGCATGTTCTAACTCAATACAAGGAAACTAAGAACCTTGAAAAAAGGTTAGAGGAATTGCTAACGAGAATAACCAGGTTAGAAAAGAACATAAATGACCTGATGGAGCTGAAAAACACAGCACGAAAACTTCATGAAGCATACACAAGTATCAATAGCCAAATCGATCAAGCAGAAGAAAGGATATCAGAGACTGAAGATCAACTTAATGAAATAAAGCATGAAGAGAAGATTAGAGAAAAAAAGAGTGAAAAAGGAACAAAAAAAGCCTCCAAGAAATATGGGACTATGTGAAAAGACCAAATCTACGTTTGACTGGTGTACCTCAAAGTGACGAGGAGAATGGAACCAAATTGGAAAACACTCTGCACGATATTATCCAGGAGAACTTCCCCAACCTAGCAAGACAGGCCAACATTCAAACTCAGAAAATACAAAGAATACCACAAAGATACTCCTCGAGAAGAGCAACCCCAAGACACATAATCATCAGATTCAGCAAGATTGAAATGAAGGAAAAAAGGTTAAGGGCAGCCAGAGAGAAAGGTCAGGTTAACCACAAAGGGAAGCCCATCAGACTAACAGCGGATCTCTAGGCAGAAACCCTACAAGCCAGAAGAGGGTGGGGTCAATATTCAACATTCTTAATGAAAAGAATTTTCAACCCAGAATTTCATATCCAGCCAAACTAAGCTTCATAAGTGAAAGAGAAATAAAATCCTTTACAGACAAGCAAATGCTGAGAGATTTTGTCACCACCAGGCCTGCCTTATAAGAGTTCCTGAAGGAAGCACTAAACATGGAAACGAAAAACTGGTATCAGCTACTGCAAAAACATACCAAATTATAAACACCACTGACACTATGAAGAAACTGCATCAACTAACAGGCAAAATAACCAGCTAGCATCATAATAACAGGATCAAATTCACACATAACAATATTAATCTTAAGTGTAAATGGGCTAAATGCCCCAATTAAAAGACACAGACCGGCAAATTGGATAAAGAGTCAAGACCCATCGGTGTGCTGTATTCAGGAGACCCATCTCACACCCAAAGACACACATAGGCTCAAAATAAAAGGATGGAGGAATATTATCCAGCAAATGGAAAGCAAAAAAAAAAAAAAAAAAAAAAAAAGCAGGGATTGCAATCCTAGTCTCTAATAAAACAGACTTTAAACCAATGAAGATCAAAACAGACAAAGAAGGGCATTACATAATGCTAAAGGGATCAATCCAACAAGAGCAGCTAACTACACTAAATATATATGCACCCAATACAGGAGCACCCAGATGCATAAAGCAAGTTCTTAGAGACCTACAAAGAGACTTAGACTCCCACACAATAATAGTGGGAGACTTTAACACGCCACTGTCACTATTAGATCAAAGAGACAGCAAATTAATAAGGATATTCAGGACTTGAACACAGCTCTGGACCAAGCAGACCTAATAGACATCTACAGAACTCTCCACCCCAAATCAACAGAATATACATTCTTCTCAGCACCACATCAGACTTATTCTAAAATTGACCACATAACTGGAAGTAAAACACTCCTCAGCAAATGCAAAAGAACGGAAATCATAACAAACAGTCTCTCAGACCAAGTGCAATCAAATTGGAACTCAGGATGAAGAAACTCACTCAAAACCGCACAACTACATTGAAACTGAACAACCTGCTCCTGAATGACTACAGGGTAACTAACGAAATCAAGACAGAAATAAATAAGTTCTTTGAAACCAATGAGAACAAAGACAACATACCAGAATCTCTGGGACACAGCTAAAGCAGTGTTGAGAGGGAAATTTATAGCACTAAATGCCCACAAGAGAAAGCAGGAAAGATCTAAAATTGACACCCTAGCATCACAATTAAAAGAACTAGAGAGTGGCCGGGTGCAGTGGCTCTCGCCTGTAATCCTAGCACTTTGGGAGGCCGAGGTGGGCAGATCACGAGGTCAGGAGTTCGAGACCAGCCTGGCCAAGATAGTGAAACCCTGTCTGTACTAAAAACACAAAAAAATTAGCTGGGCGTGGTGGCGGGTGCCTGTAATCCCAGCCACTTGGGAGGCTGAGGCAAAAAGAATCGCTTGAACCTGGGAGGCGGAGGTTGCAGTGAGCCAAGATTACGCCATTGCACTCCAGCCCCGGCAACAGTGCAAGACTCCGTCTCAAAAAAAAAAAAAAAAAAAAAAAAAAGAACTAGAGACGCAAGAGCCATCAAATTCAAAAGCTAGCAGAAGATAAGAAATAACTAAGATCACAGCAGAACTGAAGGAGACAGGGACATGAAAAACCCTTCAAAAAAATCAATGAATCCAGGAGTTGGTTTTTTGAAAAGATCAACAAAATAGACCGCTAGCCAGACAAAGAAGAAAAGAGAGAAGAATCAAATAGACACAATAAAAAATGATAAAGGGGGTATCACCACTGATCCAACAGAAATACAAACTACCATCAGAGAATACTATAAACAGCTCTACACAAATAAACTAGAAAATCTAGAAGAAATGGATAAATTTCTGGACACATACACCCTCCCAAGTCTAAACTAGGAAGAAGTCAAATTCCTGAAGACCAATAACAAGTTCTGAAATTGGGGCAGTAATTAATGGCCTGCCAACCAAAAGAGTCTAGGACCAGACAGATTTACAGCCAAATTCTACCAGAGGTACAAAGAGGAGCTGGTACCATTCCTTCTAAAACTATTCCAAACAACAGAAAAAGAGGGAATCCTCCCTAACTCATTTTATGAGACCAGCATCATCCTGATACCAAAACCTGGCAGAGACACAACAAAAAAAGAAAATTTCAGACCAGTATCCCTGATGAACGAAGATTTTCACATTGGCAATAAAATACTGGCAAACCAAATCCAGCAGCACATCAAAAAGCTTATCCACCAGGATCAAGTTGGCTTCATCCCTGGGATGCAAGGCTGGTTCAATATATGCAAATCAATAAACATAATCCATCACATAAACAGAACCAATGACAAAAACCACATGATTATCTCAATATATGCAGAAAAGGCCGTCAATAAAATTCAACACCGATTCCTGCTAAAAACTCTCAGTAAACGAGGTATTGATGGAACAGATCTCAAAATAATAACAGCTATTTATGACAAACCCACAGCCAATATCATACTGAATGGGCAAAAGCTGGAAGCATTCCCTTTGAAAACCAGCGCAAGACAAGGATGCTCTCTCTCACCACTCCTATTCAACATTCTGATTCTTCCTATCCGTGAGCATGGAATATTTTTCCATTTTCCATTGCCAGGGCAATCTGGCAAGAGAAAGAAATAAAAAGTATTCAAATAGGAAGAGAGGAAGTCCAACTGTCTCTGTTTGCAGATGACATGACTGTATATTTAGAAAATCCCATCGTCTCAGCCCCAAAACTCCTCAAGCTGATAAGCAACTTCAGCAAAGTCTCTGGATACAAAATTAATGTGCAAAAATCACAAGCATTCCTATATACCAATAATAGAGAGCAAAATCATGAGTGAACTCTCATTTACAATTGCTACAAAGAGAATAAAATACCTAGGAATACTACTTACAAGGGAAGTGAAGGATCTCTTTAAGGAAACTACAAACCACTGCTCAAGGAAGTAAGAGAGGAAACAAACAAATGGAAAAATATTCCATGCTCATGGATAGGAAGAATCAGTATCATGAAAATGGCCATACTGCCCAAAGTAATTTATAGATTCAATGCTATCCCCATCAAGATACCAATGACTTTCTTTACAGAATTACAAAAATCTACTTTAAATTTCATGTGGAACCAAAAATGAGCCTGTATAGCCAAGACAATCCTAAGCAAAAAGAACAAAGCTAGAGGCATCATGCTACCTGATTTCAATCTATACTACAAGGCTACAGTAACCAAAACAGCATGGTACTGGTACCAAAACAGATATACAGACCAATGGAACAGAACAGAGGCCTCAGAAATAACACCACACATCTACAGCCATCTGATCTTTGACAAATCTGACAAAAACAAGCAGTGGGGAAAGGATTCCCTATTTAATAAATGGTGCTGGGAAAACTGGCTAGCCATATGCAGAAAACTGAAACTGGACCCCTTCCTTGCACCTTGTACAAAAATTAACTGAATATGGATTAAAGACTTAAATGTAAAACCTAAAACCATAAACACCCTAGAAAAAAACCTAGGCAATACCATTCAGGACATAGGCAGGGGCAAGGACTTCATGACTAAAACACCAAAAGCAATGGCAACAAAAGCCAGAATTGACAAATGGGATCTAATTAAACTAAAGAGCTTCTGCACAGCAAAAGAAACTATCATCAGAGTGAACAGGCAACTTACAGAATGGAAGAAAATTTTTGTAATCTACCCATATGACAAAGGGCTAATATCCAGAATCTACAAGGAAATTAAACAAATTTATAAGAAAAAAAAAAAGAACAACTTCATCAAAAAGTGGGCGAAAGATATGATACTTCTCAAAAGAAGACATTTATACTGCCAACAAACATATGAAAAAAAGCTCATCATCACTGGTCATTAAAGAAATGCAAATCAAAACCACAATGAAATACCATCTCGTGCCAGTTAGAATGGCGAACATTAAAAAGTCAGGAAACAACAGATGCTGGAGGGGATGTGGAGAAATAGGAATGCTTTTACACTGTTGGTGGGAGTGTAAATTAGTTCAACCATTGCAGAAGACAGTGTGGCGATTCCTCAAGGATCTAGAACCAGAAATACCATTTGACCCAGCAATCCATTACTGGGTTTATACCCAAAGGATTATAAATCATTCTACTATAAAGACACATGCACATGTATGTTTATTGTGGCACTGTTCACGATAGCAAAGACTTGGAACCAACCCAAATGCCCATCAATGATAGACTGGATAAAGAAAATGTGGCACATATACACCATGGAATACTATGCAGCCATAAAAAAGGATGTGTTCATGTCCTTTGCAGGGACATGGATGAAGCAGGAAACCAGCTAAATTATCAGCAAACTAACACAAGAACAGAAAACCAAACACCACATATTCTTATTCATAGTTGGCAGGTGAACAATGAGAACACATGGACATGGGAAGAGGAACATCACACACTGGGGCCCGTCGGGGTTGGGGGACTAGAGGAGGGATATCATTAGGAGAAATAACTAATGTAGACGACGGGTTAATGGGTGCAGCAAACCACCATGGCACATGTATACCTATGTAACAAACCTGCACGTTCTGCACATGCATCCCAGAACTTAAAGTATAAAAAAAAGAAAAAAAAAGATTATCAGCCGTTTTATCACAGAAACCTTAAAGGTCAGAAAGCAGTAGGATGATTTATTTGTAACATATTTAAAATGTAGAAGGGAAAAAAACTATCAAACAAGAATTCTCCATCTGGTTAAAAAAAAAAAACTGCCCTTCAAAAATGAGATAAAAATTAAGACATTCCCAAATAAACAAAAGCCAAGGGAATTCATTACTACTGGCATTTGCAACAGAAAATGCTGAAAGGAGTACTTCACATTTACATGAAAGTCACTACACCGTAACTTTGTCAAAGCCATACAAAAATATAAGGTTCTCAGGTAAAGGTAAATACATGGACAAATATAAAAACTAGAGTATTATTGTAAATTTGGCTTATAACTCTACTTGTTATTTTCTAAAGGATTAAAAATACTTACGAATCTGTTCATGGATACACAACACATAAAGATGTAATTCCTGATCTCAATTACATAAAATGATGGAAAAAGAGCTATATAGGAGTAGAATTTTTGTATGTCGCTGAAGTGAAATTGGTATCATTCAAACCAGATTGCTATAACTTTAGAATGTTATATGTAATCTCCATGGTAACACAAAAACTATCTAAGAAGAAAAGGAAATGAAATGAGAAGAGAGTCAAAATGTGCCAATACTAAGCAATCAACTAAACTCAAAGGAAGGCAATAACAGAGGAAATGAGGGACAAAAAAGCCATAGGATATACAGAAAACCTATTTCTTAAATCACAAGATTAAGTAATTCCCCACCAGTAATTACTTTAAATTTAAATGTGTTAAACTCCAAATCAAAAGAAATTGACTGGCAGGAAGGATTTTTTCAAAATAGGATACAACTCTACACTATCTACAACAGACTCACTTTAGATCTAAAGACACCAATAGGTTAAAAGTAAAAGGACAGAAAAAGATACTCGATGCAAATAATAACCAAAAGAGAGATGGAGTGGCTATACTAATATGAGACAAAATAGTCAAAAACTGTTGTGAAAGACAAAGACATTACAGATTGATAAAAGAGCCAATTCACTAGAAGATAGAACAATTATAAATATATACACACACCAAACATCAAAGATCCCAAATATATGAAGCAAACACTGACAGAACTGAATGAAGAAATAGACTGTTCTGCAACAACAGATAGAAACTTCAACACCCCACTTTCAACAGTGAACAGAACAAGACAGAGCAATAAGGAAACAGAAGACTTGAGCAACATTATAAACCAACTAAAACTAATAGCACTCAACCCAACAACAGAATAAACACTTTTCTCAAGTACTTACAGAAAATTTTCCAGGACACACTATATGTTAGGCCACAAAACAAGTGTGAATATATTTTTAAATGACTGAAATAATACTATCCTTTGTTACAGTAGAGTGAAACTAGAAATCAGTAACAGAAGGAAAAATGAAAAATTCACAAATATGTGGAAATTAAATAACATATTCCTAAACAACCATGGGTCAAAGAAGACATCACAAGGGAAATTAGAAAATACTTTGAAACAAATGTAAATGAAAACAAAATTTACCAAAATATATGGGATGCAGCAAAAGGCACTGCTAAGAGGTAAATTTATAGCTGTAAACACAATAAAAATGAAGATCTCCAACCAAAAAACAAACCATACACATTAGGGGAACAGGAAATGTATAGCACACCAAACCCAAAGTTAGCAAGAGGAAGGAAACAAAGATTAAAACAGATATGAATAGAATAGATAATAGAATAAGAGAAAAATCAATGAAGCCAAAAGTTTATTCTTTGAAAAAAAAAATCAACAAATTGGCAAATCTTAAGCTACATGACTAGAAAATATACAGAGAAAACTCAAATTACTAACGTTAGTAATGAAATTGGACATTACTACCAATTTTACATAAATAAAAAGGACTGGCCAGGCGCTGTGGCTCACGCCTGTAATCCCAACACTTTGAGAGGCAGAGGTGGGTGGATCACAAGGTCAGGAGTTCAAGACCAGCCTGGCCAAGATGGTGAAACCCCATCTCTACTAAAAATGCAAAAAAATTAGCCAGGCTTGGTGGTGGGCGCCTGTAATCCCAGCTACTTGGGAGGCTGAAACAGAGAACTGCTTGAACCCAGGAGGCGGAGGTTGCAGTGAGCCGCTACTGTGCCACTACACTCCAGCCTGGGCGACAGAGCAAGACTCCGTCTCAAAATGAATAAATAAATAAATAAATAGGATTTTAAGAGTACTATAAACAACCGTATGCCAACAAATTGGATTATCTAGATATAATGGATAAATCCCGAGAAACAAACAACCTAGCTAGATTAAATTATGAAGAAACAGAAGATCTGAATATATTTGAAATAAGGATTTTAAGTAGTAATCAAAACCCTCCCAACAAAGTAAACCCCAGGACAAGATGGCTTCATGGGTAATTCTACCAAACATTTAAAGAAGAACAAACACCAGTCTTTCTCAAAGTCTTCCAAAAACTTGAAGAAGGAGGAACACTTGAAACTCATTCTATGTGACCAGCATTATCCTGATACCAAAGCCAGAGAAAGATACTAGAAAACTATACAGCCATATCTCTTACGAATACTGATACAAGAATACTCAACAAAATGCAGGTAAAACAAATTCGGCAGTGTAGCAAAAGGATTATACAAGATCACCAAGTGGCATTTATTCTAGGAATGCAAAATGGTTCAAACACATAAAAATCAATTAATGTAGTACACCCTATGAACAGAATAAAGGGGAAAAACAAAGATCATCTCAACTGATGCAGAAAAACATCTGACAAAATTCAACACCCTTCCCTCATCAGAAAAAAAAAAAATAGAAGGAAACTTAAACTCACCAACATAAGGCTATATACGAAAAACCCGCAACTAACAAGATACTCAATGATGAATGGAAGATTGAAAGCTTTTCCCCTAAGATCAGGAGCTAGACAAATATGCCTGCTTTTACCACTTCTATTCAACGCAGTATTGGGAGGTCTAGCCAGACCAATCAGGCAAGAAAAATAAATAACGCATCCAAATTGGAAAGGAAGAAGCAAAATTTATCTCTGCTATAAGAGACGTGATTATATATGTAGAGAACACTAGAGATTACACAAAAAGTAGTTAGAGCTAACAATTAGACATTGCAGGACACAAAATCAACACAAAAATCAACTATGCTTCTACACACTAACAATGAACAATTATGAAAATTAAGAAAACGATTCCATTTACAATGGCATCAGAATAATAAAGTACTTAGAAATAAGTTTAACCAAAAAGGCGAAAAAAGCCTTGTACACTGAAAACTACATCCCCGAAAAAATCAAGGAAGACAAGGAAATGGAGAACCATCCCATGTTCATGGATTGGAAGGCTTAATATAAGGTGACAATACTAACTGAAGCTATGTACAGACTCAATGTATTCCTTCTCAAACTCTCAGTGACTTCTTTCGTAAAAACAAAAGTCCATCCTAAAATTAATGTGGAATCTCAAAGGACCCTAAATAGCCAAAACAATCTTAAAAAAGAAGAACAGACCAGGCGCAGTGGCTCACACCTGAAATCCTAGCACTTTGGGAGGCTGAGGTGGGCAGACTGCCTGAACTCAGGAGTTTCAGACCACCCTGGGCAACATGGTGAAACCCCATCTCTACTAAAATACAAAAAAAAATTAGCCAGGCATGGCAGCATGTGCCTGTAGTCCCGGCTACTCGGGAGGCTGAGGCAGGAGAATTGCTTGAACCCAGGAGGCAGAGGTTACAGTGAGCCGAGATTGCACCACTGCACCCTAGCCTAGGTGACAGAACAAGACTCCATCCCTTAAAAAAGAAAAAAAAAAAAAAGAACAGTGTTAGAGGACTCACATTTCCTGACTTCAATACTTACTACAAAGCTATAGTAATCAAAACAGTGTGGTCTTGGCATAAAGGCAGACATATATATCAATGGAAATGAATAAAGAGCCCAGATACAAACCCTTGCATATACAGTTAACTAATTTTCAACAAGGATGCCAAGAATAATGGCAAAGAACAGTATTTTCAACAAACAGTGCTGGGAAAATTGGATTAGGTTGGACCCTTACCTTAAGCCATCTATAAAAACTAACTCAAGATGGATCAAAGATCTAAATATAAGAGCTAAAACTATAAAACTCATGGAAGAAAATACAGGGGAAAAGTTTCATGACACTGAATTTGGCAATAATTTCTTGGATATGGCAACAAAAGAAAAATAAATAAACTAGACCTCAAAATTAAAAACTTTTGTGCAAAGGGCGCTATCAAGACAGTGAAAAGGCAACCTATATAGAATGAGAGAAAATATTTGCAAATAATATCTAATAAGGGATTAATATCCAAGATATATAAATAACTCACTTAACAACTACAAAAACCCAGTTAAGAAATGGGCAAAGGACTTGAATTAACATTTCTTCAAAGAAGAGGTACAGGTGACCAACGGGCACAAGAAAAAAATTCTTAACATCACTAATCATTGGGGAAATGCAAAACAAAACCACGATGAGATACCACTTTATGCACATTAGAATGGCCATTAAAAAAAAATCCAGGAAAGAACTAGGGCTGGCAAAGACGTGAAGAAATTGGAACACTCGTGCACTGCTTATGATGATATAAAATGACACAGCCACTGTGCCAAACAGTATAGTGGTTTCTGAAAAAATTGAATTTAGTATTATCATATAACCCAGCAATTCTACTTTTAGGAACACACACCCAGAACAACTGAAAGCAGGGACTGAAGCAGATATTTGTATGCCAATGTTTATTCATTGGTATTTACAATAGCCAAAAGGTGGAAACAACCGACAACATAAATAGATGAGTAAATAAAGATGGTATGTACACATAAGAGTATTATTCAGACTTTAAAAGAAATGACGTCAGGCACAGTGTCTTATGCCTCTAATCCCAGCACTTTGGGAGGCCAAGACAGGAGGATTGCTTGAGCCCAGGAGTTCAAGACCAACCTGGGCAACACAGAGACTCCATCTCTACCAGAAATTTTAAAAAGAAAAATTAGCCAAGCAGGGTAGTACATACCTATAGTCCCAGCTACTCAAGAGGTTGCAGTGGGAGGATCACTTGAGCCCAGGAGGTCAAGGCGCAGTGAGCCACGATAGCACCACTGCACTCCAGCCTGGGCAACAGAGTGAGACCCTGTCTCAAAAGAGAAATAATTGAAAAAAAATTCTGATACATACTATAACATGGATAAACTTTAATAACAATGTTAAGTGAAATGAGCCAGTGACAAAAGGACAAATACCATATGATTCCACTCATATGAGATACCTAGGATAGTCATATCCTCAGAGACAGAAACTAAAACAGAAGTAACCAGGGGCTGGAGGAAGAGGTCATAGGGGTAATTGTTTAGTAGGTAGAGAGTTTCAGTTTAAAATGATGAAAAAGCTCATGAGAGATCAGTGATGGCGGCACAACATTGTGACTATACTTAGTAACACTGAAAGGTTAAAAATAGTACCTTTTATTATGTATATCTTACCACAATAAAAAGCCCCACAGGGTAGTCAATGTTATGTTTAAAAGAGAAGAAATAAATGGGAAGTCATTTTAGATATGTATTTACACAGGTCTTAGAAGAGCTATTCAGCAGATGAGTACCTAATGAACTGGAATTTTGGCAGAGATCCTGGGAGTGAAGTGAACCAAATCACTTGGGAAGTGTGAAGTAATTTCCTCCTCCAGGGAGGTCAGCAGATAGAACATGTGAAGCCAATGTTAAGATTTCTCTGGAGTCTAAAAGATTATCAAATTGGACAAGTCTGTTCTCAGTGTTTTCCAACAAGGTGCAACTGACGTTTTGGACAGAACAACTGCTTCATCCTGTAGGACTCTCCTGCCTGCCACATGGTACTTAATACCCCTGAACTCCAAACCACTTACCAGGGGCATTCCCCTCACCCTCATCACTCTAACAATCAAAAAGAAACCCACCCACGTTTGTTACCACGACTACCATGACCCCAGATCACTCAGATGACAACCACAGAGTGATTGAATCCAAAACTGAAATAGGAGCACCCTGGTCTGTTAGGATATGACAAGCTATAAAGCAGTAGCAAACAACCCTAAATCTCAATCAATAGCTTCAAACCAAAAAAAAAAAAAAAAAAAAAGGCTTCCGTCTTGTTCACATTACATGTCCATCACAGGCCAGCCCAAGGCTCTATTCCACACTGTCCTCACACCAGAACCTGGGCTGATAGAGCTACCACTCTGCAGAATGCTGACAGATGCAGTGGCAGAGGGAATGAGATACAGTAAGTGGTATGCTGGCATTTAAATAATTCACTTAGAAGTGACATATAGTACTTCTCATATTCCACTGGCCAAAGCAAGTCAAATAGCCTTGACTGTTTCAGGGCCAGGAAAGTGCAACCCTACACCACTTACCTGGAAGGAAAAGAACCAGCCCTGATGACTTCCAAACTATGCCTGCGAAGTGCTCTGAAAAGTAGAAAACGCTATATAAATGTTAATTAAAAGAGTATATTACTAACAATACTACTTTGCCCTTCCATCCATTCAATGGATATTTATTAGGCATCTAATACATGCTGGACATCGTCTCCTAAGCATCAAATATATGCCAGACACCATGCTAAGAGAGCTGATGAAAACTGAGTCGTAAGTGGTAGGGTAAGAGAAACAATCTTTAAACAATTCCAGTGTGGTATGATAAATGTGATCAGGGAAGTCAGCCCAGGTACTCCAGAAGTTCCCAGGGCGAGCACCTGAGCCAGCGGTGGGGGCAATGGATGGGAAGACTTCCAGGAGCAGTAACCTACATAGCTGCAGGATGCAGTCACCCTGGAGAACCTGCTGTAGATGCACAGGTGGAAGCATGAATGTGGGCGCTGTGGATGGGGTGTCCCTGCCTTCCGCCAAGTCAATGAGACCAACTTGCCACAAATTCCCCATAGCCCTAATCTGCAGTCACTTCCACTAAATGTCCACTGACACATTTATAGGTTTTCTTGGTTTTCTAGGCAGACCGGATGTAAAGAACAGATTTCTGGGACTACTCTCCACTTTCCCCCCAACTAGAACATTCTATGAGATGCTCTAAGTTCAAGGAGACAACATTCTTTCAGTCCAGTTATCATAAGCTTGGTTCTAACCTCAGCAAAAACTGCTTTCTTTCAGCTAATATAGCGCAACAAAAGGGGAAATGCCCTAGGAAAACAATGTGTCAGAGGCTCCTAACCATTGAAAATCAGGCACATTCCCTTTATGAGATATTAAATACATTATAAAGAGTTATTAAAAATAGTGCAGACTCCAACACAAGCCGTAAGATATACAGTATACCACCCTGAGATATTTATTTCCTCTAATAAAGAAAAAAATATTTTTTCAACAGAAAATACATAAAATACACATCTAGAAACACTAGACAGTCACTAAAAATGAAAACTGTAAAGATCTCTACGCTACTAGGAAAAGTAATGCTGATAGTGCTAAGGAAAGCAGATTCCAACAGCAATCATACTGTAAAGGTTAGACAAAGATGACGACTGTGCTACAGGCAAACACTTCATGGAAACTGCAGAAAATGGGGCACGGAGAGTAGGGGAAGCAGAGAAGTGGTTCAGTGCAGCTTACGGTAACATGTTATTGTTTGTACAATGCAAATTTCACATAAAAGTCATTCCTATGTAAAAGCTTGGTGGATCTTATTCACATTCCCAAACTGACTTTTACAGGCAGTATAAAGCATAATCTGGTGAGTTCCTAAAAAAGAACCAGACTAGCTGCTGTTAACACTCCAGCCCTTCTAGTTAAAGGGAGGAGGGAACAGGGCAAGTTTCCTGACTCACCAAGGCCCGGTGATTCCAGCAGCAAGGGCCAATTCCTTACAAATTGCCCTGAGCAAATTAGTCAATTTAGCCTTATCTTTAAAAGGCAGATAACACAACCTACTTCACAGAACTACAGTGGGGATTAAATCTGATAACTTTTAAGTACTTAGCACAGCATGACTTTTAAAAGGAAGTGATAGTTTCCATTCCTTGGGGGCAAAAAAGGATGGCTCTTAAGGTCTCCCTCTACTCTCCAAACCCAAGGTCCCCCAGGTCCCCATAGCACAGAGCAGGAGCCAGCTGAGCTCTGGCAAAAGCAGAAGAGGAAGGGAGTTCAAGCATGGCCTTCTGGTAGAGAGTGTGGGGAAAGAGGCGTGTTTTCTGTGTCTTTGTTCTTCCACCCTACCAATGCCTAGCACATAACCGGTGCTCAACTGACTATCTGATCAGTGTACTAACCCAGTCAGCAAGCCCTCTATCCTCAGCTGATGATCATGAAGGAAAACAGGCAGGAAACATCAACGATTTATTTGAACTAAAGCTCAGGCCCCTTGCACTGTGAGACTCCACACTTTATTTCTGTGCTGCATGCAGGGTGCTAGCATTTACTACTATGGAAGATACATTTTTCTGAGTGTTAACTTCAGTGGTATTTACCAAATATGCCTCTGAATGGTCCTATTTCAAAAAAACTACAGAAAGCACTGCTTTTCATAAACAAAAAGAACAAAATGGCCCCAGTAGTATTTTCTTATCTCTATCCCTACCTACTTTAAGTAGCCTGTAATCTATTCCATTTTGGTGAATAAAGCCGAGTCTTTTCTAAAACAAAACTGTATACTGGAGGTAAATATTCTAAAACATAACTTTGAGTAAAGGAAAACTCTCAAGAGCAGTTTAAATGTAATGCCTGGCTTATTCTATTCCAATGATGTTCTAATCTTTTTCATTAATTTACTCTAATGTTTGTAATTGTTTTAGGCCACAATTATCTCATTGTTTCCTGGCCTGTGTACCTGATCAGAATCATTATGATCTCTGAGGTTTTCGCCTGATTTTTGAGAATCCTGCTCTGCTATGGATGGGGTAGCCAGCAGAACACAGAACAACCAAGGAGCGTTTTAAATACAAGACTATTAGAGTGGCAAATCATTGTCCTTTCTGTGACCAGCTTCTGGGGCTCTGGAATTACATGTTAAACAACAGGATCAGATGGGAGCACTTTGCAGCTAAGAGACCAATACCAGAAAAATACCCCTTTACCCCTTCAACAGCGTGCTCCTGCCTATTTACAAGAACATTTAGCATCATTTCCTTCTCAAATGGGCCATCCTGTACTCTGGAGCTAGAACAGAGTACGAGGAGAACACTGACATTCAGTGCCTACCAGTTTCTCTCCTACGGAGCTGCAGCAAGCTGGAGCTCCCATGAGCTGCACTGTTGACAGCTCTTAGTCAGGGATCACACCCTTGCCTTTACGAGCTATTTCTGTCATTTTATATAAAAGCACAAAGACACAGTGGTCAGCACGACAAGACTACAGCCTGGGGGAAGCGTAATCACTGTCAGAGGACATCAAATCCAACACACTGGTGGGATGGCAGGAAAGCAGACTCGAAAGTAGTTCAGAGTAAATGAGTCTCCTTGTTTGCTTCTTACTCATAACATTAGGCCTAAGCTGCTTTGCTGAAACACTTAGCTCTGCGCTTTCCAAGCGATAGAAATTATACTTACTCCAATGTGTGAGATGAAAACCCACTGCACACTGAGCTGAGCGACATTTGATGTGCAGTAATGCCACTTCAGGTGGTTCATCACATTGCTTTATTCATAAGGCTGGGGGACAGGGTGGAACCACACGAATTTAACATCTTGCTGTGCCTGAAATGTTCATTAAGTGTTCTTATCCGCAGTCACCTGCCCACCCCACAGAACCACTCTCCACTAATTTAGAGACTATAATCTGTGCACATTTAAATTACGATGAACAGGAACATTTCCACTGGAAAAACCATCACACATCTTTGATTTGCACTGCCAATTAGGTCTTCAGAAAAGGAAAAAAAAAAAAACCCTGATCATCTTACATATAGTAATTTGCCTTAATTGGTGCATAATGGATCGGATATAATTTGTGGGTAACCCCTACATGATAAATAGTTTATTTAACATTTTAGAACTACCAAAAATTAGCCTCATTGTGTGGCAGTAAACGCTCACTTCCAACTACACATTCTGGGACTTCTGAGTTTCCTAAGCATGAATTATGAATATCAGTAGTGGAAGTGCAAAGAACTCTCCAGCTTAACAACAGGAGTGACACATTCCAGAAACATTTTCTGATTACATTCACAAGGAGCTCCGGAGTGATAAATTCCAGATACATTTTCTGACTAAACTCACAAGGAGCTCAAATCTCCATCCAGAGGGTTTGTTTTTTGTTTTTAGTCCTGTAGCAACAGAAACTCCTAGAAGGTTAGGACGCCAGCCGGAAGTGGTGGCTCACGCCTGTAATCCCAGCACTTTGGGAGGCCGAGGCAGGTGGATCACCTGAGGTCAGCAGTTCAAGACCAGACTGGACAACATTGTGAAACCCTGTCTCTACTAAAAAAAAAAAAAAAATACAAAAAATTAGACAGGCGTGGTGGCGGGCGCCTGTAATCCCAGCTACTCGGGACGCTGAGGCAGGAAAATTGCTTGAACCCGGGAGGCGAAGGTTGCAGTGAGCCGAGGTCGCGCCATTACACTCCACCCCGGACAAGAGCGAAACTCCGTCTCCAAAAAAAAAAAAAAAAAAAAAAGGATGCTAATACACGGTAAAAGCCAGTGGCAAAAAATAAAAAATCGAACCCTGTCTCATTCCGTAGGCTTTACTGTTTCCCTTGCTTTTAATAGTTTATCTCACAGGAGGCATTTTAAAAATATTCTCAGAAACATCAACAACAGATTTTTCTCAAGCGACCATTTTCAGGAAGGCTTCAGAAATTACTAAAAGGCCAAAGCTACCGTTAGTGGCTCAGTCTTTGCCGCCAGACTCGGGCAGGTGACAGCGGTTTGGGCTCGGGCGCCGGGCACTCTGCGCCTTCCAACGCTGGCGGCCCCGCCTCCCCTTCTCCCGGGCCAGGCACGCAGGTGGAGGAAAGTAAACACCAGTCGGAAGCAAGGTGGAAGCAGTGAGTCTCGCGACTCTCAATAAAACAAGTGGAAAAAAAAAAAAAAACAATCCTCGCACAAAGCATCTCCGTGCTCCCACAAGCAGAGGCGTGGCTGCTTGTTTCCCTTTTTAAAGGTTGTATTTTTAGTTCTTATGAAAAATGTTTTTATTGCTTACTTCTAAGTAAACATGTATCTCCATTACGATAACGTAGAGAAAAGCTCTTTTAAGAAGTAAAAAGAGAAAACTGAAGTCACGTTCACATTCCCACTACTCACTGAAACGTTTGGGGGAACTTACTCAAGTGTTTGCTAATGAGTTTTAAAGACGAGTTAGGCCCTTAACGCGTAATTGGGGTCGTGCTGTGCATATGATTTGGGATCTTGCAGCTTGTTTAACTCGGCCCAATGACGTTACCATTTCCCCCAAATGGTTACTAATTCCTTGAAAACGTTTACAAAAGTTCTAGAATAAACACTAAAGTTATTATTTTTAAACTCCATTATCCAAGTTGGACTGGTCTGGCGATCGACTGTTAAAAAAAAAAAATTACAACTTTCTTAAGCTTCCTGATCTCTGTGCCAATTCCCGGAGAAAGTGTGGGGAGTGCACAAAAAAAGCCCCTCCCCCGTCTCACGAGGGCTGCAAACGCAGGCGCTGCGCCCCGCTAGCTCCCCGCCTGCACCCCCGGCGGCCACCCGAGACTGAGCAGAGCGCCAGGCTGAGCGCGGTTGTGTGCTGGGGCGACCGGCCTCTGTGGTCCGCGTAGCACAAACGTGACCCACTGCGCACACCTGCAGGGCGCGCCCACTCCGGCACTCAACCGGCTGGGCGCGCCAGATCCCCAGTGCCGCAGCCAAGGGCCACGTTTCCAGCCCAAGGCCAGCAGGACCGGGTGGCAAAGGGAAGTCAAACTGTGGGTGCGTCCGGACGGCGGCGGGCGGCCGGACCCTCACCTGGTAGCGAGTCGCCAACTCCATTCTTCCTAACCGGGCTCCAGTCTCCTCCCAGCACGCGGCCACGGGAGCCCGGACTCACCACGGCCCGGCGCACCAAGAACGCCCCGCGCCCGAGCAGCTAGCGCGCTCCGCCCGGAGCACAGGCGGGCCCCGGGAGGGGCGCACTTGACGCCCTGGACAGGGGGAGCGCGTTGCGCTGCCCCCTCGGTGCCGCCTCACTGGGCCTCGTGGCTCCGATCACGTTCCAACTTCGCGGCCACTGACCTTGTCTTCGCAGGCGGCGCGAGAGGGGGCTGCAGTTGGGCGCGGCAAGAGCAATTACCAGTGTTAGGGCGCCGGGCTCCCCCCTGCAGCAGAGGGAGGGAGTGGAGCCGTCCGGCGGGGTTTAGCGCGGGAGAAATGAGGGGGCTGTCCCGGCGCAGCCTCCAGCTGGCACGCGCGCTGGATACTTGGCAGGGTTTATTCCAGGTCATGCCCTGGGGCGCGAGCTTCTGCTGCAACCCCTGTCTCTGATCCAGGCAAATATTGTAGGGCGGCTTTGGGGCTTGTTTTGTTTTGTTGTTGTAACGGGGCAGGGTTCTCTTTGGGAAGATTCTGTCTCCCAAAACATTTGCTACAGGGTTCACTTTGCAGAACAGGCAACCCAGGTTTCTTTACCAAGGCCCAGGTGGACAGATGCAAACCCGCCTGAAACTTTAGACGGCCATTACACAGTAGGCCTCCACACCCACCAGACAAAGAGTTTGTAGAGGTCAGGAATGCTGACTAATTTAACAGAATTGACCCCGGCATCTACTAAGCATCAGGCACTGGGCTAGTCCTAGGAACAGAAGGGTGAACAAAAACAGGCCCCTGCTCTGTTGGAGTTTACAGCCTGAGAGCCAGTTACCAACCTAATTGCATTATTCTAAATAAATACAATAATGATGCAAATAAGTGTAATAACGATGTAAATTTTATAAATTAGATTTATAATTAATATTAATTTGATACCACTATCAATGACAAATGTAATGATGATGCAAATAAATGTAAATTTGGAGCGATGATGCCATGAGAAAAAAGGCAAGTGGTATTAATGGTGGTGTGAAATAGGAAGACAATCTGATAGAGGTCAGGGAATACTTCTTAGAGTTCAGATATGAAGAGTGAGGAATTAAGTTTGTGGAAATTGTGGGAGAGTTGAAGTAGAGAGTGGGGAGAATGGTAAATGAAGTTGTCCTGAAATCACAGCAGGTTTGCTGGACAGTGTTGCACACCTATTTAGAACCGTGGTCATAGGTTTACAGTAGAGCATCCTGTACGCATAGGACCTTCTGCAGCCCCTCTCAGCTGCTTAGGATCTGACGTTCATCTTTTCTTTATTGAACGAGTGAATGAAATTTGCCAAACATTTACTCAAGCTTGAAGAGAAAACATGGAAAAGGTTTCCTTCCTTCCTTTGGTTAGTTCAGCAAACAACATGTGTTATGTGCTTTCATGTTCCAGCCCTCAGTGTTCTCACTTCCTGGTGGTAGTAAAACCAATACAACATTGTGTGACTTAAAATGTTTTGTTTTTATTGGATAATGTTATTTATTCATTATGGCCACTTCATTTTTATTATGCTTTAGAGTTTTCCTTCACATGCAGTATCTCCTTGAATCCTCTCAATATCCTTCCAGATCCTTATTGTCCACATTTTTAAAATAAGGAAACAGAATCTAAGAAAATACATTAAGAGATCCCTGCCACCCTGCCACTAAGTGACAGCAGCAGACTGCCAAACTGAAAACCATTCCTTATGCCTCCAGATCCAACATTCTTTCCATTTTTCTGTATTTTTTCCCTTTGGCTGCCAGGAAGCTTAGAGTGAAAATTAATTCAATCAGAGCTCTTCTTCCTCTTTTTTTTTTTTTAGATAGTTGCTTCCTCATGAACTGCTGATCTTGTTTGCACTTCTTTTCATTGTAGGTTAAATCAAATCAATTTTGGAAAAGGGAGCACAAATTTGAAGCAGGTCAGATTTTGCAAAACACTTGAAGCAGCCTAGACTAGCTACTTCTGTATCAGGAAACCTGTAAGCTGTTGAACCTTTCTGTTTAGAAATTTGCCATAACTAACCCTAAGTCTTCAGATGACAACCCCTAAATTTTCTTCCTGTGCTTAGCAAAGCCTGTACACGTTTGATGGTATTTAGTAATTGATTATATAGTGGTGTGTTTTGTTTTGTTTTGTTTTGTTTTGTTTTGGTCAGGCTTTGGGAAAATCTCTAAGGAACCAGAGGATTTAAACATGGCACTGCAGTAATACTTTCTAATAATTATTACTGATAGGGTTCACGGGATGTGAGCACTGGGTTTCATCATGGCACTGCAAGAATGAGTGTCCCTTCCAGATGCAACAGTATACATATTGCAACACAGAAAAAGAAGACATAATGTTTGCAACTTCTTTTAAGAAGTCTGTCTAGAAATCCATGCTTGATTGCTTTTTAAATGTTTCCATGAGAGAGTAAAAACTTGGTCCCCAGTACCTTGAACAAGGTAAGAAATTTGTGATTAGAAGCCAAAGGAGTTAATAATGCCACACTAAAATATGCTGCTCTGGCATATTCACTATTTTTAGTTAAAAGCACTTAAAAAAAAAAAAAGCAGGTAGGAGAAGATCACTCTGAACTTAATGTTGTTTCTTAAAAGCAGGAGATAAAATTCCCCTATGAAAGCTGTCCTCCCTACACAAGAAGGAAAGCCACATTCTTATCAAAGACAGGAAATTGAAGCTGAGGGAAATCTGTACAAACAAACCTTGTTAAACTAACCCTTATCTTCTCAGTCACTTCTCCACCCAATTAACTACACTAGCCCATGCCCCTTTGCCTCATCGCATTTTCAGTTTTACTACTCTGTGCAATTCACTATATAAATGTCCAACTCAAACTTCATCCTGGGGTCTTCATTTCCTTAAAAAGGCACCCATGCCACATAAAACTTCGATTAGACAAATCTATATGCTTTTCTCTTGTTAATCTATTTTATGTCAGTTTAATCCTCAGACCCAGCCAGGACCCAAAAGGATGGAGATGAAGTTTTACTCCCCTACAAAGCCATTATTGAACCTCATTAAATGATGTGAGAGAGCTGTAATTGGATGTCAACCCTGGCCCACGATTTTTGCTTTGTAAAAGGAGCCCAAACATCTCTCCTCTATCTGAAGTAGTATCTCTGCCGTCCCCACAGAGCTTAGTTGTGGGCAAACTCCCTAGTCCTCCCCACATAACAGAAAATCGTGCTGGTTTGGTGCTCTGGACAACTCACCAGAGAATCTGCCTTCTGCAGAGAGCTGGAAGCAGCATGAGTCTATAGAAACTGAGAGGTAATTTCATTAGGTCTGCCTCCCCTGCTTGCTTTTGGTCATTTGCCTCTTGGTGTTGTTTCCTTTTCCCACGAAGTTGAAGGCTGCAGTAGCTGAACACCGCACCACTGAACACTGAGACTTAACTTCACTGGCTACTTTATAGATAACGTTCATAGGTCACCGTGGTAACTGTTGCTTCCATTTTTTTTTTTTCTCAGAAACTTAGGCCAGCTTCTGTCCAGTTCAAACTGGTTGAGGCCACTGACTCTTCAAGTGCCTGAGAGGTGGCCTTTTGATGTCAGAGGGTCAAAAACTCCACCCTGAGATCATGCTAACACTGCCATTTTTCTGTACATATGTCCTATATAATGCCATGAACTCTGGCTACATTTGTGCAGAATGAGCCTGTTACTTCGTTTTTTTCCCAGTGCCGATTACATTTCCCCATAACTCAGACCACCCCATTTCCCTAACCCATAAATATCCCTAAGCCTTATCTTCAGGGAGGCGTACTTCAGAGCTATTCTCCCACCTCCTCACTCCATGCCCTTGTGAATAAATCTTTTTTTTCTTTTGCAAAACCCATGTCACACTAATTGATTTACTGTTCAGGGCAGAACAGACTAGGACCTAGCTGGTAACAGTATCTGAGTACCACTTGGCATTGTATGTGGTCGTGAATAAATAAAGTGACCGTTAAACAGGAAAACATCACTGGTTGTTCTCTAGCTCTTGGTCTCTTGAAACTTCCATCTCATTGTGATCAGATAACACCTACCCTAGAATGGGGAGACCTCCCTAAATTTGAAACATTCAGATATAAAATTTCCAAGTTGCTACAGAATCAAAGATCTAGAACTGAGTCTTTTGTAAAATCATCATCTAACACTGACTGGGTGCGTTTCTGGAACGTTTTTCTTTATTATTATTACAACCCGGTATTCCATCTTCCTGACTTGGTATGTCAAGATGATGTTGTCACAACACTGTGATGAAAATCACCCTAATGGCTTATGACAAAATAACCTGGACAATCAAAAATCAGATCTGTCCATATATCAGATGCAGAAAAATACACATCATGATGAAACTTTAATGCCTGTGGTCTTTCAAAAAGTCAATAGTAATAGTGATATCAAGAATAGCAGCTAATTTAAAGAGTACTCACTATGCTCTAAGCCCTGTGCTGAATTAACCTTTGAATGTGTTCCCTCCTTGAATCCTTCAGCTGAGAGTTCTACATCTTTTCAAAACTAGTGCTGTAAAAGTAAGTGAAACAATATTTTCAAAGCATTTGGGATTTCTTAGAGATGCTATGTAAACTCCAAATACGATTAACGCAACCCATATTACATAGGTTTTTGTAATAGATGGTGCATTATTTATCATTTAGTATGTGAACATAAAATATTATTTTGACTAGGCACTGACAACAAATGAGCGAAAATAACATCTTATTCAATAATTCTTACCTTTCTATGAATTTAGGTCTTATAAAAGAAAATTTTTAATTTCCAATTAGTGGTATCAACAAAAGTACTCTGGTACGTAGTTTTTAAAGAACCACACTTTTTTTCATAATCATTTAGGCAGCATACTTAAAAATAATCTATAAAATGTCAATATACAGAGCTCAGAATAAATGTATCTATAAAAATAACTTTTACTTCTTAAATAACAAAAAGTCATAAAATATTTCATTAGTTCAATAGATAAATGCAGGATATTTTTAAAAGCAGTTTTTAATTTCTATTTTGTCAAGGCTAAAATAACCAACCATACAGTATTTCAGAGATGAAAGTCAAAGTATCAATATTTGTTATAATATTTGGAAAACTTTATTGCTTCAGGTATGGTAAGTAATCTCTATTTGCTAGCCCTGATTCAGTATTTGACAGGCAATAATAGAAAATCTTAGGTTATAAAATGGAAAATTTGGGATCAGAAATAGAGTAATACTATATTCTTTTTGTTTTTTTTCTTTTGAGACGGAGTCTTCCTCTGTTACCCAGGCTGGAATGCAATGGCGCGATCTTGGCTCACTGCAGCCTCTGCCTCCCACATTCAAGCGATTGTGCTGGCTCAGCCTCCCGAATAGCAGGGATTACAGACATGTGCCACCACTCCCGGCTAATTTTTGTGTTTTTAGTAGAGATGGGATTCCGCCATTTTGGCCAGGCTGGTCTGGAACTCCTGACCTGAAGTGATCCGCCGGCCTTGGCCTCCCAAAGTGCTGGGATTACAGGCATGAGCCACCGCACCAGGCCAAGGAATATAGTAATATCATATTCCTGAGAGAAGAAAAACACAACTTTCCAGGCTTTGCAGAATTTCCAAAGTTGTTACAGACTTATCCTTCTTTATTTGCAATAATCAAGTGTTTGTACACGAGTCATAAGGCTGGATCCCATTTGTGATAACAGAACACCTATGGAAGTGAGGCAGTTATGGGTTTATTTAGTCCTTTAAGCTTCCAGCAGATTCTAATGGGCAGGCATATTCAAGAATCATTGCTCTAGTACAGCTCAGTGGCTTGCAAAGTGTGGCAAGATCAGCAGCATCCACATCACTTGAGCTATGGTAAGAAATTCACATTCTTGGGCCCCCTTCTGGACCTACTGAATCAGAAACTTTGGGGATGGAGCCCAGCAATCCAGATTTTAGTCACTATTCTGGTGATTCTTATCCTCACTGAAATTTACAAACCTCTGTAGTTGTAATCCAAGGTGTACTGCTCACCAACCAGGCAATCTAGAGGCTAATCATTGAGCTTCATTTTTCTCATCCGTAAAATCGGGATACTATGTACCTGCCTAACCCCCTCAACAGTATTCTTCTTTTTGTATGTGTGTGGAGGTTCTTATTTATTTATTTGACAAGTAAAAATTGTATATGTTTATGGTGTACAACATGAGATTTTTGATATATGTATACATTATGGCATGGCTAAATCAAGCTATTTATGCATTACTTTGCATAGTTGACACTTTTATGAACCTTAAAGTCAGCCTTTTTAGCATTTTCAGATACACAATATTTTGTTATTAACTGTAGTCACCATGATGTACAAGAGCTCTCTTGAACTCATTCCTCCTGTCAAGTCTAAATTTTGCATTATTTGACCAACATCTCCCCAGTCCTCCCACCGCTTTCAACAGTATTCTTACAAACATGAACATGTAGTATCAAGTGCGATTGTATTTTGAGAAGCCTAGAGTGTTTTACACTTGTAAAGTAGTATTAATAGTTGTGATCCTTCCATTTATTGATCACTAACCATGTTCCAGAACCTGTTGACACACTATACCACTCAGTCATTACCACAAACATGTGTTGTACAGAATACCATCCTTTATTTTTGTTCAGATGAGGAAACTGAGGCTTTGAGGGTTTAAGACACTTGCTCAGGGTGACCCAGCAGAGCCAAGTTAGAACTCACATCTGTGCTACTATCAGGCTATACCCTCTCACATTTTTGCCTTATTCAGATAGCCTGAGAGAGAGGGAGAAGAAATTCAAACTTCAATTTTAAAAATGGAGCCTGGGCAACATCGTGAGACCCCCATCTCTACAAAAAACTTTTTTAAAATTAGCCAGGTGTGGTAACATGCCCTTGTGGTCCCAGCTGCTCAGGAGGCTGAGGTAAGTGGATCGCTTGGGCCCTGTAGGTTGAGGCTGCAGTGAACTGTGATGGCACCACTTCACTCCAGCCTGGGGGACAGAGCAAGACCCTGTCTCAAAAATATATATAATTAATTAATTAAAACAGGACTGGGAATGGATACAAGATTATAGAGGAAGAATAAGTTCTACGGGTTCTGTAGCACTGTAGGGTGAATACAGTCAACAATGATTTATTGTATATGTTTAAAAAGCTGAAGAGGAGGTTTTGAAAGTCCCCAACACAAAGAAATAATAAATGTTGGAGTTGATGGATATGCTAAATACCCTGATTTGAGCATTACACATGGTATAAAATGTATCCAATATGCCTTTGTACCCCATAAATATGTATAATTATTACATGTCAACTAAAAATATTTAAACAGCTAACGACAACCTAATTTGTCTATCAGGACGGGCATGTAGATGTAAACTGTTTAATTCATATACTAGAATACTGTATATCAGTTCAAATGAATAAATTGATCTGCATTTATCAATCAATAAGAATAAATCTCAGAAAGCGTTAAATTAAAAGATCAAGTTAATAAAAGAATAAAATTGAGGAACTAGGCTCTTTATATACTACCATTTCAACCTGTTTATTTACTGTGCCTAGGATTCCGATACCTTCCCCCTATTTCTTTCTGAAAACGATTATTTATCTGTTTATAGGCCATTTTTTAACAGGTATTCCTGAATTCTTTTCAAAAGACTTTCCCCACTTCATCACACACACACCCCAGCTCTCTTTTCTGTAATCTACACATACTCTAGACTTTAATGCTGTAAAATTTGCCTCAGTTGGTTATTCGAATCTGATAATCTGATCATCATGTCTTTAACAGCTTTCAGCTCTGACCTACAAGTCATGTCTGGATTCTTTTATAGCTTTTGAATCCAAACAAGCTCCTGACCTTGCTAACTATAGCCCAGCACCAGGAGATTTCTGACAGTATAAAATTCAAGGCCTAATCTTAAGACTATGTAATGAAATTGATAACCATAAATTCCAAGATGGGCTCAGGACAACAGGACTTGGCATTTCTGGCCATTACTTCCAAAGCAAATCATATCTGTATATGAAATACAACAAAGTCTGCTAGTCTGAAAGCATGTTAAATATGGCTTGTTATGTTCAGCCTTTCCACACTGCTCTTATAAACAGGAGTTGGACTGTTTCCATCAGACTCTGACCAAGTAAACTTAAATGTAATGATGTTACAGTCTGAGTCTTTTTGTTTTTTAAGAAAAGCAACATAAGCAACAAAAGCTTCCCTGCCTTTTTCCCGCGGTTGCTCCCACTCCATCTCTCGCTTCCATTTTCTTTCAGAACACTCTGAAACTCTCAAGCATTTTCTATAAGAGAACTTGCAGTTCTCCATAGGGATCAGGAGAGGCATAGATGATTTTTTTCTAGAAGGAAGCATAGGTTTTGCAATTTCTTAGAAAAGTTGGGGCATGTGAGGGCCAAGACAGAAATCTATCATACTTGAAACAAGCTTCCCCAAAGTAATAAGAAAAACAAAACAGGCCGGGCGCAGTGGCTCACGCTTGTAATCCCAGCACTTTGGGAGGCCAAGGTGGGCAGATCATGAGGTCAGGAGATCAAGATCATCCTGGCCAACATGGTGAAACCCCATCTCTACTAAAATACAAAAAATTAGCTGGGCGTCGTGGTGAGCACCTGTAGTCCCAGCTACTCAGGAGGCTGAGGCAGGGGAATCGCTTGAACCAGGGAGGCAGAGGTTGCAGTGAGCCAAGATCGTGCCACTGCACTCCAGCCTGGCGAAAGAGGGAGACTCTGTCTTGAAAAAAAAAAAAAAAAACAGAAAAAGAGAAAACCAATCAAACAAAGTCAAAGTGATAATATTATTAGATGGAGTTCTATTTTTTTTTTCCAGAAACTGCCTGTGTTCTCTGACCTACTAGTGCCTGGGATATTTATAGACCATGTTCCAAGAGAAGAGAAGGTAAAGCAGTGTCTATGTTACAAACAAAAAGGAACTGAGCTACAAGACTGAAAAACTGAAAGAAACAGCAATGTAAACAAGCCGTTTACTTGACATCATAAATGTATCTTTGGCTTTCTACTCCTCTCCCTCAAAAAAAAGGAAAGAAAACGTATCAAAATAGGTTAGGCAGATGTCATAGGCTAAAATCAGCACCTTCTGAAATTTATTAACTTCTGGGCAAAAGTATAATTGCTTGAAACTGTTTAGATTTTTTTCATCCTCATGAAATCTTTTAACTGAAACCCAGGAGGTGAGCAAAAACAGTTGTGTTAACAGCTTCTGCGCAAGTTACAGCTACAAATACATGACAGAGCATGTGCTCCTGTGGCAAAAGCTGTAAGTCAGCTGTTTCTTATTTTATCTTCTTTGGGAACAAATATCAAGGTTGAAATAGACCTCTAGAAGTGTCATTTTTAATTACAACACTTATTGAGATAATAGCTGATTAACAGACAGTTGTAAGAAATAATACAGAGAGACTCTGTGTACACTTTACCCAGTTTCCCCCATGGTAACATTTTGGGAAACTATAGTACATTGTCCCACCTAGGATATTGACATTGATACAATCCACCAAACTTACTCAGATTTCTCCAGTTTTACTTGTCTGTCGTGGGCACCACCTGTGTAGGTTTGTCCATGCACCACCGCAAGGAGGACATGAAGTTCCCCCTGTTGCCCTCTATAGCCACATCCACCTTCCTCCCACATCCCTTCCTCCTTCCTTAACCCCTGGTAACCATTAATTTATTCTCCATTTCAAAAACCTTTTCATTTAAAAAATGTTACATGGATGGCATCATGCAGTATATAACATTTTGGAATTGGCTTTTAAAAAAATTCAGTACAATTCTCTGGAGATTCATCCAAGTAGCAATGAGTATTAATCAGCTGGTTCCTTTTTATTGTTGTGTAGTATTCCATGGTATGTATGTGCCACCAGTTTTTAACCATTCACCTGTGGATGAGCATCTGGGCTGATTTTGGTTTCAGGGTTTGGCAGATAAGGCTTGTATGAATATCTGTGTGAATGTAATTTTCATTTTTCTGGGGTAAATGCCCAAGAGTACAGTTACTGGGTCATATGAAAGTTGAAATTTAGTTTTACATGAAACTACTGAGCTGTTTTCCAGAGTGGCAATACTGTTTTACATTCCAACTAAAATATATGAGTGATCCAGTCTCCGGGATCCCAATGTCCTTCTCCAAATGCGTCCTCTCCTGCATTCAGTGTTGTCACTATTTGTCATTTTAACCATTCTGAGAAATATGTAGTGATAGATTACTGTGGTTTTTAACTTGCATTTCCCTGATGGCTAATGATATTGAAGATCTTTACATTTGTTATTAGCCATCTGTCTGTCTTCTTGGATTAATTGACTATTCAATGCCTTTTGCCATTTTCTAATTGGATTTTCTTTTTACTATTGAGTTTTGAGAATTTTTTTTTTTTTTTTTTTTTTTTTTTGAGACGGAGTCTAACTCTATCGCCCAGGCTGGAGTGCAGTGGCGCGATCCCGGCTCACTGCGAGCTCCGCCTCCCAGGTTCACGCTATTCTCCTGCCTCAGCCCCCGGAGTAGCTGGGACTACAGGCGCCCGCAGCCACGCCCAGCTGATTTTTTTCTGTTTTTAGTAGAGACGGGGTTTCACCGCCGTAGCCAGGATGGTCTTGATCTTCTGACCTCATGATCCACCCACCTAGGCCTCCCAAAGTGCTGGGATTAAAGGCGTGAGCCACCGCGCCCGGCCAAGAGTTCTGTGTTTTAGATACTAGTCCTTTGTCAGATACATGGTTTGCAAGTATTTTCTGCCAATTTTTAGTTTGTCTTTTCATGTTCTTCAGGTGATTCCAAAGAGCAAAAGTTTTAAATTTTCATGACCTTCAATTAATCAATTTCCATTTTATTTAATTACTTATTTATTTATTTATTTTTGAGACGGAGTTTCGCTCTTTTGCCCAGGCTGGAGTGCAATGGCGCGATCTCGGCTCACTGCAACCTCTGCCTCCCTGGTTCAAGAGATTCTCCTGCCTCAGCCTTCTGAGTAGCTGGAATTACAGGCGCCCACCGCCACGCCCAGCTAATTTTTGTATTTTTAGTAGAGAAGGGGTTTCATCATGTTGGACAGGCTGGTCTCTGAGCTCCTGACCTCAGGTGATCCACCCACCTAGGCCTCCCAAAGTGCTGGGATTACAGATGTGAGCCACCGCGCCCGGCCAATTTCCCTTTTAAGTATCCCAGTTTTGGTGTTAAGTCTATGAACTCTTTGCCTAGACCTAGATACTGAAGATTTTCTCTTTTTTTTTTTTTTTTTTTGAGTTTTATTATTTCACCTTTTATATTTAAGTCCATGATCCATTTTATGTTAATTTTTTATAAGATGAGATTAATTTGAGGCTTTTTTTTTTTTGGCTTACATCGAAATGTGTAAACATCATTAGGTGAAAAGGCAAAATCTCTCTTCTGTAGAATTGGTTTTGTACCTCTATTAGTCTGTGCTTACACTGCTATAAAAAACACCTGAAACTGGGCAATTTATAAAGAAAAGAGGTTTAACTAGCTCACAGTTCCACAGGCTGTACAGGAAGCATGGCTGGGAAGGCCTCAGGAAATTTACAACCGTGGCAGAAAGGGAAGCAAGCACGTTTTTAGGTGGCCATAACAGAAGGAAGAAAGACGGGGAGGTGCTACACACTTTTTTTTTTTTATTATTTTTTTGAGATGGAGTTTCACTCTTTCGCCCAGACTGGAGTGCATTGGCACGATCTTGGCTCACTGCAACCTCCGCTTTCTGGTTTCAAGTGATTCTTCTGCTTCAGCCTCCCAAGTAGCTGGGATTACAGGCACCCGCCACCATGCCCGGCTGATTTTTGTATTTTTAGTAGAGATGGGGTTTCACCATGTTGGTCAGGCCAGTCTCGAATTCCTGACCTTGTGATCTGCTTGCCTCGGCCTCCCAAAGCGCTGGGATTACAGGCATGAGCCACAGCACCCAGCCAGTGCTACACACTTTTAAACAACCAGATCTCATGAGAACAGCACCAAAGGAGGAAATCCACCTCCATGATCCAGTCACCTTCCACCAGGCCCCACTTCCAACATTGCGGATTATAATTCGACATGAGATTTGGGTGGGAACATAAATCCAAACCATATCAGCATCTTTGTCAAAAATCAGTTGAGCATATCTATGTGGGTCTACTTCTGGGTTCTCTGTTCTGGCACATTGATCTGTGTGTCTCTCTCCACCAACATCACACTATCTCATTACTACAGCTGTGTAGCTAGGCCTTAACATCAGATAGAGCCCTCCCACTCAATTCACCTTTGTCAAGATTGTTTTAGTTACTCTAGGGCCTCTGCCTTTCCATATAAATTTTAGAATAAGTTTGCTTGTGTCCACTGGAATTTTGATAGTAATTGTATTATGTCTACAGATCAATTGGCAGAGTATTTATATCTCTATTATGTTGATTCTTGTAATTTATAAACAAGGTATGTATGTTAATTTATGTCTTCTGCTATTGGTTTGGATATATGACCCCTCCAAACCTCATGTTAAAATTTGATTCCGGCCGGGCGCAGTGGCTCACGCCTGTAATCCCAGCACTTTGGGAGGCCGAGGTGGGCGGATCATGAGGTCAGGAGATCGAGACGATCCTGGCTAACACGGTGAAACCCCGTCTCTACTGAAAATACAAAAAATTAGCCGGGCGTGGTGGCCGGCGCCTGTAGTCCCAGCTACTTGGGAGGCTGAGGCAGGAGAATGGTGTGAACCCGGGAGGCGGAGCTTGCAGTGAACCAAGATAGCGCCACTGCACTCCGGCCTGGGCGAAACAGCGAGACTCTGTCTCAAAAAAAAGAAAAAATTTGATTCCGGTTGGGCGCAGTGGCTCAAGCCTGTAATCCCAGCACTTTGGGAGGCTGAGGTGGGTGGATCACCTGAGGGCAGGATAGGAGTTCAAGACCAGCCTGGTCAACATGGTAAAACCCTGTCTCTACTAAAAATACAAAAATTAGCTGAGTGTGGTGGAAGGCACCTGTAATCCCAGTTACTCAGGAGGCTGAGGGAAAGAGAATCACTTGAACCTGGGAGGCGGAGGTTGCAGTGAGCCGAGATTGAACCAGGGTGACAGAGCGAGACTCTATCTCAAAAATAAATAAATAAATAAATAAATAAATAAATAAATAAATAATAAAATAAAATTTGATTCCCAGTGTTGGAGGTGTGGCCTAATGGGAGGTGTTTGCCTCAGAGGGGTAGATGCCTCATGAATGGTGGTGTCCTTGTGGTAATGAGCAAGTTCTCACTCTATTTGTTTCTGCTAGAGCTGATTGTTAAAAAGAGCCTGGCACCTCTCCTGCTGTCTCTTGCTTCCTCTCTTGCTGTGTGATCTCTGCACACCCTTCTGCCTTTCACCATGCGTGGAAGCAGACAGGTTTTCACCAGATGCCCAATCTACTCAGCAGAATCATAAGCCAATTAAACCTCTTTTCTTTATAAATTAGCCAGCCTCAGGTATTCCTTTATAGCAACACAAATGGACTAAGACATCCTCTTTAATTTTTTAAAGCAGCATTTTATAATTTTCAGTATACATGTTGTATATGCTCTTTAAGTATATACCTAAGTATTTATTTTCTTTGGAGCAATTGTAAGTGGTACTTTTACAATAGTATTATAAGTAGTTTCTTTTTTTTTTCTTTTGACGCAAGGTCTCACTCTGTTACTCAGGCTGCAGTACAGTGGCATGAACATGGCTCACTGCAGCCTCAACTTCCTGGGCTCAAGTAATCCTTCCACCTCAACCTCTTGGGTAGCTGGGAGGACAACAGGTATGCATCACCACACCTGGCTGATTTTTGTATTTTTTTGTAGAGACAGGATTTTGCCATGTTGCCCAGGATGGTAAGTGCTAAGATTACTGGTGCGAGCCAGCATGTTTGGCCTATAAAGCGTTTTTAATTTCAGTTTCCACTCATTCATTCTTACTATATAGAAATACAGTTCATTTTTGTATGTTAATCTTTTATCCCATGACCTAACTGAACTTAGCCCTGAAGTTTTTTTGGAGAGTCCTTGGTATTTTCTTTTCTTTTTTTTTTTTTTTTTTTGAGATGGAGTCTTGCTCTGTTGCCCAGGCTGGAGTGCAGTGGTGCAATCTCAGCTCACTGCAACCTCCACCTCCTAGGTTCAAGGGATTCTCCTGCTTCAGCCTCCCAAGTAGCTGGGATTACAGGTGCATGCCACCACACCTGGCTAATTTTTTTGTATCTTTAGTAGAGACAGGGTTTCATCATGTTGGCCAGGCTGGTCTCGAATTCCTGAGCTCATGATCTGCCCACCTTGGCCTCCCAAAGTGCTGAGATTACGTGCATGAGCCACCACACCCAGCAATCCTTGGTATTTTCTAAGTAAACAATCATCTCATCTTCAAATAGAGGCAATTTTATTTTCTCCTTTCCAAACGGTGTTTTATTTCTTTCTCTTGCCCTATTACAATAGCTAGAATTCCTAGTACAATGTTGAATAACACTGCCATTTAAAATGCTTGCATTTTCTAAACGCTTCTCACTTTAGCTTTAGGCTCTGGTAAAGAGCAAAATGCCTCTCCAACCTTTCTGTCTCGTGTGCCTTCTCCCCTTCTTCTTGATGACCACAACATCTGGCACCTGGACATTATTTAGAATGTTAGATAGTGGTTCACAGATGTAGTTGTTTTAAACATGGACGAACAATGTAGTGCTTCTTACAGGGTTGAATGAATAAGCATTTTATATGTTTTCATTGTGGCACTGTTGTATGGGGCAACTGCACACTCGTACATTTTTGTTGGATATTATGAATGCTTGTATGAATTGTGAATTAGAGTCACTGGACTGTGCCCCTGCCACCCCATGCCTAAATCATATGTTGAAGCCCAAACAATGTGACTGTATCTGGAGACAGGCCTTTTAAGAGACAATTAGTGTTAAATAAAGTCATGAGGGTGGGAACCTAAGCTGATAGGACTGTGGCCTTATAAGAACAGGAAAAGATTCTCTCTCTCTCTCTCTCTCTCTCCCCCTCCCACCATTTCCCACCCCCACCCCCCACCATGTGAGGACACAGTGAGAAGGTGGCCATCTACAAGCCAGGAAGAGAGCCCCCATCAGAAACCCAATTGGCCAACACCTTGATCTTGGACTTCAACCTCCAGAAATGTGAAAGAATAAGTTTCTGTTATTTAAGCCACTCAGTCAATGGTATTTTGTTAAGGCAGTCCAAGCTGACTAATACATCAAATATGTACCGGTCACACACAGGGAAAAAGGCCCCTGGTACAGTCAGCCAGCCCACACTATTAAAGGAGTTTAGAATATGTCACACCAAAATATGCTGCTCTGGCATATTCACTGTTTTAAGTTAAAGGCACTTAAAAAAAAATACATAGCAGGTACACGAACATCACTCTGACCTTCATGCTATTTCTTAAAAGCCAGAGATGAAATTCCCATGTGGAAGATGGCGTCTCTACCCTGGAAAGAAAGCAGCATCCTTACCAAAGACGGAAAATTGAAGCCAAGGAAAATCTGTACAAGCAAATCTTGTTTATTTTTTATTTATTTATTTATTTTTGAGACAGAGTTTCACTCTTGTTGCCCAGGCTGGAGTGCAATTGTGTGATCTCGGCTGACTGCAACCTCCGCCTTCCGGGTTCAAGCAATTCTCCTACCTCAGCTCCCTGAGTAGCTGGGATTACAGGCATGAGCCACCACGCCCGGCTAATTTTTGTATTATTGGTAGAGAAGGGGTTACACCATGTTGGCCAGGCTGGTCTTGAACCCCTGACCTCAGGTGATCTGCCTACCTTGGCCTCCCAAAGTGCTGGGATTACAGGTGTGAGCCACCGCACCCGGCCACAAACCTTGTTAAACTAACTCTTATCTTCCTAGTCACTTCTCCACCCAATTAACTACCTTAGCCCAAGTCTCTGTGCCTTGTCTTATTTCACACTTCACTGTTCTTTGTCCACTTCGTCATGTAAGTGATTGACTATAACTTCAGGTCTTCTTTTCCTTATGAGGACTCCCCTGTCACATAAAACTTGTGTTAAATAGATTTGTGTGCTTTTCTCCTGTTAATTTATCTTATGTCAATTTAATTCTCAGGCCCAGCTGGGACCCTGAGAGGATGGAAGTGGAGTTTGCTTCCCTCTACTACCATGAAACAACATTAATGGTACATCTCATTCTAAGAACCAAGGGAAGAGACCATAAAGAAGTGTGATTCATTCGCTTTTTATCCTCAAGATCTCATTACTAGCAGCAGAAACTATTGCTAGGATTTCCACAATGTTCCCATGACAAGCAAGTGGGACACTCCGTCCTGGCCAGGGAATGCCTCCCAATTTAAAGGTAGCATAAAGCCCAGAAGAAAAGAAGACCACACAGATTGTCAAGTCCAGGGACACCAAGAGTAGTGGTTCCCAAATATTATTATGCCTGAAACTCACCAGAGGCACTTGTTCAAAATGTAGGGATCTGCCCTACCTTTTAAGATTCAGATTCAATAGGTCTGGCATTAGTGTGACCAGCCATCCCAAAACCATGCTATTTGGGAAACTCCTTAGTTTTGGGTCTTCTTATCTGCTGTGTAGTCCAGGATTCTGCACATTTAATAAGCACCCTAGTGCAGCAGTCCCCAACCTTTGTGGCACCAGGGACTGGTTTCATGGAAGACAATTTTTCCACGGATGGGTTGAGGGTGGTTTTGGGATGATTCAAGCACATCACATTTAGTGTGCACTTTATTTATATTATTATTACATTGTGATATATAATGAAATAATTATACAACTAACCATAATGTAGAGTCACTGGGCGCCTTGAGCTTATTTTCCTGCAAATAGATGGTCCTATCTGGGGGTGATGGGAGACAGTGACAGATCATCAGGCATTAGAGCCTCATAAGGAGCTCATAATCTAGATCCCTCACATGTGCAGTTCACAGTAGAGTTCGTGCTCCTGTGAGAATCTAATACCACTGCAGATCTGACAGGAGGAGGCACAGCTCAGGCGGTAATGCGAGCGATGGGGAGCAGTTATAAATACAGCCCATGTTTACATCTGTAAATATTTACAGATGAAGCTTTGCTTGCTCGCCTGCTACTCACCTCCTGCTGTGCGGCCGGTTCCTAACACGCCATGGACTAGTACCGGGTTGGGGACCCCTGCTCTAGTGAATTTAGATGTCAATGGTCCTCAGACTATACTTTGAGAAACACTGACTTGGAGACTTGAAGTTAGCTTGTAATTCTTACTAGGTGGAAGGGAAAGGTGTCATTCAAGTGTAGCTATGAAAACAACTTGATGGATTTTAAGTGTAGTCACTTTTGAGCCTGAATCATAGATAGGAAAATGTCAGATTAAATATTTAAGTATACAAAATATGCCAGACTTTTGCATCTAATGTCCCTCTTCTTCTAGTGCTCTATCCCTGACATTCGTGATGACCTTCTCCTCTGAAGCACTGTCATGCTCTTCGCCCTTTTTCCTATCCTCATTCTTATTAGTTTCAACATCCAGGAGTTTCATTTCGTGACATCTTCACAACCCGTGTCAGTCTGAGTCCAGGCAAGAGATAGGAACCATGCCAGTTATTTGAATAGAGAGGATTGATTATGAAGAATTATTAGCTACAAATATAAAAAGAACAAGGTAGCAAAGAGTAAAAAGAGAACACTACGATATCACAGAGAGGACAACTGCAGGAAGCAGCCAGCAACCCTAGGGCTGGGGTAGAAGGAGGGGAAGAGGTTACCATTATCCACAGGTGCTGTGAAGAGGGCCTGCAGAAATGAAACACACACACCCCGAAGGGCCATGCTGCTCAGCTGATGCTGATGTCTCTGAGGTGGGCCCAATACAGCTGGTTTTACAAGGGTGGGAAAAACCCAAGCTAGATTCCGCTGCCTCTTTGGGAAGTAACTGCTGCTGCCTGGGTGAAGACACATTGCTGGGGAGTTATTGATAGAAACAAGAGCCAATTAAGTCTCCTTTTTAAAATAAACTATGCAGTCTCAGGTATTTCTCTGTAGCAATGCAAGAACAGCCTAATACAGAAACTGACATATCCATAAAGCTAGTGTGAGAAATTTTAAATCTATCCAACTCTCGGAAGTTTTTGATCAAGCTTACAAACTATTAGGAAGAATCTAAAATACACGTAGGTGCACATATAGGATATGCATATCCTAAAACATTTTAAAATTCAGTAGGAATAAAGGAAGTATCAGTTATTTGCAAAGACTCAGAATCACAATTATCACGTTCTCTAGTCTCAATGAAGAAAAAAGAAATCAACAACAGAAGGAAAAAGAAACCAAAAACAGATTCTTAAAATAAAAAACTTATTTCTGACTAACTTATAATTTCAAAGGAAATAAAATAAAAAATATGAAATAGCACCAAAAACATTCAAAGTATTTCCAGTCACAACCTGGGGGATGCAGCTAAAGACGAACTTGTGGAAAATGTAAAACTTTAAATGCATCTGTTAGGATACAATACATATTTAAAACAAATGAGCTAATCATTAATCTGAAGGTTAAGAAAAAAACAATAGAATTGATACAGACAGGAGACAGGCAAATACTGGGTAGAAGAGGGTAGTTCCCCGGCAAAGACCCTACCCTCAAGCCTGGAAACCGGTGGCCCTAAATGGGTACAGACATTCCTGTTTTCAAGCCCAAAATGTTGCCTTTTGGCCTGCCACACCCCCTATCTTGTACCCATATTAACCCCAAACCCCCAGCTCCAGGAGAAAACAAACAGACAAACAGCAGAAGAGCGCAACAGAGAAGGAGAGAAGAGAAGGAATGTTGAACACCGAGAGGAGTTCAGCTGGGACTATCAGAGAAAAGATTGGCCACTGGACAGCCAAACTCCAGAGGAAGAGCATCTTCTACTCCATCCCCCTTCCAGCTCTCCATCCATCCCACCTTCAACCCTCAGTAAAACCCCCGCATTCACTCTTCAAGCCCGTGTGTGACCTGATTCTTCCTGGACTCCGGACAAGGACCTGGGTACCAAGAGGGCACTGAACAGGTTAACACTTAAGCCATCTGTGGACAGCAAAGCTAAAAAAGCGACACTGTAACATGCCCACGGGCTTCGAGAGTCACCCCTAGATGATACCATGGGGCCGGAGCCCAAAGTGCTAGCCCTGGCTCGAGCACCCGCCCCACTGTGTGCTCCTCCTCGCATAAGGGGTTTGAGCTCATGGTGGCCGAACAGAGAGCCACACCCTTGTCATATGTCATGCGAACGGGGGCTAGGGAACTGTCCCATTTCAGAATGAATTCCAAGGAAATAATAAGGATTAAAAATAACTCCTAACAAAGTGAAGAGTAAAAGCAATATAAAAAACCAAGCCAATTCTTTGGAAAGACACCTAATTTCTACAAAGTTCTGACAAGACTGATGATGACAAAAAGAGAGAAAAGATAAAGAACCACTGGACACAAACAAGAGCAAATGCTGTTCAGGCTGTGGACTTTCCTGAGCCCGAGGAAGCTGAAGGCAGGGATACTGATTCAGAACACCCCACCATTGACTGCTTTTTCCCTCCAGTGACAGAGAGACCTTCCAGATGCTCAGCTTGGTTTAAGACATAGGAAAGCCCAAGGTCTTAAAACACTTCCTTAAATAGAAGCATTGAGCACTGCATTTAGGCAAGTTCTTCCTCAGGAGTGATGTAACAAGGTCAGCAGTAAAGCACAGAATGAGGCTTCCCAGTTGTCCCAGACCTCTCACCAGATATTGTCAATGTCTCTGGTTACTTCACATTCCCCTTAGAGGATTTCAAGGATTAAGGGAAACTGCCCTAAAATAAGATTATCTTATCTGTATCTGCCCTTATCCCGTATGGCCACTTCCTTTCTGTTAAGACTTTGGAACATAAATTGGTAAGAGTGTGTGTGTGTGTGTGTGCACCCTCCCCTTAGTCACTAAATGTTGTATTTGGTGTCATCACTGGGGTTGGCCTCACCCCCAGCCCCCACCTCCCCTCAGTTATATTTGGAAGGAACATCTGGAAGCTGAAGAAAAAAATGCTGAGGACCCCTGTGTAGAGACAGGCTAGACTTTGTGCCACTGAAGGAATTGTGTTAATGGAATTTACCCAGTTTTCTCCTAACTCCAACTGGTCCTGCTCGGTAGTTAAAGAGATCTGAGCTGAGGGCAGAGTTACCCCAGATATAGTTCCCTGGTTTCCCAGAAGCACACAGCCAAGTAGCCAAGGATCCTTGAAGTGAGGGGGAAGCTTAAAGTTTGGACCAAGTACCTTGAGTGAACGCCAATATCTGAAACCTGGGCCATGATATTAGGAAAGATCTAGGGGCTGAGGGCTCCTCAGGCCCCCATTAGACTTCTGAATGGAGACTTCCAGGCAGAAATTAGATAATTGTTGATGTTTTTGATGTAGTTACAGTGAGAATGGACCTAAAAATTTTTTAATTGATGTGACTCTACCTGCATGATTGATCAAAAAAAGAGGAAGTTAGATTAGGATGAAAAAATGAAAGTTTTAATGACTTCTCTATATTTTCTTAAAAAATTTAGTTACACATATAGCACACAAAGACATTTGCATGAACTTACTCAAAGTGTAAGACAACGTTACAGTTCCTCTTTACCTCTGTCACCTCCTCCCCAACCCCCCACTCCCTCACACACAAACACCCAGAGGGGATCTTGAATCAAAGGTATGTGTCTGCCCAGGCCTTTTTCATGTGTATTTACAAATATGTCACACTATTACTTTTAAGAAGGATTTCTGTTTTAATGTTTATGAAACAATCTTCCTCTTTTCATATTTGAACCTGTAGCTTCAGAAAAAAAAAAAGAGAGAGAGAGACCAGGCGCGGTGGCTCATGCCTGTAATCCCAGCACTCTGGGAGGCCGAGGTGGGCGGATCACCTGAGGTCAGGAGTTCAAGACCAGCTTGGCCAATTTGGTGAAATCCCATCTCTGCTAAAAATACAAACATTAGCTGGGCGTGGTGGTATGCTCCTGTAATTCCAGCTACTCCGGAGGCTGAGGCAGGAGAATTTCTTTGTTCGTTTGTTGTTTGTTTGTTTGTTTGTTTGTTTGTTTTGAGATGGAGTCTCGCTCTATCGCGCAGGCTGGAGTGCAGTGGAGCGATGTTGGCTCACTGAAAGCTCCACCTCCCGGGTTCATGCCATTCTCCTGCCTCAGCCTCCCGAGTAGCTGGGACTACAGGCACCCGCCACCACGCCCAGCTAATTTTTTTTTGTATTTTTCGTACAGACAGGGTTTCACCGTGTTAGCCAGGATGGTCTCGATCTCCTGACCTCGTGATCCACCCGCCTCAGCCTCCCAAAGTGCTAGGATTACAGGCGTAAGCCACCGGGCCCAGCCAAGGACAATTTCTTGAACCCGGGAGGTGGAGATTGCAGTGAGCAAAAATAGGGCCACTGCAGTCCAGCCTGGGTGACAGAACCAGACTTCGTCTCAAAAAAAAAAAAAAAAAAGAGTGGAGTCCTTGGAACTATATGGTTTGGTGAAGCTAACTGAATTTTAAAACAGAGTTCAGAGGTCAGGGTCTTGGAAGCACTTTTCTATTTGGAAGAACTTGCTTTCTAAGTCGAACATCAAAAATTCAGTACTATTTTTGTAACTTCCTGTGAGTCTATAATTGCTTCAAATCATAAAAAATAATAATGTTTTAAAAACCGGCATGTGGTTCAGCATCTTTTCCAGGGCTCTGCAGTTCTGGATGCCTATGCCGAGATGGAACTTACATCAGCTTGGGTCTCTGGGCAACCGTGATGAGCAGAACCTCATTGGCCACCCACAACATATATGTGGCAGACGTGAGAAATAAGCTTTGTTGTGTTAAGCAAAAGCAATAACGAAAACAGCAACAAATGCACAAACTGGCTTCTGTCAGTTGTGTGTCTTCTCCCTTTCCTATCTCTGTCTCTGTCTCTCTCCCTCTCTTGGCTCACTCACTTTGGGGGAAGCCGGCTGCCGCCTTGTGAACACACCAGGCAGCTTGTGAGGAGGCTTGGCGGTGAGGAATTAAAGTATTTGGCCAACAGCCAGGAGGAAATTGAGGCCGACAACCACAGGAGTGAGCTGAGAAGCAGATCTTCCCGCAGCAGTGCCTTCAGCTGACTGCAACCTTACCTTAGGACAAACCTGAGCCTGAACAATCGAGCTAAGCCACTCCCAGACTCCCGACCCTCAAAAACAGCAGGAAATAATAAATGTGTGTTGTGTAAAGCTACTAAATTTTAGGATAACTTTTGTTACTCAGCAAAAAATAACTAATACACGCCGGCAGGGCTGCATGGTGACTTTTGCAGAGCCTTGACCCTTGTGCCTTTGTAGGTGCCTTCCTCCATAAGCTATGTTAAAAATGTTATGTCGTGACTATGTTGGTATAAAGACAAATATTAATATAATCAAGGCTGGGTTCATTATTATTATATCCATTTTTTTCTTCTGATTTTAGACAAAATTAAAACTTTTTTAGGCCCTGAAGTATCATAGGCCCCAGCCTTCTGTGCTCAATGGATGTCAGCCCTACACTGGGGAACAACATAAGAGGGACATGCAGTCAAGAATAAGTTATTAGGGCCGGGTGCGGTGGCTCATGCCTGTCATCCCAGCACTTTGGGAGGCCAAGATGGGTGGATCACCTGTGGTCAGGAGTTTGAGACCAGCCCGACCAACCTGGTAAAATCCTGTCTCTACTAAAAACACAAAAATAAGCTGGGTGTGATGGTGCATGCCTGTGGTCCCAGCTACTCAGGAGGCTGAGACAGGAGAATCACTTGAACCTGGGAGGCGGAGGCTGCAGGGAGCCGAGACTGTGCCACTGCACTCCAGCCAGGATGACGAAGCGAGACTCCATCTTAAAAAAAAAAAAAATAGAATAAGTTTTTGGTCCTGATTCTGCCCAAACCCATGCAATAAGCCCATCACCTGGTAAGGCCATTAAGATTTTGGCAAAGTTGTATCCCATGATCATGGATTGTTTTGGGTCCTGTCCTCCAGGTTGGAAAGAAGACTGACTGATTGCTTGGGGAACTGAGTAGAAGCTGCTGTAGGGTATTCCCAAAAGGCCATGACAGGAGCTGTACTGTGGGAGCCAAACCACGTGATCCTATGAAGCTTGGGGCATCAGCTGCAACTTCTTAGCCTGAGAGTGGGCAGCGTAGCACTGGCTTTGACCCCAGTGTCTTCCAGAAGCTGATATTCACAATTTGCATTAAATCTGGAAGGAGGAAAGTGTTTAGATCTAAAGACGCAGGAGCCAGCTGGCTTGGGTTTAAATTCTACCTTTGGCACTTACTGGCTGTGTTACCTTCGGCCAGTTTCTTAAGCCCTCTGTACCTCAATTTGATAATCTTTAAAGTTAGAATAATGATAGAGGTAGTTGTGAGAATTTTGTGAGTTAACGTACATAAAACACAACAGCACCTGGCACAGAGTAAGCCTTCAATATTTTCATTGTGGTGATTATTACTAAGCTTCATTTGAGCTCACACTAACTACTGATGGGCATTTTATTACTCTCCTCACTGTTTACAATCATGTCTTGGGTATGTCAGAGCAACTTTCACATAAGAAGGAGCTGCCAGGAAGTCATGAACAAGCCAAATGGGAGTCCTAGGTAGAGAGAACCAGGCTCTTGAATAAGGCCCAGCAGAGCTCAGAGATGATGCTCTCATCATGAAATCCTCTCATGAAATCCAAACGGTGGTCTCCATTTGTGGATCAATGGGCTATACCTCTGACATTCTTTCTTTTTTGTTTGTTTGTTTTGTTTTGTTTTGTTTTGTTTTGAGGAGGACAGGGTCTTGCTCTGTCTCCCAAGCTGGAGTGCAGTGATACAGTCATGGTTCACTACAGCTTAGACCTCTCAGGCTTAAGCGATCCTCCCACCTCAGCCTCCCAAGTAGCTGGGACCACAGGCACATGCCACCACGCTCAGCTAATTTCTGTATGTTTTATAGAGATGTGGGTCTTACCATGTTGCCCAGGATGGTCCTGAACTTCTGGGCTCAAGTGATCCACCCACCTTGGCCTCCCAAAGTGCTGGAATTAAAGGCATGAGCCACAGGGCCTGGCTGAGATTCTTTTTTAATAGTTACAAGCCACAGCTTTGTTTACTGATAGCCTTAGACTGATAGCCTTTGCTTGGTTTACTGATAGCCTTAGGCTGTCAATGGAAAGCTGCTTCTCTGTGGCCCAACTTTGCAGCACCTAAGTGGGAAGAACAGAAGACAATCAGCCTATAGGCCAAAGTGTGGCCAGCCATGATTCTGGACCATCTGGCACAGGTTCATACCAACTCTTGGATAACTTCCAAAGGTCCAATAAGGTCAAGTGGACATGGACAACTGAGTAGTATAAAACAGACTGCATTTGAGTTCGACAGTTACTTGGGGGAAAATGGGGGCCTATCAAGGTCAAGTTTGAATAGTACATAACAATGAATGTTTTATTAATCAACCTGCAGAATGTCAAGTGGGTTCATAGGGTGTCAGGGCATGGCAGGCTACAGGTCATGCTGAGGTAGATCTCTTTGTATCTCTGAAGACCAAAAGGGTGGTACAGAACACGGACAAAGCAAATATAATCAGGCACAATCAAATGCATATGCACTCCCCGCTGCTGGCAGATGGACTATATCAGGCCCCTGTCCACAGAGCAAGAGGAGTCCGCTGTGCTCTGAACGAAGCCAGTGTCTCTTTGGATTTGGAATTTTGTTTCTTATTTCAGAGGCTTTGCAGCTAGCACTATACAGGGCAAATCTTAATTACTTAGGACCTTGAACCTAATGTTATTCCATCTAGGGTACACATTCTACCAGTCAACAATAGAAAACATGGCCCAAAAGAATGCCAAGTGGTTGTGTCACATAGCCTATCTTCAAAATCAAAAGAGCTGTTGGAAAACTGAAATGTGTTATTAGATGCCTCTACATGATGAACCATTATAAATAAATGAAGTATATGACAAAAATAACATGTTACTGAAATATGTAAAAGATCTGAATAAAGGGACAGATATACTATATTGATGAATGAAAAAACTCCATTCTTCAAAATCCCGTATTTAATGTGTAAAGTAAAATAACCATAATTAAAAATACAGCAAAATTCTGTGTGCCAATTGACAAATTATGTATATACATATATATATACACATACGTGTGTGTATATGTGTGTGTGTGTGTGTGTATATATATATATATATTTTTTTTTTTTTTTTTTTTTTTTTGAGACAAGATCTTGCTCCACTGAGAGTAGCAGCCACAGCGGAGAGCTTCAGAGACCTGCAGAGACATGTGAATGATTTGCCTGCAGAGAAGCCACCCTCTCCAGGGCCTCCTCTCTGGAGTGGCCAGAGTGCAGTGGTGATCATAGCTCACTGTAGCCTCAACCTCCTGGGCTCAAGCCACCCTCCCACCTCAGCTTCTCGAGTAGCTGAGGCTCCTCAGCCATCATACCTGGCTAATATTTTAATATTTGTTGTAGCGACGAGGTCTTGCTCTGTTGCCTGGGCTGGTCTCAAACACCTGGCCTTGAGCAATCCTCCTACTTCAACCACCCAAAGTGCTGGGATTACAGGCATGAACCACTGGACCTGGCCTAAATTGTAAAATTTATATGTGAGAAGAGACTTCAGGAATTGAAAAGAACTATAAAAGAGGAGACTTACCCTACCAAAGACCAAAACATATTATGTAGAGTAATTATTGTAGTATTAGTGTTACAGGATCTCTGGGGTGTCAATTTTTCTGGGTGGAAACTGTGGCCACAGTGTCTTTGCCTGAGTTCTTGTCCTGTGTCCAGGAAGAAAGAGGTATGCAGACAAGCGAGGGGTAAAGAAGAAGAGCTTCATTTAGTGTTAGAACAGCTCAGAGGGGTGGATAGCTCCTCTCTGTAGGCAGGTCCTCCTTCGAGTGTTCAGCTGTCAGCAGAAACAAGGCCCTGGAGAGGGTGGCTCCTCTCTGCAGGCAGGACATTTGATTTCTCTGCACCTCTCTGCTGCAGCTGCTGCTCTCAGTGGAGAGGGTATTCCTCTCTGTAGCTGGTCATCCCATCGTCTCCAGCTATCAGCTGAGAGGCCACTCCTTTCTGCAGCCGGTCGTCTCTTCATCCCTCCAACCTCTGCTCTCTTTGTCCTCTGGCTGTCCTCTGCCCTGCTCTAGCTGAGCCCAGGGCTTTTATGGACCTCAGAGGGGAGGAAGTGTGTGCCAATTGGTCCATGGGTGGCCATGGGTGGGCCCGGAAGAGGCACCATGAGTCCCCACTCAGGTCCCTGGGACTGGCAGCCCAGCCCCCAGCCTTTAGGACCTCCCTAGCCTGAGGGTGGGGCCTTACTGCAGACCCCACCCCTTTCCACCCAGGACTCTGTCTGCCTCCTGAGGCCATTCCAACCCAGGTGGAAGTTAGTGCTGAGAGGGGAGAGAGGCCAGGTAGTGGGAGCAGACACCCCTGAGCCTGCAGGGACAGGGGGTCCATCCTGGGGCACTTGAGGGTGCAGCCTTCAGAGACACCCAGGTCTCGCGCCTGGGAGGGCAGCCACAGCTGCATCCAGGAGCTCCCGCTTGTCCCCAGCTCCTGCCTGCTTCCTGGAGCAAGAGGCCCAGGTCTGCAGCCATAGTGCAGGGGCTGTAGCTGCACCTGGAAGGGCAGATCCTACCTGTTCCCAGCTCCCCCAGGAGCACAGGGAGGCTCAGATCCACAGCTGCAGTTTGGGTGGCTGTAGCCCCACCCAGGAGGGCAGGAATCCTGCCTGCTCCGTAGAGCAGGAGGCCTGGGTATGACGCTGCAGTTTGGGTGGCTACAGTGGCACGGGGAGTGCCCCTCCCAACTCAGAAGGGGCAGGGCTCCCACCGGCTCCATGGAGTATGCAGCCCTAACCACACCTTCCTGCTGCAGCCAGAATGATGGCAGCAACCACTGCCATCATTAGTACAGGAAAAATAATAGAACGTTGAGAAAGAGGACCATGTACACAAGAGATTTTAGTAATGACAAAATCAACATTTACAATTAACAGGGACTGGAAAGACTATCGACAAATATTGTTGGGAAAATTGGTGAGCCATTTAGGGGAAATTTTTTACATTAAACTGACGAGTTTACCTATATTAAAAACTTTTTAAAATTGTATTTAAGAAATTGCCATAGCAAAGTTAAAAGATAAGCAATCTTTCCATTAAAGATGCTAGATTGACTGTTTTTATCTTTCCCCTTTCTCAAGTCTTCACTAAAATGATTGGGAAGTTATAAACAAAAGTATAAATCCATAAGAGCAAAAAAAATGTAGAAGAAAATATATCAGGATGAGAGATTTCAATTCACTTTTGGAAGAATCACAGCAAATGGATGGCTGGTAACTGATTTAGCATAGTGGAAGAATTTGCAGCCAAAATCCTGAGAAGGATATGGAAGAGAAGAGATACAATTTACTTCAAAAACCAGAAGAGGGTTAGTATGGCTAAGTATGGCCTAGGGCAGGGAGAAGTGAGGCTCCGAAAACAGAGAAATTGATTCAAAGTCTGCAGGGACTGTGATTGGACCCGAGACTTCTTCCTTTACTCCTTACGCAGCATGTCAGTGGTCTGGAATCCAACCTGCAGGCTGGACAGCGTGGGAGGAAAACACACACACACTGACATCTGTGGGTCTTCAAGTGAAATATTCAGTGCTCTCTTCTGTTGTCCAAAAGTGAAGCCCACTGGCCAAAAAGTCAGCTCCATGCCACCAGAGCTTCTAATCAGCATGATGTGGGCTCCTCTTGAATATAAACAATACAATACAACAAGGAACACCAGATATTTTTGGGAATGCTCCAACATGAAACAAATTTGACCAAACCAATAGGAAAAATAAGCTCACCAAAAAAGGAAATAACAGACAGTAGAAGAAACATTTTTAAAATCTTTGTTTTGTATCCTCAGAAAGGTTAGATTATACTCATATATAAGAATGGGATGCTATGAAAAAGGAACAAAATAGAAAAAGACAGAGCTCTTAGAAATTAAACATATAATAGTCAAAAGAAACATTCAATGAAAGATTTTGAAGATAAGGTCCAGGAAATTTCCCAAAGTAAAGCAAAAGAAAAAGAGGTAGAGAATGTTAGAGAAAAGATGATAAACGTATAGAATGAATGCAGGAGCTCCAATATTGACCAAGGGAGTTTGAGAGAACAGAGAAAATAGAAAAGGAAGGAAGTAGGTAAGTAAGTAAGTAGATAAAGTGGTAGATAAATGGATATATGGATGGATATATAGATAGACAAACAGGCAAATAAATCAATCCAGCAATGAGGGACCTAAATATCTTGACCAAAAGAATCCACTGATTAGCTAACATAACAAGTGATGATATATCCTCACCTTCATGCAATTCCAAATCATCATAAAATTTCAGAACACAAGGAATGAAAAGAAGATCCTAAAGTTGGCCGGGTGCGGTGGCTCACAACTGTAATCCCAGCACTTTGGGAGGCTGAGGTGGGCAGATAACGAGGTCAGGAGATCAACACCATCCTGGCTAACATGGTGAAACCCCGCCTCTACTAAAAATACAAAAAAATTAGCCAGGCATGTTAGCGGGCACCTGTAGCCCCAGCTACTCAGGAGGCTGAGGCAGGAGAATGGCGTGAACCTGGGAGCTTGCAGTGAGCTGAGATTGCGCCACTGAACTCCAGCCTGGGCGAGAGAGCAAGACTCAGTCTCAAAAAAAAAAAAAAAAAAAAAGATCCTAAAGTTTACAGAAAGAACAGATCACAAGTATCAGAATAACATCAAACTTCTTAGCAGATAGTCTGGATCTAGAAGAAAATGAAGCAATATTTCCAAAGTACAGACAGAAAATGATTGTTTTTTGGTCTTGCTAATTAAAAAAAATTTTTTTTATAGAGATGCGGGTCTTGCTATGTTGCCCGGGCTGGTCTCAAACTCCTGGTCTCAGATGGTCCTCCTGTCTCAAGCTCCCAAAATGCTGAGATTATAGCCATGAACCACCACGTCCAGCCAGAAAATGATTTTTTAACTGTAATTAAATACCTAGCAAAACTAGCAGTTTGATGTAAGTATAAAATAAAAACATTATTTGATACATGAAAATTTACTTCCCATATATTAGAGGATTATCTCAGGGAAAACAGGGGAGGAAAATTAGAGAGAGACCTAGTAGATTTGGATCCAGTAAGGACAAGGTCAAAGGAAAGTCTTGAACAGCAGCTATAAAGCAGGCAGAGGAGGTAACAGCTCAGATTAGAGCAGGGTGGAGGACTCCAAAGGGAAGAGCCCTAGAAAAAAGGGGAAATTGAAAACTGAATGATCAAATGAAGCATTAGGGAAACTACAGGATAGCATATTATACAAGGAAAGAGATGAGCAACTTCAAACTTCAAGAAAAACACGAAGCTGTATTACAAAGAAGCTGTAATTGTGGTTTAAATCTTGGTTCCGAAATGTATGATGTTTGCAGAGTTGTGAAATAAATATTGATTATTTACTTGACGAAAAGTAATGATGAAATACATAGAGTTGGTGAAAGAAGTAAATGTAGATGATTATATTTGAATCTGTCAAGGAAGAAGTCATTAGATAATGCCTAAAATTGGATAAATCAAGAAATAGTATAAGCACACTATTTTGGAATATTAAAATTACTAATAGAATCACAGCTTTAAAAAAAGAAAAATATGGTCTGGGTGTGGTGGCTCATGCCTGTAAATCCCAGCACTTTGGGAGGCTGAGGTGGGCGGATCACGAGGTCAGGAGATCAAGACCATTCTGGCTAACACGGTGAAACCTCGTCTCTACTAAAAATACAAAAAATTAGCTGGGCGTGATGGCACGTGCCTGTAGTCCCAGCTACTTGGGAGGCTGAGGCAGGAGAATTGCTAGATCCTGGGAGGCGGAAGTTGCAGTGAGCTGAGATCACACCATTGCACCATTATTTATTTGACTAAAAGTAATGATGAAATACATAGAGATGCTGAAAGAAGTAAAAGTGGATGACTAGATTAAATTTGAATCTGTCAAGGAAGAAGCCATTAGATAATACCTAAAATTGGATAAATCAAGAAATAGTATAAGCATATTATTTTGGAATATGAAAATTACTAATAGAATCACAGCTGGGTGACAGAGCGAGACTCTGTCTCAAAAAAATGTATATATATATATGGATGACTCTGGGGATTGGGAAGAACGGAAAAGTAGTAGAGGAGACTTATTGTTTTTATTACAAGCTTTTGAAAATAGCACCGGGGCACATATAGGTTCTATGGCACTTGAAGTTCTTACAATATGGGGAGAGGGGAGTCCTGTTTAAACAAAACAATAAACATTTATAAATAAAAATAGTTATAAAAGTGAATATTTAGGATTTAAAAAAAACAAAAGTTACAAACTTTAAAAATACAAATCCATAGACACCACAAAATATGGGAAAAAACATATTTTTATTCATTAACTACCTGAAACATCCCTTTAAAACATTTCCTGACCATTTGGTACATATTTTTTGACTGCCTCTTCGTTCGTAATATAAAAGTAATGTCACACTATTTCTTTTGGAGGAATAAAACAGTCTTTATTTAGCATAGATAACTGAAATTGTTCTTTATTATTGACAGTTTAGAAAAGTTTCTGCCAGGAGCAGTGACTCATACCTGTAATTCCAGCACTTTGGGAGGCTGAGGCAGGAGGGCCACTTGAGGCCAGGAGTTCATGACCAGCCTATGGAACATACCAAGACCCTGTCTCTACAATAGAAAATTAAAAATAAAAAATTAACAGGGTGTGGTGGTCCATGCCTGTAGTCCTAGCTACTCAGAGTTTGAGGAGAAAGGATCACTTGAGCCCAGGAGGTTGAGGCTGCAGTGAGCTATGATCACACCACTGTACTCCAGCCTGGATGACAGAGCAAGAACCTATCTCTTTAAAAAAAGAAAAGAACAGAAAAGTTTCTCTAAGCTTCACACCTTGCTATTGGTAATGCCATTTAATTTACTACAATTTATGAAAATTTTTGAAAAGCTCTGTTAAATTTCTTTAATACATGAACAGTAAAATTTCAGGGCATTTAAAGTTTTCTTGGGCAGTGATTAATCTTAATACTCTGAATTGAAACTATTCACAAACCAACTTGTTATCTATGTTCTCCTTGTAGTATTGTGCTGTGTATTGATATAGTGATTCATTATTACAGTTGAGAACTTCCATTTTGGACTAGTTTTTTTTTTATTATACTTTAAGTACTAGGGTACATGTGCACAACGTGCAGGTTTGTTACATATGTATACATGTGCCATGTTGGTGTGCTGCACCCATTAACTCGTCATTTACATTAGGTATATCTCCTAATGCTATCCCTCCCCCTACCCCCACCTCATGACAGGCCCCGGTGTGTGATGTTCCCCTTTCTATGTCCAAGTGTTCTCATTGTTCAATTCCCACCTATGAGTGAGAACATGTGGTGTTTGGTTTTTTGCCCTTGCTATAGTTTGCTGAGAATGATGATACATTTATGTGTTCACAGCCACTTCCACATATAGTAAAGTTATTGTTGGACATCTTAGTGTAGGTGTGGCTTTCAGAAATACATCTGCTCATCATGCTAACTCACCTAGCACTGTGACACAAAGGTTTGGGGCCAGAGGTTTTATTGAAATATAAATGGGTTCTATTCTCCTAGCACTGGAAGTATGTGAGTAAGAGGAGAAATGAGGTTTGAAATTTGCAGAGCCATAGACTAGTTTCTTTACTATATGTGGAAGTGACTGTGAACCACATAAATGTATCTCACTAAACCCAAACAGAATATGTCCCCAATTTAATATCCCCTTGGCCAGATCCCAGTAATTCCAGCAGCTGCTCCAACACCACCGAACACAACGGAAGGAAGAGGCAGCAGTCTCAACAGACTGTCATTAATATATCTCACTTTGTCAGCCAACAGACATATAAAAAAAAGCTTAATATTATTAATCATCAGGGAAATACAAATCAGAACCACAATGATAGGCCATCTCACCGCAGTCAGAACGGCTATTATAAAAAGTCAAAAAATAACAGATGTTGGCGAGGCTGTGGAGAAAAGGAACACTTAAACACTGTTGGTGGGAATATAAATTAGCTCAGCCACTGTGCAAAGCAATTTGGAGATTTCTCAAAGAACTAAAATAGAACTACCATTTGACCCAGTATATACCCAAAGGAAAATAAATCATTCTACCAAAATGACACAGGTACTCATATGTTCATCGCAGCACTGTTCACAATAGCAAAGACAGGAAATCAACCTAGGTGCTCATCAACCATGGATTGGATAAAGAAAATGTGGTATATATACACCATAGAAAACTATGCAGGCACAGCAAAGAATGAAATCATGTCCTTTGCAGCAACATGGATGTAGCTGGAGGCCGTTATCCTAAGCAAATTAATGCAGAAACAGAAAACCAAATATCGCAAGTTCTCACTTATAAGTGGGAGTTAAACTTGGATAAACACAGATATAAAGATGGGAACTTTATTGAGTACTTCCTTTTGGGTACTATGTTCACTATCTGAGCAACAGGATCAATAGAAGCCCAAACCTCAGCATCAATACCATATAACCTTGTAATAAACCTGCACAAAACAAAAATAGAAATTAATATACATCTTGCTTTGTAAATTTTACAAAAACTCATGACAATGTGGTACTCTGTTATGGCCTCATAACAGAGCCTCTTCCAGGGCCTTGGGAAGAAACTATGCAAGTAAAGGCCCTGAAGTTTAAGCTTAATTAGCTTCAAGGGAAATCTACTTCTAGGCATGAGCTTATAATTTTTTTTAAACTGCGTGCACATATCTTGATTAAAAACAGAGTGGTGAGAAGAGAGCATATTAAATAAAGGGTAACTGGCAAAATATTTGGATCATATATGATAGATAAAAGATGTACTTCCAGAGTAGATTTTTTTTTTTTCTTTTGAGAGAGAGTCTCACTCTGTCACCCAGGCTAGAGTGCAGTGGCGCAATCTCAGCTTACTGCAACCTCTGCCTTCATTCAAGTGATTCTCCTGCCTCAGCCTCCCAAGTAGCTGGGATTACAGACATGCACCACCATGCCCGGCTAATTTTTGTATTTTTAGTAGAGGCGGGGTTTTGCCGTGTTGGCCAGGCTGGTCTCGAACTCCTGATCTCAAGTGATCTGCACAACTCAGCCTCCCAAAGTGCTGGGATTACAGGGAGAGTAGATTTTTAAAAACTCATACACATGGCTGGGCACGGTGGCTCATGCCTGTAATCCCAGCACTTTGGGAGGCTGAGGGCGCAGGGGGGTGAATCACGAGGTCAGGAGTTCAAGACCAGGCTGATGAACATGGTGAAACCCCATCTCTACTAAAAATACAAAAACTAGATGGGCGTGGTGGCACACGCCTGTAATCCCAACTACTCGGGAGGCTGAGGCAGGAGAATTGCTTGAACCCAGGAGGTGGAGGTTGCAATGAGCCGAAATTGTGCCACTGCACTCCAGCCTGGGCAACAGAGCAAGACTCCGTCTCAAAAAACAAAAACAAATGAACAAACAAAAACCTCATACACATTAGAAAGGTAATAAGGCAATAGAAAAATGAGAAAAATTTAGGCTATCTGTGTCACAACAAAAGAGATACACAAATGGCCAGAAAATACAAGAAAGGATGACTTTAGTACTCAGGGAAATGCAAATTAAAACACAAGAAGAAATAGCAACCTGGGACATGTATTACTAAAAATCACCATGTTATTATTGGATCTTGTACAATATAAATAATAGGCTAATGGGAAAAAGGAATTACAGACACAACATTAAAAACTATAAAGTTTGGCCAGGCATGGTGGCTCATGCCCGTAATCCTAGCACTTTGGGAGGCTGAGGTTGGGAGAATCACTTGAGACCAGGAGTTTGAGACTAGCCTGGTCAACACAGTGAGACTCCATCTCTAAAATAAATTTTAAAATTAGCTGATTGTGGTGATGTGTGCCTATAGTTCTGGCTACTTGGGAGGCTAAGGTGGAAGGATCACCTGAGCCCAGGAGTTTGAAGCTGTATTGTGCTATGACTGAGCAGCTGCACTCCAGGCTGGGTGACAGAGTGAGACCCTTTCTCTAAATCAAACAAAAAATAAGCTCCCCCTTCAAAAAAAAAAAAAAATTAAACAGTAAAACCTCAAAAGAAATATGTGAAAAAAGTAATGAAAATAAAACAAACTGCTCCCATAAAAATGTGACCCTAGTTTTAAACATCTTGAATTCCTAATAGAATAAATGTAGGACTCGGCCTGGATAAAAGAGGTAACGTTTGCTTGGTGATAGTGATATGGTGAGGTGTTGTGGCTTCCAAAGGATGGAGAAAGAGGTGGTGAATGGGACCACCATATTAGAAGCCAGATGTGCAGTAGCAGAGGTAGATGGCTCATTTGCCCTGATTTTGTTTCTTCTGGTCTGGATTCAAAGAGAAATCCTGCCTTTGTTGTTTTCGGTTTCTTCCTTTCTTAAAGCAGCAGCTTGTATGGCTCCAAGCAAAACTAGATTCCATGGAATGGTAGGCTGCTGGGCTTAACATCATAGTCATTATTTTCAATCCACTGCAAGTGCTGTTCAACCCCACTTAAAGCCAGGAAAACTGTGATGTGTTCCGTTCTCCTTTCTGCTAAGTTTGCAGCCTTGTCTCTGAAGGCACATGGTATATTCCTTTAGGCCTGTTGCTCTGTGGTATGACATTCATTCTTCTACCATTTCATTCAGACGTCTTTTATTATATCAAGATTTGCTTCCATAATAAAGGCTATCTTTTTGTGTGTGTTTTACTTGGGTTCTTAAAACCAGTAGGCTTACTCATGTTTGGGATTCTGTGTTAAATATTATTCAAAAGCTTTTTATTTCAAAATCATTATAGACTAATCAGAAGTTGCAAAAATAATACAGAGAGATTAGGAGAAACTTCACTTAGCCCCCACCCCTCACCACAGTGATAACAACTTGCACATCTACAGTACGTGATCCAAACCAGGAAATTGACATTGGCACATTTATTAAACATTTGCATCAAGAAAATTATACAAACGTGGGACAACAATATGAGATAACCACAGGGAAGGTGAACTGGGCTAAGAAGAAAAAGATGAGGCTCTGTGTGTTTGCGTATGTGCCTCAGTGCATGGTCCACTCCTCCATGGGTCACTGTCTTCAATGAGGTCATGGGTTTTTTTTTGGTTCTGCTGACACAAGCAAAAAGCATAATCACCTCCTTATCTGCTCTTTCTGGTGACAGTGATAACGAGGCAGGCTCATTTCCAGGAGACACGAGAATCCTCTATCAGGTGACTCTGGCTAGAAGACTGCCTGGTGGCATTGCCAGGCTCCCCTTGGCCCAATAAAAATGTGACCCTAGTTTTAAACATGTTAAATTCCTGATAGAATTTAAGGAAGTCTCAGACACTTCCACCCACACGCCCCTCTTTACTTCCCTCTCTCCTGCACTCTGGATTCACTCAGGGTCTGATGATTCTCCCAGCCTCTCCCTCCCCATTTTCTGTGACAGATGTTTCACCTAATAAGTTTCTTGCATGTTTAATCCTGTTGTGATGTCTCCTTCTTGGGGGTACTCAGACTAATACCCGCATATTTTTGGTTTATTCCCCTGCTTATCTACTGTGTATGAGCAGATCCAAACATCACATTCATGTGTGGGAACAGAAGAACTGTACCTTTTCCATCGTCCTCATAATTTTTGCAAACCCAGACCTATTTCTTCCTAATCTTCTCTATTTCACAAATTAAGTCTTCATGGGCCACCTTGGTTTGGCCCTGTGGTGACATGGACGTCCCCTGCTGGATTCTACAGGAAACCCAATCACACTAAGCATAGCATGAGTTTTGGGGTCTCACTGAATATTTGTGGGTCACAGGGCATGAAGTCATATCTTAAAAAGCATGTCTCAGCCATTTCACTGGTTTCAACCCCCTGGCCTCCTTCCCAATACAGGTCTGCTCAGTTCTTTGCAGGTGAACCCCTGCACAGACTCCCAGAAAGTCTAAAGTAGTACTGTCCTTTCTCCTTCGCGCTGTCCCAGCCTGATGGCCTTCCCTAAACATGGCAAGAGCAAACACATGAATGAATAAATAAATGGGTGTTACAAAGTAAGTTAACTGCACCCTAGAACAAGGCTCAAGATTATTTTTAGAAATTTTGAAAAGTGTATAAATATAGCCAGGCATGGTGGCACATGCCTGTAATCCCAGCTACTTGGGAGGCTGAGGCAGGAGAATCACTTGAACCCGGGAGGCGGAGGTTGCAGTGAGCCGAGATCGTGCCATTGCACTCCAGCCTGGGCAACAAGAACGAAACTCCATTTCAAAAAAAAAAAAAGAAGACTGGAATCTACAATGGCTTTCCTGATAATTACTTAGGGTTTAATTGGTATTCGTGTATATATACATATTCTCAAGAATTATTCAATATTTTAAAAATATTTATGTTAGAATCATGTACTTTTAGATATAGAAGGAAACTTCAGTATCACTAACTCCAATCCTATAATTTTATAGTTAAGGAGAATGAGATGTAGAAGGGTAATTGATTTGAGCCCAGAGAAATATTAAATGAGGGCAGGATTGAAACTCATCTATTTCTCGATTTCCCCAATCTCTTTCTGTTTCCACTGTACTATACAGTCTCTTTAGATTAAAAAAAAAGGTGAGAGAAAAGTTACTGATTATTCCTTCTTAAAATAAAATTTCATATATATCTGGAGCAATTTCATAAAGAATATATATCTTAGGCCTTGGTTTATTTGAAAGATTATATGTATTAATCAAAGATAAAAGCTGTAATAATATCAATTGTTTAAAATAAATATACAAAGAGTCCAAATTATAAGTTTAAATTTCCATGAAATGAAAATGTTGTGCTCTATTACCTGTCAGAAATATATATTTCTTTTTATGCTTTCAGAATTTCTGGTGTTGGATGTATATTAAATGATAACTTTGTGATAAAAGCTAAAAAAAAGAAAAGTGTATAAATAAAACCCTCCATGACTTAGCATATAAAAAATTACTGGGCATGTCAAGAAGCAAGAAAACATGCTCTATAATGAGGAGGAAAAACAAATCAATAGAAACTGACCTAGAAATGACACTAATGATAAAATCTGTAGACAAGACAATTCAACATTATGTTAAGATAGACAAAAGCATGTGCATATTACACAGAGACATGAAAGATATTTTTTTAAAAGACCCAATTAAATTTCCAAAGATGAAAAATACAATGTCAGAGATGAAAACCCTGACACTAATTCAATCCAACAGCCTGACTTCTTCATCCTCCACCTGAGCTGCTAGGGACTGTGAAAAAACTACATGGGGTTGGTACCAGCATCAATTCACATCCATTGGCCTAATGGGTTTCACAGTTCTTCTACCATGACCAAGGGCAGCCCTTCCCCGTTTCCCTAAGCAGCTTCCCCCCAACTTCACCATTCACCATCGTCTCTTCCATTACTCTCATTAGATGATGTTAGGACTGATGCACAGAAAAAAATGGAAGCCCTCTGAAAGCATATCTTGCCATAATATGCGTTCGATTAACAACCTCAGCTCCACCACACTCATCCTACCTTCTTCACCTCCTGTCAGAGGAAAAGATACTTCTTTTATATCTGGTTCATCCCTTTCTTCTGGCCTTTGGACATCACCTTCTTCCCCCTCACACATATACCTCCATGATGTCTGAGACCCACTCATTATTCTTTTTCTTCTATATCTTTAAGCTCTAGCTCTGCTCTGGTGTTTTCACTTAGCTTAGAAGTAGGATACGTCTCTGCACATCTCAAAATAGTTCTTCCCTGGTTTCAGATTCTCCCCTCTTCTCCTTTCCTACATAGCCAAACTTCTTGAAGAATAGTGTATATGTAACTATAAAACTCTTAGAAGAAAACACAGGGGAAAAGCTTCATGACACTGGAATTAGCAAGAATTTCCTGGATTTGACACCAAAAAGTACAGGCAACAAAATAAAAATAGACAAATTGGACTACCTCAAAACTAAAAATTTCAGTGCATCAAGGGCACAATCCTTTGAGTGAAAAGGCAATCTATAGAATGGGAGAAAATATTTGCAAATCATATATCTGATAAAGGATTGATATTCAGAATATATAAAGAATTTCTACAACTCAGCAACAACAACAAAAACCTGATTAAAAAAAGGTCAAAGGATTTGAATAGACATTTCTCCAAAGATCTTGTAAAAATGGCCTAAAGAAGCAGATGAAAAGATGCTCGACATCACGAATCATTAGAGAACTATAAATCAACACTACATGAAATATCACCTCACACCCACAGGGTGGCTTCTGTAAGAAAGAAACTAAGTGCTGGTGAGGATGCAGATACATTGGAACTCTGTGCTCTGTTGGTGGGAATATAAAATACTGCAGACTTAAAATGGGATAAATAGCATAATATGGCAGTTCCTCAAAAAGTTAAAAATAGAATTACTATATGATTCATTAATTCCATGTCTGAGTACATATTGAAAAGAATTAAAAGCAGGATACTAAAGAGATATTGTATACCCACATTTATAGCAGCATGATTCACGCTAACCAAAGGTGAAAGCAACTCAAATGTCTATTGACAAATAAGTGATAAACAAAATGTAATCTAAAAATACAACAGGGCTGGTGCAGCGCTCATGCCTATAATCCCAGCACTTTGCAAGGTCAAAGCTAGCAGAGTGCTTGAGACCAAGAGTTCAAGACCAGCCTGGGCAAGATAGCAAAATCCTGTCTCTATGACGACAACAACAACAAAACCAGAATATTATTCAGCCTTAAAAACGAAAAAAATTCGAATACATGCTAGAACATGAATGAATCTTGAGGCCTGTATTAATTTACTAGGGCTGCCATAACAAAATACCACAGACTAAGTGGCTTACAAACAGTAATTTATTTTCTCACAGTTCTGGAGGCTTGAAGCCCAAGATCATGGCACCAGCTAGTTTTGTTTGTCCTGAGAATACTCTCTATGGCTTGCAGGTGGCCGCCTCGTCACCGTGTCCTCACGTGGACTTTTTTCTGCACACATGCATCCCTGGAGTCTCTCTGTCCAAATGTCCTCTTTTTATAAAAACACCAGTCAGATTGCATTAGGGCCCATCCTAATGGCCTTATTTTAACTTAACTACCTTTTTAAAGACCACTATCTCCAAATCAGTCAACTTCTGAGGTACTGGGAGTTAGGGCTTCAACATATGAATCGGGAGGTACACAATTCAGTCTATAACAAGGCCATTATATCAAGTTAAATAAGCTAATCACGAAAGGAAAAATACTGTGTGATTATATGGGGTACTTAGAGTTGTCACATTCATAGAAACAGAAAACAGAATAGTCGTTGTGGGGACTGGGGAAGGGGAAATGGGGAGTTGCTGTTTAATGGGTATAGAGTTTCAATTTTATAAGATAAAAAAGCTCTGGAGATTGTTTGCAGAACAATGTGAATATACTTAACACTACTGAACTGTACACTTGGAAATGGTACAGATGATAAATTTTAGGTTATGTGTTTTTTAACTACAATAAAAAATTATTGAATTAAATTATTTATTTTGAGACAGGGTCTTGCTTTGTTGCCCAGGCTGGAGTGTAATGGCATGATCTCAGCTCACTGCTGCCTCGACCTCCTGGGCTCAAATGATCCTCCCATCTCAGTCTCCTGAGTAGCTGGGACTACAGGTACATGCCACCACATTTGGCTAATTTTTGTATTTTTCGTAGAGGTGGGGATCTCATCACGTAGCCCAGGCTGGTGTGGAACTGCTGGGCTCAAGCGATTGGCCCACCTCAGCCTCCCCAAGTGCTGGAATTACAGGCACAAGCTACTGCACCTGACCAAAAAGGATCATTTTACAAAGAATAGTATACATGGGGTTGTTCCACCTGCTTACCCTCTCTTCAGGATGGTATCACCATCATCACCTGCGTTGTCATCATACAGGACACAGCCAAGCACCTCCAGGATACCTCTTTGAAAGCGTCATAGATGCTTCTACCCATCATAAGAAGACTTATCCGATTTTCCCAAACCTACTCTTCTTCCTACTCACCTTGTCTTGGTGAAATTTATTCCTCTCTTCCCAAGGGATCAAGCAAAAACAATTAGAGTGCTCCTAATCTCCTCTGTTCTGCCCTCCCCGCTCACATCCTTCAAAAAGTTTCTCTCTTAAATGTCTCAGGCTCTGACCCTCTCTCCATTGCCGCTACTGTCTCGGTCACACCTTATCCCTGCTGGGCCTACTTCACAATTGCTCCTGTAACTGGTTTTCTGCCCTGTGCCCCCACATTCCAAATCCACCTCTGAACTGCTGTCAGAGAGCTGTAAATCACAAATCTGGTCATGCATTCCTCTATTTAAATTCCTCCAAACTCCCCAGGTTAAATTGCAAGTGAGGCCTCCCTGTGCTGGTCTCTGTCACGCTCTGCAGCCTCATCCCTCCCCTATCCCCACAAATGCCTTCTTGTCCTGCAGCAGCCCCAGGAGAGGACTGAACGCAGCTTGCTGCTCTGCGTCTCCCCATCCTAGGCCCAATCTCCCTCAATAACCTAACTCGGCTCCTACCTGTCCTTTCACAGGTGTGACCTCTTTCCTGAGCAAGCAGCTCTTGCTTACCTTCCTCCCTGGTAATTCTCACTCTAAGAGGCAAGAACTTTCTTAGTTGTCTGCCTTTCCCATCAGATACTGAGCCCCACGATGAGCAAACTAAGAGCCCTTCCTTCATGCTACACATATTTATTGAACTGCTATTTAGTGTAAATCACCATGCTAGATCTTTCTGCCCTCATTACCAGTGTTTAGAAGAGTATTTGGCATGCAGTGGGGAACTTGATGAATGTTTATCAAATTAAATTTTAAATATTTCAGCTTAATTAGCATTAATTAACTGCCTCCAAAGCACCTGCGAAGTATGAGCTGCCGCCATTCATAAGGCCTTGAAATCTAGTGAAGAGAGGAGAGAAAGAAGTAAAGGATTCCAAGTGGCACCTCAAGGGCTGGAGACCAGCAGAGCCCAGGCCTTAGGAAACGGGAACCGGGAGTCCGGGAGTCCGGAAATCCGGGAGTCCGAGAGCAGGGCCGGCTGCTGGAATTCAAACATCAAATTTGTGTTTTGTGTTTATAAAAGCTCTCCCTTATGTCACTTGGGAGACAAATCTAAAATGCAGCTAAAGTAAATGAGAGCTTACATTGAATATAAGGGCTCATCAGCAGGTCCCGAGCTTGGCCTGGGGAGAACATTTTTGATTCCCCCAAATTCTGCTCAGGCTCTCAGGCACAGATATTCCGGGGGATAGAAAGAAGGATCATTTGCTTTGATTTTAGAATTGCCTATTTTTTAATATCTATTAATCTCTATATCCCGACATCATCAAAATTACCTTGATGCATGGTTTATCTCCACGCACTTTTGGGCCACTGTTACCTATTATGGCTCATGGCATCACAGTCTTAGGAGCACCGAGGAGTGTCACTCACCCACAGATGAGTAAACGTCATGGGTCAGACTCGAATTACTAAAAGACAAGACTCTGAACGGAAGGGTCTCCCACCTGTGGTTAATAATGATGAGGCAGTTACCAGCATGAGCTTTAGAGGAGATATGCTCCTCTACTTACTAGCTGAATAACCTGGGGGAGTCACTTAAACGTTCCATGCTTCCGTTTCCTCATTTTTAATTGGGATTAAAAATAGTATCAGAATTGTTGTGAGGATTAAATGAACTAACATATGTCGAGCCCTTAGAATCATACCAGGCTCATAGTAAGTGCTATGCAAAAGTTAGCTAGTATCAGCATTTGTCAAGAGGCAAAAAAATGATTCAGGCATTATTTTGGGTGCTTTGCATGGATAATTCCATTTATCACACACACACACCTATGCATGTAACACCCCCTTCCCATGTAGGCATCTTGATCCTCATAACAAATTGGAGGTGCAGGCCAGGTGCGATGGCTCATGCCTGTAATCCCAGCACTTTGGGAGGCCAAGGCGGACAGCTCACCTGAGGTCAGGAGTTCGGGACCAGCCTGGCCATCATATAGTGAAACCTCATCTCTACTAAAAAATACAAAAATTAGCTAGGCATGGTGACGCATGCCTGTAGTCCCAGCTACTTGGAAAGCTGAGGCAGGAAAATCGCTTGAACCCAGGAGGTGGAAGTTGCAGTGAGCAGAGATTGAGCCACTGCACTCCAGCCTGGACTCCGTCTCTAAAAAAAGAAAGAGAGAGAGAGAGAGAAAGACAGAAAGAAAATGGAGGTGCAGTATGCCTATACAGATATTTGTTAAATGAATGAAAACAAAAAATCAAACTCAAGACTAATGCTTCACATACTCGTATCACTTTGCATTCTGGGTTATACCTATTCATGTACATGTCTTGTCTCCCCTTAAGAATGGAACCTTTTGAAGTCCAGGTCCACATTGGACTCAACTCTGTATTTGAGTGTAATGGTAGGAATGGTCTAGGTTATGCTGCAGCCAGAACTCCAACATCCCAGTGGAACCCAACACAACTTGCTCATTCATGCTACATACCTGCCTGGCACGGGTCAGCAGGGAAACGTCACTCATTGTAGCCATCAGGGATCCAGGATGACAGGGGACCATCTCAACACTGACTTCCTCAATTACGGAAGTAGGAGAAAAGGGAGTGTTGTAAATTGTGTACTGGCTTTTAAAGGTTTCGCTTGGAAGTGTCACGCGTAATTTCTGCCCACATTTTATTAGTTAAAGCACGTGACTTTGTCCATGTCTAACATAAAGGGAAGAGAAATGTTATCCTATCATATACCTGGAAGGAAAACTAAAATATTTGTGAAAACTCATTCACAACCATACTCCCAGAGTAGTTATCACTACGCATGCAGTGGGCATCCAATAAATATTCAGGAAGTGAATAACAAGGTACAGCAAGCATTTAGATCAGAGGGTCTCAACCTTGGCTGAACATTAGAATCACCTGGGAAGATTTCTAATGATCCAGCAAACCAGACTGGACTTCAGACTACCCAAATTGCACTCTCTGGAGGGCATCAAAAGTTTGTAATGCTCCCCAGGTTATTTCAAGTAGAGAAGCTTGATTTAGACCCTACTCCAAATATCACTTCACACAGGCCATCCTGGCTTCAGTGCTGCAAAGAAGTGCTCACGCCTGGTTATTGTAATTATGTGGTCTGATTTTGACTCCTGAGTGGTATATTCTTCTATATATACATGAGTGTTTGTTTTTGCATGGCACACTTAGTCACGGGATAACTCCATAAATTACTCTTCTATTAAATTATTGTTAGCCTGTGTAAGCTTCCTTTTATACAGTAACATACATAATCCTGGAAATCTTTTTGATGCATCTAATGATGAGGGCATAAACTTTTCAGGCCTTTTGAGCAATTTTTAGGATACAATATTTCACTTTGTATATAAAATTTTAACTTAACTCACTGTATTTAAGTTTTATTAGGTTGGTGTGAAAGTAATTGCAGTTTTCACCATTACTTTTAATACATTTCAAAACCTTTCTGGAGAACACAAGAGTAGTTCAGTATCAGAAAATTAGTTAACATCATAAACAAAATTTATAAACCTAATGGGGAAAAATCATATTATTATCTCCATATATGCCGAAAAAGCCTTTGACAAAATTCAACATCCATTCATGATTTAAAAAACAAAACATACTCAGGAGAACAGAAAATGAGAAATACTTTCTTTATATGTGATATGTGTGTGTCTGAATCCTAACGCTGACATCTTATTTAATGGAAATACATTCAAGGTGTTTTCACTAAGATTATAACAAGGCAAGGATGCCTGTTAGAATCCCTGTTACTAGAAATTGTATTAGAGTATTAGCCAATGCAATTAGACACAATAAATCAATTCGAGGCATAAGAATGGGTAAAAAAAACCTATCTGTTTGCAGACATGATAGCATAAATAGAAAAACCCTATAGAACCAACATTCAAACCAACAACAATAATTTAATAAAGTGGTAGATTATAAAATTAACAAATGAAAATCAATAGACTTTATATATAAGCAATAACCAATTAGAGGACATTATGATAAAGAAAACCCATTTAGAGAACTAACAAAAAGATAAAATATTAGGAATAAACTTAAGAAGCAATGTACAAACCTAATCAGCGAAATTTTAAAACACTTCTGATAGATACAAAAGTAGACTTGAACAAATGGAAAGGAATCTTCCATTCTTGGATAGAATGACTGAACATTATAAAGATAACAGTTTTTATGATCCACCAATCCTACCGGGTACATATCCAAAGGAAATAAAATCCGTATGTTGAAGAGATACCTGCACTCCCATGTTCCTTGCAGCATTATTTATAATAGCCAAGATATGGATTCAGCCTAAGTGTTCATCAGTGGGTAAGTGAATGAAGAAAATGTGGTATATATACACAATTAAATACTATTCAGTCTTTAAAAATAATGAAATCCTGACATTTGCAACAACATGGATGAGTCCGGAAGACATTAAGTGAAATAAGTCAGCCACAGAAAGATAAATACCATGTGTTCTCACTCATATGTGGTAGCTAAAACAGTAGATCTCAAAGAAGCAGAGAGCAGAATACTGGTTACCAGAGGTGGGGAGGAATAGGAGGGAGAGAAGAAAGCAAAGAGGTTAGTTAGAGGATATGAAATTAGCCAGGCACGGAGGCTCAAGCCTGTAATCCCAGCACTTTGGGAGGCCGAGTTGGGCGGATCACCTGAGTTTAGGTGATCGAGTTCAGCTCGAGACCAGCCTGACCAACATGGCAAAACCCCGTCTCTACTAAAAATATAAAAGTTAGCCAGGTGTGGTGGTGGGCACCTGTAACCCCAGCTACTCGGGAGGCTGAGGCAGGACAACCACTTGAACCTGGGAGGTGGAGGTTGCAGTGAGCCGAGATTATGCCACTGCACTCCAGCCTGAGTGACAAGAGCAAGACTCTGTCAAAAAAAAAAAAAAAAATTACAGCTAAATAGGAGGAATAAGTTCCAGTGTTCTTTTTTTGAGACAGAGTCTCGCTCTGTCGCCCAGGCTGGAGTGCAGTGGTGCGATCTCGGCTCACTGCAACATCTGCCTCCCGGGTTCATGCCATTCTCCTGCCTCAGCCTCCTGAGTAGCTGGGACTACAGGTGCCCACCACCAAGCCAGGCTAATTTTTTATATTTTTAGTAGAGACGGGGTTTCACTGTGTTAGCCAGGATGGTCTCGATCTCCTGTCCTTGTGATCTGCCTGCCTCAGCCTCCCAAAGTGCTGGGATTAGTTCCAGTGTTCTATAGCACTGGAGGGTGACTATAGTTAACAATGATTTATCGTATATTTTCAAATAGCTAGGAGAGAGGGTTTTGAATGTCCCCAACATAAACGATAAGTGTTTGAGGTGACAGATATGCTAATTACCTTGATTTGGCCATTACATATTGTATACGTGTATTAAAACATTGCTCTGTACCCCATAAATATGTACAACTATTTGGTACCTTAAAAAAAATTTTAAGTAAAAAACAAAGTAACAGGGCTTTTTGATGAGTCCACAAGGCACTCCAAGAGAGTAGAGTACAAGGATGCACACATTCATGAAAAAGTGTATGCACGTAAGGACTCTCCCAGATGACATTTTGGGGAATTCCTGTTTTGCCTTTGATCTCATTTGCTTTCCCTTGATCTATATTATCCTTCTTTTAGTCTTTTTTATTTTTTATTTTGATTAAGCCTTGAAATGGCCAGGATTTACTTACAGGAGAGCATAATTTAACAGTATAAAACAAAGTTTATTAGACACACACTCTACTGAGATTAGACTTTATGTTTAATTCATCTTTGTTTCTCCATAATGTGCTTTGAATAGTGTCTTATAGTAACTTCTCAGTAAATGTTGAAGCAATGAATGAAAGAATGCGTAATGTATGACTTGAAGCTCCTGATATTTTCTAGCCAGTTAGGTTTTTATTATTTATTTATTTATTTATTTATTTATTCTTTTTTTGAGACAGAGTCTCATTCTGTCACCCAGGCTGGAGTGCAGTGGCACAATTGGCTCACTGCAGCCTCCGTTTCCCAGGTTCAAGCAATTCTCCTGCTTCAGCTTCTCGAGTAACTGGGATTACAGGTGCACACCAGTACCCCCAGCTAATTTTCGTATTTTTAGTAGAGATGGGGTCTCACCAGGCCAGGCTGGTCTCCAACTCCTGACCTCAAATGATCCGCCTGCCTCGGCCTCCCAAAGTGCTGGGATTACAGATGTGAGCCACCACGCCTGGCCCAGGTTTTTAATTACTCTTTAAAACATCAAGATCTACCAGCATTATTCACAATATCCAGAAGGCAGAAGCAACCCAAGTGTCCATCGATGAATAAATGGATAAACAAAATGTCATATATACGTACAATACAATATTATGCAGCCTTAAAATAAAGAAGGAAATTCTGACACATGAGTTGGATGAACAGCTTGGATGAAACTTGAGGTCATTATACTACCTGAAATAAGCCAGTCATAAAAAAAATACTACATGATTCCACTTATACGAGGTATCTAGAATAGTCAAACTAATAGAAAGTAGTTGCCAGAGCTGGGATAAGGGGAGATGGGGAGCCAATTAAAGGGTATGGAGTCTCGGTTTTGCAAGATGAAAGTGTCCTGGACATTGTTTGTACAACAATGTAAGTATTCTTAACAATACGGAACATGACAGAAGTTACTACCCTTTTCCTAGAAATTTCTGCATAAACCACCCCTTAACCTGCAAGCAATTAAAAGTAGGTATAAACATGACTGCAGAATTCCCCTGAGCTGCTACTTTCAGCACACTGCCTATGAAATAGGCTTGTTCTGCAGGAGCAGTCAAGGAGCTGTAACACTGCAACTTTGATAAAGCTGTTTCTTCTACCATCAGCTTGCCCTTGAATTCTTTCCTGGGGGAAGTAAAGAACCCTCCCAGACTAAGCCCCAATTTGGGGCTTGCCTGCCCTGCATCACTTGATTCTAAAAAACCCCAGGATCCCTTCCTTTTCTTTGAGACATCCTGCATTAATGAAGGTTTTTTCCCAATGCTATACTCTATATAAGTTAATCTCTTTAATTTTGAGGTACATTTTGTCTTGCACAGTTTGGTTCTGTGACTTGGATAGGTTTGGACTTCACCTTCTGTTCTCCATGAACTCCATCTAAGCAACAAGCCCCGTGGAGCCTTTTGTGATTCTATACCTGACCGGTGACCAGAGACCCAGTGGTGAATCCAACTCTTGGTCTTATACTCCAGATTCTTGTCCATTGGTAGATTGGTAGCATAGTCAAGACTTGATTAGGATTATTTTTGAGTGCTTGCTTTGTTTCGTGTGCCTGCTTCTTTTGGTTTTATGGCTTGACCATTTGGTGACCTCTGTAAATGGATTGACGGTTCTTAGAAATCTCTATTAGGTAAAATCTGGTTTGTTAGCTTTTCCTGTTGATTTATTTATTTGTTTGCTTTGAGCTCAAATCAATTAAGAATTCATACCAACTGGAAAGAGAACAGCTATTTGGTATAGATCAGTAGGTTCTGTAATTCTTTATTTATGCTTTATCCATGGCTGAAATTTTAGAACTGAAGCTAGAAGCTCTCTGTATATATGTTTATGTGATTCAGAAAGGCCTTTATTCCTCACTGTGTAAGATTTTCCAAATACCACCAAATTAGAGTCTAAAATCTAAAGGAGCTCTATTCTGATTGGCTTAAATAAATAAGCATTTATACAAATTGAATATTCTTTAACCTCCCCTCCAAATTATGAAAATTGAACCTCAAATACTTTTAACAGGGAAAAAAATGTTCTTAAGCCATTAAGTCAGAATTTCTTTCTTTCTTTTTTTTTTTTTTTTGAGATAGTCTCATTCTGTCCCCCAGGCTGGAGTGCAGTGGTGTGATCTCAGCTCACTGCAACCTCTGCCTTCCGGGTTCAAGTGATTCTCCTGCCTCAGCCTCCCGAGTAGCTGGGATTACAGGTGTGCACCACCATGTGTGGCTAATTTTTGTATTTTTAGTAGAGACAGGGTTTTGCCATGTTGGCCAGGCTGGTCTCGAACTCCTGACCTCAGGTGATCTGCTCACCTTGGCCTCCAAAGTACTGGGATTACAGGAGTGAGCCACTGTGCCCAGCCGAACTCAGAAATGTTTTAACACTCCAGAGAATAGAAACACTCAAGAGAATAGTAAAAGAGAAATGCTTTCTTTATATGTGTATACGTGTATGTATGCATATGCTTGTGTGTGTGTGTTGTCTAAATCCTAAATCTGGTATCTTATTTAATGGGAAAACATTAAAAGTGTTTTCACTAAGATTACTACCAAGGCAAGAATACCCACTCTCTTCCCTATTACTGAAAATTATATTAGCGTATTCACCAGTGCAATTAGACAAGATAAATTAATTAGACACATCAAATAGAATTGTCTGTTTGCAGATAATATGATAATCTAATGAGAAAATCCTACAGAATCAACAAACTAACAAAAAATAATAAGGTGGTAGGATATAAAATTAACAAACAAAAATCAATAGCCTTAATGTATACAAACAATAACCAATTAGAGGATATTATGATAGACAAAAATCTATTTAGAGAACCAACAAAAAGATAAAGTACTTAGGAATAAATTTAACAATTTGCAAACCTAATCAGGAAAATTTTAAAACACTTCTGAAAGATACAAAAGTAGACAGGAACCAATGGAAAAGCATCCTCCATTCTTGGATAGAATGTCTGAACATTAGAAAGATATTAGTTCTTATGATCCAGCAACCCTACTACTGGGTAAATATCCAAAGGAAATAAAATCTGTATGTTGAAGAGATATCTGCATTGTCATGTTAACTGCAGCATTATTCATCATAGCCAAGATATGGAATCAACCTAAGTGTTCATCAATGGATGAGTGGATAAAGAAAATGTGATATATGTACATAACGAAAACAGAATAAAAAAGAATGAAATCCTGTCATTTGCAACAACATGGATGAGCCTGGAGGACCTTATGTCAAGTAAAGTAAGTCAGGTACAGAAAAACAAATACTGCATGATATCATCTACATGTGGAATCTAAAAAGGTGGAACTCATAGAAGTGGAGAGTGGAATGGTGGTTATCCAGGGCTGGGAAGCAGGAGAGTTGGGAGATGTTGGTCAAAGGATATGAAATATAAGCTCGATAGGAGGATAAAGTTCAAGAGATCTACTTTACAACAGTGTGACTACAGTTAATAACAATGTATTGTATTCTTGCAAATTGCCAAAAGAATAAATTGTAAGTTTCTCACCTCAAAAAAATGATAAGTATATGAAGTACTGTATATGTTAGTTTGATTTAGCCATTCCACAATTTCATATTTCAAAACGTTATACATAATAAATATAATTTTTATTTGTCAATTAAAAATATATTTAAAAAATTTAAATTCATGTTAGTAAATCGAAAAATATGATACCAGTTCTTCCTAAGTTAATATATATATTTAATAAAATTCCAGTAAAAATGTCAGTGAGCACTTTGATGGAGCTAGGCAAGTTGATAGTAAAGTTCATATAGAAAAGCAAAAATGCAAGAACAACCAGGAAAACACTGAAAAAGAAAAACTATGAGGGAGAACGAATCCCACTGACATGAAAACATACTACGAAGCTCTACAATTTGAACAGTGTGGTAATCGCACATCCATAGATAGAATGGAATGGAAGCCCAGGAAAAGACCTAAGGATATATGGAAATGTAGTATATGATAAGAGTGACATCTCAAATGAAATAATGGAAATTTTAATAAATGGCACAGTGACAACTGGGTGTCCATTTGGAATAAAAGATTAAATTAGATCCATATCTCACAAAACACACAAGAATAAACTCCAAATGTTTTCGCGAATCTAAGTGTTAAAATGAAACTGTACTTGTGCTAGAAGAACATATTGGTGAATTCTTCAACCTCAATGTAGGGAAACTTCCTTTAACTATGACTCAAAATTGAGAGGCAATATAAGAAAAAAAAAAATCAATGCATTCGTCCACATAAATGTTAAAACATTTGCATGGTGAAAGGACTATAATCAAAATTACAACTAAAAGACAACTGGCAAACTGGAAGAAATTATTTACAGTATATACTACAACCACAAGGCTAATATCCCTAATGTGTATTAAAAAAAAAAATTTCTAAAAATTGAGAGACAAAAATACCAAAAACTCACTAAAAATTGGGGAAAGATATGAGCAGACTATTCACCAAAAATGATATAAGAATAGCCCTTGACTATATGAAAATATATTCAAGCTCACTCATAATTAGAGAAATGCAAATAAAACAATATGAGATACAATTTCTCACCTATCAGATTCACAATAATTAAAAAGTATAACATTTTGATATACTTGTTATCATACTTTTTAATGTATAATAGCTGTTGTGAGGCTGTGGGCAAACAGGCACTCCTATATAACTCGTGGGACCACAGACTCAAAATCCTGCTGGGAGATTTTGGAAATACCTTAAAAAAACTACATATGAACCTATTTTTTCCAGTTTTTAAATTTTAATAAAATATACATGACATAAAATTCACCATTTTAACCATTTTAAAGACAGTTCAGTGGCATTAAGTATATTCACAATGTTGAGTAAGCATTACCATCATGCATTTCCAGAACCTTTTCATCATCCTAAAGATAGACTCTGTACCCATTAAACACTAACTCTATTTCTCCTTCTCCCACCCCTTGGTAATCACCATTCTACTTTCTGTCTCTCTGACTCTATGAATTTGATTACTTTAGGTAACTCCCATAAGTGGAGTCATACAATATTTGTCCTTTTGTGTCTCACCAATTTCACATAGCATAATGTTTTCAAAGTTTATCCCTGTTGTAACATGTCTTAGAATTTCCTTCCTTCTTAAGGGTGAGTAATATTTCCTGGTATGTACATACAATATTGTTTTAATTCATTCGTCTGTTGATGGACATTTTTAGTCTTTGTGAATAATGCAGCTATGAATATTGGAGTACAAGTATCCATTTGGAAATCCATGCTTTCAATTATTTTGTCTATATGCCTAGAAGTGGAATTGCCAAATTGTATAACTTCACGTTTAACCTTTTTTTTTTAAGAGAGAGGATCTATATTGTCCAGGCTGGAGTACAGTGGATGTTTACAGGCATGATCATAGGCACAACAGCCTTGAACTCCTGGTTTCAAGTGATCCTCCTGCCTCAGCCTCCCAAGTAGCTGGGACTCTGTGTAACATTTCGAGGAGCTGTCAGTCTGTTTACTACAGCTGTACTTACCTTTTGACCCAGTAATCCTGCTTTTAAAAATCTACCTTGAAGATACACGTCTAACATTTTAAAAATTATATGTATCAGCTATTTGTTACAGTAGTGTTTATAATTGAAAAATTTGGGAAACAATGTAAATGTCTGTCTATAGGAATGTGGGTTGAACAAACTATGATAAAGCCACACAATGAAATACTACACAGCTATCAAAGATAAAGAGGAAGATCTCTGTGAACAGATAGAGCACTTTCCAGGATATATTGTTACGTGTAAAAGGCAAAGTTTATAAGCCTTTCTATTATATGCTACCTTTTAGGTAAGAAAAGAGATATAAGAAAATATAACTGTATCTGCTTTTTTGTGCAAAAGAAATATAGGAATTATAAACCATAAATTAAAGACATTGGTTATCTACAAAGAATGGCAGGGAACCAGGTAGAAAGGATGAGAGAATGGGAACAGGCTAGCAAGAACGAGGAGGAAGTAACCTTTCTCTGAGCATAGACTTTTTATAACTTTGATTTTAGAATCATAGCAAAATTTCCCATACCTTAGAAAAACCTAAGTAAATTTGAAAAACATAATTTTGACTTGATAGTGGAAGGCTAACGTCTAAAGAAACAGTGTAAAATTATTGTAATGTAGTTAGTAAATTTGTTTTCCAACAAGGATACTAGAATTATATACCAGATCAGATAAAGAGTCAAGTTTCTCACTGTTGGAGAAAGATGTTATACATAAGGAAAGGGGCAAGGCAAAAATGAACCCGTGGAATTTATTCGAGTTACAGATCTCAGTATAAACCCACATTTATATACATACATATATATACATATGTATATATATACACACACATACATACATATGTGTGTGTGGGCGGTTGAGTAGATGATAGATAGGCAGGCAGACAGACACACGCATATACAGATGTGTGTGCCTGCATGAGTTAGTATACGTACACACAGTTCCTTGCTCTGCTGGAAGGTCCTAGAAACAATGACTCTCTAGTAGCAATGAATACATTTAGTGCTTAGATCTTAGTTTCTAAATATCACTCTTGAATAAAAGGAACCATGCTCCTTGGAGAAGTTGGTGACTCCAGGACTGGGGCAGGCAAAATATAAAATGAGCCTGGAGGCCTGGCACAGTGTGGCTCATGCTTGTAATTGCCTCATTTTGGGAGGCCGAGGCGGGTGGATCACCTGAGGTCAGGAGTTTGAGACCAGCCTGACCAATATGGTGAAACCCCGTTTCTACTAAAAATACAAAACTTAGCTGGGCATGGTGGTGGGTGCCTGTAATCCCAGCTACCTGGGAGGATGAGGCAGGAGAATTGCTTGAACCTGGGAGGCGGAGGTTGCAGTGAGGTGACATTGTGCCACTGCACTCCAGCCTGGGTGACAGAGCAAGACTTCGTCTCAGAAAAAAAAAAAAAAAAAAAAAGAGCCTGGAACATCATGTGCCAGAATACAAGGAAGTAGCCACAAAGGATGGAGCCATGTCAGAAGAACACAGAGCCCACCTGAAGGAGCTCCCAATGGCCAAAGCTGGAGTAATTTTGAGCAATCAAGAAAGGGTAATAGCATTGGATTATAAGCCATAGACGGAAGTAAATATCCATGAGTCCACAGTGATGTAACGTAGTAAATAAATGGGAGAGAAGGGACACATCTTCGTTACAGAACCTATTAATACATGCAGAGGGAAAAGAGGAAATGGGGGGAAACCCCACAGTAAAAATGGTTGTAGGCATCAAAGGATGCTAAAATTAGTGGCTATAAGTTTAAGGAGAAACAAGATATTTGCATAAAGTATCTTCCCAGATACATTTATTAACCAATTACTAACGGGAAAATAGTCATTTTACTTTGGAAAAACTGGTAGTCACCTCCTTGACCGGGAATGAAGGTTCATATCTGTAGAAAGAGACATAGGACGTCATTTGATGCACAGAGAAGGGCGCAATCTGATTTCCATGGCATTCCTGCGAAAAATGCTTGACCTCCTTTATCCATGAGAAAATATCAGATAAACCCAAATTGAAGCACATTCTATGAAATAACCGATTCGTAGTCTTCAAAAGTGACAAGGTCAGGAAAGGCAAGAAAAACCTGAGAAATTGTTATAGACTAGAGGGGACTAAGGAGTCATGACAACTAATTGCCACGCAGGGTCCTAGGCTGAGCCTTGAACAGAAAAAGGATGTTAATAGGAATTCAAAAAAGGTTAGTAGATTCAGTTCACAGTATTGTAGCTGTGTTCAAAATCTTTTTTTTTTTTTTTTTTTTTTTTGGAGACCGAGTCTCACTCTGTCGCCCAGGCTGGAGTTCAGTGGCGCAATCCCAGCTCACTGCAACCTCCACCTCCTGGCTTCAAGCGATTCTCCTTCCTCAGCCTCCCGAGTAGCTGGGATTACAGGCACACATCACCACGCCCAGAAAATTTTGTATGTTTAGTAGAGACGGAGTTTCACCATGTTAGCCAGGCTGATCTCGAACTCCCAATCTCTGGTTATCGGCCCGCCTCGGCCTCCCAAATGCTGGGATTATAGGCATGAGCCACTGCACCCAGCCTTAATTTCTTTACATAACTTACTGTGGTTATGTAAGATTATGTTATGGCCATGTATTAGAAGAAACTGAATGAAGGGTATATAGAAACTCTTTGTACAATTTTGCAACTTTTCAGTATGTTTAAAATTATTTCAAAAGAAAAATTTAAAAACGAAACCCATGTTGGGCCTAAGTTTTCTTGTCTGTACAACGAGTATGTTGAGTCATATGATGTGTAAGATCCATTTGGGGCATGAGATCATGAGTCCCCAGTCGCCCTCCTGGGCAAACATCATCCCTCCACCATCAATGCATGTGCTTAAGCAATAACCGTCATCTTCTTTACTAAAACAGGATTTTGTGGCCAGGCATGGTGTCTCATGCCTGTAATCCCAACACTTTGGGAGGCTAAGGCAAGAGGATCGCTCGAGCTCAGGAGGTTGAAGCTGCAGTGAGCTATGATTATGTCACTGCACTCCAGCCTGGGCGACAGAGTAAGACCCTATTTAAAACAAAACGAAACAAAAAACAACAGTATTTTGTTTCTGGTGAAGACAGCACTCTAGTATACATATATCACTTTAAGGTAGTTGCTGATGTCCACACTTCTTTAAGAAATGACATAGGGCCAGGCACGGTGGCTCACGCCTGTAATCCCAGCACTTTGGGAGGCCGAGGCGGGTGGATCACCTGAAGACAGGAGTTCAAGACCAGCCTGGCCAACATGACGAAACCCTGTCTCTACTAAAAATAACAGAAATTAGCCAGGCATGGTGGCCCCCGCCTGTAGTTCCAGCTACTCGGGAGGCTGAGGCAGGAGAATGGCTTGAACCTGGGAGGCAGAGGTTGCAGTGAGCCGAGATCGCACCACTGCACTCCAGCCTAGGTGACAGAGCGAGACTCTATCTCAAAAAAAAAAAAAAAAAAAAAAAGAAAGAAAGAAAGAAAGAAAAGAAAAGACACAGATCCCACCTCAAGGCTGGCAAAATTATCTTGCCTCAGTTTAAGGCAATGTTGGAAGATTGAATAAAAGCAGAAATTAATCGTGGGATAGTTTAATCCATCAATGTGATCCTATGGCAATACTGATTTTAGTATGAATCGCCACCATTTATTGGGGATCCATGCTGTGCAGGGCATGTCAGCAAGCTGTGTGTATGTAAACAGCTAATCCCTAGAGACACACATCTGGAACTTGCTGCTAGCTCCATTTGTCCCAGATGAGGAACCTGGGGCTTGGAGAAATCAGGGAATCAGCCCAGGGGGTGAGTGGAAAACCCAAGATGAGAACCCTTTAGGGTACAAAGCATCTGATCTTTCCACCACCCAGTTGTACTTTTTCAGATATAAAACAAAGGAAAACATTTAACAAAAAAGGGTGTCAATCCCTCACTTCGTACCTTTACCTCAGAGTAGTAATATAGGAAAAGAAATAAAAATACAGCTAAGGTTTCTGAGACCCTCTTTCTTTAAACCAAAGAGTTGTTAAACTTGGTGGTGGGCGGGGAGAGAGAGGGTTAACCCTCTCTGTTAATATCGTGGATAAAAACATCCGGCCTGAGAATTACCAAATACATACGTATTTAAATAGATAAAATAACTTTCCCATTAACACCATCCACATTGTACTACGGAAGAAAATACCGTTTTTATTATTCACCTCATTCCGGTGATTTGTCCATTGAGGGAGGGAGGGCTCTTCTAGAAAGACAGCAAAAATCTTTCTCTAGTCCTTCAGCCTCAATTGATTGGCTGTTTTTGTACAACCCTGCCATCTACTGGAGTAACTCAGAATTACAGGACACTCTAGAAATTTTCATATGGGCTAAAAATGTTAACATCTCAATTCTCAGTTAGTGATATGAACAGCCCTATTTTATTAATTAATATGTTATCATAGGGCAAGACATGGTCAATTCCTGGGTATGCACTGAAACCACATACCACATACCAGCCTACAAATGTTGCTGAAGGGTTTCATACCAGAGCAAATAGAAACAGACAAGCATCTATCAGTCCAAGTTTCTTTTTCTTTTGAAATAGAAAAAAAGGATCGCAAAGAATCTGCCCTTTGTAGAAGGATAAAAACATTTAGGGAAGCGGCAAAAGGAAAACATAATCACTGTAATTCTCCTGCTAAAATATAGCTATGCTTTGAAATTTCTTTGTGTTTTAATTATTTACAATGATGGAATCATATTACGCTTATTGTACTGTAAATGGATTTTTCTATTTAGTAACAGACATAATCATCATTGTTCCAAATGCTTTAGTCCTCACAGCTTAGGTCAATGTACATCACTATTTCACTTCAGTTTCATGTGGACAGTAGGGTCTCTACTTTTGTCTCTTTTGGGTGTTTATCCATTCAATCAACCCCCAGATACCTTCTATTAATAAAGCGGCAACGGAACAAGAAGCTCAATATTTTCCAACCTGCTAGGTTCCCCATCTTTCTAACTGTCCCTCACATGGAAGAGGGGGAGTGGGGTGGAGGCGAAGTTGAATCACAGAACAGAAAATAAATTAAAAGACCAGTTTCAAGAGGCATCTCTGCCCCCAAACCGCCAGTTCTTAGGGGTGCCTTAAATATTTGGACTCTGTAGTGACTAAACTGGAAAACACTAATCCCCATTTTAAGAGGAACAGGGAGATCACTGGAGTTATTTTCAATGCCTCTGCTTTTCACAGAAAACAATAATGTAAGCCATAAGCCATTAAATGATTGCCTCCAAAACTATTCTAAATTCTAAAAAGAGCAATACCATTACTAATTAAGTGTTATTAAAGGCAAGAATACTCAACATATGGGCTCAGTTTGTTAGCAGTGCTTTTTCTCTTCATGTACTTGCTTAACCCGGGAATAGTTTGTATGTGCCTATTTTGCAGAACCTGGAAGACAATTTTATTCTTAAAAGGATGCTAAAGGTTTATAGTTGTTTAATATCTTCTCCTTTGACACATTTTGGGTCATATTAATGATTTGCTTGATTCTGAGGCCTTGTTCAGGAATATAACCTGCAATTAGAACATCATTCCTATGGGAAAATATGCAACACTTGGCAATGATTTACCTCACAATGTGGTTTCCAGGAGACCATTATGGAAACAAAAAGCAGTATGTCTGTACTTGACTTTGTAATCCTGTGAGGACAAGCATGATCCTTCACATTACAGAAGGGAGATGAAGTCTCAGAGCTGGAGCGACTTTGCCTCATAAAAAGCAGAGTAGAGGCTGGCATCTCAGTCTTCCTTCCACAGTGCATTTTTCTGAAGTTATATTCTTGGCTTGGTCAAGGGTATGGACCTGGTGTCTGGGTTTGAGTCTAGGCTCTGTAATTTACTAACTATGCACAGGGCACGTTGCTAATCTCTCTTTATTCAATATCCTCGCCTGTAAAATGGGATGATGATCATCATGGCACATTATCTCATAGAGTTCTTAGGATGCTGAACAGATTAATAAAGCACTGGAGACAGTGCCTGGCAGATTTAAAAAAAAATCTTCAATAAATGTTTGCTACCGTTATCTACATGGCCAATGAAATTGTATGCTATTTATTGTAAGTTTCCCAAAACATCAGCAAAGGTATTAACACAATTTAGATGACACTAACAAAATCAGCTATTTCCATTTGATAGGTGCCTACTATATGCCAGACACATTACACACTTTATTTGTTGTTTTATCCCCATTTTAGAGATGGCAAATGGGAATCTCAGAGCAATTAATTAATTTTCCCAGGGTCGCACAGCCACCAAGCAGTAAAGCCCGACCTAAAATGCAGACTCCTCCATTGCTAAAGCCTGTGGGCATTCCATGCACTAAGCTAGATGACAAAACTATGTTAACCTTTTTGCATTACTTATCTGATGTGGCCTGCCAACAATTTCTTTTTAAACTACAATTTATTTTATTTATTTAATTAATTTTTTTTTTTTTTTTGAGACAGAGTGTCTCTCTGTCGTCCAGGCTGGAGTGCAGTGACATAATCTCAGCTCACTGCAACCTCCACCTCCCGGGTTGAAGCGATTCTCCTCCCTCAGCCTCCCGAGTAGCCAGGACTACAGGCACCCACCACCATGTCCTGCTAATTTTTGTATTTTTCGTAGAAATGGGGTTTCACCATGTTGGTCAGGCTGGTCTTGAACGCCTGACCTCAGGCGATCCTCTCACTTCAGCCTACCAAAATGCTGGGATTACAGGCGTGAGCCACTGCGCAGGGCCTACGACTCATTTTGAAATTTTTTGCTTTCTGAGTGTTTGCATAGACCCGGCATTGTGGCAGGGCCTGGAGAGCCAGTGGGGAACAAGACACAGTCCTGTGCTTCAGTTGTTCACAGGCTGGTGGAGAGAGTTAGACCACTAATTGGAAAATGGAATGGGTTCCTAAGTAAGCGTGGAATAAAATGTTATAGGAATATGTTTTTTAGAAGGAGCATTAGCCCAGCCTTGCAGGGTGGAAGGTGGGGTGCTGTGGGGGCATCAAAAATACCTCCTGGGGGAATTGATGAATGAACTAGGACTGTACTTACCCCACTGGGTTTTAAATAGCCCCAGTTAGCACATGCTTATTACCTGATTGGCCTGTGGCATGCACCTAAGACATGTTATCTTATTTAATCCTCACTACAATTCTCTAGGAGTGGTGCCATGATTCTCTTTTTGCAGATGAGAAAACAGGATTTGACAGACCCAGTAAGTTGTCTAAGATCACCCAGCTAATAAGAGCTCTGCCTTGAGTTTAAACCTGATTTGTCTGACCAATATACCCAGGCCATTAACCACTACATCACAGTGCCTCCAATCTTATGTAGGTTTATTGTGTTTGATGCAGATTATCCTGAATTGTAATTTTGCCTTCCCACCTATCTATGTTTTACTTCACTTGTTTCAACAAGTGTTATTCAATAAATGCTTTTTAATAAAAAAGAAAAAAGTTCTGAACCTGAACTATTATGTTAATAGGCTAAACCTATTAGATTGTCTTTTCCTCGTCCTTACAAAGGTACACGTGTCTCTTGCAGAGTTGAACACCTATGTGGTGCAATAGATTGGTAAAGTTGAGAGAGCACCATTCAATTTTGAATTGATATGTGTGGATCTAGATCCCCAATTTTCTATCCTCAGCCCTGCTAGAAAGGTTTGAAACTTTTTGGTTGGAAGATTATACAAGGCAACATCCGGGTATGGAAAAACAGATTTAATCTTGGTCTTATTCCTTGAGAAATCTACAAAGAGGTAAATTAATGGCCTCATGACATTCTCATGTATCAAATAAATCAAAACCAACTAGATACACAGCCATCCAAAAGAGAGGATGCTGGAGCATTTAGCAAGTTCTAATTAGCTGGAAGGTAGACTGGGAGCCAAGGGAGATTAGTGAAAGGAACACTGTATCCAGGAAACTTTGCTTTGGCTACATTCCTTTATGGGCAAAATAGCGGGCAAGATCTGGTCCCTGGCTTGCTTTCTTCTGTCATCTCCTGTCATTTCTCCTTATTCTACTCCTCCCCTTCCAACCTCAAAAACCCCAACAACACACAGTTGCATTCCAGCCATGCAACTAAACATGGCTAATCCTTAAACAAGCTGTGCTCTTTCTTGCCTCCCAGTTCTTGAACTTGCATTTGCCTCCTGTTCTTTCCCTGGCATGTCCTTCCCACACATAATCTTGACCTCTGGCTTCTCATTCTTTCTTCAGGGTTAATTCATGTTCAGATCCTCTGTAGAGACCTCTTTGAGTACTCATCAAAATAATCAGGAGCTTTTTCATGGAGATCCTCATAAAGCCCTCTAAAGCCTTTATCCTCTCTCTTAAACCACTGCTCAAATTACTTGTTGCAGGTCTTGTTTCCTCAATAAACCATAAAGGCTGGAGGACAAGAATCATTTTTATTTGTCTTTGTGTTTACTTCATCTTCAACAGCACCTACTAAGTGTTGGGCACTTAATAGTTGAATGGATTGATGGATGGATGGTATTAAACTGGACCCAAAGACTCAATGCACACTCTCAAATCAAGTCAGAAACGAAATCCTTCAGTAATAATACCACCAGTTATTCAAAAGTTAACCATAAAGGAATTTCAGATTCATAAATAAAACAGTTAAGAAGCAGCCTGTAACTGCAGGAATCTTTGGCCCAGTGATTATATAAGGAGCCTGTAATCTTTGGCTCAGTGAGTTCCTCCAGCTTAGACTAGTTGTTCTATTTCACTGACCTAGGCTAAAAATCGAAAAAATTAGGGGGAACATTCCAATAAATAGCATGTACAGATTTCCTGGAAGTAACAAAGCAATCTCAAATAAGCAAAAAAAAAAAAAAAAAAAAACTTAACCAAAAAAGAGTCACTCAAGATAAAAAATGATGGCAGAAATATTCAGAGTTGATAAAGCTCGCTGGTGGGTTGGTAGATTTTTTAAAAATATTCTCTATACTTTATGTATATTTGAAATATATTAAATAAGAAAGTTTAAGGTTTGCTGATATCTAATGAAACTTAGATCTTAAAAAAATGTTTAAATGAAATGAAGACAAAAGGGGAGCAGAATATACATGACTCTGGAGAAGCTGAGGCTGTTTAATCCATTCCAGGCTTCTTCCCAAATGGTTCAGTGTGGTGATGGATCTGTGAGAAATCTTATCATTGAAAACTTAGAAATGATAGTTTTTTAAAATGTTGGCAGGCTCTGGATATAGGGAAAATAACAATGGATCACTCTACCCTCCCGTGGCCTTCCGAATTCTAGTCCTTCCCTTGAGGGTCAAGAACTGAGACGGATTTCTGCTGAAACTCCTAAAGTGGGAAAAAAAGAAGAGACATTTGGCTGGTGCAGTGGCTCATGCCTGTAATCTCAGCACTTTGGGAGGCTGAGGTGGGAGGATTGCTTGAGGTCAGAAGCTCTAAACCAGTCTGGGCAACATAGAAAGACCCCATCTCTACAAAAAATTGTCTTGAAAATTAGCCAGGGGGAGGCTGAGGTGAGTGGAAAACGAGGTCAAGAGATCAAGACCAGCCTGGCCAACATGGTGAAATCCAGTTTCAACTAAAAATACACAAAAATTAGCTGGGTGTGGTGGCAGGCACCTGTAATCCCAGCTACTCAGGAGGCTGAGGTAGGAGAATCGCTTGAACCTGGGAGGCGGAGGTTGCAGTGAGCCGAGATCTTGCCACTGCACTCCAGCCTGGCGACAGAGTGAGATTCTGTCTCAAAAAAAAAAAAAAAAAAAAAATTAGCCAGGCGTGGTGGCGCGCACCTATGGTCCCAGTTACTCCAGAGGCTGAGGTGGGAGGATCACTGGTACCCAGGAAGTCAAGGCTATAGTGAGTGTGAAGGTGCAACAGCACTCCAGCTTGGATGGTAGAATGAGACCATGTCTCAAAAAACATAATAACAATTTAAAAAGAGACATTTCTCTCCTTAAGGGAATGAAGAAGTCCTTTATGAAGCAAGACTGCATTTAAGACTGTGGAGGAGTGAAGCTGTCTACTCCTGCTATATCCTTCCCATTTCAACATTGTTTATGAATCAGTACTCCTCAGGCCACAGGAAAAATGGACAAGAAGGTTCCGTGAGGCAGGCTTCGTTATAAACACCTCCCTCCGCCATCCATATTCTAGCAACTCTTATTAGCAGTGGGCTTCCTGTCTCTTTAAATTCTGCTGTCTCTCCTGGGGGGTGCCTTTACAGGCTGCCTCTGGGGAATTGACTACTGCAAATGTGCATGATTTTATCCACAGTATACAGTATCATGTGAAGCTTGCTTTTATTGCCTTCAGCCTTTTCTTTCTAACAATTTATTTTAATACATTTGGAATTATTATCCCAAACATTAGCCAGCTGGCCCGCTGGGGTTTCCTTTGCTGGGTTCCGGGTCTCTCTTTTTCTAATCCTCTCTTCATGGATAATCCACTCTAATGCTTCTTGGCCTTTGAAGGGGTTTTGTTATTACTACCTGTTGATTAGAAATTCACTTTGTCTTGTGTAGGTGGTTCTAATCGTGCAGTAATGGACACCTTATTTGAGTCAGCTGAGGTCAGAGTTACAGTCATGAGATTTTCTTTCTTCTTTCCAGATTTCTGGACGTTTACTTGTCTTTTCAATATGGTTGTTTTTTTTTTTTTTTTCCTCACAAGCTACCATTCAGCCGGGCTTTGAAAACAGTCTGTAAGACCAAAGAAAGAAAAAAGAACAGTATGAAAGAAAAAGAAAGATGTGTAGCCAGGCCAGACAAAGAGAAAGACTTATTTTCTCCTACAGCTGTTTGACCCCAGGTATTTAACACTATTGTCTTTGCCAACTACAGACCCTCAGGGGTCCTTGCCGAGGGCCCCACTGGAGAGCCAGAATTTGTCCCTGGGACAGGATGAGGAGTCCAGGAGAAGCAGCAGTAGACAGGCTGTGCTGGGAGTCATCAGGGGCCACCAGGATACAAGGGGTGGGGGGAGCCCAGCTGCCTTGCTGACTTGCCTTTCAACCCTGATGTCTGCTCTCTTGGTAGTAAGCCAGAAGTGGGGCGTGGGACGATGTGACAGGAGCACCAACGTCCCCACCAAGCCATCACAGCAACAGGCTTTGTCCAGGATCTTCTGGAAAGGATCCAAAATGAATTGTGCTTCCTAACACTCGTTTCAGGAATAGGTGCCAAAGTCTCTATTTAGTGCATTTCTGTATTGAAAGGAACATTTGTCCAAGGGAATCCACAATTTACAATAAGCATAATCACTGGCTATACTGCACCTGAAAATTCCAAAGAGATGATGATATGTTTCAGAACAGCACCCTCTGTCCCATGGATGGATTGGAATAGGAATCCTTTAGTCTGTTTATGGCTGCACTTTGGAAATTTTAGTGTGACTACTTCCTCAGGGAACTCTGTTATTTACATCTGTTTATTCTCAGAAACTGGTATATTGCCTGGCAGTTATTAGGTAATCAATAAAAAGAAGGAAGTGGGGGAGAGGGAAATAGGGGGAGAGGGAAGGGGGGAAGAAGTGGGGAGGGAATAGTATGTGCTCGTTATAGAGATTTGGAAAACATAGCAAGATACAAAAGTGAAAATAAGAATTACTCGAAAATCCCGCTAAGAAATAACCTTTATTAATGATCTGTTCTCTACTCTTTCAGCCATCTAAACTCACCTCGTTTCATTGTTTACAAAGTTCAAATCACAACGCACATTCAATTTTGTATCTTGTCTTTTAAATTCACATTCTACCACTAGTATTTTCACACATTCAAACTGTTGAAAATCACATCTTTTTTTTTAATGGCTAGATGATTAATCTAGCACATTACATTTTCTTTCTTTCTTTCCTTTTTCTTTTCTTTTCTTTTTTTTTTTTTTTTTTTTTTGAAACTGAGTCTCTTCCTATCGCCCAGGCTGGAGTGCAGTGGCACGATCTCAGCGCACTGCAAACTCCACCTCCTGGGTTCAAGTGATTCTCCTGCCTCAGCGTCCTGAGTAGCTGGAACTACAGGCGTGCACCACCACTCCCAGCTAATTTTTCTATTTTTAGTAGAAATGGGGTTTTGCCATGTTGGCCAGGCTGGTCTCGACTCCTGACCTGGCCTCAGATGATCCACCCGCCTCAGCTTCCCAAAGTTCTGGAATTACAGGCATGAGCCACCACACCCAGACAAGCACATTACATTTTCTAAAAACTACCAAGGTAATTTAGCTCTACAGATTTTTCCTAGGAAACAGAACTTCACCTCTCCTGCAACAATGATGGGGCAATTGTTCCGAAGAAAAATATTGACCAGCTCATCTATATTTCAACTTTAAGTTTCCTGGCACAAATACGACATTTTATAATGAGTTGACAAGGAACTATCAACTTGACACATAGTCACAGTCACTGTCTCTCCAAAGGTGTCAGGGGTATGGAGCAGAGGAGAGTGGATAGTAAGAATGGGAGAGAAGATGGGGCTGCTCTGAAAACCTCGCCCCTTGGAGAAAGGCCAAAGAACCACTCCCATATGGCGCTTGCTCTTTCTCCCACGCTCCAAGGCTTTTTACCTTTGTGATTCCACCCGTCAGGTTTGACTGTGACTCTTCATCGATAACATAACCAAACTGCAGGTTCATTCACTTACCACTTGCAGAGTGCAATTAACAAGAGCAAAGTCTTGTAGAAAGAAAGTGACCTTTTATTCCAAAGCTAGCTTAGGGTAAGCAGCACAGTCTTCTTGCCTTAAGGGTACCGAGTGGCCTCTGGAACAGGAATGCGGGCACTTTTAAAAGGGGGCCTAGCATGAATAACACCCAACGTAGGAAGCAAACAGGTGGGGATATGAGTACCCGCTTTGGTGCCTTATCTACTGGGCAGTCAAGTTAGCACCTGTTTGGGCAGAATTAGGTTGTAAAGGCGGCTGAAACTCTGCAGATAGAAGACTTCGTGGTGGGCAGATTTGGGCTGCGGATTGACTGTTGTCCTTCGAGGCAGTCTCCTGGTGGAAAAAGAGTTCTACTCTGGAGCTTCTAAGCTCATACTTACCTCAACTTGCCTTGTAGGGAGTGTTTGGTGAAGGGGAGGTAAAAGGTTATAATTGCATTTCTAAAGGACTAAGTAGGAGGTGGGGAACAGAAGGAAATGGATAAAAAAGAAAAGAATAGAAAAAGTTTAAAAATATTAACTCATTCTCTTTTTTGAAAAATGGGGGTACTCAGTTACAATAGGAATGAGTGCCTCCTATTCCAATAGGCTGCTCTGGGGCTAGCCTATTCTGGATTCCTCCATGTGCCCCCAGAAGCAACAGGCTGCCTGGCATGATGAGCTCTCAGTTTTAATATCGATTCTGAAAATCAACTGGTGAGCAAATAGGATTCTAATTTAACAGCTTTTTAAAAAGTTATTTTAGGCCAGGAGCCGTGGCTCATACCTGTAATCCCAGCACTTTGGGAGGCCAAGGCGGGCAGATCACGAGGTCAGGAGATCGAGACCATCCCGGCTAACATGGTGAAACCCCCTCTCTACTAAAAATACAAAAAATTAGCCGGGCGCAGTGGCGGGCGCCTGTAGTCCCAGCTACTCGGGAGGCTGAGGCAGGAGAATGGCGTGAACCCGGGAAGCGGAGCTTGCAGTGAGCCGAGATGGAGCCACTGCACTCCAGCCTGGGTGACAGAGTGAGACTCTGTCTCAAGGAAAAAAAAAAAAAGTTATTTTAAAAAATTAAAGCATTTTAAATACGGGAGTCTTTTCCAGTTAATCACTAAATAAAAACATTTGGTTAACAATAAATATATTTTTACAAATTTGGTTAAAAACATTTACAATCTTTTTTGTTAAAAACATGAGAGCTGATCAATGTGATGGTTACAGTGACAGTTAATGACACAATTGAACAACAGGCATCGAGCAAGGTTGCCCAGATTCCTAAGTTATTCCATAGAAAGCTCTAAATTGAAATGGTGGTTATTTATGCTACAGGTTAATAATCAGATGAAATTTTATAGTTGCTGTCTTGAATAATTCCTCCTCTTCCTGTACATATATATTTAGGGATTGAATGAGTATATTTAAAAATCTTTCTAAAGTATATAATATTGACTGTTTCTGAGTCTTGTCCCCTTCCAGCCAGGATGCTGATGTTGAAGGTATGAGAATTGCTGCTTTGTCAACTTGACTCACTCATGGGACTTGACTTGGCCAGTTTCATGTGTTGGATTCAAATGGAATTAGATTTGAGTCCTAACGTTGCCACTTTCTAGCTGTGTTACGTTGGGCAGATTTTTAAACTGCCTGTTCCTTCGTTGGCTTATTTATAGATGCAGAAATAATATCTACTGCATCTGGTTATTGTGAGGATTAATGCTACGCTAATCCTTTAACATGCCTGACATGTAACAAGTGTTGGATAACGGTGGCTGCTGCTGTTTTTCCCTTTCAATCTGTCCCTGTGCATATTTCCCCTTAGCACTTTGGTTTCCATTTTCACCATTTCATTTTCTGCTTGTTTCATTATTACTGCGTTAGCTAGACATTTCCAGTGGGAAAGCTCCCAGCATGATGAATGGAATAGTGTGGCCTGGGAACTTTTTTTTTTTTTTTTTGAGATGGAGTTTTGCTCTTTTTGCCCAGGTTGGAGTACGGTGGCATGATCTCAGCTCACTGCAACCGCTGCCTCCCAGATTCAAGCGATTCTCCTGCCTCAGCCTCCTGAGTAGTTGGGATTACAGGTGCCCGCCACCACACCCAGCTAATTTTTGTGTATTTTTACTTGAGACTGGATTTCACCATGTTGGCCAGGCTGGTCTTGAACTGCTGACCTCAGGTGATCCACCCGCCTCAGTTCCCAAAGTTCTGGGATTACAGGCGTGAGCCACCGCGCCCGGCCGGCCTGGGGGAACTTTAACAGTAGCCCTCTAGGAGATCAACTGCTAATGGTACACTATTAGGTCATACAATTTCTGTTGCTGTAACAATTACTCACCTAAATCATAATAGCTTAAACAGCAAAGAAGTTAGTTATTTCTTATGTAGTTATTGAGAGTAAGAAGTTCAAGGATGATTTGGTGACTCTGTGGTGTTAGAGAACTGGATTCCTGGATACACCATCCTTTAGGACATTTTCATCTCATCTGAGTCTACCTGTCAACATTCCAGCAAGTAGGAAAGAGAAAAAGGACAAGGAGAGGACATGGGCACATTATTTCCTTTTAAGGACATGAACTGGATGTTGTACACATCACTTCCACTTGTATTTCTTCTGCCAGAACCTAGTCATATGGCCACATAGAGCAGTGAAGCTTGGAAATATGGTTTTTATTATTTGGGGCCGTGTAGCCAGCTAAAATTTAGAAGTACAGTTAGTAACAGAAGAAGGAGAAATATATTTTAAGAAACAAATAGCAATCTCTGCTCTGGGTATAAAGTTTGGCCTTCAACTGTGGAAGTTCAGAGGGCTCTGACCTTTACAAAGTCCCAGAATTGATCACTGTTAGGGAGGCTGACTCACATTAAAAAGCTTACAAGAGAGTGATGTATAAAATAAGAATGCAATAAAAATTATTATAAAAAATATTACTTCCAAAGAGACTGGATGGAAGGGTTGTTAGTACAATTGTTCCACGTTATATCATAAGCAGCATGGGGGGGCCAAATTACCAGGCGGTTGCATGGTAAGCAAAGAATGAGAAGCTCTGAGTACATAATGGCGTGTCTCTGCTGGCCCGCTCTTCCATCCTCGCACTAGATGGGCAATCACACTGGTTTCTGTCTTGGGCAGTGCTCCAACGGACCCTGCCAGACATTGTCTTCAAACTCTTCCTGGGTTGTGTCCTCTTTGTTGACCTCTCTCCTTTTTGATCAACAGCTTATTTATTTAGATGTGTTAATAACCCACCAGGTTTAATACCTTCATACTCAACCCTGAAGTCCTTTCTGCCTCTCTGTCTCTCTGCTCTGATCCACATGTATTTGTTCATGGTTTTGCGCCTATTTACCATGTCACTTCTATACTACTACGAGATTTTAGTTATCATTTCATGTAGTTGTAGCCCCTTTAGGATGACACCCTCACCTCACACCGCCTGGTGCTGAAGCTCTTCAATCGTGTCCCACCATGGCACTCCCAAATCGTGGTGATGATGACCGCAAGATGACAAGGCCTCTGTTGCCACAACTTTATGGTGTATCTACCACCTGAGCAAGAGGTGGTCACAAGTGCACTCACAAAAGTGGAGTCGGTGCCAAGAATGAAAAGTAAATGGAGATTTAAGGACACAGCATAGTTAATAAATTAAAATACAGAACTGTAGCTTTTGCACTTTGCAGTTATAGTAGGAAAGAATGAAAACGTATCATGTATTTTTAAAAACCTTAATGTGACCTTGCTGCATTTCCTCCATGTTGCAATAAGACTCCCAAACTGAGTTAGTTTCCCGCAGTAGCTCTGTGTGTGTGTGTGTGTGTGTGTGTGTGTGTTTTCCTACACACGCACACAAGTGCATACTATAACATAGCATTCTCCTGCTTCACTTCTGGCTTTAGTGGATGATGTGGGAACGCATGACTGGCTTGGTGAAATTGGGTACTTAGCAATGCTAAGACCAGATGCCCACTAAACACAATGCCAAAGAAAAATGTTGGCACCTTGTTCTTTTGGAGAGGTGACTGAATCTGATGATTCCCTGACAAGCTGGTTTGAGTCTGGGCGAAGTCACAGTCCATAAGCACTCTGAACCTAGCATACCAGGCAGAAGCTATTAAATATGAATAGTTAGAATTTGCAGCTTAGCCATTTCTGTGCCATAAAGCACACAGAATCTCCCTTTTAGGTGAAATATGTAGCTGAGATCAGCCTCTCCAAGGAAATGGGAATGGAAGTTTTTATGGGGAGAAGAAAGGGGAATTTTTAAAGTCACAAGCACTGGAAATGTTTAGGGGGTGAGGAAGAAGGGATGACTGAGAGCCCTGGAGCAGATGTGGAAGGGGTGCCCAGGGAGTCAGACAAAAGGGAAGCCAAGGAAACTATACACTCAGAAGGGTGCTGGAGCATGACCCCAGGAAGGCAGGGGCAAAGGGTAGTATTGGCCAGAAGGGGCAGTTGGATCAGGTGAACCCGCTATTATCCCTCCCTAGCATCCAGCTTTGTAGGATGGGGCTTTTTGGCAAGGACACACATCAAAGCTATGTGATGAGCAGTGGGAGGGCTGTTGGTACTGAAGGTGTTCTAATGGAAGAATTTGACAACCTAGGACAAATGGGGGTTGCTGCATGGATCCAAGTGCAAGAAAGGGGATGTTTGCTGCACCCACATGGGAGGTAAAGGGATAATGGAGACTCAGGGCAAGGGGATTCTTGGACACTCATGGAAAGTGGGCTTTTCTGGGCTGAAAGGTTCAGTCAAGAAAAGTGTACGGCCTCCTCTGGACCTGACTGTATACATATCTCACCACTAGGAGGGTAGGCCTATTTTGTGATGGACTGGACCTGCCGAGGTTTCCAGGAATTCAGAGTCCTAAGGGCAAGCTTATGATGTCTTTTGGTTTATTTAGTCAGTTGGTTGGTTGGCTTTTGTGGTTGTTTTGGTTAAAAAAAAAAAAAGACTTTTTTTGCAACATGTTGAGAAGCAGAAAGGAAGCAGTTAGGAAAGAGCAGTTGAAGAAGCTGTGGAAGAAGCAAATATGTGGGAGGAAGGTTACTCAGGAAACAGGAAAGTATAGGATTGAGGATGGAGGATGAAGGGAAGACAATGTGCTGATGGATGTGATACACATTGTCAGGGTGGTCTCTTGCTCCATGTACAACCATTAGGTGCCTAGTAGTCGCTGGGTCAGTGTTTGCCTCTCATCTTAAGCTCGATAAAGTAGGTGCTTAGAAACCAGCTTGTGCTGGGGGCTTGTAGAAAAGTAAGATATTTACTGTAACTTTTGGGGTTGGGATTTGACTTTCAACAATCAATCAGGGCTGGGGTGCAGTGGCTCACGCCTGTAATCCCAGCACTTTGGGAGGCTGAGGTGGGCAGATTACCTGAGGTCAGGAGTTCGAGACCAGCCTGGCCAACATCGTGAAACCCCGTCTCTACTAAAAATACAAAAAGTAGCCAGGCATGGTGGCACATGCCTGTAATCCCAGCTGCTCAGATGCTGAGGCAGGAGAATCGCTTGAAAGCAACTGGGAGGCAGAGGTTGCAAGTGAGCTGAGATTGCGCCATTGCACTCCAGCCTGGGCAACAAGAACGAAACTCCATCTCCAAAAAAAAGAAAGAAAGAAAAAGAAAAACAACAACAACAACAAAAAACAATGAATCAGAAGGTAGATCAGTGAGAGTCTAGTGGAAATGGACCAGCAGGAATTTGTAGTGGGACTTGAATGTCGGCAGAGTTATCTAATCCATATTAAAGAATTAAGATAAATGGAAGCCAAACCAAACCCAGAAATGCTTTATAAAAATAGTAAGATCTAGGAAAAAGGGTAAAGCTCACAGACAGACACTTTCAGGATCCTCTCGGCTGTGGTGTTTCCTCATTGTTGTTAATAAGAAGACAGTTTCTGAATTCCCATAAGAGTAGAGAAGAAAAGCCAGATTTGTGGTTGAGTGGAACCACAGTTTACCAGGACAATACAGGGGCCTATTTCTAGCAACAGAGGCTGATGCATATTAATTCATTCAGCAGGCTCCATTGTTTATAATTCTTGCTTACATTGCTGTCATGCATTGGAGTTAAAATTTACACCCTTTTTTGGATACAAGAAGTTATTTTTATTTATCCTTCTTTGTTAGCTGTTTCACTTCACAATAATTAATCAAATCACCAAAGCAGCATCAAATTGGGGAGTGAGGATATATTTGCACTATTTGGCTTTTCTAACAGGGTATCTCACAGGGTGAGGGCTCTGCTATAATACAGGTCCTCTTATTTTATAACAGGTTGCAATTTCCTTGTAAGGTTTGATGTAGTTCATTTTGATAATTTTGCTAAATTAAGTAGTTCTACACATTATATAAATATATGTTAAGATATATTAACATTAAGCATTTTAATTAGGTTCTATATATAATAGAAATACATATCAAACAAGAATTCATCTGAAATTCAGAATCTGAATACGTTTCTACCTAACTGAAACAAATTACTAGTGGAGAGGCTAGGAGTATCCCCAACCTCCCAGCTTTTTCCATGTCATGAAATTTTATAAACAGTGTTAAGGCCACACATAAAAAGAAAAGCCCATCTACTTTGGAATTCACCTCGGATTTTCTCCTACTTCTAGTCTGTCCTGTTCCAAGTGTTTCGTCTCTTTGTGCTCAAGTATTAGTAACAGGGAGACTGGGCAGAAAAGCAACTTGACGTTTCCTGGAAATCTTAGTGGAAGCTTTAAAGAAGGAAAAGAGCTAAGAGAGACTGTGCCATCCTGCTGACAGCTGGGTTCGTTCTGCCTCATTGAACAGGGCTTTGTACCGGCATTAGCTCTGTGACCACAGCTTTTTCTGCAGGACTGGGGATCCCAGTGACTGTGAAAGAGGAAGACCTAAAAGACTGTGTCACATCTCTCACCTGGGTGTCCTGGTTCAACAAGCACTGGGCTGGGATTGTCAAGGTACCAGGGCTTTTGCCACATAAGGCACTGTCCACTCCCAGCATGAGAGGTCTATCTGGAAACATGGCTCTGAATGTAGAGGGGGCCACAATTTAAAACAATTAAAGCATTTGCAACATATCAATCCTCTGTACTACTTAAGTGGGTTTTTTTGTTTTTGTTTTTGTTTTTTGGTTTTGGGTTCTTTTCGTAAGGTAGCTGAAAACAACTCTGCTCTCCCACTTTCCTTCAAAAAGGTAGAGATTTATTGGAAAGATATTTGAGAAGCTCTCAGTATCTACAGAAAGGATGAACGAATAATCCTGGGGTCAGAACAGGGCCTTCTCCCAGGACGTCACATGATAAAGCACGTAGACTTGCTCTGTGGAGCCCTGACGTTGATGAGATTTGGCTCCAACCCCTCTTGCCTGCAAGAGTCTTAGATGATGCCCACATTCCAGGCTCAGCTGCAGTGAGGTGTCCACCTCTCCATTGGTCAGCGGTGGCCTGGGACACAGCACAGGCTGACCATGGCCCTCTCCTGTGTGTTAGAGCATTCCAGAAGAAGAGCACTCACTGCAGCTATAAATCACCTCGTCATTGTCTTCTACAATGTTCTTCTGCTCTGCACTCCACTCTCGTTACAAGCTGTCCCCGGACCCCAGGGCTGCCCAGTTGCCAGTTAAGACCTGAGGTCAAGAACTGCGAGATACCAGCCTGGGGCACTCCTCCCTTCTTCTTCCTGACCTGGACTCTTATTGATTTGAAAGTACACTGAGTGCTGTATGTCCTAGGTCTAAAATTGCTATAATTGTGCTCCCATCATTTTCATGGAAATGAAAGTTCTCACTGTCTCTGAGAGCTACACTTGACCATGGATTCCTTGTTGCCTCATCTTCTAAAATCAATATGAGGGTTTTATTACTTTTCTCCTCTCCTTTAGTGGCTTCCTGCTGCCTTCAAAATATAATCCACATTTCTTCACAGGGATAGAAGGCCTTTATTATCTGATCCTTTCCTGTGTATGACGTCTTGCCTTGCCAGAGCCCTACACAACCCTGAACTTCTCATCATTGTTTCCTGAGCTTGATTTTATGATCCTCTGTCTTTGCATGCATTATTTCTTATGCCTGATATTTTCCCTTCCCCTTCATCATTCCACCCAGATGAACACAAACACATCTTGCTAGATTCAATAAAAAGTCATCTCTTGTGCAAAACATCTCTGACCTCCCCTTGGTCCTTGCCAACAATTTATTATTTACTTCTTTATGCAGTCGCTGAATATTTCTTATTAAAATCCATCTCCCCTTTGAGACTATGAGCTCCCCAAGGGCAGGAGTTGTGTCTTCATCATCTCTGACTGTAATGCCTAGAACATAATCTCCTGTAGGGGTTCATTCATCCATGTTGCTGGGTAGGCATTGATGATGAAGGCTACACAAAACAGCTTGTGTCTATTTACAGCAGACAGTAAGTAGGGTCTGGTCTTTCCTGGAGCACTTTATCTCTGCAACCCCATAGCATTAAGTAGTCTGTAGGTGAGAGGCTCCCAGATGGCAAATGCTAACACACTGGTTTTGTTACATCTTGCAGCATAAATGTACATAACTAGCATGAATCTCTGTCCACAGATTCACATGTACAAGAATATCACATGCTGTATTTTCTTAAAATTGATTTAATTTCTGAATCTGATCCTTAGTCCTGCCAGCTGGGAAATTAAACCTCCTCCTTTTGTTCTTCTGAAGCCATTTATTAAGCACCTGCTATGTGCAACACATGTGGAAGATACACTATCTGTTAAACTAAAGAGCTTCCTCACAGCAAAGGAAACTATCAACGGAGTAAACAGACAGCCTACAGAATGGGAGAAAATTTTTTGCAAACCACACATCTGCCAAAGGTATAATATCCAGCATTCATAAGGAACTTAGACAAATTTACAAGAAGGAAGAAAAGACCCCATTAAAAAGTGGGAAAAAGACATAAACAGACACTTTTCAAAAGAAGACATACATGTGGCCAACAAGCATATGAAAAAAGCTCAACATCACTGATCATTAGAGAAATGCAAACCAAAATCAAATGAAATAGCATCTCACACCAGTCAGAATGACTATTATTAAAAAGTAAAAAAAAAAAACACCTGCTGGTGAGGTTGTAAACAAACGCTTATACACTGTTGGTAGGAGTGTAAATTAGTTCGATTGTGGAAGACAGTGTGGTGAGTCCTCAAAGTCCTAAAGACAGGACTATCATTTGACCCAGCAATCCCATTACTGGGTATATACCCAGAGGACAATAAATCATTCTTTATTTATTTATTTATTTATTTATTTATTTATTTTGAGACAGTCTTGCTCTGTCACCAAGGCTGGAGTGCAGTGGCACGATCTCGGCTCACTGCAAGCTCTGCCTCCTGGGTGCACGCCATTCTCCTGCCTCAGCCTCCCGAGTAGCTGGGACTACAGGCGCCTGCCACCATGCCCAGCTAATTTTTTGTATTTTTAGTAGAGACGGGGTTTTACTGTGTTAGCCAGGATGGTCTCAATCTCCTGACCTTGTGATCCGCCCGCCTTGGCCTCCCAAAGTGCTGGGATTACAGGGGTGAGCCACCGCGCCCGGCCAAATCATTCTATTATAAAGACATATGCACACATATGTTCATTGCAGTACTATTCGCAATAGCAAAGACATGGAAACAACCTAAATGTCCACCACTGATAGACTGGAGAAAGAAAATGTAGTACATATACACTATGGAATATTATGCAGCCATAAATAAGAATGAGATCATGTCCTTTGCAGGCACACGGATGGAGCTGGAGGCCCTCATCCTCAGTAAACTAACGCAGGAACGGAAAACCAAATACCACATGTTCTAACTTATATGTGTGAGCTAAATGATGAGAACACATGGACACGTGGGGGGAACAACACACACTGGGACCTTTCAGAGGGTGGAGGGTGGGAGGAGGGAGAGGATCAGGAAAAATAACTAATGGGTACTAGGCTTAATAGCTGGATGATGTAACAAACCTATGTAACAAACCTGCACATGTACCCCTGAACTGAAAGTTAAAAAAAGAAAAAAGTATCTATCCATATAGAGAGATATTATTGCACATTTCTTTTTATAACATAACATTCCATGGGATTTGAGGCAACACAAAACTGAAACAGAGAAAGATATCTCACACACACACATACACACATGCACACACCCTTGGCTTACAATGGTTTGACTTGTGATTCGTCAGCTTTATGGTGGGTTTACTGGATGTAACTCCATCATAAGTTGAGGACCATCTGTGTATCCACACACATACGCATTTACATGTATTTTTTAACTGCAGAAAAATGTTCCTTCTATCATTTGTGATAACGCATAATTTAGTGTGAAATTTTGTTTTAAGAAAATTCTGAGAGAGCAAAGCTATAGACTTTTAACTGTTTTTTAAATGAAATTTTGATTAAAGACATCATTTTTGCTTTCCATGCTTAACAAGAGCTGGTCCTGTTTTATTACTTACTTGGTCTAATGACTGCTGGTTCACTCTGACCCAAAGAATCCCAAAATATGCTAGTTTTTTTTTTTGTTTTTTTTTTTTGAGACAGAATCTTACTCTGTTACCCGGGCTGGAGTGCAGCGGCACCATCTCGGTTCACCGCAACCTCCACTTGCTGGATTCAAGCAATTGTCCTGCCTTAGCTCCCGAGTAGCTGGTATTACAGGTGCGTGCTACAACGCCCGACTAAATTTTGTATTTTTAGTAGAGACGGGGTTTCACCATGTTGGCCAGGCTGGTCTTGAACTCCCGACCTCAGGTGATCCACCGGCCTTGGCCTCCCAAAGTGCTGAAATTACAGGTGTGAGGCACCAAGCCCAGCCAAAAATATGCTACTTTTAATGCAGCTTTTTAACTTTCTCACTGTTGTATTGATTGGCTGATTGATTGATGGAGTCTCTCTCGCCCATGCTGGAGTGCAGTGGTGGGATTTTGGCTCACTGCAACCTCCACTTCCCAGGTTGAAGCAATTCTCCTTCCTCAGCCTCCACTGGGAGTAGCTAGGATTACAGGTGCCCAGCACCACACCCGGCTAATTTTTATTATTAGTAGAGAAAGGATTTCACCATGTTGACCAGGCTGTTCTCAAACTCCTGACCTCAAGTGATCCACCCACCTCAGCCTCCCAAATCTCTCTGTTGTATTTAGATAGATTTTAGAACCCATTAAATTAAGAAACTTAAGAAACGGTTGACCTGACTTTGTTTTTCCTGTGAGATTCACTTGGGCTTAAGGATGCTTTTTGGCTGCTTCTTAAGAAACAGTATTATTAGACTGTGGTGCATTGTGGCAAATTTAAGTTGTCCTTATGCCAGTAGTTTTAAAATTATTGATCACATTGTCCCTTATTTCTTATCATCTCTCTAAAGTTCAGAACAGTGGTGGTTGCTACAAGGAAGAAGAGAAAGTTGAGCTCTATCTATGTAAATCTTATTTTAATCAAAGCAGGACTGTTACATGAACTAAAAAATAAGAACAATATAGGATATTAGGAGAATTAAGATAGGCTTTTTTGGGTTAGAGCTGCTAAATTTTCAAGGGGCATTTGGCAATGTCTGGAGATATTTTTGGTTGTCACCCCCAATAAGGGTGTGACATGCTACTGGCATTTGTGGGTAGAGGCCAGGGATGCTGGTAAACCCACAAAGCATGGGACGGTCTCTACAACAGAGGGTTATCTGGCCTCAAATGTCAATAGTCTGAGGTTGAGAAACCCTGGTTTAACAGTACAAAACCTCTCCCTATGATTAAAAGTCTCATGCATTATCATTATTTTATTTTCAAAGTCCACTCTAGGAGACCACCAGGAGGGAAGAGATTGTTACTTTGGCACACTGGAACCTCATCTGCCCAACTCCTTCAAAGTCTGGGAGACCTATGAGTATGGAGAGAAAACGACTTTCTGTGAAGTCACGTTTTACAAAATTTGAATTTGTTGCCAACCATCTATTTGGCCACATCAGGTAAAATTGCTTGCTATTTTTCATTTGAAATGTTGCTGATCCTTTAGTGGACTAAAGCTGCCTGGGTATTTTAAAGGACATTTGGGAAGATAATTTTCTAAATGATGAAGTCAAAAGGTGGCAGCCATATCTTTTCAGGAGTGCCCCTGGATTTCATCTGGAAAAGGTAGAAATTTAGATTTGGCTGCTGATTTACTCAAGGCTCTGCTAAGGAAAGATAGCATTTTGCAATTGTTTTGTGCTGGGAATGAAAGCAAATAAAGAGACCAGGAATGGAAGTGGGATGCCCACTTTATCCTGTGGAAGGAGAACTTCAAATTCCTCATTTTGTCTTTTTTCTTACAAAAGTTTTTTTAGATTAAACTGTGTGGAAAATCTTGGGCAATTGTTATAGGCTGAATTTTGTCCCCTCAAAATTCATATGTAGTAATCTTAAACCCCAAGAGAATGTGACCTTATTTGGAACTCAGTTTATTGCAAATGTAATTAGTTAAGTTGTTGGATGAGCCATACTGGGGTAGGGTGGCCCCTAATCGAATCTGACTGGTGTCCTTCTAAAAAGGCACAATTTAGACACAGACACTCATACAGTGAGGACATATGTGAGCATGAAGATGGCCACCTACAGGCCAAGGAAAAGGGCCTGGGACAGATCCTTCCCTCAGAGCTCTCAGAAGGAATCAACCCTGCCAACCCCTTGAACTCGGACTTCTAGCCTGCGGAACTGTGAGAAAATAGATTCCTGTTTTTTAAGGCACTCAGGGTGTAGTGCTTTGTGACAGCAGCCCTAGCAAACTCACACAGGCGCCCATGTCTCTTGGTCCAGTCCTTGGTGAATGTTCTTTGGATTCTCATAACGTCTGGGTTAACTGGAGCTGTGTTTTTCAAACTTTAATGTGCGTGTGAATCTCCCAGGGATCTTGCTGAAATGCAAATTCCAATAGAGTAGGTGAGACCTGAGATTCTGTATTTCTGTTTTTGTTTTTGTTTTTTTTGACAAAGTCTTGCTCTGTCACCCAGGCTGGAGTGCAGTGGCATGATCTCGGCTCACTGCAACCTCTGCTTCCTGGGTTCAAGCGATTCTCCTACCTCAGCCTCCCAAGTAGCTGGGATTACAGGCATGCGCCACCATGCCTGGCTAAGTTTTGTATTTTTAGTAGAGACGGGGTTTTGCCATGCTGGCCAGGCTGTTCTCGAACTCCTGAACTCGGGTGATCTGCCCGCCTCGGCCTCCCAAAGTGCTGGGATTACAGGCGCAAGCCACCGCACCCGGCCAGATTCTGCATTTCTGGTGAGCTCCTGGGTGATGCCAATGCTACTGGTTCATAGACCACGCTGTGAGTAGCATGATCACAGCACTCTTGAGTAGCAAGGGGCTTCTCGATTCTGGCTTCACGTTAGAATCACTCACTGAGAATAACTTTGCAATGTAATATATTGGCATCTCTGTGGGCAGGACCTGGGCATTAATATATTTCAGAAACTCTCCAGTGATTCTCATCTCCAGCTAGGTTTGAGAACCACTGAGCTAGGCATGACCCATTTGAGATTCATATTTCATCATTGGGCTACTGACTTGAGGAAATCAGAAATGTGGAACAACAGAGCATATCCCAGTGTTAAACTTCTGGGAGAAAATATTTGAAATGATGACCCTTTTCCCAAGTTTGTATGTTTGTTTAAAACAGTTCAGCATGATCAACAGCTCCTTCCTCATTAGAAGCTGGGAAACCATCAGAAGAAGCTCTAGCCTCCAGGGCTGAGGCATTCTATACCATGTGCCCACTGGGCACCCATTCTACAAGGAAGAAGAGAAAGTTGGACCCTCCTCCCCTTCCTCCGTGCCTTGGACCCTCCTCCCCTTCAGGGAGTGCCGACCTACCAGGAAAACGCCATTTAACAAGGCTTACATAAACTATAGCCCCTCTGAAGACAGTTTCCAGGCTTCTTTTTCCTTCTTGCCTTGGGGAAACTGGCTGCAGCCTCTCATCCCCACAACATACCTGTCTGTCTTCCCCTGGGTCTTCTCTTCAGATAGTCTTCTGGTTTTTCCTTTGGCCCCTACCTCTGATTAACATCTTTGGTTCTGCTCTTTGATTTACCTCCTGCTGTGGCTGGCCTCCATAACCCTAGTCCCTTCTCAGCTCAGCCCCAGAGAGCCCAGCCCACAGCAGAGGCCTGGGTTTCTAACCCTAAAAGTCAGGGAAGGAAAGAAAAATCTATTCATTCATCCATCCATCCATTCACCCATCCATCTGCTCATCCATTCACTCATCTGTCCATCTGTCCACCTACCCATGTACCAATTCATCCTCTCATTCACTCATCCTTCCATCCATCTACACATCCATCTACCCATGCCTTCAACACATATGTCTACTATGTTAGATGCTTGGGAATTAAATAATGGGCATGACAGCGCCAGTCCCTTTCCCCTCCGCAAACCCAAAGCCTATCGTAAGGATGGCTATTGAACATTATATATGGGATGAGAATTACAAAGGAGGAGAGTAGGCTGATATGGGAGTTTGTAAAAGAGAATCTAAATTCTCTCTGAAAGGGTGATGGAGGCTATCAAAGGAGGGGAGTTTTAAGCTGAGACAGAAAGAACAACTGGAAGTTGCTCATCAGCTGGTGTGACAAGAATAAAGGGATAACAGGAAAGAAAAGGCATAGCATCAGGAAAGAACTTGGTGTTTTCTGAAAAACTGAAAAACAGATATGATTCAGCAGAGAGTAGGGGTGGGGAGTAGTCAGAGGAGGTGCTGGTGATGCTGGCAGAAGCCAGGTGGGGTACACCTAGCAGCTGGAGCTTCATCCCAAATATCTATGAACGCGACTCTAGTTCCTTGACTCTTGAAATTCTTTTTTCTTTTTCTTTTTCTTTTTTTGTTCCTTTTTAGTGCTTTCTAAGGCAATTCCCTGGCTCCCAACTCCTGAAATTCTTAAGGGTTTTATTTTCCTTTGCTAGGTTCAATTTGAGGATATTGGATCTATTGAATATATACTTGAGGATGTATTCTGAGCACCCATGCCATGCTGTGCTCAGCACTGCCCAACAGTGCAACTGGGGGAAGTGGTAGAAAAGAGAAAAAAGGCCTAGGGTCTACTTTTGAAGAGCTTACGGTTGTATGGAGACAACAGTGTCTAGTGTAGGATGATGGAACAAAGTCGTGCTGCAGATAGGATGCATGACAGGGGGGTGGAAAAAATTTCAATAAATACTCATCTACCCAGCCAGCCAGCTGTATAATAAAATCAATTTTATTTTATAAATATAGTTTATTATATAAATATAAATATATAATTTAAGTATAATATATATTAATTATAAATGAAATATATATTCTAAATATAAATGAAATATATATTATAAATATAAATTAAATATATAATATACAAATGATAAATATATTATATTATAAATATAAATGAATATATAATAAATATATATGAACTATATATTATATATAATAAATATAAATGAAAAACACTTAGCTATAAAAAACATTCCCAAATGGAATCTGAGTATTTTGCTGAATCTGGGGCTTCGATTTGGGGAGGAGCATCGGTTCTTCTATGAGTGCTCAACAGAGTGTCCTTGGGTCCTTTTGCTCATGGTCCATACAATACTTTGCCCCAAATCATATAGGCCCAAAGAGGCAACCCAAGCTTCAGCCTCCAGGGCTGAGGTGTCCTATGCCGTGTGCCCACTGGGCACTCATCCCACCCCCAGCTGCTTCCTCTTGGCCTTGGACCCTCCTCCCCTTCAGGGAGTGCTGATCTGCCAGGATAGAAACACCTGGCCCACCAAAGCCCACCAGCTCACCATTGCTCCATTTCAGTTGGCCTTTTTACTTGGAAATCCCTTACCTCTTGAATGGTCAGTTTTACCAGGACAAAAAATAGATAACAGCTTCTGTAGAAAACTAAACAATGGTGGCGAATGAGGGTTTAGCATCGGGGACCTTCAGTCCAAGATGAAGGAAGCATTAGGACTAAATTACAGTGGAGGTCTAAACTTTGCTTTCATATATTCTTCTCCTGTCGGGGCCCTATACAGTAGAGGCATTATTTTGTTTTTCCTTCCATAAAATTTTAGCGTGCAAATTTAGACGGCCCTACAGGGGCACGACTACAGCATTGAAGGGGTTTAACGTCGCACAATCTGTCTAAGCAGTGAGAACTGTGAGGCCGATTATTTAACTACATTTCCTCTAAGGCTTTTTTCTTAGTGGGATGACTCAGTCCCACATAAATCCACAGTAGGGGGACCTAACTTGGGACAATTATGTTGAATCATGTGCCTTCCCCAAACAATTTACTCTGTGGAGAAGTCCCCAACTTGTGCCTGCCATTCTTTCACAGAAGCCTTATTTTATTTTGTTTGCCTCAGTGGGAGGGGAAATGGATGTTATCACTGTTGTGCCCAGAAAGAGCAATATAGGCTAGATCCATGCACTTTATAAACATCACTTGAAGCGGGGGAGGGGATGCTTTTTTCTTTTTAGAAGACTGCTTGGAGTGTGTGTATTGATACTTAGTTGTTACAAAGTAAAAGTAAACTGGGAAGAAGTAACTCAAGGAGAATTAAGTGAGGGTGAGGCTTCTGTTGGGAGTGGGTGTAGAGCGACAGGACGGAGGGGAGGCGGGTAAAGGCTGCTGTCAAGATTAAGCCTTCGATGTACAACACAGGTAGTACCAATCACTGAATACCTCGTACCAGGGATTAATTGATGTACATGCAACACTCATTTAATTTGCCTAATTACAAGTTGTTCACACCCACACCATAGGGCTTTGTTACAAATGACTCCCCTGCTCAATCCACTGAGTGGAGGGGTGAAAGCCCACTCTGGAGTGGTTTGTGGGGGAAACTTGCATATGGCATTTCCCCCACCAAATTATTAATTGGCTCCTGGGGAGGCTGTGGTTTCTGAGGTTCTGCTTAATTGCTATTCATGTCAAGGTTAAACATCTGCCCCTGGTAAGCAGAGGTACCTGCTAACCCATCTGCCTCACTGCTGTCAGCATCGTGTTTACGTTCACAGCTAGGGAGTTCATGTCAACACATCCCTTCCATGAAAACAACAGAGAATATTCCTTTGACACTGTTGATGCTGACTGCCAAAGGTCGTGTGGGTAGAATGTAAACAAGGAGAGGAGGAGGCTGGGGGTGCTCCACTCAGCATCAGGCTGTGGGGCGTTTCACTGGGAAGGAAACGCGGCTCCCAGCCATGGAATGAGATGGATCCCTTTCCTTCCCTCCTTGTCAAGGGTGCAACATTGCTGCCCAGGGTTAAAACATATATTCTCAACTCATCTACCAAGCAAGTCCTGAAATTTGCGAAGCGCTCTGGGTTTTTGGGAAATGAGATCATTTTTTTTTTCCCCAAGCAACAATCCTATCAGATTAAAAGATTCCGTTTTGGGATATTAAACTAAGGTTTGTTTTATTACTTTTTACAGCTAATTTCTTGGCCAGTTTTCATTTTAAGTGTACCAACATCATTTTTTTAAAGACCAAGCTTGTAAGGCAAGAATAATTTCTGTTAAACAGACTGTGGTCATGGCCGCCAGCGCTGTAGGGATCTGGATGTCAATGATTTCCACGTGACCTTCAGGTTCATTTCAGATAACCCTAGGTCCTTCAGTACCTCCTATGCAACTTACCTGAATGGGACACTTAAGCCAGTTAGGTAAATGAGCAGCCCCACATCTTCGCCTCTTCTATTTTTCTCCAAGGCTAATCAATACACATTGCACATGCTGAGCTATCTTTGCAATTCAAAAACCACATTCCATTTAGCTTACTAGGGAGAGACTGATTTCAACAGCAAGAAGAGATGGAAAGAAAAAACTTAACCTAAAAATATACTTTCAAAATAAATCAAGAAATGATTTAGAACAGGGGCTGCTGATGTGCAGCACACAGACCAAATCCAGTCTGCTGCCTGCTTTTGGAAATAATGTCTTATTGGAATATTGACACGCTCATTCACTCACCGACTATCTGCTATGGACTGAATTGTGTCCCTCAAAATGCATATGTTGAAGCCTTAACTCCCAATGTGACTGTATTTGGAGATAGAACTTTCAGGAAGTATTAAGGTTATATGAGTTCCTGAGGGTGGGGTCTTAATTTGATAGGATTGGTGGCCTTATAGGAGAAGGAAGAGATAGGGGCCTCTCTATGTGTGCATTGAGGAAAGGCCATGAGAGCGCTAAGCAGGAAGGGGACAGTCTGCAAGCCAGGAAGAGGACCGTTACCAGAACCTGACCCTGCTGGCACTTTGATCTCAGAGTTACAACCTCCAGAACTGTCAGAAAATAAATTTCTGTTGTTTAAACCACCCAGTCTATGGTGTTTTGTTACGGCAGCTTGAGCCAACTAAGACATTGTCTGTGGCCTCTCTTGGGCTATGGCAGATTTGAGCAGTTGGATAGAAACTGTCATACACAAAACCAGAAATATTTACTACCTTGCCTTTTACAGCAAAAGTTTGTTGATGCCTGATAAAGAACTCCAGCCTCCAAAACCATATATAGAGAATAAGACTCTTATTTAAAGAGGGGAGAAAAGCCCTCAAGACATATTAGAAGCAGGTAGTGAGAGGTGACAGCGTGCTGGCAGTCCTCATAGCCCTCGCTCGCTCTTGGCGCCTCCTCTGCCTGGGCTCCCACTTTGGCGGCACTTGACGAGCCCTTCAGCCCACTGCTGCACTGTGGGAGCCCCTCTCTGGGCTGGCCAAGGCTGGAGCCAGCTCCCTCAGCTTGCAGGGAGGTGTGGAGGGAGAGGCACGGGCGGGAACCCGGGCTGCGCGCAGTGCTTGCGGGCCAGCGTGAGTTCCGGGTGGGCGTGGGCTCCACGGTCCCACACTCGGAGCGGCTGGCCGGCCGGCCCAGCCGGCCCCGGGAAGTGAGGGGCTTAGCACCTGGGCCAGCAGCTGCTGTGCTCAATTTCTCGCCAGGCCTTAGCTGCCTTCCCATGGGGCAGGGCTCGGGACCTGCAGCCCGCCATGCCTGAGCCTCCCCGCTGCTCCGTGGGCTCCTGTGTGGCCCGAGCCTCCCCAACGAGTGCCGCCCCCACTCCACAGCACCCAGTCCCATCAACCACCCAAGGGCTGAGGAGTGCAGGCACATGGCGTGGGACTGGCAGGCAGCTCCACCTGCGGCCCCAGTGCTGGATCCACTGAGTGAAGCCAGCTGGGCTGCTGAGTCTGGTGGGGACTTGGAGAACCTTTATGCCTAGCTAAGGGATTGTAAATACACCAATCGGCACTCTGTATCTAGCTCAAGGTTTGTAAACACACCAATCAGCACCCTGTGTCTAGCTCAGGGTTTGTGAATGCACCAATCCACACTCTGTATCTAGCTACTCTGGTGGGGACTTGGGTTATGTCTAGCTAAGGGATTGTAAATACACCAATCGGCACTCTGTATCTAGCTCAAGGTTTGTAAACACACCAATCAGCACCCTGTGTCTAGCTCAAGGTTTGTGAATGCACCAATCCACACTCTGTATCTAGCTACTCTGGTGGGGACTTGGACAACCTTTGTTTGGACACTCTGTATCTAGCTAATCTAGTGGGGATGTGGAGAACCTTTCTGTCTAGCTCAGGGATTGTAAATGCACCAATCAGCACCCTGTCAAAACAGACCACTGGGCTCTCTGTAAAATGGACCAAGCAGCAGGATGTGGGTGGGGCCAGATAAGAGAATAAAATCAGGCTGCCTGAGCCAGCAGTGGCAACCCGCTCGGGTCCCCTTCCACACTGCGGAAGCTTTGATCTTTCGCTCTTTGCAATAAATCTTGCTGCTGCTCACTCTTTGGGTCCACACTGCCTTTATGAGCTGTAACACTCACGGCGAAGGTCTGCAGCTTCACTCCTAAAGCCAGCGAGACCGAACCCTCTGGAAGGAAAGAACAACTCCAGAAGCGCCGCCTTAAGAGCTGTAACACTTACCGCGAAGGTCCGCAGCTTCACTTCTGAGCCAGCGAGACCACGAACCCACCAGAAGGAAGAAACTCCTAACACATCTGAACATCAGAAGGAACAAACTCCAGAAACGGCACCTTAAGAGCTGTAACACCCACCTCGAGGGTCCGCGGCTTCATTCTTGAAGTCAGTGAGACCAAGAACCCACCAATTCCGGACACAGCAGCAACGTAGCAGCTATACAGATGAATATAGACAGCAATGGATAATATTATTAATTAGAAAAGACGGAAGTTGATATACGGCTAAATACAGATAGACACCAATTATTGATAGAGGTAAACTGAAAATAATTGAAGGAGCATAACTGAATGAATGTGAAGTTTGGGCCAGAGTTTTATATCAGTGGCTGATTTTATATTGTTACTTTCTAAAATTTAGGAGTTACAAACTTAAACGTTTATAGCAAACAGGCAACATACAGGCACCTGTTTGGGGAATATTCTATACTCTGCCACAATGGCTGAATCTAGCTGATTCTTGTCAGCCTTTCTGATTTTGTGAAAAAGCTCCAAATCCTGATTCAGAGTCTTGTATGAAATCTCCCAATTTTTAAATGTAAAATCAGTCGATCCTACAGAGCAATGTAAGCAAACCTGGATCCACGAGCCCACCAGTTTGTGCTTAAATCGTTTTGTGCTACGTGAACTTCATAAAGGTTTTTTTTAAGCAAAAGAACAAGAAAAGAAAGAGAATATTTTCTTTGCTGATTTTCTTAAATCGTTGTTGAGGATACTGCTTCTAGAGAGGCTTGCTTTTCAGATACGTTTGGTTGCAGTATTTTTCCCATGTTTTTCCAAATGTAGCTAAGGGATTAGCCATTGGGGTGTCACTTAAGCCCATTAGTCCCCTCACTGCAGGCTGGTGTAATGTGGCATGATACATGAAACTCAGGAAACATTTACTGGCGGCTTTAATTGCTTTCACTTGAACAAATAGCTATATATTTGTTTATATATGTGTATATATGTACACACACACACACACTTATTTATTTATTTATTTTTGAGACGGGGTCTCACTCTCTCACCCAGGCTGGAGTGCAGTGGCGTGATGTTGGCTCACTGCAACATCTGCCTCCTGGGTTCAAGTGATTCTCCTCCCTCAGCCTCCCGAGTCCTGAGTAGCTAGGATTACAGCTATACACTGCCACACCTGGCTAATTTTTTTTATTTCTTGGTAGAGACAGTTTCACCATTGGTCAGGCTGGTCTCGGACTCCTGACCTTAAGTGATCCGTCTGCCTTGGCCTCCCAAAGTGCTGGGATAACAGGTGTGAGCCACTGCGCCTGGCCTATACATTTTTCAAAAAGCCAAAGTAAATAAGAGAGCAGGAACATGTTTTAGAGGATCCCTAGATGCCCAACATCTACATGGCAGCAGAAAATCCTAAATGATACTGACTGACATCATCCCTTTCAGTTGTGTTGGAGCAAGAGATTGTAAAATTTGTTGCTGTGTTTTGTAAAGCAAAACTCTCACTCTGTGTGTGTGTTTTTCCTTTTTTTTTTTTTTTTTTTTGAGACAGAGTGTCGCTCTGTCGCTAGGCTGGAGTGCGGTGGTGCAATCTCGGCTCACTGCAACCTCCGCCTCTCAGTTTTGTGTCTGGAATTGGTGGGTTCTTGGTCTCACTGACTTCAAGAATGAAGCCGTGGACCCTCACGGTGAGTGTTACAGTTCTTAAAGGCGGCGTGTCCGGAGTTTTTTCCTTCTGATGTTCGGATGTGTTCGGAGTTTCTTCCTTCTGGTGGGGTTCGTGGTCTCGCTGGCTCAGGAGTGAAGCTGCGGACCTTCGCGGTGAGTGTTAGCTCTTAAGGCGGCGCGTCTGGAGTTGTTCGTTCCTCCCGGTGGGTTCGTGGTCTCGCTGGCTTTAGGAGTGAAGCTGCAGACCTTCGCGGTGAGTGTTACAGCTCATAAAGGCAGTGTGGACCCAAAGAGGGAGCAGCAGCAAGATTTATTGCAAAGAGCGAAAGAACAAAGCTTCCACAGTGTGGAAGGGGACCCAAGCGGGTTGCCACTGCTGGCTCAGGCAGCCTGATTTTATTCTCTTATCTGGCCCCACCCACATCGTGCTGATTGGTTCATTTTACAGAGAGCCCAGTGGTCTGTTTTGACAGGGTGCTGATTGGTGCATTTACAACCCCTGAGCTAGACACAAAGGTTCTCCACATCCCCACTAGATTAGCTAGATACAGAGTGTCCAAACAAAGGTTCTCGAAGTCCCCACCAGAGTAGCTAGATACAGAGTGTGGATTGGTGCATTCACAAACCCTAAGCTAGACACAGGGTGCTGATTGGTGTGTTTACAAACCCCTTGAGCTAGATACAGAGTGCTGATTGGTGTATTTACAATCCCTTAGCTAGACATAAAGGTTCTCCAAGTCCCCATCAGACTCAGGAGCCCAGGTGGCTTCACCCAGTGGATCCCGCACTGGGGCCGCAGGTGGAGCTGCCTGCCAGTCCCGCGCCATGTGCCCGCACTCCTCAGCCCTTGGGTGGTTGATAGGACTGGGCGCCTTGGAGCAGGGGGCAGCGCTCGTAGGGGAGGCTCGGGCCGCACAGGAGCCCACGGAGCAGCGGGGAGGCTCAGGCATGGTGGGCTGCGGGTCCCGAGCCCTGCCCCACGGGAAGGCAGCTAAGGCCTAGCGAGAAATTGAGCACAGCAGCTGCTGGCCCAGGTGCTAAGCCCCTCACTGCCAGGGGCCGGCGGGGCAGGCCGGCGGCTCTGAGTGGGGGGCCTGCCAAGCCCACACCCACCCGGAACTCGCGCTGGCCCGCAAGCACCACGCGCAGCCCCGATTCCCGCCGGCACCTCTCTCTCCAGACCTCCCTGCAAGCTGAGGGAGCCGGCTCCAGCCTTGGCCAGCCCAGAGAGGGGCTCCCACAGTGCAGCGGCGGGCTGAAGGGCTCGTCAAGTGCCGCCAAAGTGGGAGCCCAGGCAGAGGAGGCACCAAGAGTGAGAGAGGGCTGTGAGGGCTGCCAGCACGCTGTCACCTCTCAGTTTCAAGTGATTCTCCTGCCTCAGCCTCCCAAGTAACTGGGATTACAATTGCACACCACCAGGTCCAGCTAATTTTTGTATTTTTAGTAGAGATAGGTTTTCACCATGTTGGCCAGGATTGTCTCAATCTCCTGACCTCGTGTTCCACCTGCCTCTGACTCCAAAAGTGCTGGGATTACAGGCATGAGCCACCAAGCCCAGCCTTTTTTTTTTTTTTAAATGTAGTTCAGTTGCCTTAAAATGACCATTTTCCAAGAGAAACAACTGGTGTAGAGAGGAGGAAAACTTGTTTGTGGCCAAACACAAACTAAAGTCAGAGCTACAACCAGAGGATCCCATCTCCTGTGCTTTATGAGGCCTTCAGAATTAGGCTCTTCGTGGTCACTTTGTTTCTTCAAAAGTTCAAGCTATAGACAACATTTGACACATTTATCACAGATCATAGAAACTCTCTTAACTGAGAGATCAGGACCAATATTGGTTACTTAATCAAATAAGTCATTTAAAGTAGAAAAATATTTTTTAAAAGGTTCTTAGTTTATACGTTTTATTTCAGTGTAAAATTACAAATGGACACTGACAATTTAACTTTACTATGGAGAGTCAAGACTTTTTGAAAATGGGTCCTCTGGTTAGAATCTCTCAACATGTTTCTTACATTAATTATAGCCACAATCCTTTTGCACAGTTTCCAGCTTTCTTTCCTCAAAGTGGAGTGAGAAATTAATATGTATGCAAAGCAATCTGAATAAGTGAGTTCTTCCAAGCTCTGATGATTTCCCCTGATCTATCATACTTGTCTTACCCACTCATTTGACAGCAATTTTTTTAGCAAACTTATTTTTATTGTCTTCATAGAAACCACATCTTTACTTTCACATCCATATTTCATGGCTCTATATAATATTTATTTAAATGATGTAATTACAGCAGCAACTACACTGGTATGAAATAGGTCTGGGAACCAATCAAGTTAACTGTTGGTAAGTATTCAACTCAACTGGTGCGAGGGGATGTATGAGGTTATATTTGAGAGAAACCTACTACCTGGGAGTGTTCAGTGAGGTTAGTGTTTATGATTTACAAGAGGGAATGGAGAATCTTGCTTAATTCTGTATATTGTTCAAGCGGAGGTCAACAACCATTGTACAGCATTGCTTAAGAATAAAAATGTCATGCAGAGGGAAGAAAATCCCTTCCCAGCATGTGACAGCTAAAATGGTCATATAAGAGAATAATGGCGACTTATGGTCAGTCACTCCATAAATGGTCCATTATGATAGACACTTCATAAATAATTTGAGGCCTTTCCTCTGGGTCCCAGACTAGCCGTGCACTGCACACTTCCAATGGATAATGTACAAACTTACTCAAACTCAACCTGCTCCAAATGGCACGTCTTATTCTCTTGCCCCAAACTTGTTTGTCCTAAGGTGTTCTCCACTGAAGTGACTGACACCATCATCCACCTAGGATCCATGCCAGAAAGCCAAGCAGCATCCAGGAGGCTGCTCTCTTCAGCATCCCTTATATTCAACTGGACATCAAGCCATGTCCATTTGCACTTTACACTTCTAATTTGTCTTCTCCCTATGCCCACTGCTTTGGCCTATACATTTATTTTTCAATGCTGTCTCCACTGTCTCAATTCTATCTTCCACATGTCTGCCAGTGTGATCTTTCCAAACTGTACTTCTGATGATCTCACTCCCCTGAATAAATCTTTCAAAGGATCCCTATTTCCATCAGCACAATACTCATTCAAACTCTTTAGCCTGACATTCTCAACGTAGCCTCTGCCAACATTTCAAACCACATGTCTAAACACATGCACCTAGTTCACTCCACAACCGTAGTGAACTAGAACGTTCCCCTAAACACATCAGGCGATTTCACTCTTTTGCTTGTTTTGTTTCCACTGTCTGTATGTAGCACCTTTCCTCATCATGTTTCCACTGTCTGTATGTAGCACCTTTCCTCATCAAGTACCCTTGTCTATTATGACAGCTCACAGGCCATTAATTCTGTGTAAGTGGTCTCTGAGCCTCTCCTATGCATCCCTTAAAATGCTATTAAAACTATGTATTGAATCTAGTTATGATTGCTGGTTATCTATCTATCTATCTATCTATCTATCTATATCTATCTATCATTTAGAGACAGGGTCTTAATCTGTCACTCAGGCTAGAGTACAGTGACAAGACTATAGCTCACTGCAGCCCTGAACTCCTGGGTTCAACTGGTCCTCCCACCTCAGCCTCTTGAGCAGCTAGGGCTACAGGTGCATACCAACATGCTGGCAAACTTAATTTTTTTTTTTTTTTTGTAGAGACAGGTTCTCGCTGTGTTGCCAAGGCTGGTTGCAAACTCCTGGGCTCAAAGCATCTTCCTGCCTCAGCCTCCCAAAGTGTTGGGATTGCAGGCGTGAGCCACTGCACCTGGCCTCATCTGTCTTTTCTGTTAGATTTATGTTTCTTAAAGACAGATTGTATTTTGTTCTCCTCTATATCTCTTGTATGAGTATAAAGCCCAAAACATGTTGAGCTCGATAACTATTTGTTAGATGAATGAATGAATGAATGAATGGGCAAAAGTCACAAAAAGAGTTTGCACTATGCCTTACCCACTGGCTTACTCTATTTACTAGTGAAGTGAATCACAACTGAGCAATTTAATTAAAGGGGAATTGGCTTCAAAGTAGTGAAGTTTTTAATGTTTCTTAAAAGGTAGAAGGAAAAATCATAGCTACAAGAGATTTTACTTGGGCCTTAAGCAAAAGCATCTAAATTATTACCATATAATGATAAAATAATGTTGTGGTTTTATAATGAGAAGTTTGAGGATTCTGTAAGATAACATATGTAAGCCACAGCAACACATAATAGAGCCTATTGTCAGACAAAGCCACTGTCAAAGGGTAGCTATTGTTGTGGTTATTATTATCTCTTTTGAATTAGTAAAATGATTCTGTTATTCTACTTTTATAATTGTTATTTTAAAGCCTTTATTTCAAGACTTAATACCTTGAGACATAAACACCAGGTGTGACAAAAATGAACCTTTGGTTTATCTTCTTGTAGAATTTATTGAAATGGCGTTATTTAAGAGAACACTACTAGTAATTACATAGCTAGTAATTTAAATGCCAACTTGGCAATGTTTGAAAATGATTTGGAAAATGGAACCACAATGCAACTGTGACCAAAGGTTATCATCTAGTTATTTTCAAACTTTAATGTGCATAGGAATCATATGATCTTATTAAAAAGCAGATTCTGAGGTCTGGAATGGGGTCTGAGATCCTGCATTTTATTTATTTATTTATTTGAGCCAGAGTTTTTCTCTGTCCCCTAGGCTGGAGTGCAGTGGTGCGATCTCGGCTCACTGCAACCTCCACCTCCCAGTCCAAGTGATTCTCCTGCCTCAGTCTCCCGAGTAGCTGAGATTACAGGTGTCTGCCACCACACTTGGCTAATTTTTTTGTATTTGTAGTAGAGTTGGGGTTTCACCATGTTGGCCAGGCTGGTCTCAAACACCCAACCTCAAGCAGTCCGCCTACCTCGGTCTCTGGAAGTGATTACAGGTGTGAGCCACCAGGCCAGCCCTCTGCATTTTAATAAGATCCCATGTGATGCTGATGCTGCTGGCCCATTGACCAGATTTCAGTGGGAGCAGTGTATCACAATCCTGATTAATGGTAAGAATCTCTTAGGATGCTTATTAGGAACATAGATTCCTGGACTCTCCCGAGTGTAAACACCTCACTACCCTGACCCTCCACCACACACACACACACACACACACACACACACACACACACACACACACACACCTGTGTTCATGGAACAGAACTCTGGGGACTTGGAAGGTTACTAATGTCTACAGGTTGAGTATTTCCTATCAGAAATGCTTGGGACCAGAAGTGTTTCAGATTTTGGAATTTTTAGGACTTTGGATTTTTTCAAATTTTGGAATATTTGCATTATACTTACTGGCTGAACATACCAAAGCCACAAATTTGAAATTCAAAATGCTCCAATAAGCATTTCTTTTGAACATCATGTTGGTGCTCAAAAAGGTTTGGATTTTGGAGCATTTCAAACTTGAATTTGGGATGTTCATCTTGTAATATATAAATATGTATCAGGCACATAGATACATTTCCTATGGAAACTCACTGATATTCACTGTGAATTACTAAATTTCTTTTTTTTTTTTTCTTTAGAAGGCAAGGTCTCACTCTGTCACCCAGGCTAGAGTGCAGTGGCAAGATCATAGCTCACCGTAACCTCGAACTCGTAAGCTCAAGCAATCCTCCTACCTTGGCCTTCCAAAGTGCTGGGATTACAAATGTGTGCCCCTGTACTTGGCCTGAATTCCTCAGTTTCTAAGAAATTACCCAGAGGCTCCTTATAGACTTCAGGTATTTTAATAAAACACCCAACAAAAGTCCTTGGACAATTTCTGCTTTTCATCGTTTAGTTCTATCCTTGTTAGCATTGTGACATTCCTAATTATTCGATGAAGTAACACATTTTTCCAGATTTTGAAGTTTTCTAGATAAATGTCTGGTTAAAATACTATTTCAGAAATGTTGTAAGTTATCATCTTCTTAAATTTTCTTCTATTTGTCCCAAACATTTAGCTTGCATTGGAAGATGGGATCTGATCTAATATGATTATTGTTTTGGTTCTCAGAATAATTTCACTTAGGAAAAAAATCTCTCCTCTCCTTTCTAATTGTGTACCCAAGTTGATGGACTCCTTCTTTTACCAATGATGGTGATGAATACTTGTTCAACACTTACTAGATGCCAGACACTTTTCAAGTACTTTATATCAATCAATCCTTACCACAAGTCGATGTGAGAAGTGGCATAATTATCCCCATTTTACAGATGAGGAAACTGAAGCACAGGGAAGTAAGTACTTTGCCTAAGATCACACAGCTCGTGAACAAGGAGCCAGAATTTCATTTCAAACCATCTGATTCTGCAGTCTAACCTCTTGACTATTACAATCTACTATCATCATAAATATTTGAGACAAGATTTCTGGTTTCCAATACCCCTTTATTTCATTATCGTCTCTAAGTACCTACTGATATTCCAGCCTTTATTACCTTTTTGTTTGTTTGTTTGCTTGAGACAGGGTCTCGCTCTGTTGCCCAGGCTGGAGTGCAGTGGTGTGATCATGGCTCACTGCAGCCTCAACTTCCTGGGTTCAAGAAATCCTCCCACCTCAGCCTCCTGAGTAGGTGGGACCACAGATGTGCACCAACACACCCAGCTATTTTTAAATATTATTATTTTTTGTAAAGGTGAAGTCTCACTATGTTGTCCAGGATGTTCTTGAACTCCTGGGCTCAAGCAATCCTCCTGCCTCAGCCTCCTAAAATGTTGGGATTACAGACAGTATCCAGTAAGCCCAGCCCCTTCTTGCCTTTAATATAGTAATCAGTATGAAATTGAGCAGAACAACCATTTACAATTATGTATGTGTGCTCTGCATGACTACAGAAGATATCATTCTAATTAGTAATCCTCCTAGATCTATGTAGTTATTACAGTTTTCTAGAAGATGGTAGTAAAATGTCTTGAGGAAAGACATAATCTGCATAGCTATCAGTGGGGACTGAATTTTGGTATCTCTAATTATATGGGCATGGTAGATTGGAAAACATGGCCAGAATATTTTTGTAGCTACCCAAATAAAGAGATGGAATCTATTTCTCCACTTCTTGAATCTGTGTTAGCTTGTGACTTGGTTTGACCAAGAATGTGGTAGAAGTGACATTCTCTAATTTGAGGGGTATAGGTTTCAAATGGCCCTGCAGCTTCTGCTTTTCAGGCTGACGCTCTGGAACTCTTCTACTCTTCTATGAAGAAGTCCAGTCCAACCTGAAGGAGAATGGAAGGGTCCCAGCTGACATGTCCAGGCGATTGTCAGCCATGGAGAGAATGGCCCTCCATCCTGTCATAGCTAAGTTTAGCTCAAGATGGCTCACCAGGTGAATGCAGCTGAACGGGTGAGCTCAGATGAACCCTGCAGGATAACTTGCCAGGCAACCTACAGAATCAGGGGAATTAATAAATCACTCAAATGTAGGGAATTTCAAGCTGTGAAATTTTGGGGTTGGTTGCTAGGCAGCAATACAAACATGATGCAGTTGTTTAAAAGATAAATAAAATCAAAGGCAATATAACTATATTTCTAGTTAATGATATTCAGAGATTTGTTCAATATAATAAGGCTTTTTGATTCAATAAAATAATTTTGTGTAAAAAGCCTGTGACCCAACTGGAGATTGAAGGGGACACATTACTTGTAGTGATTTCCACAATTACATATTCTCATAACTAGAGATAAAAAAAGAAGGCTGTTAACTAAATGCATTGCTACAAATTCTGAGTTGTTATCATTGATTTTATAATCTGAGATTTGTGGCCACTGGGTAGAAAAAATTTTAAGCGCCTACATTTTTAACAGTAAATTTGACAGTGTGTTAAAAATTGTATAAATCCCCTCTTTTAGTAAGGATAATACAAAATCAGAAATACAAATCTCCATTTAAGAAGGAATTCAACTTCTAGTTAAAGGAAGACTGTAAACTAATCTCCATGGATCTAAGATCACTTTGTTTTTATTTTTTTTTTCAGTTATTATATTGTAAATTCCTTTTCTGTGTTGGCAAGAAACTTGTCAAATTTCTACAGAACTTGTCTTAAGTCACTTAAATTGTAGACCTTTATATTTTTATTGCTGTCAAAAGTTTGTAAAATATGTTTCAGATAATTATGGAAAATCATAAAACCTGCCTGTGGTAGGAAACAGTAAGAGTTCACAAATTATACTTACCGTTAATCAGTTCAGACATAACTGAACTGCAAATGAACTTACTTTTATTTTTTTCTGCCTCAAGCAAGCCCCATGTTCTCCAATACATTGTGAACTCATTGGAAACAACAGGCTGCCTTTTGTCTTTTCTCTGCAGTGGTGACAAATATAAGAGCTTCTGACAGTTTCAAAATACTACAAATAACACAGAGCATTGTTTATTACTCTAAGAGCACTGTAATAAAACACCATCTGCAAATAGACTAATACCTGCATGACATTACCACACATGATGCCTTATATTGAATCATAGTGTTCTAACCATTATAACAACTGTTAGTGGCGCCACTGAAGAGGAAAGAAGACTGATGCAATGTTCACAAGTCTCCTATCCCCTTGATGGAAATTTCAAAAGCAAATGGTTATTTATTATTTTGTGTGCTTTAGGTCCCATTGCAAAGTGTTAGCGACTGGAATACGTTTTCTTGAAATCACAGTTTTTAAAAAAGTAACCACTCATAAGCAATTGATTATTTTTTCTAGCTTCTATTACTGATATTTGCTAGGAAGAATCGACAATCTATCAAAACTTAATGGTCGCGCGTTAAATTTCTTTTGTTATCTTCCAGGAACCTATTCATGATAAATCTTTTGTTGGGATATACATCCTTTTTTTTTTTTTTTTTTTTTTTTGAGATGGAGTCTCACTCTGTCACCCAGGCTGGCTGGAGTGCAGTGGCACGATCTCGGCTCACTGCAACCTCCGTCTCCTGGGTTCAAGAGATTCTTCTGCCTCAGCCTCCCGAGTAGCTGGGACTACAGGTGCCCGCCACCATGCCCGGCTAATTTTTGTATTTTTAGTACAGACGGGGTTTCACCATATTGGCCAGTGTGGGCTCGAACTCCTGACATCGTGATTCGCCCGCCTAGGCCTTCCAAAGTGCTGGGATTACAGACATGGGCCACCACGCCCGGCCTACATCCAATTTTTTTTTTTTAAATAACATAGACGTAAATATTTTACTTGTCAGTCGAATGGGCATATAAGATTTTGTGACACCTCTGTTAGAATTGTGCATTAATATGATCCATGTATTCATCCATGAAAGGAACTTTCCCACCTGCTCAAAAAAAAAAAGCATTGAATAATTCTAATGAGTGAGTTAGTCTTAAACATTGCCTGGAATTTTAAAGACCTTTTCAACCCAGCTGAATTTATCATTTGATTTTTCTTAAGATTGGTAATTAATATTTTCTGCTGGTCATTTTTCTCTGCTCAGTTTTCGTTGAGAAACTGTCAATGAAAGTGTCACAGTTTTCCCATAGAAATGTAGATTTCCATGCCAGATGGAGTCACACTTCTCCTTAACATCTAGATAAAACAGGCTCAGCCACCCTTCCATCTATTTTCATGTCCTCCATGAATTCTGATGACTTCCCCATAATGTCTGTAATTCTGGGGAATTATGTATTTATATAAGTGTTTAAAATGTATATCAATTTTTACATTTATATTTACATTTTTATGGTTATATTATAACCATAATCTATATTTAGAGTTACCCTTGGTTTTCCGAGCTGCTTCTTCTGTGGCTTTAGTTGATTTTGAGGATGCTTTTACTGTCTCAAAACTGCTGTTCTTTTCCTAATTGGCTTCAAACAAGATGTGAAATTCAACTGCTTTCTTTGCCAAAAAAACCTCAAAACCCAAAAACCAAAAAACAGAAGCCTTACTCCCAGAAAGCCCTTGTATGAAGGCTTGACTTGAATGTTAGGAAGAGATCGGGGGCCTTTAAAAGACTGTTGCAGCTTTTAGAAGACTGCAACACATAGCAAACCACTTATTACTTAACTGAAACGAATTTACTACATATTCTTGTACTTTTCTTTAAAATTAAAATATTAATTTCAAAAGACATGAATGCACTTAGTAACATATTCAAAACATGCAAGATCTAAAAAAGTGAAAATTCTTCCTCCCACCTCTAATCCTCTAGTTACCGTATTCCCCATCCCACAGAAGCAACTACTATTTGAACTAGTTTCTTGTGCATCCAGAGCTATCCTATAAGTATAAAAAATTATGTGAATATATTATGTTTTAAGAAAATAAAAATACTATCCTGCAACTTTCTTCATTAAATGCTAAATCTACAAGATCGCATATAATCATGCAGCACTGCCTAAATGCATGCTATTCATTGTCTTGATGTATTATAATTTATTTAACCAGTCCTATTTCGTGAACATTTAAGTTGTTGCCAGTCTTCTATCACAATATTGGGATGTGTATTTGCACATATGTATTTGACACTTAAGTCAGTATATCTATAGGATGAATTCTTAGATTAAGAAGTGTTTAAGGACATGCACATTTAAAAGTTTTTGCTAGATATTATAAAATTGTGCTATATAATTTTTCATATAGGTGAGATCGTACTAGAAAACAATTTTAGTTTCCAAATTTTTTCACTTAACTGATTTTATGTTATCCTTTCCCCATATTATTCAAAATACTTTATATACTTTATTTTCAATGACTTCAATATTTTTCTATGAAGATGCCATAAATTAGTTAATTGTTTTCTAGTTGCTAATGTAGTCATTTCTATCTTTTGCTGTCTTAAGTAATCCTGTGATAAACATTTTGGAACAAAAATATTTGTCTACTTTTCTGAGTATTAACTCCTAGAATAGGCTTTGAAAAGAGAAATTATTGAGCCCAAAGCTAAGAATATATTTAAGATTTTTTATTCTTATTCTCAGATTTCTTTCTGGGAAAGTAATTACAATTTTAGATCATTGTCAGTTGTGTATTAATAGAATGCCTAGCTCACCATGTACTCACCAGTAGTGCCACACACACATACACACACACATACACACACACACACACACACAATGATTTAGGAGAAAAATAATACTATATTAATTTGAATTTGAATATTTTATAAAACTTGATTTGTAAATGTTTAGGCTTCATTGTTTTATGAATTTCTTTTTTTGTAAATATGTTACATATATATGTATGTTTCAGTTTTATTGTCCTATATTAAAATTATGTATGTGTAGTTTGTATATTAATGTAGAATGTACACATATATTCTGTTTATGAGCTATGAACACTTTTATTACAACTCAATTGCTGTGTTTTCACTTCTCAGTGTACACAAGATAGGCAGAATTCACTTTCTGTAACAGAAAAACTATTAGCATACTCCTTATTTATATACAGCTTTTTCTCTTTTTCCAAATTTTAGACTGACTTAAGTATATTATTGTGGGAGCCAAGTTTCTCACTGTTGGAGTGAAAATTTACAGATAAGCAAGGGGAAGAGACCAGAACGACCCATATGGTAATGATTAGAGTTGGAGATATAAACATGAACTCTTATTTAGCTTAACAGAGATGGTTATACATAGAAATGTATATATGTATGGGTTAGTATGCATACGTGTAGATACATATAAATTTCCTTGTTTTGTCTGTGGAGAGAGCATAGAAGCAACAACACCCCAGTAGCAATGAGCACGTCTAACATCCAAATCTTGGTGTCTAATCCCATTTGTCAGTAAAAGCAACCAGGGTTCCTTGCTGAAATGGTTGATTCTAGGACCTAGGTGAACCCAGAGCATCTCATGTGCCAAAAAGTGAGGAAGTGATTACAATAGTCCCCTCTTATTCGTGGTGTTGCATCTGACGTTTCAGCTACCTGCGGTCAATTGTGATTTGAAAACATTAAATGGAAACTTTCAGAAATAAGCAATTCATAAGGTTTAAATTGCACACCATTCTGAATGATGTGATGAAATCTCCTGCCATCCTGCCTGGGATGTGAATCATCCCTTTGTCCAGAGTATCCATGCTCCAAAAGCTACTGGCCTACTCGTCACTTAGCAGCCATCTCAGTCATCAGGCTGTTGCAGTATCGCAGCATGCTTGTGTTTTAGTAGCCTTTATTTTATATAATCATGGCCTGAAGCACAAGAGTGATGATGCCAGCAATTCATCTATGCCCAAGAGGAGCCATAAAGTGCTTCCTTTAAATGAAAAGGTGAAAGTTCTCAACCTAACAAAGAAAAAAACCATATGTTCAGGTTGCTAAATTATCTGGTAAAAATGAATCTTCTGTCTGTGAAATTGTGAAGAAGAAAAAAGAAATTCATGCTAATTTTGCTGTCTTCAAACTACAAAAGTTACAGTGAATGATTTTTAAAACTGCTTAGCTATAATGAAAAAGGCATTAAATTTGTGAGTGGAAGACATGAAGAGAAATGTGTTTCGATCAATGGCAATCAGGTTCCGTAGTATATATGAGGTTTCAGGTGATCACTGGGGAGCTTGGAAGTATCCCCCGTGGATAAGGTGGGGCTTTTGTTTTGCCGTAAAACAAAAGAAAGAAGTTTTTTTACCCCTTTATAGAAAGAGGCTAAAAAAGTAAACTTGGCCCGACACGGTGGTTCACGCCTGTAATCCCAGCACTTTGGGAGGACGAAGTGGGCGGATCACGAGGTCAGGAGATCGAGATCATCCTGGCTAACGTGGTGAAACCCCATCTCTACTAAAAATACAAAAAATCAGCCAGGCATGGTGGATGGCGCCTGTAGTCCCAGGCTACTCAGGAGGCTGAGGCAGGAGAATGGCATGAACCCGGGAGGCGGAGCTTGCAGTGAGCCGAGATCGCACCACTGCACTGCAGCCTGGGCGACAGAGCAAGACTCCGTCTCAAAAAAAAAAAAAAAAGTAAACTTGTAGGGGAAAAACTTAAAAAACACTATCTCAGCCTGGTGATCAAGGTCAACATCAATAGTGATAAGTTATGTTGACAGCATGTCAACATATGCATTTGATATGATGTGACAAGAATGACACTTTATCTGTGGTCTTCCTTCCCAAACCCATAACTCCAGTCCAATCATGAAACATACACTAGACAAATTGCAAAAGAGGCACATTCTGCAAAATACCTACCAGTACTCTCAAAACTATCAAGATCATCAAAAACAGGGAAAGTTGGCCAGGCACAGTGGCTCTGCCTGTAATCCTAGCATTTTGGGAGGCCAAAGTGGGCGCACCATGAGGTCAAAAGAATGAGACCGTCCTGGCCAATATGGTGAAACCCCGTCTCTACTAAAAATACAAAAATTAGCTGAGCGTAGTGGCGCACGCCTGTAGTCTCAGCTACTCCGGAGGCTGAGGCAGGAGAATGGCGTGAACCCGGGAGGCAGAGCTTGCAGATCGTGGCACTGCACTCCAGCCTGGCAACAGAGCGAGACTTCATCTCAAAGGAAAAAAAAAACGAAAAAAAAAAAACAAAACAGGGAAAGTCTGATAAACAGTCACAGCCAAAAGGAGCTTAAGGAGACATGATGGCTAAATGTAACATGGTATACTGGGTGGGATCTTGGAATAGAAAAAGGATGTTAAGTTAAAACTAAGGAAATCTGAATACAGTATGGACGTTAGTTTATAATAATGGCTCAATATTAGTTTATTAATTATCAGAAGTGTGCCATATTAGGATATTAGTAATAGAGAAAAGTGGGTGTCTTTGGGGTATATGGGAATTCTCCATATTATCTTTGTAATTTTTCAATGAATCTGAAACTTCCAAAAAATAAAATTTATTCTAAAAAGTGTATTATGCGGTATTTAAGAGATATACAAACAAGGTGTGATGGTTAATATCGAGTGTCAACTTGACTGGATTGAAGGATGCAAAGTATTGTCCCTGGGTGTGTCTGTGAGGGTGTTACCAGAGGAGATTAACATTTGAGTCAGTGGACTGGGAGAGGAAGACCCACCCTTAATCTGGGTGGGTATCACCTAATCAGCTGCCAGCAGGGCCAGAATAAAAGCAGGCAGAAGAACATGGAAAGACTAGATTGGTTTAGTCTTCCAGCCTACATCTTTCCAAGTTCTACAACTTTGGGACTCTTGGAGCTTCCACCACAGACTGAAGGCTGCACTGTCAGCTTCTCTACTTTTGAGGTTTTGGGACTCTGGCTTCCTTGTTCCTCAGCTTGCAGATGGCCTATTGTGGGACCTCACCTTGTGATCATGTGAGTCAATACTCCTTAATAAACTCACCTATGTATATAAATATATCCTATTAGTTCTGTCCCTCTAGACAATCCTGACTAATACACAAGGTTAAAAAGTAAAATGAACACCATGTGTCCACTCCTCAGCTTAGAAAGTGATGCTTATCGATAGAGTTGAAGTCCCTTGCATACCCCTCTATCAGTTATACTCTCACCTCCCTTTTAGAGGTAACTACTATCCTGAATTTGGAATTTATTATTCCCATGAACTTACTGATATTTTTATGATATGTTGTTTTGATGTTTGTAAATTTCATATCAATTGCATCTTATTACATCTGCTTTGGAAAATGTTTGATTCACTATTATGCTTATAAGAGTCATACTAGTTTATGTAGTTCTAATTCATTTATTTTCTCTGCTACCAAGTCTTCCATTGTATGAACATATTCAAATATACTGATCCCTCTGATGGACCTGTAGGGTGTTCTGTCATTCCTGTAGTTGAAGTCCTTTTATTTGCCTTTGTCTGCCCAGACAGGGGTTTCTCACTGGCTAACTCATTCCACACAACACTCTGCATCTTAGTCTGGCTGCCTGACTCCTCCCGCCCCTTCCACTTCCCTCCTTATCCCCTTCCCCTCAGATTGGCCTCTAGAGCTCTGAAGTCTTCTCTTCTCATGCACAGATGCTCAGCTTTCTTGTCACTTCTCACAAATGCAAGTCCCAACCTACCTCTGCATAGCTACAAACCATTCAAGATTTTAGCTGAACAAAGAGGTCCTCTGCTTCAGCGGTCCCCAACCTTTTTGACACTAGCGACCAGTTTTATGGAAGACAATTTTTTCACGGATTGGGGAGTGGTGGGGATGGCTTGAGAATAAAACTGTTCCACCTCAGATCATCAGGCATTAGATTCTCATAAGGGCCACACAGCCTGGATGCTCACATGTGCAGTTCACAATAGGGTTCACTCTCCTGTGAGAGTCTAATGCCATTGTTGATCTGACAGGAGGCGGAGCTCAGGCGGTAATGCTTGCTCACCCATCACTCTCCTCCTGTTGTGTGGCCAGGTTCCTCACAGGCCAGGGACTGGTACTGGTCTGTGGCCCAGGAGTTGGGGACCCCTGCCCTACTTCTTCCCTAGCACCTCTCATCCATGCAAAATTATGAAAAAAATTAAAGTTTAAAACTTGTTTTGTCCAGATGTGCTTTAAAATAATTAGAGTGAAAAATATCCATAGTCCATTTACTGAAAGACATCCAGTGCCCTTGGATATCCAATTGTCCTTGGATAAGCGAGGACAATTCAAATATAATCTTAAATATAGTATTAAATAATCTATGCAAAGCAAATTTTCAATAAATGTAGGCTCTGCAAGGCACAGGGTGAGGGACAGAATTTGGAAAGAATCCACTGGGTGTCAGGGTAAGCTTGTCCTAAGTGAAAAGAAATGCATATAGGTGTTTATGTAACATCATACCCTCGGAGTATATCTATATTCCCCTTCTTTCTCTTTAAAACCATCTCTAAGGATAAAAGAACAGCTTTTATCTTTGAGGAGAAATATCAAAGATGCAGAAGGAGTTAATTGTGGTCAAAGGCATCTTTTAATGAAGTGGAATCAGAGTTTGGAGATCCATGAAACTAAAGAGAGAGATTTTTGAATACAGGTAGTTGTCCTGGGGCATTTTAGTTGCATTCCAAACTGTAGAGAGTAATACTCCTGGTACTAAGGTACAAAAAATTGTCACATTTAGACTTATATTAAGATATAGTATTTGAAAAAATTCCATAAAATCTACTCTGTTCCCCCAAAAAAGAGACAATTTTTAGCTCTTAAGGTAAAGATCAGTCCAGGGGATCATTGTACAACATGGTGACTATAGTTAATAACAATGCATTGTACACTTGAAAATTGCTAGGAGAGTAAATTTTAAATGTTCTCACTACAAAAAAAAGGATAAGTATGTGAGGTAATGAATATGTTAATTTGCTTAAACCTTTCCACAATGTATACATATATGAAAACTTCATGTTGTACACATGAATATATATAATGTTTATCTGTGAATTTAAAAAAAATCAAAGGTTTCTTTTTTAAAGGAGATAAGCCTAATAGAAATGGTATTTTTGTAGTATTAATCTAGCAACTGTGTGTCAGATGCATGAGCAGGTGAAGGTGTGGGCATGTGTTTGCGAGGGGTGGTAATGAGAAAAATAAAATTTAAGCTAATACAATAATTCAGCCCCAAAGCTATGAAGGCCTAGATTGAGGTAATGACAGTGAAAATGAGAAAAACGGAAAAGAGTTTTAGAATGAACTCTTGATATCCCTTGGCCAGACTGATTAGATGATAGGCAAAAAGACAGAGGAGTCAGAGTGGTGTCCTAAGTGCAGTGTTGGGGGCCAGGATAAGGGTGCTGCCATTTCCATAAATGGGAAGGCACAGACAGGCGGCACATAGAGCCCGATGGTGACACCCACAGGGAATCAGCCCAGGGAGGACCTGAGAGAGAGCACCTGATCTCCAAATGGGAGGCTGAGGCCTATTTCATAGTCGGGAGAGAGCCACTCAAAGGAGCCGGCAGAAGAAAACGAAAACAGTGAAGGCAATGGCACCAAAATGGACAAATGGAGGATGTGAAGGGGAAAAAATTCCATTGCCAAATACAGCCAATGTGGGGCTAAGAGGAGGTGCTGGATTATGTTTAGGTAGAACACTTGTGTGTTTCTATATCCCCAGAGACTTTCCTTGTATACCCTGTTTAATTTCTGCAGGGAGTCACAACAGAACTTCTTTCTGTTGTCCTGCCTTAGTAAGAATTGGTGAAGCGTACCACAGTTCCCTCTGTGACAGAGTAATGTAGCATAGTTACCTGGGAGTGAGGACAAGAAATGGGGTGACAGAAAAACAGTAGCAAACTTTTCCTGACTCACAGGTATGGTGAAGGCTGCTCATAAAAAGCCCCTTTCTGCAGGTGCTAAAATCAGTCTCCTGTTACTCACCTCTGAAGAAGATGGGCATTTGGCTCAGCTGGTTGCAAAACAGCCCTTATTTCTTTCTTCTGTCTCTGTATCTATCATTTATTTCATCCATTCCATGGGGTTACATTTGAACATTCTCTTTGATATTCTCTTTTATAAATCTCCTTTAACTTCACATTTTGAGACTTCCTCAAGAAGTTTTCTCTCCACCAGAAATATCACATCCATTTATAAATTTGTAAATTTATGAATTGCTTTGAATGAACAGATCTGAGTTGAAATTATTCATTGAGAATGAAGAAGAAATAAATGGCCACAAAACTACATACCTCATCCATTTACCCAGATACCCATCTACTGAGCACTGACATGTACCAATCACCAATATGGGTGTGGGGGATACAAAATCCAGTAAGACATAGTCATCATTCCCAAGGGATCTGCAGAGAGCGATGGATAGGGTAAGACTGGCTTTCTAGGTTGGCCTTGGGGAAGGATTGTCAAGAGATACAGCTGCCCCCTCTCACAGGTGATTTTATTTTATTGCTACTCCTAGAGGGTGTTTTCTCTGAAGGATCTAGATTTAATAAGGGAACAAAGGTTTTTTGTGTTGGTGGTGGTGGTGGTGTTTATTGATGTTTTTACAAAAGTATAGTCATATCTGGATTCCATTATAAATGTCACATGCAACTCAGTTTGTAGGAGTCGGTTTATGTCTGGGTTGGATATAAAAATAACTGTGGGATTCTGTAAATGATAAAAAACACAAAGGCTTTCATGTGCATATTTAGGATGTTACTAGACTTACCAAATATGGAGATGCTACCCTTGGTCTGGGCCTTTGTATCTTCTATTGCAAATCTATCATTCCTTAGGAGCTAAATAAAAGTTAAATAGCCAACTGGAGTTTAATTATTTTCCAATGCTCTTCTGCATTGGCATTTTTGCCCGTTAGGATAATTGGCAGATTGGACCAAGAACCCTTAAAGAAATAGATGCCCTGCACCACACAGTGTAGAAGAGCATGGAAGTCAACATGATCGCTTCCTTTATGCACCACTGACAGTGAGTCTTGTCTGGCCAGCCTGTAGCCATCCCCTCCCTCTCTCCGACCACAACAGCAGTCATACTTTGTAATTCAAATAAGCCTTTTTTTAAAAACAAGTGGAACAGCCTTAAATCTTCTAAGGCAGTTAAGCAAATTTTGCATTTTATGAGCGAGGATAATCCTTTCACGTTTTCAGAAATAAGTTTACAAGCCCACACGCCTGGTGAGCAATGGGAGCCGTGTGACAAATGGGGACACAGAGCATCCTCCAGGCAATCTGCGTGATACGCAGTAAATCCTCCTGCTCTGGCAGCTCCACTAGTGTGGTGGGAGAACAAGATCAATTCTCCCCCGGCCTCACAAAAGATCCTTCATTGCTGATTGCTACGAAACCAGAGGAGAAGCTTAATGAAGGAGACGCTGGAACCTGACAGCAGTATTGGAAATGAATATGGAGAAAATGAAAATATTATGCACCAAATTGGCAGAACCGAAGACGGAGTGACTATTAGTGGACACAAACATAGAGTGTGCCTGAGTGTTTTCTCAGGCCAGCTGGTGACTGCAGAATATCCGCGTGAGGAAGTAGTAAAATGAAACCCACATGGGATGGGGTGTACTTGGAAATCCAAGTTATACCACAGAAAGCAGCGCATCAGTTGGAAATTTCGGCCTGCCAGTATTTTGAAAAATAAATACGGCTACGGTGAAAGGGAATTTGAGTATCTGAGTTGGGGAGTAACATGAAATACACAGTCATGAAAGATAAAAACAGAACATAAAATAGGATCTGCAGGTGGAAACCCTTCTATCCCCTCTCTGCTCGTTTTTCTCCTCTGTCTGCTAATTTGTTGCTTGTTTTGCCTACGATTGGTCACCATACTTGTGCTTTCTTTCTCTTTTGTTTTCTTTCTGTGAATTTCCGAAATGTACATGAAAAATACAATTCAAGTGGAAAATTATTGCAAAAATGGGAAACATGATGTTTTACAGTTTTAACTGATGTTATTAGCAGCTGTGTCCATAGACATAATAGAGTGACAGAATGGAAAAATAAATACATTGGAATCAATAAGCCGAAGAAAAGTGAACCAGGCCATTACTTTCCTGCTTTCAAGGAAATGAGGCCTGGCCATTTGCAAGAACAGAAAATTTCATTGAAAATTGAACCCTCTTAATGAGAGAGAATCTCTGCCTATTCTGTTGAGCTAAGGCAACAGGATCGCTATTGACAACTCTCTGGTCTGCTTAACATATTGCTATCACCCCTGCAAATTCCACTGAGAAATTGTACATAGAGTACTACCATCATTCTGCGTTCAGGTTCAGGTAGAATAACAGGAGCGCACTACTTCATCTCTAAAGATATCTGAGAGAAATGTGGCAGGTCCCAAATTACTTGACTGAAATGTGTGAACTCTGATAACCTATCAGAAAAACAGAAAAGAATAAAACAAGAAGAGATCACACTATTAGGAGTAAATGGGCTAGACTTGTTTTAGGTAGAAAATGGTATTGGTCAGCATGGATATGGGCATCTTTCTCTATCATCACCCTGATTAGCATAGCAAGGGGTAATAGGAATATAATGTGCTATATTTGAGCTATCCACTGGACCACAACCAAATGGGAACATGTCAGTTGGTTTATAGAATATCAGGTTTCTCTTGCCTGCCTCAAACCAAAACCTCAAATAAAGTAAAAATCTTTTTGTTATCCTACTAACATGACTTTGAGTGTTGGTTCCAAATGGAATGAAATCTTAACATGGGAAAACATTGTGTGTGTGTGTGTGTGTGTGTGTGTGTGTGTGTGTGTTTTGTTTTGTGACTGCCTTCCCTGGAGGTATGTGGATTCACATCACAGAGCTTTGCCATCTCCCCAAAGAGACATCTTGGGAGTTTGGGGTCTCGACTGGAGGAATTTGCGTGCTCTCACCTTCCCTCTGTGGCCAGTTTCGAAGACTATGCCAAAGAACGGGGTAGAAAAACTAGCAGAAGGGACGAAGAGGGAGGGGGGAAGAGAGTGAAACACAATAGATTATGAATTTGAAAATTGCCAATTATCTTGTATCATACAGCTCAGAGCCCTGGCACAATGATCAGCCACAATCCAGATTTTTCAGCTTAAATGGCTTTACATTCAAGCAAGCAAATTAACCATAAAATAGAGGAGGGGGGGGAACAAAATATTCCAAGAAAGAATAAACCGCAGATAATAAGCACCAATCTGGTGTTGAATGCAGCCCAAGATACCAATTGTTTTAAGTCACGACAAAGACAGCTGAATGCTCATCTTGTGGATGCAGAGCGAGGATGATTGCTTGCCATGAGTATCTTCTCTCACAAATAACAGTTTTTTCGCTCTTAATTTTCTGCTAAATTGGAAGCTAACTGCTTCCCACATTGTCATCGGAACACCTGCAGCTGTGCTGGATTTCTGCGCACCATTTCTTTTAGGTAAAACAGCACTCCACTTCCTTCAGCTCCTCATTATGCCGTGAGGTCTTCTTTTCACTGCACTGCAGCACTAATGATTCAGGCAGGCTGGTCAGTCATTAAGTGACAAGCAAATGATACCGTGTGCAACGTGTGAGTAATCGGTCTGAACAAATGAAATCACAGACTTGCCTTTCCCATCATTCATTTCACAAACAGTAGCAATGTGGTGCACAGCAGGTAGTTCAGTTAAAACCAGCCTTGTAAAACAAATTTCCTGCAGCCGTTTAAGTGAACTGCGATGGGCTGGATGCTTCAGCTAGTGGATTGTGCCCGGAGGAGTTAAGAAAGGTTGGGGTGGAGGGAGGAAGGGAGAGAGGAGCTGGGAGGAGAGCCTCGGTACATACATTAGAGTAATTAAGGGTTTCGTGTCTTATTGGTATGTTTTTCATTTGCATGGATCTCAGAAATGACTGTTGGATTAGCAAACCCAAAACATACAGCATACATTTCAATGTGCCTTGTCAGGAGGTAGCTGTTAAGAGACTGAAGCAAAGTTCCCAAATAAATGCTCTAAATTTGGAGTCATGAAGACGTCATTGTAAATCAGATGGACTGCTAGGAAGTTAGTGATGCAAATCACAGTGATAAAAAGCTTCATGGCTTTTATTTTCACAGTAGATCCCCTTTTGGTTCTTTAATTATTTTGTGAACAGTGCAGACTTGGCTGCTAATAGAAACCCCACTTGCGTGCTAAAGCTTAAAATGCGTTAGATTAGCTTGAAAAACAACAAAAAAAAAGGTAAAATGAGAGAGGGTGATGTCGAGGTCTTTGTAGTCCCAAACTTTTGCCTTCAGGCCTCTGGCTAGCTCATCTCAGGCTAAGCTGGCTGGGATACGGAGAGGGGCTGCTTTCTGGGGACTGAGGCCTCCAGCAGGTTTCACTCACATCAACCCCAGTGTTTCTCTTTTGCCTGAGTTCCTGGCTGATAGGGAGATGAACCGCTTTTGGTTGAAAGTATGTTCTGAGCCTTTTGTAGCAATGACGTGGGGTTGTGGGAGGACAGCTTGGAACTATGAGGGCCGCATCAGCTCTTTTCTTTCCACACCATCAAGAACAAAACTAGGCCAGGCACGGTGGCTCACACCTGTAATCCCAGCATTTTGGGAGGCTGAGGCGGGTGGATCACCTGAGCTCAGGAGTTCAAGACCAGCCTGACCAACATGGTGAAACTCCGTCTCTACTAAAAATACAAAAATTAGCCAGGCGTGGTGGCACATGCCTGTAATCCCAGCTACTCGGATACTGAGGCAGGAGAATCGCTTGAACCCGGGAGGCGGAGGTTGTAGTGAGCCGAGATTGTGCCATTGCACTCCAGCCTGGGCCACAAGAGCAAAACTCAATCTAAAAAAAAAAAAAAAAAAAGAACAAAACAAAACAGGGTCTCACATCTGGCACCAATTTTTCCTGTCTCTGGTCATCCTGATTTCAGCTTCAAACTTACTCATCATGTTCTCTTAGGCAGCTGGTAAAAGCTTCCAGAAGTGAACCTGAACAGTCCGGCTTGACTGGAACCCACATGATACATATATACTGCACAGCTACAAAAGGCAACAAAGCAGGATGTCTGTGGGCCCGGGCTCTGGCATCACCCAGGGCTGGGCTTGCACTTGGACCTTCCTGGACACTTGCTGACTACATTAGTGTCCATAGCACCTTTCTGGCCCCTGACGCACTGGTTAACAGTCAATGTATTTATAAGGAGCGAAAGGAAGAATGTCCCTCAGTCAAGAAAATTTTTGAATGCCATGAAGTTCCTTTAGTATGAGGCTAATATCTTTAGTCTGAGATCCCATTGGGGATTGTCTCGAAATAGCTAACTAAGATTCTCAACAAATGCTGATACAACAAGGCATTCTTGCAAATGGACAGTAAGGCGTCCACTGCAAATAAGAAGTTCCTACAAAATGATGAAATACGATCCCTTCAACCATACCTCCACCTATGCCCCACTGTAAGTCTACCAAAATAAGATTGACTCAAAGCTGTCTTTGACTTGCAAGAAGGGTGCATAGATTTTTAAAGTTTTCCAAAATATATTACTGAATTAATACATGCTTATTATAAATAAATCAAACAGTATATCAAATTGTATAAAACACTCCCTCCCTCTATGCTTACTTTCACCAGGGGTAACCACTGTTCTAAGTGTGGTGTGCATTATCTCATTTTCTATGTTGATACCAGCCTACACAGAGGTGTAATCATACTCCATATCTTGTTCTGCAACTGGTTTTCTTCACTGATCAAGACACAGTGGACACCTTTTTGTGTCAGCACAAGCAAATTAATTTCATTTGTTTTAACATCAACAGAAAATTTTGGCATGTGGATGCATTTTATTCAATCAATCTTTCTACTGAAGGACAATTAGATTGTTTCTAATTCTTAATCTATTGAAAATAACACTGCAGTGAAAATCCTTGCAGGTACCTCTTCATTCATTTATGTGAGTATAATTGTAGGGTGAATTTCTAAAAACAGAATTACCAAATGGCTTAATCCTTAGCAATTTGACAGGGGATTGTTTTTCACATTTAATCTTATTAAACTAAAAATAAGGTGGAGAATCTCTTCATGTTTCAAAGAAATTTGTAATTCTTTTTGTCTGTGGCTTGCTTATCTGCCTATTTTTCAGTTAGGCTGGTGGTCTTTTACTTTTTGATTTATAAAATCATTCTTTAAGGCATGTTTATCCAAGATGTTTATCCAGTATATCTTGCAAATACTTGTTGACACTTTGACACTTCCATAGTAATGTTTGCTCTAAAGAAATGTTTGATGTTTGTGCAATTTAACAACTCTTAACTCTATGACTTTTGGGGGTTTCATTATGTTTGAAAAGTCCTCCAGACTGTAGTATTGTAAACATATTCATTCCTTTATTTTTTTAAAGAATGTTTATAATTTGAGCCACCTGGACAGTATTGTAGTTAAAAATAGGTGAGAGATGCAGCGTGATTATTTAGTAGTCCATCTTAAGGAGTAACATGACCATCCCAGACTGTCATCACATAGAAAATCATGTTTTAAGCCAGGCTGCCTTCATCACACCGTCTAGGCGCTAAGCACTCAAAGCTACGTATTCACAAGTTCTTCCCTTTAAATGTCAACAATCTAAATTTAACATCATCAAGATGTTAAGCTCGTTACAGGATTCTGTGACTTTTCAATGCTGCTGGTGCTGGCTTACCCTTGAGTTCAAGGATATAACACCATCCACAGTCTCATATTCAGAATGCTGAAACGCAAAAAGCTCTGAAAGCCTGCAAATGTTTCTTAAGTGATTTGATGGCAAACCTAACCTTACCCATCATAAAGCTATGCATAGCCTCTATTCCACATCATCTGAATATCTCTACCTTTTCTCCAGACCTCTCTATATACAATATGAACAATGCATTATTCCCTAGAAATGGAAATAGGTATGAATTGAAAAAACATCTGGTCCCAAGGATTTTGGAAAGAAGATTGTGGCTCTAGTAAGAGCGATTTATTATCTTACAGAGAAGCAGAAAACTTGCTAATAAAAGGAGAAGAATGGAGTATGGTGCGAGTTAATGGAAAAAAGGAAGAAGGAGGAGGCAGAAGATGAACATTTTGAGAAACTGCAGTTAAGAGGAGGAAATGGGGCCGGGCGCGGTGGCTCACGCCTGTAATCTCAGCACTTTGGGAGGCCGAGACGGGCCGATCACGAGGTCAGGAAATCGAGACAATCCTGGCTAACAAGGTGAAACCCCATCTCTACTAAAAACACAAAAAAAAAATTAGCCGGGCGTAGTGGCAGGCGCCTGTAGTCCCAGCTACTCGGGAGGCTGAGGCAGGAGAATGGCGTGAACCCGGGAGGCGGAGCTTGCAGTGAGCCGAGATGGCGCCACAGCACTCCAGCCTGGGCGACAGAGCGAGACTCCGTCTCCAAAAAAAAGAGGAGGAAATGGTTTCCTGGACTCTTCCTATTTAAAGCTGTGAGGATTTCTATCAATCAAACCAAGTTCAGTGCTATCAGGCCTGAGATTTTATTAAGTGACTAGCAATCAGAAAGTCACTCAGATCCCCTGAAAACAAAACAAACCTGAAAAGTCTTGAGATTTTGAACATTATGAATATAAAAAAGATGACTAGTATTCTAGTAATTAAAATAATGTTTCTTCATTTCTTCAAGGATCTTGCAATACTTCTTAGTATTCTGGGATGAGGTTTCATTTCTGTCCAAAGGGCAGGTCCCGGAGATAGACTCTCCCAGGCACATTTTAGGCTGAGATTTTTAGACCCATAGTATAGAAAGCCAGAACTCTCTCAACTCCAGCTGTTTGAGCTAAATAACTGTAAATGAAATAGGCAGTTGGTCTTTTCTTCACTGAAATCAAACAGAAGCAAATAAATAGGAAGAGAAGAAAACTCTAAATGTTCTCAACCCAGGTTTCACAGCAGAGTCATCTAGGGAACTTATAAAATATCAACCTCAAGGGAATTTCCTCTCACGCTGGAATGTGACCAGAATCACTGGAAGTGCTGATTAAAACATAGGTTACTGGGCCCAGCCTTGGAGTTTCTGATTCAGCAGGTCTTAGGGGGTGGGGGGTGAGAACGTGCATTTCTATCAAATTCCCAGGTGATGCTGCTGCTGCTGCTGATCTGGGGACATTGCTTTGAGATCTTGATTTAATTAGTGTAGGGTGGGTCTTAAGCATTATTCATCTTTCAGAGTTCCCAGGAGAATCTAACATGCAGCCTGGCTGGAGGGCCACGCCAGGAAAGAGGAATATGGGAAGGAGACTTCTCCTATGCTACCTAACCAACAGGTCCCACTTTTTTCTCCCATACAGTAATGAGATGTTCCTCAGCCTCCTTCACATCTTCAGTAGTTTATCAAAGGGGATAAGGGCCCTCATACGACTGTGGAGAAAGAGGTAAAATCACTTTTTTGAGGAGAAATATTTTCCAGGTACACAGATGAAAAGGATATAGAGATTTGACTGGAAACAAGATCAGGGAATTTTAGATGAAATTTAATTTTAAAGTACAACTTTTTGGCTGGGCGCAGTGACTCATGCCTATAATCCCAGCACTTTGGGAGGCTGAGGCGGGTGCATCACCTGAGGTCAGGAGTTCGAGACCAGCCTGACCAACATGGTAAAACCCTGTCTCCACAAAAAATACAAAAATTAACTGGGTGTGGTGGTGCATGCTGTAGTCCCAGCTACTCGGGAGGCTGAGGCAGGAAAATCGCTTGAACCTTGGAGGTGGAGGTTGCAGTGAGCCGATATCGTGCCATTGCACTCCAGCCTGGGCAACCGAGTGAGACTCTATCTCAAAAAAAAAATTTTTTTTTTAAGCTTAGAAGCAAAAATAAATTGGAAACAGAAAGTTGGGTTCCTAATTAAATGGATATAGAGAATTTTCAATGGGCTATCACTTAATTTGGAGGATAGCCCTGTTTAAAAGTAAATTTCCTTAAAATTGCAATGAAGGAGAAATTCCAGAGACTTCACAATCAGATGATAAACTTAGAAAAGATATTTAGGAATGATGATTGTCATTTATGACTGGAAACCCAATAACCTACTCTTGCTTTAAAAACCTTTTAATAGAATTGTAAAGATGAATGTCAAAGGTGGGCTAGACTTTGTTTGAAATTTCATGTTAACTCAAGATTTTGTTTGTCTGATATTCCTAAATCCTGGAAAAGGCAAGGGACATCCTCTAACATGTTAATTCACTCCCTGGCCATCTGTGACACCAGACTGATTTGATTCTTCCTTCTTCTTCCTCTTCTCCTTCTTCTTACTATTATTATTTTGAGAAGGAGTCTTCTTCAGTCTGAAGAAGACTCCTTCAGACTCAAGGAGTCTTCAGTCGCCCAGGCTGGAGTGCAGTGGCGTGATCTCGGTTCACTGCAAACTCTGCCTCCTGGGTTCACACCATTCTCCTGCCTCAGCCTCCCGAGTAGCTGGGACTACAGGCACCCGCCACCACGCCCGGCTAATTTTTTTGCATTTTTAGTAGAGACGGGGTTTCACTCTATTAGCCAGTATGGTCTTGATCTCCTGACCTCGTGATTCGCCCGCCTCGGCCTCCCAGAGTGCTGGGATTACAGGCGTGAGCCACCACGCCCGGTCCCTTATTATTATTTTTTAAAGTCTCTGACAACATTGCATGGCTCTGTGGTAATAACCACTGATAACTGCCAAAAAGAAATCTAGGAGTTTCTGATCTGCTTTTGCTTGTTTTCCAAATCTGCTTTGAGGACATGTAGAATTGGTTCTGATGGATCATGAAGGTAGATTTAGAGGATATAGACTTTGGTGAATGAAACAAAACAAAAGGAAATTAGGCTTTGGAATGAATCAATACTGCAGGACTAGTTTGTTTATTTATTAGAATACTTATCTATATGCTTACAGCAAGCCTTACTATGTCTGCTATACATTATATTTCATTGCTTTGCAGTCTACATTCAGGTGAGAACACCAACTCTCACACGTGCTAGCAAGAAGACAACAAACAACAGCAACAAAGATTGATGTCTGGCTTTACAGGGAAAGGCTGTGCTTAGCTTAAGCAGTAGGGTAGGAGTGCTTCTTAATTTCTTCTCTAATACAGCTAATTGTGCCCAAGGCGCTGGGGTTGATTCAGTTTTCTCACTTGGTGATTTATGAGACAGTGTTTCACCACCCGAGTGAAACAAGTTTTTCAATTAGTTTTATTTATTTGGATCTGAAATAGTTAGAAACCAAAGAGATGTTCGATTTGGGGGATTTCTAAGTTTAATTGCTTTTCAGCCTTGTATTAGTCTATTATCAGCTGCTAATAAAATACCTGAGACTGGGTAATTTATAAAGGAAAAAAGTTTAATTGACTCACAGTTCAGCATGGCTGGGGAGGCCTCAGGAAACTTACAATCATGGCGGAAGGGGAAGCAAATATGTCCTTCTTTACATGGCAGCAGGAAGAAGTGCCAAGCAACAGTGGGGAAGCCCCTTATAAAACCATCAGATGTTGCGAAAACTCACTCACGATCATGAGAACAGCATGGGGGAAACTGCCCCCATGATTCAATTACCTCCCACTGGGTCCCTCCCATGACATGTGGGGATTATGGGAACTACAATTCAAGATGAGATTTGGGTGGGGACACAGCCAAACCATATCAGCCTTTACTTACCTTCTTGAATAACACACAGGTTGCTATAATCCAGAGCAGAAGATAGGGTCAGTCTGGCTACTATGTTACCATCAATCCTCTTACTCTGTGTCCAGCCATTCATGCCAAGGATGTGCTTGTACCTGCCTCCACCTCAGTGAGGGTCATTTTGTCAGTTACACAACCTCTACCAGGCAGGGAGGAAGGGAAGGCCAAGGAGGTAGAATGCAAACCATCTAGTTTTGTTATTTGCTAGTTCTAGGTTGGAGTCAGCATAAAATAGAGCTTGACTGTCTGAAGTTAAATTACAATTTGGTGACAGATCTGACCTCTGGTGCCATCATGGATATTACATTGCAGTGGAGACAGCCTGGCTGGGTTTTGGCCATCCTCACTGGCAAAATCACTGACTAATCACTGCAAAGTTATTAGTGGCTCTGATAGTGAGGAATACCAGCTAACTGCAAGCTTTTCCTTCTCAAATCCCTTTTGGTTTTTCTCCCTGCTGCCCACCCACCTCGGCATGCTGTGACACTGGACTGACAGTGGGGAATTGGGATGCCTCTTCCTCTAGGTCACAGAGACCATTAGAGTCATGAGCACTTACCACTAACCCGTCTTTTAACACATTTTCTAGGAAACCCTTTACTCCTGTCCTTCTGTAAATTTCCAGGCTGGCCTCTCTTGTATGAGCTTTGACTTATTCTCCAACAGATCCTTAATTCCCTGCTTTTGGTGTGTTCCCAGGATCTTTCTCCCTAATAACTCAGGCCCTAAATCCACAAAGGATGGTGACTTGCTCTGCTATCATATTCATCTGAGAATATATATCATAACAGGCTTGCTTCTTCCTTTTGACAAAACCTAGAGTCAACCCTGGAATAATGTGTCAATTGCAACAGGCATCTGCAATATTTGCTGCTTAGTAGACAGAACCTGGAATTTCCCTGAGACAAATTATGTTAATAACTGACAAAAGGTGAGAACCCGGCATAAACATGCCATACAAATCAGTTATGAAAGACAAACAATACAAAAGAAAAAGGAGCAATAATCTCCATGAAAGGATCATTGAAAAAGAGAAAACCTGAACAGCCAATAAACCCTTGAGAAGAAACTCAGCCTCATGAGCAGTCAGGGAAATGCAAATAAAACCACCACCGGCTTAGCAAAACCTTAAAGTTTGATCATATAAAATATAAACAAGGCTGATGGGGGAATGAATATTCTCAGAGCCTTCTGGTAAGAATGCAAATTGTTCAGCCCCTTTGGAGACAATATATCAACATGCAGGGACATTGCTAGTGTACATGACACACGGCCCAACATTTTTTTCCAAAGTAAGAATCCTAGAGAATCTTTTGCAGGTGTATATAAGAAGATGTTTACCAAGATGTTCGTCAAACCATTGAAAAAAATAGATACATTCTAAATATTTGTCAATAGTAAATGGAGAAATAAACCATGGTGTATACTCATATAATGGAATAGTACCCAGCACCTAAAATGAGTGATCTAAAAGTTACAATGTATCAACATGGATAATTCTGGAAAACCCAATGCAGTATAACACAATTTATCTAGACTTAAAAGTAAAAAAAAAAATGATGACTATGCATACTATTTCTAAATATATACCTTTGTAGTCAAAGCATTAAATGATAGAAAAGGTGAGCATCAGATTCCGTACTGTAGTGACTCTGGAGAGAGTATGAGGAACGGGAAGAGGAAGGAATACTCTAGGGACTTCGACTATATCCAAAACTACTGTATTCCTTTAAAAAACAAAGCAAAATGTTCATATATATATTAAATATAGTTGGGCATATGGGTGCTTTTCTTTGTATCTAAAATACTCCTCTTTTTTCATTAATATTATAAATACTTCCATTTTATGTAAGAATGGATCTTTTAAGCCCTTGATATGATGGATAAACCTAACAACTAAACTCAAGATCCTTCCTTCTTTCTGGATTTTGGTCCTCTTCTTTGGGGCTTTGACATGAAGCACAATGATGAAGCCAAAGCAGTAAAACTGTGTGCTGGACTCAGAGGGCACTTTGGGCCAATGAACCTCTCTTCAGGCCAGGGCTACAAGTCAGTGCTCAGACACTTCCAGAATGCTCTTTTTGTTTCATTCTCCTTTAAATGCTACAGAGAAGGAAACAAAGGGAGATGCCCCCCATGGCTTTAAGCCAAACCCTTAATTTTATTTGAATATAGTTTTGTCATTTAATTACTGCCATTTTTTTCTTTTCTCTCATTCTTTCTTTTTTTAAATCTTCCAGATTGCTGTGTAATTTTTGTATCTATGCAGATTAGAGTAAGAGTTTATGAAGAACCAGCCACATAATTAAGGATATAACAGAATCTTCCACTTTACAGCCATCTTCCCCAATTTAAAAAAATGACACTTTCCATTTGTGAATCATGCATTGCTAGCTTCCAAGTTTTTACTTAAGACAAATATTTTCTGTTCAAAGCCTGCTGCAATGAATTTCCAGCCTGGCAAGTAAACATGGATTTAAGTTGACAAGTCATCTCTGGAATTCACTGGCATTTTTGCTCTGGATCCGATTCTAAGAAGAAACAGTGATATATGCATGAGTGGTCTTATATGAAAACCATATGAGAAATTCCTCCCTCATTCAGGGCCTTTCCTCGAGAGCTTTGGTAGGACCTCAAGTTAGAACTCATTTTAGATTTAGAAAGACCTCCTGGCTGCACCTGTATGTCTTTTTATTGCCTGCCTGAACTTGGACACTAAGTTACTTTAAGAGATATAGATATGATAATGGTGGTTTCTCAGCCAGTATCTAGGGAGCAGGTAGCAGACCCAAATTTGGAAATTGGAAGAAGTTTCATACAGGGACTGTTTACAAAGATATCATCAAAGTAAAGGACACCACAAGACTAGTGACCCTAGAACTGTTACCACCCCTTGGCTTCAACCAGCAAGGGGAGGAAGGGGTTTACTGCCAGAGGGAGCTGTGTGGAAAAGGTAGCCTGATGGGAGCCATGACCAAGGCACTGTGCCAGGGAGGGGCCAGGAACTAAATACTTCAATTACTCTCCACTCTCCCTCCATTCTCTTATTGGTGCTTCCCACTGGGCAAACCCAACTAGACCCAGAGAGTAAGGAAGCTCCTTGATTTCAGGAGAGCACACAGCAGTGCTAACTAAATGTGAGAGCGGATATCAACACACCGGGCTCTCCACAAACGTTCTATCAATGCACTACATATCCACATGCTTAATATTCCACATAAGCTAATGTATATTAAAAATTATTCCAAGGATAATATATTCTCCATTTTTGGCAGGTAGCAGAGTCAAACTCCTGAGACAATTTATGGAGATGCTCTGATTCCCAAATTAGTCCGCTAGTGGGGTCTAAAAATCAGCAGGCTCAACATTATGCTTTGAGCGTATAAATGCAAATGATTCATTGCTGGAAAAGGCAACATGCTTTGTACTGACCAGGAGTGTATTAAAATAAAAACAAATGCAATGGATATCATAGCTGATTTTTCACATCAAGAGAAAAACGTCTTTTTGTACTTTTGTGTTGTGTAGAGCACTGATAGTGTATCTTCCTATTGACAGAGGAGACATCTGGATCATCAAAGAGAAAACCTACTATGTTCTTTCTAATGTTAAGATTAAATAAAATTCATATTTATTAACTAAGATACAGATTTGAAAAAAAGTTGTAAAATGTCTTATTTTTATAATAGAGGTGTAAGATTAAAAAAGCACAATCCCTGTCACTTAAGACAAAAACAAATGGTCCTATTCTGCTAACCAGCAAAGAATATGCTTTCCATAAAGCTGGATAAACCCAAGGCCAGATACAGGCAGAAACACAGCTATACCCCACCCACTGTACCTCCTTTCCAACTCTGCCTGAATACTTTTCCACATAAACCTCTGATATGGTTTGGCTCTGTGTCCCCACCCAAATCTCATCTTGAATTATAATCCCCATGTGTCAAGGGAGGGACCTGGGTAGGAGGTGACTGGATCATGGGGGCAGTTTCCCCTATGCTGTTCTCGTGATAGTGAGTGGGTTCTCGTGAAATCTGATGGTTTAAAAGTGTTTGGCAGTTCCCTGCTTGCTCTCTCTCTCTCTCTCCTGCCAGCATGTAAGATGTGCCTTGCTTCCTCTTCGTCTTCTGCCATGACTGTAAGTTTCCTGAGGCCTCCCCAGCCACGCAGAACTACAAGTCAATTAAACCTCTTTCCTTTATAAATTAGCCAGTCTCAGGCAGTTCTTTACAGCAATGTGAAAATGGGCTACTACAACCTCCTACTTACTTCAGTTAAATGATATGATGTGTGTATTTTGTGCATATCAGGGTCCTGGTACATACTATGTGCTCAATAAATGTTAGTCGTAGTAAAAAATAATAATAATACAGACAAAGGAAGTTCACAGGGCATTCAGGACAAGAAAGTTTATACATAATTTCAAACTTCAAGAAACAAGTTTTATTAAGAAGTTAATATCTGAGACATGCCTTAAAGGATGACTGGATTCTAACAAGTGAAAAACTGAGTGGGATTGGAAAAGAATACTGGGTCAAGGGAACAGCATTTGTGAAAGTAGTAAATGCTGGTTATAAATGAGAAGCAGGAATATCGTCATATTCTTGGGCTGCAGAATTTGGACTTAATTAAGTTAACATTGGAGAGCTATTGAAGGAATTAGGGAGGGAAGTGGCAATAATGATGATAAGAATAGCTGTTGTTTCTTGAGCACTTACTATGTAATGTATCAGGCACTGTTCTAAGTTCTTTACAGGTAGTACTACATTCATCCTCACAACTGTCCTATGAAATAGTTGATCTTAAGCACTACATTGAGTTAGGTGCTGCAAGTGATCTCAAAAAGGCTCTCATCGTCCATAACTTCATATGTACATTTGCTGGGGATGGGGAGAGAGGGAGTATTTTTATAGAGTTCTTAAATCTCAGGATTGGAAAGTACTTTAAAGTTATTAGCTCATTTAATGTTCACAATAATCCCATGAGGTAGGTCCTATTATTATATCAATTTATAGGTTAAAAAAAACTATAGCAGAGAGAGTTAAAATAACTTGCCTAGATTCATGCAACTAGCAAATAGTGGTCCTGAAGTGTTTGATTTCACGTAGTTTAACTCACTGTTAAAGGGTACTTACTCTTTAGTGCCACTAAACTATTCTCCCACTTAAGAAACATCCACTGTAAATTTGTTAGCTGTCATTAACTGGGCTAAAGACTGGGGCTACAGAGATAAATGAAAAGTGGCTCTTGTCTCCAAGGAATCCAGGGTTTCAGGGAGAAGAGAGAGTCATATCACAGAAAATTACAGTAAATATGATAAAAGCTCTACTGGAGGCATCCACTTGGGGCAATGGGGACTCAGAACTGGAGAGATCATTGACTAGAGGGTTCAAAGACGGTTTCCCATGGGAGGTGGCCATTAACTAGGTCAGAAAGACTATGCACTTGTCTGACAAGCGTTGAAAGAACTCACTGGGCAAGAATGTAACATTTGCAAAGGGGCATGAGAGAACATGGTAGGTTCAGGAAATGGGTGGTATTACTTATGGAAACAGCTCAGAAGAATGTTGAGAGGGTAGCATTAGCAGGTGTTGGAGTTGGATTGGTTGGATGCATAACAGAATGTCTTCTAGAATTCTGGTCTGGTGTAGTGGGGTAGAAAGAAGAGTGAGTCACCAGGATAGGGAATGGGGGAGAGGAGGATTTAGAAGCAGGACGTCTGGAGGGAAGGCTAATGAGGTGAGTTTCAGACATGTTCATCTGAGGTAGGGGTGGGACCTCTGGGTGGAGGGGAAGGCAGTGGGCAATCGGAAATGAGGGTCTAAAGGAAAGAAAACTGACAACTGTTACAATATCCAGGGTCTGTAACAGCCATCCAAAGTAAATTATATCATTTAATCATCGTGGAAGTAAAACAGCTCTACCCATAGAAGGTGTTTTTCCTTAAAATGACATTTGCTGCACAGGATTGTCAAATCAGGTAGAGGAAATAAGGCAGGTTTCAATGGAGATGGCGGGAGATAAATTAGGAGGTAAATGCTTTTAGTTCAAGGACAATCAAGTGCAAGGTTCTGTGAAGGTCAGTTGGTTTGCAGGCCAGGACTAGGATGAGGCAAGAGAGTGAGTGTCTCATTAAATTTTGTCTCATTCAGGTCCCCCTGGTCCTGGCCCTGGTGATCTGATTAAGAATCATAAAGAGGCTGATTAAGCAGTGGGTGGCATTTTGTGCAAAGGAGGAGATAGTGGGGCCAAGCAGGCCACTCACAGACGTGATGAGGACAGCTAGTAGTTCTCGGCCCCCGCTGAATACTGGAATTATCTGGATAACTTGTAAAGAAACCAATTCTCTGACATCCTCTCCACAGGCTCTGATTTCACTGGTCTAGAGTGAGACTTAGGCACTGGTAATTTTTTTTTAACATTCCTAAATGATTTTTATATTCAAATAGGGTTGTAAAAGGCTCAACTAGAAAAGATGACAACTGCTTGCAGGGGAAAATAGGCAATATCAGATCCAGGAAAATAATGTCAAGTGTATAACTGGAACCATCCAAATCTTTAGATGCTGGAAGTCATTGCAATTTATTAGTAGCATTAGTAATGATACCTTTATAACAGGTAGAATCTACTTTGTTCATCAACATAACCATCCAGGGTGAGGGGGCTTGGACCACTTAAATAAAAATGTAACGTCTATGAAAACACAAAGCTACAAATGGTCCCTAGGAAGACAGTCAGTGCTAGGCCATAGGACCAATTTTACAACACCGGGGAATCTTCATGAAGACTCTTGAATATACGTTCTGTCAGCAATGGCTGCTATAGAGTAGAAGGTGTCACTGTGATGCATATGTAGATAAAAGCAGATTGAAACAATGTTTATTTTAAGCAGGTAGCCAACGTTCAAAAGATCATCCAGCAATTTCTACAAACCCAGCTCTGCTGTAAACTGTAAAATGAGAAGGTACTCTTTTGAAGGAAGTACAGTCCAAAAGCAGAGAATTCCCACCAAAAATAAAAAGGAGAACCCCATCCCGCTTTACTTTCCATCTTCATGGAAAGTTTCATGCTTTTGTGTGTGTGTGTGTCCCTTCCTTCTCTCCTGTTTCCTGACACCCTCTAATTAGTGCTCTCATCGCTGCCTCTGGCACCACGCATGCTGTAGGTGGTTGGCGTGACACTGGATGCCTGCCCCTGCAGTGCTATTAGGCACCCTGTGGCGCACAAACAAAAAGCCCAGAAAGCCTGACCCAACCATTTTCCTATGAATAGAACGTGCTTTCTTTATCAAGATAAAAGGTGCTTGTCTATTTGTATAGAGAGGAGATACACATATACGCATAAATATAGAGAACCTTGTGTATGTGTATTGCATGTGAGTTTCCTAGTCTAAAAAGGTTCTGGGTCAGAAATATTTTGGCATGTCCTTAAATAGATTCAAAGTTCCTGAAAGACGTCCTCCACGTTTGAAAGACTTAGAGAGTGAAACTTTCTTAGAAGGAAGCTGGAATTGAGTGAAATCTCTTGATCTTGAGATTAAAGAAGCTCCTAAGAAATAGATAATCCTGACTTTCTTCCAAGCTTCTTTCATGACATCTTAAGGTGGAGCTTCTTCCTTTGCCTTGGAGAGAGAAATCACAGGATCTCTGTAGTTCCAGTCCCTTTCCACCTCCAGTATGGGATGGAAAGAAGCTGGGTTTTTCTCTCACAGTCAGATATCCAATTAGTATTTATCAAGTGAATACCAAGGGCTGCTTCATTGGCTAAAGAGGACTTTTGCTCTGAAGTTCTTTCTCTGGAGAGTTATATCTCCACACCTCTGTGGGTGTTGAGCTGTTAAAATGACCATGGTGGATGGTAGTGATCAGGACTGAAAATGGGATCACAAGGGAGGATTTGCAAGGTGGCGGGGGGCAGCCTCTTACTGGGGCGGAAAGTCCTAGTACTTACCCAAAAGGGCCAGGGTAGTAGAGAGTATGATGACTATTTAGGACTACATGTTAGACTCATCACAGCCCACTCGACTCTAAAACTGAATGAACACTGGGCTACAGGCCTTGATGATCTCCTATCCTGTCCTAATGTAGGAGGCAGGTTGTCCTCCTTTGCCCTGTATCGTCAGAGACTAGAGCTGATACCTTCTTAAACAGTGGGCAGCGAGAGGTACTCCTTATTTTACTACTGCAGACATTAGGATACACACATCCCAGTTTGCCTGTGACAGTCCCCATTAATTCTTGGTGTCTTGGTGTGCACCTCCTCTCACAAGTGTCCAGGTTTGGAAGGAAAATTTTGTTATCACCCCAATGAGAACTGAGTGCTTAACAAAGACTCGATGCTGTGTCCTTACATCGGACTTGTAATATAGGAATTGAAATTGAGAGCCTGGCTAATCCAAAGCTAGGAAGATTAATTCTGTTATTAATGATAACTGAGGACTATCTACATCTTAAACAAAATGAGTTAGTTGTCAAGCTTTGAGGTGCCTTCCCTTTGCTGCGGCAGTGTTCAATGCTTGGGCTCTCTCATACGGTTGTTTCGGTGTTCCAGGGCAGACAGAAGGTGCACAGGTGAGGGGTAAGCAGGGAGTTCTCTCTCCATGCCACACACACAGAAGAGGCTCCTTGTCCAACTCACACAGAGCACTGTGTGGCTAATGGTGGCCTCAGACATGGTTTGTCACATTGGAAAACGCACATTTTGTTGAAAAGACAAGATGAACATATCACAATTATCGTTAAACCCCACAAGACAATATATGATTAAATCTAATTTTGGAGTGCCTGGAGCAGATCAGGGTAGCCAATAAATAAATGTTGAATAAATAAATGGATGGCTATCATTGACTACTCTAAATGTGTGATGGATTCAGAGAAGGGGAAATGAACAAGGGTTAGCATAGAATGGGTTGTTATCATGGATGAGATGGGAACCTTGAGGGAAGGATAAGTTGAATTGAGTGGATAGGGAGGATTTATGGGGGTGGATAGAGGTGGGAGAGGAACTTTCCATTTTAGAAGAATAACATGAGTGTGGGAGTCAGACAGTGCAATAGTAATCACACCACATACAGTTTTGCCGACAAAAAACCAAAAAACCAAAAAATTTGGTTTTCTAGTGTAAGAGAAAGGAATGATAGAGTCAGTTTTAGAATCTCCTTAGCTATTACTAACCACTGGTCTCTTTGAATACTCTTTGTAAGGCAAAGTGAGTACAAAGTGAGTACAACCCTTAGGGGTCGACATCCCATGAACAACAAAACATTTCACATGTAGCTCGGAATACATTCAATGTATCTGAGTTCTTTGAGGTAAGGGAAGAAAGTTTATACTAACAATTCTGGTTATTGGTTTGCAACTTATAGACCAATGAAATATTTACATTCCATTGATATTTCCAAATAGCCAAGAATGCGATAGGGTTTAATACATAAAACCTTTTAGTATAAAAGCTCTAGAGACAAAGGATCTTTGTCGGCCGGGTGCGGTGGCTCACGCCTGTAATCCCAGCACTTGGGGAGGCCGAGGCGAGTGGATCATGAGGTCAGGAGATCGAGACCTTCCTGGCTAACACAGTGAAATCCCATCTCTACTAAATATGCAAAAAATTAGGTGGGCAAGGTGGCAGGCGCCTGTAGCTCCAGCTACTCGGGAGGCTGAGGCAGGAGAATGGCGTGAACCCAGGAGGCAGAGCTTGGACGCCGTCTATAAAAAAAAAAAAAGGATCTTTGTCTTTTTATTCCTTGACATGGCCCAAGCCTCTAGACCAGTTGCTGGCACATGGTAGCCATGCAATCAGTGTCTGTTGAGTGAATTACTACCCACTGTCCAAGAGACAGTTCTTCTTCATTATCAGAAAAGAACTTTGTGACCATTAGTTTAGCTGTCTGAATAGATAAGAGGAAGATTGTTCTGATTTCCTCATGCTTAACATTTAGCCATGATTATAATGGCTGAAAACCTTTGAAGCTTTTGAACAGATCCCAGTTCTCTATTTCACTGGGGAGAAATTGCCCAGGACCCATGAATTTGGATGTTCTCCCTTTGAGCAACATTCATAGAAGATGTACTCAAAACAACGCAGACCATATGGGTGATGTTAAGAGCCTTTAGAATCTCACAGACTGAAAATCCATTCTTTTACAACCCAAAGGTGCTGAGATCAGACATTCTAAAAACCAAAGCTTGCTAAACCTTTTAAAAGTAAATAGTTTCTATACTGCATTATTGGGGTTGAAAGGGCAAACTGGGTATGGCAGTTTTTTCTATCTATTCTCAAATGCTTTGACATGACAGTCAGGATGAAGGGTAGCATTCATGTCTTAGACCAAAAAATCACATTGGTTCCAACAAGGTGATTCAGACAGTGTAAGGATGGACTTATATGCTAATTCTACTTCCAGTAACAGCTCATGTCACCTTTAGCAAACTGGGTTATTCTCAAAAAGTTAAAGACCATGCCCTGAAATTGGTCTTTGGGATATAGCTTATAATTAAGAATAAACCAACTTGCAAATGACTCTACCTTAGATATAAAAATAATAACAGTTCTAATCACCAAAATCAGCACAGTTACATAGTTACATTAATGAAATGAACAAGGAAAAATATATTTTCATACATAAATTTATAGATCTCTATAGGAAAAGAGAAGGGATTGATCTATCTAAATATATTTCTATATCTGTCTAGTAAGGCATTTACTAGACAGATACAGAATTATAGATTCCACAGAAGGAATCTATAATACTACTAAAGATAGACTATCAGCTCACCTATCAAAACTGTACTCCACTCTTTTGTGTCTTAACAATGTACTTTCTATCATTTTCAGTTTTATTTATTGGCTACATATTTGAGAGTCTTTCAGTCTATCACAACTCTTCTTTGTGCACCTTACCAAAAGAAACCCAAAGTAAAGAGAGCAAGGCACACTTTAATAGCCTGTTCAGATATGGTCTAATTTAAAAACCAAACATTCTCTTAAAGCCAGAGAAAAACTCTTGACTTAGGTCAGATGACCTCAAATCAAAGCAATAATAGGTTCTCAACAAGCATTTAATTCAAGATAATATAACGGAAATGCCTAGCACAGGGCCGGGAACATAACAGTAACTCAGTGGTAGCCATTGTCACTATTATTTTAAAAAACTAAAGTCTGACATATGGTTTTGCTTTTTTTTTTCATGATTGGGTAAATATATTTCATTAAATCATGGTTCTCAAATCAAGCTGGGCATGAAAATGAGCTGATGTTTAAAATACAGATTCCAGACCTCCCTAAGTCAGTCTCTAGAAACGAAAAACCCTGAATCTTCATTAAAGAAAAAAATCTTCCCAGGTGATTCTGATGTAGATGGCCCATGGACTTGCACAGGGAGCCATTCCATTGCCTTAGGAGATTTTTCATTAAAAACTTGAAATATCAAGAATCTATTATATTTTATCAAAAAGAAAAAAGCATACAATTATGTGTATGTGTAATATATGCTACGTATATATTACATATATTACACATACGTAAAATTGTACACTTTTACACAGAGTATATGTATGTGTATATAGACACATAGTATATATATGTGTCTATCTATGTATCGATCTATCTACCTATCTATCTATAATGTATGTATACACATACAGTTGATCCTTAAACAACAGGGGTTTGAACCATGAGGGTCCACTTATATGTAGATTTTTGTCTGCCTCTCCCATGCCTGAGACAGCAAGACCAATCCCTTCTCTTTTTCTTCCTCTTCCTCAACCTACTCAACAGGAAGATGACAATGAAAACTTTTATGACAATCTACTTAATAAATAGTAATGACATTTTATCTTCCTTGTGATATTCTTAACTTTTTCTCTAGCTTATTTTAAGAATACAATCTACAATATGTATAACATACAAAATATGTGTTGACTGTTTATGATATTGGTAAGGCTTTCAGTCAATAGTAGGCTATTAGCTTTCAGGGAGTCAAAAGTTATACATGGATTTTAAATTGTGTGTAAGTGGGCACCCCTAACCTCTGCATTGTTCAAGGGTCAATTGTGTGTGTGTGTGTATATATATACACACACACGTATGTGTGTATATATATATACACACATGTATGTGTGTGTGTGTGTGTATATATATATACATACATACACATGTATGTATATTTTTAATTTCCAATAACTGCTTCTCAGGGAGTAAGACTTGTCTTTTTTTTTTTTAGACTTGTCTTATAAGCATTACTAAATTGCTATCCGGAACTAAAATGAGTGACAGAAGACAATAAATCTCTTTAAAATTTGAGCAGCAAATCATTCACATACTGGAAAGTTTCATCTCAATACATGTGTCCATTGACATCTGTAATATGAAAACACTGAATATAACTTTTTGAAAATCTGATCTCAAAAGGTGCCTTTGTACTGCAAAAGGGGACTTAGAAAATACTATTGTCTAAAAAACTGGGGAACTTTCAGAAATTTCCCAGGATGGATTCCTGGCATTGAGATGGTCGTTGCGCATCTCATGCCTCTCCTCAGTTCAGCCCTCCCTGCTGTGAACACTGTACTCAGAGCTTGATTGTGTACAAATGTTTAGACCATTTCATTCAAGGGCTGGAGGGAGGCCTGGGGACAAACGAAAATGAAGGAGAGCCATTTCTGTGGCTGGGGAGGCCACTTAAGTCAGTGGGAAGTTAATTGACTTTTGACTGGGGGTGGAGGTATTTGCTATATCCTAGGGAGAGTCATTTTTAATGGTGTTGCAGTCTGATCTGTACCCATATTCTTAGACATGAATAATTTAGAGAGAAAATACTTCTCTTTCATTCTCTTCTTTAATTCACCATTTGCAGGAATATTCTAATAGGAAAGCCTATAAAATTCTGAGACTCGGACTGAGGGAATACTGTAGAGAACAATTCCACGTTATGTGAGCAAGGATAAAAACAATGCCTTTTCCCTCCCTCCCTCCCTGTCTCTGTCTCTCTGTCTTTTCCACAGAAAAAGATGAGCCAGCTGGGCCAAGGCAATGGTAATTGTCAGAATTCAGGGGTCTTATCCATCATGGACTGGATGTATTAAGATGATTATAGCTTTATCATAAGGAACAAATGAACAGAGACTTTCATGTGCCTCAGAGAGGGATGCAATTCTTAGTAAACAATCCACATAGGAAGATAATTGAGCACAACTTTGCAGACAGAGCTCATGATACTCTGGGAGAAGCCCTGAAGAAAGTAATACAGGCTGGGCATGGTGGCTCACACCTATAATCTCAGCACTTTGGGAGGCCGAGGTGGGCAGATCACGAGGTCAGGAGATCGAGACCATCCTGGCTAACAAATGAAACCCCATCTCTACTAAAAATACAAAAAATTAGCCAGGTGTGGTGGCGGGCACCTGTAGTCCCAGCTACTCGGGAGGCTGAGGCAGGAGAATGGCATGAACCCAGGAGGCAGAGCTTGCAGTGAGCTGAGATCATGCCACTGCACTCCAGCCTGGGCGACAGAGCGAGACTCCATCTCAAAAAAAGAAAAAAGAAAAAAAGAAAGTAATACAACATTGGGTCAAACAGTCCTGTTCACCGGTGTCTTCCATATAAGTGCCCACCCAGCATGGTGCCTGTTACATAGGTGCCACACCAAAATTATTTACTGAATGAATAAACAACTAACTTGAGCGATGACAAAGGCATTGTGGGGGAAAAAAAAACTGGAAGGGAAGTGCCCATATGTTAACAGTGATTTATGTCTCTTTTACTTTACTTTTTGTACAGATTTTATGTAACATGTATTACTTTTATAATTCGAAAAGACAAATAAATACAAAAATAAACAAGGTCTCCTTGTTTTCTAATTCCTCAGTTTTCCCTGCCTGAGAGCTTTGTGGTCTGTTTCCCTATTGCTGGCAATTACTTTCTTATTTCATCCCATGAAGGAATGTTCAGCATTATTGACTTTGATGTATTTAACTACCCTTTGAAGTGCATACATTGCTATATCTTCTCCCTTTTAGAGATGGGTATATTGAGGCTCCCAGAGATACAGCAACTTCCTTTGCACTGTTTGCAGGTAGGCAATAGAGGCAGAACTGAAACTGGGTTCAATTTCCTTTCAATATGCCACACTGCCTTCATATGCCCTGCAGGAATTTAAGGAGCTGAAATGCCCCTGCCTATGGCACTGAGATACTCTAAAAGTCACTGGCACTAAGTGAACAGTCTCCAGCAACTGATCCAAGTAAGAATGAGGAAACAGATGCCCTTTTGCTTGGAAGGTTTAAAGTTAAGTAAGCAAGATAGAACAGAAAACTACAATTAGGCTTAATAACAATCTAATAGGAACAAACAAACAAGGAAAATCTGTCCTTAGAGTAGGAAATGACAACACTTCCATAGATTAGTGATGCTCTCCTGTCATTTACTTCATTATAATTATGGAGTAAAAACAAAGAGGGCTGATAGCCAACCCTGCAGGCTGGCTAAGATTATCTGTCCATTCATGTATGTTCATTCATTCCATCACTCACGCATTATCAACACATGCTTATCAATCATGATGCTTGAGTATGAGGCTGGTTGAGATTCAGGCCAAACTTGTGGCAAATCAGAGACCTCCAAAGTTCTTTCAAAGTCTTAAAGGACTTTGCAAATACTAGTACTGACTCTACTTTAACTGAAAGAATCTCATTGATCCAAGGAATTCCACAGCATAGCTCCTGACCTGCTGAAAAGCCTTTGGCAAGAGCAGATATGGCTGCTTCAGCAGGTTCTGGAGATCAAGACCGTAACTCCAGGCATTAGTAATAGAGAACCTTTCATGTGTATAATATGTTCTACTTAAATTTATATAGAAATCTCAAAATCCTCTGTCAACATTATTGACTTTGATGTCTTTACCCTTTGAAGTGCATATGTTGCTATATCTTCCCCCACTTTTACAGATGGGTATAGGGAGGCTCCCAGAGATGGAGTGACTTCCTGACCTTTGCACTGCTTGCAGGTAGGCAATAGAGGCAGACCTAAAAATGGGTTCAATTTCCTTTCAATATGTCACACTGCCTTCATATGCCCTGCAGGAATTTAAAGAGCTGAAATGCCCCTGCCTATGGCACTGAGATACTATAAAAGTCATCGGCACTAGGTTAACAGTCCCCAGCACCTGATCCAACCTGATGTGTACATAGGCAGGTGATTTTCTGTTAGACATCATCATCATCATTAGCTTTCAACAATTACAATTCTTGTCCCTTTAGCCCAGAAAAGCCGATAGAGAAGCTGTTCAGGTAGTTCTGATCCAAATTTCACAGATCCAGGAGGTTTGGTATGGCGGTGGAGTGGCGCCTAATGGCTGACCCTTTTGAGGTTTGCCGACCACCCCAGGTTGTTCAGTGCAGACTTGTCATCTGGCGGCTGCAGCTTTCAAGCAATTACCCGTGGCCACTTAGTGACAGTGTTTAGGAAAGTTAAGTTGGGATTGTTCCCAACTCCTAATTTACCTCTCAATAAAAACTGAAAGTTAAAAAAAAAAACAGCTTGGCTGCAGCATCCAAGTGTTTTTGAAAGACACAGCTGGGGCAGGAGGGTGTGAAGGAAGCCATCTGACCAAGGACTCAGATGAGCTGGGGATGCTGGGAAGGGTGTGGGGACAGCTGCAAGAGCTGTTTTCAGGGGCAAATGAACAGACAGTTTAAAGAGGATGAAATCTGATCATTTCTCCTTATCCAGCAGTTGCTTCTCTTTCACGGATGTTCAGAAGTAGCCCCTGTGGTTTCTGCCCATTTCCAGGGTGTTTTCCTCACTCTCTTTTAATAGCTCATCTCAAATCCTGTGCCATCAACACAGAAATTTAGGAATCTATTTTGTAAGGCCAGGAAATTCTTATTTCTACATGGCTGTTGAGGACACTTTAACAAAAATAATGCCAATTTTATCTTAATTTTTAACCTTGTAGGTTGCCTATTTGTTTTAAAAATTATTTCTAATTCAAAGAACTTTATAAAATCTATAAAACAAGGAAGTGAGAGGAGAAAGCCACCTATGAGGCTGCTACCCGAGCCTTCACTTTTCCTCCCTGACAGTTATTTCAGGTGATTTTTTAAAAAGAAGTTTTCCATTTAAGGGACCGAATATTTCATGCAACTAGGCTTCAACACTATAATAATGATGAAGTGGCTGGCTTCTGGAGGGTGGCCATTGTTTTAAACATGAGTGAAGGATCCCAGAAACCCTCAGCTGACAAATGTTTCGCTTCTCCCCCAACCCCTCCACATTACTGTACATTTTCCCACCTCCTGTGGCTCTATTCCAAGAATTCTTGACATTGAAAATTAGCTCAGCTCCTTATAATTTAGGCAAGACTTAATTTAAACAAATGGTTCAGTTACCATCTGGGAAAGGCCTGGCAGAGTGTTAGAAAACCCTCTAAAATGTTTAGTCTGTTTTACTCTACATTTTCCTAATATTTTGCTTTATATGTCTCCCTCTAGTTAGTAGCTATTATTGGGTCTTCATCTTTCTCCTGGCCCTCTTTCACCTGTTTAGCTTGAGTTTCTGTACTTCTTCCTTCTCTCTAGTTTCTCCTTCTTTTGATCTATTTTTTCTTTCCCATTCTGATTAGCTAGTAGGATGGTGTTGCCTCCTATCTTAGGCTTGCTAAGAAAGGTTCCTGTAGAAGGAGTTGCTTACCTGTTTTTGTCCATCCTGGACAGTGGAATCTTAATACATAGTGGGGGGGTGGGTTTATAAAAGTGATGATTTAGAATGAGAAATGAGATCATAACCAAGGACAATTTTTTTGTTGTTTTTTGAGACAGAGTTTCGCTCTTGTTGCCCAGGTTGGAATGCAATGGTGCAATCTTGACTCACTGCAACCTCCGCCTCCCAGATTCAAGCGATTCTCCTGCCTCAGCCTCCCAAGTAGCTGGGATTACAGGCATGCTCCACCACGTCTGGCTAATTTTGTATTTTTAGTACAGATGGGGTTTCACCACGTTGGTCAGGCTGGTCTCGATCTCCTGACCTCAAGTGATCCACCCACCTCAGCCTCCCAAAGTACTGGGATTACAGGCGTGAGCCACTGCACCTAGTCATAAATTTTTAAAAGTTGACGAATATCACAAATGTCACAACATCCAGAAACATGGCATCACATAATTTGTATATAATTATTAAAATATTAATAAATATATTACTGTATATACAAACATAGTAATTGACCAGCCCAACATTATTTTTGTCTACATTTTGCCCGCACACTTTTTATATGATAATTTCTGTGCTGCCAAATAAAAGCAGCTCAGTATCCTTAATGTCATGTAAAGTTTTCAGATTGACATCAAATTTAGGAAAACCTCTATTAAGTCGTTTTTTTTCTAACGTGAGTTTATGATTTTAGGGAGTGACTAATTTTAAATACTATAAATCGAAAACACTTAAGAATCAGTTTGTCATAGATGTCATTGTTGTGGAGGCTCATTATGAATTTTTTCAAATTTTTATTTCCTGACAAGATAGGACTGCTTTGACCCAGCATCAATGAGCACTAAATCTGCTACTTAAATATTACATTTCTGATGACTGTACACATTTCATGCAGACTAGCTTCTGACTTCGTACATTTTAAACCTTATTTCTCCTTCATTGCTTGCATATTTTGGTTTGGGGCACCTTTGGCTCACACTCCCAGGAGAAGAACCACCGTGGATGTGGACTAAAAACCCTTCCCACACTGGGACAATCAGTATAGCTCAGCCTAAGTTCTTCCTACGTGAAATAATTGGGAACCAAATAAATACAATCTCATAAAACCCAAACAAAATGTATCTGTCATTCAACTTTCCCTTAACTGGATCCCAAAAATGACTTTGGCTACTCCAATGCCACCAGACATAAGAAGTCATTCAAAGGGAAAGTTAAAGCAGAAAAGGCAGTGGTCTTAACTGACTACAGTTAAAATATCTTATTTTTTCAAATTTTACAAAAACGGTTCTTGGAAGAAGCTGTACAAATGCATACCTCTGAACCTTAAGCTTTATTATTTATTTGCTTCAGTATAAATCTACTTCTGCTGTGAAAACATTTAACTTGGGGTTTTTTTTTTAGAAACAGAAAAAAGCTTTAAGAATGGCAGAAATCTTATTTTGTAGAGAGAACTAAATTTTGTTGAGTCCACATATTTGTGTAGGCAAAAATCATAACTTTTATACAGTAGCTGTTTGTACAGATGTGGCTATTGAGTAATAATTCAGGCCCATGGACTATGAGAGGTACGTGAGATGGCGGTGGGGGAGAGGGTGGCTTGTTAGACCAGGGCATTGATGAGGCAGACCTGAGCAGCTGGGAATCAGCCATGGTTCAGACTCCCGGCAATTCCAGCTTTGCTCTGAGCCTCTTTGGAAGCCCTTCCCCAACATCACCCACAATGTTGCGATAACCACCATCTGATCCTTGGCAAACAACTTCCTTCAAAACAAAACAAACAACAACAACAACAAAAAAAACAGCAACTTCTCTTCTCTTCCATCTCACCCCAAAACATCATTCTTTCTTTGTCAAGTTCATTGAACCAGGTGGTAGGAGAAATGAGTTCTTTTTTGTTGTTCAGTGGGTGGAAAGGTATATCAGCCTCAGCTTTGGAGTTCATTTTTATTTGACATGACTTTTGTAATGGGTTCTGATGTGTCTCTGGTGTAGTCACACTAAGAAACCAGTGAAAACACTTCCACAGGTTCAGACACACGGGCTAACTCATGATGAATCCTTACCCAGTGACCCACGACAACAACATGGGGCCGTGGTGGGAAGGAGGGAGATGCACACCCCTTTGCTCAGATGACTGTGTTTCCTCCCTTCAGAAACTGTACTCTTTGCATGTTTTCACCTAGAAAGTAGGAAGAAGAGCCCCAAAAACATACTGACTGAAAGAATAACCTCTTGCTTGGAATTTGAGCTGAAGACATCCATATCTCTATGCCTGGAGCCAAGGCTTCATGGGGAACATTCTTAAATATCTTCCAGGCAACAGTAGCACTGTATTGTGCTATTGAATCACTCAATCTTTTCTTTCTGCTGAAAATAGCTCTGCCCAGGTTATTCTCTGAACTTTATGAGACTGAAATACTGTAGGACAAACCAAAAGAGCTTAGGAGAAGAAATTTTATATTCTTGAGAAGTTCTTCTGGAACTTTGAGATCCCTTTGAATTCCAGTTTTGTAATTTTATGATCTAGAAATCTGCTTCCAGGATGCCTCTGATTTGGAAACACTGAAAATATCTATTAAATTTTGTATGTCTATGAGGGTGAATGGTGTACAGGGAAAATGTTGGTGTTAATTTTTGTGAGTTAATCATGAATAAGTTCCAAATTATTCAAAGTTCTAGTAATTTCTAAATCTAATCCAAATGTAAAATCTTTAACTCTGATACTTCAAGATGGTGAGAGGTGAAGCCAGCTGGACTTCTGGGTCGAATGGGGACTTGGAGAACTTTTCTGTCTTACAAGAGGATTATAAAATGCACCAGTCAGCACTCTGTAGCTAGGATTGTAAAACGCACCAATCAGCACTTTGTAGCTAGCTAGAGGTTTGTAAAATGCACCAATCAGTTCTCTGTAAAAATGGACCAATAAGCAGGATGTGGGCGGGGACAAATAAGGGACTAAAAGCTCGCCACCCCAGCCAGCAGGGGTCCCCTTCCACGCTGTGGAAGCTTTGTTCTTTCGCTCTTCACAATAAATCTTGCTGCTGCTCACTCTTTGGGTCCACATCAGCTTTAAGAGCTGTAACACTCACTGCGAAGGTCCGCAGCTTCATTTTTTAAGTCAGCGAGACCAAGAACCCACTGGAAGGAACCAACTCTGGAAGCAATGGAGCTCAATGTAAATAAGTTACAGTAATAGGACAGCTAAGGTGTATAAGATATCAGTATTTTAAGGAGTGATTTATAATGCAACTGTATTATAAGAGATTAATAAACACACCAAGAAAGGAAAGTTTTCACCTTTTAAGAGGAGAAATTTTATTGCACTATGTGACTTTATACTTACCTTATTGTACTGATGCACAGAAATAGAGATTTGGTTGCCAAATATTTTTAATTCTACTGTAAGTTGAATTTTAAATAATAAAAAGTAAAATTAGTAGCCAGGAACAAAACCTAAAATAGGCAGTGGTCTAGCATATGATTGTGACTCTTCTGTTTAATTCTGTAAAATGAAAAAGAAAACCAAATGCTACCTACAACAAAAACACATTTGGAAAAAAACATCATCCTGCCTCAGCCTCCCAAGTAGCTGGGACTACAGGTGCATGCCACTGCACCCAGCTAATTTGTTTTATTTTTAGGATAGCATCTTGCTATGTTGTCCAGGCTGGTCTCAAAAGTCTGGCCTCAAGTTATTCTCCTGCCTCAGCCTCTGCAGTAGCTGGGTTTATAAGTGCAAGCCACACCTATATTTTAAATCTATGTCATACATGAACAGGCACTTTTCAAAAGACACACACGCAGCCAAAAAGCATATGAGAAAAGCTCAATATTACTGGGCATTAGAGAAATGCAAATCAAAACCACAATAAGACAGCATCTCACCCTAGTCAGAATGGCTATGATTAAAAATAAAAAAATAAAAAACAGAAGCTGGTGAGGTTCCAGAGAAAGGGGAACACTTATACACTGTTGGTGGGAGTGTAAATTAGTTCAACCATTGTGGAAAGCAATATGGTGATTCCTCGAAGAGCTAAAAGCAGAACTACCATTTGACCCAGAAATCCCATTACTGGGTATATACCCAGAGGAATATAAATCGTCCTACCACAAAGACACATGCACAGTGTTCACTGCAGCACCATTCACAATAGCAAACACATGGAATCGACCTAATCGCCCAACAATGACAGACTGGATAAAGAAAATGTGGTACATGTATGCCATGGAATACTATGCAGCCATAAAAAAGAATGAGATCATGTCTTTTGCGGGAATACGGATGGAGTTGGTGGCTACCATCCTTAGCAAACTAATGCAGGAACAGAAAACCAAATACCACATGTTCTCACTTATAAGCGGGAGCTGAAGGATGAGAACTCACGAACTCAAGGCAATAACAGACACTGGGGTCTACTTGAGGGAAGAGGGTGGGAGGAGGAAAAGGAGCAGAAAAAAATACCTGTTGGCTTAAGTTATTAATAACTATGGCTTAATACCAGGGTGATGAGATAACCTGTACAACAAACCCCCGTGACAGCAGTTTACCTATATAACGAACCTTCACATTACTCCCAGACCTAAAATAAATGTTAAAAAATAAATAAAGCTATGTCATAGAGGTAAAGTCAACATGTAGAAGTGAAATGTAGCATTGCCAAGCTTTTTTTCCCACAGCTATTTTCCACTGTAAATTCCCTAATAAAAGAACATCCAAGAATCAGAAACCATAACTCATATATTCATTCCCAGATATTTGCCAAATGCCAACACTGAAGATTTAGCAATTTTCACGGCAAAGTCCCTGCCCTCATGGTCTTTATATGGAAGTTTTGGCAAAGGCTCCAAGACAGTAGAAAATACATCCCAAGTGGGAAGGAGTCGTGGAAAAAGGAGAGGAAAGAAAGCCCACTTGCTTGTGTGCCTCTAAAACCCGGAGTACTGATATTGTCTTTATTTATAATTTTGATATTTTGCTTATAATTTTTTTGCATTAATATGGATTTTTTTTAAAAAAACAACATATTAAAACATAATTTATCCTGATTACTGCCTAATATACGTATCCACAGTATAAAATGGTTCTGAGGTTGAGAGTAGGCAGATTTCTTCAGAAGAAGCTGCAACTGTGCTGTGGCTCCTACCTCCTCTACCTCCCACCAGGGAAAGCCCAGACACTTAAAGAAGCTTCAGTAAGATTACTCTAAGGGCTTACTCTGGATGTCCTGTGCTTAGGGGACACAACACACTGGCCCACAGTGATAAATCCAAGGGATGGGCGACTCGGGGGCTGGTCTGCAAACCCAGCCTGGACAAGATTGCATGAATATTTTCTGTGAACCAGAGTGGGGAGGGAACACAGGAGAGGAAGAATTTTTGTAGGGTCACCTTGGGTCCTGTCTGGGAAGATAGCCAGGAGTAACTGGAGTGGTCTTGGCTGGAGGATGACTACATTTCTAGGGGCTGAGGGAGGTAAGGAAGGACTCAGTTCCCCAAGCCTTTCCCCCTGAGAGTTCACACTCCCCGTGAAAGGACTACACAGGGAAGAGTATGTACTCCCGTGACCCAACACTGGCACTTGCTGCATGTGGCAGATCTTTAGTATTACGTTGATGCAAAAGTATTTGCGATTTGCCCATTACTTTTAAAGGCCAAAACAGCAATTACTTTTGCAGCACCATAATACTTTTTTGTTATCGGAGTTCTTGCAGGTAACCACAACCAGCAAGTGCTAGTGTGGGGTCACCACTGAAGGGCAGAACTTTCCAGCTTTGTCACCAGTGCTCCCACCCTGGGCTGCCTTCTGGAAAAGTCAGAAACCTGGGAAAGCAAGAAGGGAAAGGAGGAGGACAGGGCCAAGGACAGAAGGAGAGGAGAAGCTACCGGGACCCCTTCCCTGTCTAAACCCCACCCCCAAGACTCAAGATCAAGGCGAGGAAGATGTGCCTCAATTTAAAGTCAACACTGAAATTTTGACTATAGGACTTGCCTTTCAATTGCAACACGGTCATTGTTTCGTTATTAGAGGTGATTATTTTCATTTTTTAGAAAACCTAAATGTGACCAAAAAGTCCTTATTAGAGGGAAGAACTTAAAAGGACAATGGGTGACAACATTTTTAGATATTGATGAGTGTTATACATAACAATAATATAAGATGGTGGGAATTGTGGAGAGGGAGCGCTTTTCTTGGGTAGTGTGATCAGAAAAGATTATCCGGAAATGACATTTGAGTGGAGGCCTGAATGAGTGGACAGCAGACGCTGCTGAGATGAGGGGGAGTGAGCTATAGGATCAGGAGTGAGAATGGCCACTTTCTGCCCTTCTCAGAGGTAAAATTACGAATGTAATTTCCTAATTACCCGATGAAACATATTTTGAACTAGAACACAGATGTTTGGGAAAACCTCCAGCAAATTGACTTAATCTGATTGATTTTCTGATTTAGTGTTTTTCTAAGCAAGAACTGCACCCGTTGTGACAGAAGAGGCGCTAAAGCTGCAAATTCCTGGGCCTCGACCCACTAGTTCCTAATCAGAAACTCCAGGGTGGAGACGCAGGATCTGCATCCCTGGGATCACACTGCCTTTCGAGAACCATCCACCTGCCAGCTCCAAGTAGGTCGAGGGAGCAGCGGCACCTGGGATCCCACCGGACCGGGAAGAGTCAAATCCAGGTTTCTCCCTGCTTCACCAAAAGGCCCCCTGCCTCCACCGCAACAGGAACAGTCTCTGTCTGGGAACTGCGGTTGCCTAAGGCTCGGTTTGCTCTTCAGCACTCCGGTCCCCCAACACCGCGTCAGGCGGCGCCCAGCCTCCCGGGGACTCGCAGACGCTCACTCCCCAGACCACAGCGACACCTGCCGAGGCCCCGCGGAACCGCGCTGCACAGCAACCCAGCGCGGCGGGGGGAGTGGCCTGGGGCCATTCTCCGGCCCCCACCCCCCGCCCGTGACCACCGTGCGCTGCCAGAGGGGAGGCTGCGGGAATGGCCAGCGAGGTCTCGCAGGGGGACTGGTTGTCTTTTAGGAAATCAAGGGGCCAGCGCCCCCAGTGCCGGCTGGGAGATGCCTTCAGAGTTCGAAGAGAAAAGATGCGACCTTCAATCCGCTCCATTCTCCGTCAGACAGGCCCTGCGGACGGAGCTCCTGCCACCGCTGCAGCCCCATGATGTGTGCTCCTACGCCCCGCCCCGCTGCAGCCCAGCCCACCCCACCCCCATACGGAAATCCTGCAGGAGAAACTGAAACACTAGCGACAGTGGGACATATCCCCGGGAGCAGTTGCGGGAGGGAGAGAAGGAAGGAGCAAAGGGGAAGAGGAAGAGAGAGAGAGAGCTCAAGGGAGCCTTCTTGGAAAGGTTTAACCCGACAGCTTGAAGGCGGCGGGTAGTAAAGCAGCGAACTGGTGAACGGGCGTCCTGACCCGCCACACTTCCCTCACCGACACCCCTCATCCGCGATACCCCACAGGACAGGATGTCCAGCTGCCCTCACTTATCGTGCCCCTGGGCATTTGAGGGGTTCAGAGAGAGAAACGCAGTAACTTATTACCCTCACATGATATATTTTCACTTTCTTCTCCTGATTGTCAGCTCAATTAGATAAGGGACCTTGTGTTTTATTCCGTTGTACCCCGTGCCTGACACATGGTAGCTGCTGGATAGAGATTTCTTCGATGATTGATTATAAAACACACTAATTTAGAGCTTACTATGTTATAAGATCTCCATCTTCAGTGACTCACTTATTCCTCACAAGAAGCCTAGGAGGTAAGGTTTTCCAATAAGGAGAGCCAGGCACCCCATAATGAACGTGCACGGTGTCACATTCCCAGCAAGTGCCGAAGCTGGGGTCAGATTCAGGCAACCTGGCCCAGTGCCCTCACAGTTCATCCGGCCTCCACATGGCCATTTTGTCCATGAATAAATGAATAAGTGAATGAGTGTATGCTAATTTTGATGAGTTGTCTGGGAAAATGTACAGGTTTTGGGGCTGGAAAAAGGTCTTAGTCATGACGGGGACCCTTTCTGATCGAGTGCTGGGGAAGAACTAGAACTCCTGGGGCCCCCAGGCTCTGCTACCTAAGTGCTGCGGAATCTTGCATATGGTCACCAGCCTCTGGTAGCTTATTACTTTGAGCAGTGCTGGTGGTTCTCAAATTTGTCTACATGTTAGAGTCACCCTGATGAGATTTTCTTTAAACCCAGTGGCTCAGGTCACCCCCTCCCCACACTACCTGAAATTAGAATCTTTCGGGGTTAATCCCAGACATCAGTTCAGCTTCAAATTTCTGAAATTTTCCCGGGTGGTTCCAATGTGCCATCAAAGCTGAGGACCTCATCGGTCTTCAGGGAAGCAGGAAATACATTCTTTCTCAAAGGGTGGCCACTGATCCTCTGAGAATCACTGGGTTTGCTTGTTTACAATGCAGATTCCTGGGCCCTGTTTGGATTTACCAAATCCAAATCTTCTGGAATGGGCCAGAAGATCTGCTCAAATGAACAAACAAAACTTCCCAGGTGATTTTTATGGCCATGAAAGTCCAAGAGCTGCTTGGAAAGCTGCTTTCAAAGTCTGGTGTTGTACCAGCAGCAGGACCTGGAACTTGCTAGAAAGGCAGATGCTCTGGCCCCACCCAGCATCTGCGTTTTAACAGCAATCTGTGTTTAATAAGCCCTGCAGGTGACCTTGGGTGCCAAAATTTGAAAACCAGTAACAGGCCTCTGGAATCATACAGCCCTGGGTTCAAATTCCAGCCTGGTCACTCACTAGCTGTATTAGTCTGTTCCTGCACTGCTATAAGGACATACCCAAGACTGACTAATTTATAAAAGAAAGAGTTTTAATTGTCTCATGGTTCTGCAGGGCTGGGGAGGCCTCATGAAGCTTACAATCAAGGTGGATGGGGAAGCAAACACATCCTTCACATGTGGCATGAAAGAGAAGTGCTGAACAAAGGGGGAAAACCCTTATAAGCGATGGTCCTCATAAAACCACCAGATCTCATGAGAACTCACTTACTATCACAAGAACAGCATGGGAAAAACCACCCCGATGATTCGATTACCTCTCTCTGCATCCCTCCTGCAACACATGGGGATTACGGGAACTACAATTCAAGATGAGATTTGAGTGGGGACAAAGCCAAACCATATCATTCCACCCCTGGCCCCTCCCAAATCACATGTCCTCACATTTTAAAACACAATCATGCCTTTCCAACAGTGCCCCAAAGTCTTAGCTCTTTCCATAATTAATCCAAAAGTCCAAGTTCAAAGTCTCATCTGAGACAAGGTAAGTTTCTTCCTCCTATGAGCCTGTAAAATCAAAAGCAAGTTAGTTACTTCCTAGATACAATGGGAGTACAGGCACTGGGTAATTATACCCATTCCAAATGAGAGAAATTGGCCAAAACAAAGGGGCCAGAGACACCATGCAAATCTGAAATCCAATAGGGCAGTCATTAAACCTTAAAGTTCCAAAATGATCTCCTTTGACTCCATGTCTCACATCCAGGTCACACTGATGCAAGAGGTGGGTTCCCACGGCCTTGGGCAGCTCCACCTGTGTGGTTTTGCAGGGTATTGCCCCCTCTTCCTGGCTGTTTTCACAGACTGGTGCTGAGTATCTGTGGCTTTTCCAGGTACATGGTGCAAGCTGTTGGTGGATCTACCATTCTGGAGTCTGGATGATGGTGGCTGTCTTCTCACAGCTCCACTAGACAGTGCCTTAGTAAGGACTCTGTGTGGAGGCTCTGACCCCACATTTCCCTTCCTCACTGCCCTAGCAGAGGTTCTCCATGAGTGCTCCACCACTGCAGCAAACTTCTGCCTGAACATCCTGGCATTTCCATACATCCTCTGAAATCTAGGCAGAGGTTCCCAAACCTCAATTCTTGACGTCTGTGTACCTGCAGGCTCAACACCACATGGAAGGTGCCAAGGCTTGGGGCTTGCACCCTCTGAAGCCACAGCCTGAGCTGTACTCTGGCCCCTTTTAGCCACAGCTGAAGCGGCTGGGATGTAAGGCACAAAGTCCCTAGGTTGTACACAGCAGGGGTCCCTGGACCCAGCCCAGGAAATGATTTTTCCCTCCTAGGCCTCTGGACCTGTGATGGGAGGGACTGCCATGAAGGTTTTTGACATACCGTGGAGACCTTTCCCCATTGTTTTGGAGATTAAAATTTGGCTCCTCATTACTTATGCAAATTTCAGCAGCAGGCTTGAATTTCTCCCCAGAAAATGGGTTTTTCTCTTCTATTCCATGTTTAGGCTGCAAACTTTCCAAACTTCTATGCTCTGCTTCCTCTTGAATGCTTTGCTGCTTAGAAATTTCTTCCACCAGATACCCTAAATCACCTCTCTCAAGTTTGAAGTTCCACAGATCTCTAGGGCAGGAGCAAAATGCTGCCAGTCACTTTGCTAAAACATAGCAAGAATCACCCTTATTCCAGCTCCCAACAAGTTCCTCATTTTCATCTGAGACCACCTCAGCCTGGACTTTATTGTCTATATCACTATCAGCATTTTGGTCAAAGTCATTCAACAGGTCTCTAGGAAGTTCCAAATTTCCCCACATTTTCCTGTCTTCTTCTGATCCCTCCAAACTGTTTCAACCTCTTCCTGTTACCTAGTTCCAAAGTTGCTTCCACATTTTTGGGTATCCTTATAGGAGCACCCCACTCTCTGTGGTACCAATTTACTGTATTAGTCTGCTGTCATGCTGCTATAAGGACATACGTAAGACTGTGTAATTTATAAAGGAAAAAGGTTTAATAGATTCATGGTTCTGCAGTGCTGGGGAGGCCTCAGGAAACTTACAATCATGACGGAAGGGGAAGCAAAGGCATCCTTCAGTTAGCAGCAGGAAGAAGAAATGCAGAGTGAAGGAGGGAAAGGCCCCCTATAAACCCATCAGATCTCATGAGAACTCACTCACTATCATGAAAATAGCATGGGGAGAACCTCCACCATGATTCAATTACCTCCCACTGGGCCCCTCCCTTGACATGAGGGGATTATGGGAACTACAATTCAAGATAAGATTTGGATGGGGAGACAGGCAAACCATATTGCTAGCCTTGTGACTCTGTGCAGGTTATTTGACTTCCCTATGCTTCAATTTCTTTACTTGTTAGTTGGAGGGGTTGTTATTTGGTTGAACAAAATTCACATATTGAGGTCCTAATTCTTAGTACCTTAAAATGTGACCTTTTTTGTAGATAGGGTTATTGCAGACGTTATTAGTTAAAATGAGGTCATACTGGAATAGGGTAGGTCCTGTCCAATGTGACTAGTGTCTTTATAATAAAGGGAAACGTGGAGACAGACATGCACACTGAAATAATACCATGTGAAGACTGGAGCTGTGCTTCAAGAAGCCAGGGAACTACCAGAAACTAGGAGAGAGATCTGGAACCAATTGTTTCCTAGTGTTTTCAGAGGGGGCACAGCTCTGCTCTCACCTTGATTTCAAACTTCTAGTTGCCAGAACTGGGGGACAACAAATTTCTGTTGTTTACGCCATCCAGGTTGCTGGGTTTGGCAGTTGTAGCAAACTAATATGGGGGCATTTGGGAGGATTGTGTGAGATACTATATCTAAAAGCACATAGCACAATGTAAGCAATCTACTAGAGATTTCTCAGTAAGTATTAGATTTTTATTTAAAAAAAACAACAACAACAGTGATCCTGTACACTGCCTCTTTAAGTAGGGATGAAATCTGAGAAGTAGGAAAAGGACCAAAGCAGGACATTGCACCCAGTAGACTCAGAGAGGCCGAGCAGTAGCGTTGGTGCACGCCAGGCCTGCTTGGCCCCGGCTGGAGGCTAAGAAACAGTGGACAGATGGTCATCGTTTCAGGTCGCCCTGATCTGGACAAGAACCAAATGAGGGATCCAGAGGCAGTGGTGTGTTCAGCTCTGATGTAGCTTTCCTTCTCTCTAAAGCCCTCTGCAGAGGCCTCAGTTGCCTTCCATGAATTCTCTCAGTCCTTCCTGGTCATAAGCATCCCTGTCACAGGGACCAGAATCCATTATCAGGCTCCTGATCTCCTCAGACCTTCAAAACTGCCTTCATGAATGTGTGTGTTTAAGGTTCATTAAATTACCTGAAATGGAAATAAATGAAGCAGAATAGAAAGTTCTCTTCCCTCAACCCCCACAGCGTAGTCATCTGGCTGCCAGTTAGACAGTGCCACCTTGGAACAGAAACCCAACCCCTGCAAGCAAGTAACTTCCTTCACCTCTACTCGTCCTCCAGAGAGAGACAAGGGGTTGGATTGTCCCAAAACGTCCTTCTGTGCACACTACCTGCACAATCAGGAATCCACTTCTTTCTTCCCAACTCCAGCATACACCATGCAGGCAGTAAGGGGACAGAAAGCCTATTTTGTAGAGTTTCCCAAGGTGGGTGGCAAACCAGGTTGATCAGGAGAGTGGGATCACAGTGTCAGAAGCTCTTTTACACAGTGTCAGAAGCTCTTTTCCATTTTAAAGACTGTACTATTTTCAATTTATGGAGGAGGTAGAGGTCATCTGTGGGATTGTTTTGCTGCAGCAGCTGCTCAGTGCCAAGTGAACTCATCCCAGGAGACAGGGCTGACTTCTGCTGCTGCCCTAGGTAGGACCTGTGCAATTTCATGGCAATCTGGGGAAGTCAACTGGGCTCCCATCATACCATGGCATCACAAGTGTGACTCTCAGGACAGCTGACCTCAGTTTCTAAAGTGTGAGGCTGTGGGCCCCAGCAGGAAGCTAGCCCTCCAACCAGCAGCACAGTTTTGATTAAAATTTCCTGCCCCACCCAGTTCTCAAATATCTTCCTTTCTCCCCAGGCAGTAAAGGAAATAAAAGCCATTAGTCCTAGAGGAGCAAAAAGACTCTACTGTGTGACCTTGTGCAATTATGCAACCTCTCTGCAATTCAGTGTTTGGAGTTTTCTTATTTAAAATGAATTTAATAATACCTTTCTTGGCTTTCCTCATGAGCTTGTGAAAATCCAAGGAGCTTGTGTATGTGAAGTGGTTTGTAAACAGCAGGGAGGGATGCACAGGTAAGGAAAGTGATTATGGTGCTGTGATTGTATCTTGCAGGGTTCCTTGACCTTGGTATGATGGTTCCGTTCAAGTCTTTAAAGAATGCAGATGAAGTGCAACAGAAAAAATAGATTGAATAACGGCTATATGAAGTGAACTAACATTCAATGGACAGGAAATGACCACACCTTATCTCATTTAATCCATTCAAAAATCAAGTGAGAGGGAAGTAATTAGCTAAACGTTAAACCAGAGGTTTCCAGACTTTCTAAGTTCATGGTGCTCTTAGTGTGTCAGCATTCCTAGGCCAAAAGGAAAACGTAACCATTATGTATTATGTTGCCAGATTCAAGCTATTTAATAGGTATTGATATCTTGACAACTTGGCCCCTATTGGTCCCTGCATAGCTTCTCAGATTTTGGAATCAGATAGGACACTGGCACTTCGTTTGTTGTTCCCATTGATTTTTGCACAGCACTAATATTTTATTACAATTAAAATCCTAGCTTCTCATTGATATGACATTGTTACAGGACGGGGGTCCCGATCCAGACCCCAAGAGAGGGTTCTTGGATTTCACACAAGAAAGAATTCAGGGCGAGTCCACAGTGCAAAGTAAAAGCAAGTTCATTAAGAAAGTAAAGTGGTGAAAGTACAGCTACTCCATAGACAGAGTAGGGCATTCCTGAAAGTTAGAAGGAACATGTCGACCCTAGGTACAATACCCGTATATAAGGGGAGATGTGCTCTGCTATACAAGAGGTTGTGATAAAGGATTAATTTTCTTAATTACTATTTTTTGCAAGAATCAATATTATTATCTTTAAAGCAAAATTAGGACTGCCTTTATTGTCCAGATATCAGGGTGTCTAGACACTCCTATGTCCGGGTCTGTTTAGTAAACACTATTAATTTGTTCCCTTTGAGAGGTGACAACGTGCTAGCAGGCCTCGCTCGCTCTCAGCACCTCCTCGGCCTCGGCGTCCACTCTGGCCACGCTTGAGGAGCCCTTCAGCCCGCTGCTGCACTGTGGGAACCCCTCTCTGGGCTGGCGGAGGCCGAAGCCAGCTCCCTCTGCTTGTGGGGAGGTGTGGAGGGAGAGGCGTGGGCAGGAACCAGGGCTGCTCGCAGGCTAGCGCGAGTTCTGGGTGGGTGCGGGCTCAGCAAACCCATTCCAGGGCGCCCTGCCCTTCACAAAGAAAACTCTCCCCAGGGATCCTGCCGGCTTCTCCGGGATCCGTTGCGGGCTCAGTGGGCCCCGAACTCAGAGCAGCCAGCCGGTGCCACTGGCCCCAGGCAGTGAGGGGAAGGGGATTAGCACCTGGGCCAGCAGCTAAGGAGGGTGTGCCGGGTCCCCAGCACTGCTGGCCCGCCCGCACCATGCTCGAATTCTCCGCAGGCCTCAGCTGCCTCCCTGCGGGGCAGGGCTCGGGACCTGCAGCCCACCATGCCTAAGCGCCCCCTCTCCACCCCCACCCCCTGTGGGCTCCCGTGCGGCCTGAGCCTCCCCAACAGGCGCCACCCCGTGCTCCGCGGTGCCCAGTCCCATCGACCACCCAAGGGCTGAGGAGTGCGGGCAAGTGGCGTGGGACCGGTGGGCAGCTCCGCCCGTGGCCCTGGCGCAGGATCCACTAGGTGAAGCCAGCTGGGCTCCTCAGTCGCGTGAGGACTTGGAGAATTTTATGTCTAGCTGGAGGATTGTAAATGCACCAATCAGCACTCTGTGTCTAGCTCAAGGTTTGTAAATGCACCAATCAGCACCCTGTGTCTAGCTCAAGGTTTGTAAATGCACCAATCAGTGCTCTGTGTCTAGCTAATCTAGTGGGGACTTGGAGAACTTTTATGTCTGGCTAAAGGATTGTAAATGCACCAGTCAGCACTCTGTGTCTAGCTCAGGGATTGTAAATGCACCAATCGGCGCCCCGTCAAAACGGACCAACCAGCTCTCTGTAAAACAGACCAATGAGCTCTCTGTAAAATGGACCAATCAGCAGGATGTGGGTGGGGTCAGATAAGGGAATAAAAGCAGGCTGCCCAAGCTAGGGGAGGCAATCTGCCTGAGTTCCGTCCTATTCTGTGGAAGCTTTGTTCTTTTGCGCTTAGCAATAAATCTTGCTGCCTTTATGAGCTGTAACACTCACTGCAACAGTCTGCAGCTTCACCCCTGAGGCCACCTGAGGCCAGCGAGATCACAAGCCCACCGGAAGGAATACACAACTCCAGATGCGCCAACTTTAACAGCTGTAACACTCACCGGGAAGGTCTGCAGCTTCACTCCTGAAGTCAGCGAGACCACGAATCCACCAGAAGGAATAAACTCCAGACACATCTGAACATCTGAAGGAACAAACTCCGGACACACCATCTTTAATAACTGTAACACTCACTGCGAGGGTCCGCGGCTTCATTCTTGAAGTCAGTGAGACCAAGAACCTACCAATTCCAGACACACCTTCACCATAAACATCTATACACCAGGAATGCATAACCTTCTGAGAATGCACCCCAGCAAGTCCCAGCCTCGTTTTCCTCGCCCTCATTCCAAATGGAGTTGCTCTAGTGCAAATGCTTCTGACAATATCATCAAAAGGAACACAGCAATTTCAGTTGTAACTTAACTATCTCAAGCTAGCAGTGAGATAGTTCAGTTCACATTGTGTTGGACAGATGTGTTTACCTTAAACATTTAAAATATCTCAAAAATGCCCCTTTGAGTTCCTCAGGGTGCCCCCAGGCACCTCAGTGCATGGTTTGGGAACTGAGGTAGTAAACTAATGCTCAAAGCTTGGAAGCAACTTTCTATCATAGCTTTAAAACTTTAATAAGCCCTTGAGTGATCTGGGGTCTTGTTTTAATGTGGATTCTAATTCAGGAGGTCTGGGGTAGAATGCCTGAGATGTTGTTTTTCTAACAAGCTCCTGAGCATGGAGGATGCTGCCAGTTGATGGACCAGCAAGGCTTTACAAGATCTAGTCAGGAGAGGTGGGCCAGGTAACATAACAATCCAGGTCTCCAAAGCTCTTTTCTAGAACTGTGCTACTTCCCATATAATAAACTGTAGGGAAAATTTTTAAATTCTGTTAGTGGACTTCCAGTTCCCATTTGGCATATAAAGAAGCTTGGAATTGATCTCTCCCATCCCTGCAGTAAGAAAAAAAGCTGAACAAACTGAAAACTCTTCATAGGTCCACCGCAGGATTTAGGCAACAGGACAAGCTACTGCCCTCCAAAATTAGAGAGACAAACAGGTAGATACAGAGAATCTCAACTTACCAGAAGAGGGGCTCAGAAGCAGAAACCTCCTGGAGACCAGGAAATGTCAACGTGTAATTGACAAATTACGACTGGGAACAATTTTGAGAGCTACAACTTGCCTCCTGTACTTCCCATGAGTGTTTCCTCGTGGAGCCAAACCAGGTTTTCACAATGAAGATTAGAGAAAATCCCCCAGCACTTCTGAGAGGGGAAGGGGAAAAGTAGCCTTTCTTAAATACACCCAGAGCCTTCTGGTCTTCTTAACGATGCCCCTCAGGAGAAACTATTTAACCAGAGCCTAACCTCTGGTGCCTGCCTCTGGAGCTTTCTCTGTCATTTCTCTCTTGCTGTGACCTTGCCAGATTCTTGTTGCCACTGGATCAACCAATTGTATTAGTTTTCTAATTGTTACTGTAACTGATGACTGCAAATCTAGAAATTTTAAACAACATAGATTTATATCACAGTGTGTAGGTCTGATGTTTAGTGGGCTCAGCTGATTTCTCTGCCTGAGTGTCTCAAGGCTGCAACTCCGCTGGAAACAGGGTTTCATTCCTTTCTGGAAGCTCTGGGGGAGAGTCTACCTGCAAGAGCATGCAGTTTGTTGGCAGAACTGAGTTCCATTTGGCTGTATGAGGTTGTATGTTCCATAAGGTCCCCCTTTCTTGCTGATAGAGGCTGCAGATTGTTCTCATTCTAGAGGCTGTCCACATTCCTTGGCTCAGCTGCCCACATTCCTTGGCTCATGGCTCTCTTCTTCCATCTTCAAAGCCAGCAACAATGGTCGACTTTGAATTTCCTCTGGATTTCCCTTCCCTACCACATCTCTAACTCTCTTCTCACTCTTCCACTTTTAAGGGCCCATGTGATTGCATTGCATCCACCTGGATAGTCCTGGATGCTCTCCCTGTCCTAAGTTCTATTACCTTAAATTTTATCTGCAAAATCTCCTTTGCCATGTGACAAAACATATTCATGGGTTCCAGGAATTAGGGTAATTATTTGGCCCATTATACTGACTATCAACAAAATCCAGGCAGGAGCTAGAGAAACACTGTTAAAAATTTTTAAGTAGTTTCAACTGTGACCTACAAAAATGACTGCTTTCATGCCAGCAAAACTGGCTACATAATTTTCAGGGTCCAGTGAATTTAAAATTATATTATTAAAATAAATACTATAAATATATATTTTCATATATGTGTCTGTGTGTGTTGTGTTTTAAAATTTTGTGTTTTTAATGTTGCAGGTCCTCGGGCTTGGGGGATAGTGGAGAAGTGAGCGAGGACTCTCACAGGCCCCTAGGAGAATTGGTGTATATGTCCCCTGGCTGCTGGGTTCCTCTGCTTTCTTGTCAGTTACTGGACCAACGCAGCATGTTATAGCTTGGGACAGAGAAGTGGAGTCAGGCATCTCCCCTTCCCAGGGGCCAGCTGCCCTAAGCCATTGTGGATGGGTAACTCCCAAGGGTATTGCAGCTTCCATGTTGGGATGCCCTAGATAACTGGATAGAGGGTGAATAAAAGGCTCATTCCTGCCAAGTCCCTTCCAGCTGTGCTGTGGTGCTGGAAGCCCCGAGTGGGGGTGCACCCATGCCCTGGCCCCCAATGCCGTGAAGCACATGTGTCCAGCCCAACCCCCTGCCTTGTCCAGGTCCAGGCACTGCCGGGCATGGCGGGAAGCAGTATTCACAAGGTAGGAGGGTAAGGAAGAGAAAGCCACGTGGGGCTGGGGGAGCCAGGACATGGGACACAGGAAGCTGAGAGCTCATCCAGGGGAGAGAGGGAAGGCAGTGGCAGGAGGGACTGCACTCGAGCTGAGCCTTCAAGCCCTCAGCACATACTCCATGGTCCCATAGATGTCAGTTACGAAACACAAATTCAAAGCTAAAATTATTAAAAGTTTCGATACGGAAGTCACAAAGCATTATACCCCATACACAGGTCATTCTGAGCACAGGGCCCCATGTGACCGCACTGGTCATACAGCCCCAAAGCCACCCTGCATGCCAGGATGAAGTCTCATCAGCACATGTAACTCTGTGGTTGCTCACAGCTGTACTTCATCTGCTTAAGATCCTGCCCGGGAACTAAGCTCTGGAAAGGATGAGGTTTGAGCAGCCAGTGTTACTCCATCAACTCTGCTTCCCTTCAAATCAGCAATGTCCCTAGGGCCACTTCACGCTTAACGAGCCATGGTGGCCCTTGTGCTTTCACACCAGATGCATGCCTTGGCCTAGAGTGCAGAACCACTGACTGGCCAGCAGGAGACAAAGCCCCTTCCCTACAGTGCACCTGTGGTGTTCCATTTCCACAAGGCAGGGATGTTCATGAGTATTAGTCCATTTTCACACTGCTCTAAAGAACTACCTGAGACTGGGTAATTTATGAAGAAGAGAGGTTTAATTAATTTACAGTGTCACAGGCTTAACAGGAAGCATGACTAGGGAGCCTCAAGAAACACACAATCATAGCACAAGGTGAAGGTGAGCAAGAATGTCTTACCATGGCAGAGCAGGAGAGAGAGAGATGGTGATCGAAGAGGGAAGTGCAACACTTTTAAAACAACCAGATCTCGTGAGAACTCACTCACTGTCATGAGAACAGCAAGGGGGACGTCTGCCCCCGTGATTCAATCACCTCCCACCAGGCCCCTCCCCCGACACGTGGGGATTACAGTGCTGGATAAGATCTGGGTGGGGACACAGAGCCAAACCATATCACCATGCAAAGCACATACACTCAGCTCTTTTTAGGAGGAAACTCGGTATGCATGAAATTGAATTTCATCCATGAAAGCAATTCAATTGAATCTCACAGTCCTCATAAGGTATTTATTTAAGGCAAGTCAAAGCTATTCAGTAGGGCATACAACAAATCAGGTTACTTCCTTGCTAAGAAGAGTTACCTCAACACCGCTGACACACTCCCATGCCAATAAGAACATGAGATGATTCAGTAAAAATTCAGCAATGCCTTGGTCTCGCTAAGTGTTCCTGTCAACCACCAGAATGTAGGCACCATAGTTCTTGTAGCAGGTTGGAAGCAGCAGAGGGTTCAATTAAAAAAGGGAATCATCCATGACTGATGACTAATAATGTGGCAGTAATTGTAACATTTAAAAAATTGCCATCTATAATCAAAAATGCCTTCTAGGAGAGTGGATCCTGGGAGAATGAAAGGCTTTTTGCTTCTGCCAAATTCTTAAATGGACTTGGATATGCAGAGTTTGACCTGGAGCTAAACTTTGGTGGAAGGGACAGAAGAAACTGAAATTGGAAGAATTTGGTTTTGCTCCCAAGAGGGGAGACAGCAGAGGCATTGGGTGAAAAGCTGGAGCCTGCATTATAGACAAATGCCAAGAGTTTGTTTTTTTTTTTTTTTTTTTTGAAACAGGGATGTCCTGAATGCAATATTAAGTTGTGTCTGTTGCTGTAGTAACAGGATGATACAGAAATACTGATTGAGATTCATTCTTGACCCCAGGGGTTACAAAATGGTACGGGGGATAACAATAGGTACAGGGCACTATAGAGAACAAAGTACCCAGATTCTCCAGGCTCATTAAGGCTACCGGCATTGATATGGAATCTGTGTTGACAATGAGCTAGCCTAGCAGGGTGACCAACTCTTGCCATGAGCGGTCGCATCAAGATAGGCCCGTGGGCAGTAAAGGATTAACCTTGTCCAAGGGAAAGGTGTGTCCCTTGCTAAACTCCTGGGAGTTAACCTCTGTGTCTTAGAAATATTCTACCTGATAAGAATGTCTTCGTTTATCTGGGAGTCTTGGGCCAGGTAGTATCAGCTTAACCTCTAAAGGCTGGACACTGAAGTCAGCCACGTGGGCTGTCAGCCATGCCTACATGACTGGCCCCCAATAAAAACCTTGGATGCCATGGCTTGGGTGAGCTGCCCTGGTTAGTAATGCTCTGTGAACGTTGCCGCATGTCATTCCTGGAAGAAGGAAGTGCTGCTCCCTGGCTCCACTGGGAGAGGACAACCAGAAGCTCACGCCTGGTCTCTCATGGACTCTGCTCTGTACACCTCTTCCTATTATAGGAATTATTAAGAGATTATTTTAGGCAGATAGTGAGGAAAAGGGGTCCTTAGGAAGTTTTTGTTTCTTTTAAAGCAGCTCCAGAAACATTTCTTGTCTAGCAGAAAAGCCCTGGTTCTTAGAGCCGGGCAGGCAACCTTTGATATGCAAATGCTGGCCATTAGAAACTGGGTCCACCCAAACATGGCGATTCCTACCGTGATCCTCTTGCCCTTGCCCTGACATATGCCTGGCAACATGGCCGCCCCCACATATCTCCACGTATGTAGAACATCGTGGCGCCCTGTATTTGCACATTAAAAGGCTAGGGTGGGAGGGCTAGTTTTTTCGTGGGCTACGTAGATGACGTGCCTGGTCACACCAATCCCCTAAGCCCTATGGAAATCAGGCACCGCCTCCTCCAGCCTCCTCATATAAGCAACCACTTTTCTGCCACACGGGGTTTTCTCTTTGTTTGGATCCCCCGTCTCTGTCTCTGTACAGGGGAGCTGTTTTCTTCTTCCTTCCTTCTTTCTTGCCTATTAAACTCTCCACGCCTTAAAACCACTGCGTCCGTGTTGTTTTATCCAATTTGACTTGAGAGGAAGAACCCTGGTGTTCCTCCACTCATCAGAGCCGTATCATTTCCTCTGCTGATTTTAGTCTGTGTTCCTCCATTGTAACAAATTGTAACTGCAAGTATAGCAACTCTTCTGAGTTCTGTGAATCCTTCGAGAGAATCAACGGAAGTTGACGGTGGTCTTGGGGACCCCCTGAACTGCAGCCTGTCTCTTCTTCCCACCAGATGAGCTCCGAGGAAAGAAAGGGTGAGGAGAACATAGCAGCCCCACCCCTCTTGGTTTCACAGGCCCAGATCATGGGACTCTGCCCTTCCCTGAAAGGGGGGATACTGAATGTAACAGTGAAGTTTCAAAAATATTTAAGGTGACGGATATCCCAATTACACTGCTTTGATCTTTACAAATTACATGAATGTGTTAAATTGTCACATAGACTTCAGAAATATATACATTATGTATCAATAAAAAATTAACACATTTTTATAACCAAAATCAGGCTGTTATAGTGAAAGTGGCTGGAAAGTAAGTCAGCCTGGGCTGTGGGGAGAGCCGGCCTGATGCCTTCACCCAGCCCAGTAGGAGGAGTCACTGAAAACAAGTTTCTTTTGGGGCCTTACCATTTGAGATGCCTCAGTGAAGTCGAGCACATTACAATATGAATCTGTCTGCTACTCGCCAAATGACTTGTGTGTTACTAGTTTGTTATTATTATTTATTCAATTATTATTTCTGGTGGGAGTTAAGAGGGTTGAACCAGCATGTGACTAGACAGAGTATAAACGAGAAGCAGCACATGTGGGACCAAAAGGATCCCTAAACTGTGCTAACTGGGCAGAGGCAGGACCCGGAGCTAACTCAGGCTAGTAGTGAGATAGTTCAGTTCACATTGTGTTGGCAGATATTGCTGTGTTTCCCTTAAACATTTAAAATATCTCAAAATACACCAGGTGCCTCAGTGCACAGTTTGGGAACTGAGGTAGTAAACTAACGCTCAAAGGTTGGAAGTAACTTGCTATCATAGCTTTAAAACTTTAATAAGCCCTTGAGTGATCTGGGGTCTTGTTTTAATGTGGATTCTAATTCAGTAGGTCTGGGGTAGGACACACGAGACGCTGTTTTTCTAACAAGCTCCTGAGCATGGAGGATGCTGCCAGTTGATGGACCAGCAAGACTTTACAAGATCCAGTCAGGAGAGATGGGGCAGGTAACATAACAATCCAGGTCTCCAAGGCTCTTTTCCAGAACTATACTACTTCCCATATAATAAACTGTAGGGAAAATGTAAAAATTCTATTAGTGGACTTTCAGTTCCCATTTGGCATATAAAGAAGTTTTGAAGTGATCTCTCCCATCCCTGCAGTAAGAAAAAAAAGCTGAACAAACTGAGAATCAACTCTTCTAGGTCCACCACAGGACTGAGGCAAAAGGACAAGCTGCTGCCCTCCAAAATTAGACAAACAGGTAGATTACAGAGAATCTCAACGTACCGGAAGAGAGGCTCAGAAGCAGAAACCTCCTGGAGACCAGGAAATGTTAATGTGTAATTGACAAATTGCGGCTGGGAACAACTTTGAGAGTTACAACTCCAGGTAGCCTCTTATACTTCCTGTGAGTGTTTCCTCTGGGAGCCAAACCAGGTTCTCACAGTGAAGATTAGAAAAAATCCCCCAGCCTTTCTGACAGGGGAAGGGGGAAAAGTAGCCTTTCTTAAATACACCCAGAGCCTTCTGGTCTTCTTAACAATGCCCCTCAGGAGAAACTAGTTAACAAGAGCTAGAAACTATTTAACTGGAACTAGAGGGAATGGGTGTGAGATCGCAGGCACCCTGGGAATTAGCAAAGATCTTAGAGTGGGCTTGGGCTTTCTTCCCCAGTCTGCAGAGCGGGGCAGGGTGGCCCTGGCTATATTTGAGCTGCATAAAGATTACCTTCTTTATAAATGGGAGACAAGTGGGATGGAGTCATCTCCTTGGTCTCTAAAACCACAGAGCCCAGAGTGGTAGGATAAGGGCATAAATTCTCCAAGTGGGTCATGGGATGGGATGGTGGTAAAAGGGTCCACTGCTTCCGGCCCTTGGGTCCCAGGCCCACGTTTTCCACCTAAGGGGGATGCAGCACCACACAAATGCCTTTGCTTAGAATGTGCCCTGGGCCCCAGAGGAAGGCACCCCATCTTCACATGGTGTCACCTCTGAGCTGGAACTTCAGCCATTCCATTGCCTTGTCAGCGGGCAGCTGAGGAATAATGTGGTTTGCGCTATGACACATGGATCTTCGGATAATGTGCCCACCTCCTTTGCTGCAAAGTCGTCTGATAATAGTGCTGTCTGAGGCCCTGTGGGCAGAAAACACAAATCCATACTTGGAATATGTATATTCTGTCAAGTTGAAACTCTGTCCCCACAGGGTGCTAAGGGTTTAATATAACTTGCCACCATATGACTGGTTGGTCTTCTCAAAGGGTGGTGCCATATTGGGGACTGAGCGCTGGTTTCTCATCTGGGCAGGTTGGGTGTTCGGAGGTGGCAGAGTTCAGCGTGGGTGGGTGGGAGGGCACACTGTTGGGCTCATGCACAGCTTCTGTGTGCTACAACAGCTCCTCCATTCACGAATCTGCAGAACTTGCCCAGGGATGCCAAGACAGGCTGGCTGTCATTTTCTCTGTAGGTGAATGTGTAATATGAACAAAAACTTCCCAAGGACCCCTTTTGTTGTTTAGTGTCTCATCTTTAATGGCTCCTTTCTGGTGTGTATGAATGTGTAATATAAAGATAGTCACACTTTGTGCCAAGTTCCACGTGTCTACCCATATCCTTCTATCTTGCTGTCCCCATTGGTCCAACCTTTCTCCTTCCAGTCCCCTGACCAGCCAGCCGTTTGTCATTGCCATGAATGCAACGATACTCTTATTTTGGGCCCATCTTCTTTCCACGTAAAGTGGAAAACCAAGTGCCCTTCTTAAAGTGTTTCCCACAAGGAGGATTTTTCATCACCACTGTCCTTCAAGGACACCCATGAATGGGGCTGTGGATGCCGTTGCTGTCCATTTTCAGCTTGCTCTCACATACCAACCTGGCCCATTTGTAAAAACAGCTTGGACGTTTTCCTCTTCTGCCAGCTGGCCAGAGGGAGAGATGGTGAGGTGAAGTGGTGGGGGACGTGAGAGTTGGGCTACCTGCTCTTTTGGCTTGTTTGGGTACTCAACCTGTTCATGCATCATTGCATGGGTATCTCCTTCCACCTCAGGATGAATTCCTGCAGGCTTCAGCCTACATTATGCTTTGTGGGTTGGACAGAACCCAGCTCAGGATGGCCTGCTCTGGTCACGTAACAGGGCATCCTATGTGCCTCTTCTCAACCAAGCCTCAGTAGCACAGCAGGAGCTGCTTATTAAAGAGCATTTAGTTCTCTGCTGAAAATACCATGGCCATACTCCAGAACCTTGGGGATCTAAGTTTGGTTCTCCCATTGGAGCTCACCATTAACACCACACAGCATATTTTCCTTCCATGGAAATTATAAGCTCTGGTGAGTGCCACAGTCCCAACAACAGAGCTATTTGCACCGCAGAAGCTGGAATCTCTGCAGAGTTCCTTCCTGCTTTGAACCTCCCTCCAAGCTGGCAGCTGTTTGTGTTCTCCATGACATAGTTTGGGGCAGTAACCATAGTTATGGAAGCTGTCGTCTCCAGAACTCCAAGGCTCCAACCAGGGTTCTTTCTAGTGATTAGAGGCTCAACATGCAATAATTCATTCTTTATTTTGGAGAAGAAGTTGTAGAAATCCCAGACCAATGGGCCTTTAATATTTTTCTGATGTGGTGGACCTGAGTCTTCCTAGCAAAGGTGCCATATCTGGTCCAGTCCCTGCAACTGGGGCTACTATTTGGTTGAGTCTGTGGCATCCCACTGTTATCTTCAGGACTTGTTTGTTTGTTGTAGGGACCAGAACTGGTAAATTAAGTAAAAACTGCACCTTTCAAATTTTTAAGAGTGGCTATAATGTCTACTATTTCCCCTAGGATGTGAAATTGTCTTTGATTTGCTATCTTGGCCAGGGTGGGGTATAGTTTTAGATGTTTCCATTGGTTTTCCCCGGTGCAATAACTCTTACCACAGAGGCCAAAGCACCAACGTGGGGCTTGTGCTCATTATTAAGAATGGTGATTCCACTGTGCATCCATAAAAAGGAATGAGATCATGTCCTCTGCAGGGACATGGATGAAGCTGGAATCCATCATCCTCAGCAAACTAACACAGGAACAGAAAACCAAACACCATATGTTCTTACTCATAAGTGGGAGTTGAACGATGAGAACACATGGACACAGGGAGGGGAACAACACACACCGGGGCCAGTCAGGGGGTGGGAGGTGAGAGAAGAGAGAGCATTAGGGCAAATAGCTAATGCATGAGGGGCTTAAAACCTAGATGATGGGTTGATAGGTGCATCAAACCACCATGACACACATATACCTATGTAACAAACCTACACATTCTGCACTTGTATCCCAGAAATTAAAGTTAAAAAAATAAATAAAATAAAGGATAGCAATTCCAATCACATAATCAACAGTGAGGAAAATGGCTACCCGGTGGGCCCACAGACCCAGTGGATCTACTGTGAGCCAGCCCTGGGCCAGGAGTCCATTGATTTCCCGCCCTCCATATCCCACCTCTAACTTGGGGCTAAGGATGAAGCTCTGGAGCTTTGCCTCTCAGTGCCAATTTGGACCCTGCGTCTACCAGTCCTTGACATGTTTGGGTTTTTCCCTGCCCCCAGTGCATGTTTACCTGAGTAAATGGAGCAAATCTCTTTGAGGAAGGCTGTGGAATTGTTGTCACGTGCGCTTGACTTGTTGTCACAGGGTCTTCATCCTGGAAACTCGACCTCTCTGTCAGTTGGTGGGATCTGACTTTGAAAACTTGTTCGGGTCTAGCAACTGGGTAAAGGATGAGGACCTTTTCACTGGGATGACTGCCCTTAACCATCTTCGATTTTGTTTGATTGTACATGTTGGTCAGTACCTTTGATAGCTGTCCATTCATTCTGTCCCTAGGGTTACTGTGTCCTGTCACCTGTCTCCATTAATGTTCAGACTCTGCTGTCACTGTATTAGTAACCACCTAGCTTTTGTGATGACTGACCACAACCACCTTCTCCATTGTTTGGGGCACCTGTTGGCCTCACTGCTGTCTGTGAATTCAGTTCTGTGATGTTCTATTTTATCATCATCCCTTGGCTATGGAGGACGGTCCCAACACCAGTGCATTCTTCATCACTTTGCTGAAAGGTGTGTTCTTCAGGTCCTCCGCCAGAGCAGTCTTCCGGGGGGTTTTCTGGGCTAATAGTGGACCCACTGCAGCATGCACACGGTGATGCTTCTACATGCCAAGGAGCACCAAAGATTGCCAGCAAACCACCACAAATCTCAGTTCATTTTCCAGGGCTGCTGTCACAAACTACCACAAACTAGGTGGCTCAAACTACAGAAATGTATCATCTCACAACTCTGGAGGCTAAAAGTGTGAGATGAAGGTGTCAGAGGCCTGGCTCCTTCTGAGAGCTCTGAGTGAAGGGTTTGTTCTGGGCCACTCTCCTTGGCCTGTGGATGGTGGTCTTCTCCCTGCGTCTTCACAGCATCATCCCTCTATGCATCTATCTTCAAATTTTCCCTTCTTTTTTTTTTTTAGACGGAGTCTCGCTCCGTCGCCCAGACTGGAGTGCAGTGGCGCAATCTCAGCTTACTTCAAGCTCCACCTCCCGGGTTCATGCCGTTCTCCTACCTCAGCCTCCTGAGTAGCTGGGATTACAGGCGCCCGCCACCACGCCTGGGTAATTTTTTGTATTTTTAGTAGAGACGGGGTTTCACCATGTTAGCCAGGATGGTCTCGATCTCCTGACCTCGTGATCTGCCTGCGTCGGCCTCCCAAAGTGCTGGGATTACAGGTGTGAGCCACTGTGCCTGGCCAAATTTTCCCTTCTTAAAAGAACACCGGTCATATTGGATTAGGAACCCTACTCAGCTCCAGAACGACCTCACCTTTACTTCACTAATTACATCTGCAAAGGCCTTGTTTCCAAATAAGATCACTTTCTGAGGTGCTGCGGGTTAGGACCTCAACATATGGATTTTGGAGGACACAATTCATACATAACAATATGTATGGTAGCAACGATTATTAAACACCTTTTATAAATTCATGACTTCAAAGGAAGAGCTCCTGAATCCCGGTTTTGGGACGCAGGGAACATTACCCCAGTGGTAGTGGCCCATGTACCCCCACATTCTGTACTACGGGACACACGGGCAAGCCTCCAGCTTCTTGGAGGATGGACCCACGTGGGTGACATCTGCAGGTATAGAATGAAGTACAGGCAAGAGGAGAGCAGGAAATGATTAATGAATATTCATAAACTGTGATTTTTTTTTGGATTTTAAAAAGATGCTTTCTTAAACTTGTCTTCTTTTTATATTCTCTTCGATATGTTGCCTCAAGCACAAAAATGAGGAAAATTACTGCACTAACAATCTGATGAAAAAGTTGGACTGTTGGCTTTCCTCAGCTGATTTGTGGTCACTACTGGGCTCTCGTTGTCTTCTTGAAGTCTCACTTTAGCTCCTGCCAATCAGACAGCCTCAAAGCCCAGTGTCGGGCAGTTTGGATCTGAGTCAAGCAGTAATCAGAGCGGTTAGGCTTAGTCAGTATTCTCTGAATGAAAATTTTGCCGATGAACCTTTTTCTGCAGAGCGGAAGTGGCTGGGCACCCTTGCGAGATGAGAACCACCAGATGGCGCTGAATCCTCAATAAGAAAAGAGCCTGGTGTGTCTTTCAGGCCCTGAAGGCATGATAATCTTGGGGACCCACAAAAGTGTTTTCATTTACTTTAAAATCAGAAGAAAAAAAGTGAATATAATACTCTTGGATTATATTCACTTTTTTACTAATGCAATCATTAAATATACTTTCTTTCTTTTTTTTTTTTTTTTGAGACGGAGTCTCGCTCTGTTGCCCACGCTGGAGTGCAGTGGCACGACCTTGGCTCACTGCAAGCTCCGCCTCCCGGGTTCACGCCATTCTCCTGCCTCAGCCTCCCGAGTAGCTGGGACTACAGGCGCCCGCCACCATGCCCGGCTAATTTTTTGTGTTTTTAGTAGAGACGGGGTTTCACTATGTTAGCCAGGATGGTCTCGATCTCCTGACCTTGTGATCCGCCCGCCTCGGCTTCCCAAAGTGCTGGGATTACAGGCGTGAGCCACTGCGCCTGGCCCTACTTTCATACATATACTTTTAAAAAGTGTGTGTGTGTGTATAGAGGCAGGGGCTCAGGGAGCCAAAGTACGCAGGAGTCATAATGGGGACCCGGCCTGGTTGTTTTTCTGTATCATACGTGGGATGTGGATCAAAAGTGTCAGTGAATTTCATGTCAGGTCCAGGCGTGTCTCTCTTTGTGGACGTCTTTCAATTGTATGCATTCATGTATTTGTTTAACTCAATAGGTCCCTTCTCAGTCACATGTTCTTTTTTTGTTTGTTTTTGTTTTTGTTTTTTGAGACCAGGTCTCTCTCTGTTGCCCAGGCTGGAGTGAGGTGTGATCTCGGCTCACTTCAACCTCTGCCTCCCAGGCTCAGAGGATCCTCTCACCCCAGCCTCCCAAGTAGCTGGGACTACAGGTATGAGCCACCAAACCCAGCTTAAATATATATATATATATATATTTTTTTTTTTTGTAGAGAAGTGGTTTGCCATGTTGCCCAGGCTGGTCTCCAACTCCTGAGCTCAAGCGATCCACCCATCTTGGTCTCCCAGAGTGCTGGGATTACAGGCGTGAGCCACTGCACCCAGCCCCACATGTCCTTTTGATTCTACTTCCTAAATGTCTCTCCAGTCTGTCACCTTCTCTGTAAATCCACTGTGGTCACCTTCATTCAGGCCACTGGTACGTTTCTCCTGGACTTTTACAATAGCTTCCCGTTGGGCGTTTTGTTTCCAGCCTTGTCTTCTACATATATATCCAAGGCAATCTTCTAAAAATCAAATCTGCTCATGTCAGTTTTTTGCTTTAAAACTCTCTGTGACTCTTTGCTGCCTAAAGTGGCTGTTTCTGAGGTAGGGTGTGTGTCCTCGAGGAAGCAGGTAAGGTAATTCATGGGAGCGTAGAAGAAAAACAGAACCCTTGTTTGTATTTACCTTTAATTTGATCCTTTAAACACTTGTATTTTTTGTATGCTTTATTTATTTACACAATACATGTACATTATTCATAAATATAACATGTATTATATTGGGAAAGGTATGGGTACCTTTCTTTTTTTCTTCACCAAAAGGATGCATCATCAAAAGTGTTTGGAGACCTTAAGAATGATGTCCAAATTCATTAGAATCACAATAGGCCTCTCTGATATGAATCAGATTTACCTTCGAGATCTTACCTGCTTAGTTCTAGCCGCACAGGACATCCCAGCTGTAAGCTCTTAAGCTTTCATGCATTTATGAACATTCCATACACAGAATGCACCTCCCCAATCATCATTCCTCACCTAATCAACTCCAACTCCTCCTTCACCATCCAGCTCCCTGGGATGCTCTCAGAGTTCCTCTCTCCTGTGTGCTGCCTTAGCTGCCTTAGCGTAGGTTGGTGCAAAAGTCATTGCGGTTTTAGACCGTGAATTTTAAATCATTAGAACTAGACTCAAACACATCTTCATTAATCAAAACAGGAACCATTGCAATCAACACATTTTTGCCAATGATTAATAAGTTTGTTTATTCCTGCAGTGTAAAAATCCATGCTTCGGGATTCGACGAACTCTTGGAATGCATTTTCTGCATCCTGCTTGTTGGGGAAGCATTTTCCCTGCAAAAAGTTATCGAGATGCTTGAAGAAGTGGTAGTCAGTTGGCGAGAAGTCCGGTGAATGTGGCAGATGAGGCAAAACTTTGTAGCCCAATTTGTTCAACTTTTGAAACTTTGGTTGTGCATTGTCATGAAGAAGAATTGGGCCCTTTCTGTTGACGAATGCCGGCTGCAGGCATTGCAGTTTTCGGTGCATCTCATCAGTTTGCTGAGCATACTTTTCAGATATAATGGTTCCGCTGGGATTCAGAAAGCTGCAGTGGATCAGACCGGCCGTAGACCACCAAACAGTGACCAGGACCTTTTTTGGTGCAGGTTTGGCTTTGGAAGTGCTTCAAAGCTTCTTGTGGGTCCAGTCACTGAGCTGGTCATCACCAATTGTTGTATAAAAGCCACTTTTTGTCGCATGTGGCAATCCAATTGAGAAATGGTTTGCCGTTGCGTTGAATAAGAGAAGACACTTCAAAATGATGATTTTCTTGATTTTCGATCAGCTCATGAGGCACCCACTTATCGGGCTTTGTCACCTTTCCAATATGCCTCAAATGCTGATGTTGAGTTCTTCAGCAACTTCTTGTGTGGTTGTAAGAGGATCAGCTTCAATGATTGCTCTTAGTTTGTCATTGTCAACTTCCAATGGCCCACCACTACGCTCCTTGTCTCCTTGAACTGCCACTGCACTGTACATTCGTTAGCAGTTCCTGGGCCAAATGCATTGTCGATGTTACGAGTTGTCTCTGCTATTTTACGACCCATTTTGAACTCGAATAAGAAAATCACTTGAATTTGCTTTATGTCTAACATCATTTCTATAGTTTAAATACACATAAAATAAACAGCAAGTGATAAGTCATTAGCAAACATAAAGCGAGAAATGTCCATTAAAATGATGTATAACATAACCACATTTATTTAAGAATGTATTCCAGTATTATACAGCAAATTCCAACAATTCAAAAACTGCAATTATTTTGCACTCACCTATTTGTTTCATTTTATTTTTCTTTTACCATGTGAGGAGCACGTTTTTGTGTGACTACATTTATAGAGCAGCTATTAGATGCAGGGCACAGTGTGAGTCCATTTCTATATGTCATTTCAATTCATCTGTCCTCTAAGTGACCAACTCATCTTGATATGCCTGGGATTTTCTGGGTTTTAGCACTGGAAGTTCTGTGTCCCAGGATGCCCTTCAGTCTCAGGCAAACCAGGACGAGTGGTCAACCTATAAAATAATCCATCATGCAGATGAGAAAATCAAGGCTCAGAGAAGTTTTAAGAACTTAGCTGAGCTCAAGAAGCTAATTAGGGGTGGGACCTGGCTGTATCCCTCAGAAAATCCGTGCTCTGTCCATCATGTTGTCATGCTGCCTGTTCATGGGCAGGGACTGGTCTCATTTCACTTTGTATCTTCATGCCTGCTGTGATCCCTGGCATATCTGATGAATGCATGAATGAGGTCACCAATACATAATCAAACATTTATTACATAGCGACCCCGTGAACTAACTAAGGCATGCCTCCTCCCATCCTGTGATTCTGCATAGTCACAGAATGTTAGAAAATCCGACTCAGAGATGATGACTTGCCCAAGGTCACGGTGCCAGAAGGATGGTAGAGTGGGAGCAGAACCTGTGTTTCCTGACTCATACTCCAGGGATCTTTCTTTTCTTTTTTTCTTTTTTTTGGAGATGGAGTCTCACTCTGTCACCCAGGCTGGGGTGCAGTGGCGCCATCTCGGCTCACTGCAACTCCGCCTCCCGGGTACATGCCATTTTCCTGCCTCAGCCTCCCGAGTAGGTGGGACTACAGGTGTCTGCCACCACGCCCGGCTAATTTTTTGTATTTTTAGTAGAGACGGGGTTTCACCGTGTTAGCCAGGGTGGGTCGATCTCCTGACCTTGTGATCCACCTGCCTCGGCCTCCAAAAGTGCTGGGATTACAGGCATGAGCCACTGCACCCGGCTGGGATCTTTCAGTTAGAGCTCTACATGAAATAAACTGAGGGGCAGAGGAAATAATGAGAGAAGACTGGGCTCTTTTCAACATCTAGCCGAAGACACTAAAGCAGCTCTGAAATGCCAGCATTTGCACTGTTTAAAAAACCCAAAGATTGGGAACTTATTTTCTTAAAAGGAAAGAAGAGTAACACGGTCAAAAAGGAGTGTTTTCCGCATCGGGAGGGCTTTGTACTGGAAAGAAACGGAGGAACTGCCACGTTTGGCACCCAGAAGGATGCCTTTTTTTTTTTTTCTGTGTGAATCCTCCCCACTCCCACCTCAGCCCACCCCGCAACAGTCAAGCTTTGGGTCCAAACCAATCTGGCATCTCTAAAATGGAAGCACTGTTTGGAGACAAAGTGGCCAGGCACTGCCGGCCAGAGAAAAGACAATGCCCCACACCCACGGCCTGCCCGCACTGAAATGCCTATTCATCTCCATTTTTATCGACATCTCTTGGCTTCCAGGCCCTGTTTGTGCTTTGTCCTTGGTCCTTATTGACCTATTGGATTCGGAGGGGAAGCTCAGCCGCAGGCAAATGGGTATTTTAATCCACAATGGAAAACATGGGTTCCTCTAGCGCCACTGGCAGCTCCCAGCATCTTGACCCTGACCTTTTCAGCAGCGTGTGGCCACACACTCTACCCAGGCCAAAGAACGAAAGGGCCCCAGGGCACACACTGGGGCCAAGAAAAGGAATCGAATGGTGGAATGTTGCTGACTTTTCCTTCTGGATCTGCCTTTGAGACTCTTGCATGGGAAAAAAGGGTGAAGAAGGGGCAGAAGCAAAGCTTAGTCTTTGTCTGATTCAGTCTTTGCACTCCCCCTGCCCCCTCCTCTGGCAGGCCATGGAGGCCACACCTGGCACACCTGGGCATGTTCCAGATGCTTATAAAGGTCCAGGGAAGCAGGGCTGCTCAGTCATTGTGAGGATCTGGGAAATTCTCAGTCCTCATGGGTTCTGTGAGCAGCCAAGGTGATCAGCCCTGACAGGATGGTCAGGATGGCAGTGAAGAGGCTTGATTGATTGACAGGTGAGCAGACGATGGGACTCTCGGCAGCCCTAATCAGCGAGAGAGTTGCTTCTGAGCACAGCTCAGCTAATGTCCCACGCTGTTCCGGAGCCTCAAGGAAGAATGGGCTGACGGTGGTCCCAGGCCTCCTAGACCAAGTGCAGCTGGCGCAGACCTCTGGCGTGGTTGACTCGGAACCCGTTCTGGGAACGTGAACTTGGATTCACCTTAGCAATAAGTGCTCAGGAATGTGTTGGAATTGCTGCCAGCTCCTGGGACAGGCAGACCCCAGAACACTGGAAGAGATCTGAAGCCCTGGCACCCCTACCAGCCCCATGGGCTCCACATTCAATCAAGCAGGTCATCGGTTATCTCTACCTTCACATGGCCTGGAAGCCCAGCAGGCAGGGTTTGCTCTGTGATATGACAATGCTGCTGAGTCTCCTGTCACTCACCGCAGCACCTCTGCGTAGTAAACGGCGTCTTTCCTGGGTCTATGACAGTTACCATAGCTCTTCCAGGACCACAGAAGTACCTACCTTGTTCTGGTTTTGTGATCAACACTGATACATAAATGTAAAGAAGGCAACCGGTGCTTGAGGGGACATCTAGTGTATTGGGAGGTGAGGAGCAGGCCAACTAGTTCAGAGGCTCTGACTTGGTTGGAGAGGGGTAAACCCAGGTGTTACGAGGGTGCTTGGTTGGGGGGAATCTGGTGTAGGCTAGAGGGGCCAGTGCAGGTTTCCTGGGGGTGCTGAGACCTGGGGCATGAAGAAGAGTTACTTATGTGAGGAGGAGAGAGGAGCTCCAGGCCAGAAAGTCCACATCCACTACACCAGAAGCTCCACCCGTTCCGGAACCACACTCCCTGGACTGGCTCTGGAATGTACACCCATGTTTAGCACAGCGCCTCCTAGTGTTCCCAAGTCCCCACTCGCTACTTGGCTGTTGAACAAATAAGCTCAAAGGTCTGGAGGTGAGTGCCTGAACGTTTTAGCTGGGCTGGAGTGGACCTGAGGAATGTGTCCCCTGGGGTGTGGGGCAGGAACAGGGAGCAGAAGCCAGAGGTGAGGCTGGGGAAGGACAGTGGCTGGGAAGTTGCTTTTGGGCACTTGCACTTTCTCCTGAGGGCCAGCGGTCGGAGTGGGGGAAGACTGGAGACCTGCTTCTCCATCCTTTCCCTGCCCTCACTTTCTTCATTTTCTTAGGAGCCAACAGACCTGTGCAAACCTCAGCTTTCCCCAGTTCAGCTCCTTTTCCATCTTCTTGATTTCTGTATTTTTAAAAAAACAAGGCTGCATTATATTGTAGGAGAACAATAACCCACTGGACCACATCCTGGTAAGGAAGAGCTGCAAAGCCATGGCCTCATCACTGTAGACATAAGCTTCCAACAGTGCCCCATTGTGGCATTTGATTTAACTCAGCCCTTCAAAAACATGCATTTCTGACTTAAATTCTGCACACCATCACCATATCCCCAGCAGATGTCGCTAACGTCTCACATTTTGGTCATGCCAGCAGCACGCATCTCAGGCAACAAATATTTATTAAGCAGCGAATGTGCATTGTGCACCAGGCTGAGCACTTTGTAGATAAAAATTCCTGGGGCATGACCCAGGACATGAAGAAAAGTTACTTAAGTGAGGAGGAGAGAAGAGATCCAGATCATTTTTTGATGACAAAAGAAGGTAACATAAAAAAATAATGGACTGTCTGAAAAGTTCTTTCCCATTGAGGTACAAGTTTGTTTCTGGCTATGCAATGTGAAATTGGAACTGAATGTCTGGGACCACCTCGAAGCTTGTTTCAAAGGCCTATTACTACGTGTCTTTTAGACAGATTTTATTTCAGCTTGCCTAATTGAAGCCTCTGGAATCTCTAATGACAGAAGTGTAATTCATATTTCTACATTTCTTCTGGAAAGGAAGGCCCGAATGAGAAGGCAGCACTAAACAAACCGTGAAGTCAAAGTTGAAGTATGGTTGCTAGGGGAAGAGTGTCGAGAGCCCCATGAGGTGGTTGCCCTCTGAGATGGCTTGTTGCCCAAGTGGGTGGTGTCTATTTGGTTGGACTTGAAGAGGTTCTGTGCATCGAAGTTGCTCCACATGGCTGTGCTGACAATGCTTGGAGCTTGGACCTGGAGGTTTGAAGCATCATTATTGAGCAAGTATTCATCCAGCACAACACCCCAGCTCATAGAATGGCTTTGACTGGTGAAATCCCAGATGTGGATGATGTAGAAAGTCCCCTAAATCAAGCACACAAGTCAGACTTGGTACAAAGAGATTATTGTTAGTTCCAATCCATGTCTATCTAGTGGACATCTCAAACCAAATATGTCCCGAACTGAGTTCCTGCTATTCTCCTTCAAACCTGCCATCTCCAAGGTCTTTTTCATTGCAATTAGTTGCAATTCCATGATTTCAGCTGGTCAAACCAAAAATCTTGTGGTTAACTCTTAACTTTCTCTTTCTCCATATCTAATTTATCAGCAAACCATATCAGATGTATCTTCCTAAATATATCCAGAATGACTCTATGTCATATCACCCCATGCCACCACCTGGTGGAAGTCACCATGGTATTTGCTTGTATTATTGCAATAAGCTCACGGATTTCCCTACTTCCACCTTTGCCCCTATTTGGTCTGAAATTCAGTAGCCAGAGTGGTCATGTCCTTCTCTGCTTAAAATCTTCCAGTGGTTTCTCATCTGACTTAAGGTAAACATCAAGGCTCCATGTGATCTGGCCCCAGTTATCTCTGACCTCCTCTGCTTCTCTTCCTTTCCTGACTGGCTCCAGCTGCACCAGGATCCTCGCTGGTTGCTGAACTCCAAGGGGCACACTCGACACCTTTGCACTTGATGTTCCCTCTGCCCAGAATGCTTTTCCCCCAGGGATTTGCATGGGTGGGTCCCTCACTTCCTTCAGGTCTTCCCAGCAAAGCTACATGAGTTTCTCGGGGCTACTGTAACAAAATACCACAGGCTGGGTGGCTCAAACAACAGAAATGTATTGCTTCACAGTTTTGAAGGCTGAAAGTCTGAGATCAAGGTGCTCGCAGGGTCTGTTGCTTTTGAGGGCTGTGAAGGAAAGGTCTGCTCCAGGTACTCCCCTCCATCCCCCACCCCCAGCATGAGTGGCCACCTTCATGCTCACATGGGTGTTCTCCCTGCCTGTGTCTGTCTCCAAATTTCCCTGTTAGGAGAACACCAGTGACATTGGATTCAGGCTCACCCTAAAACCTCATTTTCAGTTGATTACCTCTGTGAAGACCCTATCTCAAAAAAGGTAATATTCTGAGGTATCAGAGATTAGGACTTTAAATATTAAATTCTAGGGAGACACATGTAAACTCATAACAAAGAACTTCCCTAGGTACCCTACTTAAGATCCCACCCAGTTAGGGAGCCTGGCACTCCCTAATGCCCTTCCCTGCCTTAGCTTTTTTGCTCTTGAGAACCTTATTACCATCTAATGTGTCTGCTACATGTTACTTACCTGTTCTGTTTATGGCCTTTTTCCTTGGATCAAAGGTCCATGAAGAAGAGGTCTTTGCCAGGCGCAGTGGCTCACGCTTGTAATCCCAGCACTTCGGGAGGCCGAGGTGGGCAGATCACGAGGTCAGGAGTTTGAGACCAGCCTGGCCAAGAGACCAGTCTGGCCAATATGGTGAAACTCCATCTCTACTCAAAATACAAAAATTAGCCAGGCATGGTGGCAGGTGCCTGTAGTTCCAGCTGCTCGGGGGGCTGAGGCAGAAGAATTGCTTGAACCCAGGAGGCGGAGGTTGCAGTGAGCCAAGATGGCGCCATTGCACTCCAGCCTGAGCCACAGAGTGAGACTCTGACTCAAAAAAAAAAAAAAAAAAAGTAGGGGGGGTCTTTGTTCATAGTTGTTTTTCCATCACCTAGAATAGTACCTGGCATACAGTAGATGATCAGTACATAGGATAGAAGATGGAGCTGATGAGGGCCACTGTAGACTAATGTGAATGAGCTAATATTACCAGGTAGAGAGAGGTGGGTGAGGGGGTCAGCTATTGGTTGATTTAAGGAAGAAAAACACCATGCAAGTATAACATGGGGCCCAGGGTGAACCATCCCTTTTTTGGCCTCTCCTGCTTTTACAATGGGGACTTCATCTCAACCCAGGCCTCAGAGTGCAGGCTCTGCCCTTTAGCTTGCAGACTGCGTTCTAAATGAAAGCAGAGATTTCCTCCAAGCACAGAGCACACCACAGAGCACAGTGAACAGCCTGCTGTTTTCAGGCCCTTGTCAGAAATGATGACGCTTGCATGTGGCAAACCAGCAGCTCAAGGTTTGGAAGGGGAGCTGCTGTTCAGGGATTCCTGGCCTGGAGTCCCTGCAGAGGGCCAGCAGGGAAAGGAATGGGGTGGCATCTAGCAAGAGCGCTTTGCCCAGTCCTCAGAGAAGTTGTGGCCCAAGGTCTAGTCAGCATTTTTGCCTCCAAACACAGGAATAATAATAGCATGAATACTAACAGGAGTATTATCCCAACTTGGCAAGCTATAGGAAGATACCTTCATTCAGATAAATCAGCCAATACTTAGGGAGCCATTGCTTTGTCCTGGCATTGTGCAAGGCATGAGGGGATTCCAAAAGGAAATCTCTCATATTCTTATTTCACTTTAGCATGAACAAAGAACTCGCACATGCATTGTCCATTTCATTCTCACAACTGCCCTGTGATAGAAATGTTCTATTATCTTGTTTGACAAGAAGGGGAATGAGGATAAGAGAAGTCAAATGACTTACCCACAGCCATGTATATTCAATGATTGAGGAAAAATGTGGGTACACATCTTCTGGCATGCATCCTGTATTAATAATAATAACAGGCCGGGCGTGGTGGCTTATGCCTGTAATCCCAGCACTTTAGGAGGCTGAGACTGGAGGATCGCTTGAGCACAGGAGTTTGAGACCATCCAGAGCAACATAGCGAGATCTCTTCTCTTAAAAAAAAATTATATACACACACACACACACACACACACACACACACACACATACATACATATAAGCCCAGTGTGGTGGTGCTCACCTGTAGTCCTAGCTACTCAGGAGGCTGAAGCTAGAAGATCCCTTGAGTCCATGAGTTCAAGGCTGCAGTGAGCTAAGATCATGCTGCTGAACTCCACTGTGGGTGACAGAGTGAGACCTTGCTTTTAAACACACACACACACACACATACACATACACACACATAAAGTATCACTAATTGGATGTGAACTATGTACCAGGCACTGTATTTCGCACTTTATATGCACTTTCTCATTTTACTTTTCACACAACCTTGTGAGGTAGGGAGCATTTTATGAGATGCAGAAACAGCAGTGAAGAGCAAGGTAGAAACTTTCGCCAGTTTTCCCAGCTCTTGATAATGGAAGGTGGTTCCTGAAAGAGTAGCAGGTGCAATCGGCTGCAGGAATTCAGATAAGAGATGGGGGCAGGGGCTCGATGTCAGATGGGACATCCAGGAGGGCTTCAGAGTGCACCAATCCTTATTTGGTAGGTAGAGAAGGAGTTCTGGGCACACTGTGTCGAGTGGGCAGAGAAGGGACAGGCCAGACCTGAGTGCTGGGGCCCGGCAGGGAGGCTGGGAGATGAGACAGGATGGGGCTGCACAGCTGGAGGCCAGGAGTACAGTGAGGAGCCAGGCGGACCAAGTCCCTACCCTTAAGGAGGCAGTAGCCAGCTTGGCACTTGGCAGCATGCCGTGATGCATTGATTCCAGGGGCTTTTCTGTTTGTTTATTGCAGGCATTCATCCCTGGTAGGACTGTGGAGTCAGCAGTGGGCACAGGACAGGGAAGGGGTGAGGTGTTCCTTTCCGGCATCCTCCCACGGCCTTTTCCCTTCCAGCTTCTGAGGCCTAGCCCAGGTCAACTGAATACAAAGAAGCATGAACAGTTCTTATTTCCTACATTAGTCAAGTCACTTAAAAAAAAACACCAAAAAACTAATTAGTTCTGGCAACTGCAGGTCTACACCAGCTTTCCTAACCACCGTGAGCTGAAAGGGTCTTAAAAGTCTCCTGAGACGGCTGTCATCTGATTTCTGGATTGCCCTTGCAACCATCTCTGCTGGTTGATTTCGGGTCTGTTTGCACATCTCTGATGGGGAAGAGCTCATTGTCCTGAAGGCAATTCTGGTGGCCTGGGCTGCTCTAGTTAGGGCCAAGACACACACACACACACACACACACACACACACACAGTTACACAGAGGTATATACGTATCCTTCTCAGTCTGGCCTCCAGATTTCCCACCTTGAAAGGGACTTGAGAGTTGAGACACCACAGCCCTGTTGTTGCTGTAGAACTTGGGAAGGGCAGGGCACGGTGGCTCATGCCTGTAATCCCAGCACTTTGGGAGGCTGAGGCGGGAGGATTGCTTGAGCCCAGGAGTTTGTGACCAGCCTGGGCAACATGGCAAGACCCCATCTCTACAAAAAATACAAAAATTAGCCACGCATGGTGGTACACACCTGTAGTCCCAGCTACTTAGGGGGGCTGAGGTGGGAAGATCACCTGAGCCCGGGGAGGTTGAGGCTGCAGTGAGGCATGAGCTGTGATCATGTCACTGCACTCCAGCCTAAGTGACAGAGTGAGACCCTATCTCAAAAAAAAAAAAAAAAAAAAAGAACTTGAAGAACTTGGGCAGCAGCTCTTGCCGCTGTCTCAAGGCTTCCAGGTGGGCTAATTGCTTTAATTGCTTTTGAGACTTCAATGTCTTTGCCCTCTGTTGATGTCGTGTTGTTTTTTGGTCGGGACCCCAAGAACAAGGTGACCAGTAGAGGGATTTTCTCAGGAAGTGATTTTCACTCAAGTTGGGAACTTTCACACAACTTGGGAACTTCCAGATGTCTGTGAGTAAGAGGGGCCTTCCAGAGACAAGGGTACACTATTACTTCCCATGGTGGCATTTCGGGCAAGCCAGCCTCTGAGGCTGGGACTGCTGTTCAGGGTCTTCCAGGGAGAGGAAAAGTCCAACCAGGAGAACTTGGCGTTTCTACCCACCCATTTCCAGGTTGGAAACCTGGGAATATAGGAACCACCCAGAGATAATGGCGTGAATCCCCAACAGGGGAGCTTGTTCTTTTAGAGGAAGATTTCCAGACCTGTTGAGATCTTCTTCACGGTGTGGCTGTAGCAGAAAATAATGGTGACATGATATGGCTAGACAGGGGGGGCTTGGTTTACCCTGGTTCACAAGTGTCACGTGAGGAGAATTTGGAAGTTCCTTAACTCCAGGCTGGAGGGAGAGCAGTGGACTCAGAAGGTGGCTACAGAGTTTACTATGGGACTGCCGTGGTGAGCAGTGACATGACCTTGTGGCAGAAATGCCCATAAAGCTAACCATAGGGTACTGTCTCAATTCCCAACACTTGGAAGACCCCCATCCCCAGGATAAGGATGGATGATTAGAAGCCACAGTGGGGCCAAACACAGGCCGAGTTTCTCCTGGGCAGGAGAAACAAAATAAAGAAATGCGACTGGACCCAGCTCTGAGTCTGGCTGGATCAGGGATCTGAGTGCATTCCCCAGGAGCCCTGCACTAGCTCAGTCCTCAGGATGCCACTTTCTGCCTAGAAAGTCAGCCCTGCTGCTTAGGTGCTGGGAAGGGGAACTGCTATGGCTCTGTTTAGGCAAGAGAAATTCCTGCTGCCTTCAGTAACAGGAGTACTTCAGTAAAGAACATCAGCAAGTCTAATGCTTTAGGAATCTCATTTGTTGAAAGTAGTGAATGAAGAGCAAAGGCTCATGGGGTATTCAGAAGACCTCAGACAAAAAACCTCAGACGCAACCTCATGCCTTGAGTAGGATTCTGTTGCTAGTGCACCAGGGCCAGGACCAGAAGTTTCATTTTGAGTTTTGAGTTTTGCTAACAGGAACAGGCTTCTGAGTTCACGGGAGCCCTGTGCATCTTCCCAGTACCGGCTATCCCACTCGAAATTGAAGAAAATCTCATCACGTCCTTAGCAATGGGTATTTCTCTTTCTTTCCTATTCCCTTCCCAAGCTGGAACCTAGGGCTTCTTCCCATTCTCCCTTCATCTCCTGCATTCTCCAGGTTCCAGGAGGACCCCATGGGGTCAGCCCCTACAGATGAAGTGATTTAGGGATCAGGACTTCTCTCTTCCAGTGGCTGCCTTAGAGACAATGCCCTTGTGTTTTCTCTTCCCATTTCCCCTTGTTTCACAGAAGTGCCACTTCCTGGTGATGAAAAACCCAAGAAAATTATCTTCAGGTCTTCTTTCCCATTTCTCATAAAAAGCCAAGCCCTTTGCATGGATGTGCGACAACAGGTGGCTTCATCCACGAGGTACTGTGCTGAGCCAATACTGCCGCCCACAAGTGGACGGAGGGAAAGGGCAATTTGTCAAGAAAAGACTGTCCTGAGAGACTGTATTAGTCAGCTGAGGCTACATTCTGCTGAGTAAGAAACCACTACCAGACCTCAGAGACTTCTAGTGATGATGTCTGATTTCTCACTCAAGTTAGACGTCGTTCACAAGCCAGGACTCTGCTCCATGTTTCCTGTGATCCAGGACCCAGGCTGACAGGGGTGCCTTCATCTGGAGCAGGGCAGGTCTCACAGCACAGCAGGCATGGCAGGTGCAGGCTACCTCATAAAGCTTCCACAGACATGTCTCCCCATTTTTCACTGGACAGAGCAAGACACTGGGCCACTCCTGGGTTCAAGAAGGTGAGGTTTATAATCCCCCTGCAAGGGGGAGATGGACACATGCCAAAGGCCAAACTTGACCTCGATGGGCAAGATGTACAAATTTCCTGTTTACACAGAGAGAAGATGCTGAACACTCAGTCTGCGCTAGTGTATATACCGCCTGGCATCCCACTGCCCCAGAGCATCCTTATTATCCCTGTGCTGCTCCATCCACTCATGGCTCTTCCGCTGTCAGGACCTCTATCCTGGGCCCCGGGCATCACCACTGGGCTGGTAGCTGCACTCAGTATCTGGGCTGGTGAGGGACAGTTCCTGGTCCTGCTCAAGTAGGGTGAGGCAATGACAATGGTTGCCAGATTCCCCAGATTTCAGACTCTGAGAACACTGATGCAATTTCCAAAATAGGGTGTTTAGGTTCTGCAATAACCCAATGGCAGGATAAGTGATTTAGGCTTCTATGGGCTGCCTGAGAACCTCTTCATCTACTTGTAGCTCTTTCAGTGAGCAAATGACTTCTGAGTTCCAACCCCCTGAGCATCATATGCTGCCAGAACAGAGCTATTTAATCCACACACATCACAGAGAAAGCAAGAAACTAAGAGGCATGAATAGTGTCTTTAACATAGTCTCATATTTGGAAAAGCAGTTTTAAAAAAAAATTGAAAATACAAGATAAGGTAAGGGTTACTTATATAAGTTTTAACCTTATATTGCTTGGCCATTTTTACATATAAATTATTGCTTACTAGCTTCGATAAATACACAGCACAGTCATATACATATATATTATATATATACACAGAGGCAGAAAGCATGGAATATGGGAAAGAAAACACTGTTAATGGCAATTCTGGTAACTCAACAAATGTTTCATATTTACCAGTTCTTTAAATGGTGGAAAACTACCAAGTGTAGTCCCTGAGAAGTTAGGTAGACACCCTGATGGCGGGTTCTCTATCTTCTAATTGTTAATGCAAGCTGACAATATCACAGCAGCCCTAATTAATGATACATTAAAAGGCAAGATTTCTTGCTTCAGGTCACTGATTTCATCCCAGTATTTAATAACAGTGTGATACGAATACAATAAATAGACTATGCAAATAAATATTACTCTGCTAAAAAATGTTTAGTATATACAGCTTTGCTTTATACAGTAATACATTTGCATCTAACTTTTTGGCAATTTTTAAAAACTTCCCCCCCGCCCCCCCACCAGTTTTAAGCAAAACTGGCCCACTCGCTAAGAAGCAGGCTGAAATTTTAAGGACATGTTTTTGAAACATTTAAAAGAAATCCTGTGTTGGACCACTGCGGAAGACCCGATCGTCCCCATTTTAATGTTTTTGCCCAGTTTCTGAAAAGCCTGGATTGGCTGCGCCATTTAGGAACATTCAGTTCCGGATCTGCGGTGTCTGTGCTGGCTAGAACAGACTCGCAGGGCTGGGATATGGGTAGCAGTGAAAGCCCAGCTCCAGGGATAAGAAGTCATCACTGGTACTCTCTCTTTCATGCCACGATTTCTCCTCCACTCAGAGGCAAGTATATATTCATGCAGCATCCTCTCCCTGTGGACTAGGCAGTGTGAGCACTGACCTTATCCACATGCTTCTAAATTCGGTGTATGCTCCACACTACCTGTTTGTGGTTCTCGGTCTAGGGAAATGAATTTATTCTAAACATAATTAAGGAAACTAGAAAAAAGTGAATGCAGGTCATGTGTATCACTATAATCATTTGGCAATTATACAGATGACAAAGAGCAAATTCAAAACACCACACTCTAGGGAACACCTGCAAATGTGTATGTAAAACAAAATTTTTTTTAATAGCAAGGTTGTGATTTTGCCTACGGGGTCCTGCATTCTGCTGTCTTGTGCTAACTTCTAAGCAGGGCTAGTTTGCTGGAATGCTGACGAATCCAAAGACCCACAGGACTGTCTGAGAGTTGTGCTGTAACAAAAAGAGCCCACTTAGAAGTGCCCCTGCACCACCTGGTGCCGAAGGTGCCAGATTACGTAAGATTTGCAGAGTGAGCGAAGATTTTATGCAATAATAAAACTCCAAATGAGAGCTGGCAAAGAGCTTAGCCATCTTCTAGACCACGCTTCTAGCCAGAACAAACCCTATTCTGAAGAGGCCTTGGTGAATATCCAGAGAGGGTGCATGGCCCATCCTATTAACAAGGAGCACTCAAGCCCCACCACTGTCCACCAGTGAACAGCTCAGATTCCTTAGAAAGAGCTTTCTGTTGAGTAATATCTGGTTCTCACAATTCGGGCTTGAATTCTTTAATTCCAGATCTAAGATTCTGCAAAGCTTTGGAAACTTCTGAGAGCTGCTGCCTGGCAAACCTCTGGAGACAGTTGTTAAACTTCAGAAAGATGCAGAGATTTTAGACATTCAGAAGACAAGGATGGAAAAGCAAATCTTGACTGCACAAAATCCTCCCTTCCCTCTGCTACCCCTAGGACCACCTAACCACGGCTGGAGGAAGAGGTGAACAAGCATCATTTTCTCCCCAGCCAGTTTACACCCATGTCATGTGAGATACTCTGAAGTCACTGTACAAAATGCATTTAAATACCACATTTGTGTAGCTTCATCTGGCTTGGTGGGCATATCTGACTTGGGGTCTGAGCAGCATGCAATATGCTGAAATAGTTCTCCATGGAAAATTAGTCCCCTAAAGGTAATGTTCTACTAGGAGCAATGTAGTTCTAATGTAAATAAAAATCCAAATTTTGAAACACAGAAACAATGTCAGGATGGCCTTATATGATTACACTGGCCAAACCTTAGTCCAGGGCATAGGAAAAAGGTGAGAACACGTGCTTGTGCTGTAAGCCCATGCTATTGTTAGTAACTGCGTGAGGAGGGCTTTGGAGGGTTTGCTCAGCCCAGCCGTGAGGGAAGTCTGCTCTCCGGTTCTCACGGCTCTGGTGTCCTGTGGGCCACATTCCATGACGGCAGCATGCAGCATTTCTCTGAATGGACCAGCCCTGGAGGATGCCCTTCTATAAAACCCTATAAATGTTCAGGACTGAAGTTTTACATGCTGGGCCAAACTAAGTCTCTCTCAAAGTTCTCCCAAACCTTCTCTCCACATGGTTCCTTCCAGCAGTATCTCAAGCTCAGTGTGGTTCCTGAGCCCAGGAAACAGCACTGCTATAAAGATGTCAAAAAGCATTGGACACGCCTCAGTAATGAGGATGAATGAGGCGTTGATGAGACAAAAAGGAAACAGGTCTGTGTGGGCATGAAAGAGATGAACAGGCAGGAAGAGTGAGAAGTGCACCAAGACTCCTGCATTTGGAAAATGAATGGACCAGGCCCTTGCATTTTAGCAAGGTGACAAGTATCTAGCAGGCAGGGGTGGATTTCATTATTTTGACCCATAGGCTGTTTTGTTCATGTGAAGGTTGAAAGAAATCCTCTAACCAGTCCTTGAAAATATCAAGAGGTCTTATTTGCTACAGGAGCCTCAATTGGTAAAAATGGGAATAATAAGATTTTAGAAGACTCAGATTTTGAAAAAAAAAAAAAAAAAGGCAAATTATAGAAAGGCTCCCTGCTTTGGCTGGTAGTTGGATTATAGGACTTCTAAGTTGCCAACATTAATCAGACATTTGGCTATTTCAGGGCATTTTTCATTTGCCAAAACACTAGTAATTACCACTATCTTATTACCTAGAGAGTGCTAAGTGCTTCACTCATTAAATGTCACTTAACCTCCCTGCACTGGCTGCTGTCATTCCATAGTGTGGGCAAGGAGCCTGTATGAGGTACGCAAAATGCATCATCAGGCACAAGAATGCAGACTTTTGTGACTCTGTCACCTCAGCAAGCAGTTGGTGAGTGTTTGCAATGTGTCAGGCACTGTGCTTTTTCAAAATCATATTATGTCCAATAAAAGATAAGAGCCTGCTTAGAAGTATAAAGAAAATCCCCAGAAATTAAACAATGAGTCAATTTCTTAAAGATTACTATTTTTCCTTACTGGCAAAGCAACTTCATCTACCTTGCCTATAGCTGCAAATCAGTTGTACAGAAACTAATTTCACCTGCAAGCATGTGTCAATAGTTGATTGTGGTGCAAAGTGATGCACACCTTGACATTGTTCATCTGCCCATCAGAGCATGGATGCTAGCTGCAGTCCTCACTAACTCCCTAGACACAAGTGGCTTTTGGTGATGTCACAGGTTGTATCAACAGAAACCTCTCCTCCCTGGAGATCTAGAGATGCTGTCTCTGTCATCAGGTGTTCAAAAGAATGACTTCTTTGACAGCTTATGGACAGTAATCTAAAACTAGGCAAAGTAAAAACTCCTTCCTGTTTCATGCACGCTCTTAATGAAATATTTGGTCATTGCATGTCAAGACGTTGTCTTGTCTTGATGCTGGCACATCTCATATTGAAAACTGGACTGGATCAACAATGTGATCATAAGAAACCAGCCTTCTCCATCTCAAGAATGCTTCTGACTCTCCTTCTGCCTTCTTGTCCCGAGAGTAGCATGGAGAAACCTCTCCCCCTCTCTGGTGGCTGACATCACTTCCTGAACACGCTTTGGCTGGCTTTCCTGTGAATGTCTTGGGTTATACTGATAAAACTCAGCAACTTCTTTTCTCACAGGAAAGCAACGTGCTTGGCATAGACATTCCCGTAGCTCAAAGTGCTGCAGATACAGGGGAGGTGAGGCAGTGGGGCTCACACCCGAGGCTCGATCCTGTGTGAGAGCTCAAACAGAGCCTGCTGGCTGTCAATGACATACAGGTGATTAACATAGGACTTTAACTCTTGATGCTCTTTTGGAGACAGGTCACCTGTTGTTTAGAGGGGGAAAAAAGACAATCTCAGGAGAGCAGTAATGCTGTATCTACATACCAACAAAACCCCACACTAAGGCTGAGTAAATGTACTAGGTGGGTTCTCATTAGTCAGAATCCCATAAGAGGTGTCCTTGTCCTACAGTAGAAATGCTTTTTCAGCTCAGAATGGATTCCTCAGGTCAGGCAATCAGACTGGCAGGATACTTATAGCATTTATTACCTAACATTGTATATTATTTAGAAATTACGTTATTATCTCATTCCACAGATGGGGAAACTGAGCACAGTCACGCAGCAAGTTAACTGTCACAGCCAGGATTCGGACCCAGGACAGATGGTTCCTGAGCCCTTTTAGGTAGCCTTTCACAGCAGTTACCTGTTTAAATGGCCAGCACTGGGTCCTATATCTCAGTCTAGAAGCGTTGAAAATCGCTGATAATGTATTTAGCATATGAATGCAATCACTCTTTTTCTGTTGTTTAGATTTTGTACAATTCTTTGGTATTCTCATTTTTTGGAAAAAAAAATTTAATGGAGCAACTGAATGAACAGATACAACAGAACAGACTCTAAGATGTGGTTAACAGACGAAATAGCTTCAGAAAGTATGTGTATGGACTAAAGTCTACCCAGAGAAGGACAAGACAAGGGGCTTTTCCACTCACATATCTAGGGCAGTCAAGGAATCGAGGGGCCAAAGGAGGCTTTAGTGCACTGTGAACACATCCACACCCTGCTAGCGTCCGTGCTGATAAGGAACCAGGATGAAGCAGCATGAACCACGAGGCAAGCCCGTGCACCACAGTCAAACACACACACACACAAGCAAACCATTTGAGGCTGGGGAACACTGGCCAAACTGCACTACAGTAAAACAATGGAAAGGTGAGTGGTGAAGACATCATATCCTGTTGCTTTGTAGATTATGCATGGGACAGGCAGGGTGAGCTGCTGGAGCTCAGTTTGAGCAGAGGGAAGGGAAATGCAGGAGGCTGAGCATTTTCTTATAGCATTTTTTTCTCTTGGTGAAACCCCCTTTTTTCTCCTCTATAACAAATGTATTTTATGAGGAAATAATTTAAGACCTGTATGACATGGGTGGCTTATAATTCTTAGGTTTAATAGAAACAAGGCTTCCTGGTTTTAGCAAGTAAACACACTAGGTGTTAAAGTTTATACCATCCCACCTGTTTGAAAGTAACAAAAAGCTGTTTTATTCCAGAATGCCTTCTCTGGAAGACGTCGAGAAAGTTAAACATTGGTTTGGATAACACGATGCTACAAAGGTAATTTTATGTTAATTTTCAAGCCTTAAAAAGATGGCACAATGAATGGTTCTAACCATGGCAACTGACATTTGCATGACACTTTATAATGCATAAGTGACTTGATTAACATTTTCATATTTTATCCCAAATGCTGACATTGGTTTACTATGCTCATATAAACCGTTAAAATGAATTCGGATAATTCAGTTCCCAAACCAATTTTTTAAAGATACTGTATATAAATATTAGAACATCAACTGGCTTGATAGTTACTTAAATTTCTCCTTTGCTCAGTGCCACACAGAGGGTTGCTCTCTGATGAGTGGGAGGTTCAAGGCAGGTTCAAGGCCACACAAGTTAGTATAACTATCACCTTCCTGTCTATACTTGGAGCATATATAAACTAGAGTTCCTTGGTTAAGTGAGACTGATATCTTAGAATTAGCTGAATCCCCAGTAAACACTTGGGAAGCAAAGGAGGATAAAAGCAATATGAAGCTGTACTCATCAGCATTATGCTTATACATTTCAGTGAATCTCTGTGATGATGTTATGATTACTATTTTTATTGTAACTGCATTGCGCTTGTATGCTTGATGAAGAATTATATAGGTATATTAAAGTGGTACTAATTGATGTGAATATTTAGAAAATTAGGTCCTGTATTTATAAGTCTCCTTTTCAAAGAGAAAACATAATCCACACAGAAGTCCAGTTCCTAACTTACTTTGTTGGGGGACAATATTGCCAGCCTAGACCAGCACTGAACAGAAAAAAATTCTTAAGCAGGTGTACTCAATTGTTAGCAGTACTTTTCTTGAGAAGTAGGACTCTGATTTTCTACTTTATATAGACTTCTATATTGTTGAAAAAATTGTTTTACAATGGGCATGTCTTACTTAAAAAATGAAGTTGAACTGAGTGGTTGCCTTTGATTAATTTATAATTATTGAACTCAATTTTCTATTTTTTATTACCCTTTGTATCCACAGGATCTGTAGAGGGCAAAAGAGAGGGCGAGGAGGTAAGGTAGACTCAGTCTGAATAATAGCTAAATAAGTGAATCTCTCTGAGTCTCTGCTTTTTGTTCTACACCTACAGGGTTAATAATCCCCATTTGCTAGGACTGATGTCAGGATTCCATTGCCCATGTGAAAGCTCCTTCAACTCAATGAAGTTGATTTCCTTCCTTCCTGCAATGTTCTAACACCATTTAAACATAGTATAAATTATGGCTGAGATTTAAAAAGGAACAAATATTCCTACATACATTAGTCTCAGTGGGGATTCTACAAAAGTGCTCAGAACCACACTTTTGCAGCTGAAAGGCAGCTCCAGACAGGAAGTTTTTGTTGGAGAGGAGAAAAGATTCTGGAAGGCTGCTTTAGGCACTTTTACAAGCTATAGTCCTATTCCAGGAAGGCTCCACGCAAAGAGGTTAGGGGCAAGGTCACCCCTGCTAAACTCACCAGTGATTTTGAGCCAATGGACAAGCAAAGCAAGACACTGTGGGGACAGGAGTCAGCGGGAGTTGCGGGGAGGAGGTTTCTGAGTGTGTAAAGTCACTCTTCACAGCATAAACTTGCTGCCATGAGGGGATAATAATCTGCCATATCTTGTCTTCCTCTGCATCCCCAACATGCAGTGAGGAAACAAAGAGACAATCTACTATATATATACAATATGCGTATGTATATACATATGATACTTTTCAATCTGTTTAAATTGATTACCACCCAATACTTGTGACCACAGTTGGTACCAACGTAGAGTCAATTTACATTCCGCACCTGACTTCAATTACTCACCAAACTGGTTAGTCCTGCAGTGTCTCAGGGTTCGGACAGTGTCTGCGATCATATGCTGTAAAGTAGAACAGGAAACACATCAATGGAAGGGTCGTTGAGGGTGTTACTGAAGAAGCAGTGCCTGCTAGGATGGAAGGATAATCTAGCACTCTTGGCTGTAATAAAGAGAAGAACTGTATTTGGAGCTGGATGTAGCTTTGATTCTATGGAGCTTGGATTATCAAAGAATATTTAGTCCTTATCTGCAAAAACAGTAGCACCAGAATGGGTGAGGTGGCTCTCACCTGTAATCCCAGCACTTTGGGAGGCTGAGGTGGGCGGATCACTTGAGGTCAGGAGTTTGAGACCAGCCTGGCCAATATGGCGAAACCCCATCTCTACTAAAAATACAAAAAAATTAGCTGGGGGTTGTAGCAGGTGCTTGTAATCCCAGCTACTCGGGAGGCTGAGACAGGAGAATCGCTTGAACCTGGGAGGCGGAGGTGCAGTGAGCCAAGATCCCATCACTACACTCCAGCCTGGGTGACAGAGTGAGACTCCGTCTCAAAAACAAACAAACAAAAAACAGTAGCACCCAATCCGGGTTGCACAGGTTCTTATGAGCCATGAGAAAATACATTGTAGAGAAGTGCAGCACCCCCAGCCCCAGTCATCCTGTTCACATTTGCACATGTGTTTCACTTCAGGGTATGTGTCACCTCCTCTCCATGAAGCCTTTCTGAGATGTCCCTCCTGGACTCAGAGGCTCCAATCTCAACATCCCCACTGCTCTTCGTACAGCACCTATTGGCTTTGTGTCACTGTCATTGCTGTTGAACTTTTCTCCTTCTTTAGACCAAGTACCACCAGAGGGCTTTGGATGTGCAGAGCCTACTATGTCAGACACATTGACTTACACATATGTGCTGAATGGAGGTAGGAATTCTTGTAGATTCAAAGGTTCAAGTATCTTAAATTGTAACTGGAAATGAGATACTGACAAAAGATGAACATTTTCTAAAACATTAACATCATTTTTTTTGTTTTTTGAGACGGAGTCTTGCTCTGTCACCCAGGCTGGAGTGCAGTGGTGTGATCTTGGCTCACTGCAACCTCTGCCTCACCAGTTCAAGCAATTCTCCTGCCTCAGCCTCCTGAGTAGCTGGGATTACTGGCATATGCATCATACCTGGCTAATTTTGGCTAATTTTTGTATTTTTAGTAGAGATGGGGTTTCACCATGTTGGCTAGGCTGGTCTCGAACTCCTGACCTCAGATAATCCAACCAAATTGGCCTCCCAGAATGCTGAGATTATAGGTGTGAGCCACTGTGGCCGGCCAACATCAACATCTTTAGAGACCATTTTCTGTTCATAGTTTATATTCACGTACAGTCTTCAATATTCTAATTTAATTTCTTTCCTTGAAGTCCTCACTGATTCCCAGGCAAAAGTCTTCTTTTTTTTTTTTTTTTGAGATGGAGTCTTACTCTGTCACCCAGGCTGAAGTGCAATGGCGTGATCTCGGCTCACTGCACCCTCTACTCCCCAGGTTCAAGTGATTCTCCTGCCTCAGCCTCCTGAGTAGCTGGGATTACAGAGGCATGCCACCACACCCAGCTAATTTTTATATTTTTAGTAAAGACAGGGTTTCACCATGTTCAAGTCAGGCTGGTCTTGAACTCCTGACCTCAGGATCCACCCACCTTGGCCTCCCAAAGGGCTGGGATTACAGGCATCAGCCACCCCACCTGGCCGGCAAAAGTCTTCTTAAATGTACAGCTGCTTTGGACAAGATCCCATCATCTTATACTTTTGTACTTGCAAGAGTGAGCTGTCTCTACCACTTTTAGTTTTTCATGTTGAAGGAAGTAGCATTTTGGAAGCATATACGTATATGCCATAAGAGGAACTAGAGTGCAGTATGTTCTCTTCCAAAATGCTATGCTAGCTGGCTTAATTGCCAGAATAATCTCTAAATACTATTGTCTTCATGTTCTAGTTCTCTTGAGAATCAACAGTAGCTCTCTACTTTGTTTCATATCACAATACAAACATCATCCTATTATTCAAGAATTAATATCATTCATATCTGGGCCTCCAATTTGGGTCAACATCTTTCATGTCCCAACTATACACACTGAGCATAGGATCACCATATACAGCAAACCCTCAATGAATTATTGCTGAAAGAATATTAAACACTAAAATATGTTCTTACTTAAAATTCAGAAGAAATACAGAAATATTATTGGAATATGACCTACTGATTGAATTGTTGTCATAACCGTATTTCTAATGCACTTCTATTCGATAGTGGAAAATTGAATAGGACAGTGATTATTGCAGTAGCTCAAGCTGCATTTGTAAAGGAAATGAGACCTGACTCATGTCTGTGCATGTATTGTTCAGTTTCCTTCCCCAGATTTTACCACTTTTCCCAGGTCAGTTTTCTCATTTTAAGCTCTGGCGTCACATTGATTTCTATCATATGCCATTTGCGTAGCTTGTGCAAGGCTCAAACTGATGTAAGGCTGGGTAGTGGGTGTGGCATTGAAACCTGAGTTCTGGTCTTCATCTTTAGGCTTTCTAAAGGGGGAGGGGGTAGACAGGGTAAAAGATGATGCTCTTAACATCGAGGGATAAAGAGAAGAAAAGAAACCATTTGTTTCTTTTTATGAAACAGTTTGAGATGAAAACATTTCCAGTAGCTGAGGCAGCAAGGAATGTAGCATAAAGAACAGAAATCTCATTAGACCTGATGAGGGCTTCTGGATTTTCATGGGGTCTGACTCAGTGTACTGGCCTGCATCAGTCAGATAAAGATAATACACTGAATTATCTGTTAGCTGGCTTAAGTTAATATCCATCATGAGGAATTGACTTTTCACAAGTTAATTCACTTAGGTTCTATTGGTTCATTATCGTGAAAGATGATCCTGTTTTACCTTTAGAGAAACCCAGTCCTTTACTAAGAAATATTCCTTGAAAATAGTGTTTCTCCTAGAAAGGTCAGTCTCATTCTCCAGCATCCAAGTGTAACACAATGCTATATATGACATAAAACTGCTTTTTGTCCTGGACACAGTTTTATCCTGTCTACTCTGTGTAAGGAGGGGTCAGCATGAGGCATGCTGTGGACCAGGAGCTCACTAGTCCCAGGTGTGGAGCCTGCCCTCTGAGGAAATGAAGAGCCCGTGCCTGCCTGACGGGCTTGCGTGTGCGCTATGTGAGTGCTGTGTGCATGCTGAACTGCACCCATTTCTTCATTCTTTTATAAAATATAATTTCTCTTTAGGAATTTAAAATATTATTTATGCCATGCTATTCCCTTAAACTTTCTCAAAGAATTAAGGGTATGATGATTGACCCTAATAGAAGTCATATCATTTAGACCTCCTTCATTTCCAGCCCTATGGTTAGTTGGCAGTCTTGGCATATTTGAGAGCTGGCGTTAAGAGGCTTCTGCTGGATTACTGGAGAGAGCAGGGGAGGGCCACAGATGCTGGTCAGAAGGAAGGTGGGAACAAGCTTTCCACAGCTTGTTCCCATTTGTGACTTTATGGACTTGTTCAGGTTTTTTTTTTATTATCTTGTCACTTTGGTGGCACTATCTGAGGGGGAAATGACATAATGAACTTAACAAATTCACTGGTTCACTTTAGGGAGGTCAACCTCACGTCTGCCCTCAACAACAGGCAACAGCCAGCTGATAAAGAGTTTAGTTGTTCTCCCACGGCCCCTTGGACTAGTCAGGGGAAAGGATTACTAGGCCTTTCCAGGGAATTCCACTTGGCGTGACACACCTCATCCCACATCTTCACAGATGCTCCACAAATCTCATGTGTTGTTCTTAGGGAGATGTGTTGGCCAGGAAGCGAAGTAAATATTGACCAAAGGCTTCATATTCCCGCAATTGTTTCATTAATCCCAAACGACAGGGATTAACCTGCTTAGAGGCAAGAATTCTAGTGCCTGCAGCCTTTCATTAAGTGCCCTGTGATCTTCAGAATATCACACAGCAACACAAAACACGTACAAAAAAATAACACTTTATCCATTTCTGGCTCTGTTGGTTTGACTGTAGCATCTAAAATAACTGAGCTCTGATTCCAAAACACTTACTGCAGAGACAAACTTGAAAATGTATTGACAGAGCCACTTAGAAAAGCACTAGCCGTGAAGTGATGGTCTTCGGTGTGGTTAAAATGGAGATAAAGCAAGATATTCCAAGACTGTATTCTATATTCCAGATGCTTGGGTTTTGGGGGTTGTATAAGGGTTGTATAAGAGCCAACTACACTGTTCCCAAGCTGCTTCACCCTACATGTGGGGAGTTGGCTGGGTAAGCAGAGCAATGTACTTCTGAGGCAAAGGTCAGGTGCCAAGCCTCAGCAGGACTCATCAGTTCCTACCGTTCTTTGATCATGGTCTGTGGTCCCTGCCTCACTTAACCTCCTCTCAAGTGCCTGACTCAGTCTCACAGGGAACCAGGGTCAGTTTCTGCAAGAGTTCACACAAATCCATCACCATTACTGAAAAGGTCACTCAAAGGTCAGGATCTGTGGAGCAGGGTTACTGGTATCGTCTTTAACCATGAAGGACAGTTTACTCTATGACACTAAAGTTCATCTGTCAGATAAATCCATTCCTCTTGCAGGCAAGTGGGTCTCTTTGGAGTACTTCTATTTTACAGTTGCTCAGTTCTTATGGGTAACCCCTCCTTTGCTCAAGGGCAAGTCAGAAAGGCTTGGAGGGGCCCACTGTATTACAAAGCACCTGGGAATGCCCTGGAAATCATTCAGGAAGCAGTGGTTCAGAAACATTTAGAGAGGATTGCCCTGGGAACCTCTTGCTTGTAAGGAGGGAGGGTACTTTGCCTGAGCCGCTCTGGCCGTGGTGCTCAGGGATGGCACCCTTTGTCCATAGGCTGATAAAGGAGTGGCCCTTCCCTTCACACAAGACCCTGCAAATTCCAGCCTCACATTTAAGCTTGGAGTCCTGAGAGACAAACATATATCCCCAGGAGAGGAACTTTTTCCCTCTGTGCCTTGAAAGCATGCAGGCTGAGACACTGAGAGATGCCTATAAAGCAGTAAAACATAATCTCCTGAGTGTGGATTCCTCCTGACAGCAGCCTTACAGTTTTAGCTCTGGTTCAATAATATACCCTCAGTTCTTCATCTTATCATATTCCATTTTTAAAAACAAAACGCAGATTTTCATATTTGGTTCACAAAAACCTTGCTAACATACTTGTTGTTAATTGGAATACATTTTGTTGGCAGCGTACAACATGCAGCAAATAAGCTCCTTGAATGAAGCAAATAAGCTCCTTGAATTCGCCATGCATCCAATGGAGAAAAGTACTAAAACTATTTATTTCCTAGAGCAGGAAAGAAAGGCATACATTTCTGTTACTGTAAAAAAGGGAGAAGTAATGAAATTTACGTACCAGCTTTTCAAAATTGACAAGATTATCCAAAAAAGTTTTATTTCCTTCATGAATAAATGTTACATCTGAAAATTAAAAACAAAAAGATGTATGTATCATTAGGAATGGATCATGAGTCAGGGCTGAAGAGGTCTAGGTACAATGCAACTTATTCATTTTTCCTAAACATTATGGATCATTCCATGCACTTGGAGAGGCAATTTGAAATTGGATTTATGTGTTATTTGATGTAAAAGTGCATAATTTATGTGTGTGTGTATATGTGTGTGTGTAAAAACAGTGTGACCTTACTGAAAGTATATATTTTGCACTCATAATGAAATGTTTGACTTCAATCTGCTTAATATAAACTAAAGCTAGTCTATAACTTAATTATTCCATTATGTGTTTAAGTCAGAAGACTGAGCAGAAAAGGACTGAATACCCAGAAACAACAGGATTTTAGTAAGTATGTGTTTGCTTTTTACAAATCCCTGGCAAAGTGTATGGGACTTGCTTTACTTAAAACAACTAGTTAAGATATAGATTTAGATGTTTAAATTTAAATTTTTGGTTCCCAAAGTTGATGTCTGATTGTGTACCAGGAATAAGTGAGGAAAGAGGCAGGCTTGAAAAAGTCAAGATGTCTGGCCCCATTCGACTAGTAGAAAGCAAGCATCACTGATGAAAATAAAAGGAGGAAAGTACAATGAAAGTGCATTTTCAGAGGAAGATAAAGTTAAATTTGGTTTGAGGCTCACTGCATTTAAATGAGTGAGGATATTCATTAAATATCTCCTGTTGGCTGCAGTAAACAAAAGAGTGCCTCCTCAAGACATATAGATTTGGAAATTAGTTACATTAAATAAAGGTAGCAACTGAAGCTCTGAGAGTGGATGACTTAGCCATAATCGGATCAGAGGGTGGATGACAGCATCAGGGAATCCTCGCAGACAAGTATCACAAAAATAAATATACTATAATTTAAAGCATGTGCAAATAATCATGTTATATTACATATATGGAGAACCAACCAAATAAAAACAGCCTTTAAAAATCTTGTAAAAATAACCTGATAGAAAAGAGGGGAAAAGAATGTCTTAAAAACTCCTATAAATAGAAAAAGAATGTATTTGCTTTTAATCAAGATTTTTATTCTGCTGGTCCCTATGGGGTAATTATGAGATAGGTGGTCCTAAAACTTGCCACCAAAACTCTGGGCCACAAAGCTTTTACTGTCACCAGGAGGTGACAATAGTTACACAGTTACAGCACACACTGATGCAACCCTTTCCTCAAGGCGTTATACACAGCTTCCAATGTGGACTGAAATGTTTTCATAAGCTTCTTTTCCTTTCCTCTCTTTTTTTTTTTTTGCTTGTAAACTGATGTCCTAGTAGGAAAACGATTCACAACTAATTACACAGTCTCCTGACAAACTCTCTGGTTATTTTATTATCTTTTGAAATTTTGCTTGCAGAAAATAATTACAAGCTTTCATTCCGTGACACGGTATTCAGAAAAGAGAAGTCAACACAGGTTTTACCTTTTCTGTGTAGCAAATGCAAACCTGTGCACACTCTGTCTACATTAAATACCACCTGAAGGTCTGGCCTCTACTAACTCTCCAAGAATTCCAGATTCCACACAGCTTCTCAGAGTGGCTTAGTCCATTTCCCCTGCATTACAGGTTTATCCCTCACCTGCCCCTCACCCCTCTTCCTAGGGATGATGAGGAGGGCAGTGGCAATAATGACATCTTACATTTATTAACAGTGTTAGACATGGCTCTAAAGAGCTTTAGCTGCATTAACTCATAAGGTAAATTCTAGGAGGTAAGGCTATGAAGAAACTAAGGCCCCAAGGACGTCTATGGCTAACCCATGCTCACAGCTATATGTGTCAGAGCCAGGATTCAAACAAAGGGAGGCTGGCTCCCCCTCACCACTGCGCCTCTCCAGGCACCTCAAGTGGAAAGGACTTGGCTTTTCTTGCTATCAGGTGCAGTCAACCTGCTCAATTTATAACACATGAGCTGCCCCTGCAACACTGAAAGTGCTTCCCTCCTCACTCCCTTCAGGCAGTCCCTCCTGCCGGCAATCTCTCCTCTTCCTAGGTAGTCCCTCTCACTCTTAGCTCTCAGTAGAGTGTGTGGCGGCTCTATTGAGGGGCCAGGGCCTGTCAGGCTGGTACTGTCTAAGCATAAGGCAGGGAAGGTGTCAAGGGTGCTGGCCAGGTGAGAGGGGAGACAGGCTGGAAGGTGCTGCAGTCCGGGAGAAAGGGAAGAGTTCAACTGGCTACAGGTTTCGATGCAGTTGAATGGCAGGTGCATGACACGGAAGGTATGAGAGAGAAACAAATGAGAGGTTGGGCTGAAAAAAACGAAGATGTCAGAATTTAAGTCATGGGACAAGAAGCAGTTTTGGGGTATGAGAAATGAGCAACTGCCAGGCCTCTTTCACCTGGAGACACCTGAACACACCCCAAACATCTCCTGAAATAGAACTGCTCAATGAAATGACTTTGAAGAGATGGCAAGTGGAAGAGGAGGAAGAAACATCCAAGAGTCCCAACATTCCTTCCCTTCAGAGACCCGCACAAATCTGCAACAATAAACTCCACTCTAAGACACATATATGAAACCCACCACAGGAACCCCAGTTTATCCTCAAACAACTAGATGATTCACTCCATCTCCAAAAATAGCACATGAACTACGACTCCTTAGATCCTTAGCTCAGCTGGGTCTTCTCCCCAGCACTTAGTGTTTCCCATTCGTCCCTTTCTGACCAAGATTCCACACCACAGTAAGGGGAAAGTACATCAAAAGGCAAGAAATTCAAATAAGAAAGAGGAAGATTGAGGGCTGGAAGGATCCTCAGGTAATCCACTTAATTGATAATCTGCAGGCTTATTGGGAACTGACTTTCAAAAAATGCAATATGGGGGGCCTAATCCTTCTTAAACACCAAGGAGTTCAATTTGGTCCCATTTTTCTAATTAAAAGCTACTCAAAGTGGGAGGCACAAGAGAGGGGGAGACAAAGAGCTTTCATTAAAAACTAAGTTGGTTGTTCTAAAATAGTTCATTGAAACTTTAAATTATGTGATTAAAAAAGCCTAAGAATTAATGTTGTATATTTTTGCCAAAATGTCTCATCTTAGGCATAATATACATGTTTTATATTTTCATCACATTTTCCTTGGAAATTATTTCAGACAAAAACAGTAACTTTAAGTACAATGAAGTACTAATACTATATGATTTTATCATGACAAAAAATTAAGACAAAGGAAAACTAAGTGCTTATTTAAATTCAAGGAAGCTTCTAATAAGAAAATAACAAATGTTTATTTCTTATTCTTTTGAAATGAGTAAATGTGTTTTCAGTAAAAAAAGGGAAATTTGTCTTGCTGCCAACAGAGGTCTCGATAAACTCAGCAGAGCAGAAAATTGCATCCGAGCTAAAATGTGTGAGACACTTGACTGCATTAAATATTTTGGGGGGGAAACCACTAATATATGGCAGAAGGCTCTGTTCATATCTAATTAAGTTAAAGAAATATTGTCAACTAATTTCTCATTACCTTAAAGTATGTGTTGTTTCAAAATTTTTTCTTCCTGCAATCAATTCCTTTCCTACATCAGTCCTACTTTCTATTGTCTTTATTTGTGTCTAAATGATCCCAAGTGTTACTTCCCACCTGCCACCTCCCACCCTCTAATTGAAGATATTTTATTCCACAAATAAAAAGCACAGACCTTCTCTTAAAAGCAAATAAATATGAAGAGTCAAATAAACTTTTAAATTATTATTTGGGCACCACAGTGTCTCTTTATTTCACGCATTTGTATTTAACAGAATATTTTCGGCTTGGATGACGCATCTGTGCATATCTATCTCCATTGTCCTAATATTATATTCCTGTTTCACAGAGATTCTTGCTTCATATTTGATGAAGGAAGACTCAGTGAGTAGCTGCACGATGTACGGCAACTCACAATAATTTTCCAAGCTCTGGCTGTTCTTGAGAGAAGCTGAAGAGAAAATGCCAGCTTTATTGGGTAGACGAGGGGCGTGGTGGCAATGGGAGGAAGTGGGGAATGAGGATGGCCAGGCCAACCAGCAATCCAGTTCCCACACAGCTCATTTCTAGAATCATGTGTATGGGTCCAGCCACTGGGGCCTGGCTTAGCAGAAGTTACAAGCCTCTGAAGAAAAGAGGCTGGATGAAAGAGTATTCCTACTAAACCTCTTGAAGGAATCAAAATACGGCCAAGGATAATGCCCAAACCCCCTTTCCCTGGAAGCATACAGGTAAAGATTTACACTGAATGTCAGCGGTATACACCAGATTAAAAAGAGTTTCCTTTTATTAATCCCCTTGGTTTGAAAGAGAGATCACTGAAATCTCATCAATAAATTTAACTAACATGTTTCATGATGAATTATTTGGTGCTTAGTGGGGAGTGGTCAGTGGAGTAACTTGCAGCTATCAAATATTTTCCCAACTCAATTCCACTCCTGAAGAAAGGAAGTACACTTCTCCATCAACACTTTTCGAAAGCTATATTACTTGTATTGACCAAAGGTACTTCTCATACAACAGCAAATTGTGGGCTGCGTCTCTTAAGTTTAGGTTGCAAAAATAGAACATGATTGATCACCATTTGGGTTCTTTATGCCAGCCTTATTCTTGGTTGAATTCGGTGGATTGTTGGCTCAAAGAAAGTAATACAGGGCTTAGAAGTAGAGTAAAAGAAAAACACAAATGTTTCCAGTGCCAAGTTTTGTGAGTCAAGTGAAAATGCTTTGGTGTCTGCTCAAACACAATTACGTATTCTAGGTATCTCAAAAATAATCGGCTATTTGAAAAACAATCACAAGGCAACACAATTAGGTCTGAATGTCAAAATAACTGTAAAGAGACAAAATGAGAGTCCCTTTTTTGCCCTCAATAGTTACAGTAATAAATTTCTGAAATATGAAATTACATGGCATAAAAGATAGAAAATCATTACCTTTAAGCAATAAGGGCATGAAAGGGATTTTTGGTGGCTTCATCTTTTTGAATGCATCTCTGTAGGCTTTGTGATTTAGGGAAGGATCCTGCCGAACCAAGCAGATTACAAAGAGAAAGAAAAATCAATGTGCTATAGAAACAATTCTAAATCCACCTTTGCTACACAATTTGAACATAACTTAGATATAGAGAGATTCCTCCTAAGAACAAAGTAGATAAAGGTTTCCTAGGAGAATAAACTCACTAAATTAGGGCAGGAAATCTAGGCAATGAATGAAATTCAAGTTATTGGTTTACAATAAAGGGAAATGACCGCAAATGAGAGACATCTTTTGATTGTCCTATTATTTTCCTCAAAGAGGTCCTTTAAGTACAGTTTCCTCTGCATAATTTATATCATGAATTAACCCAAAGTCTCTTGTTAGATACACCACCAAGAAAAGCTGTCCTTGTAACGCACAGAAAATGCAGAGAAAACAAGAGGATACTGTTTTTTTGTATTCTAAAAAGAAACTATAATTTTTAAAAATCTCAATCTAAGAAATTGTAAAAAGGAGAAAAGGGAAAAAGAAAATGCATGAGACACTAATTGCATGCTAAATTTATACTGATTAATTTTGCAGGCTTTGAAATGGACTATACTTAAAAGCCTGCCTTCTGAAAAAATCACACTAAAAGGATTATTTTCACTACGTTTTTAGAAGGAGAGGAAGAAGCATTAACTGTCAACTTGCTTCCCTCCATAAGAAGCAAAGCTACAGTTTCATATACAAGTAAACTAGTCTAGGCTACCTGACACGGTAGAGTACAAATACCACCCACTATAATGTAGAAAGAAACTAGACCCTAGCAATTATTTTGAAGAATAAGTCCCCTTTGGCTCAACTACTTACTGTTAAACTTTCAAGTTCAGAGAAAAGTTTCTTAAACTTCCCAGGGATTTTCTAAAAAACAAACACAAACAAAAAACAGAAGGTCACAGAAGTTGGTTATTTTCAGAGGCATCGAAGGGAGTTTTCATTACGTTGTTTATCTGTGTCACATTTCTGAACATAAATACCTCTATCATCTGTTCAATCCTGATTGCTTCTCATTATGCAATTTTCATCATCCCTTTAATGTGATCTTCCTTAGGAATGCTGCTTAAAACAGCTTAAAATAACAGCCACATGATTCAGGAATCTAGTTGGTTAGACATTCCACATACTGGTGGTCATTTAATAAAAACTTAGATTTCAGTTCCATACCCTACCTTTGACAAATGCTCTCATCTTCTTAATAGTCTTCCTGAGTGGGAAACAATTATGTTGGCTGACATTTTTAGCATAGATGATGAAATTTTATTTCACAGCATTGGGCTAAATAGTGAAGGGCCAGGAAGACCTTAAGTGACGAAGCCTGCACTTTAATGAGTGGAATCAATGAATTGAAGAGCTCAACCATAACAGGTACCATGCAAAGTGACAGGGGATGGAAACATAGGCCATCCTCCCAAATAAAAATTCAGGCCTAAGGAAGAAGGGCCTGGAATGTTCCAGCCTGCTTTTAACATGGCTAAGTAAAAAATTGGGTGCCTTTCAATATTGACTTAGTAATCTTTTGTGGTAAACAGCACATATTTAAAGGCAGCCTGAGTTTGAACTCTGACTCTGCCCTTTCTAGCTATGTGGTTTGGTGTGTCAGCAAGCTCTCGGATCTGTTTCTTCAGCTGAGGATGTAGAGACCACTCATGAAAAGTACACGGTCCTTGGCTGGTACTTAACAAATGCCAGCTATTAACACTAACAACAAAGTATAAGAAGATATTTCTGGGATTTTTTGTTTCTAAAAGGAATCAAAACAATGAGGCAACTCCTACAATAATTAGACTTTTACATTATTTAGAGATAGATTTTTTTCGATGTGGTAATTTTGAATATGGACTCAGTTTATCACAGCAAACAGGTAGTTTAATCTGTTTGGAAACTACACACACACACACACACACACACACACGCACGCACGCACACACACACCCCAACAAACAGAGGACCAATTAAATGAGAAGACACAAAATGGAGATATTTGCAACTGATTCCAATCTTTCTTTTAAGCTGCCTACCTTAGTCTGTGGGACATCCCTCACAAATGTCCCAGTGGCACCTCAAACCCAACATGTCCGAAGTCGAACTAAGTGATCTACTCCAGAGATCAGCCATGGAACAAATCTAGCCATGAGCTACTTTTAGGAGGTCAAGTTTTATTGGATTGCTGCCACGCCCCTTCATTCAGGCACGTACTACAGCTGCTCTTTCACTCCAATGGCAGAGTTGAGCAGCTGCAACAGAGACCATGTGGCCTGCACAACCTAAACATTTTTCCTCGCTGGCCCTTTACCAAAGCAGTTTGCTGACCTCTGATCTGTTTCTTTTCCTGTATTATCTATTTGGGAAGTGTGATCACTTTCCATTCATCCAGTCACCAGACCTGGAGATCCTGTGGTCACCTCTACCTGAGATGCCCATCCCCACACTCCAGTAACTCTCAGCTGGACCTCGAAGGCCCTGCAGCTTGAGGCTTCTCATTCGAGTTTTCTCAGCTACCCAGAGGCAGAATGAGTCCCTCCACTTGCTCTGCCCTGGTCCAAGACTTCTGTCATCACAGGCATGCTCAGTTCTCATGTAGCCATCTCCTGTCTGCTATGGCACTGATGCAGTGCTCTGCACATAGCAGGCAGTCAATGCGCAGATTAAACATAAGCTGGTTGAATCTAATTGAGTTATTTCTCCTCTCAATTTTTCCAAATCAGTTTCATTCAAGGTTTAATTCAAATTCGCTCCCCACTGACCCTTGCCAAGCCATTTGTTTTCCTCCTACTCTAATGAATCGTGGCATCTGTCACCCATGTCTTTCATCTTGCTTTGTGTGTGAAGGTCTTGTTTGCTTAAGCAGAGCAGGCGGGGCTTTCATTTCTTTTCTTTTGGGCCCCTTTAAGGAGGACTGACTCTGACCCTTGGGTCAGCACAGTGCATTCCTTCAGGGTATGACCCCTGACTGAAAGAAAGCGAATCCACAGGTTGCCCAGAGACCTATTCCGAGAAAAAGATAGCTGGCCTATCAGCTTTTCTCTTGTAGGAGTTTGAGTTGGGAACCATGAAGAGAATGGCACAGTCAGTGATAGGAACTAAATCTGAGAGGACTGTGAGGGAGGCTGAGGAGACCACAGTGAGCCACACGCAGGCTAGAGGCAGAGGCATGATGCTTAAAGAGCAATGATGAGGGGAGAAGTGGTACATAGGGAGGTAGCCAGTCAGGAAGGAAAGGAGAGCGAAGGAAACAAAAGCCCAAGGAAGGACGGTGAGGGGACCATGAGTGAGGCAGAGTCCTGCGCCTGTGTCTGGCTAAGTTTAGGGGTATCCCCAGTTTCAGGTCTTCCCACATGAATGTCGCAGTCCACACGTCAGACCTTGTGCGAACTTGAGTGGGCCTCTGCATCTCAGAACCCAAACAGCCTTCGGCGTGCAGAGCCAGGAAGTGGGAGGTCTGAAACTTTAGAACGTTTTGTGGATCCTCTTTAAGAAAAAGAATATTAAAATTACTTTGCTTTCGCAAATTTTACAAAAATATACATCATCCATGTGAACACATTGCCAGGGGCCCTGCAAGTGAGAGGCCTCGAAGCTTAAACTCATTAGCATCACAGCAAACGCACTTCTGAGCACGCATCATCATGCGGGGAGACTGTGGGGACCAGCCTGGAACGAGCACTGCACTATCAGGCAGGACAGAGGGGAAGACTAATTCTAGCTGGGGAGCACGTTACCATTTTTATCTAGTTCAGACACATTATACAACCGTTTAAAGACCATTTGATCAAAAAGATCCCTACCACCTTGACATATGACTTTCAAACATTTTTAGTTTAGTAGTACTTATCTCATTTAATCCATGTAAATTACTTTATTTCCATTTTATGTGCCCCTCACCATGGGACTCCAAGGCTCACCTCCCAGGTCTGCGACAGTCGACTGACAGAAGCAGTGTTGAGACCCATCACAATGGCAAAGAAAGAATTCAGGTTTCTCTGGGCTTTGCAGCTATAAAATAAAAGAGAGTAGAGGACACTTTGAGGAAACATTCTTTCCCCAGATAATCACAAAAGATAAAGCTGAAAAGACCCTCCTAGGCCACAGAGCTCAGGAATTCTGCTCTACAGCCTACGTACCCCTTACTGCCCTTCAGCTGTCTCTAATGCCAAAGAAATGATTCCAAACGCCTCAGCTCACTCTTACCTAAAGGAAAAGATCCGTGCTCTTGACACCCTCCTCATATTTCACAAGATTCCTCCTTTTTTACCTATGTTGTGTGCATTTACAATTTCAACTGAGCACTCTTTTAAATTCATGTTTCTTTATATACGCCCCACTCTCCTTTTAACAGTTCACTAGTCCTGACTCCTTCATCAAAACATGTTTTTTCATTTTTTGACAGACAAGCCCTTCTCACCCCACAGGTCTAAGCTCCCCCTCCCATTACATTTAGGCACATTTTCTTTGCTACCAACAAAATAGCTACTATAATATGTATATATTTTAAATACGGCATATATTAATGGGAATACTCTTCCACATTTCTCAGTTAAACAAGGAAATGAAATGCAAAATAAGATCATGTTGAGCTCCATTCACTTCTTGAGGCTATCCACTCTGCATAACATCAATCATGCCCAGAGACTTAACTGGTCAACATTCCACTAATTTCCAAAGCCAGCTAAGAGGGCTTGGAATGGCAGGGGGAGCTCGGGATTTCACGGCAGCCAGAATAGCTGTGAATTCCAGGCACTCCTTTATCTGGAGAGCATTAGAAAACAACCTCTCTGAGATAGGGCTTTAAAATAATAAAAAAAAATTACCCTCCCTTGATCGTTTACTATGTAAAAATATGAAGTACTTAGCAGTAAGCAGAGCGTGTATCAGGGGCCTTGTGATGTTTGTTTAGCTTCCCTCAGATGCCATCCCTTCTGACCTCTCCACCAATGTCTCACATGGAATCTGGGAATAGTGTAGATCTTGCCTGCTTCTTCAGTTAAATACCATGTTATATTATATACTATGGATTATTTACTATCATTAACAGCTATGTAATATTTTATCAAAAGAGCATATTACATAATTTATTCCTCTATTGTGGATGATTTTCAATTTTCCCAGTTACACAGAATGCTGGAATAAACTTTTTACTGTATTTGTGATTTTTTTCCCATTACATTGGACTTCCAGTCATTCCATGATTGGTCAAAAGCTGTGAAGACATTAAAGGTTCTCGATACATAATACAAACCGCTGTCTCCTAAAGCTATACTGATTCCCAGCTGCATACATAGTGTATGAGATGACCTAGTTCAGAATCAGGAGAATAAGCTGAGCTGTGGAGTAAGTAGGGAGACCCATAGCAGCTGTGCTCTGGCAGGCCCTGCCTACACTGGCATGCCCAGAGCCGGCCCCACAGGTTAGGTACTGCCTGAGTCCAGCTACACATGGCTCCAAGCAAGGAAGGCTCAGGCCTGGGGGCATTCTAGAAGTTCCATCCCCAGAACAGTGGAACCTAGAAAGGCCGTGTTGCCTCCACACCTCATGCCAAAGGTATCTGGGGTGGACACACATCTTGCAGGCACCTTGCTGCTGAGCCTCCACTGGGCATGGTCTGTCCCTCTCATGGTCCTCCTGTCCAGCTTTTGGCTCTGCCAGCAGTTCCTTGGTAATTGTGAGGCCCTGTACCTTCATCCAAGTGACCCCTTACGTGGTTTTTTGCCAACTTTCTCCTGGGTCGACCCCACTTGGTATATTCCATGAATAAACTCCAATAAGATACCTCCCAGTCTGTGACTGGGAAACCTACCTGCATTTGAGAATCACTGCCTTTCACATGGTGACTCCCCTTCATCCTGCTGTTCACTTGCCTCATTTTACTTTTTCTGACTCTTCACAACCCTGAACGTTCCCACCAGCTAGAACAGACTTGAGTTAGTGCCATCTCCTCCTGAGTTGATGTTTTGAAATACCAGCCTCCTCTGTAGAGGCTCTTGTGGTCAGTAAGAACTGTTCCATCCCCCTGCTGGAAGCTCCAGTTCGAAGTCTCTCTTACCCCTGGGTCCCTTCACCTTAGGATATGATGGAGGCCCCACTGCTTATGCAATCTCTGCTAGATAGTAGGTTCCTTAAGGCTAGAGTATACGTCTAATCATTTTTACATTCTGCCCATCACCCAGGTTCCTAGTACACAAGAAGCCTTTTAAACAGCATTTGCTGAAGTAGAAAACAAGAACTTCTGGGGAAATGATTTTATCATTATTCATTATAAAGATGTCTATTATTCTACGTTTTATTGAGCTTAATTTATCTATGTGAAATCTTAGAATTCCTATCTTTTTATCTTTTAGCTCCTCATGAACAATTTTCCTGGTCCATATAGCTTTCTTTTTTAGTCATATTTTAAGGAAAAAAACCCATAAAAACACACATATAACTAACATCTAAATCTGTTAAGAAAAAAAAGGAATTAATACAGACACACTTTCTGGAGAAGACAAATTGATACAGTGCAAATATTAGATGCCATTCCAGGCTGGAATCCTCTGTTAACGAGGGTCATTCATTCCACGATAAGAACAGACTGTCTGACACTAAACATTCCAGTTCAGCAAACACTCCTTTTGTCTTTGTGTGAGGAAATAAAATCCACTCAATCCACAGAGGTGGGGGATGGGGATGGTGAGAAGGAGGGGAAACATGAATATGCAAATAGGATGCCTCAGGCAGGAAAAACGCTTCATGATTGTGGAAATTACTATTTTCCCTTGGTTATTCCTACTAGCATGATTACAGGGAATTTAACTTTATGTTTCTGTTGGCATTCTATTCCATGGGTTAGGGATAGAGACCACTACCATAAAGCATTCAAGAGCATGGGGCCATATGGAGAAGATGTGAATATATTTCATTTCCCTGAGGATAGATATAATCTTATAGTGGGAACTGAGCTGGGTGGTATCATCTTACTCCTTGGAACATTAATTTCCCACTTATCCACATAATTAGCATTTATAAGAAAGCTTTTTACCCAAAAGAGCCTCACCTTTAGGAATTTTACAAGCCATTTTGGAACACAATGGCCAAATTTTTTTAAAAAAGCATTCACCATAAAAGTAATCAATAAGATTTAGGCAGATCTTGTTATCTATCCTTCCATGCCCAGTCACACCAAATACCAGGTCAGGAACCTCCATGGTCTCTTCTTGCCTAAGAAAAATTATCCTACTCTTGGGGTCTCTTTGCTACAGTTCAACGTGCTAGTTTCAGACCAACCTTCCTGAAGGATAACTCTGATCATGTCTCCTGCCCAAAAACTTTCAAAAAATCCCTTCTCCCTTCTCAATTCAGTTCAAACCCTTCAATCTGAAATTCAAGATCTTTTACAATTTGGTCCCATCTGTCTTTGCAGATCATTCTCCCACAACTTCCTTACAAATCCCCCTCCACTCTAAATCAGAACAGATTACTGTCTAACCACAGGCTCTGCTTCATTGTCTCCACTGAGTTGGCCTCCCACAGAGAGTGTACTCTTTTGAATTCCTACCTGTCACATCCCACCCAGAATTCAAATAGATTCAAAGGCAACTTCCTTCACCAACGTTTTCCTGATCCTGCTTCCCACACCCTTGGGGTATGAGCTCTCGCTCCTCTAAAGCCTCAACAGACTTAGATCTTCTTCTAGGGCATTCTCCCATTCTGTTTTGCACAGGAGCCAGCTGAGGTATAGAATTACCCACTGACACACTGCACGCCTCACAAAGGCAGGAACTGGTGTAGACTCAGTCTGATTTCCCCACACTACCTTGTACACATCTGTACATGTAAGTGATCAATATATAGTTTCTGAATATGCTGCACTGACATGTACTTGAAAACTGTTTGATATAAAAACTACTTTGGAAGACAAAGGAGAAATAAAACTGGAAGCGCAGGAAGTAAAAGGAGCTGGGGAAGATTTTGATTCATGCTCCCTGCTTCTGCTGGGGAGCTGTCCAAAGAACAGACCCTTGATATGAATCTGATATTTTAAGAGATGCTCCTAGCAAGTTACTAAAATTTCATTCAACATTAACTGAGTCATTGCTATTTACCAAGGTCTGTACCACGCACCCAGGTATAATGATTGATAAGAAATAGCCCCTGTTCTTTGAAAGCGAACACAGCCTAGTGAAGAAATCCTATATAAACAGATAAATTTAATAAATATAATAAGTTTTCGGAAGGTAAAAAGTATATCTGTGCAGAGGGGAAGTAGAGGCAGTAGCAGAAGTAGTACCCCTGCATTTGAAAATCGGGTAACTTCAGGAAGGAAGGAATATTTGACTGAGGTCTTGAAGAATGGTAGCAATTTGCTGGGTGCAAGTGGCCATTCCTGGCAAAGCCAACAAGTGTTCAGGGTTGGAAGATGGTGCTCATGGGAGGGACAGACATTTAGAGTGGCTAGAGCATGGGGTGCACCCAGGGATGAGGCTCAGGGGGTGGGGCCAGCCAGTGCAGGGCCTTCTAATGAACGAGTTCGCAAAAGTTCATACGGTGGGCCTCAAGGAGCAATGAGCAGGTCCTACAATGCACCTGACGTGTAATGATTCCCACTTGTGCACATCATCATCCCCTTTTTTCTTGCCTCCTGTAGCTCACCCAGACACACTGTAGTTCAGCTGCAGGATGAAGGATGTGTGTACTGCCTGCTTATTAGTGCTGAGGCAGAGAGCACAGTGCTTCTGTCTGATATTTTGACATTTACTTTAAGGTATAAATACTTGAAATGCAAAGACATAAATATTCAAAATTGGACATTTTCAGCCATTTAGTCATTTAACTCCATATTACACGTTTATATCCCAACCCTTATCATCATAAGAAAGAAAGAAAGAAGAACAATGTACTCTCTCAAGAAGACTAGAGGAATGGCACTTCTCACACTAGAAACTTACTGAGCCGCAATTTTGATGAATTTTTTCACCAGCTGCACTCGCTTGCCCAGCTGGCTGCAGAGCAGAATCTCCGTGGCCACCCAAAGCTGGACCTCATTGCATCTCTGGAGCAGAAGGCTGAGATTTGCAGTGTGTTCCCCACTTCCCTGTCTGCTGAACGTGAAGTAGATCAGCTCTTGCTGAAAGAAAATGTATTCATGCCAGGGTTTATTTATAGCAAAGTATGGTTGATACAAAACTCGGTCAAATTTTAAGAGCTACTTCAGGTAGTTCCTCCCATATTATTAATACACTAACAGAGAACATGGTGAATAGTAATACATTAAATTCAAAATGAGTTAGTTTTAGAGGTGCCTCATTCAATAATGTTCACCTAGAATCCTTATATAAGTGATTTTTCAGAATGTAAGGAAGACATCTTTATATACAAATCTAAGATATCCTGAAGTTTAAATCATAGGATAAAAGGAATCCCCAAATTTCCCAAACTTGTCATGTTGAAAAATTCAAGTGAAAATGAACGCTAGTAGTACTAGTATTTGTTAAGGTGCACATCAGACCCTCACAGGTCTGTTCTCTAAGACAGTGGTCCTCAAATTTTAGTGTGAATCAGGATCACCTGGAGGACTGCTGAAGCACAGATTGCTGGATCCCACCCCTAGAACTTCTGATCCTGTAGGGGTGTGGAGGGGCCGGAAATCTGCATTTCTAACAAGTGCCCAAGTCCCGCTGATGATGCTGGTCTGAGTACCTGCTCTTTAAAAACCACCAATATAAAACATTGTCAAACCATAAAATGCAAAGAGAATGAGATTAGGGCAAGGTCTGATAATTTACGAAATCAAACAAGACCAGTAACTATTTATATAGATGGACCATGTGCAAAGCAATAGAAGAGATTTGTTTTTAAATGTGTTTGTGTGCGTGTGTGTGTGTGTGTGTGTGTGTGTGTGTGTTTTATAGAGGTAATCTACATTCTTCCACTGCATAAGCAGGGATATATCCCAGTCTACTAACACTTCCAAAGACACAAGTCATTTAGTCTGAAGGAATTCAGTACTTGCTCACATTCTGATCATAATATTGAAATCTGTTTAATGAGAAAATATGAGGACATTTGGGTCTCTAAATTGGGCATGAGGTTCCTTCTTCAGAAGGAAAGGCCACTTCAGAATGAAAAATTTCACTACATGGCGAAGCAAATGCAACATATGGTTACAGAGGGCTCTAACATTTTTCATCTCTTGATTCCTGTGAGGGTTTTCTCTGGACAAATGTATTCATGAATCGTCAGTAGCATTTTGCTATTTCCCAATCTATTGTTTTAAAAATGTTATAATCTGTCCTCAAGTGAAAAACTGATGGACATAAAAACTTGAAATATATCCAAAATTTTCAATAAATTACTTGAAGTCTTACAATGCAGTCTAAATTTGTAGAATGTTCTTAAGTAAAAAGATGGATATGTGTGTACATACATAAATATGAATATGATTCTTGTACAACTATCATAAGCTTCATGGAAAAAATAAACCTATCAATATCAAAGATAAAATGGTTCATCAACCCCATTAGAGCCTCATCTCCAAATACATATATATATTTATATGCATGAAATACAGCATATTTATACATTACACAAGCATATGCTCACACTAGGGGCAAATAAAAGCATGCTCACATATTCTGATTTTTTTAGAATTGAGTCAGTCTTTCAATATATTTCAAGTCCCCAAATATCTTTTGGACCACGTTATTCTAGCATAATTTCATCACCGCACGCATTGATATTCTTCACAAAGAATTCACAGTTAAAACAGCATTTGTATTTTATCTTGTCACTCCTCATTTACCTCGTGAATTGAATTGAATAGACTCCAATCAAAATTCATTAATTCCAGAGCAAGATCCCAAGTGTTCATTCCCAAAATCCTCATCGACCTTTGCTGTGATTCCTCATTTTCTGCAAATGGGTTCTAAACCAACAGAAGCAAAAAGATCCTCAGTAATTCCCAAATGTTTTGCACTGCATTGGCTGGCTGTAGAAAGGCACTAGAAGCTCAGATTAGCAAAGTAATCTTTTCTGAGTGCACTTAATATTTTCCCTGGTCTGTTCACCTTCAGTGAGTTACAGCCAATTTAGGAAACGGTCTTGGGAACAGTAGAATGTGATCAATGATACTTCAGTGAGTTCGCCCGCTCCTCCCCCATCTCTCTCCCCTACCCCCACGTGCACACATGCACGCACAAATCTGATTATAAAACACTGCCCTGGCAGACAGCATAATGAAAGTGAAAGCCCCGAAATCACTTTGGCTTCTGGTAAGAATTAATGTGCCGGCAGGGTTAGCATAAAAACAAACAGAAGAAATGTCATGGTGCACTTCAATAAAGACAGACATGGCGTTTACAGGAAATACGTTTAGCAAGTCTCATCCCAGACACACATTTACACATTTTATTAAAATGCCCATAGAAAGTAAAAAAGTTTTAACATGAAATAAAAAATAGAAATTATTTCATTTATATCCCATGGTAGATTATTATTTTAAGTATCAACTGCTTTCCCTACGTAAATAGGGCCTAACAACTATGAGGCTGGTAACAGTATTTCCTTAAGATATGGCATAAAAGTATTAGATGCCATCACAACTTTCAATCTATTTCACCACTAAAGTTATTAAAAAGATTATTTGGCATCTTTCCAAAATAGTTGATGTTTTCTAATGAAAATATAAATTCTCCCATTTGAAGCGTTAGATTTGAATAATAACTTTAAAACAAACAGAAGGAACCTTGCAAAAATAAATGACATAGTAGGATAAAGGGAATATTCCAGGTGCCAAATATTAATCAACATTTCTAAACTGAAAAATAAGTTATTTGCATTTTAGAAGTTTTACATTGATGAAAACGTTTCCTATTTTTTTTAAAAAACCTAATGACTGAAGATCTTCACAGAGCTTTCCCACAGACTCAGTCCTCTCAGCAGCATGTCAAGGTCCACTTTGTCTCTGTATCCCCAGTGTAGGGCACAGTGTGGTGCTCGGAAAGCAATGACCAAACGAACCAGCTAACAAATGTAGAGGTGTTGAGGTGGAGGAAAAGCTGAGGTTTCTCAGGGATTGGTCTGGCCAGGCTAAGACCAGACAGGCTCTACTGCTGACTTTCTAAGAAAGACCCAGAGTGAGGAAGTAACACACATACCTGCTTAATAATTTGGAGGTGTCAGGATACTTCTACTTGGCTCTTTGTCCCCATTTTCTCCCTAATTGGGTCCCTTACCCAACTCGAGTTATTAACTCTATTTATTCAAGGTTAAATAACTCTATTTATTCAAGGTTGTCCATTGCCCTTGCCAAGGAACATTAAATTTTTCTATCTCATTCCTTCAGTGCTCTAATTCCTGTTTTCTAAGAAGATTAATCTATGTGAAAGTGATAGTAGGTACTGGTGTTTTCAGGTATTATTCTTCCCTTACAATGTTAGATTTTAACTGACATCTTTTGGTGATGAAATATCTAAATCTATGATTCCAGTAGGACAATTTTAGGTGGTGTCAAGAGTTGGCAGGGGAGGCTTTTGAGGGTAGGATGGAGTCTGGCTTCTCTTGGAACATATTTCACAGCACCTATTTATTCCATCAAGGCATTGCCCAGGCCTGCCTTCTTTTCTGAAGGTGGCCTTGGACAGTGGTAGATTGAGCCGTGGGGATGCACAGGAGGGAGCTACCTGAGAAGGCCACGTATGGGTGGCAGAGGAGGCATAGAGGATATTCAGAGTGGGGGTTTCCTCTACCGCAACAAGCCCCACAGTAGCTACATGTCAGATCGTCCTCCTTCATGGGGAGCGGTAAAATCAATCTCATTATTTACTCAAAAATGCTGTGCAGCACCCAGTTGGTTATGTTTCACTGACAGAATTACACAGGACTGTGGCCTGCTGAAGGACAGCACAGGAAAGGTCCAAGTAAGGCATGTACAAATGAAAGAAATGTGCAGGGGCTTCAGAGTCAAACATATAATTGCATTTAAAAATCGAAGCACTCTCCCTGACTTGGCTGTATGAAGCTACAGTGGTTACTCAGCCTCTCTCGTGGGGTTACTGGAAGTGTTAAACGAGATACCGTATGTAAATTACTCAGCACATACAGATCTGGTAATAAGTGATTAACATTATTATGATAGCTTAATATCCTGCAGACAACGTTACATAAAATGTCTTTCCAGTAGACATATATCTGGACATAAAACTATTATCAGTAGTTTGGGTTAACCTACGTGGTATGCAGGTTTCTCAATTATACATACAACAGGAGCCAGTGAGAAAGACCCGCCCCAGCGATGGCTCCATGAAGAGATGGGGACTCTGAGTTCCAGACACAATCGCAATCTGCTAGAGCCCACTTTTTCTAGATGACAGATCTGAAGTCTGGTCCTCCTATTCAGAAGCCAATCCCAGGACTGAGGTCTTTAGGAACCACAGCAGCAATGAAATCACCCACTTAGGCATAGGTGTTCTTAAATTTTGGACTGAAAGTAACTTAAAGTGTGGGTTCTACATTTCTCCAGACTCTTTATCTTCAGTGGCAGCTGACGTCCCATCACCATGACCCCGTTCTACACAGAGAAGGCAGGTCATCCATGCTTTTCTTCAAGGGAATGGAACGAAGTGTACCAAATGTACTGAAACAAGGGACTCTTTCTCCTTAAATCCACCTAGGATGCATTTCTCAGCCTCATCTTCATATACTCACCGAAAAAGAAGAAATGAAATTAAAATTCGATGGGAGAAGGAGTCACCTATCTCAAATCCCTTATTTCAGGGGCTTAGAAAGGGTTTCACTTAGGCAGGGTTTAGAATTCCTCAAGTTGGATTGAACTGAATTGCTCAACCCCTTTTTGATTTTTTGATTTGTAAAAGTACTGTTACTTGGGAATTGTATCATTGGATAAGGGAAGAAATAATTTAATTTTTTTAACATTCATTATAAACACATAAAACCTATGCTTTATGTGGTACGTGTGTTCCTTTTTTTTTTTTTTTTTTTTTTTGAGACAAGGTCCTACCCTATCACCTGGGCTGGAGTGCAATGATGAGATCACAACTCATTGCAGCCTTGACCTCCTGGGCTGAAGAGATCCTCCCACCTCAGCACACACCTAGGGACAACAGGTGTGTACTACTATGCCCAGTTAATTCTTAAGTTTTTTTGTAGAGACAGGGTTGCAAACTTCTAAGCTGGTCTCAAACTTCTGAGCTCAAGCCATCTTCCTGCCTTGGCCTCCCAAAGTGCTCAGATTACAGGTATGAGCCACCTCGCCTGGCCTGTTTGTTTCAAATACAAGGCTGAAGGTCCTTACCAAAGTGTCCGCCAGGTCTTTCCGGTAGACATATATTCGACCAGATGCCTCGAGGGATTTGGAGATGACTAAGTCATTTGGCTGAAGTTCATGCTTTTCTTTATTTGAAAAAAAAAAAAAAAAAAGGAATAATCAGAAATACAAGAGTAGCAGCAGTAGGCCTACACAGTACACTTAAAAAGTGAAACTTGCCAAAGAAAAATACTTAAAAGTAAATAGAACTTAAAGTGGATTAATTAAGTTCTGCACACTCTATACAATGATACCAGTGGCATCACAAATAGCTCTCACTGCTCAGCGGTCAGAAAGTGGAGTCCTCTTGCAGTTATTTCCTATAACATTTAGTCATTGTTTGGAACACAGAACAGTTTAAGACAAAAAGTAAAATTTACTCATCTAAGATAACAATACCATGTTAACACTGGTTACACTTAGGTCTATTTTTGTTCTGATTTTTATATAACCATGTATATATATACACACACAAATAATTGCATTGATTTGCAATGATTTATGCATATGCATTTATAACTATTGCGGATACACATATACATTTGCAATTATTCCATAGTTTTATATTCTCATATTCTTATAAGCACTTTATCCACTTGCCAAAATTATTTACATATGTCATGTTTAATTGGTTATATGATAGTTCATTATACCATCATTTAATCTTTCCTCTACTGTTGAACATTTAATGGTTAATTTTTTTGGTCATATAAATTAGATGGCATGATGTGTGCTAAGTACTGGCACGGGGCCTGGCACATAACTGGGGTTTGGTAAATGGGATCTATTATTATAGCTGCCACAATATATATTGCTGAAGTCAATATCCTTATGTTTAAATCTTTGTCTGCTTATAAATGATTTTCTTAAGACAGACACCCAGTATTAGAATTACTAGGTCAAAGGGAATGAATATTTTTAAAGTTTTTGATACAAACTACCAAATTGTTTTCTGATTTTTATTTTTTAAAAAAGAAAGACAATATATTTTCCTAAAAAATAGGTATAAAACTTGCACACTGACCAACACTGATCATTACTTTTTTTTTTTTTTTTTTTTTGAGACAGAGTTGCACTCTGTCACCCAGGCTAGAGTGCACTAGTGTGATCTCGGCTCACCGCAACCTCTGCCTCCTCCTGGGTTCAAGTGATTCTCCAACCTCAGCCTCCCGAGTAGCTGAGATTACAGGTGCCTGCTACCACGCCTGGCTAATTTTGTATTTTTAGTACAGATGGAGTTTCACCATGTTGTCTAGGCTGATCTTAGACTCCTGACCTCAAGTGATCCGCCTGCCTTGGCCTCCCAGAGTGCTGGAATTACAGGTGGCAGCCACTGCACCCAGTCTGATCATTACTTTTGGTAAGTTTACTATTTTGCTAATACAAAAAGTAGATTCTCTGTTTACTTTGTGTTTCTTAACTAGTAGGTTGAATATTTTTCATATATTCCTCCTCTATCTTATTTCTCTTGTTGCAAATTGTTCCTATCCTTTGACCATTTTCTACCACAATTGGAGCCCTCTTATAACATAATAGCTTTCTTCCTAGAAAATGCCCTCCTCCTAACTACAAAATGCATATGGGAGTAGACTAAAGTCATATTAAAGTTTATTTCACTGTGACACAATCAACTTCTCCTAAGGTAGCTGTTCAGTTATGCAGCATGATTGGGAAATGCAATATTCCATATGCCTTTTCTAGATAATTGGCCCAAATGCAAAGTGTTGTTTTGAACATTTCTGTTTAATGCAGAGTATACAAATAATAATCTAATATATTCTTTACGGCCCAGCATTATAAAGATCCACAGTACTATAATGTTGGGCTGGTGACATGTATAGCGGATGGTCTCACACAGCTGGATTCTTAAGTTCCATCTCCTGGGTTCCATCTGCTCCTTCTTTGTTCAGCTATAATTTCTTGCAGCCCTTTCTGTGCCTATGTATACTTTAAATCTGAATTTATGAGAGCCATTTATACTTTATAGAATAAAATGTCATGACTTTCTGATAGCATTTTTCCATTTGCTGAGAAACATTTTTCCCCTTATTTTCAGGTTTGTCACTATAATATGAAAGATTAAAACTGATAGAATTTTAACTTCTGAATAACTGGGTAGTTTATTGTTACTACATACGTATAACTACCCTGGGTAAAAAACAGCTAAAGACTTACTAAAGCTATGAGAATGATACTATTGTTCCTTTTAGAAAAATCCATAAAACCTCTAACATCTCTGATATCTTAAAACTTTTTTTTTGACAAAAACAAAGAAAAAACTCACCATTTCTTTTTGAAGTAGGACTAAAATATAATTTATTAAAAATTATGTAACTAGAACAAGGATTGCATTAAGCTTTTGAGATTGTTTTCTTTGTGAAAACATTATTGTTTGGGGGATAAAAAGATGCAGGCAGAAAGGTTCTCTACAGAAAAAAGTAGAGGATGGAAAATAATGGCACATTGCCAAATCTGTGGGATAATTCAAGAGATATGCTGATATTTCTAGTGATGATTAGCAATGGGTCTATAGACATTACAACGCTATTGCCCATACTGATGAATCTAATTTAATAGAGTGTGAAAATGGTATTTCACAGCCACCAAATAGATATTGGGTAGTGAAAGAGCCGCTCATTAATTGCCAGCTTCTCACGAGGCCCTGGGTTGACTCTCAGTCAGCTCCCAAAGGAGACGGGTCTCAGTTTTGCTGCAGAGTTCATTCAGCTCTTCCTTCTCTGGCACCTTCTGTCTGAATGGGGACCCCAGGATCACTCTCTGTAGTGGTACTACCTTGAGAGGTGGATGCTTAAGCTTAATACTGCTTAATTAAGCAGTATTGATAAAGCTTAATACTGTTTAAAATCCTTTTATATTTTTGGTCACTTGAAAATTAAACATAACATACATTTATCATACCAATTTGAAATATATTATTAAAAATCGAACCACTCTCTGATTAAAAGTCATTTAGGCCATATGTTTCTCAAATTCTTTTTTCTAGATCATGTTTTGCTAAGATATACAATTAGAGCCCTGGGAGAGGTGGAGGGATTCTTATGTATTAGGCCCAGGGAGAAGGGCTTCATTTGCATACGTAATCAACCAGCTTGTAGGACCATTTTACCTGCCTGTGAGCAACAAAGCCATAGGAACAAGATACTTTACCCTCAAGTATATTCTGATATTCATCTCCCAACTGCAGAATGATAACAAAGGGTAAACAGGAATGCGGTTAATCTGCTCCCCTCCCCTGCCCGCATCTCTGGTTAATTAGCCCCCACAGTGCTCACATTTTTCAACTACTGATGCTAAGTCACTTTCTTTGTATTTTTTTCTCAGGGTTAAGGAGATATTAAATAAAGATTGCAAACCAAAAAAGGAGGCCAGCAACATTGAGATCTGACAGGCTCCAGTGAAAACGAAGAGGTCTGTTCAAGCCGCATAGATCAATAGTGTCAGCTTGTAATCTGTGTGATCTTATTCAAAACAGACAATAAACCATTCTCTGAGGATACATAAGGCCCAACAGAAGGAGAAGTTGTAACCAGGCCTCACTCCCCACGTCCACCTAAAGGAATATTGCCGTGTGAGCTTTCAGCTTATTGTACAGTTTGTCTTTCAATAGGGAGTCTTTAACTATTAAATTGTCAGCCCGCAATAGGACTGGTTCAAGGCCATCTTTCCTTTTTTTTTTCCACCCCAAAGTAATTTCACTCTTTAGCAATTTCCCAAGTTAATTTAAATAGGAAAATAGAAGGCTTATCTAGAGTACAAAATATGAAAAGCTTTATAATGTATTTCAAAACACTGGCATGCCTCTCTATTCAGTTCTTGGGGAGGAAATTCAGTATCCCACAGTACCCAACTGTTGTCATGGAAACACTTCTGGTAGGCAGCTTCTTATTGTTACTGTGGTCATCCAGCTGCGGGCCCAGAAGGGAGGAGCTGCACTTTTACTCTACAAAAATGTCACCTCCCTCCTTTTGAAGGAGATCAGTGAAAGATTAATATTCAAGGGTAGAAAACAACTTACCCCCAGAGAATGTGATGGCCACCAGAGCCAGATCCTCTTCTGCATACTGGATCTTTTCTGCCACGACTTTTAGGATCTCTTGGGCTATACTGGAAACTTTTGCCTTCACACTGACATAGGAGTGCTCTGTTATATACACGTGGCAGAAAACTGCACAAGTGAAAAGAATTGTTTGGAAACAGAGAACAGTGGTCACGAGGTATAGACTTTTCCAAATCAAGGCACCTTGATCAACTTTTCTAAATCAACCCACCTGGCTATTCTCTTCAGTATAACACATACAGAGTTAGATTTTTTATATATGTACATGAGCACCTGAGGGTATACGTCTATAAATGTGTGCTTGCAAACACATGAAACTCAGATGTTGTAAAGCCAGCCAACAAGCACAAGTAGTATTTAATCTTTTCATTATGTAATGAGAGACCCGAGTCACGCAAGTGTGTACTCACTGTAGAAACCATCTGACCATAATACAGTGGAAACTGTGGTACACAGACTGTATTTTTAAATCCCTTCTTTGACAGTTGCTGAGATCTCCCAAAGCTGCATATTAAAGTGTCTAATTCATAAATTTTTCCTTTACACTCCATTTCAGGACAATCTCAGTGGCCCAATCAAGAACACCGTATTTTGCTATTAGAATTCTCATAAGCTTATCTAAAAATCTGTCATCTGCCTTGGTTTTTGAGTTCAGCTTTCTCAGTCATTTAAGAATGACTCCATTTCTCCCATCAAGGTAGTGATGAATTTAGTTTCCAAATGGAGGTCACATTTCTAGTCTTTTTAATTTCCTTTTTATTGTCTGTGGTGCTAATAATTATTACTAGGACATTATCACTATCAGGGTGAATGGGTCCTGAAAAATGTTTTCTTTATGATATTAATAGCAGAAGCTGTTTTAATAGCAATGGAAGTAACTGACACATTACCTCTTATATCAGCTACTATAAATGTATAAAATGCACTAGCTTCTTTCAAATAGACAGAAGGACAATAATATACTTAGATATTCTACTCTTTGGTGTTGCAAAAAAATTGAGAGTGAAGCTTCTGGAGAAATTTTATATGCAGTTTAATTGGCACCACAAAAATAAACCCAGGAATGTTTTCATAGAAATACAAATGAAGCAAAAGTCTAACTATGAGTTTATATGTATAGAACCTCAAAGTAAACACACCACCAGGAGACACTTGACATATTTGGTTTGGTTGGGTACGTCACTAAAACAACAGCATGTAACAAATAGTTGTTTTGTATTTTGCCAATAGACTAGTGAGAGAGAAAAAGGCTTTCCTCCTTCCATAGAAAGATGGAATTTTTAAGCAAGGCAAAATCTGGTCTATAAACCACTATATGCAGGGTAAGTTTACATCTTGCTAAATAAACTGATAAAAAGAGTCTGGGGGCCTCGAAATACTTTGCCTCTTTGCAGCTCAGCTTGGAAAACTACACGATGAAACTTTAAGACAAATGGGCAAGGAAGGTCAGCAACGAATGAATTAGGAAGTTAGATAATTTTATTTTCTCTTTCACTTGGTACGGATGACACTTAATATGAGCCAACAGAACCATGTATCAGCAGCATTATATGCAAACACTATCTAATGTAATAAGCATCCTTGTGACTTCTTTTACAAGTTCCAGAAATTGGGCAAATATTAAATGATCACACTCAGAATTTCAGCATATGAAGAAAGATGAGGCAAAAGAGAGAGTCTGTGAGTTATAATTGCATTAAAATTTTAATTTGCTGTGTTTTCCAGCTCTGTGCTTGACTCAATCTTTATCTAAAAGGAGAAAACCACTGGTAATATTTCTTATTTCACGCAAATAAGCAGTGACTGAGGACACAGTAGATGGGCAGCACTGCCCACACAGCCTGGCCTTGCAGGAGCTTCTACCGTACAGCCTTCTCTCCACAGGAGTTTCTTCTCGTGGACTGAGTCATGGACTGACTCAGCCCAAATCTGCACATTGACTTTGGTGATCCTTCCAGTTAGTCATAGACAATGGGCTGATGAAGGCAGGGAGGAGATGGTTCTAGGAGGAAAAGGCTGAGTCTCCCGTTCATTTTTACCTCTTCTCAAGAATGCAAGGAGGCTCTAGGCATTGTCTCCTTTCCTTGCTTCCCAAATTATAAGTATCCTTGGTGCTTGGGACAGTATTATGTGATCTAAGAAAACCATAATGCTCAAATAAAGAAAAGAAAAACCATGCTGTTTGAGGCTAACGTGCTTATCTGAGGGGTGACAGCTGGAAATGAAGGTTAGTCAGGCTGATATGCCAATGTAGGAGAAAAATGGTGGCTAACTGCTGCCCACCCCCAAACCCTCACTTCAAACCATACTCACTTTCCTCCGTTTCAGTCACAGTTCCTCTATGCTGGAGCCAGTTCTCCTTAAGACTGAATTGGTGGAAAAGGGCTTTATTCTGTGAGATGGGAGAAAGAGAACAATGAATGAATACATTCCTGCCCTTTGGAAAACCATAGCTGTTTACAATATGTTCCAAAAGAACTAGCCAAATTTTTTTTTAATATGAAATCCACCCATCCAATCTTAGAGAAATAAACTGGGAGTCGCCTCAACTAATGCAAGTGGTGGTGGAGATTCTGAGCAATCTGATGGGCCTGGGCTAAGGCCAGCAGCAGGCCAAAAGCCCCTATATTTATTCCCTGCAACATGATTTTTCACATCTGGCTATTACAAACATCCATAGAGTCTCCTGAGATAAACATCATTTCCCCATTCCAACATTAACCTATAAGGTATAAGTTATCACAATCCGATCCTCTGCTATTACATTTTTCATGGAAGCAACTTTGAGATGGTTTCAGTACCTCTGCTGTAGTACAATGACTTTCCTAAGGGACACAGGCATGCTGTTCATTATGATTATCCACCTGATATAGCTGTGTCTCCCAAACTTGTGCCTGACATCTCAGTCCATATTTCTCCCTCATCAAATTGGACTGAGAACACATTCCCACTTGCTACCTTCTCTTTCGGTTGTATTAAAAGTGCAAATATTTTCTTTACAAGACTTCTTTCCTCTTAGAGTCAAGATTCCTTCTACCTGGATTTTGTTTTTTGACATAAACATTATTCAAATTTATATCACTCCAGGGATAGCAGGGAGTCCCAAGACTCTAAAATGCACCACAAAATCAGCAGAATGTCAAAAAGCCAAGGGTACACAGCTAAAATCGGATCTGCACCAGCACAGGGATAACTAAAGCAAAGCAGGAAAGCGCAGGGAAGCTGCAGCCCCAGGCGCCCCGCCTTGTCGTGTTCTGCTCGAGGCAGTATTCATTTTAATTATGAAACACGCCAAGGGAGGCAAGGCAAGGTCTCCAAACCGGATCACCTAATTTTAGGTATAGAAGCATCTGCTTACCTTTTTTTGTGGTGAATATTCATCTACAGTGCTGAAAGGAAAAATGGCAAGAAGTCAGTCTTTGTCTCAAACCCAGAATAATGCAGTTATTGTTACGGAAGACTAATTTTCCAGCACTAGGCAGAGGATTTTGCTCTTTAAAAAAAATAAAACACAGTATTCATTAATTCACTATGTACAACACATTTGACATTGGGCTCTGAATTTCAAATGAGCCAGGAAGTAAAGAAGTTATGGATTCAACAGATGTACTTTGCCTTCTACCCACAGAAAGTAAAGCTCAGAAGTGAGGGAGGAACTGGATCTGCTCAGTCCATGGGAACTCAGTCCACAGAAATGAGGATTTTTTAAAATTGCAATATTCAGTCCATAGAAATAAGTTTTCTCATACAGTGATAGTGACAGATTTTAGGTGAAATTATTGCTATTTAGATAGCTAAGTCATTCAGCCAAGGCACATCTTCTCCAGGATGTGTCTCTGTGTGGTGGAACTGGGAACACTCTGCCCATCTCTGATCATCTCCGCAGATGCCCACCTTCAAGTGCCCTCTGAAGGCCAGCTCCACTTATGAAGGAGCCAGTACTGGGGCCAATTTCATACATCATTAGGTGAACTATAAATTAAAGGTATCAATCTTGCTCTCAGAAAGAAACACTTTCTCCTCTATTTGTGTACTGGGGCTAGAGAAAAAAAAGTCATGAGTTTTACATTTAGGGCTTGAATCTTACTCTAGAATCTAAAGCTATTTCATAATCTTATAAAAATAGACAAAAATCATTTTTTTTTTTGAGACAGAGTCTCACTCTCTCACCCAGGCTAGAGTGCAGTGGCGTGATCACTCTTCACTGCAGCCTTGACCTCCAGGGCTCAAGTGATCCTCCTGCCTCAGCCTCCCAAGTAGCTGGAACTACAGGCATGTGACACCACGCCCAGCTAAGTTTCTATTTTTTGTAGAGATGGGGGTCTCACTATGTTGCCCAGGGTAGTCTTAAACTCCTAAACTCTTGGACACAAGTGATTCTCCCACCTCTGACTCCCAAAGTGCTGGGATTATAGGTGTGAGTCACTGTGCCTGCCAAGAATCATTTCTTAATATCATTTTCTTATTTTACTTTATTATTTACCATTTTTGTGTAGCTTTTAAAATGGAATGTATTAAATTTCCATTAATGTATTTGATGAAATGTGTTTACATGTATTAAACCATGAAATAAAGTTTCCCAGCTGTAACAGGTCTGCCTCATAGCACAGAGCAATTTCCATATGGGGAATTATTTTGAGGACAAGGTTGTCCTTTTTTTCTTTTTTTGATTTCATTCATTAGTTCATATTTTCATATAAGTCTTAGGCTATGGAAACATAACATAATGTAGACTGCAATAAAAGAAGACCACCAGCATTTACAACATCCATCTCTAAGGTACAGTGCTAACTTGCACTTTACTTTTAAATCTCTCAATGTAAGATTTTGATGATTGAGGACTATACACATGGTTTGCTACCTCAGATTAATTTGCAATGAGGTCTCCCTTTACTAAAATTAAGTCAAGCTTTAAATCACAAATTAGTAATCTGAAAGGCTTGAATTAACATTTTCTGAGAGGTGCAATTTGTGACTGTTGAAATCTTAACAGAAGCTTTTCACAACTTGACAATGTATGTACTTTATGTTTACGAAATAGAAACTGCACTGTGAATCAGATAACAATTTTCCCTTTTAGATGAACTCTGTGGCTAAATCTGAAAACTGAATGACTTGATGTTTTCTTTTACCAAAATTAGTAAGGGGACTTAATGGTAATATCGCTAACAGTAAAGTTGGGTGTTGCCAATCTGAAAGATTAATGACAGATACCTAGGGGACACTTAGACATGCCAAGAGTCATTGAGTAAATGGCTTTTTAAAGTCTTTCTAAATTGATAAAGAAACCTCAGGGAACCCATAAAATTGAGCTTTTAAAATGCTCCACAGGCCGGGTGTGGTGACTCACACTTGTAATCCCAGCACTTTGGGAGGCTGAGGTGGGCGAATCACCTGAGGTTGGGAGTTCAAGACCAGCCTGGCCAACATAGCTAAATCCCATCTCTACCAAAAATACAAAAAGTAGCCAGGTGTGGTGGTGCACCTCTGTAATCCCAGATACTTAGGAGGCTGAGGCACGAAAATCGCTCGAACCCAGGAGGTGGAGGTTGCAGTGAGCCGAGATTGCGCTGCTGCATTCCAGGCTGAGCAGCAGAGTGAGACTATGTCTCAAAAAATAAAATAAAATAAAATGTTCCACAACTCCCTGGGACCTATTTATAAAACTTTTCCTCCCCATTCCATAGAGATAGTTACAAGCCCCAAAATGACAAGTTAAACAGACTTTTAAAATTAAGTAATAATTTACTAATTGTTTTTACGTACCTGGTTGTTATGGCCCAGGTTATTTTTACTATATAAAACAGGGTTAAAACAATAGTCAATAAGCTGAATTCCGTGTTCTTTCATTTTGAGTTATAAGAACAAAACATACAATTTACTACTAGAAAAGCTAAGGCATCAAGATGAATCTGAGTCAAAATGTTCAAAATCAACTTTTATGTATAAGGCATTCCAAATTCTATCATATTTGCTGCTGTTTTCTTTCATTAACTATAATTAGGAAAATGAAATACTTACTGACGACGGTGCATTCCAAGTATCTTTTGAAATTCTTTCAATTCTTTTTCAAGTATTGGATATTCATAAACATCATCCAGTACATTCCTATATATGGTCTGGAGAAAAAAGACAAATGAGAGCTCAGTGGTTGAATGCCCATTTTGTAGGGATTAAGACTCATACCATGGCTATCCTAACACAGGAAATAAGGAGGGATTCAGGACAATGTACGGGTTTCACCAGGTGCCAATGAGATCCAGAATGGGATCATAACTCGCAGCTCCTCTCTCAACTGCCATGGCTCTCTATCTGCTTTCAGGGCCATAGGTGGAAATTCTGGAAAGAGAATTCTAGAGATCCCTAGCTGGCTGGCTACTAGAGATTTCCAGCCCATTCTATATCTTAAAAAATAATAGGCCGGGCATGGTGGCTCACGCCTGTAATTCCAACACTTTGGGAGGCTGAGGCAGGCAGATCATGAGTTCAGGAGATCGAGACCATCATGCCTAACACAGTGAAACCCCGTGTCTACTAAAAATACAAAAAAAAAAAAAAAAAATTAGCCATGCGTGGTAGCGGGCGCCTGTAATCCCCAGCTACTCGGGAGGCTGAGGCAGGAGAATGGCGTGAACCCAGGAGGCGGAGCTTGCAGTGAGCCGAGATCGCGCCACTGCACTCCAGCCTAGGCGACAGAGCGAGACTCCGTCTCAAAAAATAAATAAATAAGTAAACAAATAAATAAATAATAGTAATAATATAGGTTGGGTGTGGTGGCTCAGGCTGTAAATCCCAACACTTTGGGAGGCTGAGTAGGGAGAACTGCTTGAGCTGAGTACGAGACCAGCCTGGGCAACAAAGCAAGACTCTATCTCTACTAAAAAGAAAAAATTAGCTGAGTGTGGTAGTGCATGCCTTTAGTCCCAGATAGTCAGGAGGGTGAAGTGCAAGGATCTCTCAAGCTCAAGAGTTTGAGGTTGCAGTGAACTATGACTGCGTCACTGCACTGCAGCCTGGGTAGCAGAGCAAGACCCTGTCTCAACACACACACACACACACACACACACACACACACACACACACACAATTCCACATAATCATTTGGGAGAAAAAAGTCAATTGAATTAAATTAAGCAGTTGCTTTGCAAACAACATGAGTTTAAAGAGTTGGTTAGACTCGTTTTTAACTGGATGCCTAAATGACAACTGAATGTTGAATTCAAAGTAGTTTCCTTCATGAAAGGCTGAGTCTATTTAGGCAGTTGCCTACTCTGAACTAGAACTCTTCCTTGCTAGAATTCCATTGTATTCCTTCTCTGTCCTAACCTGCAGACTTAATATGATTTTGGTGGCCAAAGGAATCCAACTGTCTTACTAATCATCTCTCCAGATAATCATCTGTGTTGAAAAGATATTGAAGCCTATTAATTAGAAAAAATAAATCAGTTTGTCTCACTCTAAATGTAAAACTAGATTATATCTATTTTACAAATTATTGCTTAAAATTCTCAAAGTATACCATGTCTGACAAATGTTTCAAAGAACATACATTGTCAATATAGTTTTTAAATGATAAATAATGTTTTATGCAAATATTACATATAGAGGACTGGTTACTTTAAACTTATAATGAATATCAACATATTAAGCTATATCAAATTTTGAATGTTTTGATTTACCTTCCTTAATTATTTCATTAGCAATCAAAATTTCCATGACTTTTTAGATAGAGAATATCAAGCTTCAGAAGTCAAAATAAACTTAAATATTCTCTGAATCACAACTTGACTATCACAAGAAAGCTGAATGACTGTTACCTACAAATGAGATTTTTAAAATGCATAACTAAAAATAGAATCAGTTATTTGGCATCAAAGAATATCTGGAAATGTTTGATTACCTTTAAAAACATTTTTGAATGTTCATCTTCAGGTAACCAGTCTTTGTACAGAGCAATCCACTGGGAAACAAGATGCAAGACTTTACGTTTCCTACGCGGAACGTCTGAGTTTTCCTCTTTGCCTTGATACTTCTTAGCAGAATAGGTGCAAATGGTTAAGAAAAAATTATATTGTTGAAAATTTTAAAATATGAAGACATCCATTTACTCTTATTTTTACAAAATATGTGAAGGCATACAAGTGTATAAACATGCAGGAAGAATAGAATATGCGTAGGGAGAGCAAAAGGTGTGCACTGAGAAGAGCAAAAGTAAACTGAGGAAAATGACTGAAGTATACTCGGTAGGCAGCCAGGAAGTGAAGGGTTGGACCATTTCACTGACAGCTGCTGACATGGTTTCATAGGCAACATGCAGTTAATGCCAGCCCAAGGAGATACTAGGTGGTCCATTAATTTCAACAGTGACTCTAAGAAGAGAGCTAGCCTCACTACACAGGTGAATACTATTTCAATACATTTTAGGTCAGAATGAGGCCAGATGCTGTCTAGTCCTCAGAAATTCACATTCTGTAAAACCAGGTGCTTCTAAAGTAGTTCCAAATGAGTATAGATTTCTGCAACAGAATTTGTAACATGATTCAAATGCCCACTCCTAGGAACTTACTTGAAAACATTGGATACATGTGTGAACACAGAGGTAAAAGGGACTGCTAATTTTCATTTTAAAATAAAATGAAAATTATTTCATTTTAAAATAAAATGAAAATTATTTCATTTTAAAATAAAATGAAAATTATTTCATTTTAAAATAAAATGAAAATTATTTCATTTTAAAATAAAATGAAAATTATTTCATTTAAAATAAAAAAAGGAAATAACCTAAATGCCTCAGCAACTGAGAACAGTTGACTAAGTTATTATATATGCATTTAACGGACTATTCAGCAGCCAGAAAAATGATGGCCCAGCAGTACATTTACTGACAGAGAATATGCACAATGTATTGTTGAGTAGAAAAGCAAGTAAGAAAAGAATATGTTAGGACGATCTACTTCTGTTAACAATGTTTATTTATATGATTAATGTCACTATCTGGAGGGATATATACTGAATAGTTAACAGTGGTTTCTCAAGGTAATGAGATTTTAGAGCATATGAATTATTTTTATTGTACTTATTAGCATTTCCTAATTTATACACGATGACCATATGTAAATTATGCTGTTAAAATTACATAAAAATAACAACCTCAAAGGCAAAGTGTTTAAATGACTAGGAATGCAACAGCAGCTTGGCATATTCTAAACCAATCTATTCTTGTTGTCTCCAAAATGATAAGCTGAGTGTCTTGGACACATTAAAAAGATGACTAGGAATAGGGAATGCTATGACATCAAACACTTGAGGGTTGTTGGACAGCATTATATATTCTTTAACACTAATATACAATTGCAAAATTGGAATAAACTTTATTTCAGGCTTTGCTAATATTTTAAAATATAATTTAGTCAATGTCTCCCCATCCTGCAAAAATACATTAAGACCATCTTTGATTTCCACCTGTGAAATAAACTCAGGCAAACACAAAAAAAATCTGTTTCTATTTCTTTTAGTTTTTCTCTTGAAAGGCAAAATATAATAACAATTTATCTAGGCCAACCATGGTGGCTGATGCCTATAATCCCAGCGCTTTGGGAGGCTGAGGCAGGAGGATTGCTTGAGCCCAGGAGTTTAAGGCCAGCCCAGGAAAGAAAGTGAGACCTCATCTCTACAAAGAAAAAAATTAACTGGGTATGGTGATGGGCATCTGTAGAGCCAGCTAGTTGGGATGCAGAGACAGGAGGGTCACTTGAGCCTAGAAGGTTGAGGTTGCAGCGAGCCATGATCGAGCCACTCTACTCCAGCCTAGGTAACAGAGCAAGACCTGTCTCAAAGATTTATCTTACATTATTTCCCCTTAAACAAATGTTCTTCTCTTCTTTTCCTGTGAATATAATACCTTCACTAATATAAAGAAAAGAAATCAAGAAAATTAAGAAATGCAATTTTTTAGGTCATCATATGTAAATGAAGATATGAACTTTGTAGTCAAGCTGCATATATATGTTCTATGATTATGGACTAGCAGAATAAAACAATTTCAAGAAGCAACACTTCAACCATTCTCCATTCATAGTTATCTGCTTTACCTTGTTTTCCTCCCTGCAAGATATATATTTAAAATATATTTACCGGTTAAATTTGCATTTGTATTAATCTGATTTCCAATATTAGGATACAGACATTCTTTTACATTTTGTCTATGCTAGATTACACTGATTTATAAATTTAGCTGCTGATGGAAATAATGGGAAGGCATGTGGTGAGAGTTATAACTTCTATGTAATGCACAGAATATTAGCTGGCTCAGAGCTATGAATTTAATGCTCTTTATGATGCTATTAAATACTATTACAATAAAAATACTTATCTAAAATATCTAAAACCAGCACAAATAGCTTTAATCTATAAATAATGTTTTAAAACCACTGGAAAAAACAAATAATTTAGACCACTTCTAAGACGTTGGTTGTAGTGGAATATGTAACACATCTTCACTAAGATGTGCATAAAAATATCTCACATTAAATATAGATTCCCTTTGTGTTTGTGGTATTATTTCATAAAAGGCAGAGTGCAAATATACAGAAACAATCATAAAGAAAGACTTCTGGCTTAAAATGTTTTAGAGTTCATGGGTTTTGATTATCGGTAAAAAGGCTCATAAAAATCTGAACTAAATTTGTGTATATAATGTCTTAGTCAAAGACTCAAAACATATATATCCAAGTTAAGTTCTAGAGATTGTTTAGGGACATCCTATAGGACACTAAATTATTAAATGACAATCACAAATAATATTAGGATCATAGTTAAAGAATGTAGTTTAAAGGCATCTCATTTGTTATAAGTATATTTTATATTACTTAATGGGTGGTAATTGTTTTAGAAATATGTTAGCATTAAAATGTAAATGAAATTAGCTCACAGATATTTTTCCAAAACACTTTTGAAGAAAGATGTTCAAAATCTTATCGCTATTGCTAAATGTCTTAGCAACACTCCACTTGAAAGCTGTGAAGGAAATCTGCACATATTATTGAAACTTTCCAAATTCAAAACTAAATAACAGTTCAAGATCAATTTTATGAACTGGTTCTAAAAAGTGGCAAAATATCGACTATAGCTTTGTTTGCTCATAGGATATAGTAAAGCACTAAAAGTAATCATCATTTCCAGTTATTTATTTTTTTAAGAGAGATGTTACTTTATGTCCTTTATGAAGTTTTAAAGTATTCTTTTAGGTGGGAAAATGCTGTAAAGTTGGGAGACACGTAACAATTATTTAACAGAGAAAGGATATTAAATAAGCATTATCATTAGGTCTTTTGTTTTTGAAGGCAGTCTCCCTCTGTCATCTAAACTGGAGAGCAGTAGCACGGTCTCGGCTCACTGCAGCTTCAACCTCCTGGACTTAAGTAATCCTCCTCCCTCAGCATCTCATGTAGCTGGGACCACAGGCGCATGCCATCATGCCCAGCTAGTTTTGGTATGCCTATATATATATACACCAAATATCTATCTATCTATATACCAAATATATATATGTATATTATATATATATTATATACATATATATGTATCATATATATATATATCATATATATATTTTAGAGATGGGGTCTCACTATGTTGCCCAGCTGCTCTTGAACTCCTGGACCCAAGCAATCCTCCCACCTTGGCCTCCCAAAGTGCTGGAATTACAGGTGTGAGCCACGACACCCAGCCATCATTAGGTCTTAATAGAACTTTAGTATACACAAAAGCAATCCATTTTCCTTAAAATTTTCATGTGGTTTAGAGTGGAATCTTCAGTTTCATTTAATAAAAACAGCACAGCAACAGCTTATTTAAACACTTAAAATGCGTCTGAATACATTAAATACTGTGAAGGAAGAAGATCATTTGGAGACTTTCAGTAAGTTTACATGGATTTCTTTTGTGGCATTTCAATGATCCTATGTTGCATCTCTTCTAGTTAGTGAATAAAATTATAAGGCTTCCTTAACTGGTCATTAACCTTCTAATCACATCCATCATTCTCAGAGAGCATGCAGTGACAAAGCTGTGAAAAGATGACAGTTGATTCCAGGGGTTAGGTTCGACCTCCCATGTGGGGGAATGGCCTGTCTCCCCTGAGATACTTGCCAGGAACATTATATCACATATGTGCATTTTCCTTCACAAGTGGTCTGACACTTAACTGATTCTCCTTTAAGTCCATTTATTCCATGATCTTCCCATTCCACACAATCTCTTGACTCTGGGGTTTACCCAGCAGGCCAATTTTGCCTCCAGATTTCTAAGCAATCATGAGGCACAGATGTGAAGCGAACATAATATAAACAGTGTAATATAGCCACAACATAGAATGTGAAAACAGCTGTTCACATTTCCAGTTTCCCCTGTCTGTCTCATTTCATCTTCTACCTTGGATATCATTACATTAATATTTAACATATCCACATTCTACTATGGGGTTGAATAAATTAAGGAAGGCAGTTAATTCCTAACGTGGGACATCTGTCTGAGAGGAAGTGGACACAGCAGCCTGAAGATAATGAAGGATATTGCCTTAACAGAGCCTGGCACAAGTCATCAGTTGTCATGAAGACAGTGTACGTGAGAAGGAAGTCATCCAGGAGGGTCTCTGCAAAGAAAAAAAAAACAAACACAAGGTAAGCAAAGAGGTGGATAAGAAGAGCAGCTGCTTATCTGGGCCCCAGAACCATGTGCATGGCAGAAATATGATAAATATTGATAGCTGTGGGAGGGATTAGGAGAATTTTAGCCAGGAAAGACATTATTTATTAAAATTAAGATATGAAAAACTCCTTATATCAAATGCCTCAAGCAATAAGATATTTTTGTTGCAGAGCTCTCTAAACATACAATTTTGTTATCATCTTGTTTTCCTGAAATTTCATTTATATTTGTGGGTAAAGATGATATAGAAAACAAATGCATAAATAATGTGCTTTAAAAAATAAATTTTACAAGACTTCTGAGGTGTACACTCAAGTCCTACGGGGAATAAAGCCTTCATGTGTTAATAAATTAAGGTTTTTTCCAAAGCCATTTACTTAAGTCTAGGGCAAGAACAATGAATAATAAAACCCAGAAGACACATATCAGGTTCCAAGGCCATTCACCTTTATCTCTTAAATGCATCTTTAAGAAGCTGGGAAAGTGATGAGTGATTTTCTTAGTCTTGAAGAGAGACAGAACTGAGTCCAGTTAAAATTGGAGAGCAGGTACAATGTATCACAACATACTTCTTCCTAATTTCTTTTTTCTACCAACCAAACCAGGTTACATTGTTATCATCTTTGTGCTTTAAGTGTTCTTGGAAGAGTTCAGTTTGTATACAATATGGAATTGCTAAAGAGGCAAACTCTGACTTTCAATGTAATTTCCAATATGGTACAAAAGATTATATGCAGAATGTAAAGTGGTGATTTTGCCACAACAGTGATTATCTAGTCTCCTTAACTTAAAATTCATTTTACAATATGATTTAATTTTCATCTTTTACATTCCAGACATCACATTTTTAGTTATATAAAACAGTAATAAATTATTAGAGTAATTAGCTTGTGTACTGTTGTTATGGACTGAATGCTTATGTCCTTTGCAACACCCCCACCCCTGCCACTTTATATGTTGAAACCTTACCCCTAGTATGATGTATTAGGAGGGGGTATTTGAGAGGTAATTAGGATTGGATAAGGCCATGAGGGTGGAGCCCTCATGAATGGCATTGCTATCTTTATAAGAGTCCTGAGAAAGCTCCTTTCATCTCTCTACCATACAAGTATCGAGGAGACTGTGGCCTATGAACCAGGAAGCAGGTCCTCACCAGACACTGAATCTGCTAGCACCTTGATCTTGGACTCCCCAGCCTCCAGGCTGTGAGAAATAAATGTCTGTTGTTTAAGCTTCCCAGGCTATGGTATTTTGTTATAGCAGCTTGAGCTGACTAAGACATACACTCAATAGTGCTTATGGTCTCCAAGATCTACATGTTATAATGATGATGTGTAAGTAAAAATAATTGCCCAGTATAGAGCCCTATAGCTCTACATTGAAGACTGGATGAAAGAAAATCTCCAGAATTTTTAGGAATAACCAGTAATATTTACTTTAAAAGTTAATCAGAAAAACAAGGTAATATTTATGAACACAAAACTCTGATATACGAGGTTGTGGATGACATCTACAGTTCTATATTAGCTGCAGGGCATAACTTATTTCTGCTTGGTTGCAGAATATCAAGGAAATCCTAATCCACATAGGTAAGTGGTTGCAAATGGTAGGTTTTTCAAAAGTTTGCTTTTTAATTGCAAGATGCCTGTAATTAAAATGAACCAAGGGTGTTAATGAAGAGTATTAACAGAATTTATCTGAAAGATATTTTATTTCTAAGTTCATAGTATTCCCTGTCAAAATAATAAATTCGACAAATTTTCTTATTTGATTTAAAACATGTTTTTAAAAGTCTAAACTTACATTGTTGTATCACACTGCAATATGTTAGCAATCAGTAGTCTAACTTACTATTACTCTATGGCAAAAGCGAATTCCTAAACAGATATACCTGGGCCTTGCTGGGCATAAATTAGACCTAGCACAAAAAGGCTGTGGTGGCGTGCCTGATCCAACAATGTCACATGAATGGACATGCACAGCCTGTGTACGCAGAAGAGCCAGGGGCCCCCTACTAGAGTCTCTGTTTATGGAAGTTTCAAATATATGAACAAGGCACGGGAAGGTTTACTTTACTTGTCTCCAAACAAGTTAACCTGGCAGCTCAAGTTAAACACTGGTCATCCTAATGAGAAATTTGGAATATATAATGTGTGCCTTTCATTACAGTTTTTAAAAATAGTTTCAATTAAAATCAATCACTTGCATATTAGCTGGAAACCAAGCATATTTTGGAAATACAATTTGAAAACTATTCCTCTGGGCCTGTTGAAGAGTAATGTTTACAAATTACAACATTTCTCTGTGTTAAATGTGGTTGATGGAAATCCTCAACCTTTCAGGTCTGATTAGAAATTAAGCTGAATCTGGCCAGGTGTGGTGGCTCACGCCTGTAATCCCAGCACTTTGAGAGGCCAAGGTGAGTAGATTGCTTGAGGCCAGGAGCTAGAGACCAGCCTGGCCAACATTGCGAAACTCCATCTCTACTGTTAAAAAAAAAAAAAAAAAAGCTGGGTGTGGTGGCATATGCCTATAATCCCAGCTACTCAGGAGGCTGAGGTAGGAGGATGGCTTGAACTCAGGCGGTGGAAGTTGCAGTGAGCCAAGATCATGTCACTGCCCTCTAGCCTGTGCAACAGAGCGAGACTCTGTGTCAAAAAAAAAAAAAAAAAAAAAAGCTGAATCTTCCCAGATACTCAGGAGGCTGAGGTAGGAGGATGGCTGGAACCCAGGTGGCAGAGGTTGCAAGTGAGCCAAGATTATGCCACTGCACTTTAGCCTGGGCGACACAGAGAGACTCTGTCTCAAAAAAAAAAAAAATTAAGCTGTTTCTTTTTTGCACTCAATATTAGACACAAGCAGCAAGGACAACAGAGTAGTTTTTTTGTTTGTTTGTTTGTTTTTGAGACTGTCACCCAGGCTGCAGTGCAAACTTCGCCTCCCAGGTTCAAGTGATTCTTGTGCCTCAGCCTCCCAAGTAGCTGGGACTACTGGCATGCACCACCATGTCCAGCTAATTTTTGTAGTTTGAGTAGAGATGGGGTTTCACCATATTGGCTGGGCTGGTCTCAAACTCTTGGCCTCAGGTGATCTGCCAGCCTTGGCCTCCCAAAGTGCTGGGATTACGGGCGTGAGCCACTGAGCCTGGCCAACAGAGTAGCTTTGAATCTAGTTTAGGGTTTTCAATGGCTCTTGTAGATAGGAGCCACCAGTGCGCAGAAACCATTGGGTGACAGCACTGAGAGGGAGTTGGCATTTAAAATGCTGGATGTGACACAGAGGTTCAGACTCTTTGGGGTGTTCTTACACTTAGCTGCATTTAATGAGGTTAGAACTATTCTCTCATCAAGATTTACTTCATTAGTAGCTGAGATTAAAAAGAACACCATTAAACCATTAACTTTGACATAACCAGTCATTCCATTCCAGAACAACCTTAGATAATGAACTGACTACCAGAGTCTGGTTGGATGGTGGCAAACCCATTTGGCATTCAATTCAATTAATCAGCTCACATATGACAATATTTTGTTAAGGGCTTTGACCCAGAAATGCTTATTTTCTCCTAAGCCAATATCATATTTAAAATTCAACAGCATTTACCTAATTATCTGTCATAGAAATATTAATTAAAATAAAAACAATGAGGCTATATAAAAACAGCTCCAGTTGAAGTCCTAATAAAGAAAATAGTTAAAAATTCTAATGAATAGAACAGATTCCCAATACTCATAACTCAAATATCTCTCTATTTAACTACTATATTGTTCTAAATTTTTCTATACAAAGAGCTTTCCTTTATTCTTTTCCAGCATTCATGTTTTTTTTTTTTTCTGCTGTGCAGATTCTGAAAGTAATTGAGTGGTATGAATGAAAATACTATAATCAAAGTGATGCACTTCAAATAAAAGTGCAATTTATAACAGCCATGCTTCCAAAAAAGAGGCTGTCCCATTGGTATTTAGAGATATTTTTAGAACCATGATGGTTATATGAATGATCCCCTGAAGACTATTAGCCGACAATAGCCATTTAGAAAGACTTACAAATCCACTGGCATCCAAATTAAAACACTATAATTATCTATTACACTACATAGTACTTAATAATAATTTAAGACAACAGGCAGAAAAGCATGTTTGTATACATAAAAGTATCTTTCATTTAAACAAATTCATAGTTGCCATACATATTAACACTCTGAGTAAAAAAAGTATTCATTTTGATTTCTAACTTTGTGAATACCTAAGCATATTAATATGCATATGTTAATACACAAAACCTTTTTCTTTCATATCCTTTCTTTTTTTTGAGATGGAGTTTTGCTCTTCTTGCCTAGGCTGGAGTGCAGTGGCACGATCTCAGCTCACTGCAACCTCCACCTCCCAGATTCAAGTGATTCTCCGGCCTCAGCCTCCTGAGTAGTTGGGACTACAGGTGTGCGCTACCACGCCCGGCTAATTTTTGTATTTTTAGTAGAGATGGGGGTTTCACCATGTTGGCCAGGCTGGTCTCAAACTTCTGACCTCAGGTGATCTGCCCGCCTCAGCCTCCCAAAGTGCTGGGATTACAGGCATGAGCCACGTTGCCAGCCATTTTCTTTGATATTCTATGCACTAAGTAAATTACTAAATCTAATCCTAAATTATTGGCTTATCAATAAATTTTTGGGACTATCCTCCCCACTCCAAAATAAAATAATACTTTCGTAGTGGCTTTTTGAATACAAGAAACATCCTTGCAAGTAAAAAAGTAACATCTTGATAATCATTGAAATTGGAAGGTAAATACTTCTATAGTTTTAACTATTATAAAACTTGAAATAAAATATATATAGAAATGGTTTTGAAATCCATGCATGTAATTAGCTATACTGATGTCATATAGGACTTTTCCCTATCATCTGCTACTATTTTAATTTTTGGGGGTTTTTTTTGAGATGGAGTCTCACTCTGGCACCCAGGCTGGAGTACAGTGGCATGATCTCAGCTCACTGCAATCTCCGCCTCCTGGGTTCAAGCTATTCTCCTGCCTCAGCCTCTGGAGCAACTGGGATTACAGGCACACACCACCATGCCCGGCTAATTTTTGTATTTTTAGTAGAGACTGGGGTTTCACCATGTTGGCCAGGTTGGTCTCGAACTCCTGACCTCAGGTGATCTGCATGCCTCGGGCTCCCAAAGTTCTGGGATTGCAGGTATAAGCCACCGTGCCCGGCCTATTTTAATTTTTAGGTCATATAAAAATAATTATCTAATTTTATTTAATTTTATTTGAATGTATTTCTCTTGTATGTACCAATTAAAACATTTTTCTCTGTCTCATTTTAAGTATATGAAGCTCTAAAAATTCCCATTTTATTTCTGCAAAACACAAGTATCCCTAGAGCATGCTAGAGTTGTGTCAAGATAGAATAGTAAGAGGTTTGGTACAGACCATTTTCATGGAGTTCTGTTACATATAAATGTAATCAAATTTTAAAAACTGATCCAAATGTTACCAAAAGGTCTAAGCTTAATGCTTTCTTTGTAACATAAAAACAAAAAACAAAAACAAAACCCTGAAGTCTAAAAATCACTAGAAGTATAGCGTTACGTAGGAAAAATTATATAAATCTACCTTGGTTATTTTTTCAACACTCATAAGCAAAATGCACTGCGATAATGAAACCACTCAGCTGTTAAAGTGAATTACCAAGAAAGCAAATTAAAAGAATTTTGACAGGCAACTGCCTATAGTAGCCATTTAATCCAAGTATGGTAATGTGAATATTCAACATTTCTGTATTAACTCATATTCCCTGAAGTACTATTAGCCGTTTTGTTTCACCTGTATTTCTACTTCAGATGTAATGGAATTTAAGGCACTCTAAAATATATTCTACTTAACCTTTATTTTAAGAAGCCAAGAAAAGCTTTGAACATGAAAGGGCCCATTTCTGGTCCTGGAATGTTACAACTTGCCATTATTTTTTGAGAAGCAGTGCCAAAATGTACCATGTAATTTGATTAAGCACAAATAAAATTTTTTTCATGTTCAGGTTGGAATAATAGATTAAAGTGCTATGCCATTAAAAGCAATGCTTCTTTCCCTGTGTATCTTACATTTCTGAAAGTGATATTAACGACCTCGAACGCAGCTTTTTACTACAGCTCTTAAATTCACTTAATCCCTGCCAATTCTTACAGGCTCACCATAGCGTTTTCTTTAGCCATTCTAACATAACCAAATCTTGAGATCTAGCTTTATTTTTAGGTATTTGTGGCAGAAAAAAAGTGCTTACTTATTTAACGCTGTTTATATATCAAATCTTAAAAGTCACCCCTTTAAATGACAGGAACTTACTACAGACAGGGCTTGGGGACACTCTTCAAATAATCAAATCTGTTTTTATTTTAACTTGTAAAATTCAGTTTTAGAATCCTGTCATTCCGTCTTCAAGAAAGAATGATTTGAATACAACAGGTATTCCGTTCTTAGCTATGCTTAATTCTATACACTGCCTTTTAAAAATGTTACTTGGAGGGGCATAGAGTAATAAACAGGGGGCTTGTCTACCTTCTCCAGGCTGCGGCACTCAGAGAAAGGGTGCAGGTCACCCTGGGACTAAGAGCGGTGAGCGGCCTCATAGCTCCTGTTGTTACATCCCAATCAGCTGCTCTCAGTGTCTAGGTACAATTGCAGCCCATTCATGGCATATGCATGCGTCTGCCAAGTATGCTGGGAAGCTCAGAAAACAGTATAAAGAATACTATGGAAACAGACAGCTGGAAATCTAACGGGGTAGCCTAATGCATAGTCCTTAATCTCTCTAGGCCTTAGTTAAGTCACCTGTAAAGTGGCTATCATATCTATACCTAGCAGAGTTACAGTGAAGATTAAATAAGACAGTGTATCTAAAGCAACTGGCAGAGAGCCTGGTATACCCTAGGCACTCTAGATAAATACTACCTATTATTTATTTTTATAAAATAAAATTATTTCAACCTTGTCCCAATTCTCCAAGTGCTACCAATCCGCCAACAAAAACTTGAGAACTATGAATTTCCAAGAAGAATTGGAGGAGGAAAAGGAGAAGCAAATGTGAGCAAAGCAACGGATGTGGGTGGGTCTGTGGCTGAGTCACAAACCTGTGGTCTTGTGACTTGCAGGTCTTGTTTAGTCCCTAGAGATGCTTTCTGTGAGTTGACAAAATTTAAAAGTCAGAAGATCTGGCAACACCAGGGCCACATCTCCTATGGCAACCATGTTTAGAGCCAACTTGCCTACTTTATGCAGGAGGCACTCTCCAGTTCATCACCCTTCTGCTCTGGCAGTCTTCACTCACTCACTTTTACTGCCTGTGGACATGCAAGTTGGTAAGTCTTGGTCTACAGCACAGTTGTGTAGTAGTAATAGAAGAGATCACATAGTATAATTGAAAAGTAAAGCTAAAGAAATAGGTTGGAGGAAATTCCTGAAGGATCTTTGAATGCTAAACTAAGGAGCCTGGGGCTTATTCCACAGGAAAAGGGAAGTGAAGGGAGATTTTCAAGACCAGAAGTGACAAGAGAGATATGAGTTAAGCTTGCTTCATCAGGGAACTCAGACTGGATAAGGGAAGGATAAGGGGAGGGAGGTGAGTTTGCTTTTAAACTTGCTGAGCTTGGGTTCCCCAGGTTACTCTAAGGAAAGCTATTAGGAAAAAATATCAAAAACCAGAGCTTGCCAAAGAGGGTTACAGTTATGATTGTGGGAGCCAGTACCTAAAGAGGATGGCTATGGCCAACATGATTTCTCAGAAAAATAAGCAGCAGTCTAAGGGAGTGGGATATTCATGTTTGGGCGATGGTAAGGGAAAGATGAGTTAAGGAAGGGGAAAGAGAAGGAGGAGAGAAACAGAATAAAGAGAAACGAATGTACAGTCAATAGCCTCCTTTCTGTAAACAAACAAACGGGACACAAATGTAATAACCAACAAGAAAGAAAAGGATTGGAAATGAGTGTTAAATGCTGCTTGAAGAGGCTTTATCGGGCTCAGGACTCAAAGAGCACTGGATTTGTTATGTGGACAGTCCCTGGTTTGATGACCTTAGAGAGATGCCCCTTGGTGAATGGTGGGGGCATACTCTAGTTAAAAGGAACGAAGGATATTCTGATAATCAGTGGTCACACCATATATCACACTGTTTTTTCTTTTTTTCTCCAAAGACTCCTCCTAAAGTTGTAGAGCTCATTGTTTAGTAAGAGCAGTTGCTCTCACAAGGAGCTGGGATGAAAAATTTCTCAATAATCAATACAATTATCATTTTATTTAACTGTACAGATTAGAATGTGGGAATTGTCATGGGCACGAAGCCTTCAGCACCAATCTGCCAGCATCTACCAACAAAAATTAATATCCAGCTCTAAGATTCACTCGGTCCAACTCGGACCTCTCGGAGTTGCTGCATGGTTGTCTGATTAACATCACACACGTGTTCTAAACATACAAGCTGTGTTCCTTAGTGTTTGTCCATTAAACGTTCTTAACTTTCAGGAAACAAAGAAAATTAATTTAAACATAATATCCTAAATTAGAAGCCTGAGATATGGTTATTACAAGCAAACTAATAGTCATTCTAACAACTGAATCAACTTAGGACATTGTAATGTTTTTACCTCTCAAGCACCAAAAGGTTCTGTATTATGAACTTTTTTCAAAACCTGAAATACATCATCATTCCCAATGTTAATATTAGCATTAAATTTCAGAAAAATAACATTGTATTTACTTTTTTTTCATGTATTAGTACGTTCTCATGCTGCTAATAAAGACGTACCAGAGACTGGGTAATCTATAAAGGAAAGACGTTTAAAGGACTCACAGTTCCACATGGCTCAGGAGGCCTCACAATCACAGTAGGGGATGAAAGAGCAAAGGCATGTCTTACATGGTGTGTGCGTGTCAAAGGCAAAACAGCGTGTGCGGGGGAACTCCCCTTTATAAAACCATCAGATCTCATGAGACTTATTCACTATCATGAGAACTGCAGGGGAAAGACTTGCCCCATGATTCAATTCCCTCCCACCAGGTCCCTCCCATGACATGCAGGAATTGTAGGAGCTACAATTCAAGATGAGATTTGGGTGAGGACACAGCCAAACCATATCAGTTGGTTAACAGAAATTCTAGGAATTCTAGACAGACTTATTTTCTTCCAAGTTTAGCAATGAATAGTCAACTGCCTCTGTTAAGACTAAGGATTGGCAAGATAGCTAGGTTATATTAAAGATAAGAAGATATTCTACAAAACTAATTTAAAGTAAACATAAGTAAGCACAATTAAGGCTTTTTGTTTGTTTGTTTGTTTATTTTTGAGATAGAGTCTTGCTCTGTCGCCCAGGCTGGATGGAGTGCAGTGGTGTGATCTCTGCTTACTGCAGCTTCCACTTACTGGGTTCAGGCAATTCTCCTGTCTCAGCCTCCTGAATAGCTGGGACTACAGGAGCCCACCACCATGCCCGGGTAATTTTTTTCTATTTTTAGCAGAGGTGGGGTTTTACCATGTTGGTCAGGCTGGTCCCAAACTCCTGACCTCAAATGATCCACCCACCTCGGCCTCCCAAAGTGCTGGGATTACAGGCGTGAGCCACTGCGCCTGGCCAATTGAGGTTCTTTCGAAATAATCTGGCACAGGATCTTACATTTACTGACAATTTTCAACACAAGAAAATTTACTTTAATGTATTGCCTGTATTTAAAAATACTGCTAGGACAAATATATCAACCAGTGGCTGACAGGAGACATGCCTCTGTGTTCTGGTTCCAGAGCTGTTATTAGTGTTCTTTTCAATAACACACAGCTGCTTTCTTTCTCACACAGGTGAAAGGAAGACTCATGTTTTTGGGTCACAGAGAAAGGTTTGGTCAGCAACCATTTACTGAACTTCTGTGACTAAGGGATGACAACTGTGCCCTCTGCCATGGAGAATGGAAAGTTGTTCACAGAGCTTGGGAATCTGATTGGTGAGATAATTAAATGACCACATAAGGCATCCTCCACACCCCAGGCTGATGAATATCACACTCCTGTGAATGTCTGGGCAGTCCTCCACACCCCAACCCCTACCCAGCATATGTCATTGGCCTTGAGTCACCTAAGATGTTCCTATCAAGTTGTTTTCCATGTAAGTGCCAGGATGCTGAAGTTCCTTTATTCCTACTCAAACTTTATTTTGTCTTTATTTTCTAGGGAGCCCCAAATTTGTTTTGAACCATATCTATCTGGCCATGCACCAGGTAGCCAGAGTGGCTTCAATGGGCAAGGAGAAAAAGTAAGGGAGGAAAATGATAGCGGCCTCGCTAGTTAAATATACTCAAAACAGCCACCCTTTATTGACCACAAACTGTGCCAGTGCTAATGATAATCACGGAATCACCACCCAACATTCCACACCTGTTAACACTAAGGGCTTTACCTACATGGCCTGCGCCCCTCATATCCACCCTAGAAGGTAGGTTGCACATTATCTTTTTTGAGGTGACAGCACTGAGGCTGAGATGAATAAAGAGAATAACCACCCAGGGCTCCTCAGCAAGATGATGTCTGAAGGGCCTAAGTCCCAGCCCTGGTTCTTTCATTACACTATGCTCTCCCGAGAGTGTGGACCCAAATAACCCATCCGGTTTAGGGGAAAAGAAAATGCAGGAAAGTAACAGAATCTCCAGGTTTGGAAGCGGGAGTAGAGTCATAGACACAAGAAGGTGGTCTTTCATTGGTCTTAAATCACCAAAGATGCCCCTATAAAGTTGTTTCCTAAGTGCCAGGATGCTGGAGTTCCTTTATTCCTACTCAAATTTTATTTTGTTTTTTATTTTCTAGTGGACACCTGGCCATAGCAAATAGATACGAGATCAGCCAATTTGCTTTTCAAAAGGTAGAACTGACAATCACGTGGAAGGACTGAAATGGTCCACAAATTCCTAATGTTTTTAAGACTGACCAGTTACACATATTTATATTTTTTAAAATTGAAATGTAAAGGTAAAAACTAAAAAAATTGTTTACAAAAGGCCAAATCATAAAATTCTTCCCTCCTTTCTAGATGAATTCTCTATATGAAAGATTATACTGAAAAAAAACCATTTTTCTACTCTCAACACATCAACTGAGTTTCCTATAATTCAATTCTGACACTACCTGGAGATAGCACAGACCTCACAGACCAGGGGCTCAATCCCACAAGACTGCATCCCACTTCAGATGCCAATCACAAGTCTCAGGTTGTCACCTGTACTTCTGACCAGTGGGCTCTATATCAGGGTTCTCACAACCACCCTCTGCGGTCTGACAAGTACCTGTTAAGGGCTCACTAAACTCAGGGAAACATTTACTTACACTTACTGCTTTATTATAAAGGAGATGAAGATGAACAGTCAGGTGAGTAGTTACACAGCATGAGGTCTAAAAAGGTCCTGAGCACAGAAGCCTCTGTTTCCGTGGGGTTTGGGTTCACTATCTTCATGGCACATGGATGTGTTCACCGACCTGGAAGCTCTCTGAATTTCATTGTTTAGAGTTTTTATAGAAGCTTCATTAGGTAGGCATGATTGATTAAATCATGGACCACTGGTGATTAAGTCAATCTCCATCTCCCTCCCCTCCCCAGACGTTGAGGGCTGGGACCAAAAGCTCTATCCCTCTAGTCATGCCTTGTCTTTCTGGCAACCAGCTCCCATCCTGAAGCTATCTAGGGACCCCAGCCACCAGTCATCATATTAGCATACAAAAAGATTCTCCTATCACTCTAGACATTCCAAAGGTCTTAGAAACTCTTGTGTTAAGAATAAGTGATTAAAACCAAATACTAAAACAAAAGATGCTCCTATCACTTCTATCACTCATGAAATTCCATGGTTTTAAGAGCTCCAGCCCAGTGGCAGAGACCAAGTATGTATTTCTTATTATGTCACAATAATAGAATATTATATACAATTAGATACTAAAATCTACTCTATAAGAGTAGATTTATTAATTTGTGCCATTGTTTAAATAATACTTCTTCCAAGCAATAATATATGGAATATTTCTTAGTTCATGTTTAATTTCTTATATGAAAAATGTTTCTAACAATGACAAGAATTTAGAGTGAATGATGTATAATTCTCAAACATGAAATCAACAGCTCAAATCAGACATAAGAAAAGTACTTATAGCTAACTAAACCTTGCATGCTAAGCATATGTAAGATTATTCTAAATATTCACTTGTTGAGGAGGATATCAGAGATAATCCAAACCACTTCACAGGCTTTTTAAAAAAATGACTATGTCAGAGGCATTTGAGCCAGAGTGACTCCATCTTGAATAGGGGCTGGGTAAAATAAGGCTGATACCTACTGGGCTGCATTCCCAGAAGGTTAAGGCATCCTAAACCACAGGGTGAGATAGTACGTCTGCACAAGGTACAGGTCACAAAGATCTTGCTGATAAAACAACATGTGGTAAAGAAGCCAGCCAAATCCCACCAAAACCAAGATAGTGACAAATGTGACCGCCAGTTGTTCTCACTGCTCATCACATGCTAATTATGATACAATCGCATGCTAAAAGACACTCCCACCAGCACTATGACAATTTACAAATGCCATGGCAACAATCAGGAAGTTACCACATATGTTCTAAAAAGGGGAGGAACGTTGAGTCTCAGAAAAACTCATGAATAACCCACCCCTTGTTTATCATATAATCAAGAAATAACTATAAGTATCCTTAGTCCAGCAGCTCAAGCTGCTGCTCTGCCTATGGAGTAGCCATTCTTTCGTTTCTCTACTTCTCTAACAAAGTTGCTTTCACTTTACTCTATGGGTTCGCCTTGAATTACTTCTTGCGTGAGACACAAAGACCCTCTCTTGGGGTCTGAATCAGGACCCCTTTCCCTTGACAATTATACAATGCGTTAAAACATAGTATGTCCATATTTCTTTGAAGAAACAAATACATAATTATGGTATTGGGTCTACAATATCAAAACAAACTTAACATAAGCTTCTATTTACAAAATTACATGCCATTTGCCCCTTTTTTGGGAATCAAACTTTGATTTTTTCTCCCTGGGCATGTTGCTCCCCTGATATTTTAAAGTCACAACAAAACAATATACAATATATTTGCCAGCTTCACTTGCAGCTAGATGTGGCCACAAGACTAAGTTTTGGTCCATGAGGTAAAAGCAGAAGCCGTGTGTGACGGGCAAGTGTGCTCTTCATGACTTTCTTCATCCTGCTGCCTGGACAGTTATGCTAGTGTCCATCAGGGCCCAGGAAATCAAGTTCAAATAAGGAATCTCAGAACTGACTGATATCAGAGTGGCTTTATCGGCTGCGGACTGTATTTCTCCATACTTATTTTCACATGAGAGAGAAATACATTTATACCATGTTTAAATCATCATTAGAGCTTTTCTGTTATATGCAGCTGTGCCTACTCACAAATAACACATGTACACTGAAAATTTCCAGAAGCTCAAGTACACGATCTGCAATATGATATGGTTCTCAATTTTCTCAATTATCAAAAGTAGGAAAGGTACATTCAAGGAGTGTTAAGAATACTTAACAATATTAATTCATCCTGATCTCACTACTGTGGATTTCTAGAATGTGCTGACGAAGACACAGTGCCTTGGATGTTTGTTTGTTGGTTTGTTTGGAAGAACAAACACCTTCCCTGGGAGACTATCAAACAGTGCAAATTGTCATAATAATTCTGAGATATGCACACTATGCCAATCAGCATTGGCAGAACTTGGGTTAACTAAAATTGTTCTACAGAAGCCATCAGTAAATGAAAATGGCTGGCAATGCCTTCAAATACAGATCAAACTGAACCAAGACATCAAAGGTCACATTTTATATATCCAACTCTGAGAATTAGAACCAAAATTAGGATGAAAAGATCACTCTGCTCTCTCTTTTTTTCTTAACAAAACATACGACATGACAGTAAATTTAAAATCTGTAAGCTGCTACACAAAAGAAAATATGTGATATCAAGCAAGACTCAAAGAAAACTTAGGGGGAAAAAGCTTACTTGCTGTCAGTACTACATAAATTCTTCTTCATAACAGGTGAAGAATATTGAAAGGGATATAATAAGAAAAAAATAGCAGAAGCTTACATATACTCATTCATCTAAAACCATATTTGTTTTTAGACTGAGAATTTAGGTAGCAATATCCAGCCAGGTATGCAATGGAGAATTTTAAATTGTACTTTTCATGTTCCCACTAAATGAAGCTCATTTAAAGGATTAAAATATTTCAAAGTCAGAAGATTCACCAAATATCCTAAATGCCAGACAAGAACGCCAAGTCCAAGTCTGAAGCAGAAAAGGCTACAGAATTGTTCTGAAAATTATTTTCTGTCACTATTTAGATTATGACAAGATGTTCTGGGATTTTGGTTGTTGTTGTTTAGTTTCCCACGTTTCTGTCACCCGTATTTAACAACTCTAATTTCATATTTATTTTTGAGATTCAAGGGAAGGACTGCCAGCCAAGTAGCAGCCTTAAGTACAAGGCAAAAAAGCTGCAAACTGAATGAAAGAAAAGGTTTCAATTGTAGAGTAAGAAAGCCTGAGGCAGAAAATGAGGATAATGGGAAATGGGAGGGGAAGGTTATAGTGCCAAAAGGCTGATAGGAAAAATGAAGAGAAGCTCAATTATAGGTAGGTTAAAAGCAAACATTCTCCCACACAAAGAATATCTCTTTTAGATGTGGGCTTGTCAGAGCAATTCTATGACATTACACCCTTTCAATGAAGCAATAATTGATTGAAACATGCTGTGAGAGATTAACATGCAGTGACTGTAATCAACAAATTGCCATCCACTAATACTCCTTCCTCACACTTTATACGACTATCTGAAGTACACACTCTTACACAAAAAAACACTTTGTTCCCCCATTTTCTGATAGAATGCTAAATTTTACTTGAGGAAGATGTCATAAACATTTTAAAATTCAGACAAGGACATCTGATTATCTCACTTTAAATCCAACAACCGTCTGGGGAGATGACACAAGATCTCTGAGAGAGAGAAACACAGAAAGAGAAAGAAGGAGACAGAGGTTTTTCAACCGTTGACACTGTCTTAAACACAGTTTCAAGTAATTTCAGCTGCCGATGTTAGAGTGAAACTATCATTTTGCTAAAATTACTAGGTTGTCAAACCCACAACTGACACAATATCTTGTCTTCATGAATTTCAGTATCTCTTGTTCCCTTCAATTTGCTACTCCAGAAATGCCCCACTTAAATCACACATTTAAACAAATTCCTGGAAATACAGCCAGACACTAACAAAACCACATGCGTTTCTACTAAAGCGCAATATTAAATATGCCAATAGACACGAAACTTCCTGAGAAAATATGGCAATTTACACATTTTTAAAGGTTTTAGAACAGAAATTTCCTTTCAAAAGAAATGAAACCCCAGTTAGCACTAACTGAACTGGGAAATGATGCTGTAGAAATTATTTTTCCAAAGAAATAGAAAAGTAATATATGTAGCCTTCTTCTTTAAAGGGTACACCCTGTCAGGGAGACAGGATATCAAGAGAATATTAAACAAGGTATTATCTGTCTCAAATTTATTTTTATGAGAAAAAACAAGTTATATTGAGGATTTATGTTTCAAATGCAGCCTTCATCCTACGTCAAAGAGATTATATAGATGTAAGCCAATATCTTATCCATATAACAATAAAAGCAAGGACTATTATTAGGTCCTCATAGTTTGCTATTAGATTTTATATTTGAGGCTGGGAGCAGTGGCTCACGCCTATAATCCCAGCATTTTGGGAGGATGAGGCAGGTGGATCACCTGAGGTCAGGAGCTCAAGACCAGTCTGGCCAACATAGTGAAACCCTGTCTCTAGTAAAAATACAAAAATTGGGCATGGTGGCACACACCTGTAGTCCCAGCTACTCGAGAGGCTGAGGTAGGAGAATCTCTTGAACCCAGGAGGGGGAGGTTGCAGTGAGTCGAGATGGTGCCATTGCACTCCAGCCTGGGTAACAGAGTGAGACTCCATCACAAAAAAAAAAAAAAAAAAAAAAAAAAAGATTTTTATATTTGAAAACAGATTGTAATTTTATATATTTGATTCTCTGAAACTTGACAATTTGTGTACATACTTATGGCAACTCTCAGTGGAGCAGAATATTTTATTACTTGTAATAATTTATCCTCCAGTTGTTCTAGAAAATTAGAAATTTACTTAACTACAAAGAAAGAACCAAAGTTCTCTATGGAAGTCTAGCTAAAAAGATGAGTATCAAGTTGGGCATTTGAGGTAAAGTATTTCAGGTGAAGCAAATTAATGTAAATAAAGGATAAAAAGAAAACAACATATGCAAATATGAATAAAGTAGAAAGTCCACTGACTTCTCCATCTTCCATGCTGGCTGCAGTTTACACAGGAAAACCGGGGTTCAGGGGTTGAGGTCAGCACTGAAACTGACTTCGAGGAAATAAGCAGTCACATGCATATGTCATTTAGATAGAACACCGTGTGCAGGAACCTCCAGATTATCTCACCTTCAGCCTCTAGGACAAAACCTCCACTCTAACCTGTCAGAAAGTGGTTAACATTTTCCTTCAAAGTATTTAAAGAAGAAAGTCCATAAACTGTTAAGATGCCCAAGTTTTCCATAATTCTTATAGTCTGGAAGCTAAGGATCTAATTTCTAAGGTCATTCTTTCCCCCTCATGTACTCCTTTTTCCATTTCCTATCTTCAGATCCTCCTGAAATTAATTTCCTAGAACCCTATAATACTTTGGTTTGTTTCTGGCATGCTCTAGACTTCCACTTGAACTTTCCGTTTACAAAGTCTACTGTAAAATGGTCAACCTTTTGTGGCAAAAGCCACATCTGCGAAGCCAACTGTAGTTTCCCTTTAGTTAAATATTACAAGTTAATTACCCAATGTCTTATTTTCTAGTTTATAAATAAATATACATATACATTCCTATGCATTTATCGTAGTAAATTCTAACAGTGGACACAGAATAAACAAGGGTGGAGGATGAAAGCAAATCATAAAATTAAAAGTTTAATGAAAGTATTCATCTCTCCACATAGTTCACTAGAAATATTAGGTAATCATTGAATAAACTACTCTACATTTTTCTGAATACTTTCTTATTTGGAAAACTGTAACATTTGCATAACCTTTCATGCTGAAATTGTTTGTAAAATTAAAATTCAGATAATAAACTACAGCTCAAATGTGGTACAAACATGAAAATGATGCAATTAAAAAATGCATTCCAATGATCCATTCTCATTCTAAATCGAGATTGTTTCCCTGAAAGGTATGCTATACTCCTATTAAACATATCCCTATCCATTAAATATCTTCCTTTGCCCATTGGTTGTGTTGTAATGAAAACTTCCACATTTTTCCGTTATTAATCAGTGTATGTTAATGATCTTATGCTTCAGCTGGGTCTCACTTCACTTCACCTTGCTTCATTAACAACAAGGGTATTAATTAACCCACAATCTACTGGCAGTGTAAAAGCATCAGTTCCCTTGTTATCATACATACTATTGCATGTTCAAAGGTGGTGAGAATAGATTAACCCAGAAGATGAGCACCTCAAATGAAATCCACAGTCAAAATTTAATTTTTAATCACTTCTCATGTGAGTAGTCTGATACAGTGTCAGCTGGAACTAGGACCTCTCTCTCTTTCTCTCTCCTCTCTCTCTCTCAACCTTTTTGAAGCAGTTAGCTCATCCAGTGGCCATTCTGCTCACAGCTGGAATCCAAGAAGCAGGTCTTTGTGCTGGAGATTAGAACGCTCTTAAGTGGGTACTGAAGCACCTGATTTGGGGCTTATAGCTTGAGTTGAATGTAGATTTTTACTTCAATTATGCCTTTCATCCATGATTCCAGTCTCTAGCAAAAATAATCTTCGGGATACAACTCGGAATATATTTGGGCTCATTTCCCGATTCAAATGGTGGCTCAATCACTAAGCAACTGAATTAACTTCTACCTTGGCTTCTATGTCCATTAAATGGGGATAATTATCTTGCAAAAGGATCCATCTAATGGGACAAGGTTTGAATAAATAAACTGGTGTCTGGAGTAATCTTTGAACCTGGTTCTCATAGCTAGAAGGGTCCTCAAATGTCATCTGGCCTAAAGCCTCTGCTTTTATAAGTGAAACAACTGAGAAAATTTCTACACAATTCTAATTATCTCATCACTTTGTCAACACTAATTTATAAAGCCTTCCAATGCTTCAATTATGGTCAACAAATACCGTACATTATATTCTCCATGCTAGTAATTAGGAGAGAAGCTCAAGGAACTACCAAAATCCAAACCAAACCAAAACAAAACAAAAACCACAGCACACACATTATAAAGTAGAACAGAAATCATATTCTAACTTGAGCACTTTTTCTCTCTTGACACCATTTTGGGGATTTGTACTGTCACTGTGGACAGCTGTTTCAAGTCTTTGCTTTATCTGGAAAAACAAGCCCTTACCAAACAGTGGTACTCTTCATCTGCATCTGAGGCACACCCAGGGCAGCTGGAGTTTGTGCTAATGAATTCAGTCTCTCACTGATTTTTTTTTATTAGCATGTATGCAAACAAATTAATCTAATTTTTTTTTTTTTGAGATAGAGTCTTACTCTGTTGCCCAAGCTGGACTGCAGTGGTGCGATCTCAGCTCACTGAAACCTCCCCCTCTAGCATTCAAGCAATTCTCATGCCTCAGTGCCACCACTTCTGGCTAATTTTTGTATTTTTAGTAGAGGCGGGGTTTTACCATGTTGGCCAGGCTGGTCTCGAACTCCTGACCTCAAGTCATCTGCCCACCTTGGCCTCCCAAAGTGCTTAATCTAAGATTTTGAAGTGACAGTTTCTTAAAGCTGAAAAAGACTAAGTAGCAGCCCAGTCCAGTTACTTGCCTTGGATAAAGCGATTTTCACAGTTTAAGATGGTAAAAGGCTGATATCCTTATCAAACATTTCCACAAATGCAGATTCTATGGGTTCTAACAATAGTGATTTACCAACTGGGGATACCTATGCATACTTCAAATTTCTTTTATGTTATTTTTAAAATTTCAATTAAGTGTATTTCTTTTGATTCTGAACTTCGTTGCATTTGACCAGAAGTTTCACATTAATTCTTAAAATACTTTAAATACATTAAAAGATCCTCCAGCTTTTTTATTTTTAAAGACATGGATATAGTTATCCCAAATTAGTGCCTATAATGATATTGGTTATTTAGCAACCCATCATCTAATATACAATATTTTCCTACTTATTTTATTGTCTGATTCCCTCCAATAGAATATAAGCCTTCAGGAGGGTAAGGAGTTTTGTGTCTATTTTGTATCCCTGGCATTTAGAACAGTGCCTATGCATTTGGAGGTCAAAGATATTTAAAGGAATTAAATAAATAAAGGAACTAAATTTTTCTAAGGTATTCAGAAACTCAATAACTAAAATTCACAGTTACATTTTTTATAGAAGCAGTGTATAAAGCTAAAAGTTAAGGAATTGCCAGGAAATGGCTAGTAGAAGAGATATGATGTAGTATATTTCACCACTGAGGGAAAATTGCTGCTTTTCTCCTGCAACACTATTTCTGAATATCCCAAAATGGCTTGGTAATAAAATTCTGCAAATGGAATTTAGTAGTAGAGTGATAAATCAAAGCTATTCTTTAGAAATGTTATGGCATAATTTCTCAAAGGAACTTAAAAAGTTTCCCATTGGACAAGGTTATATAAAAACACACTTAAATCATCACCAGGTATGGCCACTGAGCCTTGGATTCTAAGCTTAATACCCCGTTAACATTCTAACAGCTCTACGAGGCTGAAGAAATGTAGCAGTAACATGAAGTTAGACCAAATTTCCTAAGCCCTCGTGCAAGGGCTATGTGATGGTGTTTTCAGCATAAATTGACTTTGGAGGTCATCTACACCAATTCTCAGGTCTCCCTCCCACCTAAAATTCTATGGTTCTGTAACATATTTTGCAAGGAAAGAAAATATAGATCCCTTTGAATCAAAGGGTTTTAGTGATGAAAGATACTTTAGAGATCATTTCATTTATTACTTGCTCAAAGTCTCAGGCTGTTTTTTTAATGGAGCCCAGATTCGGTACTCAAGACTTTAGAATCTCATTTTAGTAACCTTTCTACTCTGCTATATGCATTTTCTCCTTTCGTAAAACATTATTTCTCTCAGAAGCATTCTTGGCTGTGAAACCTAAGGACCATCCAGGAATTTGTGTCATGTGACAGAACCCACACAAAAATCCAAATGGCTTTTCACTATAGTCCCACCTTCTCATTCCAAGAGATGAGAAACCAAACATTTTGTGTGTCCAGTACCTCTGTTCCCTCTGATGGTGTCCTTTTATCCAAAACCACTTTAATGGAAGGACTGGCAGTGTAGGTTTGTCAGTTATGAACTTCTCAAGCTGCAGAACTCCAGGACAGGGGCCAGCGGACATGAGGCTGGACATACAGTCCTGTCAGAGGGGTTGTAAAGGGGGAACGTTGTTCCTAACTCTCTGTATATCTATAACCAATAGAAACCTAGAATTGGTCTTTCAAAATATGGAAGTAAGACAATGTTCTATTTCAGTGTCTTTCAACTTGGCTGCGGATTGCATCACCTGGGGAACTTTTAAAGACCTTAAGGCCTAGGCCCCAACTCAGCCCAACTGAATTAGGATCTCTGGACATTGCTGTTTTGTTAAAAGCATCACAGGTGCTGCTAATGTGCAGCTACAGATAAGCTACACTGGTCTGTTTATTACATGACCTTACAGAAATAAAAAGATATAAATACAAGATAATGTCATGTGCATATCAATTGTACAAAATCATGAAAAGACTTACCGCCATCTAAATATTTACCTACCCTCAAACATTTTTAGTACAGCAAAAGCCATGCTGCTACGGGGTTATTATGGTCTGGCAACCTGGGAGAAAAAGCCTGGAAGAAAGGCACCCAGGATCATTCCAGGAATGCTAAAAGGCAAGGTAAGCAAGGAAGAAGTTCACTTACGTTGTCTTCTATCTTTCCAAGGGGAAGAAGAAAGATATTCTTAATTTTCCTCCATGAAAATTACATAATTAAATATCAAGGGATTATCATGAGCTTGGTGTTGGCAGGAGACAAGATTAAAAAGTTAATAGAAAATGAGGTGCCTGCCCTCACTTTACTTAATGTTTTATCAGTGCAATGCTTAAAAAACATCACAGCCGGGCGCAGTGGCTCACATCTGTAATCCCAGCACTTTGGGAGGCCAAGGTGGGTGGATCACGAGGTCAAGAGATTGAGACCATCCTGGCCAACATGGTGAAACCCTGTCTCTACTGAAAATACAAAAAATTAGCTGGGCATGGTGGTGCGCATCCGTAGTCCCAGCTACTTGGGAGGCTAAGGCAGGAGAATCGCTTGAACTTGGGAGGTGGAGGTTGCAGTGAGCCGAGATCGCGCCACTGCACTCCAGCCTGGTGACAGAGTGAGACTCCGTCTCAAAAAAAAAAAAAAAAAAAAGTCACTAGGTTGACCATCAAGAGCTTCTGGACTCTATCAGTTGAGTGAGACACTCCTATAATATAAAACAGGCACTTTCACAGAGGTTGTTTCCTCTTTAGAACAGTAACGAACTCACTTTTTCAATCACATGCTCAACCTACTATGTGTTGCTAAACGCCAGCTCCCCAACACTGAGGTATCTCTGAAAGAATCAAGGCAAGCTGTGTAGACACGTCCACACAGAGGCATGCTAACAGAATATACTGAATGATAACCTCATGAAATTAAAAAAAAAAAAAAAAAAGCAGCCATACCTAAAAGAAATCAGGTCAGGCCTAATGAGAATCAGCTGGTAGGCTTTACCTATTCCTACTATTCTATTCTCTGTTGGCTTTTTTTTTTCTTGGAAACTTGTAATCATAAGTACATTTTCTTCAAAAAGATGAATAAGGAAATGGGAAATAACATATTTCCTATGTTTTCCCTAAGGTAGACCTGTCGTAACACAGATTCAGAAAGAAAAATCAGTAAGAAGGGGTTTCTCCATGTAATCCACAGTTTTCCCCCTGCTTTGAAACAGAAATCATCGTTCACTACAGAAGTATCTGTAAGCAAAACACACTTTATCCTCTCTAGGGAGGAGAAAGGGTTAACTAGCTACAGTCACCAGCAGGACCACCACAGAGCAGGACTGGCTGGGCCCAAACCTGCTCCCCCATCCCTTCAACTCCTCTAACTCACAGCTCCTTGTTTTTTTTCTTTCTTACCTTCCTCGTAATTCTCTCATGTAAACCTCATGCCCAGTGATGTTTGCCCAATTTCTGGGAAAAGATAAAGCTCCAGAAACAATTTGATTTTCCTCTAACATTTCAAAATATTTCAAGTCAAAACCTGAACCTTGGAAAAAAAAAAGGAAATCTTTGAAAACAGCTTCAATCACTGTCCAGGTTCACAAATATCTAGTTACCAGACTCATAGTTTTCCTACTTTAAACAATGAAGAACTATCAGACAAAAGAAGAAATGTTGAAAAATTTAGATGACAATGAATTTCATTGCTGCTTGCTCTCAGGGAGTGTTATTGCTAACTTAGTAAACAAAAAGGGAGCTTGTCACAGATGAATGAACATTTCAAAACTGGCTGCAAATAAAGACCCAAATGCCTGGTTGGTTTGCTTGTTCCTTATCAGCACTTCCCATTGATCTTCTCTTTAAAAGTTTAGGAAATTCACTCGGCTAGGCAGAGTGGCTCACGCATGTAATCCCAGCACTTTAGGAGGCCGAGGCAGGTGGATCACGAGATCAGGAGTTCGAGACCAGCCTGACCAACATGGTGAAACTCTGTCCCTACCAAAAATACAAAAATTAGCCGGGCGTGGTGGTGGGCCCCTGTAATCCCAGCTACTCTGGAGGCTGAGGCAGGAGAATCGCTTGAACCCGAGAGTCAGAGGTTGCAGTGAGCCAAGATCATACTCCAGCCTGGGTGACAGACAGACACTCCGTCTCAAAAGAAAGAAATTCACTCATTCACTCATGCATTCCTTCATTCCATAGATATCATACTGGATGACTTCTTGCGCCTTTCACTACAAAGGAGGAAAGATACGTACTTGAGGGATTATGAAAATAGTATACATAGTAGGTGTGTGCGAGTCAACTCATTTAAGAAAATCATTAGTAGGTTGCTTTTAAGCATCTCTAGAATTATTTTTCCTTTAAAAAGCTTGATTTGCTGATAGAATACTATATGAATTTAGTTGTTTCCTATTCTATTCTTGAGTCCAGTAACAACAGAAATGCCTTATCTTAATAGCCCTGGCATTCTCCTCCCGGCTATATTCAATGGAGTAAACGTTATCTATTTGTATGTTAACATCAATCAGTAATCACTTCCACTTGTCCTGTGGGAGCACAGAGGGCCTCCTCTATTGGGTCCTGCACCTACATTTTCACAAATTAGTGACTTTTGTGGGAAAGCGATGAGAAATTACTCACATCTCTTGTTCAGTTATCTTCCCCAGCCTCTGATGGGTCCAAAAATGTAAGAATCCAGAACAGGCTCATCCCAGCCTCCAGGACCATTCCTTTTCTCCCATGGACCCTCTCCTCCTCACTGCTATTAGGCCATGTGGAGGGCCACCATATGGCTACACGCGGCCCCAGATGGCTCCATCTCCGTAAAAGGGGCGCTCAAGAACATAAAAATGCTGCTGTGTACTTTTATTGCAGCCCCTTCTCATTTTCCTCCATCTGTCCTCCATATGGTTTATGCAACTCTCTTCAGCTCCTGCACACCCGGGCCTTTGATAATGAGGGTTGCTTACCTGACCGAGATAAAGAACTAGAATTCACCTTTGTCAGCGACAAGGGGTCCTGTTACTTTGAATATCTGATTTGCTTAGTATTCGAGCTATTAATATCTCCTTTTCTTCAATTTGCACATGACATTTATTTTATATTTATTATATTTCTTATAATCTTATTAACAGAAACCACATGGTGGATTTTCTGTTGTGTTTTCTCCAAGTGCCGTTCTTGAAGTTTGGAAGAGCTACACTGACTTCCACTTAGGCATCTCTTTTATATACACATTAATCATTTTCTCCAAAGTTGACTTTTCCATTTTCATAAAATCTTTCTTTGGTGAAAGTTGTTACCATTTTGCCACTCAGATGTCTCTGCAAAACTCTAAAGTTTCATTTGTGTCCCTCCCCCAAACTCTAAGGAAATGAGCAGGAATTAGGTGAGGTGACCCCAACCAACCCCTTCTTCCCCACTTAGGTTGGTGCTAGGAGAGTCAAGCCATGAAGTCCTGGTCCGCTTGGCTTTGTGAGCACATGGCAGAAGTGACACATGTGATCCCAGGGGTTGGTATAACTGAGAAGAAAGCAAGAATAAGTCACTAGACAGGATGCAAACCACTATATTTCCCAATAGCAGGCAAATTCTGACATTAGCAACAATAATAAGGGTGATTTGTCATTCTCAGTGTTAAGTAGTGGGAACCTGTGAGCACCTGAGCCATTTTCTCAAAAGTAAAGAGAACACAAACTAATGACAATTAAAAAGAAAATGAAATGAAGCTAGGCCTGGGCAGGTTATAATAATTTCCCTGCTTACTAATGTGACCCAGACACAAAGTCTTGCACTATAGAACTGTAGTGTTATTAAGAAGAAGGAAGTATTCAATCTTTCTAAACCTCTACTAAAGTGTCTTTTCCATGACAGATAATTTGTCTGTATTCTAGTTCAAAACACCTGTGTAAAGCAGTCTGGTAATCAGTAGACTGAAAATTAGACCCACCTTCCATGATGATTACATTTGATGAAGCAGAACATGGGAATAGTGCTCAAATGCACAAAATATTAATCTACAGACATACAAAATCAACCTAGCAAATGCCAAGAGAATATGTTTTTCTTTTAGCTGTTTATTTAGTGCATATAAATGACAACTACTGATTTTGTCTTCAAACATATGCAAAATAAGGTATCTATCTGAATTTTAAAATTACACAATAACTTTACTGTAGGATACATGATTAGGTCATTTTGATACTGTTTTTTTGCCCACTTATGTATTTCACACATACTTGTTTCTCTTATTGTCCTTTAGAATGCAAAATAGACCCAGACATCACCTATGTTCAGACAAAACTCCAGGGACACAAGGAAATTCTTGTTCCCACCTAAGCTGTCATTTCACAATCCTTCTTGCATGGTAAAAACCTAAGGAAACTGTGGGTCTCACAGGTGCTATGGTAGGAGCAAACAGTGCATTTTAGTTAAGGGATCAAGTTGCAAAATGCAGGCTACAGTCAGAGGCCTATTCATTGGAATAACTGCTCCAGCATGGAACAAATTACAAATTCTGGTTAAGAGAAGCAAGTACTCTCCCTTCTGAGATAAAGGAAGTTACAGGTAAGTCATTTTGTAAGTGGAACAGTAGTGTTTCCAAAAGTGTATGGGTGAAAAAGCAAAATGAGTGTTTTACTCTCAGATTAAATTTAAAATACAAGAAGTCTGATCGATAAGGCTTTAGTGCATTACAGTTTCTGCTCTGAAAAGCTGTGAGTATCATAGTCTGCACCTCGGGGCTTGTTCTGACCAGGCAGTTTGTAAACCACTTGGAAAAAGGCAGAAGTTGCCACTAAGCATGTAGCTGCTGAGTAGTTGCATTAATTGTTGACATTTCAGCACGGAGGCTGCTGCCCCCAGCTCAGCACTGCCTACATGCCAGGTGAACGCCTGCTAACCCTCCTCCTCCTTGTATTTCTTTCCATTGAACATGGGCTATTGAATGTTGGTCTCTTGCCAACTGCCTTTAGGTGAGATTTGGGAAAAATTGCCAAAGAAACAAGAACAGCTGCCTTCATATCATTTTCTTTGTACAGCTACTTCCCAGGGAGCTGCTTGGGATCTACATGTGTCCATTTATTGGATTTAAACAAATCAGCACAAGGCAAGGGACGAGTCGCACAAAGCATATGCTATTTCTCCCCACCCCGGTTTCAGCTAACAGTGGGAACCTTGCCCCTGAGGGTACTGACAAGGGCATCAGCTGCTATCAGTCTGGAAGCATGAGCTACTCAGAGCCTTACCTGTTTCTTTGTCCTGGACTTCTTCCAGGTGCAAGTCATTCAAAAGGTGCTCCAAAATCTTCTCCGGGGTCCCGGACACCACCACATATCTGTCAGAGAGCAGAGAGTCCACTGAGTCATCCTCGGTGGAAGACTGCGAGCGGCTGCTCCATTCATCGTCCTCATCCTCCTCGTCGATGTATTTGAAATAAGGCACATCGAAGGTAGGCAAGGGCAGCTCTCGGTCTGAGAGCGCCGCGGCGGAATCTTTCCTCTCCAAATGAGGGTCAAAGACCCTCAGCCGGGAGCTGCCCATTGTGAACGGTTACTAACAAAGGCATCCCCTAAATGCTAAAAGATCTTGCCATCCCTGTCCTTTCACTGGGAACTGAGTCCATCTGGCTGCTAAGAGCTCTGCAGTCAGCTAGAACGCTGGAGAGGCGGAGAGAAAAGAGAGGGAGGGAGGGTAGAGGAGGCAGAGAGCGAGTGAGATGGAGCAAGGGAAGGGAAGGCAGGCAGGGAAAAGGAAACGGGAGCGCGTGCCTCTGTGGCTGCAGGGAAACTCTCACCTCCAATGGCTCTCCGCACTCCCAGCTGTGGGGGCTGGGCCACAGCACTGCACTTTCTTCAGCACCAGGACGCTCTGGTCTTGCTCTTTAACCTGAACAGTCGTCACTTCATCATCTTGCTTTAATTGTGGACAGGGATGATGGATGAGAGAAGGAAAAAGAGAGAGAAAATTAAAAGTGGGGGGAAAATGGAGCTAACTCAAGCTGTATTTTCTAGAGTTGCTTTACAGTATCATCTCTTCAAAGATTGAGAATAAATTAGGAGTCTGGTCAAAAATCTCCCTCTAATATTAAAGTATCCAGGCTCAAGTGCTATGAAAACTTAAAACATTAGACAGACATAAATACTTTAAAGGAAATAGAAAACAAAGTGGAGGTGGAATTCAGAGTTTATTTTTAAAACTACCTAAACAATTTAGGGACTACAAAGTTCAAAGTTTCAAAAAGCACAACATACTAATTGCATGTATACTATATTCTCTTTTACCTGGTAGATGTTTATTAAACACTCTATTAAAGTTGAATCATACAAAATATACATTATTGAAACATTAAGACAATGAGTAAGCCCTATTCAGTAGTTGCAATCAATACATATATTCATTTACTTTACACCCTTACTTTAAAAGGCGGCAAGAAAAAAAAAACTACCCACTCCATCATTCAATTCAATTTTTTTTTCAGACTTGAGATGGCCTTCAAATTTATAATGTACTAGTTTTGCCAGAATATAAGCAAAAATGGATCTCTAGTTAGAATCTCATCTAGGCTGAAATTCGGATGCCATGGATGACTGCACAGACTTTCTTCACCTCAGTCCCTTTTTAAAAAGGAGAGATGGCTGAACACACAGATTCATTTCTGCACACACAGCTTCCACAGCCCAGAGTGAGTGTGGCCCGCTGACGTGGCTCTGTCACAGAGGACAGCTTGCTGCTGACCCAGCAGGGTGGCCTCCAACTCGGAGCCATGAACACTTCCAGAGTGTTTAGTGTGAAATTCTCCTGATGTGCAATACCCAGTAAGCGTACGGTAGCCCGGGAGAAAGGAACTATAAGATGCATGTCCGAAAATCTAGCTTCCCTATTTCTGAGGATTGGAGCAAAAGATTAAAGGAAGAAAAGTTGACAGTAAGTAGGTTTCACCTTAAAGATGATGTCACCTCTTTAAAAAAGGCACTATGTGCTTAGGGCTCCTAGCACGTTTCCCCTACTTACAGAAAATCCTACCTACCTACGGTCAGGTACAAACATGAAAGAGGATATCCCCACCCCCAACAGAGAAAAAAATATCCATTGTGCCTTATTAATTGGTTCTACAGGCTAATCAGGGATGTCAATGTATTTGATTCACCTTTCATAAGAAGAGGAAGGCACTAATCTTGCCCTAATTGCCAGCCAAATCACTGATAACAATTGTGACTTTACCTCCTGGTATTCTGATTCCTAAGAAAATGCAATAAGCTAATAATTTAAGTCCTCCAGGATTTTCTTAAAAACGAAAAATATTTGTCATTCTAAACAGCAATATAATTTTATGATCATTCTTTTTTAATCTTTTAGTGGTAAATAATTTCACTATGTAAAACCGATGTATTACATTTCAGCAAGGTCAGACGCGTGCAGTTACTGTGGCAATTAATGCTGGATATTCATTGTGAAACTCCCTGAGGACGACAGTGGGACTCCCGTAACATGAATACCAATGTGTAATTGCTATCTTTCATTTCTCCAAAGGGGTTCCTTTGTTATCTATGTGGCTGAAGTGAAATAAGGTGGCTGGAGAGAAGTGCATATATTGACCAAAAAAACCCCCCAAAAAACGAAAAACAAAAAACAAAAAAACAAAAAGGCAGAATGAGGGTCTGGGATGCTGAGACACACAGAACAAACAAATAATTCTGTTCTCTGAAAGGACAAAAATCTTTCCCTGGTTTCCTTTAATCATGCGCCAATACTCATTTTATATGAGCTTGCTGTCATTCTGAAGTACGTTTTACATTCTATGTGCATGTGATATATGGCATTATTAACTTCCACAGGCCATGCACATACATATGGATGGGAAGGGCTTCTCTAATGCCTGTGTAACTAATATGTATTACATGGCTGTGCACACAGCAGCCACACTCTGCCAGGCAGGGGAAGAGCTGAATCATATTGATGTACTATCAATAGCATCTATGTCATTGTGATAGTTTTCCATTTTGAAGACCTATTAAAAATAAAGAAGAGAAAAAGCAGAAAAATTAATGTACAAAGGGAAATATGTTATCTAAAATTGCCATAAAAATGTAATAATCCTACGAATTACATCTGGCTCTCAAGAAGGAAAGGTAAATTAATGTTTCCTGACCCCTGCATGCTTAACTAATTTCTCATCCTGAGAAGGAACAGAAGTACCATAGTTGAGGTTCTGGGTATGAAATTTTATTCTTGTGCTTGATTGGTTAAGATTAAAAGTATTAAGAGAATTAATAACAGAAAATATATTCAATGACAAATAGTTCATGAAATGCAGGTAAAGTATTAAAACACTTAATTGACATTCATTCAACAAATAGTGAGGGCTTGCTCCCTTTGCGTAAGGCACTGTTCTGGACACCAAGCGGCAAGTGAAAATGAGTGAGGCAAGTACCCTGCTCTTAACTGACAAGTTAATAGGCTCCATGACAACATAAGTATAACTGGGTCAGCACCCTAAGATGTGGCCAAATGCAAGAGACAATGCAAAAGTAGAATCCATGGGATCTGACAATCAAAGATAACTATGGGTGACTGTGAGAATGGAAATACCATTAAACAGGGGAGAATGTGTATGAAGGAGCGGCTTTGGTGAGACAGATGCTTCTGATTTTAAACGCTGATGTTTCGTACTAAGACAGCCTGCCTGCCACAGACGTTTAGCAAGCAGTTAGAAATAAAGAACTAGGCCTCTGGACAAAGGTCAAGGGTAGAGACAAATTTATGAATTATTTAAGCTTTGGTAATGGATGAGATTGTTAAGGAGGAACAGTAAAGAGGCAGAACTATGAACATTGGGGATTAAAGGAGCTAAAATCACACTAAGGGGAAGAAGTAAAGTGGGAGAATATTCGAGTCATGGGGGAACCTACGTACAGAGAGAACATGAAGACCACTACCAAGATGAGCCAGGAGGAGAGCCAGGAGAGCGCTGTATCAGGAGACCCCAGGAGAAAGCCTGCCTGACACTGTAACATTTACAAAGATGGTAAGTCTAAGAAAAAGTGATGATGAGGTCACTTTAGGTCAGGAGTGGGGAAAATGTGTTAAACTGTGAGTGAACAAGGAGGAAGAGAAGACTACATCTTGGAAATTTCATTCTAAAGGAAATAAGTCAGCTTGAAGAGACCCATTCCTCCCAAATCAAACCTGTCTGAAACAGGCAGTAGAGAGAACCTTTCAGATGGCAAACGTTGAAAATCATCTAGCTTGACACTACGACACTCAAGAAGTCATACAAGTAACACGAGTTCCAATGCTGTTTGCCCTTAGGTCTGTGAACACATTAACTGAAGATGTTAACTGATAGGAAGGCATTTGTAGCCAATGGCTTGTTATACTTCTTTTCATCTCACAACTTTCTTGGCCTAACTCTTATTTATCCCACAAAGTTCACTTCAAGAATCACCTCCTCCAGGAAGCCCCCTGGTCTTCAGTTTGATCTTGTTGGCCCTTCTGTGTGACTTCACAGCACCACATGTATCCTTATAATTCAGCACTCTCAGGAGCACTTACTGATGCACTTTCTGTCCCCGCCTTGCCCAAGCTCACTCATGGGCAAGTACCCTATCTTCTTTGACTTTGAATTCCCAATAGTTAGCCAGGTCTTGACATTTCACAGACACTCAATTAACATTTACTGAATACGTTTATAAACAAAAGATGAATGAATGCATTTGCATTTTAAAGTGGAGGTTTAGAGAGCAACACATTAAATCTCTTTTTTCTTTTTTTTTGGGGGGGGGTGGTAGGAGGACATTCTCACTCTGTCACCCAGGCTGGAGTGCAGGAGCACAATCTCCACTCACTGCCACCTCTGCATCTTGGGCTCAAGTGATCCTCCCATCTCAGCCTCCTGAGTACCTGGGACTACAGGCACACACCACCAGGCCCAGCTAATTTTTTATTTTATTTTGTAGAGACAGGGTTTTACCATGTTGCCTAGGCTGGTCTTGAACTTCTGAGCTCAAGCAATCTGCCCACCTCAGTCTCCCAAAGAACACCTTAAATCTCTAAGAATACATTTCAATTGGTGAATTGTGATACAGCCCAGAGAGAAGGGACATTTTGCTGAGAGGCGCTCTTCCTAAGGAGGGATCGTCAAACTCTGCTGGTGTTCATCAAACTCCACAGGGCACTGGCCTGCCCTGCTTTGCATCCTGACCATCAGCTTAGCTGAGGCAAATAGACTGGGCTAACCTGAGAAGAACAGCTGGCATGCTTGTTACACTGGACAATGTCAAAGCTAGGCAAGGAGTTACATATACATCAGATCAGAAGACCTGCTTTAATTCAGGGTCTTAGCTTGAGAGTAGCTCATGTGAGATAGCACCGAGCCTTGGCCACTACTTAAGATAATATAAGTATTTTGTGAAGTGTAAAACATCATGCAATTATTAGTTACTGGACCATTAATACCTAATATAATTTTATTCCATAATGGTAGAGGTAATGACAACTCAAGAACTAAGGAGACAACACTGCCATATGCAACAAACAGAACCACCAGGAATGGGCAACTGGGGAGGAATCAGCCACAACCAGGCAGATAAACCTATGACAACTAACACTTACTGAGGGCTTACCATACAGCAGGCAAAGCTAAGGGCTGAAGATCCACTACTTTACCTAATCACTATAATGATCCTATGAGACTAATGCTATGAAAATTCCCATTTTACAAATGGAGACAGGAGCCCAGAGATTAAATAAGAAAGATCACAGAGCAGACAGATGGCGAAGCTGAGATTGAACCCAGACAGGCTCGACACCAGTGCCCTTAACCAGAACCACAGATGTCCCCTAAGATGGCCAATGCTCTATATTCTAGATGACAGCTATCAAAGGAGATGTCACTTTCCCTCGTGCTGACTGACAGTGCAGGGCAATCTGTTGGTTGGTCAGGCAACAGGGAGGTCTAGGCCAAAGTGAGAGTCAAAAGTTCTAGCATAGCCGGTTTTTAGTTCTGGATGGCCTGTCTGGTTTGGGAAAGCCATACAAGGGCTTTCATTCTAAGAGAGGAAGAGAGTTGACAGGAGCTGAATGCAGTGGTATGACCACAGCTCAACCAGCTCAGATCAGGCAGCACTCAAGACCCAGCAAGGGGAAAATGAAGTGCCAACCAGACCCGAATCAGTGACCAAGGCAGGAAGAGAGCTAAACACGGCAGGGACCGGCTTTAGAGGAAGGCTGTATTTGTGGGCACCTATGTCTATGCAACTTGGAACACAGAGACATGCAGGTTAAGGCTGGTGGAGATGGGGCTCCCAGTATATAAGCTGCCTCGGGCCTGATGGGCTCAAGAACTGGGTAGACATGAATTATAGACTTTAAAATGGCTAATTTTATGTTATGTAAGTTTTACCTTAAAATTGAAAAAAAAAAAAAAAAAAAAAAAAAAAGGAACTGAGCAGAGATGAGTCTGTGGACACAGATTTGTTGGCCAGGGGACACATGAATCTGCCCCAGGGAGCCACAAAGGGCTCTGAGAAATATGTCCTGAGAGGTACAGTTCAGGTAGCTGGAAGGTCCGAGAAAGAAGAGTTCAGGAGGATAAATAGCAGCAGATTATTTCCACTTTCTGAGCCACTCTACCCTGTGGGAGAGGAAGCCCTGGAATTACTCATGACATTCTAGAAAGGCGACTTTCCACTAGTGGGTGATGAGATAAAAGTGGCTGACTGGGGACCAATTTAAAGAAGTGCTAACAGCAGAGATGGACCCAGCTCTCTCTCAAGCTGAAGCGGAGTGTATCAACAATATCATAGAACAAATGAAGACGATTCTGGATCAAGAGTCAGGGCTATGCTCTGCACCCTTTCCAACACAAAGATTCTACAAAACTAATCTTGATTCCACTTTTCTCACAGAAGCCCAAAGTGTTGGCTCTCCTAAATAGGAAGAGGGCACATGATTTAGCAGTTAGGTATCTCTTCCCATCTTGTACTATGGAAATTCACATAAAGCCTAGCTGACCAAGCCATCAATGCCCACATCTGTGTCTGTTATACAAATGTGGGTACAGCAGAATTATAAGACTTATCTGAAAAAAAAAATCTCCTCTGGCCAAAAAGAATTTTATTCGAGAACAACCCTTAGATAATTTGCTGACAATGTATCTCATGATTCTTTTTCTCATGAAAAAAAAAGTAAACAGATGTTTTTTAAAAAGGTCAAAAGAATATTGCTGGCAAGATAGAAATGATTAAGAGAGAGATTAAGTTAGCAGATGTATGTCAAGGTGAGCCACTTAGACTCACCCGACCACAAAGGAGCTGGCCTAACAAATATGTCTTTGTACACGATACTCTGGCAGAAGGAGAGTATTTAGATAACGACAATTAGTTCTTTCCTTTTTTTAATCCCACACATATTAAGATTAATAACTCTAATGAAAGCCCAAACAAGATTAATAGGATTCATCATCATTTATAAAATCTAGGTAAAGTCTGACTTTTATAGATATGAAAATAAACATATATTTATTACGGAACTTGACCAAACTCCAACAGAAAACCAATATGCATGACTAAACAGAAAGCTTCTGGCTACTAGAGAAAAACTGTATGTATTCAATCTCATTGCCTCTAAGAATATCATCATACAAAACAACTTGTCTAATAACCCTAAAACCAGAGCAAGCCTAGGAATTTGATCCCAGGGCCAACTTCAGCTAGTAACCTACTGCACAATAGGGCAGAAAAGATGGGATAGACTGTAGCATCTTGAAATATAAAGTCAATGTCTTTTTATTATGAATATATTTCAACATGCTGTATTAGCTTGACAGATCATTCTGGATACTGGCAGGAAAATGCACACTCAGCAAGGGTTGTGAAAGTGTTTAATGAAGGGGCTATTTACAGCTGTGTAGGTAGGTTTGATGAAACTGAGCAAAAATGGTGAGAGATAACCAGGACTAGAAAAGAGGGAGATCTTAACTAGCCCTGGGCTGGAAGGGGTAAGGGGAGGTAAAAAGTAAGTATTGGATCCCTTTGGGAGCTGGAGGCATAAATGAGAAGCTACCAATGAGGAGCTGCAGTCACTGCCAGAACTACAGAAGGAAGCCAGACAGAGGTAGGAGGAATATCATGACCTTTCTCTCCTTCCACCCTCTGATCTCTTGCCGATGCTTCCCACTGGCTGCATCCCATTCAGAGCAGGAGGACAATAAATCCAGGGTGATGCATTCCACAGTGTGTGGTGAGGACTCGCTGTCCCAGCACAGGGCAGATGTGAGAATGGAGAAAGGGATGCAAATAGAGACAGCCCAGCATGCTTCACATTTCACAGTTTCCAGAGACGCTTGTGTTAAGTTTTCATTAATTTAGACTACACCATATTGGTCATGTATTTCTTCTTCCTGCTGTCCAGAAAACAACTCAAAGAAAAAATCTAAAAGCTTTAGGGTAGGGTGTGTTAGCATTTTCCTACTTGACCGAATCCAATTTCTACATGCTTTATGGTCTTAACAGTCTTTCTTGTCTAGTGCCTATATCAGTTTACTGTAATTTAGCTTCTACAGCTTGCTTCACACTCTGCACTTCCCATGTGACCTTTGAGAGTGGCTAGTCAATCACACAGGTGTTACTGTTTATCATAAAAGCTTAAATTTTATTAAATATTTTCCAGCAGGCTTCTAGTTCCAATATAAAAGTTCTTGGCTGATGACCAGGTTTGGGAGTGGGATGGAGGGTAGAAGAGGGAGGAGAAATGGCAGGGTCAGTTCCACTCTGATGACAGCTGCATGAGAACAGTGGCTGGTTTGGTTTGGTTTTACATCCAGAACAATGTCTGTTAAATGAATGCATGGCCTGGCAAATGATGGATAAGTGGACAGACACTGTAAATCAGAATGGCTCAAGGTCAAGGACAGAGAGGTCAGCAAAGGCAAAGAGGCAGAGGTTCAGTCTCAGAGGAACTAAGTCCGAGGGGTAGGCTTGGGTAGAAAAGGAAAATTCAAGCTTGAAGTCTGCAGAACAAAAGGACAAAATCTAGTCCACTGTAGCTGGGAACCAAAGCTTAAAGTCAGATCTAGGCTAAGTCTGAGTAATGGGCATAGCACTCTGACGCAGAAATGGAGCTTGATTCTGACTCCAGGGTCTTTGGAGCCAGTTTTCACCCAGGAAGAGGCCTGTCCTCAAAGAATGGCTGAGTTCACAGCTGCAGACAAGGCCTCAACCTATACTGAGAGGACATGGGTTACAGGGCTTGCCTTATCTACAGCCAAATCCTGGCAGCCATCCAATAGCTGTTTTGCTGGGAGAATAAAAATACACTCCCCAAATTCCAAAGCATTATCTAAGAAATAAGGGTATTATGCATCTTCTGGGACTTTTAGGCACTAAAAAAGATGATAAAGGCCCAGCACAGTCCCCTGCCACCCCAACAACAGTTCAATCACCAATGACTAGATAAATCTAATTTGTTTAACAATGTACACATCTTACCAAGAACCCTTCCACCAAGCCGCAAGCCAGGGATATCGTCCATTTCTCTCTATTTCATGGGTAATAACCAATTCTGAATAGCATAAAACTTAAACTCAGATGATGGCAGCCCTTCAAAGAACTTACAGCCTGAATCAAATTAAACGGATATCCACCAAAGCAAAGACAGACCTGGTTCAAATCCTAGAGTTGCCACTTTCTAGCTGGGTGGTCTATCTCTCTGAGCATCAGCTTTCTTGCCTGTGAAATGGGATAATCCCTACCTTATAGACCCAGTTGAATACTGGACACAGAGAAAGCCCTCAGTAAATAGAGGGCAGAAAAATATACAAACTATATTGTAACTGTATGCCATCCAAGTATACTAACACTGAAGTATTACAAAATTGAATTTGTATCAGGGTCTTGCTATGATTTTGTTTATGTGTATGTGTATATAAATATCATCCAAATTTTAAAAACACACACAAATAACATAAAATTTTTTCCACTGCAATGCAAACCGCTGCCTATGGTGCTGTATGTGCTACTGAGAGGCAGAGGGCATCACAGGAGTTAACTACAGAGCTCACGGAACCTGCAGAAAAGGAGGTTCCAAGCCCCTCTGCCAGAGGAGGGCTAGGGATGATGAAATAGATCATTTTCATGGGCGTGTGGGGCTGTTTCTTTCTGGTACTCACCTCCCCGCAAATCTCACTCGCCAAGAAGTGTACACCTCTAGAGACCAAAAACTAAAAGAAGGGAGACAAGGAAGTTCAGTTGTCTCTCTGACTGTTACATTTTTAACACAGAATGTCAAGAGATAGCTAATGCTCTATGGGCTCTTGGTCTTTGGTCAGGGTGACTGACGATCTGCAAAGGCACAGTTGCATCCTTCATTGTTGGCATGACTGGAATATACACAGGAGAAAACACAGCAATGACAAACAAGGTGTGATGCCAGCCACGGTCACCTGAAGTGAGCCAGCTGGAATGCCACTGCTTTCTGCTGCTCCTTGTTCCAGATATGGTGGTTATTTCCTTCTGCAGAGACTCGGAGGTACATCCATTCGCCCTGGTTAGAAGGCCCGAGGGAATAGGTGAAGGGTCAGCCAAACTAGGAAACCACTGAGATTTTTTGAGCCACTTACCACCTGCATGCTGTGGACCAGGGCTCCTCAGCAGTGCCTCAGTTCCCTGAAACCAAGCAGCCTGGGTCAACGGGCAACTGAGGCATGGTACAGTGTGCACACATGACCTGACAGAGGCCTATTTGAGATCACGTCGGAAGAAATGAGGATGCAGAAATCTAAATTAGATCCTTAAGCATTTCCTGAAATGTAGAAGAAGAAAGGGAAAAAAATTGCCAGTAACCCGAATCACTGCTTTTCACTAGCAGCCCAAAGGTAGGACAGAAACCTACACTAAATTATGATTAAAGTTTCTACATTCTGGTTGCAGATATATTTGTCCCGTGGGGTTTGAATAATCCATGGCAGCAGTTTTACAGAAGCCTTTACAACTGAACAACAAGAGGATAACATGACTTTTCAGAGCAGCATAAAATAGCTAGCCCTGACTGGTTCCTATGGCTTTGACTTCTCCTCTCAAATTCCTCCCATAGGATCTGAAACTTAGTTGTGTTTGATACCTCCTGACTCAGTGAAGAACTAATTCATAAACTGAAATTATTTGAAAAAGCTAGTTCTTATGTCTGAGCAGACCCAGCAGAAGTATTCTTCAAACTTAAAAAGGAAATAAACTCTAAAAAATTGAAAGGCTTCAAGTCAAAGAACTCTATCACTCTTCCCAAATTTCCTGTGCGTGTGTGTCAATGAGCATCTGCATGTGTGTACGTGAGGAAATGCTTGTGTGTGTGTGCACGCATGCCTGTGGAACTTCCATGAGGGCAAAGTAGCAATCCAAAGGGGGAGTTTCAGTATTTATGCAAGTTATGGAATGAAAAATTTCTAGCTACTGTAGCAGCTGCCAGATCACATGGAATGAGAGTGAGGAGATACAAAGCATCTTAAGTAAACACTCCTGTTTTTTCATGTTTTGTACATTCCTTGGTGTTTTTAGGGAGGCACGCCTTTGGTCTCTGCTGTAGCCATCTCAGAAACTTCATTTCACAGTTTGAAACAAGGTTGGGATAAAGGTAGACAAAGTGGCACTCTTGGTGCATGGAACAGTAACAGGAAGTTGGTATTAAAAATAGGTTAAGAGAATGTAAGATGTAATGAAATATTGCTAAAATGATTTGAGAGGCAAGCAAAAAAGTAAACAAAAAACCAGAAGGTAAAAAGGAAGAGCGAAGGTTAAAATAAGACAAAGATGAATTTGCTTGCATAGGGGTAGATCTCTCCTGCCTTTTTTTCCAAGGGAGGGAATAGGTGTGGAGAGAAGAGGAGGACAGACTGGGGGAACAAAAAAGGAATTAGTATTTAAGTGAGGAATTAATATTAAAGTGATAACACATATGAAAAACAAATTCTCTTTTCCTGAATATTAATGTGCACCTGGAGGGCCAAAGAAGGTCAAAATCCTCACGTACAAACCTGCCCAGGTAAGATCTTTGCTCCACAACCTGTGATCCATTAAAGTCTGAACGTCTGCATCCACTCTTTACCAGGGATGGATTCTTCCAAAGACTTTTCTGTATTACAAAGTGACTACCGGTGATGAACCTTCCTGCCTTTTCTGCTTATCATTTCCAGGTTAATTCTCTAAGGTAGAAAACTTCTTATTTAAAACTTTAAATATCCAATGAACTGGAATCCTGAAGCTGGTAAAACTTTGGATTTTTACAGATGTGATTTGAAGTACTCGACTGTGGGAAACATCTCAAACCACCCACAATTTCCTTCTCTATCAGCTCCAGTTCCACAAACACTGACTGAAAGCCTAGTGCTAAACACTGGGGATAAAAGTTCAAATAAAATATAGGCATGCTCTCAAAGAGTAAATTCTTCACGTGACAGATAGACATGTAAGAGACAAAAATCTGCATGTTTTAAAAACAGTAATTTGGAGCTAGGCTGTGGGTAGCAGCTAATGAACCTAGCCAACATCAAGAACTAGGTTACTTTCTTGGTATTTCTAAGAGTTCAAGGCAGTAAGAGCTAGCATTTCCTTCACTGCAGAGATTTGGGAATTCCAGATTTTGATCCTCCTCAGGACATTCTGATCTCAGAGAAACAATTCCAAATATTTAATGACTTGACTTGAAATATCATTTTAATGTCCTGATAACAGACACTTCTAGCTGGATATGCTAGATCAGCCATCTGTCCTGTATCAACACCATTTCACAGAGTAAATTTTTAGAAGTTCTATCCACTGGAGTATTTTTAGAACATAAAAGAACAGAATGATTCTTGGCATTGATAGACATATTCAATCAGAGTGAAAAAAGAGCTACTCAGAACTTCCTGAGTAATCAATTGGTATCCTTTATAAAATGGTGACATTTTCCCAGAAAGAGTTCAACACTCAAAAGCATGGATATTGCAGAATCTGGGGGGAAGGGTGTCTTCAAGTTAAGAAAGGAATTTTAGAGCTAGAAGAAATCTTAGACATCTAATATCTTAATTTATTAGATGAGAAGACTGAAGCTCAGAGAGGTAAAGTGATTTACTAAATCAGCACTCAACATATTAACTTGGGAGGTAGTTTGTTCATCACAGAATTTCAATTCTTCCAGAATAAAATGAATGTCTTTGATGCTAGTAATAAAATAGTAAATTAACTGAAGAAAAATTATGCATGTGATAGTTGATCAAGAAATCTTACATTACAAAAATAAATCACAGCTATATTAAAAAATCCAAGTGAGGCCAATCTCAGTGGCTAATGCTTATAGTCCCAGCACTTTAGGAGGGTGAGTTGGGAGGATTTCCAGAGCTAAGGAGTTGGAGACCAGCCTGGGCAACATAGTGAGGCCTTGTCTCTACAAAAATACCAAAAAATTAGCTGGGCGTGGTAGTACATGCCTGTAGTCTCAGCTACTCTGGAGGCTGAGGTGGGAGGATTGTGGCTGCAGTGAGTTGTGATTTTTCCATCACACTCCAGCCTGGGCAACAGAGTGAGACCCATGTCACAAGAAAAAAAAAAAAAAAAGAGGTCTGAGTGAAAAGTGCAACTCCAAAAGGAATAGAAAAAATAAAATAAAATTTTACTTAATGAGGAAGGGATTTCTCATTTTAAAGACAATATTAAAAATAAAAAACATTTCCACTCATGTGTATAAAAATAATTAATTAGGAAACAAACTAAGTAGAAAACAAACTGAGGAAAACAATATGCAACAAATATGACAAAATTTTATATCCTTCATATGTAAATAACTTGTCCAAATCAATAAGAAAATTTCAGTGAGAAAAATGAGAAAGGAGAAAAATAAATTACTTACAGAAGAAAGAGAAATAGGTTGATATAAGTCGCAAATATTCAACTACACTAGAGATGTACATTTGAACAAGATAGTATTTTCCTCCCTCTCCCTTGGCCACCATCAACCTGACAAAGATAACATAGTTTCTCCTACTCAAAATTGTAACACTCAATGAAGGTGAAAGCTAGGATGAAGGGATTACAAAACAAGTAATTTCATATATTGCTGATTTAAGTAAAAACTAGCACAAGCTTTTTGGAAAGTGGTTGGGTAAAAACATAAAAGATAGTAATGCAGTTTATATTTATAAGTAGTAATTCTGCTACTAGGAATTTATCCTTAAGAATATAAACTTAGTTAAAGATTTTTGGAGAGTTGCGCGTTATAGTTTATAATAGCAAAATTCCCCCAGGGAAGGGTAGCTAAGTAAAGCATGTCATGAAAATATGAGGAAAGCCTCAGAATACAAAGACTGGGGACAGCCAGGGGGTGGGGGGAGGAAATAGTGGTTTATCATTAAATTTTTATTTTCTTCCTTGTAACTTTCTATTATTTCTAAATTCTCTATGAAGGGCATACATTACTTTTACAGTAGTAGAACAACTTTAAACAACAAAAATTCTTTAACAGAAATGTGCTATAAATTCCAGCAAGTTGCTTGCTACTTTACTCTGGACTGTTAAACACCTGTAAACCTCTTCCAGATGAAGCCTGTTTTCAAAAACAAATTCAATCAGTGAAACACGCCAAGGACTATGTATAATATACTAAATTTTTTTTGACAAGTATATTTTGTAGCTAGAAAATGGGGAAGGGAATGAATTGTAAACTCCAATATGCAACCTCCTTTAGATTTGAGATTTATAATCTTTGTCATTTATGATTTGTGTCCTGACCTGGCCATAACCCAGGAAGTAAAAAAGATGATGCTTAATTTAGCAAATGCCTTACAGGAATGTGAGAAAACAATTTTCTGGAAACAAATACCTTATTCAAAGTGCACTCTTTCCTCCCATCTGGAAGCCTTTCCTGGCCCTCTCTTCTGTGTGTTTTTGCCCTTCTTCTTTACTGGGTTTTCCTGTCTGGGTTTTCACATGCTTCTGTCTCATTTCACATGCTTCTGTCTCATTAAATGCCGGTATCTTTGGGGCTCACATCACACCTTGCTCATTTCTGTCTCTGTTCTATTTCATGTGATGTCTTGTTCATAGGTGCTCAACAAATGCTTTTCTCAGTGAATGAAGGTAAGAATAAATTAATCTTAGCCAGATATTTTAAAATTTTGCTCTACTTATAAAAAAAAGGTTGTACTGACATTAAAATTATTTAGGCCATCAACAAAGTTAACTTTATGTATTGTCACTGAATGACTACACTGGTGGCAACAAGCTAAATAGCTATTTGGTTGTCTTCTATCTTCACTAGTATAACTCTTTCTAATCATCTCTGTGAGTTCAAATGAAGGAATCTGAATTAAGCTGCTGATGGTGGAGAAACTGTCTGATCAGCTCAGCACAGATCATTAGGGATGATCATAAGGGATGCTGGCCTCTGTCTGAAGACCAGTGCAATAACCAGTGTGACCAAAATCCCTGTGTCTCTGGCTCATCACACTCAGCTAAGGAATAATTCCCTTCACTGGGTCTTCCACAGGCCTGTGCTGCCCAATTCTTCCTTCTTTATAGGGTTCCCTAGACTGAGATGTCTGCAGCCTACTATCATCAATCACTCAGAAGGAAAAGTCACCATTTTTTGCTTCTCTAGTCTGGATTGAAGCAATCTAAAAACTTGGGTTTGGACCAAAATGAGACCAGCAAGACACTCTTTTGCTACGTTCTTCTCCAAAGATTCTAGGGAAGAACTGGACTAGCCAGATATGGAACGTAAAGTAGAAGTCAGAGCTAAGATGCAAAAATCACAAACCACAAAGTGTGGGGCACCATTATTGGTGCAGCTGCAGATGCTGAAGGTACCTACAGCCACTCTGATCATTATTAATAAGGTTCTTTCCAGGGTGTGGTGAATTTTGTCAGGTCTGTGCACATCTCCTCTATGTGCCAAGATTATGAGTAATACTAAAGGAGAGGAACTTAGATTTACTGACTTGGGATGGAAATGGGATCTACTGACAATTGAGATAAAGGTCAGAGGTGATTGCCAAATTATAATGGCAATGGCATTTAATAGTTCAACAAGTCATGAAAGGCTTCTGTGCACAAACATCTGGCATTCAAGTATATTCCTGAAAGACAATCAGAATAAAATTGGCTCTCTCTTTTGTTCCAAAGTTTCTTTTCTCAGATTTTAAGGAATAGGCAGAAGTCTGCCTTGTGCAGGCTCAAGATCTTCCTTTTATCCCTTTCTTGGCTCATCCTTTAATCACAAACCTGTAGGTGTAAATCAATACCTACTTGGGCCGTGTGTGCTCTCATCTCTCCATTTCGTATCCTACAGTTTTTACTTACATATCTTCTAAAATTCTACTCATACATATTATTAGAGAGGAAAGTATTATGTCTGTAGCTTCAACTATCCTTCCCCCCCACCATTTTTAGAGTTATACCTGAGTGTTGTTTTAATACTGAGATAATTTTTAGACATGTGCTTCCAGATGGGTGTTTAATGAGAAGAACTGAATGATCCCATTTATTTTTTGCTGGCCAAATTGTTTGTGCCCACTTTCATGAGTCACTAATTTTTGAGGGGCTAACTGCTAATAGGTAGGGGAGGAGTAGTTCTAAAGAAGTGTTGTCTTAGGGCAAGGGTCACGTCGATCAGCCCAGCCTCACTTTAGGGCCTCACAAAATCTAACTTCAGGAACACAAAGAGATAAAAGCACAAAGCCTGAATTAAGAAGTTCTCTAACAAACTAAAGAATTACACTTTTTGTTAACAAACTATTAACAAAATTGCTTCTGATTACAGAGGCTAAAAGGTATTTACTTTTGCTAGAAGATATTATCAATGGAAATGTTTTAACATTTTCTTGTGACTAATGCACTTCCAAAAGAACTAATGGTCTTAGAATATATTTTCCCCTTTTTAGAGGAAACTGCTTATAATCCTATTTAGCAGGTGCCAGTTTTAGAAATAAAGTTTTCCTTCCCCAAGCCATCAAGACACATGATATCTAAAGTTCTTTCTAATGCCTATGACTCTCAGAGGAAAACTCCAGACTACTCAGACTGATGGTGAAAAATAATGCATCATCACAAACCCCCAATTTGTAATAACAATAAGTTGACTGAGCAGGGAGAAAGTGATAGCATCCAGCAATCATAAAACTCACTTTGGGATTTTATTATGCATTGTGCCATTTGGGGAATGTTAGAATTCTTTATTCACAGGGGTGTCAACATAAAGCTTGTTCTACTTCTCTAAATCCTAGCCAAGGCAAGATCATGAAAGGTTTTAAGAACTATCTGTAGGAAGTACCACTGTCTCCTCTCTTTGATGGTGGAGGGCAAAAATTTTACCTTGACACATTCCACCCCGACTCGCACCTCTGAGGTCACCCAGATATGCTTTATGACTCATTAAGTTTTTTGAGCCTTCTTGTGAATCCATACCTCCAAGCCACTTTCTGACATCTTAATTGTCTCATTATCACCATTATTCTCTACTATTATGTGTTTCTTGGATCTTGAGGTGCCCCTAATCCTTTACTCTGACTCACTTTGCCTCAGTCGTGCCCAGTCATTCCTGGAACCTGAACAAAGAGGACATTTACAAGGATTTGTTAAAATGGTTGAGCCTTGTTCACTGACTTATGTACAAATGTGCCATAAATGAACATACATGCCACATCTTATTTCTCCATTTTTTTTTAAATGTAGGAGGGAAATGCTGGAAAAAGAGGGGAAAACTGCAAAATTCAAAAACCTATTCCAGTTAAACCTAAGTACTGCAACACTGATCTCTTCAGACCAAAACAATCATCCTTTTTGCTTCAAAAAGAGAGCAGATAATTTTAATACAAAAAATAAAGACAAATTTTTATGTAACAGCAAACAAGAACTTGGTCATGTTATAAGTAAAATACGCATATTTAGCATGATTTATTAGAAAAAATGTACTGTACACTTGCCCACAGTCTGTTATGTTCTGTTATGATATTTTCAGCAATCTTCTATTTTTGCTATCTTAAAACAACATTTAGGACTGCTGGATGCCAGATGGAATTTTTCCTTTCCACCCACTTCCCACTGCAAAAGGAAAAAAAGGTTCTTTGCATCCTACATGGACATCTTTTATAAATTTCTTTTCCTCATCTTTAGCAACCAAAGTATATGAATGACTCAGAAATCACCAAACTTTGGCTGAATCAATATGAGGCAAATATACAGCACAGTAAGTTGTATTTAAAGCGAACATATCTGCCTGCATGGTGTTTATTAACAAAAGATATTCACATTATATGCATGCACAAAATTCATTTCTACAAAAACAGGACTGACTCCAAGCCAACTTGTTAAAGAAAAATGGTGATATAGCAGTATATTTTAGGGAAAAGGTAATAAATTAGAAGTGAACTATCACTGGACATTCTGTCTTCCTGGAACTGAAGTCCCCTGACTTGAGCTGCCCACAGCAAATCCTTTTGCATGTATGCTGGTTACTACTTAATGTGAAATCGACAGAGAGGACTGTGAGGGAAGTGGGACCAGGAAGCTTTGAAGGAGTGAGTGTGACCCATTCTCCTCCTTCAAATCTGTTCCCACATTGCAACGGAGGAATGTTAAAAATTTAAATCTAATCATTTTTCCTTCCTTCTTGCTTAAATTCTACACAAAAGCTTCCTATTGCTCTTAGCACACAATGTTTGGATAAACCCACAGGTCCTGCATCCTCCAGCTCCTGCACCTTCTTCACCTGGCCCTACCTCTCCCATCCACAGTCCACACTTAGGCTCCAGCTGGTTGGTTCTGTTTCTAAAGCTGCTCTCTTCTCCACATCAGGCCCCTTGTGTTATCACATGTGTTCTCTTTTTTTTTTTTTTTTTTTTTTAGACCGAGTCTCGCACTGTTGCCCAGGCTGGAATGCAGTGGCACAATCTCGGCTCACCACAAGCACCGCCTCCCGGATTCACGCCATTCTCCATTCTCCTGCCTCAGCCTCCCGAGTAGCTGGGACTATAGGCACCCGCCAGCATGCCTGGCTAATTTTTTGTATTTTTAGTACAGACAGAGTTTCACCGTGTTAGCCAGGATGGTCTTAATCTCTTGACCTCGTAATCCACCCGCCTTGGCCTCCCAAAGTGCTGGGATTACAGGCGTGAGCCACCACACCCGGCCTCACATGTGTTCTTTCCTCTGCCTGGAACACCCATCCCTCCTCACTTTTCATAGCTCTCCTGACCCTTCAGATTCTGTCTCTCTCTCTCTCTCAGGGAAATGTGCATGACTCCCTAGACTAGCCAAGGTCCCTGTTAAATGCTTCCACAGCACTTGGATGCTGACCACACAGGTAAACTGAATTCAGTCTCTGAGTTTCTCGCAGAACATCAGTTCATGAGGTCAGAGATGTATCAGGGCAGTCCTTCAGGAACCAAGCCACACTGTAAATTGCTGCCTATGTCTCTTTACTTCTTGATATCTCTTCTTTTTATTTTTCCAAACCTTGGAAGTACACAGTTATCATGAACAACTCTCCATCTGTCTGTGCATCCTTTCCCTAAACTTTTTGTCTTAAAACATTCATTATAAACCCAAATAACACCAGCCTGACAAAAGTTTCTAGTGTTGCCTGATCAGACACCAGACTACATGGTAGTAACACTGTTACATTAATGCAGATCAGGCCTTGATGGGGGTAGAGAAGAAAAGAATATAAGGTCACCTGGGGTCTGGAGTGAGATATACCACTGGGGGAGGAGGGTGATGGCAAAACAACAGTGGCAAATAACCTGCTTTTCAATACTTCACTTTAATGATTTTTCAACCATATTGCAGATGATATGGCTATTTTAATTTTACAAGAATAAGAACCTAATAAAGCTAGGAGCAGCATTTGTACAGCAGAGAATAAAAGGACCCTTTGATAACATGAGTTTGATAAATCAAACAAACTGAGCCAGTATCAATGTTCTTGATTGAGCCTTTTAAAATAAACTTGAGCACCGTCAAAAAATAGCATAATGACAAATTCCTCTCTCTTCAAAACCGCTCAAACTAATTTTTTAAAAATGTTAGGACTTGCAGTGGGCTTCTTGTGAAAACCTAAAAATACAGCTAATGAGCAGATGGTTCCACCAGACAGCAGGAGCACACCACTGACTTTCACTGGCAGTTAACTGCTATTTTTCTGGAGGAAAAGCTAGAATTTAAAGAGCACACACAGTGAACCAAACTTGTAAACCTTGTTCCTAAATAAATGAGAAGAGCATGGTTTGCTGCAGTTGTGAAATGTGTTTGCCAGATTTTACTTCCCTCTAAATGTCTTATTTAGAGACTTCATTAAATGCTGTCTTGAATGGTTAACTGTTTTCCATGTATAAATTCTTTCCCCAGCTAGACTGTAAACTTCTTGGAGGCAAGAACTAGCTACTTCTACTTTTTTGTTACTCTGTGGCCATATTATTCCCTATTAAAAATGGACTATAATAACTCACTCCAGGAAGCCTAATTCCAATGGAAAGATACTTTAATACCAATCCAACACAAAGTCAGGATTTTGTTATTAAGAAAAATAACCTGGTTTCAATGAGGTGATTTCTCAGTTTATAATTGGGCAACTTAATGTATTATGAATTGCCTATTATACCCTAGTTGTGACTTTCAATTCTATTACAGTAATGTTAGAAAGTTCTACTTCTCTTTAGTAAGTAGTTTCTTGGTTAAACTAAATTACTGATAAACTTCAAATAATGCTGGGATTGCTTGAAACTACTCACCTAGATGTACAATTATAAGTTTGAAAACAATGATCAAACCTCTTTTCCTTTTAGTATTTCATATAGAGTAAAAAGAGGATTTTCACCTTATATTTAACTGCTTAAAAAGAGACAAAATGAAATTTGGGAAAAGGTAGAGACCAACTTTTAATATGTAAATAAGTGTGACAGTAGCCAGAATACTCCAAACCACTTCTCCCCTCGTAATCCTTAAACAAGGAACCTTTGACGTAGGCAGAATTCCAGGATGAGGCTGCAGGAAACAGGGAAAAGGAAATTCCGGTTGAGGCTGAGTGATAGAGACCCTACCCTGGCAGCAGACTGTGCCAAGATGCAGTTTCAGAGTGTGCAAAATCCCCTTCCCACCCATCCATATTTCATGAGTGAATTAGAAAAGGGGAAGGAAGTAGGGTGGGTCCCCAGACTTAACAAAGGAACAGAAGAAAATGGGGTGGGGCAAGGGAGGGATACAGACAGGATCCCTAGGGAAAGTATTGCTGAACCAAGTTTTCACATACATTTTACAGATACTGCTCATTTCTACAGTTGGAAGTCAGGAAGTCAGGTTAGGAGCTATTGTTGGTATTTCTAATCTACAATTTAATACACTACAAAGCATAAACTACATTTCGGGAAAATACAGGTTCAGTTTTCTGGTGAATAGTGCAGCTATATTCCTGGAAATAGGACCCACATCCATCTAGTCATATACTTTGATGTAACTATTTTACTGAAAATAAAATATGAAAAGTTTATAAGCTTTTCAAATCTAAGTTACGACTGGGCAAGCACCTTTTCTTTTTCTGCATTCCCGCCCCCCAACCCCCATCCCTCCCTACGTATTCTTTCTGTCTCTGTCCTCCAGAGCTGCCCTCTGAGTGCATGCCCTCTTTCGAAGGACTGCTGTGGTTCCGGTTACCTTGGCTTCTGGGCCACCTATCAGTCCTCACTCCAGTGATGAAGGCTGAAGGAAGACACCCTCCAGAGGCAATCAGACTTGAATTCACTCTGGCCCCAAGTCTGCTTAATCACTCTTCAGCTCCCTCACTATTCAGTCACTGTTCAGTCAGATTGAAATAATATAATTTATCTCATGAAGGCCCTGCCTCAACCATCTTCCTTAGGAAAAGTTAGAACCCCACCTAACAATCTGTCAGTGAGATAAATACTAACATCTCAGCTACCTGAAGCAAACTGCAGGCAAACAAATGCTGAGTCGTTCCTCATTATTTCTAGAATGAAGTAAAACTTCTCAGCCCTCAAAATCCTCCACAGTCTGGTCCCAATCTCATTTCTCATGAAATCTTCCTTCTCCTGCCTCCCCTCCCACACCCCCAATTCTTGGTATTCTGGAAACATGAAATCGTTTCAGAGTTCCAAAAAACATCTAATATTTTGGTATCTCTGTGCATTTTCTAATGCTATTCTTCCCACTAGGAATACTCTTCTTCAATGTGGATTCTTTAAATCCAACCCAAAACCTAATTTAAGGTCCAGGTCAAACTACTTCTGCCCTATGAAAGAATCCTGCTTTCTCAGGTGTAAATTCTTCTTCAAACTCCTATGTGTCTCTCTTGGGATTCTCTTCACTGCTTCCTTGTATCTCAGTTAGTTGTGTTGATATCTTTCCTCCACAACTAGACTATACTTCTTGAGGGCAGGAGCCACATAGTTGGGAGCCACCATAGTTAGCCTGGCTCCTCTATGACATCGGCTTGAACAAAAGTTAGCAAATGAATGGATGACAGAGAGTATTCTAGAATAGAAGTATAGTAACACCAACTCAGATTACAGAGATCAGGAGAGCCACCCTAAAATCCCAGTTAATTCTGAGGAAGGCACACATATTGCAGCAAATGCCAAAGCTCTGGCCAAATATGTCGGTTTATTTGGGAGCTACCAGAGATTCTCTCTGTTTAAGGTATTTTCAAAGGGTTCTGGAAAGAAAAGTTTGTGTAGTCCCCATAGTGTTTGCCAGAACCCCACCTAACAATCTGTCAGTGAGATAAATACTAACATCTCAGCTACCTGAAGCAAACTGCAGGCAAACAAAGCAAGGGAAATGGCTTACATAGCTTTTTGGCAAAGGTGGTAAGAAACACAACATTCTTATGTCTGCCACTATACCAAAGAATCCTTACAAATTGCTTAATATAAAATAGCATGCACATCCCCCATTGCTAGTCACTGAATTCTGTCAATTTTACTGTGTAAATGACTTTCCACATTTACTCCCTCCTCAGTTCTTATGGTCATTGCCCCAGTTCAGGCTGGCACCTCTCACTTGACTCACTATGGTAGCTTTCTAAAGGTTCTTTCCAACATTTCCCTCTTCTTCACTCAATTCTTCCTCTAAAGCAATGCCAGAGAGATCTTACAAAGGCCACATCTGATTATGCCACTTCCCTTCTTTGATGGCTTTCCTTTGACCAAAAGGCAAGTTTAAGCTCCTTAGGGTAGCTGGTAGACTTTTTTAGCTTACCAGTCTTTCATAATGGAATTTTAGGCTGACTCCCAGCCCACCCCTCTCCATTCCCTAGGAATCACCAGGACTGCAGTCATGTATCTTCCCATGGGTCCCTCTGCCTGAAATGCTGTCCCCTGCCTTCTTCTATGACCATTAGTCATTCTTCAGGGTCAAGCTCAAAGGTCCCCATCTGATAACACACGTCCCTTGCTCTGTTGGCACAGTCACAGAATTAAGGCTAGGAAATACAATGCCTACATCAGAGATAATTTCTTTAAAGAACCAACAACTCAATGTTAACTCTACTATCATAATGTTTAGAAGACACAGCCCATTTCTTTCCCCTTCTGAAAGTCCTCCCATAATAATTTTCAACACATAGGAATGAGTGCTTGCTCATTGTGCCTACAGCTAGTTAATAGAAAATAGAAAAATGGAGTGCTTCCTGAGAAGCTTGCGATAATTATACATTTAACTTCTTAAATTTCAGAAACACCTTGGCAAAAGCATAGAGTGAAGCATTTCTCTAATGGCATGCATTTATAATCACAGCATTTAGCAGTTAAGAAAATATTAGAAATGCCTACTGAGAAAGCTGTAATCCCCTTCAATTTGTAACAAGATGTACCAGCAACAAAGGCTTTATTCTATCAAATTTATGTCTTTGCCTGTGCAGTAGTGCTACAAATTAGCTCTCTCTTTGGCATCTATGTGGCATTCTAGAACTGGAAAGTAATGAAGGTTAGTCAAAAGAATGACTCAATAGGCAACTTGGATTCTAACTCAAATTTTATCACTGTCGACTTAACTAGCTTTGGCCCAGGAATGGTGGATGAAGTCGATGAAGCATTTTAAAATCATAAAAGAAAGGAAATCTGTATGTAACTTCAGGGTTTGGTCATTATTGTTATAACAAGAAGAGGAAACTGCAGACCTAGGTTTACGTTAAGTAAACTGCAGTTTCCTCTGTCCATGCTGTGTGTCAGAACTGAGTTTCTATGAAGAGCAGATGACTGCTACTGTAAAGAAAGTGAGGACAGGAAAAACGAAAACACTGCACCACCTTCATGAACACTGTGAACTTAAGGGGTAAGCAAAGGTATAGGCACATCAAATGCCCAAGACATAAAAGATTGAAGTGAATTAGCAGGTGGTTTTTATTCCTAATAAATTACTGCAAAAACTGTAACCATCTAGTACCAAATAATTCATTTAGTGGAGGACTACATCAATATCAGCCTTGAGAGTTGAAAGATTCCACTGGTGTCATCCTGCAGAAGGGAGATGACAGAATGGCTTTGTTTATATTTATCACTAGAAAGAAAGATCCCTAATATTCCTTTCCTTATTTTAAGCTTCACAGGAAAGTCTACATAGAAAAAGTCATAATTCCAATGTTTATTTACACACCATCTTTCCTCTCAGAAACAAAAACGTTTCAGAGCTGTTAATGCACCCATGATATGACAGTCACGCAAGAAGTAAAAAATGTTAGTGTTCTGTTTTACAAGTGAAATGAAGGTTTAAAGGTGACAGAGCAGATAACCAGAGCAAAGCTGCAAATCTTCAATCACTAAATTTCTGCCTCATGTTAAAAGCCTTTACAATTATCAGCCCCAATGTAGATTTCTTTTTTTTTTAATTATACTTTAAGTTTTAGGGTACATGTGCACAATGTGCAGGTTTGTTACATATATATACATGTGCCATGTTGGTGTGCTGCACCCATTAACTCGTCATTTAACATTAGGTATATCTCCTAATGCTATCCCTACCCCCTCCTCTCACCCAGTGAGAACACAAGGACACAGGAAGTGTAGATTTCTATAGTTACAGATTTGAAGAGTATTATAATCTCATTGGCCGTGACTACTTATAATATTCTGGACTGAACTAAATATACAACAAAGACAACACAGAGGTATCTTTTTAATAAGTGCAAAGTTGTTTTGTCATAAGCCTTAATCATAAGCCTAAAGCTTATGATCTCTAACTTTGGTGAAGTGGTACCCTACTGTTCTACTGTTTGATTTTTGAAAGATCTTACCATACCTGAAGTTGTTACTGGTTTACTGGACCTAACTTGCAATCAGTTGTAAGATACAGCATTCATTTTAAGAACCATAAGGAAAGAAAAATGCTCACAATTAAACTATGACATGTTTTCATATCATCAATTGTTAAGACTATTGTGGGGGAAATGTGCATCTTGAAATCAATAAAATATGGCATATGAAAACTGTTGCTCATCTAATTAAAATGAATCAAAAGGAAAATTTTTGAAAAATTTAAGCTGCACACTAGGATACTCAAATATCCTAAGGACACAGCAGAGGTTAGGCGTCAGTCTATGATATAGTCAAACTTCAGGGTGCTTTTAACAACTTGAACAAGGTGCTAAAGTTTTCAATAGTTCCAAGCAAAGTGAAGGTTGCCTGAGACCTACATCCACACTTAAAGTCAATAGTCGCCTCTGAAATAGTTCAATCACAACGCTTTGAAACTGCCTAATTATTCTCTTTCTTGAGACACCAACTGTTACAATTCGATGTCTCACTGTTAGAGAAGTGCTATGTTATTAAACTAAGCAGCCAGCCAGACTTGAGCATCTTACCTCCTCTCCTTCTCAGTAAAACCCTGCCATTTGTATTAATAGACTTGGAGGAGAAAAAGCATGAAGCAATGTTTTCCCCCTTGGAAAGGGTTGAAAACAAAATCTCAAGGAAAAATTAAAGTCAGAGAAACACATGTATAAGCGCAGAGGAATTTTCCCCTTCATGAGCAATCCTGGATAGTGCAGCACTGAGAGTGAAGTCTCATAACCAACAACAACCAAGTCAACAGATAACAATGTGTGGCACAAGAAAGTGGTCCCATTGTCTTCCCAGCATGACGGCAGCACTCTCAGTTCTAAGGCTCAATCTGAATAACTGCTTTCAGGAGGACCAAGCGGAACGTCCCTTTCCTCCAGCTTTAACTATATTCAAACAATATAACTCTTGTTGGAACACAAGCCTTCATAAGATACTGGGAAAACTCCCTTCTGACCCTCCCACTTGGTGAGAGCATCTATAATCTCTTTTTGTGTTTTCATCTATTTCTAGTGACTTAGGACACATTCATTTGGCAACTAGATCCACCTCTGTACTAAACATAAAAATATGTTGAAATGTTTTTTCAAAATTCATGTTCTACAAACTATATGATAAGGCAAAACTTCCAAAATCAAACTTGAAAGCCACCCAAGCAGGATCATAAATAGATAAGGATTCATATTTGCTTAAATGTATTCTCATATTTCTACATAATTTACTTTTGAGAAGAGTCTCTTATAAATCCTGTGTCATAAGCCACTTGCTTAGAGCTATGAGCAGCTGTCATTTTTACTAAGGAGGATGCTCTTGGGGGGAAAAAAACCCCCAAAACCTAAAGAATTTAAAATAAAATAGTCTTTCGTTCAAACATGCAATCAGGCAAAAACATTTTCCACCCCTTCAAACCTGCATCCCCAAGAGGCAAAAGGCTTACGTGTTCAGACTTCTCCTGTTCTTTTTTGTCCGTCTGCAAAAACTGATAGTTTTCTTTTGCCAGCTTCTGGACTAGTTCAATTCGTCCGATTTCATCTCTTTCCTGGAGCTTGCACATCACCCCTGCCTTAAGAGTTGGAGAAAAAGCGAAGATATACTTAAAACCACAGTCCCAGGACATGACACCACCGCAAAGTTCACCTTATAATAAGCTCATCTTTTCCACTGCCTGGATTAAATCATGGTCTTGGTAAAATATTTTGCCTTTCAAAAATTGAAGTTACATTATTATAACCTAAGAGCACCATGCCAAAAGACTTAAAGTTGAGTCTGCGTATCACCCTACTTTAAGAGGGTGAAGGACAGAGCAAACTAAATCATTTGCTACTAAGTGTGCGCCTGATAGGCTCCTGTTTGTTTGTTCCTGACAGCCTGTTTCCTGTTACATAAGCAGAGCCTAGCAAGAGGTTAAAAACTCATGGGAAAGTTAGCCAGGAACCACACTGGTGAAAGGGTGAACTGATACAGAGCCCTAAAAATAACAATATGCAACACCCCAATTCTTTAGCTCCACAACAAATTATTCCGTATATAAATAAACCCTTAACAAGAAGATCACAAGATAATTTTTTTCACAATTGGGAAGTTACCATGGGGCATTAGTAAAATACCACTAATAGTGCATAAAAGATGGTGAAATATTTTGCTAAAAATAAGACACTGGAAAAAGAAAGCTTGAAATTTCATTCATTGGGGTTTGGAAATGATCCATAAAGCATCATATTTTACATTAGGTCAAAGTGCCTAAATAATAATAGGAGGAGGAAGGTGAATCTAAGACTTTGAAATAGGAAAAAAAAAAAAAGTTCATTCTAACACACTAATTATGAAGTGTTTCTGCTCAAATTCTTTCCAAAATGGTTCATACTGACATACCAAGACATGATCTAATAAAGAAATCCAAAGTTATACTTGGCAGGAGCAGTCAAAACTATGGAATCCGTTTTCCTCAACATAACCTACAGGATTTGAATATACTCCATAACATGACCAAATACAGCAAAGGGGCCGGCAAAGAATCCAAACTTCATGATCTTAACGGTTTGTGCTAAAGATACCCGTGTTGTTGAGTGGGCAGCAGAGAAATGGAACTATCCATGCAAAGCAATGACTAAATCTTTGTTCCCAGGGGCAGTGGTATCTCTTTATCTAGCAGTTTGTCGAACTAGGAAGGAAATAAAAAATTTCTGACGTGGCCCACATCACAGACTCCTAGAGGACAGCAAGTGGAATTCCTCCACCAAAGTCAGAGATTTTTACAACATCCCTCACAAGTGGCTTTTCAGTTCCTTTCTAAAGTTTCCTTGGACAGGGACCTAAGTTTATCTTAAGACAGTCTGTACTCTGTTGGATAGCCAGGATTGTTGGAAAGTCCCTTATTCTTATCACACTAGACAAAACTGAAACCATTTAACTTCAATCTGTGAGGACTAGTTTTGCCTTTTAAAGCAATGGAAACTAGGCCTATTCTTTATCCAATGTGACAATCTTTCAAATATTTAAATACAAACATTTATTATATTCTCATTTTAATATTCTCCAGATATATATCTGATATGGTTTTGCAGAGTCGCCACCCAAATCTCATCTCAAATTGTAGTTCCCATAATCCCCACATGTTGTGGGAGGAACCAGGTAGAGGTAATTTAATCATAGGGGCAGGATTTTCCGGTGCTATTCTCGTAGTATTGAATAAGTCTCATGAGATCTGATGGTTTCATAAAGGGGAGCTCCCCTGCACAAGCTCTCTTGCCTGCCGCCATGTAAGACATGCCTTTGCTCTTCCTTCGCCTTTTGCCATGATTGTAAGGCCTCTCCAGCCATGCTGAACTGTGAGTCAATTAAACCTCTTTCCTTTATAAATTACCCAATCTCAGGTATGTCTTTATTAGCAGCATGAGAGCAGACTAATACAATATCCCTAGTTCCCTAAATTATTTTATTCATTCATTCACTCAACAGAGTAAAGGATTTATTTGAGTAAGAACCTACTATAAGTTCTGAGAATATGGTAGTGAACATAAAAAAAAACAAAGTTCTGGCCGGGTGCAGTGGCTCATGCCTGTGATCCCAGCACTTTGGGAGGCTGAGGAGGGTGGATCACCTGATGTCAGGAGTTTGAGACCAGCCTGGCCAACATGGTGAAACCCCGTCTCTACTAAAAATACAAAAAATTAGCCGGGCGTGGTGGTGTGCACTGTAATCCTAGCTACTCAGAGGGCTGAGGCAGGAGAATTGCTTGAACATGGAGGTGGAGGTTGCAGTGAGCTGAGATCACGCCAGTGCACTGGACGACAGAGCGAGAGTCCATCTCAAAACAAAAACAAAAACAAAGTTCCTTACATCCTGGAGCATACATTCATGATGTAACATACCAATAGGAAATACAGAGTGGTAATATATGACAGAAAAAACAATGAAGCAGGGTAAGGGGACAGATAAATAACTGAAGGCATTATTAAGATAAAAATGTCAAGGAAGGGTTTTCTAGTAAAATGACATCTGAATGGTGACCTAAAGGAAATGAGGAAGAAGTGATGTGGATATCCAGAAGGAAGTGTGTTTCGGGCAGAGGAACAGCAAGTACAAGGGCCCTAATGCTCAAGTGTGTTTGGCATGCTCAAGGATAGGCAGAGAGAGCAGCAGGGCTAGAAAAGAGCTGTAGGGAGTAGACTGGTGGCACTGGTTGAGAGGTAATGCAGGAGCCCAACACACAATTTCCTTATAGGCTGTATAAGGAGTTTGGATTCTTTTTCTGAATAAGACAGAAATCCTTTGGAAGGTTTTGAACAGAGAATTAGCAAAATATGATTGACATTTTAGCAGGATCATTGTATGTCCTGGGTTGGACTGGGGGAAGTAGTTGATGGTAGAAGACCAGTTAGGAGCCTGGTTTTCACATAAGACATGGCTTGGAACTTGTGCTAGTGGTGAAGGTGGTACATGTGGTTCTAACCACTGGATATATTTCAAAGGTAGAGCCAGCAGATTTTGCTGTTTGGGGGTCTCCAAAATATTTGGTTTGAGTAACTGAAAGGATGGAGTTGTCATGGGGGGAGGCAGGGGTTGATCTGGGAAGGAAAATGGCTATTGACATCCAAGTGGAGTTGCTGAGTTGGAAGTCTGGAGGTTCAGGGGAAGTCCAGGCTGAAGATATGAATTCCAGAGTCATCAGAATACAGATGGTATTCCTCTGGTTTTACCAATGGAATGGTGTAAATCCAGGAATTGAGTCTAGTGTTTCGATACTGGGAAGATAAGGAGTAATCAATCAGAAAAGGAATCTGAGGAGGAGTGGCTCCAAGAAGAGAATCTGGAGAGTAGTGAAGCTGCTTCAAGGAGGAAGAAGTGAAAAACTCTATCGAATGTTGCTGAAATATCAAACAAGATGGGCTCAAAATAACTGACACTGAATTTGACAAAAGTAATTGGTAACTTTGAGTGGAGCAATTTCTGTTTGAACTGATAGGGACAAAAGCTTTATTAACGTGAGTTCAACAGTAAATAGGACACAATTCTTCCAAAGAGGTTTGTGACAAGAAATGAGGCATTAGCTGAAGAGTGTCCTTGAAGAGAGTTTCGCTTGCTTATTTGCTTTAACATGACGGCTATTCCAGGATGTTTACCTTTATTAGAATTCCAGTAGACAGCAAAATTTGATGATGCAGGAGGGAGAAGGGGGCATTTTCAAGAGTAATGTTCTTGAGTAGGAAAGAGAAGATAAAGATCTACTCTCAGGAAGAAATATGAATCTAAATATTTCATCCAGTGAAACAGGAGAGACAGTGAAATACAGGGGTAAATATGCAGGTACGTTGGCATATTTGGTGGTAGGGACATGCAGAAATTCCTTTCTGAAGGCTTCTATTTCCCAGAAAAATAAGAAGAGAGTTATGATCTGAAAATAAGAAATTGTGGGGAGATGCTGCTGCATAAGAAAAGAAGGCATGTTAATAGTCACTTAGGTTACAAGCACTGGCAAACTATTTTGTAAAGGGCCAGACAATAAATATTCTAGGCTTTGTAGGTCATGGGGTCTCTGTTGCAACTGCCCAATTCTGCAAGAGATAATATGTAAATGAATGAACGCAGCTACATTCCAATGACATTTTATTTATAAAAACAAACAGTAGGCTGTGGTTTGTCAACTCATGGCCTAAGAGAAGGGGAAACTGGGCAAGGGAAGTAGAATAAAGATTGCCAAGCATTACTAAAGGCCCACTTGATTTTTATTTTTAGATCCTTTTATGCTCCTAGCCATCCTCCTTAGGGCATATTTCTGTTTGTCAGGATTTTAATGCAGTCCATAATCTGAGACAATGGTAAATATATGGGCCTATCATTAAGATGCTCTTTTAATCTACACTAAGAAGGGTAAAAAAGTTTCAATGGTGTTATAAAATAACTATGAAGGCAGGGAAACTGGGGCAATTTCTACTTACAAATAAACATTACTTAAATGCTTTGACACTTAAATACATTTCTATTATCTAGAAAATTCATGTACGTCAACCAGCGAGGATTTCTTCTCTCTCTTTCCATGTCATCTGCACAGTGTTTAATACACTGTCCTGGCGGTGGAGGGAGGATGCTAATGACCCTCCAAAATGCCAACCTGGAAACCTGTTCTGTGGTTTAATCAGTGGTGTGATGGATTTAGTCCCCATCTTGCTCTGCTCCCCAGTATGGCCCTCCCATACAAAAGACAGCATGTGGGGAATGGAGGCCCAGACAGTGGTGGGACACATATGAGAGTACTGGATAGCTATAACTAACCCGTCACCATGGGGAGCCTGTTCCCTCCTTTCACCGGCACTGGCTCCAAAGCAACTCAGCTAAGCTCCCACAGACTCGATTTGGAGACAGTCTGTCCTTCTATCTGTAGGTCCCAAGTACAGTGTTTTGGTTTTCTTTTTTTTTTTTTTTTAATCAGCTGATTACAGCATCATCAATAAAAGGCCGAAATTAAATAGAGGAAATTTAAGGTCTTCACTATTTTTTTGGATTTCTGTGTGAACATGATTTTTCAAGGAACTCTAAGCATTTTTCACATATTATTAGAATCCTAAATATAAACTTTTCTCTCAGCCAAGTGCAGTGGCACACGCTTATAATCCCTGTGTTTTGGGAGGCCAAAGCAGGAGGATTGCTTGAGCCCAGGAGTTAGAGGCTGCAGTGAGCTATGATCACACCAATGCACTCCAGCCTGGGCAAAAGAGTGAGACTCTGTTTCTCTCTAAAAATAGTAATAAATAAATATGTAAATAAAATGAACTTCCCTTTCAGGAGGAAACATTTTCATTACAACCAGATACTTGGGCCCACGAAGCAAATATGTATTTTAAAGGCAAAATGCTCTTACTTTTTAAAATGGGCTTCAGGCTAACTTATTTCTTTAATTCTCCATCTTATAATTAAAGAGAAAATATTGCTGTTTTGATTTTCTGGTTTCTAAATAACTTCTAGATGCATTTTCACAAGGTAATCAATTCTATAGCATTCCTTATATTACAACTATCAAAAAAGATTTTCAAGGAGGTTATGAATGCTTCTTCATTCACTGGGAGACTTTAAACCCATATATCCCAGATGATTTATAAGGCAGTGCTATGCGGAAGCATCATGCCAAACTAGATGTTCCTCAGGGTCCCTTTCAGAGCTCCATAATTTAGTGATTTAATTCAAGAAACCCATGAATTTATTAATATATTGTGGGAGCTTTGCTATGGCAGGAGAAGCAAGATAACTAACAGTCCTTGATCTAGACTTTCACATCCCTGGTCTATTTAATTTCTCTGTGTAAAATTAATTATAAACAATTTACCTAACACTGCTAAGCCAGAAAAAAAATAAAAGATTAATGTATAACTGTCAGAAGAGTTATTTAGGAGCTTTATTTCAAGGTCTGTTTTGAAAAAAAGTCTCCATAATGTATAATTAAAGTTATTCATAGGATTTTCAGCCTTTGAGGAGAGAAATGTTATGAATGTAAACGAAAAGCCTGTTTCCTTTATAAATGTAGTCATAAAAATGTTGGGTCCATCCCCTCAATGGCAGAATGAAGCGTGGACAAGATTCCTGTGGGAAAGGCCACATGGATGATAAATGAGCATCTTACTGGGACAAAAGCACAGTTCTTTGTATTAAAACATTCTCTGCATTATCTTAACTTTAACAACCACTTTTTCTAAAACACCTAGGTAAAACATGCTGCAAAAATTGCTTATCAAGGTCAGGGAAACCAGAAAGAAAGAGTCCACCTTTCATGAAAGCACTTTTGCAATAACAGAATGCTATTCAGTTCAAATTCAGGATATTCAGATAAATTTTTATTGATTACTATGTAATATCTTAATTTCATTAAAAATTAAGCCTAGAAGTTCATATAATTTTTTTGCTATTTTAAACAGAAATATAAATGACAGAATAAAACACTGATGAGCTTAGATGATAAATTATTCTACTGTATGCACCTTATTTTGAAAACAGAAAATATTAAGAATTTTTTTCCAGGAAAATTCAGAAGACAGTTCATAGTCAAAAAATAATAATAATTTTAGGGCAACAAATATTCATTTTCTCAAATTTCTTCAGAGAAAAAAGTTAGACTATGAAAAAGCTCTCCCTGTTAGGGATAGAAGAATATGCCCCCTTGAGAATTGGGAAATGAACCACGAAGCATCCACAGTGAGAAATGTACCTAATGGAAAGTGTGATAGTCAAGGCAGGTGAGGAATCCCTAGGGAGTCACTGGTATGGGCCTCGAACACCATGCTGGGGCATCAGGGAGCTTTAGAAATCATTTCATAATTCCTAGCCCGTCACTGTCCAGGCAAGGCAATGGACATTCAGTTTCTCTGGTCCTACTCCTTTGTGGAATTCCTTGTGTTAAAACATCACCTTTGTATAGGATGGACAGACCCATACTATAGAAATACTGTGTAATGCTGCATCCTGCCAGAGCATGCTGAGAGCTAGGAATAAGGCAGAAACCACACTTACATGAAATTTATGCTGTTATTTCCCTCAAGTACTTTCTTAATCTTTTGTATTTAGAAAATTATCCCTTCTGATTAAAATCAAAATATAGAATTATAAATTTACATAATATATAGTATTATAAATTTATATAATTGAAAAAGTAAGGGGTTCATTCACTTCACATGCTTGATTCCTTTAACGTTCAGACTAAAGTAGGGGGGCCACCAATATTTTCTCTTGTTTTGACCTAAGAGAAATTATAGCTCAGACTTGTATACATTCTTGACCACACTGGTAAGCAGGGTAGCAAAGTTAAAAAAAAAAATTAAAAAGTTAAAAAAGAGAATAAGCAAACTCGAATAATATCAAACATAAAAGATTTAACAGGATAATCAATTTTCTTTGACAGTATTAAATAAGAGCTTTCTTTAGTATGCATATTTTTAAAAGTTATAGTCTGACTACTGATAAATTAGTTACCAAATATTTAGCAGTTAATTTGTATAACAAATAATTATTATCACTTAATAATAGAATGATTGATTCAAATGGAGGATAGGAGACAATGAAAATATTCACTGAATCCAGTGGCCAATGGCTAATGGAATCAAAGCAAGAATTTCCAAAGTTCAATATATTATAAATTACTCAAGGCCAAGTGTAGTGGCTAACGCCTGTAATCTCGGTACCTGGGGAGGCTGAGGTGGGCAGACTGCTTGAGCCCAGGAGTCAGAGGTCAGCCTGGGCAACATAGCAAAACCACATCTCTACAAAAAAATACAAAAAATTAGCTGGATATGGTGGTGTGCACCTGTTGTCCCAGCTACTCAAGAGGCTGAGGTGGGAGGATCACTTGAGCCCAGGAGGTTGAGGCTGCAGCGAGCCATGATCGTGCCACTGCACTCCAGCCTGGGTGACAGAGTAAGACCCTGTTGCAATCAATCAATCAGTCAATTAATAACTAATTAAAGATCTCATTAGAATTCTTAAAAGCTAGAACCAGGCAAATTTTCAGTACATTTTGACAAAGATTCTTAAATCCTTTTATCCTATAATACAGTGAAGGGACTAGAATATTTTGTGTCTGCAAAGATACCATCTGGCAGAGAGTAATGCTGCAACTTGGCCCAGTTAGATACTTTAAATATTCCAACCAAAAAGCAATGAGATAGATGGTCAGCGTGACAATAACTGACAGAGGCTGATTTGTTGGGTGCTTACTGTGTGTCAGGTGCTGTTCTAATTGCTTCACATGTAGTCCTTTAATCTTCAGAACAATCTAACAATTATTTCCATTTTACAGAGGTTAGAAAGGCAGTTTGCATGCTGTTTAAAGCAAGGACATCAGAACCAGACTGCCCTGGTTTCAGACCTGGCCCCGTCCCTTACCGGCACATCTATAAAGTGGTAGTAATTAAACTATCTATCCTGGAGGGTTTGCTGTGATGTTTAAATACATTAATAAAAACAAAGAACCTTAGAGTGTCTAATATATATGAAGTGCTGCCTAAGTGTTATATACAATAATACTGCTCCCAGTATTATTACAGAAAAGGAGGGTAGGAGCACAAGAGAGTTAACTTGCCCAAAGGTTTTTTGTTTTGCTTTGTTTTCTTTTTTGAGATGGAGTCTCGCCCTGTCACCCAGGCTGGAGTGCAATGGCAGGATTTTGGCTCACTGAAACCTCCGCCTCCCGGGTTCAAATGATTCTCCTGCTTCGGCCTCCCAAGTAGCTGGGATTACAGGCACCTGCTACCACGCCCAGCTAATTTTTTTTTTTTTTTTTTTAAGTAGAGACAGGGTTTCACCATGTTGTCCAGGCTGGTCTCAAACTCCTGACTTCACGATCCACCTGCCTTGGCCTCCCAAAGTGCTGGGATTACGGGTGCGAGCCACCACGACTGTTACTCGCCCAAGGTTACTGTGCCAGTCAGGAAAAGAATCCAGGCAGTGTGGCCCCAGAGGCAGCGCCCCTAGTCTTTACATTATGCTGCCCAACATTTACTGAAACTCTCCTATGTGCCGGGATTGCCAGGAGTGTTTTATGTTGCTTCATTTCAACCTCAGGACAAGCTTATAATATCTCCATTTTGCAGAGATGAAAACCATGCATGCTAGGTACTGTCTAGCATAGTGGGGACACCATGGGGACAAAGACTTAGGCGACCTACAGGATCTTCCAGGTTTACAGCCACTAAGGAACATCCCTTAAGGAAGAAGGGCTGGCAGGTAAACCCAACTCTAAATGCTCTCTTCACTCCACCCACATGTGACAGCATTAAAACAGGGAGTTTCTTAAGCAGAAAAGGTATTTTTAGTGAGAGTAAGAAAAAAGCAGCCAACATATGAGAGATCTCTGGTAGATGGGAAGCCTGTGTACAACAAGGCCAAGTCTGTCTGGGCTTAGTAACCATCTTAACCTTTTATAGACCCAAAGTTTTCAGCAGCCTAGAGGCACATTCCCCACGGTAACATATTTCATCATCTATGCGGAAGAAGGAATCAGAATCCACTTAACTTGCTTAAAATATGCTCTGGAATGAAGACTGAAGTAATCTGAAATACTGTGAAGCCTGGCAAATAGGTGCTCAAGCCATTAAATGTATATACATCAATCAAATAAATTGTACATATAAATTACACACATACGTACATACCAATGAGCATACATTTTTATTTCTAATTCTGCCTATGTATCTGATGGCAAAATTCTAAGTTTTCTTTAAGCTCACCTCGCATGACTTGAACTACTTATTCCATCCAGAGAACTTATATAGACGGGCCTGCAGAATTAAACCAATAAAACTGGTGTTTCCACTACGGTAGCAGATCAAGCTTTCTTAGACACACCAGAGGAGGTGACAACTGCCTTCCTTCCTAACCAGCTTAGGCCTATAACACTCATAATGATGCCATGCTGCCCAGTGAACTTAATTCAACTTTCAAACCTAAGTAGAATCTGTTCCTAATCTAATTATCAATCTACTGGTTTCATGATTTCATCCCTCTGTATGTCCTACAGATACACAGTTATATAATCATTGCTGAATAAAAATCACAAAATCCTGAACAGTAAGGTCTGTGTATCCTTTTGAGAAATAAAATTGCATTCAAACAGACATTTACCCATAGAATAAGTTCAGAACAAATAAAGAATAACAGTATTTTAAATTTAGAAACCCTTGTCCCACTAGTAATTTAAGGATTTAAGAAACTTGGAGAAAGTGGTAAATACACTGAGCTGGGGAATCCCTGCACAGGTTTGCTTGGAAGCCTGCAGTATAATTTTAATATGAACTTGAGGACTGTTCCATGTTTAATATTACCACAGCAAAACAATGTGACTTTATTAAAACATTACTGTCCATGCAATCTTTATTGAAAAAGTTAATGTGATTCTTCTGACCAGAATCAACAGATTTGTAACCTTAAAGGCGAAGTGAGATGAGTCAACTAGGCTAAGTCAGAATTTTAAAATGCTCCACTGTTATATAAAGTTAACAGCTGGCAGCACTAGGGTGTCCAAAGTTTTTATGGTGCAATAGTATTTGGAGGTATGCTACCTAAAGCATATTCATGCCGTGATTTAGCTACTGGGAGGTAGCACAGAACCTCTAGCAAGTTGGTGCTGTCAGCTGGCCCATTCTCCACTGCCTTCTTCAGGGGAATGTCTGCCCTTCACTCATTTCCCTTGCTTCCTCTGGGAAGTAAAGTGTGTCTATCTGACCCTCTCCCATGAATCAAATTATAAATATAATTACCAATTTAGGACCCTTTGTGTGAAATACCTTTATATCAAAACTGAGCACTTTATTCCCAATAACATGGCTATTTACAAAACATAAAAGGTAAAACCTATATCATTTTTTAACACCTGCACTGTCTCACCACCCTCAACACAGAAGGGTATGATGAGGGGCTGTCACAGAATTGATCATACCTGAGAATCTGGAACACTTTCGGCTTCTGTTACAGCTACATGTTTGTCGTTGTTTTCTTCATCTTGTTCAATTGCTTAAAAAAAAGAACACCATTAAACAAATGTATCATCATACAAAAAATGCTTCAGATAATTTTCTTTCAGATCGCAATTTAGCGGGAAAAAATGTTAGATAGATTCACAAAATGTAAACATTGGCATTATTTTTTGTTAATCAAATGTGAAGTTAGCTAATAGCACTGGGTACTTCTCCTGCATATTATCTCATGTATTAAATCAATGGCAGTGAGAAAATTCAATCTTAATTCTGTTCTTCACCTAAACCCATCCTGACATCACCATATCAGCATTGTGCTTTACCAAAAGGGCAGCTGTGGGTATAAGATGAAGACTTTTATTCATTTCATATAAGAACAGCCATATATTTTTTTTAATGTGGCTTTCTGGCTGGCAGTTTAAATGTCATATAATAAAGGAAGCACAGTATTTATATCTGGGTTGCTCAGTGCATTGTTACCACAAAATTCCATATTGTGGAGTCTTGAATCCGTATATCCCTTCCCAGCATCTCCCTATCCAAGCCCTTATCACCCTTTCTTCATGGGTACAATGACCTCTTACACAAAGCCCTGACTCCAGCCTCTCACTAATCCAATCCAGCTTGGGAACAATGCTAAAATAATCAGTCTCAAAAAATATAAAAACAAGTGCCAGACTTTGGCTTATGTATTGCTTATCTCATGGCATCTGAACTTCTCCTGCTCATCACTGAAGGGCTTCTCTGAACTCTCTAGCTTCCTCCAAATGTCCAATTTCACACTGACATTCAACACCAAAATGTATTTTACATAACTGGGATCCACACATAATGACTGGATTACTTTTCTCTTTAGATAACTTATTCTTCTGTTTTAACAAATATTTACGGAGCAGCTATTATGTCCATAGCAGGAGATGTGACATTCAACAAGCCTGGAGAGAGTAGAGACCACAATAAATTCAGATCTAAGCCTAAGAACACGGGGAACCACGAAAGAATTTTAAATTGGGAAGTGCATGATTTGATGCATATTTTTAAAAGTTCTTTTTTGCTTCTTTGGGAGAACAGACTTGAGAGAAACAAGAGCGGAAGCAGGGAGACCAGTTAGGTGACTGTTGCTGTAATGTTGCCTGCAGATGACAATGACTCAGATCAGGGAAGTGGCAATGAGCAGGAGAAACATGGAACACTGGAGCTATATTTTTTTAGACAAAATGGACACAACTTGCCAATGAATTGAATATGGAGAGAGAAAAAAGAGATGAAGGAGAAGCAATCAAGGATGACTCCTAAATAGTTATTCCTTGTATCCATCATGCCATTTATGCTTTTTGCCCTCTTCATCAAAAGTAGGCCAAAGCATACCAACCTAGCTGACAGTGAGGTCACCCACTGTACTTATTGATTCAGTTTACATTATTCTGTGTGCTTTTTTTTTTTTTTTTTGAGATGAAGTCTTCACTCTTTTTGCCCAGGCTGGAGTGCAGTGGCACAATCTTGGCTCACTGCAACCTCCACCTCCCGGGTTCAAGCGATTCTCCTGCCTCACTTAGCCTCCCGAGTGGCTGGGATTACAGGCGTGCACTACCATGCCCAGATAATTTTTGTATTTTTAATAGAGACAGGGTTTCACCATGTTGGCCAGGCTGGTCTCAAACTCCTGACCTCAAGTGATTTGCCTGCCTTGGCCTCCCAAAGTGCTGGGATTACAAGGTGTGAGCCACCACGCTTGGCCTGTGTACTTTTAAATATTGTGCTCTCTGCTCTGTATTTTTTAAAATATCATTTCATGTACTTTTTGCTTTTGTATGCCATTCATGCCTGCTGTGTGGTGCCCACCATGGAGCCTACCTATAATGCTGTGCATACAGTAGGGCTCTGCAAATGCTAACTGGCATGAACAATGTATCCCCAAGTGATCAAAACTGCACTGCTTGACTATGCCTACTTATATAATAAGCTACTTCTTTTGTAACTTTATGAAAGAAGAAAAGAGAGAAATTCTTCTGTTCACGCTTTGGATAACTAGGATAACTCTGACCAGCTGAGCATCTAAAGGCAAGGTAGGAAGAGGTGAAGAGGGTAGAAGCTTTTCTTCTATTTTTCAGAGAAAAGTTCCATTCATGCCTGTTCAAAGGGGGTTCCCTGTTGCTACTGTTGCCCAGCTAGGAGGAAACTTAAGAACAAAGAAAAACATGCGTGTTTTCTCTGAAAAACTAGAGGCAAGACTATAAAGGGAAAAATAAAACATAGAATAACATCCTAAATTCCACTTAAAAATGCAATGGGCTATAGAAGTAAGGAACTCCACTTAACCAACTGAAATAACAGAAGAAGCCTTTCCTCATCCTGGAATGCAGAGTAATTTTCTTGGAGGGCAAGCTGATCATATACTAATGTGAAATAACTTCACATAAAAAGCAACCATACTTTGGCACTTCATTTGTGCTTTATTTGAATTTTTGCTCTTTAAAGTGCTAATTTCAATGAAAATGAAGAAAATTAAATTTCAGAATATTTTAGCCTACTGAATTCATGTTTTTGGTTTTAAAACAACAATGCTGTAGGGTGTAGGCATTTCTTTTTCTTACCTTATTATACTAGAACATAGAACATGCAGGACACTAAATAATAATTTCAGATTGACAGTTAACACACTTTTTTAGAGGCAGGGTCTCCCTCTGTCACCCAGGCTGGAGTACAGTTGCACGATCATGCCTCACTGCATGCTGGACTTCTTGGGCTCAAGCAATCCTCCCGTCTCGGCCTCCCAAAATGCTGAAATTACAGGTATGAGCCACCTCACCTGGCCTCACACTACATTTTAAGCTTTAGGAATAATTCTTAATACATAGAAATAGAACTAAAGGAGGAATAGATGAACATAAAAGCAAACCTAGGATAAAGTGTCAGTCCTGTATTTATTTCTAGCTTATCCCCAACAACAATGCTATGTTTATTGTCACATCTTTAAAGACCTCAAAATCGGTTGCCTAGCATTACGCCAAAACTAACAGGGTGAGAATTAGAAACACAAGCAAGTTAAGGGACTTGGCAAAGCTAACTCTGTAAGCTAAATCTGCATAATGGACAAACTCTCAAAGTTCTGCTGGACTCAACCTCAACCCCCTAATGACAAAGAGAAGACAGCGTAAATAACATTATTTTCTTGGAAATAGGAAAAATTATAATTCCAAGAATGCATCTTGGGAGCAAAAGTGTATTTATCCTAGACAAGGATTTATGATTATCCTATGAAGTTGCATGCATAAAATATATATGGTCCCCTAAAAGGGAGAACTCTGTTGACCCTTTAGTTCATAGATTAATGTCAAAAAATAAATAAAAACACAATTTCTCTCTTTATGCCTTCCAGTGGTGTGGCTCATGTGGTGGGAAAAGGAGGAAGGAGTTATTTAGATTTTTGAGTTCAATTTTTCTTTTATCTGATCAGAATAAGAGTTGGTTGGGGAAAATTTCCTATGCAAATATTGATTCTGGGACAGTTCCCTCCAGCGAAACACGTACACAGGAATGACAGCTTCTGGGACCGAGGGAGGCTAGGAGCTTCACTCTCTGCCAACACAAACCATCTCCTTATCTCTCAACACACAGAGTCTAAAAGCAAGTAATGGCCTTTGAAAATAACTTACCATAACAAAAGATACAAGTGCAAGATCTAAAGCATATGCTTTGAGTGGTGAGCATTAGTGCCCACAGGAGAACTAAGCATGTATGTGGATTAATTAACAGATTCGTTAAGGGTACCTAGTTTAAATGTATCTATTTGTAAATTAGCCAAGAGGGATTCAAGGTGAATGAGTGTTGAAAGCCTCCTAGGATTGTGGGGCTTAACTTGATAGTGCTTTCTTGTTGCCTTGGGGACAAAACAGGTTTTCTCTCCCCAGGACTTACTAGGATGGGTGCTAAAATGCAAACAAACAAACAAACAACAACAACAAAAAACAACTCTGTCAGTAACTCTATTATAATAATAATACTTAAACACAAAGGGGACTCATGTCCTTTCTAAATGATGTTATTTAATTTCTGCTGATCAACTTTGTAAAGGTAAGAGCCCCACTAACAAGAAAACATTAAACACACAATGACTGTCGTGTGCTGACTCTCATCAGGACCATTATTTAAAAATCAACCAACCCATTTCTTTAAAAAAATCTTACAAACCAACCCCAAAGATGACTACAGATAGAAACTGAGCATTTCAAGCCTCAATGTGAGACATCAGCAAATAGTTAAGAAAAATAACTTATTGGGTACTCTGCCAAGAACTAAAGTTTTGTCAGTAATATAATCTTTCACCTGTGTAGCATTTTTACAGAGAGAAAACTCTTTCATTAAGGGTCTCATCTGATGTTCAACCTGAAATGCTGGGCAGATAAAATCACCCCCATTTTACAGATGAGGAAACTGAGACTAGTGAGGTGAAGTAATCTGCCTTAGGCCTCAAATGTAAAATGTACGTGTCGGTGACAGTTCATCACTGCTACAGTCAAGGATGGAACAGAACAGGGCTGGTCAAACTGCACATCAGCAAATCCATTCACATGGATCCTGACCAGGGTTTCTTTTCCCTCTTAATGAAATAGAACAGAATATCATAGGAAGAATAGAAAAATAAAGATCAAAATGTTTTGCAACTAGTAAAGTATTTTTCACAAGTATGGAAGAGAGGTGTACTAGGTCGGAATCTTTTACATGTTCTGTGGGTTGTGGACATAAAAATGTTAGGAAAACACCATAGTGTTTCCAGGCCACAGGAGGCAGAGCCCAGTTCTTCATTATCTAAATAATCAGCTATTTTTTGTACCATCCTGGAGTGGGGTCACAATATTTACTTTTGGAGGCCCTTCAACAATACTCCAACCACATTCAGCCCTGGGAGATGGCACAGAAACAAGCCTGCAGTGAGAAATGTTTAGACACTATACTCATTTTTGCTATCAATATATATAATCATAAATGCTTCCAAATACTCAAATCTTTTCCATTCTTTAAAAAGGAAGAAAAAAGGTAATTGTAACATTTCTGCCTCATCACTGTATTTTTTTAGTGTTAAAATTAGAAAAGTAGGGGTCAGTGTTCACCATAAAGCCACTCCATATGGTATTATAACCTGGCCCATCCAGTGCCATTGAACTTCTCTTTGAAGGTGGACCAATGACCACTACATCTCTGCTCCAGCGTGTTTTCTCAACCCCAATCTGTTCAGCTGAACTTGAGACTGTTGACTTAAAACTCTCTTTTCTGTGTCCCTATCATCCTCAAATCTTCTAAAAATGCAAGCTTTCCCCAGGCTCTCTTTTCTCTCTTTGCCTCTTTCCTTGGTGATCTTATCTGTTACTAGGGTTTCAACTTTCACTGCAATACAGTTTATTCTCAAATCTGTCTCCATTTCTGCCCACTTCTCTGAGTTCCAGGCCCACATTTCCAGTCACGAGTTGAATATTTTCATTTCACAGATGGTAACATGTCTGCTACATACAAGCTGCTGTGATAGGTGTAGTGGCACAATCTGCACCTCAAGAAAGAGTAATTGATTTAATACGGCGTGAGGACACGAAGGTCTGAAATCACAAGCATCTTCCTGCTCCTGGGATATTTCAGTTTAGATCACCACCAAGTACTGAAGCTACAAATCTCAGGCACCTTCATGGTCCTCCTTCCCCTGAGCCTTCACCTCAATCTCTCCCTAAATCCTGTCACTTCTACCTCTGGAATGATTCCACCTGTCATCCTCTCTGCCATGGTCACATCTCATGTAGGCTGCTACGGCATGGCCTCTCCCTCCATCCATTCTCCACACAATTGCCGGAGTTCCATCCCCAGAATGGAAGTCTGATCAAGCCATCCCCCTATCCTGCCTATGCCTGCTTAGAGCACATGAGGGTCACACGGAGATAAATACCAATTCAGGCTCCATAGCCCCATCCCCAGTGTCTCTGATGCCATGGGACTTAGCTCAGGGATGTGCAGGTTTGAAAGCTCTGATACCTGTGATCCCCACTCTATTGAACACTGGCCAATGTTCAGGTGGAAGCCCTCAACCTGGCCTCAAAGGCCAGGCCATTAGGTCTTGGACCCTCTCCCCAGGTGCTGCATCTCTTCCTTTGTACATTTCTTTGTCTCTAACCTGGAATGCCCTTGTCCCTGCCTTCACCAGGTGAAATTACTCTTGTCCACCGGGCTCCCCAGCCCAAACACCAGCTCCTTAATGAAGAGTCTTCTGAGTCCTCATTCTCTGCATCTATGGCCCCTGACAAAATGAAGAGTGCTTCCTCCTAGCCCAACAAAGCTCTTTTTCTGTACACTTGATATTTTTTAGTCAGCAACACAAATATCTGTCTTTGCTAACCTACATTATGAGTTCTTCGAGAGGACAGAGTATATATTTTCATATTCCCAGTGAAACTGACCCAATAGTCCCATAGATAGTTTTTGTTGTTGTTGTTGCTGTTTTTTTTTTTTTGGATAAACATAGAAATTGACCCTTCTGGTCTTAAAGCTTGAGACTTATATTTGTTTTATCTGAGTTCTTTCCTCAGGAAACAACCTTTAGGCTTCTCAAAAAAAAAAAAAAAAATCAAAAGAATTGAAACTTACCAGATCACTGCATCCAGACATGACAGGCCAGACCCTTCATTCATCCTGATTGCTTCCTTTCCCCTCCCTAGTTTCTGCTTTCTTATACCTGTTACATTTCTTCCCTGCTATATTAGCCCCTAGTTTTAGTTGGTCAGGGAAATGGATTTGAGACTGAGCTCCCAACTCCTCCGCTGCAGCACCTAATTAAAGCCTTCTTCCTTGGCAATAATCCTCGTCTCAGAGATTGGCTTTCTGTGTGGTGAGCAGCAGGACCTAGATTAAACCCCTCATGTTTCAGTAATACCAGCACCTGGAATAATTTCTAGAACACAGAGGTACTAAGTAATGGTCTACTGAACTGAACAAAGGTAGTCAATTCAGACAGTAATAATTATAAGACAGATATAAATAGAGCAAAATGTCAATGCAGTTTGTGGGGAGGGGGTTAACATCATGAAAGGCATCCAGGAAAATGCGGATTCTGATAGGTAAATGAGAAAAGGGGAGAAATGCAGTCGAGAGCTGGCATAAACAAACGTAAACTGAAGAAACCCCTGGGATCTGACATGGGAGCAGGAAGTAGATCATAATTGGAAAATGTTAGAAAACCTCTGGTAGAGGTCCTGGCAAGACTGCACTGAGCCGTGTGGCCATTGAGGGCAGGTTAATAATTTGATACCTCTTTGTGCCAACATTTGTTAAATATCTGTTCAGCATTTACTTATTAGGGCTAGTGAAAAATCAAATTTCTATTAATAAAAGGTGAATACCATTTCTTGGAATTTAGCAATTCACTTTTCTCGAATTATCTCAATTAGGAATTTTTCTGATACTTTAAAAATTATTTTGTAAATTGTAAATTGACAAATTGTAGTTGTGTTTATTTTCTGACACTCATAATTTTTCCAACACACTAAGGAGAGAGGTAAAGCACATACATGGATAAAATCACATTGCCCAGACCCAGCAACACCCCATGCGTGATCTGGTTTCAGAAATGTCACTACTCACCAACCAAAGCCAACTAGTCTATAGGCTGGTGGCGTTGCCTTGTTAGGCCTTGAGCAATGACATTATGCTCACTGAAAAAGAATACCTCAGTCATTACACAAGCTCAACAAGGAGTATTTATAACTTTTCAGTAAGTGAGATCAACTTCCTTGGCCAAAGCAGAATCCATTTACATTTGACAGTTATATGATTCTTCATTTAAAAAATGAGTTAAATGGGAGCATATATCCATTATACCAGTGATGTTGTAAGGCAGGTGTGTGGTTGGTCCTCTCCTTAATCAGATTCCAAGATTATGCTCACTTTACAGATGGAAAAACTGAGGCTGAGAGATGTCAGATAGTTTGCACAGAATTATACAGGAAGTGAGTAAAGGAGACAGTTAAGTACACTCAGGTCTGACACTATCTGTACCAATATGTTTTAAAGATTAAATAGCCTAAAATAAATTGAACAGAAATGAGGCTGAAAACAAACAAAAAAAAGCAGGAGCTTTATTTCAAACAGTATAAGCATGAACTGACTTAGATTTCCTACTAAGAACTAAGGAATCTGATGTTTAAAGAAGTGATGTTTGATGAGTCAGTGAGGGATGGGGCTGGGATTGCAATGGAAGCTGGCTGCCTTTCAGTTCCCAGGGCCCTGCTATGGAGATGTGCCCAGGTGGGCCTGTGCTGGGAGAGTGGAGGCAGGAGTGGTCACTGGCAGCAATGTCATTAAGGCCGTAATGACTTACACAATTTTAAGTGTTCCTACCCATTGCCTTCCCCCCAAATCCTCCCTAGGCCTTCCAGCCCATGGTTCTATAGAAAAAGATAATAAATGTTTGCTACATGAAAGAAATGTATTATTTTTATTAACGTTTGAATAAAGGTGTGCTGTATGTTCGGGAAAGCCATAGCACTCAGACAGCCCAATAAATCTACTGTGGGGAGACTGAAAGCAGAGGTGGCTGAAAAGCTCCCATCTCCCCCATCAGATACTCCATGCTCAGCACACTTGACAAGGGGCAACTCAAGCCACTGAGAGAGTTCTGGGTGGCCTCGCTCCACCCTCCCTGCTGCCTTACTGATTGCATGATTTATCCCTGCCCTACAGCAGAGAGGACTCCATTTCAACTCTTACATCTTTTTTTTTTTAATAGCTAAGACTCTCCAAGCTTCTCTTCTACTTCTTAATAGGTTTTTACAGTGTTTTCTTTTGATTAAGATTTAATATACGTCCATTCAATGGAAAAGTTATTCAACAGAAAACAATGATAATGTCGTTAGAGCAAAAGGTATCTCATATCGGTTCCTTTAATTAGAGCATAAATACTTATCCCACTGGCTTGGGGTAATACAGAGGTAATCAGTAATTGATACCAGTAGCCCGTTTCATTGCCATTCTTATAAGGAAATGTACTGGAAAAAAGGTTTTTTTTTGGCCGGGTGTGGTGGCTCATGCCTGTAATCCCAGCACTTTGGGAGGCCGAGGCGGGCGGATCACCTGAGGTCAAGAGTTCGAGACCAGCCTGCCCAACATGGCAAAACCCCGTCTCTACTAAAAATACAAAAAATTAGCCAGGAGTGGTGGCGAGTGCCTATAATCCCAGCTACTCAGGAAGCTGAGGCAGGAGAATCACTTGAACCTGGGAAGCAGAGGTTGCAGTGAGCCAAAATCACGCCACTGCACTCCACCCTGGGCATCAGAGCAAGACTCCACCTCAAAAAAAAAAAAAAAAAAAGTTTTCTTTTAATGCAAAGGTGGCTTGTGTATTATCCAACTAAAATAAAACCTTGATAAACAAAAATCAAGTTAACCTTAGCAACAGGTTTGGGTTTTTTTTTTTTCAATATTTTTCTCGAGAGGCAGAAAGGCTTTACTTTTTTCGGTTGTTTGTTTTTTGAGACAGAATCTTGCTCTATCACGCAGGCTGGCATGCAGTGGCGCCATCTCGGCTCACTGTAACCTCCACCTCCCGGGTTCAAGCCATTCTCCTGCCTCAGCCTCCCAAGTAGCTGGGATTACAGGTGCCCACCACCATGCTCGGCTAATTTTTTGTATTTTTAGTAGAGACAGGGTTTCACCATGTTGGCCAGGCTGGTCTTGGACTCCTGACCTCAAGTGATCCGCCTGCCTCAGCCTCTCAAAGTGCTGGGATTACAGGAGTGAGCCACCATGACTAGCCAGCTTTACTTTTTTTTTGTGCCTTTCAATGTTGTGTTCTAGTGACAATACAGATTCAGGTCAATCTGCTATCATCACACAGTAAAATATTGAGCAGCAACGATTCCTAGATATTGCAAAATGTTCATTCACTTAAAAAGATCCTAGTGTACTCCAATACTCTACACAATTTCTCTCAGAAATTAAATTGTAAAAGATTTATTTCAGCCAGCAAAAGAAAAACAACTCTGAGCCTACCTATGTGTCAGTACAAAGCTCTGTGTGCTTTAGGCCATCTCATTTAGCCCCTCCAACAAGCCCCAGAAGCATGTGCCATTAGCTCCATTGTCCAGAATAAGAAAATGAGCCTCTAGAAGTCACTAAGTCATGCCAAGTGGCTAAGCCAGGACTGAACCTGAGTCTTTTGATTTGCTTTTCACAGCTACTTGATGCTGCCATGGGGATTGTAAACCAGAAAACTCAACAGGTCAGGTCTAAAGGACATTCTTGTTAACTAAAGTTTATTGCAGACATCTACATTTTAAAACATTTATTGCAACTTTTTGCCACTTATATTATGCTCATTAAGTTTTTTTGTTTCTGAATTGTCAGTAATTTTACTGCCAAATCTTCCCAGTAGACATTACAGTGGAATTTTAAAACATACAGTGGAGCCACCAAGAATTCCCCAGGTGTCCTTGTGTTTGCAAATACAAGCAGTGACACCAAATGAGCCACTAAATAAATAGAGGGGGCAGGGGCAGTCCAAGATAAGTCCAGGAAATAAGACTGGAAAATTTGCCTTAACCCCCATCAAAACCTATCCTGCTAGAATTTAAAGGAACTTCCTTTTATTATACATTAGGGAAAAATAAAGCATTATTCCTACAATACTTCTTGTACAATTGTTTGTGAAATTACATCAACTCACCAAGTTTCAATTTCATTACTTGTAAACGGGAGATGATAAAAACCTATGGGATGGATGTGTGGAAGGAGGGATGGATTTAAACTACTTAATCAATGTTAGTGACTTTATATTATTATACAAAACATGGTGATATGCTTTTTTGCATTGTTATCTGTGGATGGGATGGTTTTCCTCGTCAGACCCACCTGCCACTGGGGTAGAGTGGAAGATAAGGAATATAAAAACAAAGTCATTAATATTTATATTCCAACACCCAAAGCAGAACTTTGTGGCAAGACAACAGACTTGAAATGGCAGAATCTGTAGAGATTCTGTTACCTTTCTTTGCATATCATGAACCAACTCTTTAAGTCCCAGATCTTGACCTTCTCTCCTGCGATGCTAAGTTGCAGGCTCCTCCCCTAAAGGAGGAAGTCAGGAAGTGACAGGTTGGAAAAGTTCAAGGCTGTCCCCATATTGCATCAAGTAGACTGTGGGAAGAAGGGTGACAAGGCAACAGAAAGGGCAGGTAAAAAGCTATGGGCCTGATCTCCCTTGGCTGGGCTAGGTCTGAGAGGGTGAGGCCAGAGAGATGGCCGAGGGTAAACTGTGGGCAGGGGTGCTGGTTTGCACACAGATCAGTCTTGGCACACAGAGAAGACTGCCCCAAAGTCTGCCCCCAGCACCTCTGGAAGTCAGCAGAGTCACAGCAAGTCAGCAGCTATTTTTCCTGAGTAGCTCTTCTTTCCCAGGATGGGAAGGTTCCTAGCACTTAGCAGTTTCCACATGCCCTGGGGATAGGGACTTGCTATGGAGCCTCCCCTTACAAAAGGCAAAGGTCTGGATGGAGCATGTGGCAGGGAGGCCATAGGGTTTAAGTTCTGCCAATATGGGGTGGGGCAGCCAGAAAGGCCTAGAGACCCTGACCCAGCTGAGAAGGGCCCCTGGTCACCACTCGAATTCACTAGGGCAGAGTGACTGGCATGGTCCATGTGGCTCCAACAATCCCTGCATGCCAGGGAATGAGCGATCCAAAAGTGGGGACTGAAACCAGCCCCAGGAAGCAGCTACATCTTAAACAGACTTTTCATTATGAAAAGAGTTCAAATTGCTGGGCGCGGTGGCTCACGCCTGTAATCCTAGCACTTTGGGAGGCCGAGGCAGGCGGATCACCTGAGGACAGGAGTTCGAGACCAGCCTGACCAACATGGAGAAACTCCATCTCTACTAAAACTACAAAACTGGCCGGGCATGGTTGCTATTTGGGAGGCTGAGGCAGGAGAATCACTTGCAGGAGAATCACTTGAATCCAGGAGGCAGAGGTTGCGGTGAGCCAAGATCACGCCATTGCACTCCAACCTAGGCAACAAGAGTGAAACTCCGTCTCAAAAAAAAAAAAAAAAAAGAAAGAAAGAAAGAAAGAAACAAGAGTTCAAATCAGAAACAACTACAATATTGCTCAGTGACAGTGGGTAGCAACTTGTAAGGACCACAGAGCCACTGTCAAAAATAAAGAACATAGCATTTCCCCTCTACATTTCAGTGCAGTTAATAATTCTGAAAGCCTCTATATTACCATTTTTGAATATCAATGTAAGTACTTACGGCTCACAAAAGAAAGCAATCTCATAAGACTGTCAAATAACGAAACTAAGCCAAAATATATTTGGGGATAAAAAAGTTTTTTTTGTTTGTTTGTTTTTGTTTTGTTCTTGAGACAGAGTCTGACTCAGCCACCCAGGCTGGAGTACAGTGGTGCGATCTCAGCTCACTGCAACCACTGTCTCCCGGATTCAAGTGATTGTCCCAAATCAGCCTCCCGAGTAGCTGGGATTACAGGCACCCACCATCATGCCCAGCTAATTTTTGTATTTTAATAGAGATGGGGTTTCACCATGTTGGCCAGGCTGGTCTTGAACGCCTGACCTCAGGTGATCCACCCGTCTCGGCCTCCCAAAGTGCTAGGATTACAGGCATGAGCCACTGTGCTCAGCCAAAAAAAAATGCTGATAGAGCATTAGTTATCAGCCCAATCTATTTCTTAAGTTTTAATTTTTAATTGACAAATAAGAGTTGTATATATTTATGGGATACAATAGGATGCTTTGATGTATGCATACATTGTGGAATGATTTTAGAATGACTATGTATACATTGTCAAGTGATCATATCAAACTAACATATCCATCACCTTCCATACTTATCATTTTTTTACAGTGAAAACATTGAGAATCTATTCTTTTAGTAATTTTGAAATAGATACTACATTATTATTAACTATAGTCACCGTGCTGTGCAATCGATATGGAAAAGTTAGTCCTCCTATCTAACTGAAATTTTGTACCCTTTGGTCAACATCTCCCCAGTCCTCTCCTACTGCTACCCGCCAAGCCTGTGGTTACTACCTTTCTACTCTCTACTTCCGTAAGTTCTACTTTCTAAGTTCCACTTTCTAAGGTTCCCACACGTAAGTGAGATCATGTAGTATTTCTCTTTCTGTGCCTGGCTTATTTCACTTAGCAAAATGTCCTCCAAGTTTATCCATGTTGTTGCAAATGACATTATTTCCTTCTTTTTCAAGACTGAATAGTATTCTATTGTGTGTGTGTATATATACATATATACACATATACGTGTGTGTGTATATACATATATATATACACACACCATATTTTATTCATTCATCTGTTGATGGACACTTCCGTTGATTCCATATCTCAGCAATTGTGAATACCGTAATGCAGAAGTCTTCAACCCCCACGCCACGGACTGGTGCTGATCCATGGCCTGTTAGGAACCAGGCCACACAGCAGGAGGTGAGCGGTGGGTGAGTGAACATTACCGCCTGAGCTCTACCTCCTGTCGGATCAGTAGCGGCATTAGATTCTCACAGAAGCGTGAACCCTATTGTGAACTGCACATGTGATCTAGGTTGCATGCTCCTTGTGAAAATCTAATGCCCAGTGATTTGTCACTGTCTCCCATCACCCCCAGATGGAATCATCTAGTTGCAGGAAAACAAGCTCAGGTCTTCCACTGATTCTACATTATGGTGAGTTGTATAATTATTTCATTATATATTACAATGTAATAATAATAAAGTGCACAGTAAATAATGTGCTTGAATCATCCTGAAACCATCCCCCTACCCCAGTCCGTAGAAAAACTGTCTCCCATGAAACAGGTCCCTGGTGCCAAAATGGTAGGCGACCGCTGCTGAAATTAAAATGAGAGTGCAGATATCTCTTCAACATACTAATTTCAATTCTTTTGAATAGATACCTGAAGTAGGATTGCTAGGTCATATGGTAATTACATTTCTAGTTTTTTGAGGAAACTCCATATTGTGGTATGGCTGTACTAATTTACATTTCCACCAGCAAAGTACAAGGATTATCTTTTCTTCATATCCTCGTCAATACTTATCTTTCATCTTTTTGCTAATAGCCATTCTAACAAGTAGCAGGTGATAGCTGACTGTGATTTTAATTTGCATTTCTCTCATGAATAGTAATATTGACCACTTTTTGCAGGAACCTGTTGGCTATTTGTATATCTTTGACAAATGTCTATTTAAGTTCTTTGGCCATTTTAAAATCAGGTTTTCTTCCTATCATGTTGTTTCAATTCTTTATATATGTTGGCTATTAACACCTTATCAAATGTGTGGTTTATAAATAATTTTTACCACTCTGCGTGTTGTCTCTTCATTCTGTTAATTACTCCCTTTCTTGTGCAGAAGCTTCTTAGTTTGATGTAATCTCATTTGTCTTTTTTCGCTTTTATTGCTTGTGCTTTTGGGGTCATTTCCACAAAAATCATTGTCTAGACCAATGTTATACAGATTTCCCCCTATGTTTTCTTCTAGAAGTGTACAGTGTAAATTCACACATTTAAGTCTTTAATCTATTTTTCATTTGTTTTTGTATATGGTGTGAGATAGGGGGTCCAATTTCATTCTTCTGCTTGAGGATATCCAGTTTCCCAGCACCAATTAAAGACTGCCCATTTTGTATATTTTTCAAGTCCATGTTGAAGGCACTAAGCCATATTTCCTCTCAAATAAATAAAAGTACATGTATTTTGAATTTCCACATAAACTGAGAAAACCATAGGCTACTTCAACTATTTGGCTTTCTTCTTAAAATATCAACATAACACACTCTTATTCAAGATAGTACTGGAAGCCCATGCCAAGCAATCAGGAAAGAGAAAGAAATAAAAGGCATCCAATTAGGAAAACTATCTCTCTTCACTGATACGATTCTATACCTAGAAAATCTCAAAGGCTCCTGGGACTGATAAGTGGCTTCAGTGGAGTTTCAGGCTACAAAATTGATGTACATAAAACAGTAGCATTTCTATACACCAATAATGTTCAGGAAGAGCGCCAAATCAAGAACACAATCAAATTTACAACAGCCACACAAAAAACAAAATACCTAGGAATACATCTAACTAGAGAGGTGAAAGGTATCTACAAGGACAACTACAGAACACTGCTGAAAGAAATCATAGATGACACACACACACACAAAAATGGAAAAACATGGATTGGAAGAATGAATATCGTTAAAATGGCCATACTGCCCAAAGCAATCTACAGATGCAGTGCCATTCCTATCAAGCTACCATTGTCATTTTTCACAGAACTAGAAAAAACTATTCTAAAATTCATATGGAATAAAAAAAGAGCCCAAATAGCCAAAGCAATCCTAAGCAAAAGGAACAAAGCCAGAAGCCATCATATTCACTGACTTCAAACTATATTATAAGGCTACAGTTACCAAAACAGCATGGTACTGTTACAAAAATAGACACAAAGACCAATGGAACAGAATAGATAACCTAGAAATAAAGCTGCACACCTACACCCATCTGATCTCTGACAAAATCAACAAAAATAAGCAATGGGGAAAGGACTCCCTATTCAATGAATGGTGCTGGGATAACTGCCTAGCCAATATACAAAAGAATGAAATATACCCCTACCTTTTACCATTTATAAAAACCAACAAGATTGATTAAAGATTTAAATGTAAGACGTCAAACTATAAGAATACTAGAAGAAAACCTGGGAAGCACCATTGTGGACATTAGCCTTGGCAAAAAAAAATTATTACTAGGCCTTCAAAAGCAATTGCAGCAAAAACAAAAACTGACAAGTGGGACCTAATTAAACTAAAGAGTTTCTGGACAGCAAAATAAATTATCAACAGAGTAAAGAGACAAACTACAACATGGGGGAAAATATTTGCAAACAGTGCATCTGACAAAGGTCTAATATCCAGAATCTATAAGGAACTTAAACAATTGAACAGGAAAAACAAAACAACCCCATTAAAAAATGAGCAAAATACGTGAACAGACACTTTTCAAAAGAAGACACACAAGCAGCCAATAAACATATGAAGAAATGCTCAACATCACTAATCATCCAAGAAATGTAAATCAAAACTCCAATGAGTTATCATCTGACACCAGTCAGAATGGCTATTACTAAAAAGTCAAAAGACAACAGATGCTGGCAAGACTGCAGAGAAAAGGGAATGCTTGTACACTGTTGGTGAGAATACAAATTAGTTCAGCCACTGTGGAAAGCAGTTTGAAGACTTCTCAAAGAACTTAAAATAGAACTACCATTTGACCCAGCAATCCCATTACTGGGTATATTTCCAAAAGAAAATAAATCGTTCTGCCAAAAAGACACATGCACTCATATGTTTACTGCAGCAGTATTCACAATAGCAAAGACATGGTGATGCGGTTTTGCTGCATCCCCACCCAAATCTCATCTTGAATTGTAGCTCCCATAATCCCCTCGTGTCATGGGAGAGACCCAGAAGGAGGTAACTAAATCATGGAGGTGGGTTTTTCATGTGCTGTTGTTTGTGACAGTAAATAAGTCTCAAGAGATCTGATGGTTTTATAAAGGGCAGTTCCCACACACACTCTCTTGCCTGCTGCCATCTAGGACATGCATTTGCTTCTCCTTCACCTTCTGCCATGATTGTGAGGCCTCCCCATTCATGTGGAACTGTGAGTCCTCCCCATTCATGTGGAACTGTGAGTCCATTAATCCTCTTTTTCTTTATAAATTACCCTGTCTAGGGTATTTCTTCATAGCAGTATGAAAATGCACTAATATAAATAAAACCAACCTAGAGACCCATTAATGGTGGACTGGATAAAAAAAAAAATGGTACATATATACCATGAAATACTATGCAGCCATAAAAATAATGAAATAATGTCCTTTGTAGCAATATGGTTGCAGCTGGAGGCCATTATACTACGTGAATTAACGCAGGAACAGAAAACCAAATACTGCATGTTCTTACTTATAAGTGGGAGCTAAACAATGGGTACTTATGGACAAAAAGATGGCAACAATAGACACTGTAGACTACTGGATGAGGGAAAGAGGGAGGGCAAGGGCCGAAAAACTATTACGTACCATGCTCAGTACCTGGGTGACGGGATCATGCATACCCCAAACCTTAGCATCACGCAATATACCTAGGTAAAAAACCTGCACGTGTACCCTTTGACTCTAAAATTAAAGTTGAAATTTTTTTTTAAAATCATCAAAGTAAAAAGAAACAAAAAACAAAAACCCTGTGCTAGAGTAGGCCCTAGAAAAATTCCCTTAGAGGGGCCCGGATCATTCCAACAAATGTGATCTTTTGATGACACTGTCCATTTGGTTACAAGGCTAACCACGAAATTAGTTGACTCATGGAGGCCTGTTATAAACAAAACATATCAACTTCAACTAACTTGGATTTAGGTGCAAATGCTAAGCTTGAATTCTAAGTCTTGGGTTAGTTTCAGTGATGAAGCTGAGAACTAGAGATGTGAGGTGCCCGATGTCCAAACTTCCAGACTGGGTGTGTTGCTGTAATACTTGTGAGGCCCAGTGATGGAATCTGCCCCTTCCCTAACCAGACCAGATGGACACACCACTTCCCTGAGGACCACAGGCTGCTGGGACAATGCCCCCAACTCCTCCACTGTCAGCAAGAAGTATTCCTAGCCAGAGATTATTGATAATCTCCTATTTCCTTAACCTTCCTCACTAATCCCCAGCAGCGCAGGGAAGCTTGCTTTCTTAGGCATAAGTGATAAACGCGTGTCTGCTCTGTAAGGCCTCTCACACAGAGGGGAAGAACTTGCACTTAGTTCTACCTCCGGAACTAGGAGGTAGGAAATGAGCCTTTTAAACATGCTAAAACAATACTAAAAATCAAAGTGAAGAAGACTAGAACCTATAAAAGTAAGATGGCAAATTGTATGGGTCATGCTTTGCTCCCTATTGTAGCCAGGGTGGAAGAAAATCGGCAACATTTCTAAATACTACCATCTATTCCTAAGCCTACAAAGACAACCTCAACTGAAATTTCTCACAGTCATTCTTCTACCAGAAAACAATAACAGGATAAGGTGTAAACTTCCTCAACTGATTTTAATAAGTCTTAAAGCAAATGCTTCATTTTTATTTAATGAAAGTTAGCTACTTCTTGGCAAAAGGAGAACCAGACAAGCCCTTGGGACCTGCACACAGTTTACGAGGATATGGCTTAGTTCAGATACACTTAATTGGAGCCAGGCTTAAAGTTATTTACCCTTTTTGTTTTGTTTTGTTTTTTAAGATGGAATCTCACTCTGCCACCCAGGCTGAAGTGCAGTGGTGCGATCTTGGCTCACTGCAACCTCAGCGTCCCAGGTTTCAAGCAATTCTCCCACCTCAGCCTCCTGAGTAGCTACAGGCATGCACCATCATGCTTGGCTAATTTTTGTATTTTTTTTGGTAGAGGTGGGGCTTCATTATGTTGGCCAGGCTGGTCTCAAACCCCTGACCTCAAGTGATCTCTCCACCTCGGCTTCCCAAAGTGCTGGGATTATAGGCATGAGCCACTGCACCCCACCTTATCCTTTAAACTAGTGCAAATCCGCTCAAAAAAAAGAAAAGCCTTGACAAGTTTAGTATAGAAACTTTAGTTAGAATATTTGCTTATTCCTGACTCTCCACCAAACAAAGCTTGGTAATAATTCTCCTTTTATAAAGCTTTCACTGGTAGAGAAACACAGAAAGTTAGGCAATTCTCCAATAAATAAGGTAGTCGCAGAACTATAACATATATGTTTTATTCTATGGTGACTGGTTTCTTAGACCACCAAACACCGTTTATAAAACACCAGCTCATTCCCTAACTCTGCGGGTCATACAGACTTTTGAATGTGATTGTCAAAGTCTGGCATCTGAATCACTGAGGGCTAACGGCTGGTTAAAATCTAGATGTCAGGGCCTCAGTCTATACTTAAATAAAGCCCCATGAGGTACAGCCCAGGAATTAGCACTATTAAAAAGTGCTGCAGGTAACTGCTATGCAAATTAAATTTGACGACCACTGCTTTAGAAAAAACACAATTTTATTTAGTCAAGGGGGGACTTTGATGCGGCTATCAGAAAGGGACCTAGGATTATTTTACAAAGTATCTATCTATCTATGGTTCCTTATCTCCAAACAAAAACACTTAACAATAAAATGTACCACTTAAGCTGAAATTGTACATGCCTTCATTGTACGTGCCTTCATTGACTCCAGGGTGAAAATGTCTATCACTAATCTTATCCCCAAAACAAATCTTAATCACTATATGACAGTATTTAAAATACAGTATTTTTATAACCTATCTGAAAAATGCAAATAGCTAGAACCAGGGCTTGCTTATCTGCTTAAAAAGACAATGTCTGATTTAGAAACTCTCAAGTGTTAAGTATTTTTTATTACATGAGTGAAAAGAATAGTATATAAATTTCACTTTTGTCATAAGCATCACTTATCCTGGTGGAATTCAGCTGAAGCAAATTATGCACTTTGCATCACTTACTATGGAATATTATTTACTTTTCTTCACATACCATGTTCATGTCATTTCCAGTTTTACTGAGAACAGTTCCATTTGCATGTCTGTTTATCCAATTAGACTTTTAATGTGACGAAGGATGGACACTAGCTGGGTCATACGGCCAGGACAAAGATTTCCCTTGATAGCTCTTACTTGTCAATACAAATGACAGAAGAAAATGTCCCCGGGGGGAAAAAAAGGCCTTCAGTAGATTTTTACTAGGAAAAAAGTCGATAAAATGAAAAAAGTTTAGGAAGGAAAATAAATGATTAGTAATTATTATTCTCATATTCTTGTGGAATAGACAGCAATGTATAATTGAGAGAAGGGGAGCTTCCTAGTACTTGGTACTTAGGACATGACCTCCAGCATGGTACTCTAGTCATCGACCAAGCCTACCTCTGCATTTTATAAAAGAATGGAAACTGAGGCTGAAAAAAGACAGTGATTAATCAGGGGGAACACACCCAGTGTAGGAGTCAAATTTCCTGGCCACACCCCCAGAACTGCTAAATTTTGGTAGAAGCCCATGTTTTCCACAGAATTTCATAACTCTATAAGAATAGCATATGGCAAGGATTTTTCTTCTTAAGGAATATTTTAGTATATAAGAGACATGATTTTAGCCATTAAAGTTTTCTGTTTAATTATGTGATCTCCTAATATTTCCTCAAATATTTTAATATTTAATATTTTAAAACATCTACAGATTGCAAAAGCAATAATAATATTAAAATGTTGTACCTTACAGAGAAGCAGTCACAGAATTGTAAATTCTAAAAATAAATCATAGACAATGCCACCCCCCCAGCAACCACTCACGTACCCTCCAGTGCAAACCTTTATTTACCCAAATACACAGAATTTGTCAGATACAGCGTTATAAGTGGATGCATGTCCTGTTTAGGGCACCTGGTAATTAGCATAATGGCCTCTTGGGCCCTGCCTCAGAATGCTGGGTGGCATGTATCACAGATTCATCTGGGAAGCAGCTTCCACTAACCAGGGAACCAAGGACAAAGGAGCTGGCAGGCTTCAGGGGAGTAGCTGCCCAGTCAACAGTGTATTAAGGACAGCCATTAGTTGCCACAATCAGTTAATTAGCTCAACAAATGCAAAACCTAAATCATTAAATAAAGTGGCCCTGATTGCACTGCTGACTTCTGATTTGGTATCACTAACCCAGCAGGGTGAGAATGAGGTAGTTCCACAAAAAATAAAAACCTGTCCACATTGGGAAAATGATATAGGATGGGATTTCATTTTCATGAAAGTTGAGCCCTGCCAGGAAGTTTCATTGACAAAAAAAAAAAAAAAAAAAAAAAAGTGGAGGTGCCAGGGAGACCTCTGTGTTTATGCTTTGAAATTTAAATTAATTTAAATATAAATTGCTCTCCCCTTTTGTCATTATGAGAAGGAAATAAAATGTGGGTTTCAGATCTCTGGTGTGTAAATGGTCATTAACTTTCATTTGACCTTGGGTACAGAACTAATATTGGATTTATGCACAGGGTACACTCATTATGCTCATCTAGTTTCCTCACAAAAAACATGTTCCCAGGAGCTGCAATGCTGGAAGCTGCTTCTTAGCTCTCAACTAGAAAACTTGATTCTCTCTTTAATGCCTCTCCCCCGCCTTACACCCACCTCTCTGCTCAATGTCTCAGGAAACTGTTTCTCCAGGCTTAGCAATGTGTATAAAACATGTGCAAGAAGAAGTAGGACTCTGAAGAGCTTAAAATCATTGTCCTGGACCACACAAGACCAGACAGTAACCTGCTCTGGGCAACGTCACCTTACTGGCACCATCAGTGTTCAGTTCTTCCCAGGATCAAATTCCCTACAATAGGAACAAGCTTCCACTTACAGCAATTCAATTAGCTTTGTCTACTAAGTGTTACACAGCTTGACTGAAGTGCCCCAAGTATTTTTGAAAACCAAGACCTCAAAAACCTTGGATTCTGGAGTATGCGCTGCTGTAGTTATAATTATTCACCTCCTTGGCAAATCTGTTTCATTTACTATCTTAATGGGCATGACCATATTGAAGGATTAAAAAGAAAATCATCTTGCCTTGCTTTCTGATTTTCTTAATTCTAAACAATTCTCAGGGTTAAAGGAATCTAACTTCTTATACTCACTACTCTCAGATCTCCTGCTCATCAGGAGAAATCTGTGAAAAGGGCTATTTTCTTTTATAGTATGCCATTGAATGGTTATTTATCATTTCGACTTAATAGCTCTAATTACAAAAGATAGTGTCATGGGACTTTTTTTAAAGGCAATTTTCTTTGTATCCCAGTGGGAGAGTTAGAAAAAATTTACAAAGCATCTGCTGAATGCATTTTCAATTATTCCTGGGCTTTACCAGTGCTATTACTTTCTTGATTGTAAGAATTTTACATTTTCAAATATGCTTTAACTTTACAATGCATTAAGAATTACTGTTTTAAGATTCTTATGATGGTTTTATCTCACTTAAAAAAAAAAGAAAGATACAACCCATCAAACATTGAATTGATCACTGCTCAACAAGAACATGCACTGGTGGAGACAGGACGTGAATATACAAAATTTGTCAGCAAGCAGGGACAGAAGAACGATCTCTGGAAATGTTAGAACAATGAGTTATTATAGCACTGGAGAAGGAGACAGATTTTACAAACTTCAACAATCAGCATGGTGTTAGGCAAAGCTCTCTCTTTTGGGGAAAACATCCTAGGAATCATCAATCAATTAGGAAGACAAGAATGTTGTGTTGATTATTTTAGGGGAAAACACATGACACTTCTTTCCTCTTGGCTGACAAATGCTAAACAACACATTCAGCGGGGTTATCAGACAATCGGTGTTGGCCTGTGCTGACCAGAAATGAGAGTGATGGGCGCTGCTGGACACAGTATCGAGGATGTGGCAAAAGAAAAGAAAAGGACAGAAACAAACCATCTGGAAAAATCAATTCTGAGAGGATCCTGGTCCATCCTTTGAGAGGCTGTGAAAGTCTTGGGAAATGTACGTGGTTGAAAATACCACCAAAAAATAAGCATAAACTTTTAATTACTTAAATACAGCCAACAGACTCCTCTTATAACGTAGCATTTTTTAGCGTAAACACTCTTTATTAGAACACTCAGCAATTAGATGGAAAGAAGATCAAAAGGAGAGCATTCAAAATAATATCTCTATAGCTTTTTAAGATAACTTAAATTTCTTCCAAAAAAATTAAACACATATTATCAGAAAGGTAAAGGAAATCTGAGATGACAATAATTATATTAAGCAAGTCAGCCTGTCTTTGCTGACCCTAATTTTATTACTAACATCCATTCTAAAATCCCATTTGTCATGCATTCTCCTAAATATTAGCTATGTATTTACCAAAGGATCAAGGTAAAGTCTAATATGGTGCTACGTTAAAAGAAGAACCTGTCAACTAAAAATAAAAAGTAAAAATTTATAAGACCATAAAAGCAGAAGCTATTCCACAGGTATAAAGGTTATTTTTTTCTTCTACACATGAAAAAGGGAAAGCCTTATTTATACTGTTAAAAATATTCTATCATCAATTTCATTTCTTGTGACAAAGCAATATGAATATCTTGTCTTTGGAATATTCTGCTCCAAAGTAGAATATGCCTTTTCACTGGTGTCCAGTTTCAAACCTCACAAATGCCTCGCATGGTGAGTCCTGCTAACATGTGACTGCTCCCAATATTACATACATATACTTGAAAAGGGGGCTTAAAACCTCTAAGTTTTCCAAAATCGTGTTACTGGTGATGTGATTGTTACTCACAGTAGATCTGGAAAGCTGGGACTTTAGACAAAGGGTAATCAAAAGAAAAAAAAAAAAGGCCGGGCATGGTGGCTTACACCTGTAATCCCAGCGCTTTGGGAGGACGAGGCGGGCGGATCACCTGAGGTGGGATGTTTGAGACCAGCCTGACCAAGGTGGAGAAACCCCGTCTCTACTGAAAAAAAAAAATTAGCCAGGTGTGGTGACACATGCCTGTAATCCCAGTTACTTGGGAGGCTGAGGCAGGAGAATCGCTTGAACTCAGGAGGCAGAGGTTGCAGTGAGCTGAGATCGCGCCATTGCACTCCAGCCTGGGTGACAAGAGCAAAACTCCGTCTCAAAAAAAAAAAAAAAAAAAAAATCAAACCCCTCAGATTGTCTCATAGAGCAGTCCTCAACCTTTCTGGCACCAGGGACCAGTTTCACGGAAGACAATTTTTCCATGGACTTGGAGAGGAAGGGGGAGATGGGATGGTTTTGGGATAAAATTGTTCCACCTCAGATCATCAGGCACTAGATTATCATAAGGAGCACGCAACCTAGATCCCTTGCATGTGCAGTTCACAACAGGGGTCGCGCACCTGTGAAAATCGAATGCTGCCACTGATCTGACAGGTGGTGGAACTCAGCGGGTAATGCTTGCTTGCTGCCACTCACCTCCTACTGTGCAGCCCAGTTCCCAATATGCCACGGACAGGCACCAAACCATCGACCAGAGATTGGGGACCCCGAGTCTAACAGGTCCACCTTGATTACCAGATCCTGGGGTTTCCTACTTGAATGTTTTACCTGGAGTTCACTGTCATGGCAAATAAGAGTTAGCAGGTTGTTGAAACCATATGCCCACCCCAAATGCCTATTTAAGCTTGAATACAGGATTATAAGGTCATATAGGATACATTCTTTGAACATAGGAATCAAAGATGTATCCTATATGATCTTAGAAAAAACAATTTAACGTAAAACATTGGCTTCTCTCTTATCCGTTCTAGCCTCTTAAAAATAATAATGTTTTTAAAAGCTAAACACAATAAGCTAGCTGGGCACCATGGCTCACATCTGTAATCCCAGCACTTTGAGAGGTCAAGGCGGGAGGACTGCTTGAGCCCAGGAGCTTGAGACCAGCCTGGGCAACATAGCAAGACCCTATTTCTACCAAAAAAAAAATTAAAAATTATCTGGGCATGGTGGCACATGACTGTAGTCCCAGTGACTTGGGAGGCTGAGGTGGGAGGATCACCTGACTCTGGGAGGTAGATTGCAGTGAGCCATGATCACACCACTGCACCCCAGCCTGGGTGACAGAATGAGACTGTCTCAAAACAAAACCAAAACCAAAACCAAAAACACAATAGGCTAAACCATTTTATACACTTTGATATATCATATATATTGTAATATCTTAGTAAAATATTTTGGTACATGAAGAACACTTTAACCTGAATTCCTGGCTGGTTTATCCTAGAAAGAGAGAAAAAATGTTATTACCCACAACTTGAAGAGTTTATGAGTTTTCAATTCATTCCTTTCAATTTCCAGGAACAAAAGCAGAATAAGAATGCCTTTTCACAAGTTACATATTTACTCTCATTATCTTGAAAATTACTAATCAAGAGTGGGAGTGTGGCTGGAAATGCCAGAGACCAGGTGTTGGAAAACCTGAGTCTGCATTCTGCCTGCAGACTTTCTAGCCTGTGTGAGTCTCAGGGTGGCACCTCCTCTCTAAATCTTGTGATTGAGACAGTGCAAACAATTCCTTCTGGGGTGATCACATTACTCTTGCCTGCCCAGCAGCCATTCTCCCCTCTGCTGGTGTTCTTTGTAGAGCCATGTATTTTGCTTGTGTGGGGTTGACTTGACCTGTCTACTTCCCCCTGCCATTCTCCTGCTGCTCCAGAGGTGGGCACTTCATCCTTCCAACAAGATCGCTTAGCAAAGCTTCTTTTGGGGCTATCAGGACAATCCCTCGCTGAGACTGTTAAACTCTACAGAGTCCTTGAGGCAAAAAATTCCCTTTTTGGTTTTCAGTTAGTTTTTCTGTCACATGCACCTAAAATAATCCTGAATAAAATAGTCCCAAGGTTGTGACTGAGGTGAATGAATGTAAAAAGTGAAAACATTGTTAGAACAGGATTTTTAAATATTAGAGCTGGAAGGAATCACTGAGGTTACCAAATTTTACGCCAGCCCCTGCAAGATACAAATTGAAATCACAAAGCCGAGGTCGCAAAGACACGTAATGACAAAAATAAAACAGAGCCTGGAGGTCCTTCTTTCCTTTTCAAACTTTAAAATCCCAGATACTTTAGTTTTAAAACACTTAACTAGCTATGGGCTAAGGACAGAGAGTGAAATTTAAACACTGCCAAGGAGATTTACCACTATGAGATTTCTGGCTTTCCAGAAATAGAAGCCCACCATGGCACAAATTTCATATGATCTAAAGATAATGAGAGCTAAAAGTGCTTTGGATTCCCTGGAAAAGGGAAGTAACACATCTCCCAAGACACTAATGAGCCAACATTAGCAGGAGAATAAGCAATCCAACAACGAGAAAGAAGTGCAAGGATATCTGTGCAAATTTCTGCAAATCTTATGAAGCCTTAAAATGCTATTCACATCCACTAAGGTTCGCTCTTAGGGTAGAAAACTGTTCAAAGGCACATCCTAATGGCCTTTTAGAAAATTACAACAAATAGATTTTTTACTAAGCTTACAGCCTTTAATTATTCATAAAACCTACACTGATTGGCAGTTACTTTTATTTCTGTTTGTACAGTGGGCTGAAACTAAAAATTTTTTACATTAATGCTCATTTTAATAACCTCTTGCAGTTAGACAGAAATCCGGCAGGACCACCTGTGCCCTAATTAACAGTTTTACTACAAGACATAAGATAGTAGGGTAATCAATTCCTTCTGTCAAGCTCCAGATGTGCCAGCTATCATTTTAAATACTTTTTTATTTGATGTATATTAGCTTATTTTTCTTCTCCTTTAAAAAGTATTCAATAGTTTTAAAAATAAGAAGCATACATAGAAAACACCATTCTGCAGCTGGAACTCTACTTAATTAAGGCCATGCTTAATGGTTCTGCGTTTGATCACCTCCTAAAATCACAATAAGAAGTTTACCTTTCTCTGACAGTCACTGACTCATTAATGCATTCTATTTATGAAACATATGCTATGATTTTAAAACAGCAGGGGCCATACTTGTCCTTGCTCACTATTGTATCCTGTGTCTTACACTGCATTCAGCTTATAGTTTGTGCCCAGCTAGGGTTTGATAAAGGAACAAATGAATACAATACCTATGACTTAGGCTCTTTTGTACCTTGCCATTGTTCCTTCACATCCACACTCAATGCCAACTCAAGCATTGAGAATGCACAGTGAATCAGTCAGGTATCTCTAATATTTCCATATTTGAATTCTTTGAATACAGTAATATATATCTTGTTGGTTATTTTTACCCCTAGATTGTTTCCCAAATGTATTGTAGTTCAGGGTGGGGAGGGGTTGTAAGAAAGAAATGTCTTTGTTTTTTCCTAATACAATCTTCTTCATTTATATTGCTCTTCTAATCAGAAAACATTATATTTAATTAAAGTCAGGGGCAAAATAAGAATGACAACTATCATTGATATTATTCAAACTTATACTGCAAGGCTCTAATGAAATATTATAATATGGGAAAAAAGGAATTATATGCATTGGTAAACATAGACAAAACAGTCATCATTGACAGATGATGAATTTGTCCATGTGGAAAATCCAAGATAATTTTTAAGGAAGCTATTAGAACTCATTGGAGTTCAACAATTTTAAGGGACACAAAATCGAAAATTCTCATACAACAAAAAAAGAGCCAACTAGAAGAGATAATAGATGTAGATACAGATAAACTGATTCTGAAGTTTTTATGGAGAGAGAAAAAACTGAGAATAGTCAACACAAGATTGAAAGCGAAGAACAAAGTTGGAAGGCAGACACTACCCAATTTCAATACTTAACGTAAAGGTACAGCAATCAAGACAGTGTGGTATTGTTGAAAGAATAGACAAACAGGCCAGGTACGGTGGCTCACGCCTGTAATCCCAGCACTTTGGGAGGCCGAGGCAGGCAAATCACCTGAGGTTGGGAGTTCGAGACCAGCCTGACCAACATGGAGAAACCCTGTCTCTACTAAAAATACAAAATTAGCTGGGCATGGTGGCACCTGCATGCCTGCAATCCCAGCTACTCAGGAGGCTGAGGCAGGAGAATCACTTGAACCGGGGAGGCAGAGGTTGTGGTGAGCCAAGATCGCGCCATTGCACTCCAGCCTGGGCAACAAGAGCGAAACTCCGTCTCAAAAAAAAAAAAAAAAAAAAAAAAAGAATAGACAAATAGATCAATGGAACAGAATAGAGAGCCCATAAATAGACCCAAATATAGTCAATTGATCTTTGACAAGGAGCAAAGGCAATATAATAGGGAAAAGACTGTCTTTTCAACAAGTGGTTCAGAAACAACTGGATATCCACATGCAAAAGATAAAATAAAATAAAAATAGAACCTAGACACAGACATTACACCCTTGAAAATGAACTCAAAATGGGCCCCAGACCTACATGTAAAATGTGAAATTATAAAACTCCTAGACTATAACATAGGAGAAAATCTAGATGACCTTAGATTTGGTGATGACTTTGTAAATATAAAACCGAAGGCATGACTCATGCGAGAAAAAATTGATAAGCTAGACTTCATTAAAATAAAAACATTTCTGTTTTGCAAAGACACTTAAGAAAATAAAAAGGCAAGCTATGGAGAGAAAATATTTTACAAAAGACATATCTGATAAAGAACTGTTATCCAAAATATACAAAGAACTCAAACTCAACAATAAGAAAACATACCAATTAAAAAATGAGCAAAAGACCTGAACACATACCTCAACGAAGAAGACATACAATAAGCACATGAAAAGATGCTCAACATCATATGTCATTAGGGAATTGTGAATGAAAACAAAGAGATATCACTACACATCTATTAAAAGGGCCTACTAGAATGGCCAAAATCTAGAACACTGACTACATCAAATGCTGGTGAGGATGTGGAGCAAGAGGACCTCTCAATTATGCTGGTAAGAATGCAAAATAGTATAGCCACTTTGGAAGACAACTTGGTAGTTTCTAATAAAATTTAACATACTCTTAACACATGATCTAGCAATCAAACTCCTTGGTACTTACCCAAAAGAGATGAAAATTTACATTCACACAAAAATCTGCATATCCAAAGCTTTATTCATAATTGCCAAAACTTGAAAACAACCAAGATGTCTTTCAGTAAGTAAATGGATAAACTGGTTCATCCAGACAGTGGAATATTATGCAGCACTAAAAACCAAGGAGCTCTGAAACCGTGAAAAGATTCTGAATGCATATTACTAAGTGAAAGAAGCCAGTCTGAAAAGGCTACGTATTGTACGATTCCAACCATATGACATTATGGAAAAGACAACAACTACGGAGAGAGTAAAAAGATTAATGGTTGTCTCGAACTCCTGACCTCGTGATCCACCCACCTTGGCCTCCCAAAGCGCTAGGATTACAGGCGTGAGCCACCACGCCCAGCCCAACATGGTGAAACCCCGTCTACTGAAAATACAAAAATTACCCGGGTGTGGTGGCAGGTGCCTGTAATCCCAGCTACTTGGGAGGCTGAGGCAGGAGAATCGTTTGAAATCGGAAGGCAGAGGTTGCAGTGAGTGGAGATCGTGCCACTGCACTCACTTCAGTCTGGGCAACAAGAGCAAAAACTCCGTCTCAAAAAAAAAAAAAATTAATGGTTGTAGTGGGTTAGAGGAACATAGAGTTGAATAAGTGGAGCACACAGGATTTTTTAGGGCAGTAAAACTACTCTGTATGACACTATAATGGTGGATACATGTCATTATACATTTCTCCAAACCCATAGAATGTACAACATCAAGAGTGAGCCCTAAACTATGGACTTTGGGTGATAACCACATGTCAATGGAGGTTCCGTTATTGTAAAAAACGTAACATTCCAAACCAGAGTGGGATGCTGATAGTGGAGAGACTGTACATGTGTGGGGCAGGAGGTATAAAGCAACTCTCTGCACTTTGTATTCAATTTTGCTATGAACCTAAAACTGCTCTAAAAAATAAAGTCTATCAAAAAAAAAGAGAAATTTCATTAAAGAAAAAGACTGAGGAACCATCACACAATGCAGAAATTAGGACCAGTAAAAAAAAAAAAAAAGATATTACAAAAAATAGTTCATTTACAACAGTAATCAAAACTACAAGGTACCTAAAAATACATCAAACAAAAATGTCGACTTGTACAGGGAAAGATACCCTATATTCATTGATAGAAACACATTATCTCAAAAATATCTGATTTATATAATAATCTATAAGGTAAATACACATTTAAAAAATCCCTATAGAGACTTTCATGGAACTTGACAAATTAAAACTTTGAAGAGAACAAGAAAAGTAAGAAGAGACTTGCCTTACCCACCCAATGCCCCACTCTCCCCTGAAGTCTTATTATAAAGCATTGGTAATTAAAACAGGATAGTGTAGGCACAAGGAAAGGTAAATAGATCAGTGGAACACAGAGACCAGAAATAAATCCAAGCACAGCATATATATAAACTTCATATATAATGGAGTAAGCATTATAGATCAGTGAGCAAAGAATTCAATGAATGCTAATAGGGTAACTGGCTTAACATAAGGAAAACATTTTGATTTCCACATCACACCATATACATAAAATTAATTCCAGAGGACTTAAAGTCCTAAACGTGAAAAACAAAACCTTAACGCTGTCCACAGCTAGCTATTCCACATTTAGTAATTTATTATGAGGAAATAATTGGAAAAGGGCACAAAGAGATATATACAAAAATATACATTCAGGTTCTTCTATTATTATTTACAATGGAAAAAAAACTAAAAACCTAAATGTACAACCGAGAATTAAACTGCTAGTATATACAATTAATAAAAATGATGTAAAACTATATTACTGATATAAAATTTAGGCTGGGTGCAGGAAGCCAAGGTGAGAGGATCACCACGTACCTTGAGCTCAGGAGTTTAAGACCAGCCTGAACAACAAAGCAAAACCCCTCTCTACCAAAAATAAAAAAATAAAAAAAATTAGGTAGGTGTGGTGGCACATGCCTGCATGTAGCCCCAGCTACTCAGGAAGCTGAAGTAGGAAGACTGCTTGAGCCTGGGAGGTCAAAGCTGCAGTGAGCAGTGAGCTGTGAGCTGTGACTGCGCCACTGCACTCCGGCCTAGGCAACAGAGTGAGACCCTGTCTCAAAAATAATAACGATAATATTAATCCTATAAAAATGGATTTTACATATAGCTACAGTAATCAATATTGTAGTATTGATGGATACCAATGGAATCTGTTCAATGGAACAGAACAAAGAACTCAGAAATACTCCCATACAAATACGCCCACATGACTTTTGACAAAGGTGCAAAAGGAAAGATGGTCTTTCCAACAAATGGTGCTGAGGTGACTGAACATTCATAGGCCAAAAAAAAAAAGAGAAACTTGACCTAAGTCTCATACCTTATATCAAAACTAACTCAAAAGTGATCATGGACTTAAATGTAAAACATAAAACTAAAACTTTCAGGGGAAGAAAAGGCATAGAAAATAATTGGACTCTAGAGCTAGGTAAATAGTTCTTTGATTTAACCCCAAAGCATTAAAAGACTCATTAAAAATTAATAAATTGGACTTTATCAAAATTAAAACCCTTTGATCTGTGAAAGACTCGTTGAGAGGATGAAAAAGACAAGCTACAGACTAGAAGAAAATATTTGCCAACCAGTCCTTATCAACAAAGGACTACTACCTAGAATACATAAAGAACTCTCAAAACTCAACTATAAAAAACAAAAAAAAAGCAATTCAATTAAAAAATGGGCAAAAGGCATCAACAAACAATTCACCAAAAACAACATCCAGATGGCAAATAAGCACTTGAGAAGATCAACATCATTAGCCATCAGGGAAACGCAAATAAAAATGACGAAAAGGTATCACTATACGCCTATCAGAATGGCTAAAATTAAAAATAATAATAATAATGATACCAAATGCTGGCAAGGACGCAGGGAATCTGAGAGACTTTGGAGCACTTACACATGGCTAGTGAGAATGTAAAAATGGCACAGCTACTGTGAAAGATAGTTTAGCTGTTTCTCAAAAAACTAAACATAAACATAGAACACAGCAATTGTACTCCTGAGTATTTATTCCAGAGAAATGAAGATAGGCTCACATATACAAAAAACCCTAAATAGGAATGTTTGTAGTAGCTTCATTCAAAATAGCCAAAGAACTGGAAACAACCCAGATGTCCTTCAATTGGTGGATGGTTAAAAGTATTATGGTACATTCATGCCACGGAACACTATTCAGCAATGAAAAAGAAAGCACTCAGCCTGAGCAACGTAGTGAGACCTTGTCTCTACAAAAAATAAACAAAATTAGCTAGGTGTACTGGTGTGCATCTGTAGTCCCAGCCACTCAGGAGACTGAGGTGGGAAGATTGCTTTAGACTTCCTTGGTCAAGGCTGTAGTGAGCCGGTATCGTGCCACTGCACTGCAGCCTGGGTGACAGAGTGAGACCCTGTCTCAAAACAAACAAACAAACAAAAACAAGGAAAAAGCTATTGATATATCCAACAACCTGAATGAAGCTTCAGAAAATCATGCCATGTGAAAAGAGCCCATTTCAATAGGTTACATACTGTCTGATTCTATTTATATAATATTTTTGAAATGACAGAAATAGAGAACAGATTAGTGATTGCCAGGAATTAAGAAGAGAAAAGAGGTAGTGGAAAGTCAGTGTAGCTATAAAGGAGCAACATGAGGGATCGCTGTGTTGATGAAAATGTTAATGTTCTGGTTGTGATACCATACTGTAGTTTTGCAAAATGTTATCATTGGGGTAATTTGCATAAAAGATACTCTGGATCTGTCTGTATTATTTATTACAATTGTGTGCAAATCTAAAGTTATCTCAAAAGAGCACATATAAGATGATCCTTTTATTAAATCAGCAGCATATTAATATATAATATATCATATCTGCATATTAATTTTAAAAATTTGGTGGCTGGGTGTGGTGGCTTACGCCTATAATCCCAGCAGTTTGGGAGACAGAGACGGGTGGATCACCTGAGGTCAAGAGTTCAAAACCAACCTGGCCAACATGGCGAAACACTGTCTCTACTAAAAATACAAAAATTAGCCGGGTGTGGTGGTACATGCCTGTATTCCCAGCTACTAGGGAGGCTGAAGCAGGAGAATTGTTTGAACCTGGGAGGCAGAGGTTGCAGTGAGCCGAAATTGCGCCACTGCACTCCATTCTGGGCGACAGAGCGAGACTCCATCTCAAAAAAACAAAAAACAAAAAAAAAGAAAAAGAAAAAAGAAAAAAATAATTGGAAATAGCCAAAATACAAAGAATTAAAATTAAAATTAAAAATTAAAAAATGTTTGGAAATAAAATGAGTATTAGTGGTTAGATTGGTGAGATGATATATAACTTTCAAATTTCTTCTTCATTCATTCCTGTATTATAAAAGTTTTTTTCAATGAGCATGTTCTACTATGATAGCAAGAAAAAATAGTTATTTTTATCATGAAAAAGAGAATACATGCTACTGTATACAACTTTATTCACTGAAAAAATTACTATATTAATTCTCCCAAACATCATTTTAAAAGCTGTTTAATATTCCAATGTACTGATATACCAATTTTATTATTTCCTTATCATAAGGAATTAAGGATTGTTTCTACTTTCTGTTAAAAAAAATGCAACAGATATTCTTCTATCTTAATCTTTACATGCATCTCTGATTATGTCCTACAGCCAGACCTCCAGTCATATAAACCTATTGGATTATAGAGTTACTGGAATATACTGAACAACTGCTTTCCTGAAAAACTATGAATTTATGTCCCCATCATTAGTACAAGTGTATGAGATCACTTTACTCTGTCCCTGAGAAGTTGCCAAAATTGTATTCACATTCCAAACTCCATTGATCAAATAAGTAAGGAAAACAGACATGCTAATATCATACAGTGACATCACAACATAATAAAATTGACTTCATACCAGTCTTTGACATTATGCAATCTAACATGTGTGGGTCTTGCTTGCTCATCTTCATCTCCCTCCACCTCCAGAAAGTTGAAACTTCTTCATCTGACATTGCAAAGCTACCTCTCTCAGCCTCATTCACTTGCCTCCTTGCAGTCTCTCGAACCCATCTGGCATAATGTGTCCACCCAAATACTCTGTGGATAGCCACAGGACTCACTCCCTCACCAACTTCAGGTCTTGGCTCAAAAATCTCTAAATCAGAGGCTTTCCAATCCCACTCTGTGTAAATCAGCCACCCCTTCTCCAGCCTCCCTATCTGTATTTACTTGCTCTTTCTCTGGCAATGACATGCTACAACTTTTTTATTACTTCTCTACTTTATTCTGAAATTTTAAAAAATCAAATCCTATCCTTCAAGACACTGTCATCCCAACTTGTACGGACTGTACATTTGTCTCTTTATCATGACGAGAATCAAGATCAGCTCCAGCAAAATTTATTTCCAGGCCCTCCCTCCTGCAATCTTTTTTTTAGAGTTACTTTTTTGATAAATAATAATTGTACATATTTGTATGGTACATGATATTTTAATACATGCAAATATTGTATAATAATCAAATCAGGGTAGTTGGGATATCCATCACCTCAAACATATATCATTTGTATTGAGAACATTTCAAATCTTCTTCTCTCGCTATTTTGCAATATACAATAAATTATTGATAACTATATCCACGATACTGTGCTATTGAACAGTAGAGAATTTACTCCGTCTAACTATACTTTTGTACCCATTAACCAACTCTTCATCCCTCCTACCCTTGCCAGCCTCTAGCAACCATCATTCTACTCTCTATCTCAATGAGATCAACTTTTCTCGCTGCCACATATGAGTGAAAACATGCAGTATTTGTCTTTCTGTGCCTAGCTTATTTCACTTAACATAATGTCCTCCAGGCTTATCCATGATGCTACAAATGACAGGCTTTATTCCTTTTCGTGGCTGAATAATATTTCATTGTGTATACGTGCCAAATTTTCTTTATCCATTTATCTATTGATACATACTTGATTCCACATCTTGCCTATTGTGAACAGCGCTGCAATAAATATGGGAGTGCAGATATCTCTTTGATACACTGATTTCCATGGGATTGCTGAATCCTATGGTAGTTCTATTTTGACATTTTTGAAGAACCTCCATACTGTTTCCCATAGTGGCTGTACTAATTTAACATTCCCACCAACAGTTTATGAGAGTTTCCCTTTTTCCACATTCTTGCCAGCATCTATTATTTTTTGTGTTTTTGATAACAGCCATTCTAGCTGGGATGAGGAGAAATCTCAATGTGATTTTGATTTGCATTTCCCTCCTGCAATCTTTATTGATGTCCTTTCTCTACATTGGCCTCCACCTCTGCAAATATAATGCTGTTCACTGGGGAGCCTTATTCATGCTGCCTTCTGTTCAATACCCAAGATTGCTATTCCTTGCATCCTCCTTCCCATCACCTTTATAGCTTCCAGTCTCTATGTCCTCAACATCTGCCAAACCAACAAAGAAAGTAATATGAATGTAATAAGCTAATTCACTCTAAGGTATTTTGGTTCAAATAGTAACTGAGAAAAAATCAAATTCTTAGGGTTTCTAACTGGAAAAAGAAAGATATAAAATGTACAGTTTGTGTTGCTGAGACATTTCCATTCCATTTTATTTCTTCAAGTTTGGTCATCACTTTGATTTTGTCATAGTCTTTTCGCCTGAAACGTCTTATTCTAGTTTAACATTATCCAAGAAGTACCTCCCTTCTGATTTTCATTCCATTCAGCATTGACCTCCTCCCGCAGCAAAGGATGCCTCCTACTGACATTCCTCCCATCTAAGCAAGCATTTTTCTACTTCAGTGAGTCTCCATTTCATATTGAATTCTAACAGATTATGCTTTTTTCTCCTTTAAAATGTATTTGAAAGCCCCCTTTTCCTTTCCACATGTTACTTCCACAGATTATATCCTATAGGTATGAGGAATCAGACCTATCAATCAATCCTAGGAATAATGTTTGCTTTGAAATCTCATTAAGCAATTCAATTATTCTTAGAAGAAACTACTTTGAGATTTTTTTAAAGCCTTATAAAAAAGACCACCTCTATAGTACCCATTGTCCTTTGTCATTAAGATACATAATTACAAGGTGATCGGCTTACTTTGTCATGTACCTAGATCCTTATATGGTTGCAATGGACTTCAAACATATTTTTAACTTTAAATTTCATTTTTTCTTGAAATCAAAAATAGATTAGAGCAAAGCAGTGACATTTTATCTTAAAGAACTACATATAACATCCTGTGCTATTCTGATGGTAGAACAAATGATTTTTAAAAACAAATGGTATAATTCTTTGCATTCTACACCATAACTTCCTGAGATACACTCAACTGCACACTACCAGATGATATGTGAAATACCCCCAAAGAATTAGAATCTTCCTCCAGCCCCATAAAAGATGACTTACCAGACTTCCTTGCTTTCAAAGCAATAACAGCTGCTAGCTCTCTCTGCACCTAATAAAATATTAGGGGGGAAAATCAAATTAGAAGAAGAAAAATGTAGCCATCAAAAGCAGTACTTTGTTCTTAGATATCCAACCCAAATTCAGAGCTGTTTCAATTAAACCTAAGTTTGCTGCCAGCACTTTTTTGATTTTTGCTTGTTTTTAGTACATGGAAAAACCTCTGCATATAAACTTTTAGAAGAATCATATTGAATTACTTTTTTAAAAGTTACACAGTTGCCAGAATGTATACATTGTAAAACACTGGTATCTACCCTGTGATGATGGGAAGTACCTAAAAAAAAACTATATAATATTCAGATATAATGCAATTATGAATTATTAAAATATACATGATACCATAATAAAGATTAAATATTACTTATCCCTCAAAGATGCTAGTTTATAAAGAAATTCTAGTAAAGTTGATATAGGTAATCCTGGTTTAATTGGACCTCTGCTCAAATATAATGAATGTTCACTGCAAGTCTGACAGGTTTACAGCAACCATTTTGGATAATATGCCACATAAAAGCAAGCATCATCAATGCATAGGGCAGGTGAAATGGGAATATACTAGATGACCTTTAAAATCCTAAATGTCTTTAACCCTACTCACTTGTCCAAAGTTTTTAGCACTTACTCTCACTCTCATCCTTCCCACTTTGAACACTTAAATCCGTCCTTGAAAACATTTTCAAAGCAGAACACGAAACAGTGACAAAAATAAGCACAGTCACTTTCAAAGATAACATGAAGGTATCAATAAAAATTCCATAATGAGGAAGCTCTCTCCCCTTCAGGACACAAACTCTTAAACTCAGAAGTTTGTGTGTTCAGGTGTTTGGAACTGGTGATGATGGGTTTTTTTTTTTCGGCGGGTGGGGGTATCAGGCAGCAGAATATATTGCAGTAATGACACTTTAAAGGGAGTTCAAGGTTAAATTGCAGATTTGCTATTCAAATTAACATAATCTACATTCATTTACTGGAAGGCAAGTGTAGCAATATGCTAGACCCTGAGACTCCACATAGGACTGGCTTTCTCAACAGCCAGGGCATTATCACCCCTGCAGAAGGCAGCTTGTCCCATCTGTCTTTATTGCTGCACTTTCCCTGATGGGCTAAGTGAAAGTCATTCAAAAATGCATAGTCTTGATTTAGCTGATTCTTTGACACTGTAAGATTCTCTCAGGAAAATTACACGGCAGTGAGAAGACAATCTTTGACACCGTAAGATTCTCTCAGGAAAATTACATGGCAGTGAGAAGACAATCAGTCCCTCTCCAACCTTAGGAGTTTGAGCTCTGAAAATGCTCACAGTTGGAAAGTTTACAGTTAAAGAACTTAGTGGGAAGAGTACTGAGGCAGACAGAAGTGATGAATGACCACAAGAAAACCTTCGTAAGTACTGGTATGCATACTCAAATAAATTTAAAAAGCATCGAAGTAAAAATATCAATTACTGCATATTTTACATATTTTAAATTGTTTGTAAGGTTTATTGTAGTATTACCAGTTCTTTTTAGGATTTTCTTCATTCACAGTGTCACAAATATTTGGAGTTGGGACAAAGAGGCAGATTATAAACATTCACAAGGGTCTTGTCAATGGTTTCTAGATTCTATGATCTCCCAGGGAAAACCCCACTGTGGCACACACACAGGGAGAAGGCAGAGATGGAAAATCATGCACGAGGTGGATCACTTAATTTGCTCACAACGGATCGAAACCAGTCATCTCCAGCTTCCTCTTTTAATTTTCCACACCTGAATTCCCTTTATGGGATTCTCAGTTTTTCCTTTTCCAATTAGAAAATGATGCCCAAAATAGAAACAGCTCAGAAAAGGAAAGGATTATATTCCCACCACTGTATAACACTACAGCTTTTCAAAGAGTTGACAGAGAAAGAAAGGAAAGAATGAGATGAGCGAGCAAAAAATGGAGCATTTCCGGGGCACTTGGGAGGGTGAGAGACAGGCAGTGAGAAAGGCATGAAGAACTTCACAGTTCAACTTAGAACCTAGGCTGCTTTTTTACATAAAATAAATGAGATTACTGTACTGTACTACACTACATCAACTGAACCTCTGCCATGGGAGGATACGAGTATTTTATGCAAAGGAGGATGTACGATAGCTTCCGTGTTTCTGCATTGGGAGGGAAAAAGTTTTTGACAAAAAAAAAAAAAAAAAAAAGAAACCCAAAGATAGGTTAGTCTTCCTACAAGACGCAAAGGGGAAAGTGCTGATCAAGCAGACCACACACTGGGTAAGATCCCTTTCATGCTGCTACAGCATCTTCACAGTTCTTTTTTGTTTTTTTAAATGACCTAGCAATCAATCATTTAAAGTTGTGTGACTAATGCCTATATTTTGGCTGGAAACTCCACTGAGGCAGGGACCTGTTTGCCTTTTCTTCACATTATCCTGGGCAATTGACACTCACTCATTAGCCCACAAGAGGTGGTTGAAGAGACAACCCTATTTATACAAAGACAGAAGGAGAAAACACAGAAAGGACCGAGGGGAGAGAAAAAACTTCCCGAGGGAGGACAATGAAAATTCAGAGAAGGCATTCCCATCATAAGTTACTCCCAGCAGAAATCTTCAGAACATGTTAGAAGGATTCAAAGCTGGCCTTTGCAAATAATTGTTAGGTTTATATGAAACTGAATTGAAAACTAAAACTCTGAGCAATTACACAAACAGGGACTACACTTTTCTTTGTGTGTTAATAAGGGACCTGTTGGCACTGGAAAAGAAATGTCATACTCCAGTGCCAGTTGAGCCTTCAAATAACTGAGGCTCTGGCTGACATTCTGACCACAACCTCCTGAGACACCCTGAGCAGGAACTACCTAGCTAAGGTGCTTCCCAACTCCTAACATGTGGGGGATCAGTCAGATTGGTGGGAAAAACTATAGGGAAAGGACACAAACCTTCTGAAAGGTCGAAAGGTTCTGCAGAGCCCCGGAGGAGAACAGGTGAAGGCAGCTGTTCTATAAAACTGAGGCAGAGGGCAAGGAGTAGGTACAAAAGAATGTGGGGGAATTTATCTTAAACAAGCTTGCTTACTTGTGTTGACCAGGAACTGACCTTTGATCATCTATGTACACCTGACATTCCCTGAAAGGCGAACAATGAATGTTAATTACCTACAGGTAGTGTTGGCTCCAGGTTTTTGGCACTGTGCCTGCACTGAATAAAAGCAAGCAGCTCCAGCTTCTCAGGGCTGCTCTCTGGCCACTAGAGCCAGGCAGTCACCTAGGTGCTCTCACACTGCTTACCTGTGTCTGAGTACTCATTTCATCCATCTGCCACAGTCTGTGAGACAGACCCGGTACCAACATAATAAATACACGTTGTTTCAAATCTGTAGATTCTGGAGTCATTTGTTATGCTGAAGAGTCTTTTATAAGACAATGATGATTTTTCTACTGTAATCTAACTGTGTTGTTGGCTAACCTGAGTTCCTCTCACCATGCCTGAAATAGAGCCACTGTTGGGTTAGGCTTGAGAAATGTACCAAATGTAGTAGAACCATGTTCTGATACTGGCCATGGTTTTTATCCAATGAGGATACAAAACCACTGCCTAGGTCATTAGAAAAAAATGCATTGTTCTTAATCTGACAGAAACAGTAAATTATTAGCTTGGCTTTTCCTGTCATAACCCTTCCCTACTATAATCCTTAACTCCTTTTCAGAACTCCCTGGGACTAGATGTATTTCAGAATTCAAAATTTTACAAATTTCAGAAAGGTATCTTCAGTGAGGTCTGGGGCAGCAACTTGTAGTCAGATACATTAATATTTCTTCCATGAAATGCATTACTATTCAAATCAAATGGGATAAAGGAAGACTAGAAAAAGCCTAGAGTTTTGCCACCAAATATGTTCAGTTTTGGTTGGATTTTGCCACCAAGTTAGTTATGAAGAACTTTTGTTTTTCAGAGTTTTTCTAATGTAGGACTGTGAATAAGGGACTGTAAACCTCTACTAGTGTTACATTAAAGTTTCCCTCCCTCATCTTTTTCTCATGTTTCTTCTTTCCCAATTGCTATTTGGTCACTACTTTTGGTCTACTTACTGGGAAATGCTTTCTTTAAATAGCTTGAGTTTTCATCTAGTTCAGCAGTTCTCAAACTTGACTGCACATTAGAATCATTTGGAGAGGTTTAAAAAAAATACTGATATTTAGGCCCCAACTAAATCAGAATCTCGGGATTGAACCAGGCATCAGTGTGCATTGTTGTTTCCAAGATTCCTAGGTGATTCTATTGCATCCAGGGTGAGAAATCACTGCTCTATTCAACAAGTATCTTACTTTCTCCAAGGCCCCATATTTCGACCTTCATTTCAACTGAAAATTTTTAGTCTGTACTTTGTCCTCCTCTAATTTAATTCATTTGTAAAGGAACGTGGCCTTCACTGTATTTAGATATAAAATTATGCTATAATCCAATCAAATAAGATTCACTTACTATAGTAGCAGTTCGACAGACAAGATTTATTCAAGTACAAAGAAAATTGCAAGGAGGCTTTTAAGAACCTTCAAGTTTAATTTAAAATATAGTTTACTCAATATAAAACAACTATGCAATTCAAAACACTTGCAGCTGACAGTTATATTTGGCCTTGTAAATGTCTAAATAGAGGACGATTAAAGGACTGATAAAACATATCCCAAATTTTTCCCTCTCCCCTAGTTACCCAACAGAAACTAGAGTCAGAAACATGTTGAAATGTTTTGGCTTTCTATCTTGGATAACCAACATGGCTGTTCACAAAATAGCCTTGACATTCAGTGAGAATCAGAGTCAGTCTTATGTCCAGCATTCTGTCTTCTTTTTCCTCTGGCAGTTTAGTAGTGCCTTTGGTCTTAAAATCCAAAGGCTCCCAGACCTGTTTTGCATCAAAGCTAAGATTCAAGCAAACTCTGAGTGACAGAGAGTTTCTCCATGGGAGAGGTTAACTGAGAAGACATGAGCAGGCTTGCTGGAAGAGGAGGCCCTTGAAAGCAAGGTATGAAGCTCAATTAGAAAGTCAAGGAAAGTTGGGCCGGGCGCGGTGGCTCATGCCTGCAATCCCAGCACTTTGGGAGGTCGAGGTGGGCAGATCATGAGGTCAGGAGTTCGAGACCAGCCTGACCAACATGAGGAAACTCCATCTCTACTAAAAATACAAAAAAATTAGCCGAGTATGGTGCACGCACCCGTAATCTCAGCTACTCGGGAGGCCTAGGCAGGAGAATCACTTGAACCCGGGAGGCGGAGGTTGCAGTGAGCTGAGACCACGCCATTGCACTTCAGCCTGGGCAACAGAGCAAGACTCCGTCTCAAAAAAAAAAAAAAAAAAAAAGAAGGAAAAAAAAGAAAAAAAAATCAAGGAAACTCATTTTGAGAGGACAGAGCAATATTAGCAAAGGTCTTAGTTACCAAAGCGTTGTCCTTACAAATTAATTTTTAATAGAATTGCCAATTCACAAATTCCCTAAAGGCTTTTAGTAAATCTATTAATCTTAGAAACATTTAAATTTTGATGCCATGATAGAAATGTTTTTAAAATACAGAGCCCATTTTTCTCAATTTCCTAAACTAAATGTAAGAAGAAACATAATCTAATATTCTTCCATGTTTTATTCCCAAAAAATATACAACTTTTAAGCCATTATATAATGTTAAGCTAGTATGGACTTTAAGAATTCTAGAAAAAATAAATAAATATGCTTCTTAAGAACCGTACTTTTATTTTTTATTTTCTTATTTTTTTGAGACAAGGTTTCGCTCTGTTGCCCAGGCTGGAGTGCAGTGGTACGATCTCAGCTCACTGCAACCTCTGCCTTCTGGGGTCAAGCAATCCTCCCACCTCAGTCTCCTGAGTAGCTGGGACTACAGGCGCCTGCCACCATGCCCAGCTAATTTGTTTGTATGTTTTTGTACAGATGGGGTTTCACCATGTTGTCCAGGCTGATCTTGAACCCCTGACCTCAAGTGATCTGCCCACCTCAGCCTCCCAGAGTGCTGGGATTGCAGGCGTGAGCCACCATGCCCAGCCAAGAAACTACTGTTCTCCACCAAATAGTTTATTTAACAGATAGTTATTTCCCCAATAACTGCTGTCATCACATCAAAGAGGTGTTTGTTAAGCATGCTGTGATGATAAAATGTATCTATCCTTACTCATCTGTTTCAAGGCACTTAGGAGTATTTTTTTTTTTTTTTTTTTTTTTTTGAGACAGAGTCTGGCTCTGTCGCCCAGGCTTGAGTGCAGTGGCGCAATCTCGGCTCACTGCAAGCTCCGCCTCCCGGGTTCACGCCATTCTCCCGCCTCAGCCTCCTGAGTAGCTGGGACTACAGGCGCCCACCACCGCGCCCGGCTAATTTTTTGTATTTTTAGTAGAGACGGGGTTTCACCATGTTAGCCAGGATGGTCTCGATCTCCTGACCTTGTGATCCGCCCGCCTCGGCCTCCCAAAGTGCTGGGATTACAGGCGTGAGCCACCGCGCCCGGCCAGGGGTATTTTTAAATCACTTAAATAGACTTGTTTAATGCAAACAAATATGCATGTTAACTTTATTGTAACTGAGATAATAGCTGGCCATTTAAAGACTAATATATGTAGAAGTGATCTGAAACTAACAAAATGAACTGGAATAGTCTTCTACGATTTTAAACGTCTATTAAGTCTGCTACACATGCACCTAATATGATAGAGGTTCACATTAAAAAGATCTGATAGTTGAGTACAAGCATACTTTGAGTTAATGGGAGTTGGATTACTTAGAATGGATAACAGTGTTTTTAGGAATATTACTAGAGGTATATTCAGGTCACACACACAAAAAATGGACTCCAGAAAGATCAACATCTGGATTGCATTTGGTTTTGTTAAGGTCCATGAGGAGTAGATAGTATCCACAGGAGAATGACCAGGAGATAGTCACCTCCCTGTAGTTCAACTTGACGAACACAGCCATCCTCATTTACCTTGTCATCTCTGCACAACTTGACTATTACTCACTCCCTTTTTCTTAACCATTGGGATTCCATGGCATCCCATGCTCCAGGTTTTCTCCTTCCTCTCTGGCTACTGCTTCTCTTCTCCAAAGGCTCCCCTTCTTCTGCCTTTTATAAAGACTTTGATGTCCCTTAGTGATTTATCCTCAACCCTCTTGACCTTCTTCTCTTTCCATTCACTCACATGACTTCAATTATATTTGCATTTCCAGCCCATATTTCCTGGGCCCTAGATCCCCATAGCCATCTACCTTCTGGACCTGAAAGTCCCACTTAGTGGCTCAAACTCAACATTTCCAAAGGTGAATTCACTTTTTCTTTTTTTGAGACTGGGTCTCACTCTGTCACCCAGGCTGGAGTGCAGTGGTCCAATCATGGCTCACTGCAGCCTCCATGACCAGGGCTCAAGCAATTCTCCTGCCTCAGCCTCCCGAGTACCTGAGAGGACAGGCACACACCACCAGGCCTGGCTAATTTTTTAATTATTTTTAGAGATGACATCTTGTTATGTTGCCCAGACTGGTCTTAAACTCCTGGGCTCAAGCAATCCTCCTGCCTCAGCCTCCTAAAGTACTGGGATTACAGCAGTGAGCCACTGAACCTAGACTGAAGTCACTTTTTTACCAATTCCGCTGCACTCCACAAATCTGCTCCATGAATGGCACCATCAGACACCATAGTCCCAAGCCAGGAAATAAGGTATCCCTGATTTAGCTCAGCCCATCACTGTCTCCTACTCAGGCCTCTGTCTCTAATTTTTCTCTCTCCATCCCACATCATTCTCTACTCTGCAGTCAGACTAAATCATCCTAAAATATAAATTTTATAATATTATATCTTTTCCCAAAAAACTCTTCAAAGATTTCTCCATGACACTATGACAGAGTCCAATGTCTGATACTGCATATATAGCGTTCTTCTGGTCGGGTCTTCAGTATCATCTCTATCTCCATTCCTCCTTCCAAAATCCATGCTCGAAGCTTATTAAAATATGGCATTTGCTATTCCCTGGATGGACTATGCTCTCTCTTTGCCCCAGGTCTTTTCACATATTCTGTCTGGAATGCCTCCCCACCTCCCCGCCTTGTATGGCTGTCACTTACTTACCCTTCAGATCCCAACTTAGGTACCATCTTCTCCTGAGCGCCACTCACCTCTCCTGTGTGAAGTCCTGTTTATACTCCAATAGCACTCTATACTTGTTTCAATTATAGCATGTATCACACTCTAATGAAATCTCCTCTTTAGCTGGAGGGCTCCAAAACTAGTTTATAAGCCCGCTGAAATGGACTTCTTTATTCATCATTATGAACCTGACTCCTGGCACCATTCCTGGTACATACGTTTGTGATCAAGAACACAAGTAAAATGTTTACAGTTGTTACTGAGAAGGTGTAGGGGGAACATGATCATTAACTTCAAGTATTTCAAAGTCTGAGGCTGAAATTCAGACCAATGGAGAGAAGTTGCAAAAGGACATGTTTTAGCTCAATGTAAGAACTTTCAAATACCCAGAACTGTCCACAGTGGAAATGGTCTATTGAATTTGTGAGATTCAATAGGAGATGCTTTACATGGGAAGGTATATATCAGAAGTGCCCCAAGGATTGTTCTAAAGATTTGTTTTAAGAATGTCTCATTTCCTAATGACCCCACTACCAAAAGAGAACAAGCATGTTCTCTTTGGAGACCATGGGGGTTGTTCATGTCACCTGGGAGTTGGTGACATATGTCAGCCTGCAGTTGAACAGCTGGTGATGTTATGGCCATCTAATCCACCTCACAGAAATAGAGGTGGTACAAATCTGAATGAATAGATAAAAAATAACTGTTGGAAACCATTTCCTGTCGTGGAAATCTCATGAATTTCATGGTACAAACAACAGAAGAAACTACAGATGTTTACAAGAACTCAGAAGAACAAGCTAACGACACTAACATCTTTTCAAAAGAGCAGGTGTATCTGTGTCTTCAGTTTTCAAAGCTGCTCTTACAACCTCTGATTGGTAATTTCTCTGAAGCCCTAACTGCTGATCTACCTGAATTTCCTGATAAATAAAAATTTGTATATAAAATGTATTTTAAGGAAATAAGTCTATATTAGACATTTTAATTTTTGTTGTAATAATAAAATAAAACGTTATGTTTACATAATTAAAATTTTAATTTTTATGTCTCAAGTTACTTTTTTTGGTGTTTTCTGGTAGACCCAGCGTATTATTCAATCTACAAAAAGCTCATAAATGATTCTCAGGTGGATTTTCATGATATAGTTTATTTAACAAAGCATCTCCAAAGCCATAATATAATTTTTAAACTCATGTCTTACTACGTCTTTTATTCTATGTTACACACCATTCCATACATATCTTTTCTCAATCATCGTGCCCTTTGGAGGTAAGATTATAAACTACAGCAACTGTGTAACTACATCAACAGTGAAGTCCCAGACATTCTAGGGATCTTCTATGGTAGCAATCTCTCATTTGTAGGGACAGATTCCTGTAGAACCTTGTAGGGATGTTACATTACAAAGACTGATATTGGGATAAACTCAGATTAGCGAAGACTGTTTCCAGCTAGAAATTCTACGCATAAAAACTGCTAACAAGTGAAGCCTCCTAGAAGACCAAGATTCAGAACCCGAGATCCAAAAGTCTAAAACAAGAGTAGGAAATCTCTAATTATTTTATGCCAACCTTGAGAGAAGCTGTAGTTTCCTGACGGTGGGGTGGAGTCACAGTCCTCTACCTCATAGGATTGTTGTGAGATTTAGACGAATTAACATGTATAAATCATCGGGACTGATTGATCCGACACAGAGTAAGTGCTATTTGAGTGTTATCTATTATCATCCTCATCACATTATTAGAATATAGTTGAGCTGAATGACAGAAGAAAGGACATATCCAGTCTTTAATTGCTTTAATATTGCATATGTTTAAGCCCTTTCTTCCACCTAAATTATAAACTCTTTCACAATCAGTATTTCCTCCATTTATTATATTTCACCTACCTAGCCCAGTCCCATTGCAACTAGAATAAAAGAGGCTGAAGCATTTCAGTGAAAATGTGTAAACAGTGCTTAAAGTGCTTTTTCAGACTTTACTTTCAGACTTTACTTTAAAAATGAACTTTTAGATTTCTATAGAATTCTGAAGCCTTTATAAATGTATGAAGGACAGACTTCAGGTTTCAAAATTCACTTTGAAACGTCAGAGGTATCAATCAACTTAAGTAGCTGTGCCCTGGCAGCTTCTGACATTCAAAAGAGAACTGCTGTATTAGAATCAGGAGATTATGGGTTCAAATTCAAATTCAAATCCAAATTCAAATTCTTGTATTTAACAAGAAATGTGCATTAGTTTAGTATCTCTTCCATTGCAAATTATCACCCATTTTACTGCTTAATATCCGCTTATTATTTCATATTTGTATAGGTCAAAAGTCCAGTTACAGGTTGGCTCAACTGGGTTCTCTGCTTCTCACAAGGCCTCGTGTAAGGCCCAAAGCAAAGTACCTGCTGGGCTGCACTCCTAACTGGAAGCTCTAGGGGAGCATGTTCTTCCATGCTCATGCAGGTCATTGACAGAATCCAGTTCTTACGTCTGTAGGGCTGAGGTACCTGTTTCCTTGCTGGTTGTCACCCGGAAGCTGCCCATAGCTCCTAGGGCCCTCTTTCTGGTTTTTGCACATGGGCTCCTACATCTCAGAGCCAGCAATGACATGATGACCCCTTCTTAGGCTTAGAATTTCTTTCACCTTGACTTCTGCCATATTGCTTTGACTCCCACAAAAGCAAGTTCTCTCCTTTATTTTAAAAGCTCATATGTTTAGACAGAGTCCACACAGACAATCTAGGTCTGTAGCCTTAATTCTATCTGTAAAGCACCTTTTGCCCTGTAATGTAATATGTGCAGGTACCAAGTGGGGTATTCATGTTTGGGGGACCATTTTACCCGTTACAGAATGACACGGATCCTGAAAAACAATCCCTCAACACCTTGTTAGGGCCTTAAAGTCACTTGCTAATACAGCCTAGCTCTGGAACATGATTTACTTGCTATAAAATCTTCACTAGATTACACCAAACTCTCTTTCCCTTTACAACTTTCTCCTGTTGTACCCAAAAGTCCCAACCAGTGCCCCAAATTCATCTCAAATTAACTCATTTATTTGCCTCCATTTTCACCCCTTGAGATGTCTCTCAAGTCTTACGATCTATCTAGAATGTTCTTTTCTTTCCCTTATCTAGACAAAGCCTGCATTCCAGTTTCTGCATGGAGCTAACCTGAATTATCAAGACGTCCATAAGTTTTCTGATTTTTTACATCTCATCACCACCACACAATGTGTGTAATCTGGAAAATCTATAATTTATACTTATGTTAATTTTTAAACAAAATCACTTTTTTGTGGTTTTTGTTGGGTAATTTATAGTAATGTAGGTTTATGTTTGAAATTCAGAAAATGAACAAAAGTAGATGAGGAAAAATCATCCCCAGTCCCAGTGTCCAAAGAGCTAATCCTAAATTCACTCACTGCATGTAACATGATGCTAATTATTAGCTATGAGCTATAAAAATTTATTTACCATATTATTTTATCTATTGTCAATAGATGGTTCATGCCAATAATGTTGATTTTAGGAAAAGTATTGGTATCACAGAATTGCAGGCCAGAAATAATAAAAAGGTCACCTACTTCGGTTCCATACTAGATGCCTTAATCCTCTACACAGAGTACAGAATATAAAATAATAAAACAACAAAACACACACTTCCATAGAACTTATTATGTACCTGGGCACTGTTCCAAATATTTTCCATGTATTCACTGACTTAATTTATATGCATAGTGCCTTTTGTATCTGACCTGTAGTAACCTGCATAGATAAGCTCTTGAAGTTCCGTAATTTTTGTGAAGATAATCTAGAATAAATTAAGTTCATATATGCACACAGATCTCTTATATGTGTTTATAATTCCTTACCCAGCTACATAGCCTATTCAAACCTCTTTACAAACCACTGAAACCTGCTACTCATATTCCACTGAATCCATAGGCTCTTTTGTTTTAAAGAGAAAATTTTTGTTATACAACTAGAAGAGCCTAGTAATAGTTTTTTGGAAGGTTTTAGTATCTATTTTTAAAACTGTCTTTTGCCCATTCAATTCTCAGAACCCCACGTGTGTTTGTCCTGACTCTCAATACACAGTTTTAAGTAGATTAAGTGTTAATCCACTTAAAGAACTTTCCTACCTGTAGATGCTTTTTAAAAAGTTGAACTTTATTCCTTGATATTTCTTCTAATCCAAACTCAAATTAAATTAAAATGGTGCTTTAATTTTTCATGATTGGCATAGGATCTATTAAGTTTGAAAACTTGCTCTGTTATCTACTAAGATATAATATATTCTTGTGCATAGTTTCATATTAGTATTATAGGTAAGAGGATATTAAATGAGATTTGTCCTGTGGTCTCAGCATTTTCACTGAAACCCAAAGTCAAGAACAATTGGTGAAAAGTGCTCAGACCTCCGAAAGATAGAGCTAGGTGCACCCCCACAGATTCCATTAGTCCTGAAGCAGCAAAATTCTGTAAAACCATGTCGGCAACCCTCATCCCTTCACCCACTTCAAGGAATTATGAGGGAGACTTGAAGATTATTCAGGAGGGATCAACAAAGACCATTTATTTAAAGGGAGCTGCTGGAGTGCTACAAGGATAAATATTATACATACGTACAGACTTCAAGTCAAATGACAGGGGTCTTAATCACTTGAATTGGCTGGCATTTGTTCCTAAAGTTTAGGGACTGCTCTCATCTGTAAAAGTCCAAGAGGGCTGGCAAATGGGGCACATGGAGGCAGAGAAAGAGAAAAAAGCTGTGCTGTGTTGGGATGGCCTCCATTTCCAGGGTTTGACAGGACAATAATGCCCTCGTGCTTCCTATGTGCCAGTAGAGAGTTGGGTATAGGTCATTTTGGAAACAGGCCTCCCGAAAAGGTAGGGTGACCCCAATAGAAGAAAACTGTGAGAAGGAAGCCAGAGGCTGGAGGAACAGTCCTAAAGTTTCAGAAGAAGAGGAAATGACAGGGCCATGGAATTATAATCCAGAGCTCTTTAGACACAGGAATATCCACCAATCCACACAATGGCCTCATACAGGAAAAAAAAGAGATTTCTACAACTCTCACATGAGAACCCTGAGGCCGGATTGTAACTGTAGCAGTCAAGAAAGACCTTTCTTGATATGGCGTCACTTCTCCCTAGCCTCTCAAACCGTGGCTGAGCCAGAAGCAGCACAGTGAAGCAGAGGAGGAGGTAGGGAAGAGAAAAGACAGAAAAATATGATGGGAAATGTCAACAAAACCAACCCTGGCCCTTTTCCCATGCTCAGGTTGGGGGAAAGGAGATGCTTTGAAGTGGATGGAAGATTGAAGCTCTGATACTGGACTCAAATGGACTTTTAAATATCTGAAGAAATGGAGACTGCTCTGAGAAAGCTGAAAAAAGCTGTGGATCTGCAAAAAGATTCACCCAGGAGTGGGAATGAACCAGTCAGAACTTATTCGAGGAAACTGGTAAAAAAGGGTAAATTTTTTCCTGCTTTTATCTTGTTGAGACTAGTTCATTTAATGAATCATATGTATATACTTGGTTTTATAATGAGACTGGAAACATATAGGTACAAAAGCCATTTATTTCTTTTTTCCGTCTTAACTTTATCCCCTTTTCCTTGTTTTATGTCTGGGAATGTTTCTCTTACATCCTGAGCTGATGCTGCAGTATGAGTTTAATCTCTGACATCTAGAATGTCAGCCTAACTAAATTTCATTCAAACAATCTAGGTGAGGAAGCAGTGCCTGCTCATCTCCAATGCTGGGGTAATCTTAGGCAGTGTGAAATTCAAAATTTAGTGAAGAAGAAAAAAAGAATATTGCCTGAAAATATACTTCTGACTTTAAGAGTGGTTCCATAACTTCCTCCTTTGGCTTAGGATTGGGAGAGAGAGCAAATGTGAAAAACATGAATAAAATGATAGTCTACATTTTTACCTGACAGACCCTTTCTTCTCTCTTGCTCTCTAAACACAAGTAGGGTTCTGGGGTCTCTGAGCAATTCTTTTAATTGCCATGGGTCTTCCTATTCTTATCCGTAATACAAGGGAATTGGAGAAGATGATTTCTTTCTTTTTCTTTTGAGGCACAGTCTGGCTCTGTCACCCAGGTTAGAGAGCAGTGGTACGAGCTCAGCTCACTGCTACCTCTGCTTTCCGAGCTCAAGCCATCCTCCCACCTCAGCCTCCTGAGTAGCTGGGACCACAGGTGCACGCCACCTCATCGAGCTAATTTCTGTATTTTTTGTAGAGACAGGTTCTCACTTTGTTGTCCAGGCTGCTCTCAAATTCCTGGGCTCAAGTAATCTGCCCACCTCAGCCACCCAAAGTGCTGGGATTACAAGTGTGATCCACACTGCACCTGGTGAAGAAGATAATATCTAAAGCCGTCTTCCCTTCTATCCTTGTTCCAAATAAACCAACCATGATGTTCTCAAACTGAAGAATTCCAATTAACTGTAATACTTCCTCATTTTAATTACTGAGGTACACTGCAGAACATGTGGTGAGGAGATACAATGTGGCTATCTGTTCAGCTGAATTGAGATGAGTTCAATGAAACCAAGATAGCCAACAGGGTTTCCTGGGTTAACTTATGAACCTCATTCTCCTTCGCTATTCTAACACATCTGACAAAGATGTTACTACATAAAGCTTCTTATAGCACATTCCAATCCTCTCAGGAGCCTCACTGGCTATTTCTGTCTACCACATAAAATCTTAACCTCTCCCTCTGCAATTCTAGACCTTAGTAGACACTTCGCTCTGCCCACCGGATACACAGATTCTTTATTACTGCCTTCTATGCATCACAGACTTCTGCTGAACAGAAATGATGGCCATTCCTCAAACATATCCCATCTTGGCTCTTTCACTCATGCTATTCTTTCTAATTAGATTGCTATTAATATTTTCTATTCATTCATACTCTCCTTTATATTCAACATATCATTCAAGCCATTCCCCCCTCTCCAGCGGACCTATTTTAAAACCGTAACTGAGCACAATGACTTTTTACTTTGACCTCCACAGTACTTTGTATTCACCACAGAGAACCTTTACAGCTATTCACCTCTACATGGTAAGCTCCTTGCACACATGGACCAAGCTGTATTTTTTTTCCTCTGAATTCACACAATGGAATCACAAAACCTGATAACCAGTCTGAATAAACTTCTAAACTGCTAAATCATTTAGCCATGTTTACCACTATTTTATAATTTCTAATAGGTTAAAAATTAAAATGCTATTTAATATAATTCCATGGGCATCATTTCATAAAATCCTTCAAATTAGGAGAGAATTCCACAATCACATTCCCTACCCAACCTGTTAAAATCTATTCAGTAAATATAAAATGTTTTAAGTGATGATAATGTGGAAAACTGTGTTTTCAACCCACATAGATATTATTTTTAATATGGACTCTTAAATAATTAATAACGCCTGTCTCAAATGCTTCATCTCTCCAATGCAATGGTAATACACCCTGTCATGTGAGACTGAAATGTGACAATGTACGACAAAAAGTATCAAAATGCCTGTGCAAGGTAAGAACTCAACAAATATTAGCCATTCTTAGCCTCTTACCCATTTCTCACTTGGTCTAATGCATTAATGCAGGATAATGCATTAACAACTGCAAACAAGTCTCTTCAAAGGTTTCCCCACAAAGAAGTTCATCTCTGAGCTGTTCATAACAGCAAAAGAGTGAAAATAAAATCACAATGTTCAAAATAGAAGAAAATGATTTTAAATCTGTGTAATGGAATACTATAGAATCACTAAATATGTTGTGGCCAGTGCTTTTAGCTCCAAGAACATATTAAATAAAAAGTATAGAACACAAAATAAAATATTTAGGGTTTTTCTGCAAAAAAAAAATATTCTGTAAAAAAATACACACACACACACACACACACACGCATGAAAAATAACCTAGCAAGTAATAATAATTTATTTCTGGGTCATTTCATTATAGGCACTTTTCTAATCTGCATTTAGAAAAATGATAAAGTCTTTATATTCAAGTTAAATAATACAAATGTCAACTAAACAAAAAGGAAACTGCAAAGCATAATCCACAGTACTGTTATTTCACTGTCAGACTTCTCATTTGACATTTACAAACACAGGAAATGAATTCACACTATTTCCACCCAGTATCCACATAAAGTGTCATTATAATTTTTACAACAATATAAAATAACAGAAACTAATTTAAAATTTGTCTTATTCCATCACCACCAAAAAATTCAAGTAATTTTCACTGTTTTATATGCCTCCTGGTTCTCCTCTATATATGGGCACACCATACAAAGCTATAACACTGACAGAAGTATGCAAAACTTACATTTCATCTAAAGCAGCTATAAGAAGTTCTATTTTAAAGAAATGCACAAAGAAGAAGCCAAATATGAAACATTCATGGATCATCCTTTTAAAGCTCCGTCGGCTTCTTTCAGAGAAGATTTCACATTAACACTTCACAAACCCATGACTCTCAATATCCAAATTGAGAGTCAAATGGTATATTTCTATTTCTTGTCAATAAAAAGTCTATATTTTCCATGGGTATTGCATATCAAAGTGATTTTCATCTCAGAAACAGATATTCAAATATCATAACATACATGTATGCAAACATGCACAATCCTCTTTCCCTATTCCTAAGAGATTCATTGAGACATTTTACCCTTAAATGAGTTCTGCACATTTACATCTTTCTGAACACATAAAGATAAATTTCCCCCTGCCCTGCATTGCTTCATTTCAATAGGCAATCCAGTATGTATCATCCTGCTTACCAAAACCAAACTCTCAGGGCTAGAGTTAAAAATTAAGTTACCACACAATCTGGGTAGATTTTGATAGTTTCTTTGGAATTAGAGATGATGGCTTAGTAATTAATTTTAAAAAGCTGTGTGTGTGTGTGTGTGTGTGCGCGTGCATGTGGCAACCTGTATATTATGGTATTTGGGGATCTATTACCAGGACGAAGATACGTAATAGACAGAACATATAAGAATTTTTTATTGACAAGCAATAGAAATATACTATTCAGCAATCTATTCAGGTATTGACAGGTATAGGTTTGTGACGTGTTACTCTGAGATCCTACCAAAGGATACAGAAGGAGCTTTAGCCAGCATTCCACGTGGTCCTACAGACTGACAGTCCATAGCCCAAGGCCCATTGGATGAGGACAGATTGAAACACAAGAAGAGAACGTAGTATCAAGTCCTATGGCTCCGTATAAACCACAGAAAAAAGTTGCTACCAGAATATGCTACAATTCCACTGGTGCTTCCTTAATGCCCCTTGGAACTAGATCCGTCTTCTCCGGTCTCACTTGACACTTTCCCTCAAAACTCAATCTGCCTGGCCCTTCCCCAAATCATATAGTAGCTCTTAAGCCACTGGAAGGACTGGAGCCAGCCTAAGGATTCCAAGTAGGAATTTTATGTTCCCTAGAAATAAGAAATAAAAGGTAACAAGATGTTCATGATCCTGTGGCAGCCAGAAAGAAGGCTTGTCATTCACTGGGGGTGTAACTTTTATTCTTTGAATAGCCATGTCTGATCAGGCTGCGATAGTCTAAGGGAAGGGATTACCTACACTCCATTTCTGCATTCTCCAGGAAGAAAAAGGCAGATAGCCAGGAAAAAGGGTGAATAGAAACCCATTTTTTTGCATTTTTAGAAAAACATATTTCTAAATGTGATAGAAATTCATCACTCAATTGTGCTTATCACATACAGATGATCCTTGACTTATGATGGGGTTACATCCCAATAAACCCATCATAAATTAAAATGATTGTAAGTCAAAAATTTGTTTAATATACCTAAGCTACCAAACATCTTAGTTTAGCCTAGCCTGCCTTAAACGTGCCAGAACGCTCACATCAGCCTACAGCTGGGCTAACTCATTTGGCAACACAGAGCACCGTGGAGTACCAGTCGTTTATCCTAGTGACCATGCAGCTGACCGGGAGCCGCGGCTCACAGCTGCTGCCCAGCATCTCGAGAGGGTATCCTACCATATATTGCTAGCCTAGGAAAAAATCAAAATTCAAAATTTGAAGTACAGTTTCTACCAAATGTGTCTCATTTTTATAGCACCACAAAGTTGAAAAATCGTTACATCAGACCATCATGGTCAGGACCATCTGTATTCAACATGACAAATCCCCCCAACTTTCATTCAACGAAGATTACCCCCAGATCTTGCTGACTTGGCACACAATCTCTTAAACAAGTCTCTAAACCTCTCTTTTTAAAGATTCATCAAAACCCAAACCTCATGCTATTACTGAACCAGTATCAATTTAAAAGTTTCCAATCAAAGAAGTTGTCAATGTTATTCAGCTACTGAACAACAAATTCCTGTCCAAAATAACAATTCTTGTTCAAAGATGAATTTCTCCAATATATCAAATCCAAATTGTAGAGTCACCAAGAAGGACAAACTAAAGGAATCCTTGTCATTTTATAACCTCTCTGGATGAAGAAAGGCTGTAGATAGAGTACTGTGAAAGATACACCCTTCAAAGAAAATGACTGAAGTTTCAGGTGAAAGATGAGACAGGACTTGACTGGCAAGTAAGATTTTAGTCCAGTGGTATTTCTCAGAGGAGGGATACCTGAAACCCTTATGAAAAGCCCTTATGAAAAGGAATTTAGAAAACACCACTAAATGCATCCAAGGCAGAGATCCCACAAGAAAGTTGGATGAACCAAAGAAAATGAGCCAGAAGACAGAGAAGAACCATACAAATAGAAACATCTAAATGGATAAAAGTTATAAACTGGGTGAGTTCTGTCATGGAACACAAGGGTGTAAGAGTGCCCAGTTACATGATCCAAGAGTATCAAGTGTTTTTCTCAACCCCATGGATCTCTCTTCCTAAATTCTGAACACCCAATTTGTAATTTTAATTTATCTCTTAAGAGAGAGACATCAGTAGCGCAATGGATAACGCGTCTGACTACGGATCAGAAGAGAGAGACATAAATTCCCCCCCACCACCACCGGGTTAATGTTTTATTCCAGACACTCAGACTCTCTTCTCTTTCACCACCCATGTGATGGCTGACTTCATCCAATCTAGCAGCATAGAGGACACATGACATGCTCCCTGTCCCTTTATAAGGACCTCCCACATACCCATCTTACCAAATAGGCATCTAATATAAATAATGCACAACTTAGCCTAACTCACATCACCTCAGGTGTTTGACAATTAGACTATGAACAAAAGTCACAAATTTCATTCAAACCCAGATGAGATGTTTGTCTTTTCTATTTCTACAATTTCCAACATAAAAACTTAGCCTTAAAAAACAGAAACAACCTAATAGGTTTTGTTCTGGTTGTTGATTTTAAGTAAATATGAGATGGAAGTCTAGAATACGTTTTTATCTCCTATTTAAGAATGTTCATGTTTCTATTTCCTGTCTTTGGATGCTTCCCAAGTACTTCTCAGATCTTTTAAATGCTTCAAAGTTTAGCTGATTTCCTAAATTTACATCCTTAAGAATTGTGGCTTTGAAAGTAATACATAATTCACCATAAACACTTCCCCGTATTTACTTTAGGTTTGAGCAAGCAGACCCCTGGGTTGTAATATGAATATTTTAAATTTGTCTGATCAATTCTGAATACTCTATTTGTCACAAACACTGGAAGAATTCATGTTTAAAAATAAAACAATGCTCAGAACTTCAAGGGTGGAAACTGATGAGCTGTGTCATTCAAAGGCCCTTCTTGGCCTGCCAGCTTTATCACAGCAACAGAGACTTGCAGTCGATGAAAAGAGGTTTCCAAGTTAACAAAATGTGTAGCACCAGAGGATATTAGAAAGGAGGCTAAGCTGATAAGTTAGAATGCGGAAAGTCACACTGCTTCCAGATAATTCCTAGAGTGTTTTTGTAGACTTTATGTAATGGAAAGGGTCCATTACAGCCATGTCCTTTTTCCTTAAGCTGAAAACTTCTTACAGAGTTTCACTGTTTAGGTTTCTGTATGTCTGACACTTGGAAAGATGGCTCTTCCCTGAAGACCACTAGAAACATGGCTGGAACAATTTAATTGCTCATGTTTATGTACATTTAACAACCCTACATTTGACTGAATTATAAAGACATTCTTATTTCTACACATGCACCATCTTCTCATGTTCCTTCAATATGAAAACTCATGTGTATCCTCTTCCAGAGTAAAATTTCAGATAATATATTTTTAGATGACAGGACTTTTCCTCCTGATGAACCTAAGAGGGAACCAGGAACTACTGGGGTTAAAGAAATGAGAAATTTTCTAAGATAGTCACATGCAAAAATACCACATTTGAATAAAAATGGTGAATATACAAGAGGGCACGGTTGACTGTACTGCTGGAAACCACTGTCCCATTCCAATACCCCCAAAAACACAGACTCTCAAAGAGTACACTGGCAACTCTGCATTACAGACGTCACTTCTGCTTTCCTTTATCATGATTAGGGGTCACAGTAGATGAGAACTGTTCCCTGAGTGATATAGGTAAATATCTTTCTGCACACACTATCACCTAGATAACAAAGTTTATATGCCATTGTCAACAGGAACAACTATGTTATGAAGAGGTAGACTGAGTCCCACTGTCCATTAACAAATGCTTCTAGAATGAACAATGGAATTTTAGAACTTGAAGGAACTTAGCAACTGTCTAGTCCAACCACTCATCTTGGCCAAGGTCACATTGTTGGAAGAAATAAGAATCAAGGCCCTTAATCTCAGTACAGGATATTTTCAATTTTGCAGGCCGATTGCCCACCAGTTGAAGAGATGAAATCTTCCTCTCTGCCATTTATTTTCGTTTCTAAATACCACTCCAGCATCTTACCTCATTTTCTTCAGTCTTTTAGCCTGGGGATTTTTCCAGCAAGATTATGTCAACTAAATCCACAGTGAACACTTTGCTGCCCATTCCTTCCTTTTCAGAGGGTCTTTTGAATGTGACCTTCATGGTATAAACCATTCAGTTATTTCCATTTCCTCTCACTGTCCTCTAGTCTCCCTACTGCCCTCCGCCTATGGCTGTTCCCCAGACTCTATCTTCTACTCGGGTCTTCAATCTGCAACTTCTCTGTGACTGGCTTCCAGAAGCTCTCTGAGCTTCAGACTCTTGTCTCCAGATGTTTCCTGCATATTTCTGTTCTTATCTCCTCAAATGCAACATATCCCCCAAAATCACCTACCTTACTGCATAATTTACTCAACTTCCTAAGAATATCATCATGTCCCCAATCATGCAAGTTCAGAACTTCAGTTATCTCACTCCTCCACCTTTACCCACTCATACTGATTTTTTAAAAATCAATTTCTTTTCTTTTCTTTTTTTTTTTTTTGAGACGGAGTCTCGCTCTTTCGCCCAGGCCAGACTGCAGTGGCGCTATCTCAGCTCACTGCAAGCTCTGCCTCCCAGGTTCACACCATTCTCCTGCCTCAGCCTCCCGAGTAGCTGGGACTACAGGTGCCCGCCACCACGCCCAGCTAATTTTTTGTATTTTTAGTAGAGATGGGGTTTCACCGTGTTAGCCAGGATGGTCTCAATCTTAAAAAAATCAATTTCTTTGTGTTCGTTTTTGAAGTCATCTTTCTTTTGGTTCCCACAAAAACCACCATAAACTAGGTTTTCAACAGCCTCTAACCAATCTCCCTATCTTCAACTTATCTTCACTCTTGAACATCTATTTCATCACATTAATCTGTTGTTCAAAAAAATCTTTCATTTTTCTTAACCAGGACCTTCTTCTCTAACTTGGTGGGTCTACTTACATTTTTTCATTGTACTTTCTCATTCCTATGCTTGCCCACAATAAATTCCACAGCTAGAATACACATCCTCCTAATTATCATCTCCAAATCCTGACTGTTTTCAATGGTGGTTCAAGTCCAGTGTCTGCAGTGAAGCTTTCTGTTGTGGTCTTGAATTTACGACTTTACTTATTCACCACCTTTCTTTGTGCACAATTTCCAACTCCTTTATATATTAGCCTTCTGAATATATCTGTCTTATCTTCTTGGTGTGGCTATAGGAACCAAATCATACATGTCTTTATCACTTCTGAAACTATCCCAATAACTACATTACATTATTTATTATATATTTTTAAATGAGGCATAGTAGGAGAATATTGGAGATAAAAATTCTGAGTTCTGACTCTTGTTTTGTTCTTTCTTGCTGAATGACCTTAGGCAAGCTACTCAAACTCTGTAAGCTTTCGTATCTATAAAATAGACATAATACCACCTACTTCATAGTGCTGTTGTACAGTACAGCTTAGCAGAATGTGTATGTATGTGTGTGTACACACAAACACACAACGTTTAACACAGTTTCTGGCCCATAGTGAATGCTTTTTAAACAGATGGCTAATTATAATTATGCACACCACAGGCACTCCTTTGTGGTCAATATTTTAAACCGAAAAGTTCTAAATATGTTTTCAAAATATGCTGTCAAGATTCCATCTCATGTTTTTTACACCATTGATTATCATATTGATATGATTAGGCTTTGAGTCCCATCCAAATCTCATCTTGGATTGTAATCCCCAGGTGTTTAGGGAGAGATCTGGGGGGAAGTGATTGTATCACGGGGGCAGTTTCCCATGCTGTTCTAATGATAGTGAGTGAGTTCTCACAAGATCTGATGGTTTTATAAGTGTGTGACACTTCCTCCTACCCACTCTCACTCTCTCTCTCTCCTGCTGCCATGCAAGACGTACCTGGTTCCCCTTCCAACAGGATTGTAAGTTTCCTGAGGCCTCCCCAAACATGTGGAACTGTAAGTCAATTAATCCTCTTTCCTTTATAAATTACCCAGTCTCAGGTAGTTCTTTAAAGCAGTGTGACAACAAATGAACACACATATTTAATACAAAATTACTTTTCTAAGCTGCATTCCAGAAGAGTAGGAAAGACACTTTCAATCTTCAAGCTGTGCCCAGTTGACAAGACCTAGTGTATAAAACTCTGTACAGACCAGTTTCATCCTTACACATAACCCAATCAACCATGATTTTCAGCAATTACCATTTTAATAATGGAGTTAAAGCAGAACTAAATAATTTTTGGGGAAGGCTAGAAAAGTTTCCAAACAGCCAAGTCAATAGGTACAAGTTTGGTGACGTAGGATTGCTAGAGCCTGTCAAAAACTGAAACTCAAGGCTTAGTGACCACAGTCAGCTTTTCCTATGAAGAAAGCCATGAACTTTACTTCAACCAATTACAAAGTCTAATCAATAGCTTTAAAAACCACAATGAAAGGCCGGGCGCGGTGGCTCACGCCTGTAATCCCAGCACTTTGGGAGGCTGAGGCGGGCGGATCACAAGGTCAGGAGATCGAGACCATCCCGGCTAAAACGGTGAAACCCCGTCTCTACTAAAAATACAAAAAATTAGCCGGGCGTAGTGGCGGGCGCCTGTAGTCCCAGCTACTTGGGAGGCTGAGGCAGGAGAATGGCGTGAACCCGGGAGGCGGAGCTTGCAGTGAGCCGAGATCCCGCCGCTGCACTCCAGCCTGGGCGACAGAGCGAGACTCCGTCTCAAAAAAAAAAAAAAAAAAACCACAATGAAAATGTTGCAATATGGTACATTAAAAACTAGTGACCCGGCCTTTTTTGGCTGAAGTAATTCTTTTTTTTCCCTAATGAAAGAGTCTTTTCTCCTTTGTGCAGCAGGTCACAACTTTCCTAGGTTAACGCATACTGTATTTAAAAAATCAGATACTACACCTCCACCTCCACAAAGGTTGCAGGAACTTTCCACCAGAAATATCTATGATCTCATGAAGGGAGGCTCCATCCCCATATAGAAAGTCAAAGCCACTGTCTCCCTCTGCCTTGCCTCATACCTCCCACAATGATGAGCAGCCACAGGGAAAATGTCTCTCTACACCATCACCCAAAGAACTTCCCTTCTAGGACCCCAGCTTCATTATTTCTGCACCCCTAGGCAGGAAAATTGCATGGTCTTACCGCAGATGTTAGACGCACAAGAATTTCATCACTGCTTTCTTCGGAGTCTTCAATTTTCTGATGAGACCTAAAAAAAAAAAAAAGAACAAATTACTTTTCAGTTTTAGTTGCTCAAATTTATCTACCAAGTTAGGAAGAATAAAGGGCAAATAATGTCATTGTTATTATATTAGCAAAAGTACTCATGAAAATAACAAAGGTTGTGACAGTAACTCCATAGGAACATAATCCTCTTGCAGGCCAAATGTTCTCACAAAATCAATTAGCAAGAACCTCTTTACAATGCACCAATTGAATCCTGACGATGGGGTATTACTCACCCCATGATACAGCAGAATAACCCTGACATGCCAGTTGTAAAATATATGGGCTTGCACAGAAGGTAGATGCAAATAAAAGGTGGTTAAGTGCTGAAATTTCCTAAATCTAAATGGAATCCAGATTTTGAAAATATGAAATGTGAACTTTCCACTGAAATTGAGTTTTAGCCAAAACAAACTTACTATAAAACGGTATTATTATAGGCCTAATACCACTATGGGAATTATGAGGAATATAAAAACGCAGAAGTTTTGTATGGCTTTGTATTTGCTTTCTCAAGAGATTACCGCCCAACTAAGAAGCTAAGAATATTATGCACGTGTTAAATAACTAATGAGATGTGTAACAATGTAAGATCAGTTTGTTTGTTTGTTTGTTTGGGGAAAACAATCTTTTTAACTTAATTCATGAAAAAAGACTTCACCAAATGTATATTCTAACAGACAAAATTATCTACTTCTTAAGAACAATCTCATAAACTACATTTTTTCCTAGTTTGGTCAAAGAAAAAAACTGACTAATGCTATTGAATATATAAAATTGTCTCCAAGATCTATTTCCACAAGCAATCCCTTTCAATGTATGCTGTGGACAGGGGGCGGAGGGGGGATTGGAGGTCACTGCCCTGCAGAGCAGTATTAACAGCATCACAGTCCAGTGATTGATTTCAATCTCAGTAACTACAGTGTGTCAGCTGCAACGCCAGCCTTATGGGGCAGGAGGGCTTCTCCCAGCTCATGGGACAGCTGAGAAGCAGCTCTTTAAGAAGGGAAAAGCCAGTTGGATCACTTCTGGCATTGCCTTCTTGTTTCTGTAAATGTTATTAAACCCTTTTCCAGAAAGAAAGTCCCACCCTTCAAATCACAGCAATGCACTACAAACCACTGCCTTTACAAAAATTGCAAGATACAGGTATGAAGCAGTGCTGATGTTGTCAAATAACTTAAGCGCTCATGCAGCAAAGTGTTTGAGATGCTTGCTAACAATCTGCCCAATAAAAACTGTGGGAACTGAGCATTATAACTTGGGATCTTTTTTTAATAAGGTTACCTGGATGATGAGTATTTTGAACAAGCTTTATTATTAAGATTCTCTATTCACAAGGCTTCTGTGGTTATACTGAGAACAGACTGGAAACGCTTTATAACCTCAACCACCAAACCAGATTTATGTGATTAAGCTGAGGTGACTGAAAAGACAGGAAATTAAGAACCAAAGGCACTAGAGGCAAGAGAACAAAACAAGGGCTTCTGCTGCTTTGTCTGTGTCTGTAGTGACACATGGGCTGGTTGTGCCTTTTCATGTTTCTCAGACCCCAACAGACACCCGAAGTATTAGTTAACGAGCATGAGGTATTTTGCACTAGCACAGATTCTCTCATAAATCTGTTTTCAACAAGCTGCTGAAAGGAACTCAAAATTCCAAGAGAAGCTCTTGTATACGAGACTGGTAACTAACGGTTGAGCTGCTGCTGTTTTAGTGACAAACAATTTAGTCCCTGTTTGGAAGCAAAACTGTCTTTCATTGATCTTCCAGCACAAACCATGCCTTAGCAAAAACATCTCTTAAGGAAATATGTGTAAGAGGGACAGAGTGATGATCTCCCAAGAGCTGTCCCACAGCCCATATCCCACTGTTATCACCTCAATCACCAAGATTTAAGCCCAGAACTCCCAAGTATCTCTCTAGCTTCTGGCTCTCCCCTGAGCTTGCCCTGTTTTTCCATCTGCCTTCAAAGTGGCTCTGTGTGGCAATTCCAGGAACTTTATTTTCACCCACATGGGTACCTTACAGGCTAACTCAACCTAACTCACACTGAACTCCTCTCTTACCTCCTGCCCTCAGCTCTCCCCTTGGAATCATGGGTCCTGTTCACCCTAGAGCCATCCCTTCCCTCCTCACTCCGGCCTTTGGGAAGTCACCAGATCCTCTCACTTCCCTTCCTTCCCTGCCAAGCCTCTTCGACAGTCTAGGCTCTCATCTTCGCTTGAACAAATTATTTTAACCACCTTCTGACAAGCTTGTCTCTGGCTTCTCTTCTTGTACCCAGATGCCTAAAGATATCAGGATCACCTTTCTAAAACCCAGATCTGGTCCTGCTCTTCTCCAGACTCCAAACCTTCAAGGATTTTCCTCACTTGCCCACTGAGAGCTCTAGAATTCGGAAATGCTCTTCCTTCCCTGCTAACATGCCCCATGCCCCGCTGCACCAGCACGCAACTGTCCCTCACCTGGTGTAAAGGAAGGTCATGAAGGCAGGACTGGTAGCAACAGGCAACAGCGGGAGAGCCTGAAAAGGGGGAAAGAAGAGAGAAGGCAATACTCGGCCACTCTCCTTTCTTTCACCACTACGGTCACTTTTTACCTTAAACCTCCTCCTCAGCTCTAGACTAAATCGCCCAAAAATACCAGACTCTCTTTTCTCCAGCAAATGTACCTTTTACAAAATTTAAACACATTCTGTTTTAATGTGTGTAAATACTTTTCAGTGCAACCCAGGAAAGACAAAGTTCTCACTTATCCAATCAAAATAAATAAGGAAACAGATGCAGCAGAGGAAAAGCAAGTATAACACTTGCATGTTTTCCATTATTACTAAAGGGGGCTGTGCTGCTCGTGAATGAGAGAGAGAGAGAGACAGAGAGAGAGAAGCTGTGGGTCTAGTTTGTCAGTGATTAGAGAAAGAAAATAAAGAAACTCTTACTGGAATCAGCAGGTAATGACAGTGACAAGTGACATAAGACAGAAAGAGAAGAGAAATAGAGTGACCCCTGGAAGGAAGATCCCTCCCTGAGGGTTTATGCCAACAGATGCTCTCCTTTAGGAATTCCCTGGGTTACCTTTCAAGGTCTCTGCTTACCAATGCCCCAAGCCAGACCTGGTAACTCTCCAGGGGAGAGTGCTGAGTCCTGGTGCTCTAGGCAGATGTCTCTGTAAGTTCAAGAGGTCTGCAATATCTAAGGGTGTCACTGTGAGGATGCAGAGATGACAAAAACCTATGGTCCTCCACCCTCATCCCTCTAACCATCAAACTGGATGCATTATCATTATGTCCACTCCTACCCAAAAGGAAAATAACAAAAAGCCCTGCCCTTCCTATAGTCTTCCTCACCTTAATTGATGGAAACTCCATCCTTCCAACTGGAAGTCATTCTTGAACCCCTTTCTCTCATACTCTGCCTTGTATCCACCCTGAAATCCTACTGGCTCTTCAAGACATATCTCTCACCTGACCACGTCTCACCACCTCCATCACTGCCACTGTGGTCCCAGCCACAACATCTCTCACCTGGACTCAGAAGCCAGCATAGTCTTGCTAAAATGTAAGTTAGTTCATGTCCCTCTACTCAAAATCCTTGAATGACTTCCCGTCTCACTTAGCATAAAGCCAAAATCTTTTTATACTTAAAAATATGTAATTAACAAAGATATCTATTCAAGGTGTGCCACATGATTATTTGTGAATACACTGTGATTAGCACAATCAAATTTATTAACACCCATCACCACTCATGCTGTACATTAGACCTCCAGAACTTGCTCAATTTAATAAATGAAAGTTTGTATGCTTTGATCAACATCTCCCCATTTCCCCTACCCATGATGTCTATATTCTAGACAAGTAAGTTTTGCTTAACAAAGCAAATTCCTATGAAAAAAGAAGTGGGATGGTGGAAGAATGAGAATTAGATTTTTCTTGAGATCTTTGATATCATGAATACAAACATTGTTCACCTTCTCAAGAGAAGATAATTTTTCATAGCTTCTGGCTACTAGTTATGCTTATAGAAAAAATGTACTAAAAGGGAATTATGAATGGGAAAGGTTTCATTAAGAGTCCAGAGTGTATAGTTATATATTAATCTAAACTGAATAAAATTAGATTTTTCACATTTGATTTTGAGGATTTGAGTATTAATGTTTAATATTTAATTAGATGGCTCAATTTCAAATGCTAATATAATCAGGCCTAGATGTCCAATTTTTGCAAAATTCCTGTACTACTCTTAAACATAAGTGTACTCTGATAAAGATAAGCAATCTGTTCCCACACCTGGAATAAGCCTTGTCTATAAACAATGGAAATTTTGAAGGACTTAGTGTTTCCTTGGGAGAGGAGGTAATGAGTAATCACAAAGACTAGGACTAGCTGATTTCATAACACTTTTTACAAAAACAGTTTAAAGTAATAAGTGGAAATTTTGTTCACTTACGATGCCAATACAAATCTTATGCCAAGTTCCATCACAAAAATTTTTTGAAAAATACTAAAAAAAAAAAAGTTTGTTTACCCACACGGTATTTCCTCCTCTCCAAGTGTCATGAGGATCTAATTAGGAAAAGTAAAGTTAGGAGTACAAAGGGTAGGCTTCAGACATCGGAATAGCAGACTTGAACTTAAGCTCTCTGGCCAGAGAGTGTGAATCCATCACCATTTCAGAAACTAAGGAGGCCAAGGGATGTCTCATGTTGCTAATAAACATCAGGTAGTAAGAAAAAACCAGGCAGGGTAAGGAGAACAAAGGAGGCAGAAGTGAGGGGTGGTGGAGGTGCTATTTTGTATAGGGTGGTAAGAGGAGACAGGGACCTGAATTTTGGAAACCATCACTGTGAGACGATGTTAAGTACATGACTGGGTGAGGGCACATCCAAAGTGAGAGCAGAAAAAATAAGAGAAGTCCAAGACTGACCTCTACTGTGTTTAGAGGTCACTGCTTCAAAATGAAGGTTTCATTATTTAGGGACAGCCAGTCTGAATAATCTGAGGCAAACAGCTCAAGAGATGACTGGCATTAAAAAGACAGTTTTTTACTCACAGTTCCCAAGAGAAGGGGGGATGACACACAAGGAGGAGCCACACAGGGAGGCACCAGTGTCAGTCAGGAGGCAGAGGACATGGGGGAAGATGTGGGAAATAACCTCTATTGTGATTTCCCCAGAATAGAACGGGTAAGGCAGGGTAAACAGGCTGAGGATAGACTGTTTGATTAACTTCAGCAGGACCAAAAGCATAGGGACTGCCCCTAACTGTTTGGTACCTGGAGCTGGGGTGATTAGGGCAGGTGAAAAGTAGCCCAGAAGGTGAAAGCCCAATAAAAAAAAGTGGTTATGTTATGAGCTCTGGAGTGGCTGGCTTACCTATGAAAGGTATGCTCCCAGCAAAGCTAGCAGGTAAGTTCTCTACTGTCTCTAGGAATGGACTATTCCTGGGTTGGGCAGTCTTTCCAGGGTCAGCAAGGCCCCAGATGTCAAAGCACTGAAACACAGTTAATACAATCAGGAAAAGGAAAGATTAGCAAAGGAGCCTTAAAAGCAGCAGCTAGTGAGACAGAAGAGCCAAGAGATGTTATCCCAGGGGCCAAGTGGAAAAACTGCTTCCAGGACATGATCAATTGTGCCAAATGCTGCTGTCATGTCAAGTAAGATGAGGACTGAAAAATCAGCATTTTGGCATTTGGCAACATGGAAGACTTCTGTAATCTTGACAAGGTTGCCTTCAGTGGAGTGGTACTGTTGAAAGCCTGAATGGAGTAGATTCAGAAAAGAATAGAAGAGGTAGAGAAAGTAACCATAAATATATCTTTTGAAGAGTTTTGCTGTAAAAGGGAACAGAGACATTGTGCAGCAGCTAGAGGGAGATATAGGGAAATATCAACACATGCTGAAAAGAACAATCCAGTAGAGGAAAAAGCTGATGAAGCAGGAAAAAAATGAGATTTCAGAAATGAGATCCTTGAGTAGGGGTGCAGAGATGGGATCAGTGCACAATGTGAGGAAACTGACCTTAAATAAGAATGTGGACCATGCATCCATTTTTATCAGGAGCAAAGATAGAGTCCACCAATATAGATGCAGGCAGGTTGACAGATTTGGTAAATAAAACATGAGAAAGATAGTTTTTAAAATGTTCCTTTCAATGAAATAAAAAGCAAGGAAAAAGAGGTAAGAGGGGAGCAATTGTGATACAGTTTTCTAGGAGACTGAATATACCAAGAAATGAACAGGACCACCCCACAGCATTGAAGACCCACTCAAGATTAAAGGCCATGAATATAAAATGAGACTGATCATCCTTAGACTCCTTAACGAACCACCTCTTCCATCTACCTTTAAAATCTGACAGAACAAGACGCTAGATGGCCATGGCCAGTGATGGCTGAAGAGAGAGGAAGTATTAATCCTGTGATTTTTTTTATGTATATAACTATGTCATCTGCAAGGAGAGATGGCTTTATGTTTTCCTCCAAATATATGCCTTTTATCTCTTTTTCTTGACTTTTTGCACTGGCCTGAGTGGAAGAGGTGTACTAAGAGAAGACATATTAGCCTTGTTCTGATCTTAGTAGGCAAGCATTTAGTCTCTTACCATTAAGTATGATGCAAGCTATGGGTTTTGTATAAAGTCTTATCAGATTGAGGAAGTTCTCTTATATTTCTATTTTTCTGAGAATTTTTATCTTGAAGGGTTAAATTTTCTCTAATTCTTTGTCTGCATCTATAAAATTTATCATATAATTTGTCTATTTTTAGCTTGTGAATATGGTGAATTATATTGAATGATTTTTGAGTGTTGAGCCATCCTTGTATTCCTAGGGTAAACTCCCCTTTTTCATAACGTATTTATAATTTTTATATGTGAGGAAGATTGTGTCTATGCTAATGAGTCATATTGTTCTGTTTTTTGTTTTTTTTTTTTTTGAGACGGAGTTTCACTCTTGTTGCCCAGGCTGGAGTGCAATGGCGTGATCTTGGCTCACTGCAACCTCTGCCACCCCAGTTCAAGCGATTCTCCTGCTTCAGTCTCCCGAGTAGGTGGGATTACAGCCATGCACCACCACGCCTGGCTAATTTTTTCATATTTTAGTAGAGATGGGGTTTCTCCATATTGGTCAGGCTGGTCTCAAACTTCTGTCCTCACGTGATCCGCCCGCCTCAGACTCCCAAAGTGTAGGGATTACAGGCATGAGCCACCGCGCCCGGCCTTACTGTTTTCTTTCTCTGAAATTTGTCATGACAGTGCTGGCCTCATAAAATGAATGTGAAACAGTCACTCCTCTTTAATTTTCTGAAAGAGGTTATATAGAAATGACATAATTTGTCTATGGTCATACAACCCTGAAGGTGCCTGATCTTGTCCTATCTTAGAGGCTAAGCAGGATTGGGCCTGGTTCGTACTTGGATAGGAGAAATGACATAAGTTATTTTTTAAATGTTTAGTTAAATCTGCCAGTAAACTTATGTAAGCCCATTGTTTCCTTGTTTGAAGGGCATCAACTACAAATTCAATTACTTTAGTATACATAATTCTATTCAGATTCTTGTTGAAGGACCATAGGTAGTTAATGTCTTTCAAAGAATGTGTCCATTCCACCTAAGTTTTCAAATTAATGATCACATAGTTGTTCATAATATTCATTTGTTAGCTTTCAAATGTAAGTCTGCAGTGATATTCCTTCTTTTATTCCTGATATTGGCAATTTGTCTTTTTGTTTTCTTCAACACTCTGGTGAGAGATTTCGTACCTTTTTTTTTTTTTTCAAAGAACCAACTTAGTTTCATTATTTTTTTTTCTAATTTCTTTTCACTTACATCAATTTTTGTTATCTTTATTAATTCCTTCTTTGTAGTTTGTTTTTCTTTGGCTAGCTTTCTGAGGTGGAAGCCCTGATCATTGATCTAAGACATTTATTCTTTCCTAATATAAGCATTAAAATCTATCGATATTCCTCTAAGTATTGCTTTAGCTGCATCCCATAATTTTGAGCATGTTATGTTTTAATGTACATTCTATACTAAATATTCCTTATTTCCTTTGGGACTTCCTCTTTCACCCATGAGTTACTTCAAAGTATGATGATTTCCAAATAGTAGATTTTACAAATATCATTTTACCTTTAAATATATTATTGTATATGCCTCTTTATCCTTCCCCAATTATCTTTTGTTATAATCATAATATGTATTACATCTACATACACTGAAAAGCCCACCAAATGTTTCCTTTCAATAGTCATATATATTTTAAAGAAATAAAAATAAAAAATGCCTTTGATTTTTATCTAAATATCTACCACTTATGTAGCTTTTCCTTTATTCCTGAATTTCCAACTTTCCCTCTGATATTGTTTCTATTCAACCTGAAATTTTTCCTTTAGATTTCTTTTAGAAACAGTCAGCTAGCAAAAAATTCTGTTAGTTTTCCTTCATCTGAGAATGTCTATTTCACCTCCATTTTTAAAATCTGTTTTCATTGTAGAGGATTGACAGTTCTTTCTCCCCCCTCCACCCTCCCCCACCTTAAAGACTTTCTTCCACTGGCTTCTGGCCTCCATGGTTTCTAACATAAAACCTCTAATTATTTGAATCATTACTCCTCCTGTAGGTAATGTGTCATTTTACTCTAGCTGCCTCCATGATATTTTCATTATTTGTTTCTTAGTTGTTTTTAAGTATCTAGGAGTGTGTTTCTCTGAGTGCTCCTGTTTGGGGTTCACTGGACCTCTTGAATCTACAGATTTGTCTCTCACTCAATTTGGGAAGCTTTTCGTCATTATTTAAAAGTTTTTTTTCTGCACCAATCTCTTTGTCCTCTCCTGGGATGCCAACATGTGTTAGACTTTACTACAGTGTCCACCAAGTCCCTGAGACTATTCATCTTCTTCAATGTTTTTTTTCTTGTCCTGCACACTGGATAATTTATAATGAGCTATCTTCAGGTCACGTCTATTTTGCTATTGAGCCAATTCAACAAATTTTTAATTTCAAGTATGTTTTTCAGTTCTAAAACTACATTTGGTTCTTTTTTTATTGTTTGTTTTCTATTTCTTGACTAACAACTTCTATCCCTCTATTCATTTGAAACTTGTTTACCTAATGGGGCATAGTTAAAATAGCTGTTATCAAGTCTTTAATAATTTCAATATCTGAGTCATCTCAGGGTAGACATTAATTGCTTTTCCTTTGACAAATGGTCATATTTTCCTGATTATTTTGTGTCAAGTAATTCTGTATTATATCCTGGCCATTTTGAACATAATGCTATACAGCCTCAATGATTCCAGCTGCAGTTCAGTTTTCAATGCCTTTTCTATGGTACCTTGGGTCTGTCCCGCAGATGTCCAGCTCAGGAAACTCACATTTGTGTAGTTCATACACAAAATTAATGAAACCCTTCCCTAGGTTTACCCTCTCCTGGATTCCCCTACACTCTCAGACTAGCTGGGGCTCCTCTGCCCAGTTCTGACCAAAACCAAACACTCCTTGTCTATCATCTGCCTGCACTGCCACCACCACAGAGCTCTGAACCTGGGACAAACCTGTAAGAAAAAAGGAGAATCAAGACAAGGATTTCTCCATCCACCCCACCCCATCACACTCTTCAAAACTACAGGGACCCATTTTCCTGATTCTTCTTGCCAGAAAGATGGGGTTTCTACTATAGATTTTGACAACTGTGCCACCACTGATCTCCCTGTCTACATCTGAGGCCTGCCTTTGAGGCAACGCTGGGAAATAAAAGAAACGGAAAGGGAAAACTCACACCTGTGTAGGTCACTTCTCCAAAGTTTCACTTCGTTCCATAATTTGCCTGCTTTTGTTTACTTTTGAGGGGCCTCGGGTAGTTATTGTTTGTATTTTATCTAGAGGTTTCAGCTGTAATCAATACAAGAGATAGGCTGTAGTAGACTTGCTCCATCTTGGCCTGAACCTGTAGCTCCATCAATAGATTATTCTTCATAAGACTCTTCAGTGGAATTCGTTATTATCTTGCCATAGTTAACGTCTCATAAACAAGAGGCCAAAAAGTCAAGGTTTGCAGCAAAAAAATTAAGAGTAGGGCCAGGCGTGGTGGCTCACGCCTGTAATCTCCGAACTTTGGGAGGCCAAGGCGGGTGGATCACAAGGTCAGGAGATCGAGACCATCCTGGCTAACACAGTGAAACCCCATCTCTACTAAAAATACAAAAAATTAGCTGGGCGTGGTGGCGGGCGCCTGTAGTCCCAGCTACTTGAGAGGCTGCGGCAGGAGAATGGCGTGAACCCGGGAGGCGGAGCTTGCAGTAAGCCGAGATCGTGCCACTGCACTCCAGTCTGGGTGGCAGAGTGAGACTCTGTCTCAAAAAAAAAAAAAAAAAAAAAATTAAGAGTAGATAGGCCGAAAATATGCATTTCAGTTCTATTGTTAAATGTAATAAGATAATGAAAATGTAGAAAACACAAAAGACAGGAATAACCTATAACAAAAACTAATTTTCAATAGTTGGGAAGAGCTGAATATTCCACACAGTAATTACAGATTTTTTTATGAATTTAGAAATGAACTGTATGACATATTTTCATTTCTCAGGAAATAATTTTGGTTTTTTTCCCACAGCTTCAGAACCTTTGTGATAAGCTCCCAGGTATCACTTGTGGCACACGACTTGCCAGCTTGTTATCTGTATGAACTGAGCTCAACCCCTGTTAGTCGCTGAAGGCCTTACATTATTTACATATCGTCATATCCCTCACAAGGCCAAACACGGAAGCTTAAGATCAGTAGATGCCTGGTAAGTAAGTCGCTCCACAGAGTGCTGGTGACAAGTGGTTGTCTTTTCCCAGACCCTCTGCTCCCTGTTCATCTTCCTCACCTAAACATTAAGAGAAGCAAATTCCACGATCTTGTAATCCCTTTTGGATACAAATATGTATGAAGCTAAATTTGTGGACTTTTCAGAAGTGTCAGCCAAGTGGCGACAGGCAGCATGTTTGGTAAAATCTTTCTATCACAGTAATATTAGCCAGTCAGGACAGAGAGGGGGCTGTTTCAGCAGAAGCCATGTGGCTGAACAGGGTGTATATGGGAGCCACAGCCAGACCTTAGGAGTGTCAGCAATGCCAACAGACATCTAGGAAGGCCAATCAGCCAGGCAGGACCACCAGCATTAATCAAGCTGACACCCAACTTACACCAGCCTCATGCTCCAACAGCAGATGCCAAAAGAATGCCAAGAACAGTTATATCTCAGGGGCACAAAGGAGCTGGCTGCCTATCCACTCGCAAGACCAGTGAGGATGAAAAAATGCCTACTCTGACAGGAGAGCCTCCCCTGTCCTCCTCTGCCAAGGTCAAGGCGCCCAGACCACTCGCCATGTACCCAGAGGCTACCTTGAGAAACAGGGAGAAATACAGAGACTGGGCTCTTTTACTAAAAGACACTAAAAAGTTAACTAGAGAGACTTTTTAAATTCCTGTATTAGAATAACTTTACTAAAGGGTGCTTCTTCCCCCCACCCCACCCCCGCCTTTTTTTTTTTTGGTCATTCTGCAGGATGGCAGTTCATGTAGACAAACATCAGATCACTTAGAGAAAAACAAAGAAGCTACATTTTCTTTCCATATTTGAGTGCAATATGAGTTAAATTTTAGCAGTCCTCTCTATCTTAATCACAGCATAAATGTTAACTATTGTGTAAGTGGTAGGATACAGTTTTATGCATTCAAGCTTTACAGACTGTCTATTCAAAGCCCTACCCACTCCCACCCCTGGCAAGCTGGGAGCTGCTATAACCACAGCTGAATTGAAATAGTCAAGTTCCCTCACAGCCTAAAGGCCCAAACAAGGTAGTGTTAGAAGCATCTTACCAGTCCCAAGGGAATAATTAGACTGCCTTTTCCTACGCTGTTATTTCATCATTCCTCACCCATTCTTCCTCAACTCTCTGCTTAAAATAAAAGAGCTAGAAACAGTACATTCTGGATAACTTGATTTGGCTGTCTGTTGGAAGGAGATACCATAACTGTTCTTTTTTCCCCCAGAGATAGTACCCTTGACAACTGATTCAGTCACTTTTTTTTTCTAATTATCTATTCAGTTTGGGTATAAAAGTTATTTTGTATAAAATTCTGTTTCTTCAAACTAGCTTAGAAAACTTCCAACAGCTTCATTTCCCCTCCTGCTTTAAAGATTCTTTTTTAAATGAGAAAAATCCCCTTTACTATTTTTAGAAATGCATTTGTATGGAACAAAATTGTGTTTACATAGAGCCATTAAATGGTTTCCTTGCATTATTTTGAAGACACTTAGAAGACAGCAAATTAGAGGGGCCTAATGTAGATAGGCTCACACAGGTAGGTATCAGTAGCCTTTAAACGTCAAAAAGGTTATTAAAAGGAACACAAAATTGGGTTTTCAGCAAATGAATGGACAATGTAAGAATCAAGAGGGCACTTGAATAAAATGGATAGAAACAAAGCATCATAGAACTAAGAATGACATGGAAGCATGGAATTTTTTTAAATACAAAATGCAAGAGCAGTAAGTTACTGAAAGCAGTAGCAACATGGACTGGAGACATCATGGAAGTTTTGTGGTCAAGGCAGGACTGGGGCTTCCCCTTGAGGGCTGGGTAGAATTTGACTGGAAAAAGGCAAGAAGAGCAGAGGAAAGAGCAAGAGTATCACACTGGCATGAGGAAGTAAAGAGGGGTGGGCCAGGGGTGAAAAGAATGGGATAGGATCATGCATGTGCAACCATAGAAAGTACTGGGACAGAGCAACTGAATGAGGACAATGTCCATGGACATCTTTTCTCTGATCACAGTATATTCCAAGTCTAGATAAGCCAAAGCTTAGATCTCCAAAATTAGGCCAAAAACATTCTACCATAACATAAAAGTTGGCTTATGATGGTAGTATTGAAAAAAAAAAGGTATATACTGTCTCTCTCTAGAAGAGACCTGCAATGGTTTAATAATTTTATCTTTATATATTTAGTACTTTAGAACAGACAGGTCCATAGGTTCCCCAATGACAATTTTGCTGTATGAGTCAGTTACTACTCCCAAATGCACACATTCACACCAACAGAAAAAACTTGCTGATAAACATGGCATGCTATATAGCAATTCTCAACTCCAGAGCCTAAGATTTGTGTTTACAGTGATCAGTATGACAAAAGACTGCAAGTAATCTGGAGTTATTATTAGGTTGCAAATTTTAAAATTTTTCATTTTTAGAAATTAGAGTAGACCCAAGGTTTCTCTACAACAAGGTCATTTCACTGGCATTCCAATTTGTTTTCCGAGTGGCGGAGAAGGAGGTGGAGTTAAATCACGAGGACAGCTTGCAAGTTTATTTCCACAGTCCCATGCCCCAGTGAATCTGGGCATGCACATGGGATTATGCACACCTCCATCTTGTGTGCAGGACAGGAAAGGCTGAAAGGAGCTGCTGAAGAACGCCAGTCCCAAACAGTCACTGCTAGCCACAGCCATCTCTGGTTTAAAATCATGCCACTCCTTTTTAGGAAGCTTGTTAAAGTTCATTGAACTGCTCCTTGACTTTTCTCAGGACACTTCTGACCTATATTAAGAGCATATCACAATACAGGACATTTCCTAGAGTGAGACCAATTGAATGGTATCTGAATTCTGCTTTACTATTGCAAGGCCCTTTATAGACAGCAGTGATGGGAAATCCATAATCATTTCACCAGAGCTTAGTCTAACACTTTTATAGCTTCTGTTTATAATTTTATAGGAAGGGGTCCTAGAATGATCCCCATAACTTGTGGGGAAGGACACATAATATCAGGTGTTAAAAGCACAGTCATTAAAGCCAGACACACACAGATTCAAACACTAAAACTCCACTTAATCCTTGTGTGACCTTGGACGGGTTACCCGATCTCTGTACCTAATTTCCCCTCTTATTTAATAGAGATAATAATAGTACCTGTCTTATAACATTCTTCTGAAAGTAAAATAATGAATATAAAGCATTCAGCACAGTGCCTGACCTAAAATTCATTCTCCACAATCAACCTTTCTATTAGCACAGTCTCATCAATATTCTGAAGCTTATTCTCCTAAAAACAGTCCATATTAACTATTCAGTATTGTCATTTAACAGGAGATTTTATTTATTTTTTCTCTTTTTTTATCTTTCTGGGTACAGAGTAGGTATATATATTTACGGGGTACATGAGATGTTTCGATACAGGCATGCAGTGTGAAATAAGCACATCATAGAGAATGGGGTACCTATCCTCTCAAGCATTTATCCTTTGAGTTACAAAAAATCCAATTGCACTCTTTAAGCTATTTTAAAATGCACAATTAGGTTATTATTGGTATAGTTACCCTGTTGTGCTATCAAAGAGTGGGCCTTATTCATTCTTTCTAACGTTTTTTTGGTACCCATTAACCATCCACACCTCCCCACTAGTCCCCAATTACCCTTCCTAGCCTCTGGTAACCATCCTTCTACTGTGTTCATGAGTTCAGTTGCTTTCATTTTTAGACCCCACAGATAAGAACATGCAATGTTTGTCTTTCTGTGCCTGGCGTATGTCATTCAACATAATGCCCTCCAGTTCCATCCATGTTGTTGCAAATGACTATCTCTCATTCTTTTTTATGGCTGAATAGTATTCCATTGTGTATATGTACCACGTTTTCTTTATCCATTCATCTGTTGATAGACACAGAGGTTGCTTCCAAATCTCAGCTGTTGTGGACAGTGATGCAAAAAACATAGGAAAGCAGGTATCCTTTTGATATATAATCTTTCTTTTGTGTATACACTCAGCAGTGGGATTACTGGATACTATGGTTGCTCAATTTTTACTTTTTTGAGAAACTTCAAACTGTTCTCCATAATGGTTGTACTAATTTACATTCCCACCAACAGTGTACAAGGGTTCCCTTTTCTCTGCATCCTCCTCAGCATTTGTAATTGCTGTCTTTTGAACATAAGCCATTGTCTTTTGAATATAAGCCATTTTAACTGGGGTGAAATGATATCTCACTGTAGTTTTGATTTGCATTTCTCTGATGATCAGTGGTGCTGAACACCTTTTCATAAACCTGTTTGTCATTTGTATGTCTTTTTTTGAGAAACTGTCTATTCAGATCTTTTGCCCATTTTTAAATTGAATCATTAGATTTTTTCCTATAGAGTTGAGTTCCTTATATATTCTGGTTATTAATCCCTTGCCAGATGGGTAGCTTACAAATATTTTCTCCCATTCTGTGGGTTGTCTCTTCAATTTGTTCATTGTATCCTTGCTGTGCAGGAAGATCTTCAACTTAATGTGATCCCATTTGTCCATTTTTGCATTAGTTGCCTGTGCTTGTGGAGTATTGCTCAAGAAATTTTTACCCAGATCAATTTCCTGAAAATTTTCCCCAATCTTGTAGTTTCATAGTTTGAGCTCTAAAAGTCTTTAAATCATTTTGATTAGATTTTTTATATGGTGAGAGATAGGGGTCTAGTTTCATTCTTCTGCATGTGGATAGCCAGTTCTCCCAGCACCATTTATTAAAGAGACTGTGTCTTCCTCAGTGCATGTCTTGGCACCTTGTTGAAAACGAGTTCACTGTAGGTGTGTGGGTTTGTTTCTGGGTTCTCCATTCTGTTCCATTGGTCTATGTGTCTGTTTTCATGCAATTACCATGCTGTTTGGGTTACTATAGCTCTGTAGCATAATTTGAAGTCAGGTAATGTGATTCCTCCAGTTTTGCTGTTTTTGCTTAGGGTAGCCTTGGCTATTCCGGATCTTTTGTGGTTTCATATAAATTTTAGGATTGTTTTTTCTATTTCTGGGAAGAATGTCATTGGTATTTTGGTTGGGATTGCATTGAATCTGTAGATTGCTTTGGGTAATATGGATATTTTAACAACATTGATTATTCTAATCCATGAACATGAAATATTTTTTCCATTTGTGGTGTCCTCTTGGATTTCTTTCATCAGTGTTTACAGTTTTCATTACAGAGATCTTTCACTTCTCTGGTTAGTTCCTAGGTATTTAATTTTATTTGTGTCTATTGTACACGCTGGTGTAAATGGTGGAGGTGAGGTGGTATCAGTGATTCAGTACTGTTTTTTCTATTTCTTCAGTGCTCCTTTCAGCAATATGGAACTATAACCGGGTATTATGAGTGCTCACCTGATTTTTGGTTCTTATGAAGGTCTTTTTTTCTGTGTAGATAGTTGTTAAATTAGGGTCACTGCCTGGGAGACAATTGGTGGAGACTTCAATTCCCTAATCTTGCTCCACCTCCTTCTCAACAGTCAACTGTCATTTTTTTAACTAATAAGAGTTACCCTTGTTATGGTTATACAGGTATTTCTCTCTGAACCTACTTTCTTATCTATGACATAAAGACCATACTGCTTGCCCCCGCTAATATCATAGAAGTGAAAGAGTCAACAATATGGGAAAGCATTCTGGACACTGAAGTGTTCTGCATATGTAACAGTTTTTAACTGAAATTTTAATCCATAACTCATAATTCTAAAATAAGCTATCACCATGGATAAACAAAGTCATGTCAGAATCACCACATCATGACTCAAGTCCTGTTCCCAAGCCTTCCCTAATTAATTTTAATTCATTTTAATCATATAGTGATTCAGTATCTTCATGTGATGATTCACGTGTTTTAATTTGCCAAATGTTGCTTCTAGACTATTTTCAGAAACATTCTGTTGAGCTCTTAGGAAAGTCACGATTTGGATAGCGAATAGGATGGGAGTTACTATTTTATTCCAACTTAAGCCCAATCATATGTTTTTTCTTAATTTAGATCATCTACTCCTATAACAATGATAATTTAGAAACCACATGGTACAGATGGTTAGGCATAGGCTTCTGGGATTTAAATACCAGTTATTTATTAGCTGGATTTAATTTTCTGCAATTTATTTTATCTTTCTAAATGTGCATCTGAAAAATGGGGATAGTAACTCCCTCTTAAGTGAGACAGTGATCTTAAAGAGCAGAATATAGTCCCTAGACATGGTAAATGTTGTCTAAGTGTAAGAATACAATGGCACAAGAGAGCATCTACTTACAGTTCACAGATGCCACCTCTGGCAGGAATGAGAGGCACAAGTTGCAGTAAAAGCTTGACACCATTTTGCCATTCTTCTTCTCTTTCAAATTCACAGTACAAGTAGCTACATTCATCAGAGGAAAACTGGTAGAAAACATAAGTATCTTGAAAGTATAGATGCTGGTCCACTGTTTGAAACAAAAAATATATAGATCAATTTTTTAAAAGATATTACTCAGAGAGTAATAACTCAAATGATAAATTGAAAGCCCTAATAATTGGGAGCAATCAGGGTTAAGACTATAATTATACATTCTAAGCTCATTCATGTTTATAATCCCATTGAATTGGAAAGGACTTACTGACTAGTCTATTTTTACTACTAGAAGCTCTGGCCAGCATATTCACATGTATTCATATTTTTTCTGCTTCAGAGACAGGTGCAGATAAAATCAATAACAATTCAAAGAGGATGGGGAGAAATCTTTTTTAGTGACCCAAAGCAAATTAGTATATTTAATTAATTTAGTAATACAGAAATACAACATAATGGCAAGTTTTAGATCAATGATTCTCAACTTAGGGTGACTGTGCCTCCCCCAGGGGACATTTGGTGACGTCTAGACATTTTTGGTTGTTACATTTTGGGGGCAGAGCGCTACTAGTATTGGAGGGTAGAAAAAAGGGATGCTGTTAAAAAAAACCCTACAATGTACGGGACAGCCCGTCACAACAAAGAACTATCTAACCCAAATGTCAATACTACCAAGGTGGGGAAACCCTGTTTTAAAGGAATCAAGAGCTAGAGATTTTTCCAAAAGGTATTAGTACAAAATGTTTTGCTAACCAAAAGCCTGAAACTATCAAGTATCCTAATAATACCTCCATTCTTCAAAGGTAGTTAACTAATTTTATAAATAAGAGTATTCGGTGCTAGGTACTATTGACTATCTAAGAAGATTACACCCACGTCCATATCTGTACCATTCTTTCACAACAGGACCAGGGGTATGCCCTTGATATTTATTACCTATAGGAAAAAAGTGCTTTTCAGTGACCAACTAGCAGCTGAGAGACTGGGCTAAATAAATAATCCAGATTGCTCGGTTTCTAATCCTTCAGTTCTCTGGGCTCAACTAAGAAAAGAGATATCCATCACCTATTTTAGTTGCCAGTTAACATCTACTTTCTGTTCAGTCTAAACAGCTAATTTTCATAGGTCATATATCAAAGTGTTCATGATTACTTAGTCAATTAAAATGGCATAACATCCCACTCATAAAATCAGTTTCTGATGATTATCCTAACTACAAGATAAATCACACACTTAGAGCAACTAAAGATGTCACTGATTTTGAAAAAAGTTTGTAAGCAGCATATTGAGTTCAGAAGAAAGGAAGTAGAGGAAGGACTCCTACAGGTAATATTAGTCTATGAATCAGCAAGTATCTAATAATTTTTGCAAGAATTGTAAGAGAAATAAGTGAATCAAAAGATGACCTGTCACTTAGAAAATAAGAGAGAATACAAATATTTATCTTCAAAAATAATTTCCATCCAGACTGTAACATCCTCTAGAAAATCAAGTGTATTTTCATCTGATAGCTTAATAAAATAATGATGCTGTGCCTTCAAGACATAATACTAACCTGATAACATAATTCCCATGTCCAGTAGGAGTTGCCAGACTCCTATGGCCATAGATCTGCACTGGACGAAAGGACAGTGTTCTAGAAGCCAGTCTACCAGCTCTGACCCAACGCAGCTCCTCCTGAACAAAAGCAAAGCCATTCACAGTAAGATATTGCTGACATCCGTTTGCCAAAAAAACAAAAATGATATATAATACCTTTCCTTTCATGTGCTTGCTTTTTTTAGACAAGCAACCCAAGAATAAATGGCATATACCTCTTATTCATCTTTCAGATTAAAGCTCAAATATCACTTCCTTAGGGAAACAAGAGTCAAATTGTCTTCTACTTTTTCATCAAATCACCTAAAATTTAGTAAGTATATATCTTTACAAAGGAACAATATCTGCTTATCCCACTAGAGAATAATTTTCAGGAGAGCAGGAACTTTATATAACTCACTATTAATTCCCAACAATTAGAACAGTCCACAATACACAGTAAGTTGTCAAAATATATTTGTTTGAAAAACGAAGGAATAAATTTAGCAGCCTTTTATATAGAGATAATGCTTTTACCTTGGTAAGCTACATACCTCAAGTTGGTGGTGATAAACTTTGGTTCAATTATTTATAGATTTTTATCTAGTCCTTTTGAGAACAAAATAATTCCAAGATTAGACAAAATTGGGACCACAGTCAGTTGTATAGAGTTTGTTTGCTATTCTTCAAACAAAGATTGAACCCTAAAATTTACTCCAAGAACAATAAATTTGATTGTTAATCTTTTTAATATAATCATTGTAACTATTTAAGCAGCCCAGGTCACATAACCATAAACCCAGATGTGTTGGATTCCACTAACCACGCATGAAAAATTATTTTTGTAATCTGTCTTAAAACACACAACTATATTCAAAAAAATGTCATAACCTGGTTATTACAGGCGGTATCATCATGCCTACTTTTCAGATACATATGAGCCTCAGGGGGAAAACAAAAAGAAAAACTTCTGAAGTGTTTTGTCATTTGCAGAAATTTCATCAAATTTCACTCTCCCTTATGAGAAAAGATCATGAAAAAAAATTTTTTTTGAGACAGGGTCATACTCTATCACCCAGGGTGGAGTGCTGTGGTGCAATCTCGGCTTACTGCGACCTCTGCCTCCTAGACTTGAGAGATCCTCCCACCTAAGCCTCCTGAGTAGCTAGGAGTACAGGTGCTCACCACTGGCTAATTTTTGTTTTTTGTAGAGACTGAGTTTTGCCATGTTGCCCAGACTGGTCTCAAACTCCTGAGCTCAAGTGATCCTGCCTCAGCTGCCCAAACTGCGGAGATTACAGGTATGAGCCAAGCACCTGGCCAAAATGTTTTTTTAAAATAATGTATCATATAATGACTATCTTTATATGCAGTACTGAAGGACCAAGAGATGCCGACATTTATTTGTATTTCTAAAGTAGAAAAATATTGCCTATTTTGCTGTCTCTTGTGATTGGCATAGTTACAAATACCCTAGAATCACACCATAACCAACAATATGAACTGCCATGGATGCTACATTTTCTGGGGTGAAGAAAAATAAAGTAGTAAACTTTTCTGCTGAGATATTTGATCAAACATCCCAGCTTTTCATCAAAAGCTAGAATATATTTGGTAAAGTGTCACTATTTGACAGATACTCTAAGGCAATTAAGCCAATTCTAGACATGTTCAGTTGCAGGTTAGCATAAGACAGCATAAAGATTAACAGTCAAATATATGGATTTCTTTTTTTAGAGAAAATGAGAAAACAGATGGCAATAAAACAGGCAATTAGACCAAACAGTCAAGACTTAACTTCTAATTCTATAGGATATCTTTCATGTTAAAGGTTCAAAGTGTTAATTAACTAATTAATTCCTCAACACCTCTGCCAATTAGTCAGCATCTCAGGGCTTTGAAAGCACTTTTATCTCATGGATTAAATACTGTACCATCTTAATTCATATTCTCAAAACAATGCAGGTCCTCAGTCTGCTCTGAGTGTCTGACATCACCTGGACTATGAAAGAACACAATAAAGCATTTACTAAACAAACTAAACTGTCAAACTGCAAAGGTAGCTAGATGGATACAGCTGCTTGTTTGTTCACAGGTGATATGGAAGAAGCTTCTTAGAACAAGGCTTCTCAAAACTCTGCTTAGGAGTCACCTGGGTGATCTTCTTAAAGTATAGATTCTGATGCGGTAAGACTGGGTGGGACCTCAGATTCCACATTCCTTTTTTTTTTTTTGAGACTGAGTTTCACTCACGTCGCCCAGGCTGGAGTGCAATAGTGCGATCTCGGCTCACTGCAAACTCTGCCTCCCGGGTTCAAGCGATTCTCCTGCCTCAGCCCCCCAAGTAGCTAGGATTACAGGCGTCTGCCACCACGCCCAGCTAATTCTTATATTTTTAGTAGAGCTGGGGTTTCATCATGTTGGCCAGGTTGGTCTCGAACTCCTGGCCTCAGGTGATCCACCAGCTTCGGCCTCCCAAAGTGCTGGGATTACAGGCATGAGCCACCACGCCTGGCCAGATTCCACATTCCTAACAGGCTCTCAGGTGATGCTGGTGACCACAAAGCCCCAATCCCCCAGATCCCCCTTCTCATTGGGAAGAGCTCACTCTGTTTTGGGGAGGCAGGGCTCTGACTCAATATGCTAGAACACAGTACTGTCGTAACAATATTAATTAAAAACTGAGCCCCGCTCTCAGAGCAAACTACCATTTCTGTTGCATATGATCCCTTTCTATTTCCCCCACTGACTTTATCAAGTTATGTTTTAAATCACATATAAGGATCCACCTACCCCAGGGCAAACATGGGAGTAAAAGTAAACACTATCATTAATATCACCAAAGCATACAAAATGAGGTGGTGTTGTCTCTGCATTTAATGCCTTGTCCCCATGTCTGCTACAATATGGTTAAAATACCTAAATCCACAGGACTTAGGGGAGAGCAGTGAGGAAGAAAAGAGAGATGGTTGGAACAGAACAATCTAAACACAGACAGCAGTTCCTACCCACAGTGTATTTTCAGTCTTGTACTCAATCCAGAAACTGCTCCAAGTACATGCAGATCTGACTCCAGTTTCAATACTAGGTAGGAATAATGTGATATGGAGGTGATCAGCTCAAAGCCCATGTGACTGCTTAACAAAACATGAATTTACCCAATCTCCAGAGTTGAAAATTTGATTTATCTTAGCATCCTCCTGTCTCTAGTTAGATTTTTAGCAATTAATTCATAGTAATGCTACAATAATCTTTAAAATAAATCAGGTGATGGTATTTTAGTGACGTATTCATGCAAAGAAATGACGTCTCAGAAACCAGTGTGATTCTTCCTACAGTATAAAGTGAATAGAAAGCATTTCAAAGTTTTGAAAGTGAGTTCTCACGTGGTATGTGGGGAATACTTTACCTCAATTTACTACCAGAAAAATGAAAATGATTCATCCCTAGGTAATCACATGAGCACTTCATGTTTAAACCCAGAATATTAATGAGTCCTTAGATTAGAAAAGAATGGTGGTCCTGGCCAGATCACAGGAAAACACATGCTCTCTCCCCATTCTATTCCCGTTAAACCCTAAATCTGTTCTAATTTGGATAGATGGATTTTTTTCCATGAACCTGATTAATGTTCATCTCCCAATCCTTTTTCAATCTCTATCCATGGAGATCCAATAAAGGAGGAAAAAATGAGAATAATGATTGATGTTACACATGGCCTCATGTAAATAAAATGAATACTGTGAGCTTGCTCACGACTCTACTCAAAGACTTACACATATAAATTTAGTTTTTTTAAAAAGGAGAAGTCAGATGTTTCTAAAGGTGATGCCATCATTTATTTTTTAAAGTGAGTTTCTATGTGAAGTAGTCCAACCACCACAGCCCTTTTACTCCCTGTCCTGTCTACTTGGTCTGGGCTCTAACCTCATGGTTCTCAGACCTTGGGCTATGAATGAATCCCTAATGGGAGGAAAACAGCAGATCTTGGAGCTTTTTAAAGAGCTCCGTGAGTCCATACACACAAAGGCATTGTTTGTAAACAGAATACGCATGTCTAGCCTATGGCATATTTTTCAAAACCTATGTAAATGTTAATGTGATTGATTAAATGTGCTTAATTAAAGTGTTAATTCACTGGGGTTTCTCACCACACTATGGATTTGCTCAATTAATGGCTCAGAAGAATATAGATTCTGCCAATTTTGTGATGTTAAAAAAATGGTTGCAGGGAATGGTTACTGGCTGAAGAGAAGCAGGAAGGAACCTTCTGAGGTATGAAAATCCACTATATCTGGATAGTGGCTAAATGGATAATGATTACACAGGTGTGTAATAAATAAAAGTTCAAGGTGTACATTTAAGATTTGCGCATTTTACTATAGAAAAATTATGCCTCAGTACAAAGGGGGTCGGTGGTCTCACTCTGATAGTCTGGGAATTACTATCCCAAAAACCCAAGCCATGATAAAATTTTTTCCATCTCCAGCAAACAGAAAAAACAGAAATATTATAATGAGTTTATCATAAAGCTAAGTTTATTTAACATAAAGGAATATCCTTTATTCTGAGAACTTCCTACTTTTTGGGTGTCATGAATCCTGAGTCCTCTTCTTACTCTTGATGGGTATTGCACGTCATTTCTTTGAAATAGAATAGTGATAACAAATGGTAGTGGTTTTTCTTTTTGTTTTCTTTCATAGTTTTGGTATCATTTGGTGTGGCTTAATATCTTTATCTGGCAAAACAAAAAGCTAATAATTTACTTTTGGTTTTTTCTTTAAATTGTTCCATAAAATGAAAACATGCACATCAAGTTTTCTAAGTGACCATGCCCTTGGTCCAGCTGTACTTTAAAACTGGCCATTTACCTACCTGTTTACTCTCATATCTCTGTCAAGGTAGACACCTGCCATCCCTATGCCAACCTGTCTCTCCCTGCTCCTTATGCACTCAAGGAGGAGGCCCACTCTCACCTGGAGAGTTAGAGCATGTCTCTGCCCAAGACATCCTTTCAGGGCCTCAATAAGGCCCCTAAAGAGGGGATCTATATTTATTAAAGACCCTAATGTAGCACCACCCCCTCACCCGCTGCAAAATATCACATCTCAGAGGAAGCAGAGCAGAGACTCTCTCAGGAGCCCATCCACACTTGGGGCTGGAAATTCCATACCCTAACTTCAGAACAGGAGTCAAACTGTAAACAAATGCATGACTAAGTTTAATGAAAAGTCACCATCAGTTTCCCCAATAGAACAAACAAACCCTCCTACTACTGATATTGTCCACCTCTCTTTGATCAAGGTTACAATTTTAACACAGGGTGGTTTTTTTTCCTCAAAGAGAATTTCTGACAAGGTGTTAGAAAACTGTGTTACCTGTAAAACCCCTTGAGGTTCACTCTGTCCTTTATCAGGTCAGCTGCTTGAACGATAATAATATTCCTCAATGCTCTTCCTGCACAAGAAGAATTCTCTCCATAAATCTAAATGGAAAAGACAGTCACTGTAAATATAGAACAATAATGTGACAATTTGTGAACTACCAATAGCATACTATATATATATATATATATATTTATATATATTCATATATTTATATATAAAATCATAACCAAGTCCATAAGGTTGAGACATATTTTAGCCAATACAGCTATAAACCTACAACTATCTTACTTTATTTTAGCTACTGGTCCACTTATGCTGCTAAGCTGTAACTATTCTCCAAATGCTAACCTGCTTTATTTAACTACAGTTATAAATAATTTTCTTTTACACAAAGTTTTCAGTGTAAAACATCCACTATTTTTTAAATATAATATTTATATCAATACAGCAAATTGAAGACTTTATATTATGCATTAAGTCTGCATATTGATAATGCAAACATACACAGGTCTTGGAAGATGGAAAAACAATTTTCTTCCCTATCTAGTGAACATCTCGAACCATGACACAATTTGACAGCAGGCTGCTTTACTCTTAAGCTTCATTCAACTGCAGAGTTCAAAGTCAATTCCAAGCATCCGGTTTCATCTACTTCATAATTCCAACTATCAGATAAAAATTTCATTTAACTTATTTTTTTAAATATTCTAATTCCCCCATATGAGTCTCTGGTTCTTGGAGGATGAAGAAGGGTAGTTCTTAGATCTAGAGGGGGCTAGGTCCTACTTTATAATACTACCTCCTTCTCTATAACCAGCACCTTCCCCCAAAGCACAATGCTGTTTCACAAGCAAAGGGGGCTAAATGAAAATAAGCTGTCTTCATAAGGTTTATGAAAATTAATATATTACTGGGGGTACATGCCTACATAGTTTTACTTTTTTCTTAGTAAATTTTTTATGTATCTACTATATAGATAGATAGATAGATAGATAGATAGATAGATTAAATGTGTATCTACTATATATATATATACATACACACACATATATACATATACACACGTGTATGTATACATAGACATATATATATATATATATATATATATATATTTTTTTTTTTTTTTTTTTGAGGCAGGGTCTTGCTGTGTCACCCAAGCTGGAGTTCAGTGGAAAGATCATGGCTCACTGCAGCCTAGGCTTCCCAAGCTCAGTCGATCCTCCCACCTCAGCCTCCTAAGTAGCTGGAACTACAAGCACACACCATCAAGCCCAGCTAATATTTGTTTTTTGTTTTTTTTTGTAGAGACAGGTCTCCCTGTGCTGCTCAGGCTGGTCTTGAACTCCTGGGCTCACACAATCTGCCCACCTCAGCCTTCCAAAGAGCTGGAATTACAGGTGTGAGCAACTGCACCTGGCCGAAAAATTTGACATCTTCTCTCAAGGCAAACAAATTGATAATATAATGATTATGATTTGACCAGGAACATCAACCCCATCCTTATACTTCTTTAATTTTCCTGATATCATCTCCTAAATACAAGCTGATAAGGAAGTAGGAAGGGAAGCAAATTATTTTTTAACATGTTAAAACTATTTAAAAAAAAAAAAAAAACAAAGCTTCAACAAGCCAGATGACAGAAAGTATTACCGAGGAAGCGGTGTGAGTAAGCTGACACTTGACTAGTCCTGAAAGCATACAATGTTCATTCACTCAGTCATTCAAAAAGTACATAATGAGCAACTGTCAAGTGTCAGATCTATTCCTGATGGTGGGGATACAGCGGTGGAGAAGGTAGAGAAGGTCCCAGCCCTCACAAAGCTCACAGTCTCCTGTTAGCCTAAAAAATGCAACTTTTTTTTTCTTTTTTTTTTTTTTTTGAGATGGAGTCTTGCTCTGTTGCCCAGGCTGGAGTGCAGTGGTGCGATCTCAGCTCACTGCAAGCTCCGCCTCCTGGGTTCACGCCATTCTCCTGCCTCAGCTTCCCAAGTAGCTGGGACTACAGGTGCCCACCACCACGCCCGGCTAATTTTTTGTATTTTCAGTAGAGATGGGGTTTCACCGTGTTGGCCAGGATGGTCTCAATCTCCTGACCTCGTGATCTGCCCACCTCAGCCTCCCAAAGTGCAGGGATTACAGGCGTGAGCCACCATGCCCAGCCAAAAAATGCAACTCTTTATTGACTGATTCTTTACTGCAACACAATGATAAATAACAAGGAAGTAAATCTCCTTTTACACAAAACTCAGTGTAAAATATATGCTATTTGTAAAATACAGTGTTTTTAACAATAGCTATATTATATTTATATCGTATTTATATTATATACATGCTCTGCCACATTAATTCATTCATGTAAAGAACCTGGAAGATGGGAAAATAATTTTTTTCCCTAGTTCGTGAACATCTTGAATCATGACAATGATCAGAGCATCTCAAACACTTTTGCTGTGTCATCCCAGGTGGTGAAGATAATGTGATCACTGCAGCATCCCTGCAAAACTCTATGTGGTCAGGAGCAAAGGGAACAACTGTAACTTGATAATTGTACATCAGAATTTGTCAATCACTATTTCAGAAAAGGCAGTAAAAGAGAAAGGAATCATACCTGGGAAGGCGTATGTTCAAGGTACGGATTAGATATTCTTCTTGATAGAGTCTATTTTAAACAAAGAAAAAAAAAATAGTTAGAACCAAATAAACTTTTGTACCAAAAAATGAAAACATAAGCAACAGTGGCCAGGGCAGGCCTCTGCTATGAAAAAAAAAAAAAAAATGAGCTTAAATCTCAAATCATGGTCCCTAAGGGCTTAGCATCCTTATTTTCACTCAATGTAAATATCTGGTCAACATTTGTAACAACAGGACAGGATATTCCACTTCAATGGCTCCCAAGAGAAGTACAGTAGAAAGACTGGGATTTTCTTGGACCAGTCACTTTATTCTTGATGTGTTTTGGATTCCATTTCTCCTTTCCTTTTCCTCACCCTAACTCAGGCCTTCATCACTATACACTCAACTACCTGCTTCAGCTTCCCAGTGGATTTTCCTGCTCTCTAGGTCACATCCCCTTTAGGCCATCCTTCAAACCACAACTAAGCAAATCTCCCTAAATCACCCCTTTGACTTATAGAGGATCCCTTATTGCTTATCCGAGTTAATCCATGCCCCCTCAGCTCACCACAGTCTGCCTCCAACAGATTTCCAGTATTCTCTTTCCAACTCCCAGCAAAGCTCCTTCAGTTTAGCAAGACCTACTTGTCAGAAGAACTTGCCACTCATAACCCTGCCTTTAGTCACGTCAGTCTTCATGTTAAAAGCCTTCCATCTTCCTCAATGCTTCCCAGAATCCCACCAGACTCGAAGTCCAGTTTTGTGGAGTCGGCTCCTGCATGAAGTTCCTCCTGCTGGGGTACGCTCCTCTTTAGAGCTCTGTTTTTGCTACTATTCAGGTGCAGCACCTGGGTGCTCAGCATTGTTGACTGTTTTTCTGTGTGTCCATTTGCCCCAAGGAATCCATAAGCTCCTTGAGGGAGGGCTGGCAGCTTATACTGCTTTGCTTTCATGGCATCCAGCACACAATTGTGCACAAAGATGTTTATTTTTTCTATTCATTTATTTAGATATTTATATAACTGTATGAACTTAATATTATTTGCTGAATGATTTGAATTGTAGGAGCTAATTTTTCCTGCCTAATGATCCAGGAAACAGCACCATCACCTACATACGCTTAAGCACAATACAGAACTATTATCATTTCCTATTGCAGTATTAAAAAAAGAACAGAGAAACTAACATTTATTGAACTTCCAACCTATGTTTAAAGGCTCTTTCCATCTCTATTCTAAGTCTTGCTATCTTTTGAGATCCTATAGTTTTCAGCCTGCCGCCTCCATGTCTGAGAAAAATTTGCTAAATGTACAAAACATGCCCTACCAGTCATCACTTTCCAGCATCTGAACCTTCTACTAAACTTTAGTCTAAAAAGAGAATTCCCATTCTGCCCCTTCCCCAGGCCACATGGCCCTCACATTACTCCTAATTAAACTAAAATAAAATGTATCAACTCTTTATCCAGAAATGCCAATTGATACCCTGTTAAAGATGTGTAGCTTGATTCAAAGAAAATAAATTTTATAAGGTAGAGAGCCCATTTTTAATTCCCAGCCTTCTGGTCTTGTCTAAATATACTACCAATCAGCCCCGCCTAGGCCTCATGTACCATGAGCCTATGTAATATAGTCCCTTATTGATATACTGAACAATTTAAAAGTTTTAAATGCACCAGATTATATGAAGATGAATCATCATAATTTATTTTTTTCTCCAAACAGGTAGACTTTTAAAATCACTATGGCAGACCAGAAATGACAGTCTTTATTACTCATCTAATTGCCTGAATCAGCTAAGAGAAGCAAAATAGTTTATATAATCTAGTTAAAGAAAAAGCTTTTAAGCAGAAACAAGGTCTAAAAAAAAAAAACGTGGGCAGGGGCATTTTCACAAAAGAAAACAAGCCACTTGCCTTCCTGGCCATTGCCAACCGGAATCTGGCTGTCTACACACTCGTGTTACACTCACACAATTCCACTTAACAGAAACCTCCCCCATGGATGGCTTGCTTCAAAAGGTAGGTAAGGTGAGTAAATAAAGCAATGGGGTTCTTCTATACTGAATAGATAGCAGCGTTAGATAAGCTACTGGCCCCAGGAACTCAACAAGCTCAACATAATAACTGTCTTTTACAGGACACAATTCCTAGGTTGGCTGTCAGGAACTCCCTTGAAACCCTCTCTTCACTGGTCCCAGGAGAGCTTTGTTTCATTAACACTCTAGGACAGCTGTTCTCAAACTTGTTAGCTGAGCATGGGGAGCCAGAGAGCTTTGTGGAACTCAGTCAAGCACTGACTCCCTAAACTTAAAACGATGATCATAACTGTACTTCCGCAGAGACCACTTTATGTTAGTTTTCAGTACTGACCCAAAATAGCAAGGGCCAAAGGCTTAAAGGAAAAGAACATGGGGAATATTCCATCCATTACCTCATTTTTAGCAGGTACTGGGAAAGGACTGTTACTTAATTTTATCAGAGAAACACCATGGGCCATCTTATTGCTGCTGTAAATCACTCAAGAACTGCCCTCCCAGCATTTATCAGCAAGAGTACCGCAAAAGCACCCTTGAAAATGCACCCCCCTCTTTCCATTTTAACATTCTTTCCCTGATATACAATCACTCAGCTGTTTTCATCCCATCTTGGAATCCCTTGGTTTTGTTTTTCCTCTCAGCATCCCAGGGCTTCATCTCATCACTCCTGTGGCAACTTACTTCCATTCATTTCATTTTTGAAGCACTTACTCAGCTGAGCACCCAGCACTGTGGGAACTTCCAGAAACACACACGGACAAGATACCATCCTTAATTTAGAAAACCCATTTGCCAGAAGGCATAGGATCTAAAGAACCTATTAAGCCCATGAATTCTTTTTCTTGATCCTAATCTCCTTATCAATTTTCTCTGCAATCTTAGATGGCTGGTCACTCGATGCAGGGTATCCTCTCTTAAATGGCTCCCACCGTAATCTCTCATAAATATAATGCCCAAAGTGATGATTCCTTTATCCTATGTATTTTAGATTTCCTAGAATTACTTAAGTTGGATGCAAAGATTCTTTCATGAAAGACATATATAACCCAGAGAGATGAAAATACTAATAACATAAATGAAAATAGATTTTTAAGTCAAATGTATTTCTCCTTTCCATTTTAATGAACCATGGAAAATGTTTCCCTAACTAATTACAGGCAAACCACATATTTTAAATGTAAACTAGGAAATTGCAATCCTTTAATATTCACAAATGGACTTCCAGAAAAAAAAATGGAGTAACTCCAGAAATAATTGGTTAGCAACCATATATTACATTTTTAAGTCAGGTATATATTAAAATTAAAGTGTAATAGTTCATGAAACTGAGTCTGAAGCAGGCATGGAACTCATTCCAGAGTTGCTAAAAATATCTTGCTAAACAGTGTAATAGACTTAAGGCATATTTTTCATTAGTCCTTAAAAGAGATAGGCACAGTTTCCATCAGTTTTTAAAGGAGATGCCTTAATACTATCCTTAGACTCAGTTAAAGTACTTAGGCTACTAAGGGGTGAGAGAAATAAAGGAAAAAGACTGAATCACTTCAGTCACTACAGAAGCACTACCTGCCCTTTTACTAACATGAACTAACAAGAACTACCAAATTTATTGATAATGCAAGAATTAAGTTCATGACACAACTTTCTGCCAACTTCAGCCACTGTCCCTTTTCCTATTCTGGGTGACCAGGCAGAATATGAAGATGAAACAATGGAATAAATACACTTGAATTTCTTACAAACCCAGGAAGATAAAAAGCCACATAACTAGCAGGCACATATGTAAAGCGATTATACAATAAAATAATAAAGGCTATGATCTATTAAGCTGCCCAGTGGATTTTTAACACAAGAAGAACCTGTGGGCCCTTCTTCAGCCCCCAAATAAACTTACATCTCAACCAAAGCTTGGTCAAGATTACAAGGACCGAATCCCAGCCAGATTACGGCCTTGAGAATTATCCAGTCGTCAAAGTTGGGGATAATGGGTCAGGTGCGGTGGATCACATCACTCTATGATAACATGCTGCACATTATTAAGTAATAGTAACTGAGTTTCTGCTGTGTGCCGGAGACTACACCAAGTTTTTGGGGTTTTTTCTTTTTCTTTTTCTTTTTTTTTTTTGAGACAGGTTCTCACCATGTCGTCCAGGCTGGAGTGCAGTAGCACAAGCCCAGCTCACTGCAGCCTTGACCTCCCAGGCTCAATTCATCCTCCCACCTCAGCCTCCTGAGTAGCTGGGACTACAGGCACACACCACCACCATGTCCAGCTGACTTTTGTATTTCTTTTTTTTTTGGAGAGACAGGATTTCGCCCTATTGCCCAAGCTGGTCTCAAACTCCTGGGCTCAAGCAATCCGCTCGCCTCAGCCTCCCAGAGTGCTGGGATTACCGGTGTGAGCTACCGCACCCAGCCTATATTAAATATTTTGCATGCATCACATTACTTAATACTTGAAAAACTATGAGGTAGGTATTATAATTAATCCTATTTTGTAGATGACAAAACTAGACTTAAAAAGGTTAAGAAATCTGCCCGTTTGCAACCTAGCTGCAGTTATTGTCCCATACATGTCTCTTAATATAGAATGTGATCATTTAAGAGTAATGTGACAAAAAAGTGCATCTAACTGCAGTAAGAAGTCACAAATAGTATCGGCTAGACCCAGCAGTTCTCAACCCTCGATGTAAATAGAACCATCTGGGAAGCTGAAGAAAAACAAATAAAACAGGTACTAAGGACCCACCCCAAACATACTGAATTAGAATCTCTACGAGGAGACCTGGGCAGTCTTTCCTCAAATTTCCCAGGTGGTTCTAAGGTGCAGCCAGGTTTCAGGAGAACTGTAAAAATAAGTGATTGAGAATGGCAAATTGAACCTCTCCTCATCCACTTTAGCTATGGGGCTTGGAGCACTGCTCAGACATCGCCTCCTGCACATGCCTTGCTGAATGAAGAAGAGGTACTGTCATTTACCAATAGCATGGGGATCCGTGGCTGAACCTCCAAGTGGCTTGTGTAGAACAAAAAGCCACTGTTTCAGCAAATCCTGTCCTGCACCTGCTCATGTTGTATGTGTTTTCCATATCTAGACATAGCCCTAAGCTGAAGTATCTTCATGTCTGCACAGTAGCGTAGTACCCACATACCTTCAGAAAGAGTCTACCCTTTTAATGGCATCCATGGCATTATACTTAATTTTGACTTCCCATTGTTAAAGGGCACTATTCTAGTAGAAACATGTTTCCCTACTTAAAAGCTAAGTAGAAAATGAAAGTGGGTTCAAGGAGGACTTATAAACATTTCACAAACCTTTCACTGCAAGGGAGATAAATCAGCAAGAACCAACAGCTTCTGGGAAAATATACACAACAGATACAACAGAAACAAACCCCAAAGCTTCATCAATTTGATTTTATTTAGTTCTTGGGAATATTTCTTTTGGGCTGTGTTTACAAACAAGAGAATAGTTTTGCCTACCAATATGGGCCTCCCTGGTTAATGCAATCACAGAGAAACCTTTAAAATTTGAGAATTAAGTAACTAAAGAATTAGGAAAAATGGCTTAATTAGCGAGCTTACTTATCTCCACTTGTCACTGAATTTCCTAGTTTTATTAACAAGAACTCATCCAGTCATACCTGGACTCCAAGATGGACCCTCCCTACAGCAACCAACGTGAAGAAGCTCCCACTGGCCAAATCTGGGATGATTTGAACAGCAAATAAATGAATTATTGAATTATAATTCATAAAATGAATAACCATGAGTCCATACTGATACAAGCAATTGAATAAATAAATAAATGAGGATCAGGAAGAAAGGACAGCCCTTCCTCATGGGATTATTTTAATTACTAAATGCAGTAAAAAGAAGAAAACAGAAAACCACCTTAGGCAAACACCATAGTAATAAATGTTGCAGGCAAAAATCATCAACAGATGCTAACATCAGTGGACAAACCTATGATGAGACATAGGATATTTGCATAAGTATCAAAGTATCTCCCGCCGAAATACTTAGTAAGTACACAGGAAAAAATAACAACTGTACAGTGGAGTTTAGCTCACACCACTTTAAACAAATGATAAAAATTATCGCCTATCATGAGACATGTTGACATCTGCCTCCTGATATGATGAACAGAGAAAGGCACTTTTATGCTGTTTTTGTCAAAATGCATACCTGAATATAATGACAAAATATCAGACAAACTCAAATTGAGGGGCATTCTTCAAAGTAACTGGCCTGTACTTTGCTAAAATTGTCAAGGTTAACAGGGACCAATAAAAACTAAGGAGCTATCCCAGATGAGAGGAGACCAAAGGAGCCAGACAATTAAAGGCATTATGTGATCCTGGACTAGAATAAGGAACTTAGCAGGACACATGGCACATGTGAATGAGGTCTATATTTTAGTTAATCGTGTGGATAAGTGCTGGTTTTGACAATTGTGCTGTGGTTATGTAGAAATGTTAACATTTGGAGAAGCTGAGTGATGCTTATAAGTGAACTCCCTTTGTACTAGTTTTGCAACTTTTAAGTCTAAAATTACTTCAAAATAAAAAGGTTCTTTAAAAAAAGAATAATGACCTTCTTCCTCCCCACAAATGTGGTCTCAAAAATTATTCAAATATTATCTCAAAATACAACATTTATTTCTTTTCTGAAAGCTGCACCGCCCCTCCATAACTTCCTTGGGCTGCACAACAGAATGACTCTCATGGCTGCCCTGCCCACTCAGGTCTCTGGCATCTTCGCACGAATTAATCTCCCGAAAACACCTCCCTACATGTCACCTTATTTTTAACACAACAAACATATATTTGTAAGTTTACTCTCCCTGAGTGCTCACAGTGTTCCAAGTCTTTAACCTAGTGATCCACACCTTCCTTACCTGTCTACAAAGTTCCTGCTGCACTTCTCTACAGACACTCTGCTTCAGCCAGGCAGGTTGTCTCCTTTTTATGAGACAAACCACATGCATTCCCCCTCCATGCCTGAGCCCTTGCCATGATCTCTGCTCTGTGCACTTTCCTGTATTTCTACATTCTGCCCTACAGTCAATCCACACAAACGCTGCATGAAGTCCAACCAAGCCCTGAGCCTCCCATGATTAATCTCTTCCCCCAAACATTCTAGCACTTTCCATATTTGCCACTGAAATATAGTGCCTCCTGGCCCCATTTGCAGGTATATGCCATCTCTTTTCAACCAACCTAACCCACCAGAGGGAGTCATGCCTTCTATAGATCTAGGACCATCAGTGTGGAGAAGGAGCTAACCGCTGACTAGCCAATAGTGATTTATTTCCAACATCACACTGTCTGATAACCTGCCAAGTGGTAAAGCATGATATTACCACCTCAAAAGCTATGAAACCCATCGCCACCACTGCCCCACTCCAATCACCACCTATCCTTTCCCCTCATTTCCATCCCTGCCTTAAGTGGTCATGCATAGAGAGTGCAGAGTGTGCATACAGAGCTAGCTGAGTATACACAGAGGGAGTAGATATGACTCTATAAATTATAAATATATGTAATTTTTTAAAGACAGGGTCTTGCTCTGTCTCCCAGGCTGGAGTGCAGTGGCACAATCATGGCTCACTGCAGCCTTTATTTCCCAGACTCAAGCGATCCTTCCACCTCAGACCACAAGTAGCTGGGACTACAGGTGCACACCACCATGCCTGGCTAATTTTTTATTTTTAGTAGAGACGACGTCTCACTATGTTGCCCAGGCTAGTCTCAAACTCCTGAGATCAAGCAATCCTTGCACCACAGGCTTCCAAAGTACTGGGATTATATGAGTCACCGCACCTGGCTAAATTTTATATACTGAATGATTTATGAGCTTGTTTGAAAACTTAATGATCCACTTGAATACCAATTATTCCTTTGTAGTGAAAAACATGGAAATTGTGTGGGGTCGTCAACAGGAAAAATGTTCTCTTTTCAATTCCCACATTACTCACAGGTCAGAAATGAGTGAAAGAAATAAACCTTGGAGTAGCCACCTTTCTTCCCTTCTTTGGCATCTGGATATAAACTACTGTCTTAAATGTGTCTTTTCAATTTGTACATAGATTTTTGAAAGCTGCAGAACAATAAAGGTGTGATAGTGTAGGGTCTTCTGATGAAAGGAAGAATTCAGGATACTTGTTCCACTTTTTATTTTTCAATTACTCAACTAGGATATATGAAGAGCTTCAGAAATGTAGCAGCAGAATGGACCTCCGGGGGTCACCAGGCCTTCCTCTAAACGATGTGAGACAGTGGGGATGGAGATTAGGAGTCCACAGACCAAACCCGGTTGCCACCTGTTTCATAAATAAAGTTTTATTGGAACACTGTGTGTTTACATATCAACTCTGGCTGCTTTACTGCTACAACAGCAGAGTTACATAATGGCCATCAAAGCCAAAAGTATTCACTATCTGGACCTTTACAGAAAAGGTTGGCCAATCCTGGTCTCGATTATCAAACTTTAAAGAACAGGAAGAGCTGTATAATCTCCCAGGCAATATATTCTAGTGCTTAACCAGTTATTAGTAAGAACTCTTAATTTTGAATCAAAATTATCTCCCATTGCAATTTAAGACTATTTCCTCCCAAACTATTTAAGGCACAATTCCATCTCTACTTAGGTTACATAAAAGCAAGAAATGGTAGCTAGAAGTTGTTTTGGCCTAAGATTAAAACAAAAAGTAGAAGTACTAGTAAAGGGTACAAAGTTCTAATTATACAAGATACACTATAAAGCAAAGCACCTATGGTTAACAACACTGTATTGCACACTTAAAAAGTCTGCTGAGAGAGTAGATCTTACGTTAAGTGCTCTTACCACAAAAAAAATATTAAAGAGGATGAGAGGAAACTTTTGCAGGTAATGGATAGGTTCGTGGCAAAGTTTATTTCCAAACTCAAGTTGTATACATTACATATGTACAGCTTTTTGTATGTCAATCATACCTTAATAAAGTGGTTAAAAAAAGCAAATGAAAAAGGAGCAATTAGTTTCACTAACTCCTTTTAAATTGGGAATTTTCAATCTATAAATAATCTGGACAATGCTTGACTCCAGAAAACTGATGCTAAAGGCCAAATATACAAAAGTACTAGTAAATCCATAAGTGTAAAGTGTTGTTTCAAATATCTGAATCTTGCACATAACACTCTCTCCGCCTAGAATGCCTTTCTACTCATGTTTAAATTTTCATATAGATTGTAAAAATACATTCATATGCTCAAATCTCCTGTTAGAATTTATGTGTTTCTAAAGCATTTTGGATTCCAGATTCTTATTTACATTTGAATTTCCCCTGATTCATTACATGAATCTTAAAGATAGGATCTATATTGTGCTCATACTTATAAATGTCCAGTGTCCAACATGATGCATTCTGTGTAGCTAATTATCATTAAATGTTTATAAAGGAAAAAAATCTAGCCCTTTTAATACCTTCCTTAACGCTCTTCACCTTCCAGAGTTTCCAGTTCCTTCCTCTGTGCACTGCATCCTCTCCTCCCGGGAGGCAGCCTTGCATCACTGGTAAGAGTGGAGCTCTGGGTTCACCTTGCTTGGATTCAAAGCTCATCAGCACCACTTAAAAGTTGTGTCCTTGGACAAGTTATTTAACTTCTTTGTCCCTCTGTTTCTACCTCTTTAAATGAGTGAAATAAAATCTACTTTTAAGGTTGTTGTAAAAACTAAATGACTTAAAATTGTGATTCCCAAACTTCAGCATGCATCAGACATCAGAGACACCTAAAGAGCTTATTTAAAAGATTGCTGGGCTCCAACCCATGGATTTTGGTTCAGTAGGTCTGGGGTGAAGCCTCAGAGTCTCCAATTCTAACAAGTTCCCAAAGGATCAACCACTAATGTAAAATTATATAAAGAGCTTAGAACAGCACCTGCTATGTAACAAGTGCTTGGTGAATGTTACCTATTGTTATTGTTGAGCACTCAAGAAATTTGGAAATTTTAGTATTACTATGTACATGAATGTGGGTCTCCCCTACTAGACCGTAAGCTTTTCAAGGGACAGGATTATATACTTTTCACCCACATCCCTAGGACGTGGCAGAGTGCCTGTCACAAAGCAAGGCCAGTGGGACCCTAATAGAATTCTCTACATACCAAGAGAGAACCCTCTTACCCAAGGTTCCTCCTGGTCAGAAGGGAAAACAGGATGTGTGAGAAAGAAAATCCTTCTCCTGGAAAATTCCCAGGCATTTCCCATCAAGCATCTTTTGGACATGGGCTATTTCATTCACCGGCTTGAGCCGTGAGGGTTAGGTCCCATTTCCCACACCTGGGAGTCTGGAAGAGCTAAACTGGAACTATTCAACTGTTATTAGCTTCTTGGGACCAGAGTCCTTTCCCAAATGGGTACAGAATTTCTAAGGGCTTCTGCCAGTGTAACAACCTGCCATCACCACTGTTTAGAACCCTAAGTACAGTCAATTTTTGTATATACAAACATTTTACCTGGACAGTGACAAGTGGAAATCCTGTAATTGACACTAAACGTATACTATACCTACATACATACCTACATACATACATTTATTTATCTAAACATCTGTTACCAACTCAAAGCACATTTACTGGTGTTAACAGAAAACAGCAAATTAAAATGCTATCCCAATGTGTAATACCACCACTTGACAATTCCAAAACCCTGCTCCCACAGTCTTCTCTACTGGCCTCCCACCAATGACTTATCAGATGTGATGTTGCCTCTTACTTTCTTGGCGGAGGAGGTCAAGCAGACACAAGCCCTGGCCCCAAAAGCAGGATGCTGTGCAGCTAAGATGAACAACAGGGCAAAGAGGCCAACAAAAGAGTCACCTGATCTTCAGACTGAAGCAACCTGATTGCCTCAAACTTACTGGATGTATTTTTGCCTCCTCTCTAACTTTTTTCACTATACAGGGGGAAAGTCATATTCAGGTTCCAATTTACGTGTATTCTGCTCTGTAAGCTCCAAGAGCAACTTAAAGTTATTTGTGTTTACTTTTCCTGTTTAAGCATAATTACTGTAAGAGGTGCTTCATAAGGGATTCTATTTTTAGAATGCTCTCAATTTTTAATTTTAATCAAACTTCATTTTAAACACCAACAACTGCACTCTTTCTGCTTTCAATCTGCATGAAATTAGGTAGCAAACTTAATTTCTTCTTTTATTCAGCTAAGCTAGAGTAAATCACAACCCTAATTTTTTTCAAAGAGGCCCCTTTTAAAAGTATGTTTACACTGATTGATAATCTGTTTCTAGATGAAAGATCTAAAGTTAATAAAGTGTCCTCCACTCCAAAAGTAGATAACTAGGGAATCAGTCAACAAAATATATATGAATTACAGAGGAAGGCACCTGTTGCTAGGGTATGTTTACTACTTAAAAGGATTCCCCCCACTCTGGTTCCTCCTCCCTTCCCGCAGTCTAGTCCAGACACATGATGAAACATTATGCAGCCATTTCAGATGTTTTAAAGAGTCTTAACACATGGAAATATTTTGATGAAAAGAGAAAAATAAAAATAAGTAAAAGTAAAGAGACAGTATAAGATCAACAATACCCAATAAACAAACAGAATGGAATACACCAAAGCGCTAACAGAATGGGTTCTGTGTCATAGCTAGATTGTTGTTTTTCCCTCTTCCCAAACTTCCACATTTTTGATGTTGGATATTGTCAGGTCCAGGGTCAGGATCCAGCCCATGCTGAGGTCCGAAGGCAATGGGTGGATGAGTGGCAGACAGGTAAAAGAACACTCAGGGGGCCACAGGCAGGTACAAGATATTTTTATTCAGCAGTTGTCTTAGACTGTCTCTGTCTCCACTAACTGCTCCCGCCGCTCCCACACACAGCTGCATGGCCAGCTCTCTCTTCAGGGTCAGCAACTTAACTCCTTCCCTCTGGGCACAAGCAAACAGAGCTGTGTCCTGGCTCCCCACAGTCTGTCTACAAGACAGCTATAAAACAATATATAAAAAAGCTATGAAGCAACATAACATTTCCACTCTCATAGCCCTGTCACCTCCAACCCTATAAAGGAAAGACAAAGTTCACAGATAAAAACGATGACTCGACACATAAAGGATTAAGAACAAGTCTACAGACAGAAAGAAATCCACAGGTAAGTTAGCTCTCATGTAACTGCAGTTATGGATGGGGGAAAGTGAGTTAAACCTCTAGGTAAAGAGCTGAGAAAGCAGGACAAGGCTGGGGTCTGCTGGGAAGGATGTTGGCACTAATGCTCCCTTTCTGCCCAGTGAAGTCCATTTGGCTTTCTGCCCATCCTGAAGAGATGTAAGCACAGAGGAGACCATGGATGTAAGGGAAGGAGCCCTGTGCAAGTGTAAAGGCAGACAGAAGACAGTGATAACCTATGGTAGGGAAATTTCAAACAGCAAAGCAAGAAGAGATGAGGCAGCCCTTCCATTTCTAAATGGCCCTTTGTAGGTAAAGGATACAAACTAGGCTCTGCCCAAGTTCCTGTTCTAAGAACATCATTGTTCGGAGTGTCTTGTGGCCCATTTGCTAAAGTGCTTAGGATCACTTTCTCTTGCCATTAACCTCTGAATAATCAAATCTAACAACATCTGAAGAAAACAATTCAGAAAGTAAATACTGCAAAGTCAAATATCAGTAACTCAGGAGTCCCCCGTATTTAGATTCCATCATGTCTATACGCAACCAGGTTCTATATCAGCTTCAGAAACAGGAGTGTGATATATGCAATGGATTATAAGACAACAGCTACATTTAATACCTGACCTGAAGGCACATGGTCAATGTCGTTTTTAGTAAAATCCAAACTCCCTCTCTGACCCAGAATACAGGTATTGCATTAGCTACTCACTCTGGGGTATGTAAACCGCATATCAATTTTTAAATTAAAATCATGATCCTCACATATAGGACGCTAGCTTCATTAGAGCTCCACAGGCAAGGATTTCAGCTTTGATCCCTGCCCCACAGCCCTCCACTGTCCACCACATTCCCTCCTGAGTCCCGAGTGCCAACTCTCCAGTTCGACACCAGAGAACGTCAGTACTCAGGCTTCAGCATGCAAACTGCGACACAGATAGCAACCCGTGGGAGGAAACGGGGTTTTAAAGAACCCTGAAATACAGATTCAATTAACTACTTTTCCACACAGATCTTTCACTGAGGGTAAGATTAAATCACCAACATAGTTGTTTTTAAAGCAGTTCCTAAGCTGGACTGAAACTATTTTAAAAGTTGTAGATGGAACATAAAATGGAATGATTGAATCTTATTTCTTTTTTCTAAGATATGCCCCTCTCCAAGGTGGAAGGCCCACAGAAGCTCGATCTTTCTATACCCTCTTAAGTCTGATATTACGTGTGTCCTTGAAATAAAAGGTCAACACCCCTTTAAAAAGTTACAGGAGGTGGGCCAAGCACGGTGGCTCACGCCTGTAATCCCAGCACTTTGGGAGGCCGAGGCGGGCGGATCACGAGGTCAGGAGATCGAGACCATCCTGGCTAACATGCTGAAACCCTGCCTCTACTAAAAATACAAAAAATCAGCCAGGCGTGGTGGTGGGCGCCCGTAGTCCCAGCTACTCGGGATGCTGAGGCAGGAGAATAGCGTGAACCCGGGAGGCGGAGCTTGCAGTGAGTGGAGATCGCACCATTGCACTCCAGCCTGGGTGATAGAGCGAGACTCCATCTCAAAAAAAAAAAAAAAAAGAAAAAAGAAAAAGTTACAGGAGGTACCAAGTTGACCAAGAACATTCAAGAAAGAAGGAGTACATTCAGAACAGGGACAGCAGTAAGCAGGTTACCAGTGATTTCCTTCTATTTCTATTGCATAATCCAAGAATCATGACTTAGAGGAAACTTGTTGAAAGTAATGGAAAAACTTAGAACATCAAAGTATTGTTAAAATTCTAGGGTAAAAACATTATATCCTTCCAGCTTGAAAACCACATGATTCTGGAGATTGGTTGCACAACATGAATGTACTTAACAATACTTAACTGTACACTGAAAAATGGTTATGATGAAAAATTTTATCTTATGTGTATTTTATGACAATTAAAAGCAAAAAAAAATTTTAACTATATTTGACAGATTCTGAAATTACAAATTTACTTGCAAATGATAATCTCCAAAGTTAACTAAAAACAAAACTAAAGCCTCCCGGTTGAAGGTTCTCTACCAGGGCACTCGAACTTTGCCTGTAAATTGCTGTGCCTCCACGCCCTGGGGAGATTTAATGCCCTGTCAAACCTTCTTCATTTCAGTAAGGTTTTCAATGGCAACCTTAGAAAGGTAATCATGAGCAAATGAAGCTCCAGGAGTTAATTAGCACAATTGTTTCCCAATGTTTTATTTTTACATATGTACTTAAATGCAGTAAAAAAGTCATCATATAAATAAAGCCCTAAATACAAAGGTAAAATGAGGAGTGTTCCACCTACAGAGAACAGGATGTTCTTCTTTCTGTGAAAAGCACTTTCTCCCTCCACTCTCACCCACATTTCTGTAGTAAAGATTCCATGCTAACAAGAGGTTTTCAACAACTGGTTCCCATTTCTTATTATGGACGAGATTTGACACACACAGGAAACTTGTTTTCGAAAGCTTTCCAGTTATAAATTAATTCCATGACTCATGGGAGGCAATTTCTTTCACATAGTCCTCACCTAAGTCCTATGTATCTCAAGCTGGACAGCAAACACTTCTCACAATCACAGTCCTATTAACCAACAGGTGGCACATTAAATCTTTAGCCACCTTCTCTCTGGCTTTCTTACACCCTTCTACGCCTGAGGGAGCAACCCACTACAGGGTACACAGACACACAATTGGAAGAACCTGTGGCTGTTTTCGTAAATCACTGGCTTTCAAACTTTTTTTTACTGCAACCCACTGTAAGGAGTATATTTTATATGGTTACCCAGGTCACACAAACATATGTGTGTAGGTACATAGCTGAAATAAAATGCTTTTAATCATCTCTTACTCTGCCTACCAAGTGAGATCAACTCTGAGCTCATTATGTGATACAGATATATATTCATATTAAATGCTAACATTTCACTATAGTGATTCTATAATTCTCATGTTAAACTGTCACGAAAAAAACTTTTTAAAAGTTCCTTTGAGTCTTCAGATCTTCAGTAGATAAATATTTAAGTATTTACATATTTAAAATCAGGTTGAACTGCATGACTATATACCCAGATACAGTGGGGGGTCAGGGGGAGGAGGTGAAAGAGAGAGGGCAACACTAACCAACCTTGGGCCCAAAACAGCATATTCAGTGCATGGGATATACTTAGTCATTAATGTTTTTTTAAGTAAAGCTTCCCTACAAACAGACTCTGATCTAGGTTTGCCAGAATAACCAACAGTCTTAACAATCTTACCTGAAGGGAAAGATTATTTCAACAAAAGAATGGACAGCTGTAGTTTTCTTTGAGCCAAATTTAAAGAATGAAAAGAGTATTTATTACAGGAATCTCCCATTCTTTTTTATTTCTAAATATTAATGCTGCAATTTTTAAAAAGAGGGGGACCTCTAAAAACCTTCATAGGGGTAGGATGGTGTAAGGTATATGAATGTGCTTTGGTCAAGGAATAGGCTGAGGCACACATCCAGGCCTGCATGACTTGGTGGGATTTGCGCGCAGGCACACACCTCCACTTGTTATATAACCTGTTTGTGTAAGCTCATATTTGGCTTGGAGCCACTATTGTTTGGAAAAGGTATAACTGCCGTGCTGGCACTGTATAGGTGCTCTTGTGCTGGCACCCAGAGAAACAGAGAGAGAACCAGAGCTGTCTGTCTTGCAGATGGACAGAGGGGAGCCAGGGCACGGCATGGCTTGACATGGCTCGTGCTTGTGCCCCAAGAAACGGTTAAACTACTGACCCTGAAGGCAAAGGAGAGTCGGCTGCGCCGTTGTGCATGGGAGCGGCTGGCTCAAGCAGCCAAGACAGAGCGGACAGTGTTAAGAGAGCTGCTAATGAGAGAGCTGCTGAATAAAACTACATTTCACCTGCCTACAGCGCCCCGAGTGTTCTTTCCAGTATCGCCAATCCACCCACACCCCACGGACCTCAGCATGGGCCCGAGCCTGACCCTGAGCATGACATTTGGGTTAGTCGTGGACCTGACAGATGGGTTTGTCTACCACAAGAGTTTCCATCTTGGCTTTTTCTCATTCAACAAAACAATAGGAGGAAAGAGAAAGAGAAGTGTTAAAAATGATCATGAAAACATAGTATTAATAACACACACACACAAAGTGGCAGAAAAAAAATGAATACACTATTCCTAAGGGCAGCAGTGTAAAACTAAAGCCCAAAATGTAGACATTGAGGTCTTTATGTATCCTCTGTCGTTAATCATGTTCCAGAATCAATGTTTCCGAGAGAACCATGAAGAACTGAAACAAAGTCCTTGAACAAAGATTGGCAATTTCTGATAAGGGAAAAGCTAAGGCAAGCAAAGAAGAGATTGTGGCATAGAAGGAACACCTGCATCCTGGACAGCAGCCTGGCATTTATTTAGCAGCACTGCCAACATACATATGTATACATATAAGATCACTTAGCAGTATGTATTTACCAACCACTGATCTACTGCTTATTATTTTCCACTCACTGTTCTAAGCACTTGTTATTAATATTAATGCATTTATTATTCATAACTATCTTTGGAAACACAGAGAGGTTAAGTCACTTGCCCACAGTCATTCAGTGGGTGAGGGTCAGGGAAACCCTGGATAGCTGGATCCAGCTTTTACATTTGTAATCTCTACATTCTTCCTATCCTTCTCTGAAGAATGCTCTTGGTTCCTGCTCCATTTGAAGCCTACCTCTCCAGCCGTCCAATAATTCTGCAAGCCAACCTGCATCTCAACATCCTTCCAGTAATTTCAGAGTTGGTCTCTTGTTTGCAATTAAGACCCCTGACAGATTCAGTCCCGAATCCAGTTACAAAGAAGAGTGTTATGTGAACACAAAAGCCTCCACTGTATCCTGCCCCAATAGCAAGTCAACTACCTGAGGAACACTGAGAAGAGGCAATGGGTGGGGATAGGCAGGGGCATGCATGTTTATAAACGAGCCAAATCCTTACCTTACAATCAAGAGCACTTGCAAATTTATGAAAGCAAGAAATAGTGGTGTTCATTTTTAGTTTCAACGAGGCAAGTGGATTTCATGTGATCAGCTACACAAGTTCACAGTTTTCTACCAGACTCTACTCTGACAAACAGCTATCAGTATCTTTAAGCCACAGTTCCCTGGACTTCACACACATAGAAATCTAAGAACTGGGAAAGGCAGAGGTAGATAAAGGGAGTAAACTCTCTCCTTTTTATCCAGTCAGTTCCCTCTCTTCCCACAAGAGCTATCTTCTACCTCATCTTCCCACACCTACCTCAAGGCTAGGCTTGAGGACAACTGGCACCATGCTGACTGGGCAATGAAGGTGGAGACCTGGCACTGGGCAGGTGCAGCCTGGGGACAAGGTGGGGTGGGTGGGGCATCTACTTCCATTTTCCTGGAGGCCACAAAGCCGTATCAACTCTAGGGTGGGGGGACACACAGAATGGTCAGACTGCCATCTAGTTCTCCTTCCCTGAACCAAAACAAGAAACAAGCAAAAAAAAAAAAACAACAAAACAACAACAACAACAACAACGAAACTTCCAAAGCTGTCCTAAAGGCAAATATCACCATTTAGTCATTTAAAAAGCAACTCCTTTCCTTCTCTGTCACATAAGGTAACTTGCACAACAGAAACTACTTTTCATACAAACATGCAAACGACCACACTTATAATTTCTTAAATAAGAATATTGGGAATCTAAGAGACTTTCTGTATAGAAAAGACAACCTTTGGTCATATTTCTGACAGACTTCTAGTCCTCTCAACACCAGAAACCTATTTGGTGTTCTTGTTGATTTTTAGTTTTTTGTTCAAACAGAAAGCAAATTACTGAATCCTAAGCATCCCTTCCTTCCCAACGCCCAGACTTCTTATTCCCAATGCCTCCATCTTAGATCAGGCCCTCAAGCCCTATCACCCGGGCAACAATCCCTAAGTGACTTCCCTGCCTTAACCTCTCCTTTCCCCACTCTGCACACTCTTCAGAAAGAGACCAATCTTTCTAAAGAAATGCTTTTGTCAACTGATGGTGACTGCCACCTTACATCTGTTACATCATGTCCACATATAGTCTCACCTTTATTCTGCCCCAAACCATGTATCTACTACATGAAGTGGTTCCAAAATGCTCATGTGAGGCACAATACGAATAAGGGCAATGAAATTTAATTTCATAAAATTAAATTTACTTAATTATGAAGAAGGGTCCTTTATTCTGGTGGTACAGAAACAGGCTATACCCTACTGGGAGAAGACTGAACTTAAGCAAAATAAAGAAGTTAATTATCAATTATGTATGTTAGACAGTGGTAGAGGAATAAGGCATGGAGAGGAGGTTGATGTTACAATTTTAAGTACAGTGGCCAAGGGGTCTTCAGACAGCCAGCTGGGAAGCGGTCCCCAGAGAAACTCCAACCAGCCTGTGCACTGAGAGGAGTGTGCACTGGGATGGAGCCACAGAAGTTCGTGCCATTTGCAGTGGGGAGGAGCCTGGCCCCTCCTCTTCCTGGGTGGAACCTGGGATTCAATCTGCCAGGCGGGAAGTGCACAAGCAGAACTCTGGCTTTGCAGAGGATCCCTGTTTCCCTTTTCACCCAATAAACCCTGCCCTCCTCACCTTTCAAATTGCCTGTGAGCCTAATTTTTCGTGGCTGTGTGACAAGGACCCCCATCTTTAGCTGAGCTAAGGAAAGAGTCCTACAACAGGCTCACAGAGAATAGCCTTTGAGCAGAGAGGTGAATGGATATCTTGAGAAAGGGCTTCAGACTGAGAAAACAAGTGCACAGGCCCTGAGGTGGTGTCACTGCCCAACATGTTCATCTTGCCTGCTGCCCAGATAGAGCCGAATTGTCAAGACAGGGGAATGGCAATACAGAAAGAGTATAATACGCGTCAAGCTGGCTAAATGGGAGACTAGAATTTTGTTATTACTCAAACCAGCCTCCCTGAAAATTTAAAGGCTAGACTTTTTCAAAGACAGTTTGGTGGGCAGGGGCTACGGTATGGGTGCTGCTGGTTTGGTTGGGGATGTAATCGCAATCATAGAGGTGTGGAAAATGGTCCTCTAGTGCTGACTCTGCTTCTGGCTGGGGATAACAGGACCAGTTGTCAAGCGTTGTGGGTCCAAGTGGGGCCATCAGGTCATTAGAAATGCAAAAGTTTTAAAAGACATCTTAAAAGGCCACTCTTAGGTTCTACAACAGTAATGTTATTTACAGGAGTAATTGAGGAAGTTGCAAATCTTGTGACCTCCAAAACGGCTGATAATTGGTTAACTATACCTACATCTTAGCAGAATTCAGGACCCCCTCATAATCCTAAACTTGTGGCCTTTTATTAGTTTTATAAAGGCAGTTTAGTTTGGGGAAGAGCTATTATCATTTAAACTATCAACTAAATTTCTCCCAAAGTTAGCTTGGCCCACGGCCCGGAATGACCCAGGGCAGTCTGGAGGTTCAAGGCAAGATAGAGTTGGTTAGGTCAGATCTCTTTCACTGTCATAATTTTCTGTTACAATTTTTACAAAGGTGCTTTCAGTGGGACCATGTCCAGCGTGATGGGCAAAGCCAGTGGGGAATACAGCAGTGTAAGAGGACAATACCATGGCTCTTAGATCTGAGGAAGAGACTCTTTTGTTTATAAAGCACATTGTTTGCAATGTTAACACACCACTCACATTTATATCTAATGTAAAATATGTCAGAAATCTCTGAGCAAATCAAAGTACCTATATGCAACCTTTGTTGCCTAATAACTAACCCTGATTGTTATTTTACACTTGGCTTTGTTCTTTTCATACTGCAGCAGCAAGTTTAATCTTTTGAGATCAAAGAACTGTCAGTAGCATAATTGCTCAGTAAAAGTATTTTTAGCAAGTCTTCATTAGAAGGATACTTACCTGCTGCATTTCATTTGAACTAGTGGATCTATTCTACTGCTGACAGATTGCTTTAATTTCTTCCTTGAGGTCTCAAAACCAGGTAAGCCTATTTCTTAGAGTTACAACCCAAATTATTAGTTTACCTGTTACGCAGCACATAAAATAAGTCAGACACCAACCTTACCAAGGTAATGTAGCTCTAACTCTGGTGGGTAGACAACTCCCAGCTCTTAAATCACCTCCACACTGAAGTTTTGCTCTCGTTCCAAACTCAGAGAGGTAGATTCTATATCTTTGCACTCCCCAAAGTATTTTCTGTTATTTTATGTTCTAACACTATAGTTACACTATGTATTTTGAAATTTGTAAAATTTTATAAAACTAAACCATAATACAATCAACATGTTTACCTTCCCCACTGGACTTTGAGTAGCTAAGGACTGGGATAATTCCTTTAGTCATTTGTGTATTCTCAACGTCTAATGGCTGAGGTAGACATTCCTAACATTTGTGCTTCTTTTATCCTTCAAGACTCCTGGGAGGATGACACTTTGTTGGTCCCTTAAATGACTGAGACCATGTAACATGCTTTGACCAATGAAATACAAGCAAAAGTCACCTTGGCCAGAGTATTTAAAAGCCCATGTGCAATTCTCCATTATTTCTTCACATGCTGCATTCATTGTGGAGGAAGACGGTGACAGGGAAACATACACACAGAGCTGCTGTTACAGTTGGTAGCTAGTCAGACATGAGCAGGGCAGAAGAGGCGCCCCCACCACCAGGAATGTCAGAAGACCATCAGGTGAGGATCAGGCGTTTGTTAACTGTCTCTAAAATAATAATTGATCAGAGCCAGCACCAGGGAAAGGCGGCCTCCCAATTCATAGAAAAAACCTGAAGCTGGTGATCAGCAGCTTCCAGATAAGATCTCAGGAGGTGGGTGAGTGGGCTCAAGCATGCGCACTAAGAGGCAAAACGATGGAGTTTAACTGGTGTATGACCTTATGGGAACACTCGACTGGTAAGAGAAGAACGCCTCAAGTGAGCATGCATACAACTTCAGTAAATACACTGTGCATGCAGCCCCTCCCAACTGCTAGCAAGCAACTGCAGACACTCCACCCCAGAGGAAGAATCAGCGGAGAAAGGATGCAACTGTTATCAATAAACCTTCACTCCTGCTCTAAAACTTGCTTCGGTCTCTCACTCTGCCTTATGCCTCTCAGTTGAATTCTTTCTTCTGAGGAGGCAAGAAGTGAGGTTGCTGAAGACCTGTACAGCTTCACAGCCAGTAACATTGCCACATAGAAGACAGCTCCCCTGAAGAGCGTCCGGATGCAAAATGTTTTAGTAAGAAAGAAAGAAAGTGTTGTGTTAAACTACGAAGTTTTTGTTGGGGTTTTGTTATTGCAGCAAAAGCTGCAATAACCATCCTGATGGACACATTAGAGTAAGTGCATGACACAGATTTTAGAAGGAAGAAAAGATACCAGGAAATGCAAAAGAGGGTGACTGCATCAAACGGCAGTCTGGGATGTGAGGGACAGGTGCTGCCTGCAGTACACACAACAACTAAAATCATTAATCCACTTTCCTTTGTCTTGTGTTTAGCCTTATATTCCCAAAGCTATTATAATTGTTTAAATAGAAGCTTCTACATTTATTACAATCATTACAAAATGAAACTGGTTTTGACTTTCACAATTTCACTTCTCACCTGAGCAATACCTTCTCATATGTATCCTTTGACCAAGGCAGAGGTCACTATTTAAAGCAGGTAGTTTTGAAAATATTATGCTAATCAGCAATCAACACATTTGTAACTCTCCACCCCCTAAAGCAGACCAGGTGGATGGTTACTCAAGCCTTTGCAACAGTTCCCCTTTTCTTCTTATGGGAAGTGGGGAATGTGAGAACTTAAATATTCTAAAAAAAATTAATAGATTGGGTGGGGTGAGGGCTTCTCTGACAGTTTTAACATGCAGAGGTGTGCTTCAATCATCCAAACTCCTGAAAAGGGCATCAAGCACCCTCTCCCATTCCAAATGGAGCCCTCAGCTGGGGCCAGGCAAACTGATGGTTTGGTGCCAGGATGAAGAAACAGGAGTGCTGTGCTGGGAAACAATGACAGCAAACAAGCGCCTGAGCTGATTCAGAGAAGAGAGACTGGGAAAACAGCCCACCAGAGAAGCCTCCAGGAGAAAAGCTCGGGAGAGGAGAACAAGACAACAGGAACCACAAAGCCAAAGGAAACCTAACCCAAAGTGAAGATGGATAGCTCATCCAAGGGGAAGTAAGGAGATGAATCTTCACAAACCAGGAAGAAGGCCGATCAGAGACTTCTGAAGACCAAACCAGAGAAGGAGATGGTAAGCACAGAAAGTGGACCTGAGTCTCTGAACTGGAAAAACTCCTTTCCCAGCTAGGGGGACAGGGAGAACATTCACTCTAGACTGGAGGTGAAAACAAGATGGATTTGCGGGAACCATCCTTGCCCCAGGGTCTGAGCCTGGAAAAGGGATTCCTGTATGTCTGGGTCCCCCAGCCCCCACAGCCCTTCCTCCACACTGAGCTCCTCCTTGTTCCCTGACCAGGGCTTGGATTCTCTTACCAGGGTATTCCGCACTAGAACCCCCTCTCCTCTTCCCTCTGGTCCGTTCCCCCTAAGAGGTGATGCACAGGCATGGCCACTTCCTGGAAGCCTTCAACTGGGAATGCTCTACCTCCTTCCTGGCAGATTTGGGCTCCTGTCCTCTGGGCTTCCATTTGCTTGTCTTCTCCAGGTACCCAGCAACCAAGCTTTACTGGAGAAATGACCAGAAAGAAGAGAAAATGGAGCAAAACCAAAGGGTTCATACACTTGAACTTGTGCCACACTGAGTAACACGAGGTGACTTATCATTATGGCCTCAGCTGCATGAGGTCATCCCTTGACTCCCTCACACATCCATGTTTTCTGACATATAAATATAAGAAAACCCAGTGTATTACTCTGTTTTCACACTGCTGATAAAGACATACCCAGGACTGGGCAATTTACAAAAGAAATAGGTTTAATGGACTTGTTCCATGTGGCTGGGGAGGCCTCAGAATCATGGCAGAAGGTGAAAGGCACATCTCACATGGCAGCAGACAAGAGAAAAGAGCTTGTGCAGGGAAACTCCCCTTTTTAAAACCATCAGATCTCATGAGACTTATTCACTATCATGAGAACAGCACAGGAAAGATCTGCCCTGTGATTCAATTACCTCCCACCGGGTTCCTCCCACAACACGTGAGAATTCAAGACGAGATTTGGGTGGGGACACAGCCAAACCATATCATTCCACCCGGCCCCTCCCAAATCTCATGTCCTCACATTTCAAAACCAATCTTTCCTTCCCAACAGTCCCCCAAAACATTAGCTCATTTCAGCATTAACTCAAAAGTCCACAGTCCAAAGTCTCATCTGAGACAAGGCAAGTCCCTTCTGCCTATGAGCCTGTAAAATCAAAAGCAAGTTAGTTACTTCCTAAATACAACGGGGGTGAAGGCATTGAGTAAATACAGCCATTCCAAATGGGAGAATTGGCCAAAACAAAGGGGCTACAGGCCCTGTATCAGTCCAAAATCCAGCAGGGCTGTCAAATCTTAAAGGTCCAAAATGATCTCTTTTGACTCCATGTCTCAAATCCAGGTCATGCTGATGCAAGACAGGGCTCCCACAGCCTTGGGCAGCTCCACCCCTGTGGCTTTGCAGGGTATATTCCCCTCCAGGCTGCTTTCACAGGCTGGTGTTGAATGTCTATGGCTTTTCCAGGGGCACAGTGTAAGCTGTTAGCAGATCTACCATTCTGGGGTCTGGAGGACAGTGGCCTTCTTCTCACAGCTCCACTAGGTGGTAGAGAGCTGTCCCCCAGTAGGGACTCTGTTTAGGGGCTCCCACCCCACATTCCCCTTCCACAATGCCCTAGCAGAGGTGCTCCATGAGGGCCCTGCTCCTGCAGCAAACCTCTGCCATTTCCATACATCTTCTAAAATCTAGGCAGAGGTTCTCAAACCCCAATTCTTGACTTCTGTGCACTCACAGACTCAACACAACGTGGAAGTTGCCAAAGCTTGGAGCTTCCACCCTCTGAAGCCAAAGCCTGAGCTCTATGTTGGCCCCTTTCAGCCATGGCTGGAGCAGCTGGGACACAGGACACCAAGTTCCCTAGGCTGCACACAGCACATGGACCCTGGGCCCAGCCCACCAAACCACGTTTTCCTCCTAGGCCTCTGGGCCTGTGATGGGAGGGGCTGCAGTAAAGGTCTCTGACACCTTGGACCTTTTTCTGCTTCACAACAGAAAAACCCTGGAGATATTTTTCCCATTGTCTTGGGGATTAACATTAGGCTCCGCATTACTTATGCAAATTTCCGTAGCTGGCTTGAATTTCTCCTCAGAAAATGGGATATTCTTTTCTATCACATTGTCAGGCTGCAAATTTTCCAAACTTTTATGCTCTGCTTCACTTATAAAACTGAATGCCTTTAACACCACCCAAGTCACCTCTTGAATGCTTTGCTGCTTAGAAATTTCTTCTGCCAGATACCCTAAATCATCTCTCTCAAGTTCAAAGTTCCACAAATCTCTAGGACAGGGGCAAAATGCCACCAGTTCTTTGCTAAAACATAACAAGAGTCACCTTTGCTCCAGTTCCCAACACATTCCTCGTCTCCATCTGAGACCACCTAAGCCTGGACTTTATTGTCCATATCACTACAAGTATCTTGGGCAAAACCATTCAACAAGTCTCTAGGAAGTTCCAAACTTTCCCAAATTTTCCTGTCTTCTTCTGAGCCCTGCAAACCGTTCCAACCTCTGCCTGTTACCCAGTTCCAAAGTCGCTTCCACATTTTCAGGTATCTTTTCAGTAGTGCCCCCACTCTACTGGTATCAATTTACTGTATTAGTCCGTTTTCATGCTGCTGATAAAGACATACCCTGGACTGGGCAATTTACAAAAGAAAGAGGTTTAATGGACTTACAGTCCGCATGGCTGGAGAGGCCTCACAATCACGGAGGAAGGTAAAATGCACGTCTCACATGGTGGTAGACAAGGGAAAAGAGCTTCTGCAGGGAAACTCCCCTTTTTAAAACCATCAGATCTCATAAAATTTATTCACTATCACAAGAACAGCACAGGAAAGATCTGCCCCCATGATTCGGTTACCTCCCACCGGGTTCCTCCTACAACACATGGTAATTCAAGATGAGATCTGGGTAGGTATCAACCCAACTACCCAGAAAGAGAGGGAAAAAAATTCCAGGGTTGATTTTTCCTCATAGAGAATTTTTCTTATACCTAAAGAATTGTAACAACAGAAAATTTGAGATTGGGGGCTTGTTTTGTCTTTATATATTTCATTTATTAAGACAAGGTATTCAGATGTTGGTACCCAACCTTTACCACCCCAATATTATTTACAAAAGCTCTGAAATAGTTTCAACCTAGCATGACATTTCAATATAAAAGAACTAATAAACACGCAGAATTGGTATTAGTATGTGTGGTAGTCCTGCTTCATGGTGAGGTTACTGTAGAAGATGATCTGGATGACCCCCCAAACCATGAAAAATGTGTTTTATCTCACCAACACGCCCATTGCTGGAACCTATGGGCAAAGGAACCAAAGGTGTAATTATCCTATTCGACTATTTGTTACTTCATGAATGTAGTTTTGGCAGGCATTTCAGAACATGTTCAATACACGGTGACAAAATTTAGCAAGATCAAAGTCCCACATAAAGGTTTTATAATTCCTGCGTATAAGCTGACGATGCTGAGGGTGTCTGCGGAAAAAAAAAAGCAGGGGCAGAAAAAACATTGCTAGGCAATTGCAGAGAAGGAATGCCAATTCCTCATATAACAGCTTCTCCGATTCCAAACCCTAGCCACCCATGTTTATGCACAGAAATGGCCCTTGATTCACATTCAAGTAGTCCTAGCTTCTAACCAGAGGTCCAGGGACCCCTCAGGACCCTCTACGGTGAAGCCCAGCATCACTTTCAAGGCCAGGCCTTCCCTTGCCTCTCCCTCTATCCTCCACCCAAAGAGGGATTGGGCCTCTCTGCCTTGCCATCATACTTGCCAGTGCCCATTCTGTTCACGAGTTTCTTCTCACCATGGCTACACCTCCCACTGTCACATTTTCTAGCATGGCTCTTACCTGGGCTCCTCCATCCATCAAGGGTCCTCTAGAAAACAGCCTATCAAAGATGTGTGGGCAAGGTTCAGAGGCCCAAGGAGATGCTACAGCACAAAGGGACCAGTCATGACAAGCCTTGAACAGTTCGAGGCCTGACAGCCAAGGGGAGACACAGCTGTACTGGAGGCTGGAGAGAGGTGACGCGATTGAGGAGGGACTGCCCAGGGTCAGCTGCCATTATAGGCGGTCACAGACACTGCAAGCACCACAGAGAAAAAGAGAGCAAGCAGGAAGAATAGATACTGCTGGCCTCTTGCTCCTCCTGACCTACCACTGACTGAACCCAACCTAAGCCAGAGGGCAACAGAGTCCTGGTGATGAACATCCACAAAGGCAGCCTCCACGGTGCAGACCAGAACAGGGAAGGGCAGAGAGGACTCAGGATGGACAAACAGAATAGCCAGCATAGCTGCCATGGGCGATGATGCTCCAAATCCTCCCCACTTTTTTCTTTTTTTAAACTGCCAGTTACTCTGCAGAAACCACCAAGGGGGAGTTTCCAAAATTATTCATTCAATAAAGTTCTTATAGTCAGAGTCCTCTATTTGGGTCTGGCCTTCATCACGGAGGTGGTAAACAGCCAGGCATACTCCTGACCTAAGCAATGTTCTGATGATGACAGTCACCAAACTTTTGAGGCCTTCTAGTCCAGTGTTACAAAGTGTGGTCTGTGGATGCAGCAACAGCATACCCTAAAACTTGATAAAAAGGCAGATGATTGGGCCCTGTCCATGAGCTGTTGAACCAAAGTCTCTAAGGCTGAGGCCCTGGAATATGTGTTTTAACAAGCCCTCCAGGGATTCTGATGCAGGCTTCAGTTTGAGAAGTTCCGCTTTAGCCCCACCCTTCACCGCAGCCTGAGGCTAACTTCTCAGAGACCCTGGACTGAGAAGCCCAGCCTAAGGGGCTCCTGACTCTTAACTTCCTCATGATGACCTTCAGCAGGATACCAATTGTGGAGCCTCAGTTTTCTTACTTAATTTCTACCAATATAACCAGTAAGATCTCTTTCAGCTCTTCAGAGAGACTAACTCTGGAATCCCTCAGATCTGCAATTTCAGGCACTGATGATGATGACAGCAATGACAACAGCAGCAGCTCAGGCTTACTGAGCATCCTCTACATAACTAGGTGGGCACTGCCTGTGATTCACAGACGGTGAGGCCGCAGCATATAGAAAAGCTCAGTAACTTTTGAGTCTATTAAAAAAAAGACTTTATTCCAGTTATGAAAATAGTAAAATAAGAATGTATATGAAAGCGCTTTGTGAAGGTAAAGCATTATATAAACCACGACAGAGTGAACACACAACTGCAGTTGGGCTTTTTTAAGATCTAGCTTCATTTGAGATACTCAAGGTAGATTAGAACATGTCTAGGCAGCTTTTTTTTTTTTTTTTTTTTTTTAGAGAGTTATGTGCCAAGAGCAGTGGGAAATTTGAATGCTTAAACAGTACCCAAAAGAAGAGAAAACCACCTGGTAAGATCTCTGACAGACACATAGGGTTGCTGCCACTAAGTACTCTTCTGACACCTCTCCTAGAATTCTGTTTATGGCCAAACAAACCATTTAATCTTCTAGAAACAGATTTATAGATGTGTTCTTTTTACTCTTTTGATATGACAGATTCTTGATTTAATTAGATCCCTTTCCCATTTTCAAATGCTCCCTCTGCTAATGCATTAACTTCTCCCTCTCCAACTGAAGAGATGTGGTTAATATTAAACACCCATCTTTCCATTTGTCTAAGATTCACCCCAAAGTGTCCTACTGGTTGAGGTGTCATCTCAACACAGAACACTGCTTGGACCTTGGCCAGACAAGGAACAAGAAATAAAACCTGATTCCCTATCCCACCATTGGTTCCCATGATAGAATACTGGTATTCCATTTTAGAGACAGAGACTCACAGAGGTTATTTGATTTACTCCAGGTCATGCAGCCCTTAAGTGGTAAGCTCATTTTAAAAAATGTTCTCTTACACCCACAGCCAAACTGCATTTTAATAGATTGAAACAGGCATCATACTTCCCCTAATCTCCAAAAGTTATTATTATATCCTCTTCTCAACGTAAAAAAAATTTTTTTGCAGATTTCATTCCTATGTACAAATTCACAGCACAATATAATGAGTCAACCATTTGCAGTGTTTGTTCATTACAGTCAACATTTAGAGTGTCAGAGCAAGCAGAAGTGATAAGCTGTTCACTTCCCTCAACAGTAATGAGAGATAAAATAAATTTGCCGTCAGCACCAAAGTCCTAAGTGTTAGGCAATCACAAGTATTTGCATGTACACCTCATAACAGCTGCAGGTAAATGATTTGACAAGGTCAAATTCAACTGAACAACAAAACCACCAATGGACTGAGTTTAAGTTGCTAGACCAGTTGGAAAAAAATACAGGAAGACAACCAACTAGGATGCAAAAACCCTGGTTTTCAGAATTGTAACTTTAGTAAAGATTTGTTTTGCCTTGGTAGAAGTCCTGAATGATATTTTCTCTACAGATAATACAAACAGTACAAAATGAAAAGGATTTTATAAGCAAGAAGTCAATGTCCCATGAACAAAGCAGATGAATACAAAACAGATTAACTGAGTCACAGAAGGTAAGATCTGCCAACTCACTATACAAATTACAGTGACTCAAAGGCATGTCTATATCTAATGTCATTTAGTTATATTCATGGTTCTCAGTTTTAGGAAATTTATATGGAAAGTTTAACTTTTAAATTTTGCTCTCCTAAAAAAAGCTGTAAGAAAACTGATAATTATGTATATACACACACAGACACACACACATATATATATTTTAACCCCCTGCCCCCACTTACAATTTTGGTTTCTTCCACCTTCAACATTACTCTAAGGCTATTAATGCTTTTTGTAGGAAAAAATTTAAATTTATTCTCTTCTCACATTTAGATCATTACCTAAGCAATATCAGTGTTCATATAGATTGTTAATATAATCTTAATTTACATTTTTCCCACTTCATAAATAAATTGGGATTGTTTGTATACCCCATGTTAAAGCTGTGATTTACTATGATATTTCTATAAACTATGTAGCTATATTTTTTAAATAAAACACATGGCTTACCATAGTTCCTTTATTCAAGGACACCAATAATTTTAAGATATACCATCAATTTAATAATAGCTTTATAGGGAGCAAAACAGTAAGTACTTCTTCAAATGATCACAGCAACCGTAAGATACATCTCAATTTTGAAAGTGTCAAAATGAAAAAAAAGAGACTCTAATCAAGGACATACATTAATTATCTTATTTAGAGAGAGGATGCAGAAGAAGTGTTAGACTGTATAATATGGAGTCAGCCTTCTTGGGTTCAAATTTGACTCCTTCTCTTATTGGGTGATCTTAGGCAACTCAACCTATGCCTCATTTTTCTCTTCGGGAAAAGAAGACCATGAGACCATCTGCGACATAAGATTGTTGTTACCAGGTCTAAATGAGTTACTGTTCTTAAAGTACTTCAAACAACCTGATATGATAAATGTTATATTAGGATTTGTTAAATATTAATAGTTATCATCATTTTCAGCACCACCACCTACCAGGGCTTACCGAAGCATTTGCTATATTTGGAGGTGAATGATTTCCAATTCAACACCAGTAAAATATTTTGATTCAAAAAAAATTTACTAGCAACTGAATGAGTACTTATATCAAGTTTTTAGAGGAAAAGGAGAGAAAAGGTAAAATAATTGTAAAACCATGATGCTGCTTTCTGGAAGGCAAGTTAGAGAAGCACTTTCTAACCAGGGGTCTTGTGGCACAGGCTTCAGAACATCCACAAGCCCTCTGAAATGAGATGCAAAATTATGTCTGAATGTGCATTTCTTTTGCTGTGCTATCTTTTGATTCTCAAAAAGGCCTGGAATCCCCCCACCCACAACAAAAACAATTAAGAGTAATTCCATGCAGGTAATCATAGTGCATTAAAAGGTAAACATACCAAAATTTAATTTCATTAAAAGATACTGTGTATTCTCAATGATTTTATTCTATTGTAAATAGGTTCAGTTACTTTGACAGGTATGTGTACTTCCAACTTCCTAATCTCAAGTTGCTTAAATATCAAGCATGTTACCATCAGAAACATAAATCCTGGGTTACAAGGAACTCATTCTACCTCTTCCAGTTTTTCATACAGGCCAGAAAAGGAGCTTGCATGCCTTATAAATCTCCAAGTAGATGTGTACTATGGAGCTGAGAAAACAATGACTTCTAGGATGAGTCATCCCAAACCTTCATGTTTCTTGTCCAATGGCTGGTATTGCTGGGAGATGGCTGACAGCTACTCTGCTCAAGCCATGGCCAAAGCTTCTGAGTAAAGACTGATCCCTTCTCATGAAGACAGAGGGTACATTGGTGGTTACCAGAGGCCAGGAAGGGTAGTGGAGAGGAGGGGATGAAGAGAGTTTGATTAACAGGTACAAATATACACTTAGATATAAGTGATGGATTGGGTACGGTGGCTCACGCCTGTAATCCCAAAACTTTTGGAGGGCAAGGCATGCGGATCACTTGAGGCCAGGAGTTTGAGACCAGCCTGGCCAACGTGGCAAAACCCCATCTCTACTAAAAATACAAAAATTAGCCAGGTGTGGTGGCACATGCCTGTAATCCCAGGTACTTGGGAGGGAGGCTGAGGCACAAGAATCGCTTGAACCCAGAGGTGGACGTTGCATGAGCCAAAATGGTGCCACCGTACTCCAGGCTGGGTGAAAGAGCAAGACTCTGCCTAAAAGAAAAAAAAAAAAAAAAGCAATAAGACCCAGTGTTCCACAGATCAGTAGGGGCCAAGAACAGTGGCTCACACCTGTAATCCCAGCACTTTGGGAGGCTGAGGCAGGCGGATCACTTGAGGTCAGGAGTTCAAGACCAGCCTGGCCAACGTGGTGAAACCCTGTCTCTACTAAAAATACAAAAATTAGCCAGGCATGGTAGTGGATGCCTGTAATCCCAGCTACTCAGGAGGCTGAGGCAGGAGAACCACTTGAACCCAAGAGGTAGAGGTTGCAGTGGGCTGAGATCCCACCAATACATTCCAACCTGGGCGATAGAGTGAGACTCCATCCAAAAAAAAAAAAAAAAAAAAGGGTGACTATAATTTAACATTAATTGATTGTGCATTTCATTTCAAAGTAGCTTCAAGAGAATAATTTAAATGTTCCTAAAGAAAAGAAAAATATTTAAGGTGATCAATATCCCAATTACCCTTGATTATATTAATGTATCAAATTATCACATGTACCCTGAAAATATGTATCAATAAAAATAAATAAATGACTGATCCTGGAAGCCATTACTGAAGAGAGTGGAAAGAGAATGAGTTGTGCTTTACACTAAGACTTGAAATGTTTCCTGCATCCATTGTTTCAATATACCATATGTTGTTATCCTTTCAAAGTTTTAGACACGATATTGCAGACAGGCTACAGTCTTTGAAATCAGGTAGTTCTGGGCTCCATTCTTTCTCTGCTATTTCCTACATGGTTAGCCATGGGAAAGCTTTTAACCTCTCTGGATTGTAATTTCCTCATAGGTGAAAATACCTCTTCCCTTCAGGGGACTCTGGAGGTTTCAATCTGAAGAAGACCTACCACAGTGGCATCTGTGGATTTTCCCTTGTCCGTACCCATTAACGAATGATTTACCATAATAATGATTTGCCACAACAAATTAAGTCATTGATTTTTACTATTTTATCTTCATATAAAATCTTATGATCTCTCAAAAAGTACTTCCAGATCATATATCATTACTGGAATTATCTATACTCCTAACAAAGATTGTTATGCAGTATTGAGGCAAAAAAAAATCACAAGCGCTCAAAGTCACTACCAATGACTTATTTCCTACCTTTCCATCTATTGCTAGCTACACAAGTTGCCAATTACTGCCACATCAACTTAAGAGAAAGTGCAAGTATGAAATGAAGCCTATTTGTTATGGTATCAGTATTTAGACGCTACCTAAAATACTCACTATATGTTGGGATATCATGTGCTTTTAAAAAATAGAATCCAACATTGCATATGAAAGCAAAAATGTTTGTGTCTAGATTTCTATAAATATGTCCATGAAAGTCCTTTTGCATAGAGTAAGCATCCTGCCAGGGACATAACTATTTAAGTTCCAATGTACCCAACACTTTATATTCTATTCATGGAAAAACCTGATCCACTGTGTATGTCATTACAGAGGAAGACACTGAGGCTCAGAATGCTCAGAGAATAACTAATGCAAAGATAATAAGTGATAGCACTGGGATTCAAACCCACTCTGAAGCCACAGCCTGTGTCTTTTCCTGGGATCTAATTATGTCACCAAAGTGTGGGGGTTGGGAGGGAAAGGAAGAAATAAGTAAATAAAATATTAACTTGCCATTGAGTTCCTTTGCTAGAATTCACACGAAATTAAATGAATCTACAGTTTCTTTTCCTTCTTCCCAAATAAATATTTTTGAAGTTGGCATCCACAGAGCTTTATTTTATCTGTAGCCATAGCTAACACAGTTTTACACCAAGGATCAGGATAGTAGTTTGTCAGCAAGCAGAGGCAGTGAAGTCAATATTTCTCAAATAAGTTCACTATGTGTCCCTCATATCTGATCTGACTCACCCTTCCTGGCAGATGCATGCCTCTCTTAATGGCCTTTATCTTCTGGCTGCCATAAGCAGATGAGAACAAAGTAAGCTGGGTGAATTCACAAGGTTTTTGGATTGACCTTGATCAAGTGAGCATGGCTGATTTTGCTTATGACACATGGATGCTGTTTTGTTTTGTATTTTAGTTGTTTGTTTGTTTGTTTGTTTTTTGTAGCAACATGGTCTTGCTTTGTTGCCCAGGCTGATCTTGAGCTATTTTTAATTTAAGTAAACATTAGTTACCTTTCGCCTATAACCACAATGCTTCTCCCCACTTCCCCTAAACCCAATATGTCAATAATAAGCTTCTGTGTGCCCAAATAAAAGTGAAAAGTCTGACATTATTAATGGCATTTATTTACCTCTCTCAGAGTGGTAAGATAATATCAGCAGGTACTATAAGGCTATCACAGTTTAGAGTAAATAGACCCTTTGCCCTCTCAATGCATTTGAGGAAAACTAAAGTTAATTCAGAGCATGGACTTGGCTCTACGGAAACAGGATACATAGATGCAAACCTCCCTTCTGGCACACACTCTGTAACCTCGGGCAAATTACACCTGTGTTTCAGTTTCTTCATCTGTGGAATGCAAATAGCAGCATCTAACTCATAGGCTCATAGGCTTGTAGTGAGAGTTGAAGTTTATATCAGAATATGCATGGTACATAATTAAGTGCTATGATGTTAGCCATTGATTTCAATTTAAACACAAAGAATAAATGACATGCTTTGCCTGTAAAATAGGTGCCTAAAACGGCGATACATTGGGCATACTGGTATATAATTTGGATCGGTTTCTATTTCTCAATCAATAAAGTCAAGTTTCTAGCAGAGGAGGGTATTGAGTCAGAGCTAAAGCACTCCAGCTTGTACAAAGGGAAAGGGATACTTTGTTCCTTTTTGAGACGGAATCATCTGGGCAAAGAAAAAGAGAGAACTTCATTCAGAGGGCTACCAGCTGTTCTTCCCAGTTTCTCAATTTTGAAGAGCACAGGCCATAAGAACCCTGGCTAGTGAAGGGTGGTTAAAGAGAATTAGGCCCTTCTGATGACCAATCCAAAAGCTGGGAATCACTGAAGGTCTTTGGTGAGCAATTTGGCACAACTGGTGAATCATTCTGGCTGCTGTAAATGAAACAGATACCAAGACGTTGAAGACAGTGGCAGAGGCTGCAGAAAACATCACAGCAGCCAAAGCCCAAAATAAGTCAGTCCCAGCATTTTGACAGTATATACAGAAAAAGGGAATAGCTGTTATCAGTTCTTTTATTAGGGGGAAAATATCAGTCTTAGAAACAACCTGATGAGAAAGACTTAAAAAGATACAAAAAAGTAAGGTAGGAGGCTTAAGACCAAGGGAAAAATAATGCAACCACTAAGAAAGGTAAAAGATGGGGAAATGAACGATTGTCAGTTTAAAAAAAAAAAATTCATCAATGCTCCTTGGGAAAATGGCTGATTTCAGGGTTTCAGGTCGGGAGCAGCAGACTATGGACAAGATGCACTTAGAATATCTTGCGTCAGAAAAGTAAGAAAGGTATTTGAGTTTACTGGCCATTTAAAAAGTATACAGGAGACAAAGATAAACCAAGCACCAAAAAGGATATTGACTGAAGTGACAGAAACAAATACATTAAGATTCATAAGTTCTTAATGACACTTAAAAAAGAAAAACTCACTGGTTCTCACTGGAGATTGTTAAAGCACCAAATCATTACTCTGATAGTTGGTAAAAGGAAAAAATTAAGACTTTTCCCTGTCTATCCTGCACATTGTGAATTTCAGGAGACCTAAATAATTTATGAGGGAAAGTTCTTTACAGACCGAATTCCAATTAATAAATGCAAGAAGAATGATGGATTTAGATCATCACCATTTTGCAACCCCTAATGAAAAGGATCTAGGCTACAACGATCTGTGATACTAAAATCATTAAGTAGAAGACAGACAGCTAAGTGACACTACCTAAACTCACGAATCAATCTTTCCATCTCAAAAAGAGAGATATCCAGACATTATGCGTCTCACGATGTGATGCAATAGATTTTACACAGCACCATCCATGAAGGTTACTTGTCTTTGAACCTATATCTAATCAAACCTCTATATCTAACTGCCAGATCACAGGAAACAGAATAGAGGAACAAGCTAAACATCACCACAAGGAATCAGTCCAGACAGTAGGATGTTCTACAGCACAAATGAACCACTCTCTTCTGCAAATCACTGGCATGAAAAAAGGGAGGGGAAGCTGTTATAAAATAAATTAGAAATCCTAACAACTAAATACAATATGTGGACCTCATTTAGCTCCTGTTTCCAACAATCATAAGTAAAAAGACAACTTTGAGAAAATTTGAATATGGAAATTATATTTTTAAATTATTAATATTTTAGGTGTGAAAAAGGCAAAGTTTTGCTGTTGTTTTTAATGTCCTTATCAGGACCGTAAACTGAAAAATTTGTGAGTAAGACAACATGATGTACGGAATTTTGTTTTAAAATGCACTAGCCCCTACAAAAGTGTATGGAGGGGGAAAATAAATGAAACAAGACTGGCAAAATGCTAATAACTGTTGAAGCACAGGTGTTCATTATACCATTCTCTCATAATCTCTGTTATACAATTAAAAAAATTAAAGGGTTTTGTCAGGAACTCAGGTTGTGCATTACTTTGCTACTGATTTTTAAGAGGTAGTTAGGGCCCTCCCACAATGTACAACTTAGTCTTTCCCTCATTTGTCTTAAAGAAGTGCAAAGAGTCTTAACCAGTATGCATGCTGAATTCAACACAACTAGAAGTGACTGAACTGAGGAACCAAGGAACTCAGGCATATTAACCAAATGGCAGTTTGATTTTTTCCTAGTAACAGATAGCCTACAACGTAGTGAGACCCCCAGTCTCTAAAAGAAATAGGAAAAAAAAAATTAGCCAAGCATGGTGGTGTGTGCCTGTATCCCAGTTCCTCAGGAGGCTGAGGTGGGAGGACCGCTTGAGCCAGAAGGTCGAGGCTATAGTGAGCTATGATCACACCACTGCACTCCAGCCTAGGTGGCAGAGCAAAACCCTGTCTCAGAAAAAAAACAAAACAAAACAACAACAACAAAAAAAGCCTATAATGCACCTGGGTTGAGCAACACAACCCACAAAGAACTTTGTTAATGTCAGTTGATGTCAGATTGTCCAGGTTTGTGGGAGCCCAGGGCAGCATGGATAAGGACCACACATATTCCTAAATCAGATCTTGGTCAATATAGGAGATGAAAACTCAACTAACTCATGTAATGCACAAAGCTGTGTCTTTACTAGTGGTAATGGATTTCTGTTAACTTATCCCTGAAGTCACGCAGCTCCAGTCTGGAGGTATGGCCCATGAGACACAAAGCTGAAGGTCTACAAAAAGATCCAAGCCATGATTTGTTTGCATTAGCATCACTGCCCAATCCAAGGTGGTTAACCAGACAATCCCAGATGCTAACAAGTCACCAACCAACCAGTCTGATACATATTCTACTTGTATCTCTCTTTCTTTCAAACCCCCTGTGTTTTGGACTGTTAAGTGTATGCCCCCTACAAAATTCTTATGTTGAAGCCCTAACCCCAAACATGACATTATTTGGAGATGAGGCCTTTGATAATTATTTAGGGTTAGACTAGGTCATGATGGTGGGGCCCTCATGATGGGATTAGTGGCCTTATGAGAAGAGGGAGCCCTCTCTTCCTCTGCGTTTACCAAGGGAAGGCCATGAGAGGATATACGAGAAAGTGGTCATCTGCAGGCCAGGAAGAGAGCCCTCACCAGAAACCTAATCAGCCTACACATTGATCTCAGGCTTCCCAGCATCCTGAGCTGTGAGAAAATAAATTCCTGTTGTTTAAACCACCCAGTCTACGGTATTTTGTTATGACAGCCTGAGCTGCCTAAGACAAGTTCATATTTCACTTGTTTTTCTCCTTCTTTCAACCCCCTTCCTACTCCTTTGATGGGGAAGATTCCAAAATCACAAAGGTAGTTCCAAGGCAGAAGAAAGGGGAAATAAACAGTCAAATAAATAGTCAAAAAGTATGGGTTTCCAACACTGGAAAAACTGACAATCAAACTTCCTTCAATAAAAACTGGCTATGCAGTTACGAAATGTGTTTGGAAAGTCCCAAAAAGAAATAATACAGTATTAGAATCAAAGAGGGTTAATAAAGCATACATTATCTGAGGTAACCACATTCAGAGTAATTAAAAAATAAAACTAAATAGGTATATTGACAAGGTATACGACACCCTCCCAGGCAGCAAGAAACATGAGTATGAACGCAAATAAATACTATAGATCTATTTATACAGAAACCCTCAGCAATTCTTGTCGCAGACTGCCTGGCAGCCCTCATGTCTTCAGTATTCTGTGCCATGAAAAAGTAACCGTCAAGGATAATAGAAACATAATTTGACCTACTTTTCCCTGGATTCCTGCAAAGTCTATAACTCCAGTTCTTGTTTATTCCGACACCACATCTTGGGGACACATTTCCTCACTTACTTTGCAGGCAATCCTAAATGCCACACATGTTAAGGTCACTTGTGGGCAATTCCTAAACTCTCTGGGTCACCGACTTTAAGAATGTCCCATCACACACAGAGAATCCTCAGAACATCTTCTGAGATGGACCTGGGATGGACCATTTTCCACCTGAGATGGAAAATGCCTAGGAAAAGAGAGATGCAGCCTCGAGAAGCTGAAGACCGACATCAGTTCAGACCCTTCCCTACCCAAAGGAGGGCGCATGAAAACAAGTGGTTATCCCTCACTCTCAAGTTTACACAAACCCATCTCTGAAAGAGCTAGAAGTCTCCCAGCAAGGTCTTGTTTTAAGTCAGACAAGACTGCATTTTAAAAATTACAGCCAAACGGGAAAGAAAAACCACATTGATGCAGCTTCTCATTAAAGACCACTTAATAATAAATTTTTAAAAGATGAGTAGAACCCACCAAAGGTGCCGCCAAACCCTGGTGAGCAGGGAAATCTGAGTAAGTCAGCTCTGTGTCCTGAGGCCCTGGCGGGGCCTCCTAGGTGGCTTCTTAAAGATCCCAGGAGACAATCAGCAGACCTTCCTGCTTCTCTTAAAAATACAAAACATGCCTGACCTGCTCAGGTCATTAGATGCACTTAGAACTCAATGAGGGACACTCCTTCACCAGGAAATCGTATCTGAACACACCATCAGGAAGTCAATATTGAAGGTTCTTGGGGGCGTGCACCCTCCTGCTCAAGAGGGTGTCCAGGAGTATTAAGTGCTGGAGACACCGGAACCCAGGAACTGGAAGCTCACCCAAGAGCTTCCGACTCCTGGGTCTGCCCCTCGGCGGTGGAGACCACCAAAACCAGTCTCGATGCCCAGAGCTTGCAACAGCACCTCCAAAACAAGCACACACGTCGCATGCGTCCTGCAAACAGGGATGCCGCTCGTGGGGCCTGAAGCTTGCGGTTGGGACAGGGCTGGCTGGCTGTTGGACGCTGGACACCTGCAGCTTCCCCTCCGAGAAGAGGCAAACAGCTCGTCTTCAGCCGATGCCCGGTCCCGCAGCCTGAATCTGGGGGCCCTGGGGTTAAGTCAGGTGCAGCCTGGTGGGGGGGAGGTGTGGGGGCGGGGGAAGCCGTCGCTCAGGGGGTGGCACCTCAAAACCCGCCGTCCCGGGCCCCTCTTCAGCCGAGTCCGGCAGAAGGGCGTCCCTTCCGCCACCTCCCCAACTTCCAGACGCCCCCCTCAGCGGCCCGGGGGGTGGGCGCGGGCTCCACGTGCGCGCCGCCCGTGCCCACTCGGACAGGGCCGGGCCACTCACCCGGCCCCCAGCGGCGCTCCGCTTCCTCCGCAGCGTGAGCCCGCTCCGCAGCAGCGCGGGCAGGTCCCTCAGCCGCGGCCGCAGCGACGCCGGCGGCTGCTCGCGCTCGGGCTCCCGGGCGCTGGGGCTGCGGCGCAGGGGGCCGTCTGCCGCCACCACCGCCGCCGCGGCGGCCAGGGCCGGGCTCTCGCACGGCGGCTGCATCTTGACGGAGCCCACGGCCATCCTCATGCCCTGACGGCGCTGCGGCGCCGGGGGCTCCTCTCCACCGCGCTCGCCTCCGCGCGCCGTCCGCGCCTTCGCCAGGAAGCGAGAGGGCGCGACTGCGGCTCGGGCGCGGGGCGCGCTGCCAGCCGCTGCCCATTGGCGCGCGCCGCGGCCCCCGCGAGGCTCAGCCCCGCGCGCCTCCCCTCCCCTCCTCTCTCCTCCCCTCCCCGCCCAGGTGCGCGGGCCCCGCCCCGCCCCGCCCTTTCGCCTGCGAAAGCTGCCTGGGACCTGTCCCCCTCGGATCTCCCACTCGGGACCCGGGAGGAAGAGGGCACCTTGGGCACCGGCTCATCCACAGGTGCAGAATTCCCAGAATCTCCGGCAAACCCGCTCTTCTGTCCTGTCCCTGTCCCCCTACCCCTTAGGCTGAAAAGTCCTGCTTCACTTCTTCGAATAGCCAGGGGTTGACTTGGACTTCAACCAAGTGTGCTGGAGAGTCGTCCGCCCTCCCGCGCGTTTTGCACAGCCTGGCCCCTCATCGTAATCTTTACTCCTGGGAACTGTTTTGGCCAAGGAACTTCAAAATAGACACGCTACAAGGCAAACACCATGAGGCAAAATTGCTTTGCGCCGACCCTTCTTGGCACACGCATCCTTAAAGGACGAAGGGAGAAAACTTTTGTTGGTTATGATAGGTGTTGAGCAGAGTAGCTGCAAGTCTGGTGACCTGAAGGTGAATCTCTGTTAGCATGTCAGAACCTGACCTTCCCTGAAAGCCCGCTGCTGTGATGAATGTGCTTGGTGAACTGTAAAGGCCTGCCGTGGTGTGAATCATTGTTTACACCCTTCCAGGAGGCAGGAATTCTGGATCATTGAGAGTGAAACTATTCCAGCAGTGCCTTAAACGCCAGGGAGTGTGAATGTTCACATCTCAGCTCAATCTGTCTTCAACAAGGGCCAGCCAGGGTGTTGACTTCTCATCAGTGGGGCGCTGGGATCCCCATCTTTGTCTAAGACTTACAAAAGTTGAATAAGCTTATTCACATTTTTAAAAAATGACAAGAATCGTAGGAGGTCAGGGTCCAGAGTTGGTTTACCATTGTGCCCTCAGCCACTCACATGGTAGGTGCTTGGCAAATATGTATAAAAACATGCCATGTAACAAAAAAGGAGGAACGAACTGTGACCTCTGCCCTTAAGGAAGGTAAGACTTAACCTAGGAGTAGACAAACATCCAGAAAAACAAAGATATTGCACTTGTACTCTTGCTAATTGCCAAGTAAGTGTAGGTAAGACCACTTCAGGCCACAGGAGAGAGAAATGCTTCTGGCCTGGGATGGGCAAAGCTAAATCCACGAAAGGAAGGAAGTTTAAACTGCACCTTAAGGGTGAGTGGGGAAGATTCAACCAGGCAGAAGGAGGGTAGGTGTCCTTCAAGTAAGGAAGAAAGACATGAGGCCGGGCGCGGTGGCTCACGCCTGTAATCCCAGCACGTTGGGAGGCTGAGGCGGGCGGATCACGAGGTCAGGAAATCGAGACCATCCTGGCTAACAAGGTGAAACCCCGTCTCTACTAAAAATACAAAAATTAGCCGGTCGTGGTGGTGGGCGCCTGTAGTTCCAGCTACTCGGGAGGCTGAGGCAGGAGAATGGCGTGAACCCGGCAGGCGGAGCTTGCAGTGAGCCAAGATTGCGCCACTGCGCGACAGAGTGAGACTCCGTCTCAAAAAAGAAAAAAAAAAAGAGAGAAAGACATGAGAAAAACACAAAGGTGGTATCACACAGAACTCACTGGGCACTGAAAATATGTCATGCTAGTGAAGGGAAAGATGACATAATGAAGAAGTAAGAGAAGATACCAGAATGGATGCTAGTAACACACTGCAGAAGGCCTTAAACCCTGTCACCTTAAGCTGTGTGTGTTAACTGGAAAGGACTTTATAATAGGACTCCATAGTCCATTACAGTTTCCAAATACCTATCACATGCATTTATCCAAGGCTGAAATTGCATTTGTATGTTACCATGTCAGACTCTATCCGTTTTTACAGTGTTAAGATATTGCAGCTCCAGTTGGTAATTGGTCGTTGTCTTGAGCCCCAGAGTGCCACTCACCCCCATACCTCCAACTTCCCCATGACATACAACTAAAGGGTGAACACCTGGCCCACTAGAAGCCCTCCAGGACACTCAGATTAGTGGGTGCTTGCGCCCCATCACCCCAATGACAACATTGAATCATACCATGAACTTACTCTACTCCAAAGTAGAACACGTGTTCCGTCTCCTGGTCCAGGTTCCTGGTCTTCAAACCCATTCACACAGTTGCTCAATGCAAGGCCAGCATTCCTTAGATTCTATGGGATAGACCAAGCGTCTAAAGTTCAAGAAGGGCCTTTGGAAAATTGGTTTAGGTTAAGGTGATAAATGACAAATGCCATTTAGCTTCAGGATAAAAATAGGCAAACAACAGGGAATAGTAGGATGTGTACACAGAAGAGCCACGTCACTGTTTAACTCAAATCAAGCAACCTTTATACTCGCTGTGCCCTGTCTGGAATGAGAGTCCTCTGCAATGCTGTCCAACAGAACTTTCTACAATGATGCACATTTTCTGTTATCTGTTTTGCAGCTACTAGCCACATGTGACTGCTGAGCACTTGAAACATGGCTAGGGTGACTGAGGAACTGAATTTTTAACTTTGTTTAATTTTAATTCATATAAATTTAGATAGCAGCATATGGCTAGTGGCTACCATGTTGGATAGTGCAGTTCTAGAAATCCACATTTCTCTCAGTCAGTGTCTTCAGTTTTTAAATTCAAATGTCACCATTTCAGTGAGGCCTTCCATGACCATGTGATTTTAAATTGCAGTCTTTCCTATCCATTCCTTTCTTCATCCCCTTCCGAATGCCCCACAGAGCTTACCACCATCCATATTCTATATATTTTATTTATTTTGCCTATTGTCTGCCTCCCCACAACTAAAATGTATATGACATAAGGACAGGGCTTCTTTTCTCTTTTGTTCAGTATCTAGAACACATGAGTTGAATAATTCAATTATTTCATATATAAGAACTAAGTTTTTCAAACAGTTTAATCTGGATTTCTATACAAAATCTGATTTTGCAGTATGAAAGCTTATAAAAATGTAAATCATATAAAAATGGATTAGAATGAATAAGATCTACTGTTGGTAGCACAATAGGGTGACTATAGTTAAAAATAATTTACCGTATATTTTTAAATAACTAAAGGAGTGGAATTGGAATGTTCCTAACACAAAGAAATGATAAATGCTTCAGGTGATGGATAGCCCAATTACCCTGATTTGCTCATTACATATTCTATGCCTGTATCAAAACATCACATGTACCCCATAAATATGTACAGCTATGATTTACCCATAATAATAATAAATTTTTTTTGAGATGGAGTCTCGCTCTGTCACCAGGCTAAAGTGCAGTGGCACGATCTTGGCTTACTGCAACCCTCTGCCTCCTGGGTTCAAGCGATTCTCGTGCCTCAGCCTCCCGAGTAGCTGGGATTACAGGCACGCACCACCACACCCAGCTAATTTTTGTATTTTTAGTAGAGATGGGGTTTCACCATATTGGCCAGGATGGTCTCGATCTCCTGACCTCATGATCCGCCCGCTTTGGCCTCCCAAAGTGCTGGGATTACAGGCGTGAGCCACTGCGCCTGACCAAAAAAATTTCTTTTAATGTAAATCATATTTGTGCCAACCACACAAGTCAACGAGACCACTTGCCAGCCACTTGCAATTTTTCCTACAGGATGGGGTACCAGAGCTGAATTTTACTTAAGAGAATGAGATCATCAAAGTCAAAGTGTGTGTAAAGACCCATGGTAAGAAAACACAAATTTTAAGGCTATTGGCAGGATAGCGAAATTGAAGACCAGGAAGATAGCTCTGACAATGAGCTAGCTACAAAGTGATGAGGGCCTGAATTCATTGCGGCAATGGAAACAGAAATGAGGGGTTAGATGTTAGACAGTACAAAAGAAGGCTCCTTGGGCATAGGAGCAGTAGAAAAATACTTCAGATGGTGTTGTGGAGTGTATTGTCCAAAGATGGACAGTTCAGCATCTCCTATCTTCCAAGCTCTTCTGCAGTGTGATATTGCCACTCCCCCGAAAAGAGATGGAGTTTCTTTCTCCATCTCTTTGAATTTGAGCAGACTTTGTGATACAGGAGTTAAGAAGAAATCACTTAGGCAAATAGTAAGGGTATGGGAGTCCTTGGAAAGACTTTCCTTTATAATGAAAAGCAGTACCAAATCATTTTCTAACAAAGAGCAGCCTGTAAAGTGGAGCTGCAGATATAGACAAGCAAGCTGGGAGCTTGCACAGGTCAATGTCAGCAGGAACTAGGGTCTAAACATATTCAAGATGGCGGCTCCAACTTCCCTTTTCTCCCAGCCATGTGTACAGTGAGGACCAGAAAAGATGGTGCAGGCCAAAGGGAGAATTCATTTGCATAATAAGATTAGCATGGGGCGACCAGTCTTCCCCACTTGCTATGTAAACGTCACACCTGATCGAACCAGTCTGTGAGCCCTAGGTAAATCAGACACTGCCTCCTCAAACCGAACTATAAAATCCGGCACATCCACCACCAGCCAGTCTTTTCTGCTGGGAAGACCCCCCTTCTCTCTATAGAGAGAGCTGTTTTTCTTTCTCTTCTCTCCTGCCTATTAAACCTCCACTCCTAAACCCCTCATGTGTGTTCGTGTCCTAAATTTTCCTGGCACAGGAGGATGAACCCTGGGTATATACCCCAGACCATGTAGCCGTTTCACTTGTGAATGATCTGGCCAATAGAATAAACAGAGGTGACTTCACCTGTTCTGTAAATAGCCCTTGGTTGGCCTGGCAGCTTCCACTTCCTGCTGTCTTGGATTGCTTGGTCTTGGGATGTGCCTACTCAGAACCCAGCCTCCTTGCAGGGAGAAGCCCAAGCCACATGGAAGCCCTGTGGAGGTGATCTGGCAGCTGAGCTCCCAGTAAACAACCAACATGAATTGCTGCCAATTTGGGAGCTACTTTGGACACAGTCCAGCTGAGCCTTCAGATGACTCCTGTACTAGTGATGTCTGACTGCAATCGTATGTAAGGAGCTCAAGAAAAAACTACCTAGCTAAGCCCCATCAACCCACCAAACTGTGAGAGATGATAAAGTGTTTGAAGCCACTAAGTCTAGAGGTATTTGTTACATAACAATAGATGACCAGGACACATGGCTCAAAAAATGTGAAGAACATACTCCGTTGTGAATGAAAAGGATGGAAATTTATATCCATTTTTGTACATGCATGAAGAAACTCTGGAAACTTTTTCAAGTCGTTGGAATTGGGCACGTGGGGAAAGGAAAGGTGGGAGATTTTGCATGTACCACTTTTTATATTTTTTTGTTTTTTAGAACATGTGAATATATTACCTATCTTTAAAAATAAAAATTTTAAAAATGGCTCCAGATTTAGAGAAGTCAAAGAGGTAGGGGAAGCCGGTTTTGAGGGTTTAGTTTTATATAGCAGTTATACCAACTAAAGGGTGATCAGATGAAATTCCCACCAGCAAGAGGAGGAGGTGAGCTAGAAATGAAAAGAAAGGACTGGAGAGAGACAAGCAAGCTGGGAGCTTGCACGAGTGAATGCCAGCAGGAACTAGGGTCTAGACATGTTCAAGATGGCAGCTCCATCTTCCCTTCTCTGCTAGCCATGTGTTCAAAATCACAATGGTAAACAGTGGAGCTAGACCAGGGTGCTCAGGGGATAGAGGAGTAGCAGGGACACTCTGTCCCTTGCTAAGCTTGAAGAACATGCTGCAGGTGACTTTCCATCCCCAGTTGTATGGAATTTGGGGCACTGACTCTTATGGCTTCTCTCATTTAATTTTTGTGTTCCTATACAATTACTAAGAATGCTGAGGAAATCATCTGTGAGCTGGTCTTTCCCTTGTGTCATTCCATGCCCTGCCTACCTGTCTTCTTTTAAATGTATAGAATGCACATCAGCCTAATGAAGTCTCCCAACACCACAGCTGTTAGGACTTTGATAAGTCCTCTTTGGAATCCATCTCTTCCCAACATCTCCCATTTTTAAATTTACCCCCATTCAAGATGTTTTGCACTGGTTTAACAGCTCTCAAAAACAGAAAACTTGCATATAATTTTGTCTCTCTATTCAACCCTGCCAACCCTCCAGAATGTAATCACCAAAATGGATTAAATATGAGCACAACCTTCCCAAGGGCTAAGCTGGTTTTTGAGGGTTTAGTTTTATATATATATATATATATATATATATATATATATATATATATATATATATATATACACACACACACACACACATACACACACACACACACACACACATGTGTATATATATAAAAATATGTATATATGTATATATATAAATATGTATATATGTATATATATAAATATGTATATATAAATATGTATATATATGTGTATATGTGTGTGTGTGTATATATATATATGTGTATATATATATATATATAGCAGTTATACCAACTAAACTAAAGGGTGCCCAGATGAAACTTCAACCAGCAAGAAGAGGAGGTGAGCTAGAACTGAAGAGAAAGGACTGGAGAGAGAGAGATGCCAGTGTTCAAAATCATGATGGTAAACAGTGGAGCTAGACCAGGGTGCTCAGGGAATAGAGGAGTAGCAGGGACACTCTGTCTTTGCTAAGCTTGAAGAACATGCTGCAGGTGACTTTCCATCTCCATTTGTATGGAATTTCAGGCAGTGACTCTTATGGCTTCTCTCATTTAATTTTTGTGGCTTCTCTCATTTAATTTTAAGAGAACAAAAAGCAGATCCTTGCAGGAGAAACCCAAGTCTTCCCGTGCTGCCTCTGCTGAGAATGCCAGACAGAACGGTTTGAGTACTTGATACTAACTCTATTTTTATGTTATCTTATGGAATGAATATGCAATTGAGAGAAATGTAGCAAAATAAGGAAACATGTTTCCAACCTAAAAATGTTAAGCCTTATTCATTTTATTTCCGTTTTCAAGAATCATAAATGTAACTATCTGCTATCAGACTGTTCATGACAAACCTGTGTGACACTGTGCTATTATTTTTGTAGTACATCACGCACTATGCATCATGCAAATATCCCCCTTGGGGATGATAAACCTTCTTTATATTATTTGCATTGGTGGCTCCAGCCAGAGACAGTGGCTGATAGGCATGGGTGCCAGATGGGGGCTCCTCCCTATAAGTTCATCTTCTATTCATTCACTAATAATCTTGAAAAAAAGTCTGTCTGTTCATGCCATTTCATATGCTGTTTACTACCACCATCCTGGAAATTTCTTTTTTAAAGTCAGTTGTGCAAATTCACCAGGCCCTTTAGTACTTAGGACATTTTTGAAAAAAAAAAAAAAAAATCTATGTGGTTGAATGCCCAAGAAGACAGAGGAAAAGGGTGATAAGAGAACTAACTTAACCAACAGACAGCAAGAAAGCCAAGACAATGGTGTCCCTTCTTTGCTTGTGGAAATCTACTCATCTTTACACAGGTCAAACAGTAGCTCCTCCTAGAAGCCCTCTCTGTTCTTTCCATTTGGGATTAATCCTTCCTTGGTAAACCTCAGCATTTACCTAAAATTATGATTCCACATTTACCACCCGTGTTATCATAGTCTATCTCTGCATTTGAATTAAGTCAGATTGGCCCATCTCAGCTATGCAAGATTATAAACCCTTTGAGGGCAGAAATTATTCTTTTTTATATTCTCCTCTCGCATCTAATACAGTGGCTACCATGTACTAGATTATAAGCAAATAAATGCACGCATGAATGAATGCTGGATGGATGAACAAATGAATGAACAAAATCATGATTAGCTAAACACTGCAATCCTAAGTTAAGGAAAGCAAGACAGAGGTCTCAGCAGATGCAGAGTCTCTGAGGTTGTAGGAAAGTACATTATCCCATGGGTGATGGGAGGCTATAAATGGACACCAGATGGTGGCATGTTCAGATCAGCAGGGAAGGAAGATGATTTTAGCATCAATATGTAAAGTGCTTTAGAATAGGGAGACACTGAAAGCTGGGCAGCCGGCAAAGCAGGTTACAGGATCCCAGGCGTGAAGTATTAAAATGGTAATCCATAAGATCAAGTTCATGGAAGCTTCTTCTGTGCTTTCTTTTGCTATTTGTATCAGTGCATTCTGTGTACAGAATTTCTGTGCTAATCAAATGAAGTGGTGTTTGTAACGCTGTTTGCACACTTTAAAGCTCTGCACAGATAGCACTGCCTTTCTTATAGGATTGAAAGAGAAGGGGCAAATGAAATGATGCCCTGGATAAATCAGGGCCTGGACCAGGAAAATAGGAGAGAAGACAGTGGAAAAGGAAACAAGGATTCAAAGTCATGCCCACACAGAAATTAGAAGCCTTTAAGAATATGCTTCTCCTCTGTCTGTGAATGTTAAGCATTTGTAGCATTGATCCAAGCTAAATACAGAATGAGCTGTGAGCAAACCTGTCTTAGAGGGTACTGGCAACATTATATGAGCTCAGATTGGCTTTTGAAGATCTCGATCAGAAGATATAAATCTGGGCCGAAGTACACTGAAAGCAGCAGAAGGTGTCCCAAGTTCTTAAACATAAAGAAGCCTTTAGCTTAGAGAAAATGACAGCACTCAAGGAATGACAAGGGAGTTGTTTTCAAATATTTTGAACGTGTTGAAAAAGAATTGGACTCATTCTATGCAGAGTTAAGACCAAAGTGGGAAACTACAGAGAGAAAAGTTTCTTCTCAACATAATAAGTGTTTTTCTATCCATTTAAAGTCCTTTTTAAACCTGGAGTGGCCCCTGTCCTTGCAAAATGGGGAGCTTAGGCAGGATTTGGTGGGATTTTGTTTCATCAGATGGAGGATTGGACTAAATGACCTGTAATGTCCTTTCTAATCAAAGATTCAGTTATTTCACTGGCCCTAGTACATAATGAAGTGGCTATAGGGCAGGGATTCTCAGACAGTGATCTGAGGATTCTGGACTTGCTCAAAGCCCTTTCAGGGGTTTCCCAAGGGTCCTAATAACACTAAAATGTTACTTTCCCCCTTTTCTCTCATTCTCTCGTAAGTATACATGGGTGTTTTCCAGAGGCTAAAGACGCTGGATGTGGCAAAAGACAGAACGTAGGACCAGATACAAGAATTTAGCTGCTTCTCTTAAGCTAGACATTTAAAGAAATTAGTGAAAGTGTAAAACAATGCCAGCCCTCTCACTAAATTTTGTTTTGATTTGGAAAACAGTTATTTTTCATAAAACATATTTATAACAGCATATAATCAGTTCATTTACTATATAAATATTTTGAAGAAATTTCTCAGTTTTAAACTTTAATATGATAAGCATTCATAGATACAGCTATAACCCACATAGATAAAAGGTCTTTGGGGTTCTATATAATTTAAGAGTGTAGAGGGGTCTTGAAACCAAAAAATTTGAGAACTGCTATTATAGGGCATGGTTAAAAAAATTATCTCTGATACTAGGAAAGGAAGGAGATCTGAACAGGCTGAAAAGCTTTCTGCCTTCCCCGCTTCCCAGCTACCTTCATGGAGCTAATATCACTTTTATCCTGACACAGAACTAGTGACTTCCTCAAAGGTGAGTACTCTGCAGACCTAGGGTGGTAAAATAGAACACCCATGCTCTGGCATCAGATAGGCCTAGGTTCAAAACCAGGTCTTTCCACCTTCTAGGTATGTGCCCTCAAGTTACTTGGTCTGAGCTTCTACCTTCTGTTCTAACACCTATACAACCAGGTTGTTGAGAAGATTAGACCAAATATGTGCGAAGCCTCTCATCGGTGAGGTGGCTTGTAAACTACAGCCAGTGCTCTTCTTGGCACCATGTTGTCTCCATATTGCTGGTGGTGTAGTTATTTAATTCCCAGTCAGTCCCAGGGAAGCCGCATAACCTGATGAATAAACCATGGTCCAGATACGATTTTCATCAACTTTCCTTTGCCACACATTCCCCACTCTAGGCAAACTCCGCATCTTCAGATGGGTTATTCTTGAAGCACCTTGTTCACTGCCAACAATGAAAGTATAACTTTTTCATCCTTTATACTCTAAATACAGTTGTAGGGAAGTTGAACAGACATTGAACATAGAGTTGAAAACCCTGAATTAAGTCTTACATTTATGATTTATTAGCTCTGTGACTTTAGCCAAACACTTCACCTCTCTGAGCCTGTTTCTTTATCTGTAAAATAGAGATAATAAAATCCAACCTTCAGGTGGTTCTGAAGGCTAAACGATGCCTATGAATGCCTATGATAGTTAACCCTGTTAACCATCAGAATATGCATAAATGTCAGTGGCTATTAATAAATCTCACCTCTTCTATGTTCAGAAGTGGTGGAAATGAAAAAAAGAATCCACAATGAATATTTAATCAAAAGTATCTCCATACAAACACACATACATACACATTTATTGGATAGTCATATGAAATTTGCATATATTTTTACAAGCACCCAAACTCTGTAAATGGTTTTGGTCAATCTCCCAAATTTGTTTTCCTATTCTTAAGCTTCATATCAAGCCCAATAAAGTGAAACACTAAGGCTTATGTAAATGCTTTATTTATAAATAAACCTACTTGAAAGAGGTAATATTGATAAGAGGAGCATAACTTTAAAAAGAATAACTTTCTTTTTAAAAATTTAAATGTGACACTCTTCTGATTCTGTCTCTACAACGAGGTCCCTAGAGAGGGAGGGTTAAAGGAAGAGACACTCAAAGGGGTAATAATTCCTAACTGCTATTAGCAGAGCTGAATCTGTTATCTTCAGGTGCTCTATTATGTCCATTCATTCAGAAATGGGAAAAGCTGGCTGGGCACGGTGGCTCACGCCTGTGAGTGGCTCCCAGAACTTTGGGAGGCCTAGGTGGGTGGATCACTTGAGGTCAGGAGTTTGAGACCAGCCTGGCCAACATGGTGAAACCCTATCTCTACTAAAAATACAAAAATTAGCCAGGTGTGGTGGCATGCGCCTATAGTCCCAGCTACTCAGGAGGCTGAGGTGGGAGGATCACTTGAGCCTGGGAGGCAGAGGCTGCAGTGAGCCAAGATCATATCACTGCACTCCAGCCTGGGCAACGGAGTGAGACTCTGTCTTGGAAAAAAAAAAAAAAAGTAGGAAAAGATGTTAGTCATAAAGTTTCTGTTTATTCCAGGTGAAATGTCAAAACCTTCATGGTTAAGGCTGAGAGAGTTTGACTCAGTTCGCCAGTCCATTCAGGGAGAGCTAGTCCCCTGGGGTATCTGTATATTTGTTATCTTTGACTGCTCTTTGGCTGTAAACTTCTTGGGGGTTGATGTCATCCTTTCTGAATATTACTTTATAGAATAGTTTTCTGCATAGTGGGTATTACATGGAATTGTAATTACATGATTCCAGATAAAAACTGATAGTTTCACTTTTCTAATATGTAGATTGAAACATTCTTTCAGATACTTTTTATAATGGCAACAATGGAATTTTGTACTTATTTAAACAGGAGACTCAGGACTTAATTGTTTATAAAGTTTTAATAGTTTTTCTCAGAGTATATGGACAAGATACATTTTTAGGTCTCTATAGTGTCGACATTAGAAGAGAACATGAAATAAATTCAAGAGTCCATGAAATCATAGAAAAGACTTGGAAACATCGTTGTTTTATCTTATTTCCCTTCTTTCTCACCACATTTCCTTATAGTTTCTAATTCTAAATGAGCAGCACTATTGTATGGTGGTCTCCGGAGCCATACTGGCTGGATTCAAATCCTCCTTCTGCCTTTAACCAATCATGAGATGTTTAATGGGCCACATCTTTGGAATCAGTTCTCTCGTTTGTAAAATTGGAATGATTTTAGGAGCTGTCTCACAGAATCATTGTGGGAATAAATGGGTCATTATTTGTCAAGCACTTAGAATGGAGCTGGCACAGTCAGTATAAGTGTGTTAGAGATTATCTTCATCATTCTTTACAGTCTGGAGTCCATAGGTTTTACAGGGGCTGGGAGCCTCCTTATATGAAAAATGCCTGTGTACTTTTCTGGCAAAAAGACACAGGCTTCATCAGACTTTCAAAGTAATGAATCTAATAAGGAAATCTTCTAAGACCTACAGTATTTGGGGCAGAGCCTAACTTCCTAAATATGAGCATGCATAGACAGACCAAAAACAAGACAGATGTAAGCTGCCTCGTTTACGCTACGAGGCGTTTATTGTGAATTCAACTGCAATGCAAAGGATTGCTCTTTATCTTAGAGGATACCTAACTAGTAGAAATGGACATTCCCCACCACCACCAAAAGACACAAACCTGAAAATGAGCAAAGGTCACTTCCCACATCAGTGTTTGTGAGGTGGACCAATATCTTCTGGCAAGGGGATTTTGGGAGGGATTGGAGGCAGTCATCTTGGGAAGGGACAATTCTAATGGAATTCCAAAATATCTGTTTATGCTCAAATCTTAAAAATACCCTGAAGAAGAGACAATCAGCACAGGATCAGATGTGAGAGGTAAAATGGGAGAGGAGAAAATACCCAAATAAAACATTTGCAGGAGGCAACTTTATTTTTTGTTTGAATTTTGCATTTGTCTTTCTAAGGCAGCACAGATCCTCCATGAGAAGAAAAACAGATGGAATGGCAGCATTTTGTGTCTGTCTTCTGGAGCGTTTACTAGAGAATTCACGGCTCCTTATAGTTACTGATGGGTATGCATTTGGATGAATTTTCTGCCATGACAACAGGTAATCCTCATAAAATGTCAGTCCCTAACAAGAGGGCAGAGATGTTGCTTTTCTAGCCTTTCTGCCTTTGAGTTTGCATATTAATAGCCTTGAATAGCTACTCAGTGTTCTAAATAATTGAAACTGCTTTGCTTGATATCTACTTTATGATTGTTGCTTTAAAAATGACTAATTCTTGGCAGGGCACAGTGGCTCATGCCTGTAATCCCAGCACTTTGGGAGGCCGAAGTAGGTGGATCACCTGAGGTCAGGAGTTTGACACCAACCTGGCCAGCATGGTTAAACCCCATCTGTACTAAAAAAATACAAAAACTAGCCGGGCATGGTGACGGGCGCCTGTAGTCCCAGCTACTCAGGAGGCTGAAGCAGGCGAATCCCCTGAACTTGGGAGGCGGAGGTTGCAGTGAGCCAAGATCATGCCACTTTACTCCAGCCTGGGCAACAGAGCGAGACTCCATCTCAAAAAAAAAAAAAAAAAAAAAAGAAAAAGAAAAAAAGAGAAAAGAAAAAGAAAAAGAAAAAAAGATTATTTTCCCTGGACAATTTTGACAACTTCCTGAAATGGGCCTTATGTGCTTGAAAATCTCACTGTTGGTCCACATTAGATATCTATAGAATCAAATTAAATATGATGCTGATTTTGCCTTATGGAAGATATCAATATTTAATGTTCTTTTGTTTTCCTTTCTGGTTTAATCATCGATCATGCCTTGCAATCAAATAATCAATATTTATAGAACATCAGGAAACAGGAGGCAGAGTTGCCTGGAATATTAAGAACTAAGATCAGGACAACTTGGAGGTATCACAGTGACAGGCTGTGAAACAACCTAGGCTACAAAATAGTGAAAACAGGAATGGAAAGGAAAGGCAGAGCTGAGACCTATTGAAGCAAAATCCCAGAAGATGATGATATGGGACAGAGGAGATGAAAGAAAGGATTCAGGCGAAGGTGATACTGGCTCTCCACAAGCTGCCCAATGCAGTCCTGGTGTTCAGTGCTTTTGTCAAGAATAATTAGATCAAATCAAATCCTCCGTCTCAACAAACTCATTTGACATCATTAAAATAAAACAAAAACAAATAAGCACTTTTAAATTTTGGAAAACAAACTCTGGAAAACTGAACAAGGAATTTTGTGCTTCACCATTCACTGCTGACTCCTTTTGCATTAAGTCCAAACTAATACCCCAACAGGTTGATAGGTGAAATTATCCTACTGAACATGTTTCAAAGACAGACAGGATTAAGACCATCATCTTTTCACAGAATGGCCTACTTCAAAGGAAGCCCATTCAAATGTAATAGCTGGATTTACATGGGTTAGTAGATTTACCCAGGGCCTATTTGAAATCTTCCCTCCATATAATATTTTAATCAATGCATAAGCTTTTCTGAATTATTAGAGGGAGAATAATAGAGTAACACGCACTTTTATTTCCTTTTTACTGGTAAATGAGCAGAAGGCAAATAGGTTGGCTGAGATACACGGAGTGAGTCCGCCACAGCCCTTAAATTGTGGTTCTGGCTTTTATCCCTATGCTGAAGGCCATGCAGTGCTAACTACTGATTAAAAACTAAGATGGTGGAGCCCTGAACCTTTCCTGTAAATCCCCTAAGCCGGCAATACTTCTTAGGATTTACACACTAATATAAGAGATTCACAAAAGACACAACAGAGAGCTTCTGTGATAAAACCTTTCCAGAAGAGGCAAAGATGAGTGATCTTCCTGGCAAAACCTCTGAGGAGGTTAAATGTGTGGTCAGGTTAGGTTTCACTAATGCACTTCTCTGGAGGTTTCACCCGGAGCTGTCCTCATTCCAAAACTCCAGGGTTTGGGTATAAATAGTTTGCAGAGGGTTAAGGTAGCCCAGAATGCTGAAAGTTACCTAACTTGGAGTGTCCATAGCATTGTTCTGAGTGGTCTCTGAGAAGACCTAAACCTTCTGACATTCACTATGTCAAACTCAAAGGAGAACAGGTTGAGGGACAGTGATGCTTAGCCAGAGCTTTACTGCACACATAGGACAGCTTGTGTCATTCCTAAGAAGTGTTGTCTATCACAGTCCAGTGACAGATTCAACCCCTGGACAAACCAAACTTCACAAGTTATTGCAGCAGCTCCATAAAGAAATATACAGCTCAGCCACAAGACAACCTATTAAAATCATACAACACTGATGCAAACACATTTACCCAAAATATAGATATGATGCAAGAGTATGAGCTAATGAAAGTCAATAGGCATTGAAGGGATTAGGCTTTCATGTTTATAGAAGAAAAAAATGCAGAATGGTGGATTTGAGGCAAAGATATTTACATGAGGCAAAGAACAGGACTGTCAGAGCACCCTTCCCTGCAGGTAGAGGCTACAAGAGTTCACCAGAGGATAGACTACTTACTATAGAAAGAACACAGTGCAGTGTATCAACTCATTAAATTAGAAACAGCAGGAGCAAGAGCCGTATGTTTTTTCTTTCTTTCTTTTTATTTTTTATTTTTTTAAAATTATTTTTAGGCAGGGTCTCGCCCTGTCACCTAGGCTGGAATGCAGTGGTACAATCATGGCTCACTATAACCCTACAACCTCTGCACCCCACCCCTGACCCCTGGGCTCAAGCAAACCTCCTACCTCAGCCTACCAAATAGCTGGGACCACTGTCATGCTATTTTTTTTTGTATTTTTAGTAGAGATGGGTTTTGCCGTGTTGGCCAGGATGGTCTCGAACTCCTGAGCTCAAGTGATCCACCCTCCTCGGCCTCCCAAAGTGCTGGGATTACAGGCCTGAGCCACTGCACCCAGCCAAGAGCAGCATCTTTAAAATGGAAGCTTTGTGTACACATATTGGTAGCCAGAAAGCAGGTTTCTTAGTTCTAGTTCCTCCAACATTTTCACACCCTGAAATAAGAATTTCAGAACTAGTAGTTTACTTGGGAGGTGCTCCTAGGAACACCAATAGAAGAGTGGACTTCAACATGATTAGAGAGGGAAGCCAATAAAAGTTTCATTATTAAGAAAGCTACAACTTGGGTAAATGAAGCTTAACCCCGCTAGAGAACACTGGAAGCCATTGTAGGGTTATCAGAGCTACCCCATGTGAGGGTGGGGGAGCTGAGGTGTTTATATTCCACGCCCATCTGTCATTGGGCATCAATTCTCTGGCACGTCCTGCCTGCTCTGAGCACTGGTAGAGCAGGTTTCAGCCACCAGAAAAAATCCTTCCACATGCAGAGATGCGATGCTGGCAGTTTACAGTCTGGCTGGGATGTGCTACAGAGACGGGGCCCCAAAGGGATATGGACAGGACACTGACAGGATCTACACACAGGTCTTCCTCAGAAAATCCCCTCGGTATCAGGCTAGGAGACAGAGGTGAGGCAGGGAGAAACATGCTCTTTCTCCAAAGTATATTTTTCTCCCATTTACTTCTGGCAGATACCCACTTCCAAGTTTCTGAATTTGCATGACTGAAAAGAGGCTAAGGTCCAAAGGAAGAAAGGTGTAATCATTTGTGGACAGCAGAATATGCCACGCCACAATATGCCCCTTGGGCATAAGGATTATTTTAAGCTAAAGACACTTCCAAAACCAGCGTGTACAAGAAGGGCTCTCTGGCCCTCCCCTTTTTCTTCCTGAAAGCAGGAGATAAAACTCCTACATGAAAACTGTCCTCCCTATACCAGAAGGAAAGTAACATTCTCATCCTCAAGGACCGGAAGTTTAAACTGAGAGAAATCAGCACAAACAAACCTTTTTAAACTAACTGTTATCTTCCTAGCCATTTCTCTATGATTAACTACCCTCTTCTAAGCCCCTTTGTCTTATCACCTTTTTATAATTTACTACTCTTTGTCCAATTCAGTTTATAAGCATTCAATTCTAACTGCTTTTGGGGGGTCATTTCCTTATGAAGCTTCCTCTTTCATGAAACATAAATATTTATATATTGTAAATAAAATGTTTCTCTCTTGTTATTCTGTCTTTTGCTATGGGGGTATAGCTGAGAGCTTGGAGGGGTAGAAAGAAAAGGATTTTTTTTCCTTCCCTATATAACAAAATATTACAGATGGGGTGACTTAAGCAACAGAAATTTATTTTCTCATAGTTCTGGATGCTAGAAGTACAGATTAAGGTATCAGCAGGTTTGATTTCTCCGGAAGTCACTCTTCTTGGCTTGCCAATGACCACCTTCTCACCATCTCCTCACATGACCCTTACCCTGGTGTTTCTACGTATGTCCAGATTTCCTCTTCTTATATAGACAGCTATCAGATTGGATTGGGGCCCACTCATATGACCTCATTTAACCTGAATTACCTCTTTAAAGGCCCCATTTCCAAATACAGTCACATTCAGAGGTACTGGGGGTTAGGAGTTCAATATATAAATTTGGGAGGGATACAATTCAGTCCATAACAGAGAGTAATTAGCACATTCATTCATGCATTTAGATTTGGATTCATGCATATTTCTGTGATGAAAGAAAAAATGTGTATTAACTAGGTCCAAATAAACAATTCGAGTTGACAGTAAAAATATATACAGAACTCTAGCTGTTGTCTTAAGTTGAAAGAAACCTTTTATGAGTTCCTGAAGACCCCAATCCATGATGTGAGGACCATCTGTAATAAGACCCTCTGGTGTTTGGTTACTCCTGGCTCTACTCTATTAAATCTCGTGTGTGATTTGTGAAAGTTCAGTCACAGCAAGAACTAACCTCTACTGAGTGCCTCTGATGCATCAGGTGCTGTGCTAAGCAATCTACATCGATTAAGTGATTCTTTTACTTGGGTATTAAATAATTAATATTTAACAGATGAGAAAACTGAGTTTTGCAGAGGCAAAGTAACTGAATTGTTTAGGTCTTTATTAAAGCAACTGAACTTGTCTCCTATCTCACAGTCATAGAAACACAAGCTTTATGTATACTGCAATTTTTATGTTTAATTCAATAAATATTTAAGGTGAACCTATTAAGAAATGAGCTCAGCCTTGGAGGAAGGCAGGAAAAATGGGGTAATTTATAAGACTTTGGATCTGTCTCCAAGAGGCTGACTCTAATAGGCCTCTAGACTGTAATAGGGAGAAATAGGCCAATAGACTGTAATAGAGAGAAAGCAGAAATGTGCTAGGTAAGAGGGAGATATAATACAACCAACTGCAGTTCATGGCTTCACGAGAACTCAGGCAAAGAAGGTCTAAGTCACAGTAGGGAGAGTATAGGAAAGCTTAAAGAGGCAATTGGCACTTGAGCATGTAAAGTGCCCATAGGGCACTGATCCGGGTGGGTTCACCCACTCCTCCAGGCTTCAACAGCATGTGCTCACAAAGCTGAATCAAGAAGTAGAGCTCAGAACCCAGGAGCACTTCCATGGAGAAGGTAACATTTAAGAACAAGTACATTGCAGCCGAGGCTCTGTGTGGTGGGAGTCAGAGTAGTAGAGGTGGAAGACAGCAGCCCATGGGCTCAGCATGAACTATAAGTATGTGCTGTTGACATGCAGAAGGATTTTATAAAATTATATGCCAACATTTAAAAATTGGAAGGTTTCTCATTGAACTCTAGATTTTTGCCTGCTGTGGATAATCAAAAGATCTGGCTGCCCTGGGCCTGCTTGCCTGCCAGATGTGAGTAGCAGCTTCTCTTTCATTAGGTTAGGCTCTCTCCATTTGCTACAGTCCCACCACTCCCCATTTTCTTGCACCAGCTGACCTCACTCACTTAAATTGCCTGCAGGCCCCTGTAAGCAGCTGAGGTTGTGTCACTTGACTGGGAATCATGGTGATTCAGAGGACTAAAAACTGAATGGAATCTGCCTAAATCTTGGCTCTAGCTGTATGATTTGCCTCTCTATACCTCAGTTTTCTCATCGGTTATGTGGGTATAATGGAGTACCAAATCTACAGGAACCACTTCACACGTGTAGATTGCTTAGCACAGCATCTGAATCTTTGAGAGCTCTAAATAGAGGTGGGGTCTTAACCACTGTTGTTGTTCCAGGGTTTTGTTGGTGTGTATGAGTTTGTCTTTGGATAATTACCTCCATTAGAGAAAAATGCCAGTGAGCCCAGGTTTTCAGTTTGGAGCATATTTAGGTGAGTTAGTTTTGCACTGTTCCAAAAGCAGTTCTACAGCTCCCACTCAGCCAAGCCAAGCCATTTCATATATGCATCATTACTCCCAATAGACACCAGGAAAAATAGTCCAAAAAAGCATCTCATTGTTGAAGAGGTGAGTGGCATCTTTTTATCAGACCAGGCACAAACATTTCTCTTAAAAAAAAGTCAAAAACATATCCAGTCTTTATTAAACCATGGATTTATGCGACAGGCACACTTAATCAGAAAAAATAAAACTCTATTCTAAGAGATTAGGTGGCAGACATCAAAATGCCCCTAGTGATAACACTTTAGACAAGATTCAAGTTAGCAAAAGGGCATTACAGTAATACTTTTAACAGTTACATACATGAATCACATATATTCATAATTTTCCTCAGCTAAGAATAACCTGAGTTTACACACAGACAGGGACTGATTTCACGATCGGGGGAGGCAGGTGATAAGGTGTTGGCTGCCAGATTAATCTACCAGGCATTTTAAATTTGCACTGAATAAATCCTACATGGGATGATGAGGACTGGTCTCCCTTAAGAAGTTACATAACCAAAAGTGGCCAGACTGCGGAGGGTACCCTCCTCTGTTCCTTTTGCTGCTGTAGTACATGGGCTGAAAGTAGGGGCCAGGTTTCAACTTCCACTCCTTCTGTTAGCTGTATGTCCTGGGCAAGTCCCTTAACTTATCTATACCTCTGTTTTCCCACCTAAAAAAGGCATTCAGTGATTATCTCTTGCACTGGGCTGTATTGACAATAAAATACAGAGTGCTTGGCACAGTACCTGACATATAGTAAGCACTCAATGTTAGCCCTTTATATTGTTATTAATTAAAGGTCAATTGATCACCCCTTTAAACAAAATGCCCAGAGTGTTCACCAGAACTGGAAAGAATTCTGTGTCTTTCTGTTTCTCTCCTGAGCTATCACCTTTGTGCCTGGAAAGGAGGAGGAACATTTGTTTTTCCTTCTCAGTGAAATGCAGGTTTACAAAGATTAAAAGGGTACATATGGGTTTAGCTTGGAGCGTCCAGATATCGGAACTGCTACAAAAAAAGAAGGCAAAGTTGCAGAATTGAGAAAATGACAGCAATGGTTGACCTCGAGAGAGAGAGAGAAAGAGAGAGAAGACAGAGGAAACTCAGTAATTACGTTAGTCTTTCCTGTCATCCCAGCAAATGCAGAAGATGCAAATGTTGTAGTCATTATCGGGTACCCAAAGCTTCATATGGGTGAGCAAAGATGAACATTTTTAGCATCATTTTGAATTACTGAGGTAACATTTATTTGTAGGAACACATGCAGTCAGATTAACATTTCAGCATTTTCAACTAATAATAAACTTTCAAATCAGGTAAAATTAACCCTACCGAGGACGATTTCCTATGACTTAGGGGGAAATTAACAAAATGTATTTCATTCGTGAGCAAGTTTCAATATCTCAATATTCTGGATTTACAACCAGACATGGGAATAATAGGTCCATGGAGACTTTGTTAATTTTTTTTTTCCCGAAGTCAGCTTGAAGAACTCCCTCCCTGTCATGATCAGGAGGTACAGAACCTGGAGCTGAAATCTTGATGGGCCCCAACAGACATGCATGCCTAGCTGATGATTCTCCTCACCTCTCTCTTAACCTGAGGACTCCTGGGCCATTTGGTGGGTAAATTTTATGACTGACACTAATTTATACAGGCTTTAGAAGGGTCCTTTTCTGCCTTGCAGCCTCTTGTCAGGAGACTGGAGCATCGGGGCTGTGGCAGTATAGACTTGAGTAAAATGCAGGGGAGAGGTGCCTTGGGAAATCTAACTTGGAGCAAATGGATCATCTTAGATAAGGGCATTGTTACAGGACTGAATTAAGATGTCAGCTGAATCTGGGTACAGGCTGTCCTTCCCCTGCCAGAGGAAGCTGTCCCTCTGCTGGGAAATAGCCAGGGATTCAGTAATGAGAGAGAGGCTGAGACGCTTGCTGGACAACAAGAAGGGAAGCAGGCACCTCTAGAGACAATAATTAGCAACCAGAAGTGAACAGACCAGGGAAGAGGAAAAAATAGCCCAGGCACTTGATTTTGCTTACCTTTTCCTATTGTTTTCTGAAAATCACACTGATGATCATTGTACTTGAATCTACAGGGCTTGATTGGCCTATTCATCTAGCAATTACAGTTTTGAGGGCTTTATACTTTTGTCTTAAGTTCCTGTAATATAAGCGGCAGGCATGGGTTTAGTTACTGCCTGGGCAGCCTCCTGTCCAGCATGGGGGATCTTGGAAGGAACCTCCCAGGACTTAACCAGGATGTCTGAGAAAGGCAGAGAGGGAGTCCTTTCCACAGTTCTACTGGGAGACTGGGAATGTAAATTCATGCCACTCACTACAAACGCTGAGAAGCTCCTGAGCATTGCATTTGCTTATGAAACATGCTCTCGACTTGATCAAATGAAAAACGATGTGAACTCTGCCCATGGGTTATTTACCCAGCAGTGAATGCTCCGAGTGTCTGAGTTTCTACTACCATGGAAGTCCCCGTGGGCCTTGGGCTCTTTTTCTCTGAATGTAAATAAGCCTGGTACCTTTGCATTTGTCCTCATATGTCATATATATATATATTTTTTTTTTTTTTTTTTTGAATGACAGAATCATCTGAGAGGCTGTGCTCTGGGAAGCCAGCTCCTGAGGCCAGGGGTCAGCAAATTCCAGCTCACAGGCCAAATCCAGCCTGCTGCTTTTTTTTTTAAAAATAAAGTTTTATTTATAGATTGTCTCTGGCTGCTTTTATGCCACAGTGCAGAGTTAAGTAGTTGCTAGAGAGACTGTCTGGCCTGCACAGCCTAGAATATTTCCTATGCGGTCCTCTATAAAAGAAGCTTGCTGGCCCTGTCACGGGGTATGGCCCCCTCTCCAGACTTCACTGGGAAGCCTGGTAGAGAGTAGGATGGAGGAGCAGGCATAACCTAAGTGGGTTCATTTACTCTTCTCTGTGCAAAGGGATCCCTCCTCACTCCTACCACAGGAATTACAAAGTTTCTTTTATCCTTCTTTTACCTTTGACCTTTGGGTGCACAGAGGTCAATAAATTATATTCCTCAGTCCATGGTGCAATATGATTGGGACCAATGCTTGCTTTTTTTTTTTTTTTTTTTTTTTGAGACAGAGTCTCACTCTGTTGCCCAGGCTGGAGTGCAGTGGTGCGATCTCGGCTCACTGCAACCTCCACCTCCCGGGTTCAAGTGATTCTCCTGCCTCAGCCTCCCAAGTAGCTGAGACTACAGGTGTGTGCCACCACACCTGGCTAATTTTTTGTATTTTTAGTAGAGACAGGATTTCACCGTGTTAGCCAGGATGGTCTTGATCTCCTGACCTCATGATCCGCCTGCCTCTGCCTCCCAAAGTGCTGGGATTACTGGCCTGAGCCACTGCGCCCGGCCAATGCTTGCTTATTTTGCTTTATTTCATTCGACCTTTTCCTCTTCAGCTTCCTTCACTTCCCTGCTTAGGCATGTTACTCTAAAGTGCTTGATATGCATGTATTCTTATAAAATGTGGTTGTTAGTTGTATGTTCATGTTTTTAACGTACATAAATTATATTGTACTGTAAATCTCATTTCAGTTCATTCTTTTTCACTGCAAACTATTTTTGCTTGGCATCATATTTTTAAGATTCATCTGTGATGCTTGTGTGCATCTCATTTATTGTTTCAGATTACACCTCAAAGCTTTTAGGGGAAAAGGACAGTAGATTCTTCTCTCAGAAGGCGTGGGACCTCTGGTGTGTGAGTTATTCATAATACCCATTACACAGTAAACCCCCAGAGAAAATACAGATCTTTAAAGAGAGCTTGGCTGAGCACAGTGGCTCATGCCTTTTGGAGGCTGAGAGGGTGGATCGCTTGAGCTCAAGAGTTTGAGACCAGCCTGGCAACATGGCAAGACCCTCATCTCTGCAAAGAGAAAAAAAAACCAAAATTAACCAGGCATGGTGGCAAGTGCTTGTAGTCCCAGCTACTTGGGAGGCTGAGGTGGGAGGATGGCTTGAGCCTGGGAGGTGGAGGTTGCAGTGAGCTGAGATCGTGCCACTACACTCTAGCCTGGGCAACAGAGTAAGACCTTGTCTCAAAAAAAAAAAAAAAAAAAAAAAAAACACACACAAAAAAAAGAGCCTGCCGTACATAAATCATAAATACATCCATCAATAGAGATCCTGAATTCTTGATAAACCCTGATATCGAGCCTAGTTAGGAGGCAATATTTCTGAAAAGCATTCTGCATATTCTCAACTAACCACCCCACTCCACCAATGTATCTCTACAATCTAATTTGTGGCCAGTCATTTCCAACTATGCATTGTCTATATTGGGTTCTCAGTGAAGGCAGACAAGGTTTGAGGCTTCTCAGAAGATGGAGATTCAGGTGGGCCTACCTCCAAAAAGACAAGAAGGACAGCCATGACAATGTTTGTCCTTGGACAGCTGCTGAATCAGTTCTACTATGCCCCCGGTGTTAGATTGACCTACCAGGACTTCAGTGCCCTCTTTCATTCCCACACCATGGCCTCTATAGGGAGGGATTGTTTGGCTCATAAGCTTTCCCAGCCCTTAGGCTCTGTGAGCTTTCAATGGTTGACGGGTGGGATGAGGAGGGAATCTCTACAATTTACCAAATAAAGGGGGTTCAATCAATGATTTTGTGTTAGACTCAAGGGAAGAGTATTCAACTTCAACCAATTATTATTCCCAAGGAATATTGAAAATCGTTTCCTGACCAAAGATTTTAATCTCAGCTCTCATGAAGATTTAGGCTTTTCATGCATCTTTTCTATATTGTTAAAAAAAATCTATGTCTTTTGACATTTGATGCTTTTCCAGTATGAGAGTATGTAATAAATGGTAGACTAAAACTAGGGATCTGCATGCACATTTACAGTAATGTTTGAATTTTAATGATGTTAATGTCAGGCTCCTAAAGGAGAGCCAGAAAGTTTTTGTGGCGTACCTAATATACCATTCAAATTAGTACTATTTGTTCTCCATCCATCCAGAAATGTCAGGGCATTACTGATTTACATGTAGGACAGTGTCTTGAGAAGGGACAGTAGTGAATTTAAAACGGGGCTGATCTACTGCAGAGTGTGATGGAGCAACCTTATTTATTGGCCCAGAGGGTTGAGGGTCTGCAGAGGAAGGTGGCAAGGGACTGAGCACAAGGCTTCACTGTGGACAAAACTGTCCCCTAATTTGTCCCTTGGGGTCCAGACCAAGGCCCTTGGCAAGGCTACTAATTAAAGAAGGGGTCTTGATGATCCATAATTCACCCTTTTTGCATCCACTCAATACCTCCTTAAACTCAATTTTCCAAACTTATACAGGGAATGGAGGACTTGTAGTTCCACTGCTGGCTGATTTTTCATCTGAACAATTCCATCCCCCCAACAAAAAGCACACACACACACAAGTTAAGCTTGTCTGAATAAGATAACTCAGGCCAACTCTCTGCCTTTCTATCTCTTTATGAATATGACTTCTATCTACCCACATCTCAGCATTGCAGACAGACAATAATCTTCCCAATTTGCATTTAACAGAGGTTAAGCAAACCTCTCTAAAATGTAACCTGCGAAGGGCTATACTTCTCGTGTATAGCTAAAGAGATTGTATACTAATTAAATGGAAGTGCCTATCTAGATTAAAGCAAGAAGTTTCACGACAGGAAAAGTCTTCATCAGTGAGGAAAGCATGAAGCATAATTTCATTTAAAAATGTATTTTTTAGGGTAAACAGTTACAATAATGCAGATTTTCACACAGGAGGTCCCTAGTTTGTTCATCCTAATTAGGTATCTTCTTTTTTCCCTTACCTTGAGCAAGGGCAATCCTTTTAAACATACAGCAGAATAGAAGCACTTTTTAAGTACTTCAGCAAGTCAGCAAAGGGCTTTCTGCTCAGCAGTTGCTCTACTAAGAAATCTTCCTCCTCATTCCTGCTCCCATCCCCAAGACACATTCCAGAGTTTAACTTATCCTCTTTGATGGCTCCTAATGATCTTTATTCAACTATTTGTCATCTTCCCACCCACATTTAAAGTCACAAAATGTCAAATGTCTTTTTTTTTTTTAAAGAAAACCAAGATATTATAACTCCTTATGATAGCTGGGCCTAATGAACAGCAAATTTTTTACAATTTAAATGATGGCAGGCTCACACCTGTAGTCCCAGCACTTTGGGAGGCCGATTCGGGTGGATTATTTGAGCCCAGGAGTTTGAGACCATCCTGGGCAACATGGCAAAACCCTATCTCTATAAAAAATACACGAAAAAGATTAGCCAGGTGTGGTGTCTTGTGCCTGCAGTCTCAGCTACTCAGGAGGCTGAGCCTGGGCAACAAAGTGAGACCCTGTCCCCACAAAATAAATAAATAAATGATGGGCAAAAGGGGAAGTGCCAAATACCCATGGAATATGCTGAATTGGTAAATTAAAAAATACATAGAATCTACAATTATATCAAAATAACAATTTTAATTAAAAAAAACACATAAAACCCTAATTTACTAGCCAGAGTTTCATGAACTTAAACCTATAAATATATAAGCTCAACACTTTTCACATTTGCTTATTAAAATGAACATACTGAATTCATTTATACCTGCACTTTGAGACATTTTCTAAAGGAAATAATAAGCCACACTACTCCCCCATCACCTAACACTTTGAGATTATTGGTTCCCTTGAATTGTAAATAGTCTCTTGAAAGTTTCAAGGCTGCATTACTTTTCAAAAAGATCAGGCTAGATTGGGAAGCAATGTGGAAGACAATGAAACGATGCAGTTTTGTACTTGTTGACACTTCTTAGGACACAAGCCACTAAGCTTTTCTGTCATCCCTTCCTCTCCCTCATCATTCTGCCTTATTTTCACCTGGAACCATTTGTTTCTCTACCATTACTGAGCTCTATGCAGAAAAACGAGATATATGTCAGAAATTCACAAGCAATGAATAGTTAGTACAATGCTTAGAGTAAGGAGGTGAAGGAAATATTTCTTTGGAGTTGGCTGCTATAAAGGAGGTACTTCTCTGAATCTGGTTTAATCTTAACGCTGTGCCCCACTACAGAAAGATTATTTGCTTAAGGGTTCCCATAAGTTATGGGATATGCTATCCCATAACTTCTATCAGGCTCCTAGCTGTCTCATTTGAGGTAGGGCCCAAATGTCAGAAGCATTCAAAGCACATGTTGAGTTTATAAGAATATTTCCTTTCAATATTCCTTACTCAGATTATTTGCCAGCAGATGTGGTCATTGAAAAGCTGTAATTAGAAACCGGCACTGTAGCACTATAGGCTGAGCGCAATGGCTCTCGCCTATAATCCCAGCACTTTGGGAGGCTGAGGCAGGTGGATCACTTGAGGTCAGGAGGTTGAGACCAGCCTGGTCAACATAGCGAAACTCCATCTCTGCTAAAAATACAAAAATTAGCCAGGCGTGATGGTGCATGCCAGAGTAGTCCCAGCTACTCAGGAGGCTGAGGTGGGAGAATTTCTTGAACCCAGGAGGCGGAGGTTACAGCGAACTGAGATTGTGCCGCTGCACTCCAGCCTGGGAGACAGAGCAAGACTCCCTCTCAAAAGAAAAAAAAAGAAAAAAAGAAACCGGCACTATATCACAATACTGTAGTGGACTCGACTTTCCTTAGAAATCAACATGCTTAATGACATTAATATCTGAATAGTAAGTTTCCTTTAAGTTGCTAGAATGTAAGTTTCTAGAGGACAGGGATTCTTATCTGTTTGTTCACTGACATATCCCAAGAGACCAGGGTAGTGCATGCATGTGTTAAATGCTCAATAAATATTTGTTGATTGAATAAAGTTAGAAGACAAGGTTCAGCTGTGTGCATTAGACATTTGTGTTTGGGAAGTGGGAATAAAGAGGCAGTTAGAATCAACTGTTAAAAGACATGCCGTTGACACCTAATAGATATTAATCTCTTGGGAGGGTTTGCTTTTCAAAAGAGATTTCCCTTTTAAGTGTAACTGACTCACAGTAATGCAGGCTGGCAAAGGAAAGGCTGTAGAAGCAAAAGCAGTGAGGTTTTAATCTGCATGTCTGAACTATTCTTAAATTCAGTTAACTATGGTCTTTCCCCCCTTTGCAGAATTTTGAGTTTTTCTCCAAAAACTTTTCCTTAAAAATTGTTGTTTTCAACTACAACTTGTGTATGTGAAATATGAGCATGCAATGGTCTTTTTTTTGTTTTTTGTAAATTTTTTTTTTTTTTTGATGGAGTCTCGCTCTGTCCCAGGCTGGAATGCAGTGCAGTGGTGGGATCTTGGCTCACTGCAACTTCCATCTCCAGGGTTCAAGCAATTCTCCTGCCTCAACCTCTCAAGTAGCTGAGATTACAGGTGCCACCACCATGCCTGGCTAATTTTTGTATTTTTAGTAGAGACGAGGTTTTACCATGTTGGCCAGGCTGGTCTCAAACTCCTAACCTCAAGTGATCCACCTGCCTCAGCCTCCCAAAGTGCTAGGATTACAGGCGTGAGCCACTGCACCCAGCCTGGTTGTATTTTTTGTAGTGCTCAGCCTAGGTCAGTGTTCTAATTATACCTAAAACCCACTATAGAGCTACCTCTATGTGCTCATGAAAATCAGCAGCCCAGATATAAGGATCTTGGGATACAGCCTCAGTTCAGCCACAAGCAAATTAACAGTGTGACGTTTGACAAGTCAGGGTCTCTCTGTATCTCAGTTTAAGCATTTGTAAAATGGGTTTAAATCTATCTATTCTACCTTCCTCCCAGCGTTCTATGAGAATCAATGAATTGAAATGGTCATGACATGAAAACCTTTAAAAATTATAAGGTAAACAAGAAATATAAGTAAGAAATAAATAGTGTGGTTGGACTGATGTCTTGGCACAATACTTCACTCTCATTCCCATCCTAAAGACAACTCAAGGAACCAGAATGCTCTGATCATGTCTCCTAGAAAATGTATGTATATAATTGCCTGCCTTTTGAAGCTCTGATGGAACCCAAGAGCTCTGGAGTTAGAGAAGGTAGCTTTGGTTCAAGATCGGTCTTCCAATTGATAACTACTCCTCCTGTTAGTTAATCTCTCTCAGCTCCAGTTTCTCCACATGGGAATAATAAATATAAAGAATAACTGAGATGTGCAAGTGATTTGTAATAGTAATAATGACAATGTATATTTGCATATTAGTTTTCTGAGGATCTGGGATTCAAACTCAGGTCTTGTAATTTCAGATCTAGTTCCCTTTTCAGTATTCAGAGTCAGACTTCTTATTAGATTAACTTGACATTTATCCCATGGGTATGGAGAAAATATCTGCTATTTTGGCATTTTAAGTGGTATGTGCCTTTCAAAAATATCATTCTTAAGGCCTCACCCTTGTAGCAGGTTGTTATTGAAGAGATAACTTGCAGATTTTTTGTGCGATTTGGTTATCAAGCCTTCTTCTTGATGCAAATTTTGCCTACAGCAACCAGTGTTATGACTAATATTGATAGTTCGAACCCTATAAATAACCCATAGTTCACAATTAAATGCAGAGGTATCCAGGATGGTAAAAATTAGACTGCCCCCCACCACGCCTTGAAAAGATCTGGGGACAGTCTGATCACAGCCCTGCAATTCCCTGCCCTTCCTTCTCTGCCTCTTTTTGGGGCTGCCCTAACTCCCTGCAGAAAAGACGACCCTGTTGTCAGCTTCCTGGATGTTGCCTTCCTTTTTGAACTATGTCTACATACACAAAGGTTCTAATTTTTTAAAAAGACTGATTTTGTAACAAAGAAAATATTTTTACTGGGTCGGTGGTAGCGGGTGGGCAGGAAGCAGAGTTGAATCCTGTGTACTGCTGTTACACTACTTCTCCAGTCAAATTTTCAAGGCTTTGCTTGTGGGTGCAAAGTCTACCTATTGCTTTTTGTGTTATTGTGGTCAAATACACATAACATAAAATTTACAATGTATACCATTTTTAGGTGTACAGTTCAGTGGCATTAATTGAATTAGGGCACAAACCCCAACTCTCCATTTCCCTCTTCCCCCAAGCCCCTGATAGCCTATGATCTACTTTCTCTCTCTGTAATATGTCTAGGTGTCTCATGAAAGTAGAATTGTATCGTATTTGTCTTCTTGTGATCAGCTTATCTCATTAGCATAATGTCTTCAAGGTTCATCCAAGTTGTAGCATGTGTCAGAATTTCATCCCCTTTTAAGGCTGAATAATATTCCACTGTCTGTGTATACCATAGTTTGTTAATCTATTTATTTGTTGATGGACTTTTGGGTTGCTGTGCCTTTTAGCTATTATGAATAATACTGCTATGAACATTGGTATACAAATATCTGTTTGAGATCTTGCTTTCAGTTCTCTTTGTTATGTAGCCAGTAGTGAAGTGGCTGGCTTATACGGTAATTTTATGCTTAATTTTTTTTTGAGGAACTGCCTGCCATACTCTTTTCCACAGTGGCTGTACCATTTTACATTTCCACAGCCATGCACAAGAGTTCCAGTTTCTCCATTTCCTTGCCAACACTATTATTTTCTATTTTTTCAATAATAGCCATTCTAGTGGGTGTGAAGTGGTCTCATTGTGGTTTTTGATTTGCATTGCCCTAATGATGAGTGATATTGAGTATTCTATTGCTTTTTGAATTGACTAACACTCCTTGGCTGGATAGTCAGTGCCCTGTAGCACTGCGTCACATCCTATATGAGCACCCTCTCTGCTTAGCTTTCTATTCTCCATCTTTCCTGAGGGGGGGCCTTTCTGTGCCATCCCTTGGCTCACCCCTACAGAGGCAGGGGATTTTGGCATAGTGCAGCTCAGCATCCCAGGATGCAGGTCAGGGTGAGGTAATAGGGAGACTATATCTGGAAGGGAAAATGGAAACTATCCACCATTCCAATACTTTAACAACTGCTATATATCCATCACAATATCTAGGACAATCATGGGCTCATGGTAGATCATGAATACTTATGTATTAGAATATATTTTTGCCAGATGTATTAAAGCAGAAGTTGGGGTTAAGCCTGTGAACTACCTACTTTACCTACAGTTTCAAATGGTTAATGTGGGTAACCAGTTACAGAATCACCCCTGCCATGACAGACAATTGTTTTGCCTTCCAGCAGTTATGAGTCCCATGCCATAATTCCCTCCTCTCACCATCAGTCCACAGGGTCAATACATGGATAATTGTTGAAACTGGACGATGGGGGGGGGGTACATAATCTTTAAATTTATGTACATTTAGAATGTTCCATAATAAAAAGTTGATTCAGATAAACATACCAGGCCTCATCACTGACTGTGTGATGGAACGGACCACCTATAGTCTTATTTATCCATCTATTTTTTGCATTGGGTAATTAACTTGAGATCTATGGGCAATTGTTATTAAATTTAATTTTTTTAATTATACAATTCTACAAAGTCTAATGCTTAAGGCAATTTCTATGTCTATGATGTATAAGCATAAATTATTTTATAGGTCATTATATATAGTCATTTTAATGTTATGCTTATTGTCTGATGAGTATATAAAATAACATTTAAATAGCATTTAAGTAACTCCTATAATTACACTGAAAAATGTTTCCCAGTGTTACTGAAATCGGTTGCAAATCTTAGATACATAAAGTACTAGAAAAGTAGCCAAAAAAAGAGACAGGGACTCAACATGCTGCCAAAAATAATAATAGAACCTTGAATGTTAAACAGCTTTTTAAAAAGCTCTTCTCTGGAATGAAATGCATTCACTCAAGTTGTTCTTCCCCATCCTCCTGCTTCTTGTTATAGACGTGCCTTGCTGGCTGACTTCCTGATCGGTTGGTGGGCCCAGTCCTACTGAGTCACCCGGCTGCAACTGTTGAGTATGAGTGTGTGGAGCTGGTGGAAACCAGGATGGAGAGTAGGCTGGAGACTGAGCACTTGGGAAAATTTTAAATTGGAAAAAAACCACAAATGAACGAAAGCACTGAGTTGCTGCTGTGAGGGCAATTTGCTCTCTGTAGGCATCACAAAATGTATTTGATGATTGAGGCCAAAATTGGTCTATTTGCTTTGTTTCTTTGGAGAAAAATGAGAATACCAAGGATCGTCCTCTGGTTGGCATCACGTTCCTCTGTGCACAGTTATTTTCTGTTACAAATGGTTTTTACAGGTCGTATAAGGGGTAATGGGCAAGAGTTAATATTTTTCTGTTGTCACTCTGGAAAGTACATCAGGATCTTTCATTTCAATCTGTCCCTCTAAGTCTGGTTGTCCCTTTTCATGTACTCAAAGGAAAGTTGGCATGGGGCCCAAAACATAGTATGGGGTGTACCGATCTCCTTGGTCTGACCAGTTCAGCTTGGACCCTAGAGAAGCTCAGCCAGTGTGGACCAATTTGTGAAGAAGGCCACCCAGTGCTTTCGTCTAGGAAATGTTCCTAAAGTCAAGTCCATGTTTCAGTGAGTCTCCTCAGTTTTAAGAGGAGGCACAGAATGCCACAACTTCTAAGCTGCCTGCTTTTTAAAATGTTAATAAGTCATTAAAATTAGATAAGACAAGGCCGGGTGCAGTGGCTCACCCCTGCAATCCCAGTACTTTGGGAGGCCAAGGCAGGCAGATCACCTGAGGTCAGGAGTTTGAGACCAGCCTGGCCAACGTGGTGAAACCCCGTCTCTACTAAAAATACAAAAATTAGCCGAGTGTGGTATTGCGCACCTGTAATCCCAGCTACTCAGGGGAATTGCTTGAATCCAGGAGGCGGAGGTTGCAGTGAGCTGAGATCACGCCACTGCACTCCAACCTGGGCAACAGAGTGAGACTCGGTCTCAAAAAAAAAAAAAAAAATTAAATAAAACAGTGTGCTTAAAGCATGCAGCACTGTGTCTAGCACACTGTAAAAGTCAATAAATGTTAGCTCTTATTTATGATTATTCTAACTATGAGCACAACGAACTTTATTCTAAATTACTTATTCACTTAGCAAACAACTATTGAGTACCTACCATATGTCAAGCACAGTTTTAGTCAATATGGATGTGGCAGTGTACAATCGAGCCAAGATCCCTGCTCTCAACAAATGGACATGCTTTGAAAGGGAAAACACAATACATTGTTCAACTAAATAATTCCTTTAACAATTGTCATAAATAAAACAAAATGAGAGAGTGGGGATAGAGAGTGACTGAGGGGAATAGGATGGGGAGAAAAGTTGACTCTAGATGGAGTGACCAAGGAGAGCTTCTCCCCAGAAGGGATTGGATGGTGAGATGGAGTTGCCATGTGAAGATGCAGAGGTGCGGTAACCCAGGCAGAGGGAACAGTAAGAGAAAGGCCCTGAATAGACCCCATCTCAACACTGAGCCCTCTTACCACATGCAGTGGATGTCAGGCTGCAGGCCTCTTTGCTGTCCTTTCAATAGTTTCCGTGTTCAAGGCATTTAAGTACTCAACCTGCAATCAGATTAAATTGCTGCCAGAAGAGCTGTGGTCCTTAGGTGAAAACTCACCCATTTCTACAAGTAATGTAGAATTTTTAGTTTAAGCAAGCATGAGAAATGACTCCTTGAATAAGCAGTGCTTGATTGTCACTATTGCCCATTTCACTGGAAGAGCCCACCTTCCATCTTGGGACCAGGCCCATAACTCACTGCTACTCAAATCACAGAGGTAAGAACCAGCAGATGAGATAGGTTGGCTCCTGCTCTGCCAGTAAGTAACCTGCTATTTGCTCTTAACAGGTCACGTAGACCTTCTGTGACTTTGTTTGGTCATCTGCAAAACCAGAGGAATGGGTTACACCAGTGCATGTAAAACTTTCATGTGCCTTCCCATCTCCTGAAAACTTTGTTACCTGCAGACTCTGTCTCAGGAGTGTGGGGCAGGGCCTGGGATTCTGCATCTCTAACCAACTCCCAGGTAATGCTGAGGCTGCCCACCCTCAGACCACACTTTTGAGTATAGAGAGTTTAGATTAAGTACCTTCTAGCTCTAAATCTAGGAGTCTGCATTCCAAGCTTACTAGGACTTGAACTTCAAGTCCTTGAACTGATCTTAATCACATAAAAACCTGTGATGACCAAGACAGGTATGAGCTTCCTGCAATAACCAAGCTGTGCTTCCTTCTGGGTTGTCCAACCGTTGCAAGTCAAGATCACTGCCTCACCTTAGCTACCTGGTACTGCAACACCTATGCATCCTGTGGCAGGACTGGTGAAACTCATTATCACTTATCAAAATTGATATGATGAAATGAGGAAGCTTCGATTTCATAAATGTGCCAACATTCGGGCTGGGATGGAATGGTTTGTTTCCCCGAATAAGCTATAAAAACGGAACACAATAATTTAATTGACATTATTTGATGGATGAATGTAATCACTGAGTGAGATTCTTTTAAAATCACACCAAATTCCATACAGTTCTGGAAGTTCAGTGAAAGATGTTATTGTTGATTTTACTTTAATTACTCCTGCTGGGATTTACCTTGAGCGGGTTATTAGGCAGGTAACAAATCTAGATTTTTTTAAGAGTGGAAAATCCTTCAACTCTTCTGAGCAATATCAGTGTCCCCTTGGCTTCTTATCCCTAAAAGACATAGCTGAGGTGGTCAGTTTCCCGTGGCTCTCAGAAGATCTGCTCTCTAACAGGCCAGAGGAAGCAGAAGCATGATGACAAATAACTCAGGAAATGACAGACTTTTGTTGCACTATTTAGAGAAGGGAAGAAAGGTAGCATAATAGGGCACACTGTCATTGTCATAAGAATGGTTTACATTTGAATATCACCTCACAGTTTTTAAAGTGTTTTCAGGAAGTGACTATGGTTATCACCATTTTATGATGGAAGACTGCAGGCTAGAGGGAGCTGTGAACTGATAATTGATAAACAGAGCATCTGAACTCAGGTCTTCTATCCAGTGTAATTTTCAGCCTGTGGATAATCCTCCAATTACAGAACCTGAACCCAGTCTTTACGCGTTTTCCCAAGCTCACAGAGCATGGCATATAGAGGAAGAACAAGATTCTATCCAGTTCTGTTGATTCTCAGATTGACATCCTCTATTGTCAACCCCAAGACCTGTGATTACCTTTGTTGGACTGTTAGGACTACACAATCTATATTTCCCATCAAACATGCTCTCCTGTAGAGAGTTCCTTGGGGATAGACTGAGCCTAGCCAGATGTCAATAAATGGCATAAGATAATTAACTGACATTTCATTCAATCCTTCAATGTTTCTTCTCCCAGACATCAGTCCAAAGGTTCAAAGTGTCAAGGGACAGCCATCCAAGGGGAAGCAAACAAATGAAATAGGACTTGTTCTCTCTAATCCCTCTCAGGCTATGCAGGGCACTCCCTGGGGTAAGGCTGGCCATTTCAGAAAACATACTATAAATACTGTCAGTTCTTACCTGCCTTTTCAATCAGCTTTCTCTTTTTTAAATGTTTGCTAGGAAGGAAGATTCTCCACCTGAAGTGCGTGAACATACATTTCCAAACAGGTGATATCGCCAAACATGACTCATGGAGAAGTCAGTTGTTTTACAAAGAACTTGTAGGAAACAAATAGCAAAACATATTAAATATGCCTCTTGGCCAAGAATTGAAATCAGTGAAGGGCAATAACAAAGAAGAGAAGTATTTAGCCATGATTTCTACCTATTGTGAGCTCCTTATATTGTTCACAGGAGCTGCAACAAATATTTAGAAACAATCATAATACATAGACAACAATATTACCATATAGCAAAGCCTCAGTTAGTATTGATTTTATTGACTTTCCAGACACAGCAGGTAGTTGTAACTTACAATTATGCCCATAGGTGAGAGTCTCTATTTATGCTATCATACAAGACATTTAAAAAATTAATTCCGGCCGGGCGTGGTGGCTCACACTTGTAATCCCAGCACTTTGGGAGGCTGAGGCGGGAGGATCACGAGGTCAGGAGATCAAGACCATCCTGGCTAACACGGTGAAACCCCGTCTCTACTAAAAATACAAAAAAATTAGCCAGGCGTGGTGGTGGGAGCCTGTAGTCCCAGCTACTCGGGAGGCTGAGGCAGGAGAATGGCATGAACCTGGGAAGCTGGAGGTTGCGGTGAGCCGAGATGGCACCACTGCACTCCAGCCTGAGCGACAGAGCGAGACTCCATCTCAAAAAATAAACAAATAAATAATTCCAAGCCAGGTGCAGTGGCTCATGCCTGTTAATCTCAGCACTTTGGGAGGCTGAGGTAAGATGATCACCTGAGCTCAGGAGTTTAAGACCAGCCTAGGCAACATAGAGAGACCTTGTCTCTACAAAATAATAATAAGAATAAAGTTTAATGAGCCGAGCATGGTGGTGTGTGCCTGTGGTCCCAGCTACTCAGGAGGCTGAGGTGGGAGGATTGCTTGAGCCTGGGAGGACAAGGCTACAGTGAACTGTGATCATGCCACTGCACTCCAGCCTGGGTGACAGAGTGAGACTCTATCTCAAAATAATAAAAATAATAATAATAATTTCAACCCTAATGAATCAGACCAAATCACAGGCCAAAATCCAGTACCTGGTATAGAGTTAAATATCCCCATTCCGGACACAATGGAAAGCCAAACATCAGCAGAAACATTCAGGGTTTTTATTATTTTCTTTTGATTTTTAACCTGTCCTCATTCTCTGTAAGATAACACTGGTTTTTATCATTGGCATGCTCAATTGAACCATGGCCCTGGCAAAAATTAAATTGGTCATACCCACCTATCCATTCCCCCCATCCCCATCCCAATGATGCTGGAAAATGGCGAGGAAAATGATGACTATGCAGGGCTACCCAATGGTGGTGACAGTCTCTGAGGACTCCGAGCATCATGCTGCCAGTGGGTCAGCCCTGCCACACCTCTATTTGGGCATGACAAAAAGCAGCGCTTGGGGCAGCTTCAGATGGAGGGGTGGGGAACTGACTTCCCTTCCTGCCGAGACTCCAGGTGGAGTCTATGACCTCTTCCTGCCCTATTGTGTTGGAGTTAGAGAAAGTGTATGTGGCAGGATGGGGTGGAAGTGAGCAGGATGGCAGAGGTACGGACAATGTCCTGACAAGGAGGCAAACTTGAGGAAAAGGCAGAGGGCACACCATTTGGACCAGGGCCCCTGTTCCCTTACCTCACTGCCTTTGTCTCATTCTCTCAAAGGACCTGATTATTTGCTAGGAGCTAATACAGGGATCCAGACCCCCCACAGCCATCCACTTTCCAAATAAGCAGTAGACTCATTGATAGCCACAGCAGACGAGTCCCAAAGCTAGGGAATCCTGGTACCAGGAAGAACCTGGATTTTCCCATTAAAAGGACCTGGATTCCCTTCCTCGCCCTCCCATTCTGGTTCAACCGCACCTGATCTGGCTCTCTAGCTGTAAGATACTTTACAGTAGGAGGAAATGATGTTCCTCTTTCTGGCCTCCCTCTCTTGGTTATAACAATGAGAAAAGAAACATTCATGCCAGATACCCTCGCTGTGGCCCTGTCTCGGGGGCAGAGAAGGGATCTAGTTTGGCAAAAAGGGTTTCTTCTCCATGCACAAGCTCTTGCCTCACAGCCACAGAGAGATTCTGTGCAGGACCACCGACTTTCTGCACACTTCCTAGAAGCCCCAGACAAGGGGGGAAAAGCAGATGGACAGATTTGCAGTTAGCCTTCCAGAACCAAAGCAACTATACAGAATTCCTGCTGCGATGCTTCACCTTGCTGGGTGCAGGCTGCTGACTCAGAAAGGAACCCACCATCAAGAGAAAATCAGAAAGACTTGACTCTTGGCCCAGTAAGACCACCTGAGTTTGTTGAAGCATTTCTAGCCCTTTATGCCCGATTTTTACTTTCTTCCCTTGCTTATCTTGGGTAACCTAGAAAGGAGCTGAGAGATGTAAATAATGTTTCTGATTGTGGAGATCTGGGATCCAATCAGCAAGGAGGGGGCATGATTAAATCCAGGCTGACTCAGAGATGGCAGGCGAGGACAGCAAGGAGAGCAGACATCTGCAAGGATTTGGGCAACTCGTTAGGGAGGAATTTTAGGAACAGAAAAGGGAGAAGCTGTGGCGCAAACTTATACCGAGGAACAAGAATTACTCCCCGCCCCCAGGCCCCCACCAAACCAGCCTTTCCCTGCACATGACCGTGTTTGGAGACACACAGAGCTGAATCCTGGGTGATAAAAACAGTGTGCAATAGGTCTCTATCTATGTTTGAGAAAGGAGGGACTACATTACATTTCAATCCATCAGCATTAACTGAGCACTACGAAATCCCAGGCGCTGTGATCAGAGATAAGACAGAAATGAGAAACGGTTTCTGTTCCCAGCCTAGAAACAGCTTTATAAGATTTAGCCGCAGATCCCTCTATTCACTCCTAAAAAGTAATCAATATTCTTTCATAAAATGAGGAAAAGAAAGCAGTGATCTGACCTGTAAAACAGATTGCTCGGTGCAATCCAGGAGCCTGCTCAAGGAGGGGTCCAGCCCAGCCCCAGTCTAGCGTAACCCAGGGACCCAGGGCACCCAGGAATGTAACCACAGTTATTCTATCACTTGGTTACCAATGGGTACTTGAACATCAGTGAACAAAATAGTGAACTGAACAAGCAAACATCTCTGCCTAGTGTAGTTGACATTCTTGGGGGAAGATAAATAACGTTCAGAAGACTAAGAAAATTGTATGGTATGTCTGAAGAAGCATGTATGGAAATGAAAAAAGTAGAGTACGGTAAGGGAATCAGGGGAATGGCCATTTAAAAATAGGGTGCTCATGAAATCAGCCCAATTTTCCAACAAGCTAGATGCACATAGAACTGAAGCTTGAGCAACTTACATGTGTACAATGAAACGCACCTGCTGCTCGTTGACCAGTTCCTCTTCCTTATCCTTCCCTAATTTCTGTTTTCCCACCTGTGGTTACCAGGAAACATCAGACCCTTCACTTGACCACCTCCTGTCTATTGACCAACTTATCTTCCTTGCCCCACCTGTTTTCCTTCCTGGCTATATATACAGCCAACAGGGGAGAGAAATGTAGGATGAATTTGAGGCTTGCCTCCCATCTCTGTAGCTGAGGTGGCCTGAGTAAAGCCTTCTTCCCTGGCAATACTCAGCAATTGGCTTTCTGTGCCGTGAGCATGAGACCTAGACTGAACCCCTGACACTCAGTAACACTCAGGGTAGGCCTCCTTGAGAAGATGACATCTGAGAAAGGACTTGGGAGTGAGGCCCCCTCCAGGAGTAGATGTTGGGCGTACTGAATGTAAGCCCTGGGCCCTCCTCCATGTGAGTCAATCAGTCTGGAAAGGACCTCCCACTCTACAAAGTTTCCAGCGCCTGAAAAGCAGGCTCTGTGTGCTTTTCTCCTTGCATGTTCTTCTCTTACACGACCGGATACTTAGTAATTGCTCAAAGTCCAGTGCATATGCTGGAACAGTCTCTTGGGCCTGCTCTGATTAGGGCTCTTTTTCTGGGCCAAACAAGACTCCGGTGGAACTCCAGACACAGACAGATTGGTGGTGCAACATTCTAGCAAGAGACGACATCAAGCAAGTTCTTAAAAATAATTCCCTGCCTTCATACACTTGGATTACAGTCTCTGTGTACATTCCCAAATGGGATGATGCACCTGTAACCCAATCAACTAAGAAACATTGTCAACAGTTTTCTGACCTGCGTAAGATTGTTATGTAATCTGGCCAGAAGTGCAGGTCTTTCTAATAATCCAGTGTAATCATCTTCAGCTCCTCCCTGTATCAGACCCATCCTGTATGCCTCTTTGCTTCACCTGTCTCCCAGGCCCTTAGCTGCTTGTGTCCTGCAGTAGCCATTGTTGAGCCCGATTCTAGGAGTGCAGCAGGCAGGTCAGCCTCACCTAAGCCCCATCTGTGGAGATGGATGCCCAAAGTCTCTACCATGCCTGGATTCCATGAAGCCCTGGGCCAATGGGTGCAAGATCTCTGTCACACCCGGGCCAGATGTTGCAGCAAGAAGTGCAGGGGCATGGAGGGAATGAGCGGGTAATTATCCTCTTTGTTCCAAAACCTCTCATGGCTTGTTCCAAGAACAGAGAGCACACAACACATAAAGGTAAAATGGTAAGAATTCTGCTTGTACTCCTGGGCACATGCCCCCCAAAGGTATCTCAGCTGTCCTTGCTCTATGCGTAAGACATAGCCATACAAATTCAAGATTAAATCCCATCCACAAGGCTTGATACTTCAACTTTTTCAATAATGACAAACATAAGGGACTCAGATTCCTTCCAGTGAAAAAGACTATATGATTTCTTTCGCTCCTAGAGTGCTTTAAAATGCATACCTCACTAACCCTCCACTTCCCTCTCCCTGTAGGAAATGAACAATAAATGATACTCCTTTAGGTTAGAGGCACTATCTTAGACACCATTAAGACACACACACGTGTGTGTGAGCTCTTTCCCCACTCACAAAACCCAGACAAATGCTTTTAAGCTCTTCTTTGAAATTTTTTAAAATTCAGATCATTTTCCAGGATTTTACTTGGCTGAATTCATCCAATGCTCTTTGTTTTTTCCATCATGGATCAGCAAAGGCAATTTTTCAGAATGACTCTGGAGGGATTATTTATTTAATGCTTTTCTTCCCTGAGAGGAACTTGCCTCTTTACCTCATTTTGAGCTGAATCTGACTGACTCAGTCTTGTGATAGAGGTTGGTGAGTGTAAATATCTAGTCTTTTTCGCAACAAAATAGAAAATCTACTTTTCATGACATGTTTCTTTTGCTCAGTGCAGGCTCCTGGGTTCCTATGTTCAAATTGCACACGGAGAGATTCTAGGAAAGTTTTGATGTCTTGAGGCTTACTAGTGCACTCCCGTCGATCTATCTGCCTAGTCTCAATAAGTATTTCTTTATAGAGCAGAAGAGGAGGAAATAACTCTTTACTATGGAAGCATACACCTTTGCAGGCCTCTGGGGGCTGATTATGAAGTTGTGTTATATGAGCATTGCCTTCAAAGCCTCGTTCTAGGCAAGCTGGTCTATGGAGAGTATCTAAGAATACAGGCTGTGTGCAGAGGTTTTCAAAGAGGGATTCTGTGCTCACTTTCAACACATCATTCCATGGCTGCTCCCCCGTCAACCACATTTTAGGGTTATCTCCTTTGTACACATAAATTTAAAACTCCTTAGACTGCATGCAAGACCATTTGCAGAAGAGCTGCCAATCATCTCTCCCTCTTTAATTCACTCCCCTCAGCGGCATCCCTCCAAGACCCGTGCTCCTATTCCAGAGCAGACCCAAATCCACCATCCTCAAACTCATCTTCTGTTTACCCACCTCAGGCTCCTTCCTTACAGAGATCCCACTACCGGAAAGTATCATTCTCACCTTCTGAAAATAATCATACCCACCTTCCCAGGCCCAAATTAAATGGCATCTTCTCCAGGAAGCCTCCTCAGATGGCCCATCCCAACCGGAATTCATCTCCCCTCCTCCAGTCTCCTCACACTCTGTGCTTCTATTTTGTGGGATTTATTAGAAAGATGGGGAAAGGCCGAGGAAGGAGGATCATGAGGTCAGGAGATCGAGACCATCCTGGCTAACATGGTGAAACCCCGTCTCTACTAAAAATACAAAAAAATTAGCCGGGCGTGGTGGCGGGCACCTGTCCCAGCTACAAGGGAGGCTGAGGCAGGAGAATGGCGTCAACCCGAGAGGTGGAGCTTGCAGTGAGCCGAGATCACGCCACTGCACTCCAGCCTGGGTGACAGAGCAAGACTCCGTCTCAAAGAAAAAAAAAAAGAAGATGGGGTAAGAAGGGGTAGGGCAGCAGGTTCTGGGGGCAATTAGAAGAAACTAGGGCAAATCGCATACAGGTGTTTTGAATTTCACTCCTGTTTTGTTAGGAGGGAATGTGATTTTGTGAGACTGAAACCTGGCAGCAGCAAAGCAGGAAAGGCCAGTGGGTTTGAAGAAGACAATATGTTCCAGTGTATTCCAGCATCCTTTGGGATGAGATCTCTACGGGAGAGCCAGAGACTGGGACCAAGGTTTTAAAATCCAGCGTTATGGAAAGAGCTGAAATTTGATCTGTGTCTGTGTTGGTGGTGATGACTAACGAACAGCGATAGAGAGAAGTTGCCTTACATCTGAAATGCTGTCCAAAATTCTTTGTGTCTCTGAGGTTAAGACCATTAGATTGAGGTGGCTGGAGTTAATAGGGCTAGAGCACTTATCACAGACAGACTGATGGGTCTTGTCTTTGCACCTGTCTCATTCGCTTGGCTTTAAGCATCTTTAGGGCAGGGATCAAGTCTTACTCATCTTGAGACCTCCCACATACTGGCACTCAATAAATAATGGTTGTAGAATTCAATTGGGTTAAATTAAATGAGCCCTGGGAAAGGTTTCTATCCTAATAGTTTCTTAATAGCATCTATAAGAAAACTAGACTCAATTTTATGTAGCTTTAAAACATTTTACTTAGTTTGAATCAGCTTCAAGAAGGCAAATGCTTCTTTCAAATAGGTAAGTTTGTCTGAAATATAAAACCAGTAGAAAAGGCCTTCATCTGACTAAGCCCTAAGCAACTCAGTCTAGCATTGGTCCATTAATACTCTTTGCTTTGTAATTTTTCAAATATTAAAAAAATTCAGGATCATGCCACAGCACTCCAGCCTGAATGACAGAGCAGGACCCCATCTCTAAAAAATAAACTTCTGATACAGAGAATTTATGTCAACCTTATGACTGGGGGAAAATAAAATATGCACAAAAAAGAAAATGAAAATACCTGTGGCTGGCCAGGTGCAGTGGCTCACGCTTGTAATCCAAGCACTTTTGGAGATCCAGGCAGTTGATTGCTTGAGCCCAGGAGTTCAGACCAGCCTGGGAAGCATAGTGAAACTCCATCTTTACAAAAAATACAAAAATTAGCTGGATGTGGTGGGACACGCCTGTAGGTAGCCTCAGTAGCCTCCCAGCTACTGAGGTGAGAGGATCGCTTGAGCCTGAGAGGTTGAGGATGCACAAAACTCATGCCACCCAAAGATAAATGCTCCGTCAACATTTTGGTATATGACTTTCCTACCCTTCCCCTAGTATCTCTGGACCTCCCCTAGGATCTAATAACTGAAGTCTTCCAGGATGCTATTCCAGGACTATGGCTGGCATCCTTTCTGTTTGGTCTTTGCCTGAGTCTTGCCTTGAATGTCACCCTACTTTCTCTTTCTGAGTTCACTCCCACTCATTCTAAAGTTTCCCACTTTATGCTCTCTCCTCTTTCCCTGTCTGTTAAAATTTGTTCCCAGCAAAAGCTCTCACTCACTCACATTAAAGTGTAAATCATGACTAAAGCTTTGCATGCTACCCATTCCAGAAGTATTTGCATTTAGAGCTGAAGCCTTAAATGAAAGAACTGGATCTCCAGCTCTGAGCTATAGAGCCCTAATAAAGTACTTCTTCATATACTATTTCTGGAGGCATATCCAGGTTTTGGAATCCTTGGTGTCAATATTGAAGACCTGCCTTAAGAAAAAAAATCAAAATTATAAATATAAAATTAGATATAAAAGAATATTTAGAAGAAAGCCATAAAAGTGAGCATCATGCATAACTAAAGTTCAATATTTAGAAGCTTTATGATAGACTCACTTCTGATGTTTTAAAATTGATCCTTAGCATCCAGTGAAATTGGCAAGGTAGGTACCATTAGCCCCACTTTACAGATAAGAAAACTGAGACCCAGAGAAGCTACACAATCAAAGAACAGAATCACGTACTGATAGATGCTGGAGGTATCTGCCCTAATGAACCAAAGCCAAAAAGAGTTAAATGCTGTGTTGTAACAAAGAAAATATTTGTAGATGAGATCCGAACCCAGATCTCCTGGCTCCAAGCCTGCTGTTCTCTAGTATCCATGCCATCCAGAGGCTGAACTGAGGCTACAATTCACAGCTGCTGAACTTGACTCTCCACGACTTTTTCTCCCCACCCCAATGTGAACTTACCCCCTAAAAAGAAAAGAAAAGAGATGCTATAGTTGCATATTTGACATTTTCATAGATATAAACATGGTGATAACAAAACTAAGAGTATTGATATGTGAGGAGTCCTGAGAGAAATATGGATATGTCAGCTTTCATATGATAGCAGCGCCCAGAAAATTTTCATGTCAAATTTCTATGAAGTAAATTACATGGTGAATAAAGAACTCACTATTTTGAGGAACTCCATAATAAAACCTCCTGTTAAAAATTAAAAGAATTCTTGTCAATCAAAGAATAACATTCCAATTTCTCTCTTGACAGTTTGAACGTTCATACCCAGAGATTTCCTAAGGCAGAGCACAATTGCACACACTAGGAAAAATGTTGGAATTCGGACAGGCCTGTGAGGTGAATGGAAATAAAACCTGAGACATGGTTTAGATTCATTCAACAATAAGAGTAGGTTCCCACGCTGTGAAAATATATGTTGGTCCTGCTGGTTTTGTTTTCATCTCAACCATGTGAATGACGTTGCCAATAAGATTTTTAGTTCTGTCTTTGAAATGCAATTATTCTGCCCGTTCCCATAGAAACTCTGGTAGGTTGATGACAGTAATGGCTATGATTGGCCACACCTGTCTTGGACCCTGGCGCTGCATTGTCAACAATCCTGGGCTAGCTTGCTGGAGAATGAGAGCCAGGAGATTCAGTACCTCCTTTTCCACCCACCATTGCCCTAGCTGACAGCCACTCAACCGCCAGACATGTAAGGCCATCCTAGACCAGCCAGCCGCCGACTGATTTGCCAGCTGACTGCAGACCTTAGCCCAGGCTAAGTCCTTCAAGACTGAAAGAACCACCCAGGCTATCCACACACTCATGAGCTAAATAAATGATTGCTGTTTTAAGACATTTAGTTTGGGGATGGTTTATTTTCACAATGAACTGATACAGAAAACAACCATAATACATTCCTGCAAAGAATTAGCTACTTTGAGAGCATTTTCTGCTTAAATGGACTGAACTTTTAGCATTGGTGGTTGATATTCCATCCTTCATCTGTCTGAATGTCTTAGAGACCTATAAACTGTGTAGTCTGAGCATAAATAATTCTGCAGTATGGATATATTCACATGGAGTCACTGACATATGTTTGGCAAGAACATTGTTCTGGCAGTCATTAAAATGCAGAAAAAATAAAGTTTTCAGAACAAAGTGAGCTTTTTGATGAACAGATTTGACTAGACACTCACTCTAAAGATTCAGTGATTTCTCTTCCAGCATCTCACCAAATAATCAAAACTTTTCAGATAGGCTGTGATTACTAATAAAGTAGGGGTTTGGCAGCCCGGCCACCTATTTTTGTAAATAAAGTTTTATTGGAACACAGTCATGCTCGTTCATTTACATATTGTCTATGGCTGCTTTTGTGTGAAGACAGCAGAGTTGAGAAATTGCAACAGAGACATTGTATCTCACAAAACCTAAACACTGCAGTATACCACAAATATCTTTCTAAAGTAAATTCATTAAAATAGCTATTATTAAGATACTTTCGAATTACAGTCTCAGGCTTGACAAAACCTAACCAATCACATTGCAAGGAGAGATAGTACAGAAAGGGAGGAAGGGGCATGTGGGGGGTGTTGTCACAAAAATTGCAGGAATACAACCATTATTGGCCCTATTAGATGGACTTCTCTCAAGCCACAGTTAGGTTATACAAACAGGTGAGCCAGTAGTCATAAAGCATTTACAACAAAGTCAAGCTCTACTGAGCTTTGCCCATCTGTTTTTCTGTAGCCCATTCATTAATCATATTCCTTATGAGTCACCCGATTCCTTTGCCAGAACCACAGTTATGTTTCAAGAATATTAGAACTCACAGCCAGGCAGACAGACGCTCTGGGCTTGACATTCATCTTTCAAAGTGTCAGTGTCTTTATAAAGCGACCACCAGGGATGGGCGTGGTGGCTCACGCCTGTAATCCCAGCACTTTGGGAGGCTGAGGTGGGTAGATCACGAGGTCAAGAGATTGAGACCATCCTGGCCAACATGGTGAAACCCCATCTCCACTAAAAAGACAAAAATTAGCTGGGCCTGGTGGCGCAGGCCTGTAGTCCCAGCTACTCGGGAGGCTGAGGCAGGAGAGTCGCTTGAACCCAGGAGGCGGAGGTTGCAGTGAGCCGAGATCATGCCATTGCACTCCAGCCTGGCGACAGAGCAAGACTCCATCTCAAAAAGAAAAACAAAAAACAAAAACAAAAAAACCACCAGGTGCTCTCTGAAGTCACTCCCAAGTTGGACACTGTGACTGTGAGTTGGTGGTTGTGGTGCTGCTTATGCGACAGTAGTTGTGGCAACTAGTGGCACAGCTTCTACAAACCAAATGCAGCCACTGCTCAGGCCTGCAGACCCTAGTTCAGCTCGTTGGAGGGAGGCCCTAGGCCTCAAGCTCTGGTAACTCTCACCCTACTGAAGGAACAAGGTGCCTGGCTGGTGCCTCACTCAGTGAGGCCACAGATGGGAAGATGACAAAATGGTGTGCCACCAGCTTGTCCTAAAAACAGACAGGAAGTTTGTCTTGGCAGGAAGTGGTTCTGTACACTCAAGTTATTAGCAGTATAATTCTGGGTGGTAGGAAGGCCAGTGGTTTTATTTTTTTTTCATCGATGCACATTTTCTGCAGTGCTATGTATTAACTGTATAAAAAAAAAACAACCCAGAAATGATAAAAGGTGTTTTTCAAAGGACCCCAGTCCCATTTCTAAGGCAAATAATGGGCCTGGGGTCCTTTGAAAAACACCTTCAATCATTTCTTTTTGATGGGGGAAGACAGATCACCAGACTTTGCAGCCGCACACTCCCCATTTGGAACGCTGACTACTTTTACCCCTTCAAATCTAGCCTTGATGCTTGTTTTTAAGACACCTCCCATGCACAAAAGCATTACTGGGTGATTTGCCTTGGGCCCGCCTCCTTCACCCCAGGCCTGCTCTGGCCAAACCTTTTGTTTGGGAACAGTTTGATTTTGCTATGGCAAGGACTCCAAAACCTGCCTTGCCATTAGGAACACCTGAAGGAGTTGAATGCAAAATATTATTTCCAGGGGTCCAGACCAGTTTAGTAGCTGAGGAGCAGGATCTGAATAGCTGCCTTTTGAAATTCTCCAAGTGTTTTTGATGATCAGCCCCATTTCGGACCAGATCCTTGTGGAACAACCGCCAGCACCTGGGTCTGATCTCGCTGGGAAGGTAACCCCAGGCTCACGCTGGGCCTCATGGAAGGCAACAAGATGGACACGGCAGAGAGATTCATGGATTACCTCTTGTTCATCACGTTGTTTTCTTTTCTCCAAAGCTGTTTTTCTTCTTTTAATTTTCTTCATTGGTTAAGACCCTGAACTCTGAAACCATTCTGCCTATGTCCAGAACTTGCCTCTGCCACTTTCTAGTTGTGAGAATCAAGGCAAGTTTCTTAATCTCTCTGTGCCTCAAGCTCCCTTATCTGTACAATAAGGATCCTAGTAGTATCTACTCCACAGAACTGTCAGGAGGATTAGATGAGTAAATATAAAAAGTGCTTAGAAGAGTGCCCTGCATATGGTAAAGATAACTAAGGGTGGCTATTTTTTTTTTTATCATTGTTTGACTTTTTTTGGCCTATTACGCAGTCCTAGGAGCTCTTGCTTTGTGCCCCTTTCTGAAGGAAGTGCAGTTTCCTTCGGGCACTGTCACCTGCTCAGAGAGGGAGATTTAGGATGGGCTTGTCAGTCTTTATTCAGATACAATGCCTAACATGGCATGTAAGCTATGAGGGCAATAATGTGCCAGTGAGCACCTCACAGAGGTATAGGACAGAGGTGGTACAACACAACTGCATGGGGCACCTCTGGGTCCTATCACTGTGTCTACTGCTGGTGACTAGGGACAAAGCAGTTCCACCTCAAGGCCAGCATATGTAGAGGCTACCTGACCCAGGTCACACTCTTCTTTCCCATCTATAGGGCTGGCTGTCTTAGCCTATTCTGGCTGATATAACAAAATACCATAGACTAGGTGGCTTCTAAACAACAGAAATTTATTTTTCACAGTTCTGGAGGCTGGGAAGTCCAAGCAAGGGACTGGCAGATTCAGTGTCTGGTGAGCATTCACCTTCTGGTTCACACATGGAGCCCTCTAGCTTTGTCCTCACATAGCGAAAGGGGCATGCTAGCTCTCTGGGGTCTTTTAGTAATGGCACTAATCTCAATCTCGATGGGTCTGTCCTGATGATCTAATCACTTTCCAAAGGCCCCCACCTCCTAATACCATCAAATTGGTGATTAGGTTTCAACATATAAATTTGGGGGGCTGGAGGTGGGGCATGGACAAAAACATTGAGACCATAGCACTGGCCATTTGGAAAATACCCAATATTTTAAGATGCAATTATCAAAACAATGGACCCAAAGCAATTGGATAAGTTGAGAAATTTTATCACTTGCCAAGTTTCAGTTGCAAGTGTGGAGTTTTCAGCTTAGTGAATTCCTTACTCTTGTTGATACTAAGGGTTAACAAACAACATAGCCATAGCTGACCACAGAGAGCGGGAAGGAATGAAAACAACTTTCCTGCAACCTGTCAACTCTGTACCTGGAGCGATTTGGGATGGCAGAGCTCCAGAAACAGCAAAAAGCTGCCATTAACAGTGTAAATGTAGTCTTTTACATGAACATTGTGACTGCTTTTTTTTTTTGAAACTACATTATTAGCAACTCACAATGAATCAGTTATTTTTAGTCACCAATCATGAGTCTTCTATTCCCAGATTTGCATTAGATACTTCACCTGATAATTTAATGAGCACACCTCATAAAAATAGCACAATTATCTATATTTACAACCTGGAAATTTCTAGTGTCACCTTATGTTTGGTGTTGTTAGCATTTACTAGATGCCTTCCAGGATAAATAAATGGTAAATGGTGCAAAGAATATCCCCTCTAGGCATTCAGAGTCAGTCACCGAGGTGGAAAGAGTGGAAGAATTCAAGTGAGACCACATGAGTGTGAGGCCCAACTCTAAACTTTGTGTCTCTTTAGGCACATGTCTTAATCTCTCTGAGACTGCTTCTTAAACCAGGAATAACAGCCACCTTATGGAGGGTAGCAAAGAAATTAAAGCCCATAAGCATTCCATTGCTCCCCTGCATTTCCCAACCATGCCCAGCTAGGCAGGGCTGGGTGACTAGCCTAGCTAATGAAAGATAAGTGGAAATGATGCTTCACTTCCAGCTGAGGCCGTGAAAAGCCCATGCGTGATTACCCCATCTCTCTCTCCCCTAGTCCAAGAGACTGAAAAGGCCACATTTTTTCAGATGGTGCAGTTTACAAGACGGGGACTCCTCTTTTAGCTTGGGTCCCTGAGTGACTTTGTGGAGCACAGCATTCACTTCCCCTCACCCTTATGGTCTCTTAATGAATAGAGAGCATGAATAAGAAAGTCTTTATTGTGTCAAGGGATTTCCAGGTTACTTCCTCCACTCAGCATAATGTAGCCCACCTTCACTAATAACTGGGGTTGTTTTGAGGTGGTAAAATGTAGCAGTAAAGAACAAGGTTTCTGGGGTCACACTGCCTGGATTTGAAACTGAGCTCCGTTATTCATTAGCTTTTTGATTGCCCTGGGCCTCAGTTTCCTCACTTATAACATGAAGACGATGTCTTACATGATTGCTATAAATATTAAATCAATAGATAGAAAGCTCTGAGAACAACGCCTTACTCATAAGTGTTATGGGTGAAAGTATACACCCCCTTAAATTCTTATATTGAAGTCCTAAACCCCAGTACCTCTGAATGTGACTATGTCTAGAGTTAGGGCCTTTAAAGAGGCAGTGAAGGTTAAATGAGGTCATATGGGTGGGCCCTAATCCAGTATGACTGGTGGTTTTGTTGTTGTTGTTGTTGTTGTTTGTTTGTTTGTTTTTGAGATGGAGTCTTGCTCTTGTTGCCCAGGCTGAAGTGCAAAGGCGTGATCTTGGCTCACCACAATCTCCACCTCCCAGGTTCAAACAGTTCTCCTGCCTCAGCCTCCTGAGTAGCTGGGATTACAGGCATGCACAGAGATGGGGTTTCTCCATGTTGGTCAGGCTGGTCTTGAACTCCCGACCTCAGGTGATCTGCCCGCCTTGGCCTCCCAAAATGCTGGGATTACAGGCATGAACCACTGTGCCTGGCCATGACTGGTGTTTTTTAAGAAGAGGGGATTAGAACACAAACCTAGAGGAAAGGTCAGTGAAGACAGGGAAAAGATAACCATCTACAAGCAGAAAGGCCTCAGAAGAAATCAAATCCGGTTCACACCTTGATGGTGGGACTTCTAGCCTCCAGAATTGTGAGGAAATGCATTTCTCTTGTTTAAGCCATCCAGTCTGTCATACTTTGTTATAGCAGCCTTAGCTAACTAGTACAGTAAGCACTCGATAAATAGCAGCTACTATGAGATACATTGCCAAGCACATACTAGATATTCAGTAAATGTAAGTTTCCGTTTCCACCACTCTCTCCTTTTCCCCTGGATTTCCCCAGGGTGATCCTCAACCCTGGCTGCACATTAAAATATCTTGGAGAGAACTGAAAAGGTGCCAAGCCCACGCTGTAACCCTAGTTTCTCATTTACATGGCTTGGGTGGGACCCAGCACTGATAGGCTCTTATGCTTGTCAGGTGAGTCTAATGTGTGCCGCCAGGGTTGAGAACTACTCTTCCACTCTTGGCCTCAAATTGATGCTTACCTGCTTAATACTCCAAAGTTTTCCCAAATCTGGTAACAACAAAAACAGGGTGTGAGATTCCCGTAAGCCAATATCCTTTCCTAGCTCCAGGAAGGTGGCATTCAAACTACCAAGGGAAAAACCAAGGCTGCATTATGCTGACATGACAGCTGGGCTGACAGTGTGCATTTTTTACTCAAGCCATGGACAGAGCAGCTGATCTGCTTTAGCATTTAACCCATCTGCTGCAGGGAGGGGAGAGGAGGGACCCGAAAGAAATCAGGTTCAGAGTTTTGGTACTCAAGACACCCAGAACTTCAGCTGCCTTCCGTTCTATTTGTTCCATTTGGGTTGCAAGAAACAGGAGCTTGCTTATGTGGGCCCAAATAAAGACGATGGGATAGGAAGATACAACAGGCAAGCTCATGGAAATGGAAGGTCCTGAGGCCAGGCCCAGCACAACCACAGGGAGAACACTCCTGGGTAGTAAGGAGCAGAGAGGACTTCCTCCTCCTCCCAGACTCCACACGACTTCTCTCATCTGTGCGCCTTTGATCTAATCATTGTCTCTCTCAACTGGTTTCACTTGCTTCCTCCTCTGGCTTGCTTTTTCCAAGGCATTGAGACTCCTTGGCTCAAATTCCTACCACAAATTGGTGGCAATATTTTACTTTCGTTCAAATTAGCTCACTAAAATTTGATCATCTCTGCTTTTTTATTTGAGCTGGAACACCTAAATTATAGGTCTTCGATCAACCAACAAATTGGCTGGCCTCAGATTAGGAATTTACTCCTGGTCTCTTCAGCTATGGATGAGGAAGAAAGGCCATAACACGGAACCATTGGAAGTACCAACTGGGACACTAAGATACTATGGATACTAGATGTCAAAATGAGTGGTCATACAGTCATGCGTTGCTTAATGATGGGGATACATTCTGAGAAATATATTGGTAGGCAATTTTGTTATTGTGTGAATATCATAGGGTGTACTTACAAAAACCTAGACAGTATAGCCTATTGCTCCTAGGCTACAAATCTGTGCAGCATGCTACTGTGCTGAATACTGTAGGCAACTGTAACACAACGGTAAGTATTTATCTACTAGACATATCTAAACATAGAAAAGGTACAGTAAAAATATGGTATTATAATCTTATGGAACCACCATTATATATGTTCTATTGTTGACCTAAACATTGTTATGTGGCACATGACTTTCAAACAGGTGGTTGAGCACAGCTAGAGTATTTTCAGACTCACTTTGAGGAGGACAAAGAGTAAAGACAGGATTTTTGCAGAAGTATTTCTTTGGAACTCTACCCCAAAAAACTATTAGAATTAATACACAAATTCAGTAAAATTGCAGGATAAAAAATCAATATACAAAAACCTGCAGCATTTCTATACATGAACAACAAGGTAGCTAAAAATGAAATTAAGGAGGCAATGTCATTTACAATAAATAAAAAATACAAACTTACCTGAGAATAAATTTAACCAAGGAGATGAAAGACATCTACAAGGAAAGCTACAAAATACTGATGAAAGAAATCAAAAAGAATACAAACAAATGGAATGACATTCCATGCTCATAAATAGAAAGAATTGCTATTGTTAAAATGACCATACTACCCAAAGCAATCTATAGATTCAATATAATCCCTATCAAAATACCAATGTCATTCTTCACAGAAACAGAAAAAAAAACCCTAAAATTTGTGGGGAGCCACAAAAGACCCCAAATAGCCAAAGCAATCCTGAGCAAAAAGAACAAAGCTGGAATCATCATACTACCAGGCTTCAAAGCTGTAGTAACCAAAATATCATGGTACTGGCAATAAAAACAGACACATAGACCAACGGAACAGGATAGAGAGCCCAGAAATTAATCCGCATATCTACAGCAACTGATTTTTGACAAAAGTGCCAGGAATACTTGCTGGGGAAAGGACAGTCTCTTCATAAATGGTGTTGCGAAAACTGGATATCCGTATGCAGAATAATGAAACTAGACCCCCCTCTTACCCTATACAAAAACCAACTCAAAATGGATCGAAGACCTAAATGTAAGATCTGAAACTATAAAACAATTAGGAGAAAACACAGGGGAAATGCTTCAGAACATTGGTCTGGGAAAAGATTTTCTTTAATAAGGCCTCAAAGGCATAGGCAACAAAAGCAAAAATAAGCATTATTATTTTAATTATTTATTATTAGTAAGGATTATAACTATTATATATGAACTATATATGATTATTAATAAGGATTATAATTAGGAAGGATTATATCAAACTAAAATTTTTCTGCACAGCAAAGGAAACAATCAACAGAGTGAAAAGATAATTACAGAAAGGGAGAAAATATTTGCAAACTATTTATTTGGTAAGGGATTAATATTCAGAATATATGAGAAACTCAAACATCTCAGCAGCAAACAAAATAAACAATCTGGTTTTAAAATGGGCAAATAATCTGAAGAGACATTTCTTAAAAGAAGATATACATATGGCCAAGAAATCTATGAAGAAATACTGAACATTACTAGTCATCAGGGAAATGGAAATCAAAATCATTATGAAGTATCATCTTGCCCCAGTTAGGATGGCTATTATCAAAAAGACAAAAAATAACAAATGCTGGTAAGGATGCAGAGAAAGGAACTCTTATATACTGTTGGTAGGAATGTAAACTAGTACAGCCACAATGAAGAAGAGTATGGAGTTTCCTCAAAAAAACTACAAATGGAGCTGCCATATGATAATCCCTACTCAGAAAGATTAACATGTGTTCTCTACAGGGACCCAGAGGACTGGTATCTGGTCACATCTGAAAAAGCCTACATGGTCTGTGGCAGCAGGGTAAACAACTACATCTAGGAAGTAACTTCCTATCAGCCCATTCAAGGCCTATGAGTCCTGGGGGTCTGAAGTGAAAACTAGTAGGAATGTTGGCTTGTGCATTCTGCCTGAGGTGGTGGAGTCCCAGGGGAAGAGGTTAGGGGGTGTCATAACAGGCGGGGAGACAATGAAGGGGATCAGGAGAGGCCAGCCAAAGGAGAGGTACTATCAAAATCAGGGAGACTATTCAGAAAGGCCCAGGAAAACCTAGGAAAGCAACTTCAAGAGAAAGGTCTAGAGAACGTGATGCCATCTTAGGAAAACACTAGTTTCAGACACAGAAAGAAACAAACCACCAATCTTTGCTCCTTCCTGGGTCACTGAGGGAGCCGAAGAAATTCATGTCTGAATTGAGACTACTTGTGACAAAGTCACCGCAAGATTTCTACCTGAGAGTGACCAGAAAAGTTGTGGTATTGTTCTGAATTTTCATGGAGGAACGGGGGAAAGCAACCCCATTGAACAGGTTTTAAAGGGACAGCAGGAAACAAAAATAAAATTGTCTTTCTGGTTCTGTCCCATGAGTACTGCTTGTTCAACTGATGGGTTATATACAGATGGGGTTAAGGAGCAAGGGGTTGTGGACAAGACAAGTTAGAAGAAGTTACCAGGCAAGTTATGGTATGTATTAAGTATTCTTTCATTTAAAATCAGCTACTAAATCCTTGTGGCTATTTCCAAAGGATCCAGTCCCTTCCAGAAACGAGGCCTTCTTAGGCGAATGACTCGATATTTGTGGTCCAGTTCTATGTCAGTTCACTCATTAGTATGCCGGGTACACCAACAGGACCTGCAATACCCACCCACTGAATTGACCAGCCTAAACATGATTAAGTGATAATCTTCCTAGATGGTCACTTTGGTGGCCAAGGTGACCAGACACACTCATCTATGATCCACCTATAAATTAGTTAGAATTCCAAGCTTCTTTTCTGTTTCTGGCCAGTAATTTCCAAGTGCAGTCAGCTGAGCTATGCAAACTCTACAATTCGACTGTTGGGCAGAGCTCCTGCTGAATGGGGAATGCTTCCTTATATCTCATGAATTAGAAGAGAATGGAGGCAGTTAGTGGCCACATCACATTTCATTTCTAAGTTTATTAATTAAACGACAACAAACAACTTCTGCTAGAGTCCAGGCAATAAAGTTTGTACTACAGAGGATACAAAGGTAAGACAATCTCTCCCCATAATGTATTAATCTTACAATAAAGAGGGCAAGATAATGGGGACCATCCCATTCCAAGAGGAAGGAAAGGCAGGGAGTGCAGAGAAGGGCTGGGATGACTCTCTGGGAAGTTGTGACATTTCAGCTGGACTTGTATGGGTAGCATTTTAAGAAGAAGAGATCATGGGTGATGGCGGGGGCAGAAAAGGCCATTCCAAACCCACCGGACTTGTCACCATGCCTGGTCTACCATGGGTCCTTTTCCTCCATGCTAAGATAGTGGAGATTAAAAAGTTTCATTTCCTGTGCAAAGTCTGTTCTATTTAGGGGTTGTCTGTAGTGCTCTTTAATTGGAGGTGGGCAAGTACAAGGAGTGTTCTGGACAATGAACACCAATAGAATAGCCTGGGGGTATAGGCGCCTAGTGGGAATCTCTGCTTTTCTCTGTGGGCTGTTGTTATATATGGATTCTTAATTTAGGTCCATGGATGGGTATGGAGGGTCATGAATTTTTGAAATTGAAAGCAGATTTTTAAATATTTTGGTAGATTCGGGGGATACTGGGCCAGAGATTTCACCAAATTCCTCAAAGAGATCCATGACCAGGAAAGGTTTAAATCACATAGCTAAAAAAAAACAACAAAAAAAATACAAAAAAAAAAAAAAAAAAAACAGAAGAAGAAGAAAACAAAACAATGTCAAATTAGGTTGACTTGAATAAAATAATTACAGTAGAGGAGGAGCGTGTTAGGTCCTTTTTGACTTAGAAATGTCACAGACTCAGAATATTCCCTTCCAGAGCATGACCAGGGCACTAACCTCAGAAGGTCTGGTCTATCTAGGAAAGATGGAACTCTACCAAACGCAGGGATGGAAGTAGGAAAAATAAACAAGAATAGTTTTCTCATTTTCAGCGTTGCCATTGTTAATCCTGTGCTTTTTGACTTTGCTTTCTAATGGTAGAGCAGGGTCATCTCCACCAGTGGATATAGCTTGAGGCCACTGGAAGTCCTACCAGCCCCCAGTTGTCTTCCTTTGGACTTGCCACAATGACTAGGATCACAGGGGAGATCCTGCTTTGTTCTAAGGCAGTGATAACAAGAAAGCTTCAACTCACAGAACTGTGCTCTGTTTTTTTGTGGTTGCCTGTAGTGCTATATAAAGATGGATTCTAGACCAAGACTGGGCTGGAGGTAAGATTTGCCTTGTCTGTTTAAAACAATTCTCTCCAAACACTCCTCCTAAAACCCAAGTGCTTTCTGGGGAAAGTAGACAATGATTCCCTTAGTTTTATGTGAATAAGGATTGATTGGTTTGAATAGCAGTTTCTCACAACGCCCTGAGGGTGAAGCCCAGGAGGGCCTGAGCTCTGGCAGAGAATGTAGAGGAGAGGGGGAGAGGGAGAGAGAAAGGGCAAGGGGAGAGAGAGAGAGAGAGGCAGAGAGAAGAGAGTCAGGATGCACTTGGGGATACTCTGGGAGGAGGAGAGCATTTAACACTCATCCTTGTCAATCATGACATGCAACCAAGACAAATATTAGAAACTAAGGATTTGGTCAGTGAGGATTTCCTGACTGTTGTTAGAAACATAAATGGGCACAGGGCTGCTAGCCTCTCCTTAAAAATTATTTGCTGGGCAAAACCTCACCATGAATCACTACCGCAGCAAACAGCTCCAAGAACTCAGAAGGAATGCTCACATGTCCTTCATATAGGTAACTGCTCCGAGGGCATGCTCTGTAATTTCTGCACAATAAAACCTATGGGAAGCTTTTCAAAGATCCCAATGCCTGCCTCCTCCCATGCAACTTAACACAGTGATTCTTAACCCTGGCTACGCATTGGAACTTCCTGGGGAGCTTTTTAAATTATTGATGCCCAGATTCCTCTTGAGAGATTCTAATTTAGTGGGTCTAGGGTGCAGCCTGGGCTGTTTAACAGCCCCCTGGGTAATTCTAAGGTGCAGCCAAGGTTAAGAACCACTGCTGAGGAAAAATCTGGCAGAGAGAGATTCTGATTCAGGAGGTCTGGGGTGGGGACCCAGGAATTTATATTGAAACAACCTTTCCAAAGGAGCAGACTATCTCTACATGGTACAAAAACATTAATTTGTCGATACAGGAAAAGCAGATCAATCTGATTATCTGGCTTTGTGTAGATATAACACCTGGTTGACTAGTTGAATTTTCTCCTTTTCAAGTAATTAATATCGTATTCAAAGAGCCGTCACACACTATCAACTTGGGCGTTTTGATTGAATTGACTGCTCCATCCCATCAGTGCCGATCATGTCATCACTCTGCATCCTTAGGCGCAGCACAGTGCCTGGCACACAGAGGACAATCAAATATTACGGGGAGCAAAGCCAGTAATTACCTAGGGATCTTTTAAAACAATCTCTCAGTCCTATCCTAGACTAAATAAATAGAAAAATTTGGTATGGGCCAGGAATTAGACCCATCAACTATGAATGAAGAGGTGTGTTTTTTAGCCAAAATAACCAAACTAGTGTGTGTAAACTCCATCTCTCTCTTTCTCCGATGTTGCGCTCTTCTTCTTCAAGTGGGGGAGGAGAAGCCTCTGGTAGCCTGGCAGATGGGGTACTGCATAAGCCTCTCTCTCCTTATCTTCCTTTCCTAAACTAATCTCCTAAATGAACATGTCATATCCAGGGAGTTTTAGGGCTTGGGAATTTGCAGCTCTCTGAAAAATCCTTCCTTGGCTGACCAGTGGGCTCCTAAGGGGAAATCCCTTAGCATGTCCACAGGCTGGCTGAATAGCACCCCAGAAAAATTGAGCCTGGTGGATCTTCTAAAACAGCAGCAACCAATAATGCCTAGCATACCTGCAGCAAATTTCACTGCTGGGGACGGACGAGCCATGAAATGCTTCACGGTCAGTCCTGGCCATGGGGCCAGGCAAGTCACAGTGGCCCTGTGAGCCAGTCAGTGCTGGACGTCATCACACCCTCGGGCCTTCTTCCACAGTCCTGTGGATGTTTACGGTGAGGCTTGGTGTTCCCAGATGTGCTTGCTCAGATGTTTCTTTGGGTTTTGCTAATTATGACTTTATTGAGAAAATAAGACCTCATCCTAAGATCTTTAATTCTCTTAAAACATTTTAGACAGAAATTTGATACTTGAAGGCTTTGCTTTATGCAATGTTGTGATCTTTTTGTTGGTTTTCCATATATTCTTTGCAAAGAAATTGGTCATTTACATTTAGGAAAAATCTGCTCCATTCTGAGAAGCCCTGCATACCACGGGAGAAGCTGCTGTGGCTCTCCCTGTCTGACTCTCTTTCCTCGGCCCAGGCTGACACCAGAACAGCAGAACCTGATGTTCACACGGGGAAATGCTTCTAGGCCACATAGTCAATAGCTGCACCCCCAGGTACTGCACTGTGCAACTGCTCTGGCTACCCTCAATCTTCCCTATAGTATAAAGGAGTACACCTGGTTCAATAGGGGGCCCCTAAGACCTGCTCCAGGGCAAGTTTCATTGATTTGGATTGGTCGGTGCCTGTGCTGGACTGGTAAATATCATGACTAGCATCCCTGCCCACTTCATTCCTCCATCCAGACCCGGAGCCATCTGACCACCACCTTCCACTCAACACTGTCCTGTGCTCTGGGATAATCCCATCCAGGAGATGCAGGGATTTCCAATATTTTGTCCAGCCCTCTCGAAATCAGTATCAGCTCACACTTGTTCCCAGCCCAGCTCTGATCTTGCAGTCCAGCTCTAGCAACTAACTTTCAGTCTTGTTTCTGAAGCCAAGTTCCCACACTGTGTTCCTGCCCAGCCAGCTCCCAGAGCGGGGGTGTACCCAGTGGATGTGCTTGCCTGGGGAACTTGGCTGAGTTTGGGTGCTTCACAGCCCACCACACACCTAGAAGGGAACAGAGATTTTCTCTGGTCAGCAAGAGTTAGTATGGGATGAAGAGGGATGTGAATATTGGTAAGGAAGGGGTCAGAGTAGGGAGATGGAGGAACAAGGAGCAAGGGAGCAGGTGTGGGGGCTGGCACAGTGGGGCTCGGGGCATGAGCTCAGAAGTGAGGCTGTGGACAGAGAAAGGATGCCACTTGTGGGTGGGGCTAGCCTTGCAGTGGACAGGTGCACTTGGAGGAGTTAAGGAAATCCAGTCCCAGTTACTGAATCCTCACCTGGGCCCTTGTGCCAACTCCCTGCCTTGGTGAGCTGCTTGGCCGCATTCCCTGCTAGAGGTTGGGTTCACTCCTTCCTGTCAGTCACCCCTGTTTTGGTCCTGGGGTCCAGCTCAGGAACCCACCCTGACATCTGGAACCTGTTTTCTAAAACACACTTCCTAGATAGCAAGAGGTACAGCAAGTGCAAAAGCCTAGGGGTAAGCATGCACTTGGCACCTTCAAGGAAAGACTGGAATAGAATGATCCAGGGCAAGGGATGAGAAATGAGATAGAAGAGGTAGTCGAGGTAACACTGCATGGAGCCTGCTGTGGTTTAGATACAGTTTGTCTCCACCAAAACTCATGTTGAAAACTTGATTCCCAATGTCGTGTTGGGAGGTGAGGCCTAACGGGAAGTATTTGGGCTACAGGGGTGGATCCTTCATGAAGGTCTTGGTGCTGTTCTTGCTGTGGTGAGTTCTTGCTCTCATAAGACTGTATTAGTTTCCAGGGAAATGGATTTATTCCCATGATATTGGGTTGTTATAAAGCCAGGATGCCATCGTCCTCTCTTCGCATGCATCCACTTCTCCTTTCACCATCTCCTACCACGTCGTGATGCTGCATAAAAGCTCTCACCGGAAGCTAGGGGCATGCCCTTAAACTTCTTAGCCTGTAGAACCACGAGCTAAGTAAACCTCTTTTCTTTAAAAATGTTCAGTCTCAGGTACTCTTCTATAGCAACACAAAATGGACTAAGATAAGGAATCTGGATTTTACTTTGAGGGAAATGAAGAAGATAATTGCTATTTTTAAAAACTCACAACACTTGCAATCTAAACAGCTAAGATGATGAGAGATGGGCAGAAAGAAACTGGTCAGGAAAACTGGGATGCAGTCCTGGTTCTATCCATCTTTGTAACCAAAGCATGATGCAAAGTTCTGTTTCCCCTACACCTGCCTCAGAGTCCTTCCACCTAGAAGCATCCCCATCCCTGGAAGAATGCCCCGGTCCTTCCCTTCTGTCTGCTTTGCCTATGGGCAGTTAGGTCTTGCCTTAAGTCATCAAGTATAAAAAATGTTCATGTCCCTCTTCTCCTTAGCCTGGAGAAAGGGAAAAGAAAGAACCAACAATAGCCCTGGTTAGTAAAGCCTCTTAGGATATGCACTTTGTGTGGAGAAGGGGAGGCGAGGAGTGGGTACCAAGAATGGGAAGACACCGCTACCTTTAGATGGAGGGGAACCAAGAAACTAGCCTGGAAGGACCATTTTCTCTACATTTTCTCTGTCTGTCATCTCTGCCTGTACCCACCACCATGTGCTCCATGTGTTGAAGACTTGGTTCATGACCTATTGTCAAATGCAGTGGCTCTCACTTTGTTCATGACAGGGAACCCCGGCCTGATTCCATAGAATATGCACTGGCCGTGTCTGTATATCCTTCCTAGCTACCCATACTCTGCACTGTACTGTGTGATAACTTTACCTTAGACCTCATCTGGCCCAGAAGCAGGTGATACAGTTATGGTCAAGATTCTAAAAGGTCCTTGTAATCTAGTTATAACTAATGTAGCCCTAAGAATAACCTTCTGTATAGCAAACTTCTGTACAACATATCCAAAATCAGTACATTTAAAAGACAGCTTGGAAAGTGTGTGTGTGTGTGTATCAACACATATATGTCAAAGTCCTCAATAAAAAAATGGGTAAAGGACACAAAAGACAAGCAATAAAAGAAATACAAATGATTGAAACCCTTCAAAACCTCAGCCTTCCCAGAATTTAAAGAAATGTAGGTTAGAATATTGAGAGTAGCCAGTGAACATAGACAGTAGCCAGTGTTATTTGGAAAGTGGGAAACAGACTCTCTCATACGTTACTGATGGCAATATAAACTGATAGGACCTTTCTGCAGGGGAATCTAGCAATAGGTAACAAAATTTTAAAAAGCTGTTCCATAACACAACAACTTCACTTCCAGAAACTTATTCTTAAGAAATAATTGGACAACTCCGCAAGGACATATGTACAAGGATTTACAGGAAAAGCAAGCCAAACCTCCACCATAGAAAACTGGCTAAATAAATTATGCTACATGCATACTGTGGGATATTCTTTAGCCACCCAAAATAATGTAAAGCAGCATTTGTTGACATGAAAATGAGCGTACAATACATGAAGTATGAAAGCTAGATTACAAAAGCATGCAATGTATGATATAATTTTTGGATACTCTATCTGCATTTCTGCATAAAAAGTCTGGAAAAAATATGTATACCAAAACTAAGTCATTATTTGTTTCCAGTGGATTACAGGATTTTGTTTAATTTTTACTTTTTAATATTTTTCCGTATTTCTTTGAATTTTAAATAATGAACAGTAGTGACTTTTAAAATCAGATAAGACTGGTAATGTTGAAATGCCCTGGCAAGTGAAATGAAATACTCATCAGCAGATCTCAGTAGAAAGGAAATCTCCTTTCTCTTCCATTCCCACCCAGCAGCCAATCCATCATGCCATACTTCGGATAGGATTACACTTCAACTGTCTCAGGCAGATGAGCATCTATTCTATTTTTAAAAGCTTCCAGAGAAAGAGGCTTCAAAATTTCCCTGGGAAATCCATTCCAGGGTTTATCAAATCCATCTGAAAGAGAAATTTCTCCTTATGCCTAATCCGAAACACCTGTGCTGTGATTTAAGCCATTGCTTTTCTCCTGTAACTTGCAGTGAAAGTAGGAAATGGTGACTGCCATTTGTCCTAATCAAGAGCAATTGTTTTCCAGAATATCTGAAATGATATACATCCTGCAAGTTAAATATACATGCATGCATACACACACACACTCTCAGGACTCTCTACACAGGCAAGATCATATAAGCAAACATTAAATTCTGGGCCTGAAGGTTAATGGAAGTTGCCATGTAGAAAGCCCACCTAGGCTGTTCTGAAGCACAGAATTACAGCCAGAGCTTGTTCGTCTCACTCATTTCAGTGGTGGCAACATCAGGAACGCACCCTTGAGCAGGAACGAGAGCTATGGATGTTGCAGGAAGCTATCTCAGACTGGTCTAGTTGATAAGGAGGTATACCACTCCCAAGCCTTGAAAAAATGGAAGAGAACAATGGTTTGTTGGCGCTATTGGCCAGTGTGAAGGACGCATTGTGTCAGAAGCCTTTTTATCTCTGTGTCCTGCAACTGCTCCTCTGTCCCTCTCTCCCCTTCTCTTCCTGGTGTTCCCTACCTCCCCACTTCAGACTTCTTTCCTTCATCCTCTCCTACTCAACATGTTGTCCTCAATGCCATCTCAGCTAATGTGTGTTGTCTGTATGCTATGTGCTAGTCACTATTCTAAGAATGCCACATGTCCTCATCTAATTCTCCCATCCACCCTGTGAGGTGGATGGACACCATCATCTCTGTTTAAAGTGGTCTCATCCAAGAACTCGCTGCTCTACTCACTGGGCACCAGATGGTCTCCAGAATTACCCTCTGGAGCCACAGGGAGTTTTCCTGTCCCTAGAGGGGTGGGTGGGGAAATGTGCCCAGGAGCCTGCCATGACTAGGGACCGAGGGAGTTGAGCAGAGTGGAGTGGCGGAGACACCACAGGCTTTGGAACCTGGAACAAATGCTGTCATAACCCCACCTATATCCCTTAGACATTCATGTATAAGAGATGACCTCCAGTCACCGGAGTCTACAGCTCTGAGCCTGAGGGCTTTTGCTCCCCAAGCCAGGAAGCCACTGTGACCCTGGGGCAGCCCTCCACCACTGACTCTCAGATGTTGGCATAAAAATACCCCAGCTGCCTCAGCACTTGAGTGGAATAATTCTGGGATATGAGTTTTATACTGTTTCACTTGGGACTTCGGCACAGTTGTATGTAGCTGATACAAGCAGCTGATATAACAATGCATCCTTTCCTGGCTGCCTTTCTTTCCTGAGTCACTTCCCACTGCTCAAGAAACTGCCTCCACTTGAATCATTATCTCAGGGTGTCCTCCCGGGAAAACCTAACTAAGAGTCTATGACAGACTTGGTTTGAATTTTGGCTCCCATGCTTTCATTCCATATGACATTTGACACGCTTTAACTCTCAGAATATTGGGGTGAGGTGTTACAGAGTTAAATTTCTTTGCATTTGAAGTCCTGGTAAATAGGCAGTCAAGAAATGACCATTCTTACTGTTGCTGGGAAAGTGATGCTGTTGCTATATGGTAGCTCTTCCTTTTCTAAACAGGAATGAAAAATATCTCCCCTCCTAACACTTCTGGAAACAACCCCAAGGGCTTGTACCTGGCTGCTCTCCAGCATCGTGCCAGGAAAGTGAAAAGCAAATGTGACCCACTGTGAAATCTTGCTATCAGATGCGTTCCTCAGAGTTCAGTTTCCATTTCAAAGAAATAAAATTGCCAGTAACTTTCAAAGAATGAGTTCTCTCAAATTGTTGCATCTACTTGATAATTAAGAGATGCGAATTCCTTCCTTGGGTAGAGTCTTTTAATGTTGTCAGAATATTTCCATCCAACACTTTATAAACACATTTGATTATCATGTCTGATCCTCGTGTCGGGATAGGCTAGGTTAGGCTCCGTAACAACCAACACAATCTCAGTGGATTAGCACAACACATATGGACTTTTTGTTTGCTCTCTCATGAGTCCGCTGGGGGATCCACTCATCTGCCCTGCCGGATCCATGTTGACAGAGCAGCCGTCACCTGCAGCATGGCTGTTCATTGTGGCAGAGGGAAAGGGCACTGGGTGGTGTTCTGCATGAGCAATCCAATGCTGTGCTCCAAAGCCTCGTTCTCATTTCCTCTCATGTTACTGGCAGGATCTGTCACAAGGTCAGGAAGTTGATCCTACCATGTACCTGGAAGGCAGACAGCAAGAAAGAGTTGATGTATAGAAGTAGTGACTATCACTATATTAATTTGCGTCCATTTTATTATGGAAAACATGAGAAATTGCAAGTATACACGCTTTTCTAAAGTCACCAGGGAGTCAGGGCAAAGCTAGGCCTAGAATTCTGGCGTGGTCTTTCCTCGGGCCTAGAATTCCGGTGTGGTCTTTCTCCCTGAGATATCTAAAGAAGACTACATTGTGGGGCAATGAGAGTCCCACCCCATTACTATCTCTCTCTCAAACACAACAAACTTAAATTGTCTTCATAATTGTTCTGTTGACTGGCAAGCTCAGGGGCAAGGATTGACTGATCAATGATGGTGACTCACTGGCTGAACTTGTGAATTGGGTAACAAAAGGATCTTTTAAACAGTAGGCACAGTAAAAGAAAGTGTGTAAAAGTGGCTTCTCCCTCTGGCCTACTATCTTGTCCCTAGAACCAGATGGTGTCCTCCAGCCTGGGGGATGATAAAGCACTCAGCCCATATCCTCAATCCATGGTGTTCTCCCTTGGATTGTTGAAGTTTCCACCCAATAGTATCCCACAGCCTGCTCATATCAACCTGTAAGAACCAATCATATGCATCTTTTCTCAGCTTCACATTCAGGGAAGTCACAGGGGTGGCTTGAAGTCAGCCATGGCAGGAGTAATTACACCAGAGCAATTGGTGAAGCTACAAATCCGGCTTTGTTCTTCCAGAGAGCTGGTTATTAAAACTTTCCCGGCATATCATGGCTTCTGCTCTCAGTTCTTCACATAAGATTGATTTTTCCTTCATGCTCTTGCATGGCTTGTAGGCATACCTGGATCCTTGAGGACTTGAGAGCTTCTCTGAGAAGGAGGGCTCTGCCTCAACCCTTTTTAAAGTTCTTCTCTTCCTGGGCACATACTTACATGGCACTTGGTATTTGCCTGGCATATTCTAATCACTTACATGTATAAACTCTCTAATCCTTCAAACAACCCTGTGAAGAAGGCACTATTATCTTACAGATGAAGAAACTGAGGCACAGAGAGAATAGGGAAATTATCCCAGACCCCACAGCAAACAAGAAGCAGAACCAGGATTTGCACCCAGGTAGTCTGGCTCTCACATGTGTACTTGTAACCACACTCTACTGCCTCTCTCTTAGAGAACATACTAGAAGAATAAGAAAGTTTAAATTAATTAGAAAAATAATGTTAAATGTCACTTTTCTGAATATCCAACATCAGTTATGTCTGGCAAGCACATTGTTAAAAGTGGATTCCTGCCCTTGCTTCATATTAATCTATTGAACACTGGCTGCATGCCAAGCTCTGTGCTAAGTGATGAAAAGGATACAAGGATGACAGTAATATGAGAGAACATTTATTGTGCTTTTATGAAATAGGCACTGTGGCGGGTGCTGAAAGGGCTATAAAGGCAATGATAATGATGGGTGATGATGGTGATGGCAATGTCATCATTATTTGAATGCTTAATATGTGCCACACATTGTGCTGAGCAACATTGTGTTTCAACTTTGCTATGTCTTGTGAGACAAATATTTGTCCTTCTGTACCCATTTGGCAGTTGAGGAAACTGAGGCGTGGGGAGGTGTCAGAAGCCACACAGCATGTCAAGGAGTTCACAGTGGAAGCTGCTTCATCTATACTGTCTGCAAGGCAGCAGAGTTAGGCCCTTTGGGGTTTCTCCCTGTTGCCTGCAGGCACAGCTAAGCAGTTCCATGGATGTTCTAGCTCAGTTCTGTATATTTACTTTTTGGCCTCAAGGAGAGCTTTGGTGTTGTCAATCCAACACCCCTTTTGAATACAGATATAATGAGGGGAAGCCCAGTAAATCAAAAGTAAAAAGATTTTTCTAAACTTTTTTTAAGAAACATGAATCATTAGCATTCAGAAGGCGGCTACCCACCATAGACATCCTTGCTATTCATTCAGATTAACACATGGTGCCAATGAGACCAGAAACTCATTAGGTACTCAGTAAGGAGCTTAAAACCGAGGTGAGGACCTCTTCTTTCAATGTATACCCCACTTTGTTACTAGAACCTCCCATGGGAAAATCTGCAGTATGGATAAAACTTTGAATTTAGAATTATCACAATTAACTTTGAAATTAAACGTCACTATCAAATAGCTGGATGCACTTTTCAACAAATATGGTAGAACTTGTATTTCTCATTTGAATGTTTTTATCTTTAATGATGTTACCATTGAAGATTATTCTCTTATTCAACTGTGTTACCACTTAAAAATATTGATGGCTCTAATTTTAGAGTTGTTTTCTGGTTTAATCTAGGAAATGTGCAGAAAAAGCAACCTAGTGTGTGTGCATGTGTGCACATGTATGTGCCTGGGCCTGTGCATGTGTGTGTGTGGCTGTTACTGTGGAGTCCATATTTCTGGTTCTATTCAATCAGCCACCTTACTGAGTATGCTTAGTTGCCCATGACTTTGTGCTCTTTCTAAAAGTAAAATCCACCTGCTACAAATATTGTAACCGCAAAGGAGAGCCAAAATAACATGCTACGAGCTCTGCAGGGCAATTCTAAAAGAATAGTTCCCCAAATAGCTTGAGCAACAACGTCACTGGAATATGCAAGGTGAGTCCTTGGAAAATAAACTTGCTTATTTGTGTAATTTTTTTTTTTTTTTTGAGATAGAGTTTCACTCTTATTGCCCAGGCTGGAGTGCAATGGCACAATCTTGGCTCATTGCAACTTCCGCCTCCTAGGTTCAAGTGATTCTCCTGCCTCAGCCTCCCGAGTAGCCGGGATTACAGGCACCCACCCCTAGGCTCGGCTAATTTTTTGTATTTTTAGTAGAGACAGGGTTTCACCATGTTGGCCAGGTTGGTCTCGAACTCCTGACCTCAGGTGATCCACCTGCCTCGGCCTCCTAAATATTTGCGTAATTTTTTAAAGGGGATTTTTATCCCACTATTTCAAAAAGATTTGAAGCAGTCACTGACAGTTTAAATCAGTCACATTAGTTTATCCTAGCATTTCATATGACAAAATCTCTAGGAAATGCTTATTTTTGTTCAGATGAGAAGAAAAAAGACAAAGCCTTACGGTGAAGGGTGTGAACGGAGATATTTGGAGAAAAGAGATCATAAAAAACTTCATTTAAATATGAATTTGATACAATAAAAAGACATCACAAACAAATGGGATAAGGGGAAATTATTTTAAATCCTTGCCTTACATTATAGAACAAAACAAAACAGAGACAAGTGAAGGAGCTCAGTGTGAAAAATTACAATGACAATGACAAGTGCTGGCAAGGATATAGAGAAACTGGAATATTGCTGATGAGTGTAAAATGGGGCAGCCACTTTGGAAGATAATTGGCTGTTTCTTAAAACGTTAAGCATAAATTTACCATATGTCCCAGCAATTCCACTCCTAGGTATCTACTTAAGAGAAATAAAAATATATGTCCACTCAAAATCTTGCACATGAATGTTCACAGTAGTCTTATTCATAATATCAAAAGGTGCAAACAACCCAAATGCCCATCAATGGACGAGTGAGTAAACATGGCACATCCGTCAGTGGACAATTATTCAGCAATAAAAAGAAATGGCATACTGATACATGCTGCAACATGTCTAAACCTTAAAAATATTGTACTAAGTAAAAGGACTCAGTCAAAAAAGACCCTATATTGTGTGATTCCATTTATATGAAACGTCCAGGAATAGGGAAATCCATAGAGACAGAAAGTTGACGTTTGCCTAGGGCTGGGGTTAGGAATGCAGAGTAGTTACTCAATTGAGCATGAGGTTTTTTTGGAAGGGGGTGATAAAAATGTTTTAAAGTTAGATTGTGGTGGAGTTTACACAACTGTGCAAGTTTGTTAAAAATCATTGAATTGTCTATTTAAAATAGGCCAGGCACAGTGTTTCACACTTGTAATCCCAGCACTTTGAGAGGCCAAGGCGGGCAAATCGCTTGAGTCCAGGAGTTCAAGACCAGCCTGGGAAACACAGGGAGACCCTGTCTGTACAAAAAATACAAAAATTAGCTGGGTGTGGTGGCACGCACCTGTAGTTCCAGCTAAATAGGAGACTGAGGTGGGAAGATCACTTGAGCCCAGGAGGTCAAGGCTGCAGTGAGCCGTGATCATGCAACTGCACTCCAGCCTGGGCAGCAGAGTGAGACCCTATCTCTAAAAAAGGAAAAATAATAAAATAAGTGAATTTATGGTATGCAAGTTATACCTAAATAACATTGTTAAAAATAAGTACTAATACCTTGACTACCTTCTATCGATCTCTGGTTCCCAAACTTACATTTAATGTGAAAAATAACAAAGGGATGATAGATAGCGATTTTACACATTGTAACACAAAATAAAATAAAACACAAAGAATAAATTGACAATAACACTTGCCATACGTAAGGCAAAAAGTTAATTTACTTAGTTTGTAAAGACTTCATAGAAATCTATAATAAAAACATAGTAAGATCTCAATATGTAAATAACAAAGGGCATGAACAAACTAGCTCACCACCCCTTTGAAAAATGACGAATAAACAAAGGAAAATATATTCAACCCTAAGAATAATCAGAAAATGTAAATTTAAAGAGCTATAATTGTCACCAATTAAAATAGGAAATATATTTTAAGAACATTATTTCATACTCATCTGGGCATGGTGGGACAAATCTCCTTGTATGCTGTTGGATTAAACATAAAGGAGGACATCATTTTAGAAATAAAATTTGGCCATTTGTCCCAGATACCTGAAAAATATCTACCACCTTTGGCTAAATAATTCCACTAGCTTAAGAAAATAATTTAGGATGTGGAAAAAACAGTGTACAGAGATGTTCAATTGAGGAGTATTTATAATAATAAATAATAGGGAACTACATGTCTCATTATCAGAGAACGTTTAAGTAAACTCTTCAACATTCATACCAAAGAATACCATTAAAAATGTCTGTGAAGAGTTGATAATAATATGGGAAAATACTTGAGTTATCATATTCAGTAAAGAAAAAAAATCACCAGAGTACAAATTGTTAAGTGAAAAAAAAAAAATCACATTAGGATACAGGATCATTTCAATTAATAAAAAATATGTAGAAAAAATGCTAGAAGGAACTAGACTAAAGTATTAAGTGTCACCACCTCTGGGTAGGTGAGATTTTCAAATATTCATTATAATAATATTTGTACAGTCATAACACATAATTTAATGCTCTTTTTAAAATGGAACTCTTCAAAGCAAAAGACCAAAGGTGGGTATTCCAGAATAGCTCATTGCCTGTGTCTCTAAGGTCATCATAACCTTACCTATCAAAAATCTGCCCTGGGTGAAGTGTCACAATGATTTGGTATGATACATTAAAATTTAACACATGGAACAGAATGCTGTACTCTGTACTGTTCATATACTTTTTAAAACAACTAACTGCTAGATTGGCAGCAGTAAGTTATTTTGCAAGACAAAGTTAGCAAGGCATCCACCAACTGGGGCCGTCCAGTATTATCCATGGCCTATATTTGTTGCATTTGATCATAGCCCAACAGAGCAATTGCTACCATATATCAAAAGCAACCCTGCAATTAAGTCAATTCAGGCCCAAAGTCAGTCAACGCAATGAGACAAATAAGGTTCATTAAAAAAACAGTCAGTTGGCATCATATGAAGCAAAACTGATTGACTGAACTTCTGAGTTTTCAACTGATTTGCATAGTGCTCTGAACACTGTAACTGGCAGCCATTTTGCTTAAAGTACAGACTGTTTCCTGTTACACTATTTCACCAGAGCCAATAATAACTTTTAAAAAATCTTCTATAATTATCAAGGTACCAATGTTTATATTCCAACTGACAACCACCCAAGGTGCAGCCTAAATGAACTGCAGGAATTGGAAGGAAATGGCCTCCTGCCTTAGACCCAGCAGAAATCCTTAAGAAAATAGGCCTTTCAGATTTGACTTCTAGAAAAATAGCAAAGGGGCAGATTCTGACAAACGCTATCCTGCTGAAATCAGCTACAATTCCCAGAACTACTTCCCATTACATATTCACAAATGGCTATTACAGCCCTTAGTGGCTACAAAAGTTTCCTTGGAACCCTGGAGACTGTTATGTTGCTACAGTTGTTTTTCTTCTTTTTTGTCCTTTCTGCCCAGAGATACTTATTAGACTAGGAACATCTGTACCATTAGACTCTCTAAAGGAAGTGGGGCAGCCACCAGCCCAATGTGGCCATCAAATACTGCCCTGGAGGTCAGAAATCCTAGGGTCTGGTCTTAGCAATTTCATTTACAGTAAAACTTTGGTTAAGTCAATCCTTTTGTCTCCTGGGCACTGCATAAAAAAATGAAAAGTTTGAATAGTTTAATATTCAGTAGTTTGGCAAACCAGATCATCTGAAATTCTTCCATAAAATACAAAACAAAATAATAATTGATTGAAATGTATAGTTAACATCACAAGAAAGTAAAGTAAATCCTCAAAGGACAAAAAAAAATGAAGTAAAAGCATGAATTCAGTATTTTTTTAAAATGTTAAAGGCAAGGTAGCCCTGGGAACACTTGAGTGTATTCACTCAGCAGGAAGACAAAAGATGAGGCCTTGGGCCCTTGAGGGTAGAAAATCAAAAGGCAGACACTCCCTTTCTCCACCCCAACTTCATAAGTTAAGTTAGATCTTCCAAAAAACTACCTACAGCTTCAGGGAAAAGGTAAATAACAGCAAAAACGAGAACAAAACTGTCACATGGGGCAGTGGCTTTGGGTAAAAGGGGAAGTAGTCCCCTGGAGAATTAGGAACTTCAAGCCAATACACATGCATTCATTCATCAAGTATTTACTGAACACCTATTAGTGCCTGTCTGTGAGCTAGACATTGGACATAGAGCAGTGAACACAGCAAGTAAGCCCTGCCTTGAAAGAGCTTATATTCCAACAGTGGAAGACAGACAAGAAGCAAACAAAAAGGATACGTCAGGCAATGATGCATGCTAAGAAGAAACATTAATAAGGGTAAGCCTATTAATAAGTGACTGGCTGGGCAGGTGTAAAATTTTACACGGTTTGGTGAAGGAAGGACTGCTGGATAATAATGTAACATCTGAGTAAGACTTGAAGGAAGTGAGAAAGTGATCCATGCAGGTGTTGAGGGGACGTCAAGTACAAACACCCCTACACCAGGCCTGCCTGAGGAATAGAGAGGTAGCTGGAGCAGAGTGAACCAAAGAAGAGGGAGAAGAGAGGGTCACAGAGACAGCAGAGGCCCAGGCCACAGAGGACCCAGTGGGCCATGCAGTGACCTGGAATTTATTCTAAGGAGACGAAAAGACCTTGCAGGATGAGTTAACGTGTAGAAGGCTCACTCTGAGTGCTGTGTGGAAAACCGACTGCAGGGGAGCAGGAGAGGAAACAGAACAGCAGTTATGGACAATAGGCCAAGCAAGAGGCAATGATTTATGACTGACACAACTTGATGTCATGGAGATGACAACCTGGCCTAACTGGAAGGGCCAAAAGGACATCCTGACTGATTGGAAGTGGGTTTCAAGAGAAGGAGATGATCAAAGGTGACTTCAGGATCATGGCCTGGCTAACTGGAATACAGCTGGTTTCTCTGAGATGGGAAAGGGTGGAAAAGAATAGGTAGATGAATTGGTGGAGGTCCCTAGTTTAGGCGTGGACATATTCACTTTGACAGCATCATGGAGCTACAGTTGGAGATACAATTATTAAAAGAAAATCTAAAGCCGTAAAAGGCTCATGTTAGCATAGAAGAAAGACTGAAAAACAGATGAACTAAACATCCAACCTAAGAGATTAGAGGTAGATATGGAAATTAATGTAAGCAAGTAGAAGGCAGGAAATGTTTACAAAAGGAATGAAGTGAGTAATAAATGTACCTTTGAGAGGCTCGATCCAACTAATGTTCAATCTTTGAAAAGAAACTGGTAAAATTAGCAAACCTCCAGCAAGACTGCCAAGGTAATGAGGAAAGGTACGAGTAGAGAAATAGTAGAAATCAAAGAACACAACAAATGATTTGAAAGAAAGCCATGCATGTTACTGCAAATCTGGCTCTAAGGGAGGCAAATTCTGACACTTTCAGGTTTGTATGCTGAACTGGGGAACAGTGGCAACACTGATCTCAGCCAGTCCTACAAAGGAGCTTCTGTAGGGATGGGCTGGCCTGACAGAATTGTCCAGAATTGAGGCAAGAACTGGGTCTTTAAACTCATGCACTGGCCAGACATAGGATGGAATCTGCCCTGAGAAGTGAGCCTGAACTTAGCACGGCAGCCAAGGGCAATCCTGAGAGAGCTGTCAGCCACCAGTACTCCCGGAATCAGAAGGAATGGGTGCTTCTGTCCTGGGGGTGCTGAGAGAGTGTCTAGGGAGCACAACCCATTATCAATTACGAGTGTTATGCCAATACGCTTTGATAAAATAGACAAGTTCCCCAAAAGTATAACTTTCCAAAACTGATTTGAGGACAGAAAACTTGACTGTTCTCATTACCTTAAAATGAATTCGATCAATGGTTGTAGATTTTGTCTTCTCACAAAGAAAGCATCAGTAAGCTCTTACAAACATTCATGCATCATACAAGCTCTTAAGAGAAGAAAAAGGACAAGAAGAGGGAGAGGAAGATGAGGGAGAGAAAGAGAAAGGAGGAAAGATGAACGGTCCAACTAACGTCATAAACCTAATGTACCAAACGGAGACAAGAGAAATTATATAATAATTTCACTCATGAACACAAATGCAATAATTCTAAATACAATATTAGCAAATGAAATCTACCAATATTTAAAAAATAAAGCACGCACCTATAGTCCCAGCTACTTGGGAGGCTGAGGCAGGAGAATCACTTAAACTCGGGAGGGGGAGGTTGCAGTGAGCCACGGCACTCCAGCCTGGTGACAGAGCGAGAGTCCGTCTCAAAAAATATATATGAAAAATAAATAAAATAAAATAAAATACATATGACTAAGGTGAGTTTAATGCTAGAAAATCTTTTAATGTAATTTACCTCAATTAAAGGTGTAAATAGGCCTTTCACCACAAAGAAATCTTAAATGGTGAACATATATAAGGTGTTCAAGCTCATTAACAAATCAGGGAAATATCAGTCTGAACCTACTGAATTGACCCCAAAACTTTTTTGATCTGACAGTATGAAGGGTAAGCAAGACTGCGGTGTAACAGAAAACCTTATACACTGCTTGTGGGAATATAAATGGACACAATCACTTTGGTAAACAACTCATCATTATCCAGGGCACTGAAGGTGCATATACCCTACAACCCTGGCCCTCCACTCATAGGTTTATACCCTGGAGAAACTCTTTTCTGAGGGCACTAAAGGACAAATACAGGAGTATACAAAGAGACAAAGTTTGTAAGAGCAAGAACTCTATCCAAATGTCCAACAACTACAACAACAAAAATAAAGCGTGGTACACTCATCAAAGGAGATCACATTTCACTGAAAAATGAATAAACTAGAGCTACTTGTATCAACATGAATGAACCTCACATCATGTTGCATTTTTTTCAGAAGAATACATACAGAATGATACAATTTACAGTAATCTTCTATTATCCACAGGTAATAGGTTCCCCCCAGTAGATGTCTGAAGAGTGGGTATTACTAAACCCTATATATACTATAGCTTTTTGACCTGATCACCAAGAGGACTACCAAGTGACTCATGGCCAGGTGATGTATACAGTGTGGATATGCCGTACAAAGGATGATTTACATCCTGAGCCAGACAGAGTAGGCCCACACAAGATTTCATCACACTGCTCAGAACAGTGCACAATTAAAAACTTATGAATTGTTTATTTTTTTAAATTTCTATTTAATATTTTTAGACCACAGTTTACTGCCAGTCGTTGAAACTCCTGAAAACAAACCATGGATGGGGGAAAAGACTGTATAAACTTCAAAAACTTATAAATCTAAATGGTCATATTGTTTAAGATTATAAGTAGTGTGTCCAATGGGCTTAACAGGCCTGACACAGGTTGGGCATCTATATCTGTAGTAAAACCTTACAAAAAAAAATGATAAAAATAAAATTCAGCCAAAGATTTACCTTGAGGTAATGGAGATAATTACCTTGAGGATTTACCCTTGAGGGCAGAGGGCATGAGGGACTAGATTGGGGAACTGACCCACTAGCATCTTCAACAGTGCCAGGTGTGTAGCACTTCTTAAACTGGTTGTGGATATGTGGGCATGCATTCTTTATAATACAGACATATATGTTTACGTTATTTTTTGTGAATATTGTATTTGAAAGTTTTAAAAATACAGTGGGTTGACCAAATAACTAAAACCCTTCTTATTGCTTGAAATTCAACCTGTGTGACTTCTCACTGCTCTCACCTGCCTATTGGAAAATAATAATGTTCTCACAGGATTTTGTAAAGATGAAATTAATTAGGGCACATAAACTGCTTGCATTGTACCAGACATATATGAAGTGCTCAATGAATGGAACTAATAGAACAACTATTCTCCTCCTTGTTACCACCAGGACTACCACAAGTGCATCATTAATCTTACGACTGAGGCAAGGAATTATTAAAATCCCTAACAAAGAAAGAAGTTGTCAAAGAATATCTTGTATCATTGGACCTTGGACTGTTGGACTCCCAGGTTTCAACATTATTCAGATGCTTGCAGCAAAGTGAGTACATCTTTTTCGCTCCACCCTGCAGCTGGCTTGGTTCTGACTGGAACCGTGGGCTGAGTCCAAAGGCTTGTTTTCGTTAGAGTCATGATGGCTAATGCTGAGAACACAGCCCCATGGTTTTACCTCAACAGCCACGTTTTTCTCAAGGAATGTGAAGAAAGCTGTTTCCTGCTGCTTAAAGAATGTGATTACCTCATTCAAAACTGACTGTCCAACCTGCCTCAGGCCTTCTAAGCCCGTCAGACAGACACATTTCTCACCATGACTTGGGTCTTCCTCATTTGCTCATGACCTGCATTTTTCCCAATCTGGTCTACAACAGACATGGAACCCTTGGCTCTATGATTCTCAGCGTCTCTCTGCCATCAGGCATTTTGGACTTGACCCTGCTTTAGTCTCCCTGTCACTGACATTGCAATTATTCCTATCAAACGATAGCTGGTCTCATCCTATGGTTCTCTGTCTTTTGGGGTGCAATGAATGGGAAAATGTTTCCTGGTTCCAGGCTCAATCCTAGTGGCTTTAAGATGTTTTTGGCTACAAGTAACAGAAACTTGAACTCAAATTGACCTACATAATACAAAGACAGTATTGGCGCAGTAACGAAAAACTACAGTGATAGAGGAAGCTTTGGTGACCCAGTGACAACACCAAAGATACAGCTTCTCCTCCTCTTCTCTTCTATGGTGCCTGCTTCACCCTAAGGCTCACTCTCTTCATGTTTGCAAAATGGCTGGAAGCAGCTTTAGGGACTGCTTGTTTCCTCAATTATGTCCAGCAGGAAGTGGGAAAAAAAAATCTCTCTCCCAATAGCTCTCTCAGAAGTGAAACATCTTTTTTTCCAAAAGTCTCTGGAAAGAGTTTCTCTTGATTCATTGGTCTGAATTGGGTTGTGTGTTCTAAACCAAGCGCTGTGGCCTGGCGATGAAGTATGTTGATTGAAGATCAGCTAATCAGAACCTAGGACTATGCTTATGGAGTGAGGTCTCCTCCCAGAGCATGTAGGCTGGTAGAAGAGGCATGATACCTGTGCTCTGTTTGACCTTCACCTTTGCTCCACTCTCTGCCCTAAGAAGCTAACTCTTCAGAATGCATCACTCCAGCTTTTTGATTTCTGACTTATAGCTGAATTTGATCTTGGGAACACCAACAGAAGATCAGAGGGTGGAGAGAAAACTGGATCAGGACAACTATTTCCCCAGCTGGCTCCTTGCCTTGCTGTGGTTCTGACAGTGGCTGTGTTCCTCTAGAAGGGCGACTCCACTTGGGCCACCCTTCCAGCTCCAGCTCTTGCCAGGCTCTGGTAACATTATTCCCTCCCTTATCCCATCTGGCCCAGAGGTGGTAACAGCTCCCTCCTCTTGCCAGTCCCTAGCTGCTCCAGCATTCCTTGCTGGTCCTTGCTATGGTCTGAATGTTTGCGTCTCTCCAAAATTCATATATTGAAATCTTCACCTCCAAGGCGATGGTATTAGGAGAGGGAGCCTTTGGGAGATGATTAGATCATGGGTAGAACCTTCATCAGTGGGATTGGTGTCCTTATAAAAGAGACTCTAGAGAGACCCCTCACCCCTTCTGCCATGTAAGGTTAGAGTGAGAAGATGGCTGTCTATGAGAAGTAGATCCTCGCCAGACACCAAATCTGCTTGTGCCTTGATTTTGAACTTCCAAGCCTCTAGAACTGTGAGAAATAAATTTCTGGGCTGGATGTGATGGCTCACGCTTCTAATCCCAGTGCTTTGGGAGGCTGAGGTGGGAAGATCATTTGAGGCCATGAGTTTGAGACCAGCCTTGGCAACATAGAGAAACCCTATACCTAATAAATAAATAAATAAATAAATAAATAAATAAATAAATAAATAAATAAAAGGTTAGCCAGCTGTAGTGGCATACACTTGTAGTCCCAGCTACTTGGGAGGCTAAGGTGGGAGGATCGCTTGAGCCCTGGAGGCAGAGGTTGCAGCCAGCTGAGATCATACCACTGACTCCAGCCTGGGCAACAGAGTGAGACTCTGTCTCTAAGGAAAAATAAATTCCATTGTTTACAGGCTACCCAGTTTATGGTATTTTGTGATAGCAGCCTGAACAAATGGACAGTCTTCATTCTACCCATATCTCTGTAATGAGCCCCTTCATTAAACTATGTGATTTGCCGTCTGTTTCCTTCCTAAACCTTGACTAGTACAATACCTGAATGAAAATTGAGAAATTACTACCCAGAAGAAAGGAGAACGGACACTAGGTAGCCAAAAAAACAGCAAATGTGTACCATGATCCACTACGGATTACATAGGTAAGCAATATTAAAGCACACACATGTACAATAGCAGCCTCGTCTCTTGTTAGAGAAATGCTCTCATAACTCCCTGACAGCAAAGAACTGCCAGTTGCTTCATGAGCTCAACCTCAGGTAGAAAAATACTCAGCCCTTCAGCTCTGCCGTTCCTGCCAGCAAATGCGGCCTGACTGCTCATAGGACATTTCAGTAATCAACTGGAAAATGAAAAATAGAAAAACACAGGGGGAAGAATGAGAAGAAAGAGAATCCCAGAATCTAACAGAACCTAAATGAGTTATTTCACCAAAAAAAAACAAAACAAAACCCAAAATCAAAAAGCAAACTTCGCAAGCTCCCATTCATTGCACCCCAAAAGACAGAGAACCTGGTAATTTGACCAGACTTCTGTAACAGCCACAGGACACCTTCCCCCAACTTACTATTTCAAGCCCTTCCACCCCCTCCACATAATGACTCATTGTAACCCCAGGGAGAGAGGATTTTCCTGCTCACAAAAGCACAAAGACAGGTTAGGCCAAACCAGTTTCAAGGAGAGGAGATCTATGTAGGAAAGGGGACCCAAATTGTAACAGCCACAGGACACCTTCCCCCAACTTACTATTTCAAGCCCTTCCACCCCCTCCACATAATGACTCATTGTAACCCCAGGGAGAGAGGATTTTCCTGCTCACAAAAGCACAAAGACAGGTTAGGCCAAACCAGTTTTAAGGAGAGGAGATCTATGTAGGAAAGGGGACCCAAATTGTGGATATTTGGGCCTGCCACATAGGAGAACTTCTATTGGGCAGGAAAGATTGCAAAGTATACCTATACAATTAGGAAGCGTATATTGGAAGATGTGAAAGGATAGACAGATTTAGGACTGTGCTATTCCAAAAAGCTACCCACCACTACTCATTCAGGAAAGAATGAGTCCTTGAACTGGTATAACTGGTTGTCAACTGAGATGAATTAAAGAACAAAACTGCTGGGCTTTGTCATGATGAACATGTGTGTATACGTATGTGTGTAAGATCATCCACCACCGATCACGTTCTCCTTTGTCCTCTCAACTCCTTTGCAGGTTCACAACAGTGTTATGGCGGGAGCAGGGAGGCACCTACATCCATTGGACCCATCCTGACAGCTGGGAAGGATGTGTCCAGCCACCCAGGGATGTGCATCTGGCACCCACCTCACAACAGCTGTTCTAACCACGTAAGAAGCACAAGGGTCACCGGTTACTCTCCATGAGAACAAAAGGCCAAGGATGCAGAGATAATTGCATCAAAGGGATTCAACTTCCTGGATGACCTCATTCCAAAGATCTGCAGAGCCCAGATAAGCATCCCAGGGTTCTGGCAGAGGGCCCCTCCAGGGACAGGAAGGGGACAGGAAGCCGGCTTTCCGTGTCTGTACCGCCTTCCTTGGGAAGGATAGGACACCTGTGGCCATCAAGTCATGATGCCCCATGCTGTCTCCCGCCAACTCCACAAGAAAGGCAAATGAGTGTCACATCGCCCCCAGAGTCATGACTCTGCTGATCCCACATGGGCCCCATAGAGGGCTTTTCCTTCTAGGTCTTCACCATAGATTTCTCATATTTTCATTTAAACAGATTTGTATGTAATTCTTGAATGTTTCCTTTCTTTCATATTCTCAAAAAATACATTAAGACTAGTAAGAATAGGTAAAAAAAAATTGGTACATCTCAGAAGATAATATGTGAGACTAATAGCTATAGTTTGCAATAAAGAAAATTAAATGAGGTTTCTAAGCACTTATGTATTTATTCTCTAAATGTTTTTGAGCCCTTTCTATGCCAGACACAACTCCAAGTCCAGAGACGGAAAGATAAAATGTTCCTTATGCTCGAAGAGCACATAGATTTGTTAGAAGTCATAGATACTTAAACAAATGATTATATAATAAGTTCTACAATGTAATTTTATCCTTGGGAATTCTGCTAATATTACAAGGAATAATAAATAGTCAAAATAAGAGTCCTTTATCAAAATTTATTTTTATACTGCTCAGTTTTGCCCTAGAATTTGTTAATTTATTCAATATTCTCAGCCCAAATCATTCTACAATGGTGGAAAGATTCTAAATCTATGCTGTCCAGTGGAGTAGCTACTAGCCACATGTGGCCAGAAGTACTTGAAATGTGACTAGTGTGACCGAGGAACTGAATTTTAAATTTTATTTAATTTTAACTCAGGTCAATGTAAATAGCCACATGTGGTTAACATAGTTCCAGAGTTCTAGTCCCAGATAGATCTGGCCAGATTTACCGAAACAAGTGAAGGTTAATCAATTGTGATTAAAATCAAGCAACACACCAATGTGAATGGCCAATGAACCATTCAAGAAAGAATCACCTGCCTGCCCACCTGCACCCACTCAACCTTGAATGTCTGGAAGAAAACGAGCCTGTTAGACACAGCAGGAAAGGAGGTGGAAAGTGTAACCATAAGGCAAGGTCAAGCAGCTCAAACAGAAGCACCAGGCACAAACAAACCACAGAGAAAAGCTGGAGGGACAGCACGAAGCTGGTGAGTGTCAAAACGAAAATAAAAGCAAGTTCAAGCTCAAGTCCAATTTTTAAACACTTGAGATTTTAGAAAAATAAGTAGAATCTAATCCAAAAGCCATTTATTGACAACCCTCCATCAGTAAATTTTTTCTGAACATTTTCTGTAGGCTCAGCACCAAGGGGGGTGGTTATTAAGAAGTCTATAGTAACATCAGTCTCCACCTTAAAGAATCTTAAAATTTGCTTGAGAGACCAAATGCATACACATAAAATCGTGAGAAACTGAGACAAGACAGTATTCAGTAAAGCACTCAATTGTATTTATTTAGCCACATCTAAAGCTCACCTGTGCACGATACGCACCGTGGGCAGAGAGGTAAAGAGAGAAGTGAGCGTAGGTTGCTCTCACCTGGATGGGCTTCATGGAGACCAGCAGGTGTGATATAAGACTCAATTCAAGTTAGCCTGGCCTCCATCTGCCTGCAGTAGCATCCTTTATCAGCTCCACCCTACTCCTGCTTCTGCCAGAATGACTTGCAGTTTCCTAATGTACCTGCCATCTCTCAAGCTGAGCCACTGCGTGGGCAGAACACGGTCTGGTGGACCCGCCTGGCATGCCCGGACTCTGGAGGTGCAGACTTGTGTTGAATTCCAGCCTCACCAATCCTTAGGTGGCTGAACTCAGGCAAATTCCTTAACATCTCTAAGCCTTGTTCCTACTGTGTAAAATGAGAGTAATAATATTATCCAGCCGTAGGGTTTTTTGGTGAGAATTAAATTAGATAAATAAAAGGCTTATACAGAGAAATCATTTTTTTCCACTTTTCATACTTTTTTAAAAAAATCAACTTTATTAAAGTATTGACATACAAAAAGCTGTACATATGTAATGTGTACAACTTGGTGAGTTTGGAGATAAGTATACATCCATGAAACCATCACCACAATCTGTGCCATAAACATCCATCACATCAAAAAGATTTCTCCCATCATCATTTATTTGTGTGTGTGTGTCATGAGAACACTAAAAATCTATCCCTTAGCCATTTTTTTAAATTTAAGTTCACGGTCACATGTGCAGGTTTGTCATATAGGTAAACTTGTTATGCAGATTATTTCATCACCCAGGTATTAAGCCTACTATGTATTATTTTTCCTGGTCCTCTTCCTCCTCCCACCCTCCACCCTCCAATAGGCCCCAGTGTCCGTTTTTCCCCTCCTCGTGTCCATGTGTTCTCATCATTTAGCTCCCACTTACAAGTGAGAACATGTGGTATTTGGTTTTCTGTTCCTGTGTTAGTTTACTAAGATAATGGCCTCCAGCTCCATTCATGTCCCTGTAAAGGACATGCTCTCATTCCTTTTTAAGACTGCATAGTATTCCATGGTGTATACGTACCACATTTTCTTTATCTAGTCTATCACTGACAGGCATTTAGGTTGTTCCTGTGTTTTTACTATTGTGAACAGTGCTGCAGTGAACATACAGGTGCATGTGTCTTTATAATAGAACGATTTATATTCATTTGGGTCTATACCCAGTAATGGGATTTCTGGGTCAAATGGTATTTCTGGGGCAAAGATTTCATGATGAAGACAACAAAAGCAATTGCAACAAAAGCAAAAATTGACAAATGGGATCTAATTAAACAGCTTCTGCACAGCAAAGGAAACTATCAACACAGTGAACAGACAACATACAGAATGGGAGAAAATTTTTGCAAACTGTATAGCTGACAAGGTCTAATACCCAGTATCTATAAGGAACTTAAATTCACAAGCTAATTTTAAAGTATACATTATAAACTATAGGCACTGTGCTGTACAAATCCCTAGAACCTATTCATCTCGCATAACTGAAACTTTATACCCACTAGTACCTCTCCATTTCCTCCTCTCCCTCGTTCCTAATAACCACCATTCTATTCTCTGTTTCTATGAGTTTGACTATTTTAGATTCCTCAAACAAGTGGTATCATGCAGTAGTTGTCTTTCTGTGTCTGGCTTACTTCACTTAGCATAATGTCTTCCAGGTTCATCCATGTTGTCACATATGGCGGGATTTCCTTCTTTCTTAAGACTGAATAATATTCCATTGTGGGTATATACATTTTCGTTATCCATTCATCTGTCAATGGACATTTAGGTTGCTTTTATGTCTTGGCTATTTTAAGTAATGTAGCAATGAACATGGAAGAAGTGCAGATATCTCTTGGACATACTGATTTCATTTCCTTTGGATATGTACACAGAAGTAGAATTGCTGGATCATATGACAGTCCTGCTTTTTAAATCCTGAGGAACCTCTATGCAGTTTTCCATGATGGCTGTATTAATTTACATTTCCATCAACAGTGTAAAAGGTTTTTCTCTTCTCCACATCCTTGCCAACACTTCTTATTTGCTTTTTTGGTAATACCCATCCTAACTAGCATGAGGTAATATCTCACTGTGGTTTTAATTTGCGTAACTCTGATAATTAGTGACGTGATTATTGAGCATATTTTCATATATCTATTGGTCAAGTGTACATCTTTTTGGGAAAACGTCTATTCATTTTCTTTGCTCATTTTTTAATCAGATTTTGTTATTTCATTATTGAGTTGTAGGCACACTCTAACATACATTGGACATGAACCCTTTATCAGTGTATATGATTTGCAAATACTTTCTTCCATTCCATAGGTTTCTTTTTCATTTTGTCGATCGTTTCTTTTGCTGTGCAGAAGGTTTTTACTTTACCTGACAATTTTCAACCCATCTTTTAAGGTTCTGCTCAGGTATTTCCTGTCCCGAGAAACTCCCCCACGTTTTCTTCCCTTGTTGTTGTTGGGTTCCCTTCCCAAGGAACAGCATCCTGAGCTCTCCCATGGCCAACAAAGTCATACGCACTGCTTCTCCTGAAATACTTCCAGTATATGCTTGGTGTCCTATGCAGTTTTTCGCACTTGTCCCACATGTTTTATTTTTCTACATAATACTGTTAGTGAAGATTGCATTAAAATAATTGGAGTAAGTTTGGTAGATGTCCACTTTGTACTTCCAGCTTCTACCATGGTCTGGTCTGCAAGTATGTAAGATGTATGAGCAGGGAACAAGGTTCTCACTTTCATGCATGCTTAAATCTGAAAGATGATCAGCAATAACTTGTCTTTTTTATTGAGATTTTCTAGATGAAGCTGAAACATGTGAGAGCTAACATTTCCCTTTGAAGGGCTGGCTGCTGATAAAATGAAGTATATATAACTCCTAGTCTTGGAAGGTGGTGGGAAATGGATTCCACACTGCTGCTCCTGCCAGAAATTTGGTGTGCCTACCAGTTGTGTCTTGGCCAGTTTAGTGGCCTGAAAGTTGCACAAAGCTACCAGGCTTCCAGTCAGTATAGCCTAGAAAATGAAAAGAAATGATACATTTGGTGCCTGTGTAAAGTATGTGGGAATTAAAAGCCCTGTGATAAGTGTATAATGAGAAAACTGAATACTCTCCTTCATTTATAAAATGGGATAAAATCTCAACTATTTTATTATTTGGTGACATTTTTATTTGGTAATAAATGTTTTCAGCAGCAGCTGAATAAAACAAAAAAAAGTGCATGTTAAATGAAAAACTAAGTACTGAATTTCCATGTAATAAGAAATCTGGCCAATATGTAACTTGTAAATGATAGTAAATGTTTGATGACATTTACTATCCAACATGGGGGGTCCTGGTGATATCACTAACCACGTGAAAACCAGACCCTAATCTACTAAAGAAGCACCAGCTTCTACCTCACACATCAGAACTGTTTTAAGAATGCCGTGCCCCTAAACAGTTTCACTTGTGCAGCTGCAGAAGGTGTGTTTACATATCATCCTGTGAAGCATGACTTTTCATCTAGATCAAACAATAATTCTTTAAATTAATTTTGACTATTCTTATTCCAAGTCCGTACATACAAAAAGTGAACTGATACCTGCACATGTGATGGCTACATTAGCAAAAGAGCTGCCACATAGCTGTATGAAGCCCTTTGCTATTAGAATCCTGATACTTCAGATTATCAGCTAGTTCCAATGAAGATTTTTTTTTTTTCATACAAGTCATGAAATCAAAGTAAAACTTTTGGAAGCTTATTCTCAGGTAAAACGTCTGACATTGTTGGGACTGCTGCTATAAATTCAGTTCAAAAGTTCCATATTGTTCAAAAGGTCAATATTGAAGACATGTTTTTATAGTAGTAATAGGAATACAAAATTTTGGGGGAGCACAGGTTCATGGAAAAATAATGTTCTTACTAAATTCATAAAGTAACAGACCAGAACTTGGAAGTGATTGTGGGCACATAATTCATAAATGTGTCCAATCCACTGTGATTGATATTCCACTAAAGGAAATAGAAACTATCATCATCAAAAATTACAAATATTTCTACATATAAGGTAACTATAGTATGAAATTCTTGTGGCAGAGCTTATATGAAGTATCCAACCACCCTCTACACCCCAATAAAACACCAGTATCAATCAAATGAAAAAACCTCATGCATCAACAATAACAATAGAAACTTCAGCTTGGGCGTACACATTTTCTGTTGCTCATCAGTAATCTGATTTTAGAAACATTTGAGCCTTTAAATAACTACTTGGCAAATCAGCCTACGCCTTTTGAAATAATTCTTTAAATGTTGGTTGCATTTTGATGAAAATTAATTGGAATATTTTGATAAATTATTCAATAAATGGAGTACAAAAATTTCAGGTTGTGGAGCTTTTTATGAATTACAATTATCTAAAACGAGCTTACTTAGGGACAATTTGAAATTGTTTCTACCAGATCGAGGGGGGAAATTAACAAATTAAACTGTGGGAGCTCAGAGGTATATGCTACCTTGACTTGTGGGAAGGATCTTTTGATGAAGTTTCTACTTTTAATTGGATCAATTTCTATTCTGTACTGAAATGGAATATAATTAAAAGTCCTTCAATTTTACAACATTTAACTTGGGTGAAACATTCAAAAGAATAATCTTAGGTAGAAATTATTTGACAAGCTGTATTTTGTAATATCTGATGGGGTATCTTGTAAAAATATTTGTTGAATAAAGATAAATGGGGGCCAAATACATACCCTGTAAAGTTATTCAGGCTGAAATATTAACACAATTCAATATAAAAATGTTAAAATTGAGAATACTCCCCATTTAGCCGCATTTGCTCTTAGCTTACTAAATAATTCAGCATCTGTAGAGAGAGTATTTTCTCAACTAAAAATATTTTGGACCACAAAAAAGGTCAATTTCAAGTTTATTAATCACAAATTACAAAAATAATATGGCAGACAGTTTTATTTAAAAAATTAAAAGCTTGTTTTCAGAATGTGGCTTAGAAAAGGAATTTAAAAAATAGAAAAATTAAAAGCAAAAGACACTGAAATAACATTCTTCAAATATGCTAGTGACATACTGCATTACAGGTAGATATGACTAAGAAACTGATTATACTATGTGACTATATACTAATAATTATTCCACTTATATTTTCTTAATTTAAAATTATTCATTTAAAAATTGTGCTTTAATATTCTATTTTAAAAAGTAGAATATTAAAATATATGTTAAATTATATATTAAAATTTATTTAAATTGTATATTTTAATATTTAGTATATTTGACATTAAAATATTTTTAATAAAAATTTTTTTCTAAATAGAAAATGTTATTTTCTATCTTTAAAAAGAGTTTTATTTTTATATTTTTAATGTAACTATTTATAATTTACCACTATGCTGGAATTAATTTGTTAGTCAATTCCTAGTTTCAAAAACTCCATAATTTGTATTATTTTAGTATTCCCTTCCTATCTCAAGTGTCCCAGGTTGGATAAATTCTAGGTTTACCCTGGCCACAGCTCACAGCAGCCTGTGTCAGATTGTTTATGCATCATTCTTTCCCACCCTATTGGACTTCCTTGAGAGCATGGATTCAATTTCCTGACTCTGTATCCCTTCAGTTGCCCTTACCATGCGCCAGGCACTGTTGAACTATTTTAATCCTCATTAACCTCTGTGTTGAACATTCTAATTACCCCCATTTACAGATGAGAAAATTGAGATGGGGAAGAGGTAAAGTAATTCAATTACAGTCTGTGAGACAAAGTCGCAAATGTAAGAAGCGAAGTTTGCTCATTTCTGTTTGCCAGCATAATTTCACAAGCCCCTGACTCTGTACCGCTCTCCAAAAGATGCTTTGAAGACAAAACAGGATAGAACACATGGCCCCCCACATCTCTTGCCTGAGTCACTGTATTCCTTAAAATAAATGGCCCTAGTCCTTGCCTTTTCCTACACATAAAATAATGTCTGATGGGGTTAGTGGTTATGCTTCTACAATGTATAACCAAATGTTTTTTAGTAATCTATAACCAGACGTACTCTTACACCCCAACTGTGATGTGAATTTGCACATACTGCGGCTTCACCACCTGTATATAAACTGTGAACTGAAATACTGCTTTGGAGCAGTCTGACAGATGTGCTCCTGGCCTACAGGCCTCAGTAAGACTTTTGAATAAAACTAGCTTTAATTCTTTAAAAGCTTGACTTTTCTTTCTTTAGTCAGCAGGTCCCAAATTCTAGACCATGGGATTTGGGTGGGATTTGGCCACCCTGGGATTTGGCTGGATAGTCCATGCTCCTATGCTCCTACCCACTTCCCATATGGCCCTTTCTGGGTAAATGTTCTCTGTAAGTACTTGTGGAATGAATAAAACCCAAATGAATGAATGAGTGATGAAGAGGGCAATGGTGCTCATTGCAACAATGATGGGTAAAAAGACTGCAGTGAGCGGAAGTGCCTACCACACAGCTTCATATTCATAGCCCAGGACTGAAAGGTTCTGAGTTGGAACCAGCAGTTTTCAAGGGAAAGTGACTGACATTAAGTAAACATGATTCTTTACACAGCACACCAACTGCCAGATGCAAGAAGTCAAGACGACAAACGTGTTTCTCCCAGCTAATAACAGTGGCCTCCTCATCTGGGCTGTTTACTCAGCCACTAAAAACCGGATACTCTCTTTGGCTAAAACCAGGATGTTGTGTACCTGTCCTATTAGGCCCTGACGGCAGGCCTGGCCTGCAAGTTGGGCCTCAAGGACAGGAGTCAAGTCTTGAAGAGCTCTTTCCCAAATACCTGGGGTTGGAGGTGGGGATGGTGGAGTGGCTGAGCTGTCAGCAGAGGAACTGCGGGGGAGGGTGTAAAGGAATGCTGGGTGCTGATCTGACAAAGGACCTGACGATGCCTTTGACAGAGTTGGAATCTTAGAACATTTTCAGGGGAAAGAACACATTGCAGTGACTTTGGGCTTGCTGAGTTTGAGACATTGAGAAAGGGGTTAAAAAGAGAAAATGAGGCAAGGCTGAGAGAGGCAGGGTGTCCTGGGTTGCCGCCATGACAATGAGGAGGACTTGGCAGTGCTCCCAGAAAGAAATAGGAGTGATGGAGACACATTTGCCCCCTGGATGGAAGGAACACAGGATGAGAAGACATCACTTGGAGAAGAAATAGCAACAACCATTGTCACACCAGGCTCACCCCTACCCCCTTCCCTGGCAATCAAAAAAGCTGATGGCTCCAGCAGCTCCAGCACGCCCTGGGGACAGCCAGTGTGCTTCAGTCTGAGGCTCCTTCCTTCCCTCCCACTCGCTCCTGCCTGTCTTTCCCATGTTTGCCAGTGTCAGATCTGCATAGTGATCTTCCTTTCCTAATCCTGCTTCCTCCTCATCTTTCGCAGGTGTTTACCACAATAAATCTCCTGGAACAACTCTGTTCTACCATCTGCTTCTTGCAGGACCCAAACTGACATGCTTCCCAACAACAAGAAAAGTGACATTCCTTTTTAAAGACCCAGAGAAAATCCTAGTATCATGTTCTTTGGTATGTTCTGGAATCAAGGACCCAAGATTAATTGGTAACTGATTCACTTATTCAGGAATTCATTTAATCAATCACTTCAATAGGTATTAATTAAGCACCCATTGTATGCCAGGAACTGTGCTGGACCTTAGAGCTATAACAGTAAACAAGGAAGACGTAAGTGAAAATCTCATCTAAGCAACTTGTAAAATGAAAGACCATGGGTAGTCCAGGAAGGAAAAGCTGTCTCTGGGTGTGGCTGAACGTTAAAGCAATCTATCCTATCTGATGAGAAAACACACAAAATGATCATTCCAGACCACAAAGATCTCCAATTACAAGAAACATAACTTCCGCCACTGCTATGCCCTTTGCACACTGTACATAGTCAGTTCCTCCCACCAGGAGTCATCGGAGAAAGGAAACTGCACGTGGATGGCAGGACAACAGCACAGCATTGCTGGCTGTCATGGTAGCTGGCACATGCCAGCTCCTTTTTCTGCATTCAGCTCCCTCCTGCCCCATCACCTAAGAGCCAGGCAAAAACACTTCCACTCGGCTGGAGCCACCAGGACTTTGACCTACATAAAGTGCCACAAAAATCACCCAATTGAACAAGCTCTGGGCCAGAGAAGGAGCTGAGGTCCAGCTGAAGGTGATGTCCAGCCCAAGAGGCTGTCCCCATAAACTGACCCTCAGGGGGTGCTGAGTCCCACTGCCCTGGTTTCTCCACATCTGTGTGATATAAGGAAGCCAGAGACCACCACAGCCTGATGAGTTCTTGGAGAAGCCCAGAGCCAGTGGGCCTGTCTCTCCACAGAGTCACGCTCAGGGCTTTAGTTAAAGGATCCCTGCAGAGGGAGTGGGTTTGAATTCCAAATCTGCCATCCTCATCCTAGGACAAAGAGCAAGACCTTTAACGTCTCTAGGCCTCAGTTTCCTCTGCTGCAAAGGAGTGAGGGTACCTGTACCTCCCTCATTGGGCTATTGTGAGGACTAAATGAGATAACATATGGAAAGCACACAGCACTGTGCAAGGCAGCTTGAGAGGGCGTGAGCAGGATTGGTGAGGACTATTCTTGTTTGCCTGGCTCTAGCCGTTACCCTGACTTCAATCACCTCTAACTATGCGTCCTTCTATTTTGCCTGTTTCCCTGTTTTAAAAAAAAAAAGTAAAAAGAAAATATAAATTCCTTTCTGCTTTCAGAAATGAATTTTCTGAAATTATACCCATCATGGGGATTCCAGGGACCATGGACTCTTTGCAGACACACTACTCAAACCCATGGAGAAAATGTCCCATCGGCTGCCCGGGAGCCTCTGCCTTGGCCACTCGCAGCAACCCTGGGAGAAATAAGGGCCTCAGACAGAACAATAGCATGGATTGTGCCTCTTGCAGGAATTTCATCTGTCACTGAGTAACAGGTTTTGATCTCAGGCTCGCTGCCAGTTAGGAAGTGAAACCCTTTCCGGAACACTTGCTGTTTTGTTGGTTTTCCCCTGGAGATTTAATGATTTCACCTTGGAGGTTTTAGCTGATGAGCTGTGCTCTGTATGGAGCCTACCCATGTGAAAAACCAATCAGGTATTTCATGGGCTCCCCAGTATTCTATTTCGTGAGTTTGGAGACCCACTAAGCCAACAATTGGACACCCCCACAAGGTGTGCATTTGCTGTCACCAGAGCGAGCTCTGGGTCTGTCCGCGTGGCACAAGGAGAGCTGTTAGATCAGTCGTCTTCTCTAACCCAGAGGCCTAAGTGAGAGGATGAGAAAGAGAAAGGGCCATTGTTTCTAAAGACAGGTTCACCTGAAGAATTTGGACAATGATGCCGGTTTCAGTTTAAAGGGCCTTTGGGCAGGGTTGGCATTGGGAACAGGGGCTGAGGGAGCTTCTAGACTTTTCTGCATTATGAGCAGAGTAATTACAAATCAGCTCTGCAGATGACAGCACAGACCTCTTTGTGGTGGGTTCTCTTGGGCCAACAGCAGATTTGGAGCCGTGGAAGAACAGCGAGAAATCTCTTCACATGACCTTCATGTCTTCCTCCTGTAAACCGCATTGTATTTCTAACTTCAGATCAAGGGGACTGACATCTGCAACTCTTCAGGGAGGACAGCTGGGCCATGCCCCTTTGGGCCTCCCATCCTCCCCTCGTCTTGTCAGCCAGTCGTGCTGGGATCTGCCGGCAGCCTTGTGAGAACCGGGCAGGAACTGGCCAGCAAAGGCAGCTATAAATACTCCTCTTGGCAGCCAGCTTCACTTGGGAGCCCACAGCTGAGGGGCGGAGGCCAGCGGGAAGCACCTGCACCTCTTCAGGGTACATCCGAGCCTGGGCCTGGCTTCCCGCCCTCCACCTCTGAATGGGGATTTGGTCGACCTTTTCCGGCTTGGGGGAAGTCCCCGTGGTGATCCAGCTTCCCAGATGCAAGAGCAGCAGGGAGGGCACTGCTCTCCAAGCAGCCCAACCCCTTTAAACTCAAAGTCAGAGCTATATTCTCACAAGGGCTGATGAAACTGAATAGCTAAGGGTAAATGAGGAGGCAGGAGAGGCGAAGAGGAAGGGAAATAAGCTCTTTTATAGAATGCTTTTCTCCTCCTGATTTCACTTGTGTGGGGAAGCATGAAACAACCACTAATCAGTCTTTCCCCCTGATGAGTCGGAAACTTGACAACTGGAGAGTTTTTAAAAAAATGAATGAATAAATATTTCTTCTTTGGGCTTTATTTATGAAGCATGGGCTAAGAGATCCCTTGTGGGCATTTTAAATAACCAGAAGCAAGTCACAGCAGCAGCTAATGGTCAACTGTAAATGCAGTTCTGCTGTGCAGTTGTCGTTCAAAATGTGACAGTATTTAAAAGCTGGGCTGTATATGAGATGAAGGAGTTCAAAGACCCATTGGATGACAGTTCTCATGCTTCTGCAAGTGAAAGAATCATCTGGAACACTTGTTTATGAGGCAGATCCCCGGTCCCTACCCTCTGAGATCTGATCCTATAGATTTGGGCCAGGGCCAAGAACCTGCATTTGAGTCCCTAATTCCAACCTGGATACTCTGGGACAGGACTGCGCTTTGCAAGACAATGCCCTATGCCAGTGGTTCACAAAGTGAGGTCCCCAACCTGGAGCCACAGGAAATTTGTTAGAAATACAGATTCTTAGGCCAACCCCAGAAAGACAGAATCGGGAACTTTGGGGACAGGGCCCAAAAATCTGTTTTAACAAACCTCCAGGTGGTTCTGAAGCCTGCTATAGGTTGATAAACACTGCCCTAAGATTTCTTACAAGCAAGTTGTGCAAACCCTGGAATACTGGCAATTCCAATGCGTAGCCAAGATTTAGAACCACTCTGATGGACACTTCCATTGGAATATGAATGCTAATCTCACTTCTATAACCCTTATTTTTCTGAGCACTCACTTTTTTCAGCCAAGATTAGAGTTAATAAGGTGAAGGGGAAAGAATGTGGGTTTTGTTTCAGGTAAACGACTCAAGCCTGGTCCCAAGTTGAACCCTCCCTGAACCTCAGTATTTTCATCTGTGAAATGGAAGGAATGCTGCCCACCCCACAATGGTGCTGTGAAGAGTAATGAGACAGTATCTGGGAAAACACTTAGCCAGTGGCTGGCACATTGTAGAAACTTGATTTTTCTGTCTCTCTCTACAATATTTTTTAGTTTAATTGGGGTCTGGAATGAGATTCTTAATTTTTATAGGAATATAGCTTAAGGGTTTGCTCTCCAGAGAGCATCAAAAGACTCATTTTAAAATTCATCTCTTGTTTTAGGGTAAATGTCTGAAGAGCTCAGTGAGCACTCTTGATGTTAAAGATGACTGGTAGCCTTAGTATAGAAGCAGCTCTAATTTAGCATGGCCTGGTTCCACTTTGTAACCAGAGTCACTTTCTCTTCTGGGACATCACTGATGTCTCAGTAATGGGCAAAAACCTTATTATATTAGGCACTTTGCACAAGCATTTCACTTCCTTAATTGGTCACCATTGCTTATTAAATGCCAGGCCAACTTCCAATACAGTTTGGTGACAGAGGCCTGTCATCAACTGTTATAAAGAAATGACTTCTTGTGTGTGTACTGGTCAGCTTGTAATTCAGTTGGTTGGAAGATCAGTCAATATTGTATATTTATAAAAGAGTAGATTCAGTAACCACTTTGGCATGAAGCATGCTGCCTGTGTTTTATATTTTATATAATACATAGTAGTTCTATTGACTCTAAATAAATACTTGACAATGACTGTTTTAATAGATTCCAAAGATGGAATGTCCACAAACACATCATTTGTAGGGCAAAGCTGACACAAATCACATTTGTGGGAGTAAAGTGGGAACTCATCCCTGTGCAATGGTCAAATGCTCCACATATTTTTGTTAGGATGGAAGGGTGTTTAGTAAGGTCCTTCATGTAATCAAGACCTGTCCTGGTGTGCAGCCATAGAAGCCAATTTGTTTTACTTCTGGTACACTGACCAGCATCCCTTAGGACAGGAAGAGATGGATATACCCAAATTGCATTGCCACCTAGTACTTCGGCAAACACTTACTGAGGACCTGCCAGGTGCAAAGCACATTTACATGCATGACCTCATCTAAGGCTCACAAACAGTTATCACCATCTCCTTTTTACAGATGAGCAATTGAGATGCAAAGACATGAAGGCATTGGATAAACGTCATGCAACCCATATTGGTTTCATTTACCCTAGAAGGGATTTCTTGCTTTCAGTTGTATTTACCCTAGAAGGGATTTCTTGCTTTCAGTTGCTGGTTTGCTTATTCATTCATCTAGTCATTATTCATCTATGGTTTATCATAGCGAGGCAACATTGTTTACTCTCATATCTCCTAAAACAATTTTAGAAACCTACATATCCTCTTGAACCTTTTTCAGATGAGACTTCAAGTTTCCCTTCCCGTGTTAAAATAGTTGCAAAGATGTAATTATGGCACGTAGTCAATATTGACACTTTACAACAAAATGTTAATGAATGCATTTCTATATGGCCAAAGGAATATAGATACCAATTATATTTTTCCATTATCCAAAGGAATATAGATAGAAATGATATATTTATCATCTAAAATTTTAAAATACATGAATGATCTTTTAATAGAACTTTTTTCCTTGAACTCATATTTCCATTTCATTTCCCCAATATTACCTCATTTTTAAGGGACCTCACGCTTAAAAATATGTTATCATTCTATTATAATTCTGTGTAGTAATAATATTAGTCAAATTAATTTTTTTAATTTGCTATAATCTTAAGACTTTAGATGTTAAAATTTTTCTTCTGGATTGGCTTATCATTAAAATTATGAAGAAATTATTCAGAACAACATAAATATGACAACTTTAGACAATGCAGCATAAAATCAGGAGAGGTATACTTTTTTTTTGAACACAGAAAGCAAGATGGGAAAAAAGAATGTTTCTCATGATATCTCCCTGCAGGCATGTTCTGAGGCCAATCTTATTAGGAAAGAGTACATGTGGAAGTCTGGGATATGGAAATTAATTCTCTGAGATACACCCAATCTAGCATATCCCAGCTGGAAGGCTGCTTCCCTGGGAGCCAAAAGCACAGAAGGTCCTTGAGGGGCCATGGGACACACGAACAAGCAAGCAAGAGCAAGTTAGACATGCCAAGCATTGTATCTGGTAGGGACTAGGTAAGGTAAGAGACAAGTACCATTTGTAATTTTTTTAATTTTTTAAGTTTTTAATTTAGGGGTATATAGTAGGTGTATGTATTTATGGAGTACATGAGATGTTTTGATATAGGTATGCAACATGTGATAATCACATAATGGAGAATGGGGTACCCATCCCAAGCATTTATCCTTTGTGTTACAAACAATCCGATTACACTCTTTCAGATTTTTTAAATGTATGATTAAATTATTATTGACTATAGTCACCCTGTTGTATTATCAAATAGTAGGTCTTATTCATTCTTTCTATTTTTATTGTACCCATTAACCATCCCCACCCCCTGATCTCCATCCCAAACACTACCCTTCCCAGCCTCTGGTAACCATCCTTCTACACTCTATCTCCATGAGTTCAATTGTTTTGATTTTCAGATCCCACAAATAAGTGAGAACATGCAATGTTTATCTTTCTGTGACTGGCTTATTTCATTTAATATAATGATCTCCAGTTACATTCATGCTGTTGGAAATGACAGGATCTTATCCTTTACTATGGCTGAATAGTACTCCATTGTATGTAAGTACCACATTTTATCCATTCATCTGTTGATGGACTCATAGGTTGCTTCCAAAATCTTGGCTATTGTGAACAGTGCTTCAAAAAACATGACAGTGCAGATATCTCTCTTTGATATAGTAATTTCCTTTCTTTTGGGTATATACCCAGCAGTGGGATTGCTGGATCCTATGGTAGCTCTGTTTTTAGTTTTTTGAGGAATCTCCAAACTGTTCTTCATAGTGGTTGTACTAATTTACATTCCCACCAACAGGGTACAAGGGTTTGCTTTTCTCCGTATCTTTGCCAGCATTTGTTATTGCCTGTCTTTTGGATATAAGCCATTTTAACTGGGGTGAGATGACATCTCATTGTAGTTTCGATTTGCATTTCTCTGATGATCAGTGATGTCGAGCACCTTTTCATATGCCTGTCTGCCATTTGTGCGTCTTTTGAGAAATGTCTATTCAGATCTTTTGCCCATTTGAAAATTGGATTAGATTTTTTTCCTATAGAGTTGTTTGAGCTCCTTTTATATTCTGATATTAACCCCTTGTCAGATAGGTAACTTGCAAATATTTTCTCCCATTCTGTGGGTTGTCTTTTTGTTGTGTCCTTTGCAGTACAGAAGCTTTTTAACTTGATGTGATCCTATTTGTCCATTTTTGCTTTGGTTGCCTGTGCTTGTGGAGTATTACTCAAGTGCTTGTGGAGTATCACTCAAGTGCTTGTGGAGTATTACTCAAGAAACTTTTGCCCAGACCAATGTCCTGGAGAGTTTCTTCAATGTTTCTTTGTAGTAGTTTCATACTTGGGATCTTAGATTTAAATGTCTAATCCATTTTGATTTGAGTTTTGTATATGGTGAGAGATAGGGGTCTAGTTTCATTCTTCTGCATATGGATATCCAGTTTTCTTAGCACCATTTATTGAAGAGACTGACTTTTTCCCAGTATATGTTCTTGGCACCCTTGTTGAAAATAAGTTCACTGTAGGTGTCTGAATTTGTTTCTGGGTTCTCTATTCTGTTTCACTGGACTATGTGTCTGTTTTTATGCAAGTACCATGCTCTTTTGGTTACTTAGGTAATGTGATTCCTGTAGTTTTGTTTTTTTTTTTTTGCTTAGGATGGCTTTGGCCATGGGTCTTTTGTGGTTCCATATAAATTTTAGTTTATTTCTATTTCTGTGAAGAATGTCATTGGTATTTTGATAGAGATTAAATTAAATCTGTACACTGCTTTGGGTAGTATGGACATTTTAACAATATTGATTATTCCTATCCATGAACATTGAATATTTTTCTATTTTGGGGTGTCCTCCTCAATTTCTTTCATCAGTGTTTTACAGTTTTCATTATAAAGATCTTTCACTTCTTTGGTTAATTCCTAGATATTTAATTTTGTGACTACTGAAAATGGGGGCCCGGCACAGTGGCTCATGCTTGCAATCCCAGCACTTTGGGAGGCCAAGGTAGGCAGATCACCTGAGGTCAGGAGTTCAAGACCAGCCTGGCTAACATGGTGAAACCTTGTCTCCACTACAAATGCAAAAAAATTAGCCAGGTGTGGTGGCACATACCTGTAATCCCAGCTACTCAGGAGGCTGAGGCACAAGAATTGTTTAAACCCAGGAGGCAGAGATTGCAGTGAGCTGAGATTGCGTCACTGTACTCCAGCATGGGCGACAGAGATTCTGTCTCAAAAAAAAAAAAGAAAAGAAAATTACTTTTTCAGATTGTTCATTGTTGGCATTTTGTATGTTGATTTTGTATCCTACAGCTTTACTGAATTTATCAGTTTTAATAGTTTTTTTTTTGTGAAGTCTTTAGGTTTTTCCAAATAAAAGATCACATCATCTGCAAACAAGGATAGTTTGACTTTTGTCTTTCCAATTTGGATGCCCTTTCTTTATCCGATTGCTCTAGCTAGGACTTCCAGTATGACGTTGAATAACAGTGATGAAAGTGGGCATCCTTGTCATGTTCCAGATCTTAGAGAAAAGGTTTTGTTTTTCCCCATTTAATATAATATAGCTGTTGGTCTGTCACGTGGCTTTTTTTATGTTGAGGTATATTTTATCTCCAGTATTTTGAGGACTTTTATCGTGAAGGCATGTTGAATTTTATCAAATAATTTTTCAGCATCAATTGAAATGATATGGTTTTTATCCTTCATTCTGTTGATGTATCATATTGATTGATTTGTGTATGTTGAACAATCCTTGCATCCCAGGGATAAATCCCACTTGGTCATGACAAATGATTTTTCTAATATATTGTTGAATTTGGTTTGCTATTATTTTGTTGAGGATTTTTGCAGCAATATTCATAGGTATTGGCCTGTAGTGTTTTGTGGTTTTTTAAAAATGTATCTTTGTCTGGTTTTAGTATCAGAGTAATACTGGCCTCTTAGAACGAGTTTGGAAGTACACTCCTTCTCTATTTTTTGCATTAGTTTGAGTAGGATTGGTATTAGTGGTTCTTTAAATGTTTGGTAGAATTCAGCAGTGAAGCCATTGGGTCCCAGGCTTTTCTTCACTGGGATTCATTAGTAATTTAAACAGGGGAAATCCAGTATAAAGAACTGATAACCAGACAAAGGATGATTAACTCCTAAAAAGCATAAAGGAAAAGTTTAAGATATAATTGAGGTAGAAATTACAGAAGGCTGCTACCACCCTTGACTGAGGGAAAGGTAAGTAAGGAAAGACTCTGGAAGCGAGGGCGTGGCTACTGCAGGAAAGAAGAAACAGGCTGCCAGAGGGTGCTCGTCACAGCACCCTGAGAACTGTCACCACTGAAATGAACGCTCCTGAGACCCTCCACACTCCAATTTGCTCATATTTGTGTGAGAAACGGAAAGAAAGTGACCCCTCCCTTCCTTTCAGCTTTGCAGGCTCCCTGCAGCGCCCTCTATTGGCAGACAATCCCCCCCCTCCCCGCGCCATACACCAAACCCAAACCCGCCGGTCAAAGAAGAGCCGGTAATGCGGTAATGTGCAGATTCTAGCTTCAGGATCACAAAGCAAGACAAAAAGGACGGTTTGGAGCTGCAAGGCAATAAATTAACAACTGGAACAAACGTCAAGAGAAAAGTACAGTTAAAGGATTACAGAGAAAGGATAAATGACTTTTACTCTCTCCTCTCCCCAAATCAATAGATTGATAGGCTGGGTCCTGAGCGAACTCCTTCAGTCTCGGGGTAAAAACTGCAGAGTAAGCAGGAACTACATGGTTCCCTTGCAGTGATGCCCAGGGCTGAGAATCTTACCCCAAGCTCGAGAAATCTTCACTTTTCTATGCAAGCACAGGGAGCCCGTTTTCTCACGTGTTCAGGAAGAACAACCAGGATTTCTAAGGTGAGAATTATTTGTCTTCCTGGCAGTTGCTAATCCCAATACCAGTCCCTGGAGATTGCTTTTTTGCTGAGCTTTTTCTCCTTTGAATCCTGCCCAAGAAGAGTAGGAAGGCAGGGAACAGGGGATAAACTATTTTGATTTCTCATATTTCTGCTCTGTTTTGAAGTGAAACAATTTCATACAGCCCCCAGATTGGCACATGTTCCCCCTTCCACCAACTCCCCTGCAGTCTTTCTCACTGCAGTCAGGAAGACATTATTTTAAAAAATTCGTGTCAGTGCCAACCAACTGCGACAGGATTTTATTTCAAAAATCATTCTGTTGGCTTTCCTCGTATGAAACTCTCTGCCATAGTCTATAAAACACTCCATTACCCATCTCAACCATCTTTAGAAAGAAGCCTTCTGAAAGGTCTCATGATGTGCAGAAAGTACACTGGCTTAGGGTAGAAGGCTGAGGCATTTCCATTTCCAGCACCAACTGTGCTATGTGCATGAGAAAAATCACTCAGTTTCTTACTGCCTCCCTCAGCATTTCCCCCTGAACTCTACAGAGACCCCTTTGCAGTCATTGGCCTCAGGGAGGTTGTAAAGTACCATATTCATGTCGTTGAGATGGAAAGGACCAAGGGAATCTGTTAGGGCAGCTCTAGTCTACACAGCTCTGTACCTGAAGCTCTTTTCTGTGACTTTTAATTTATGTTACTTTCTGAAGTTTTAGTTCTAAAATTAGGACATAATATAAAATACACAAATTGATGACCTTTTTGCATAAATATATACCTATGTAACAACCTTTGATCAAAACACAACATCAAATAATCCAAAAAGATCCCTTGTGTCCCTTCTTAGTCAATATACATCCCTGTCCCTAGATGTAACCACTATTCTGACGTCCATTGACATAGAGTTGTTATATCTCTTCTCAAATTGTATCTCTTTGTATACATGAAGTCTTACAGTATATACCCTTTTGTATCTGGCTTCTTTCACCTAATACTGTCTATGAGATTTATCAACAAGTAGTTCCATCCTTTGTATTGCTGAGTAGTATTCCACTGTATGAATATACAGCAATGTATCCATTCTGCTGTTGATGGACATTTGGGTAGTTTCTAGTTTGGGGCTATTATGAATAAAGATTCTATGAACATTCTTGGACATGTCTTTTGGTGGACACATACATTTTTCTTGGGTATTGTATCAGTCCAATCAGAAGAGCAAAACTATGTAATAACTTGAATAGGAAAAGTTTAATATAACAAATGTTTATAACAGGAATAACAAGGGATTGGCTAGTAAGAAAGAGAAAGCTAAAGAATGCAGGAAGAACAGAGATAAGGAGCAATTACCAGCCCTAGGGATGAGAGAGAACTCTCAAGAAAGACCCACCTCCAACCCCTGCCTCAGGCCTAATCCATTTAAAATATTTGTTCTCCTTTTACTCCGCCAGTTCAATTACTGCAAAGATCTTATTGGAGAGTGCATAGCCATTGTTCGCCGAATAATAGAGAAGTCACTATAGTGCTGTACTGGTGGAATCTTCTGGAATAGCCCTCTGGAAGTTTCTGGAAATTCATCATCTAGGGTGCCAGAGACAGCTCTTCAGAGGGCATTGTTGTACCTGAGACACTTACTACAAAACTGACTGAAAGAGTAACCCAGAGAAGCTATAAGCCACTGGATGCTGCTGGCTGCCATGCACTGCAGGAGCTGAGAACTGGAGAAGCCCCAAGTGCTACAGGAGCTGGCTGCTGGAGAGGCTGCACATGCTGCAGTTGCTGGAGAAGCCATGTGTATTTTAGGAGCTGTGCACGGCCGAGGCTGCAGGTGCTGCAGGAGCTGGATGCTAGAGGAGCACCTTGCAGGAGCCTGGGGAGTAAGCACAGCGGAACCAGGAAGCAAAACTCTTCTCCTGCAATGTCTCATCAGCAACCTCACCTGACCAAGCTTCAGTACCAACTGGCAAAGAAAATATTATATATATATATATATATATGTATATATATATATATATTTTTTTTTTTTTTTGAGACAGAGTCTCGCTGTGTCACCCAGGCTGGAGTGCACTGGTGCAATCTCAGCTCACTGTAACCTCCGCCTCCCGGGTTCAAGTGATTCTTCTGCCTCAGCCTCTCGAGTAGCTGGGACTACAGGTGCTCGCCACCACACCCAGCTACCCTTTTTGTATTTTTAGTAGAGATGAGGTTTCACCACATTGGCCAGGATGGTCTCGATCTCTTCACTTCGTGATCCACCTGCCTCGGCCTCCCAAAGTGCTGGGATTACAGGCGTGAGCCACCGTGCCCAGCCTTAAAAATATTTTAAAGGCTCACAGAGCAGTCAGAAAGGGTCAAGTCATTGTTGAGAGACCATAAATCAGGATCTGGCACAGGTATGCACACAGAAGAGGAACTGCTGGGTCAGAGTTGTTACAAATTTAGCGTTAATGGATTTTGCCAGTTTTCCAAAGAGTTGCACCAATTTACAATCTCACAAATAATGTAGAATTCCAGTTGCTTCATATGCTTGCCAATACTTGATATTGTCAGTTTTTCTAATTTTAGACATTCTGGTGAGTATGAAGTGGCATTTCATTGTGATTTTATTTAGCATTTTCCTTAATGAGTAAAGATGTTGAGCAGCTTTTCATATACTTGTTAGATATTTGGATACCCTCTTTAGCAAACTCGTTAAAGTCCACTCCCCGTTTTTTATTAAGTTGTCTTTTTCTTATTGTAGTTTTATATATTCTGAATTTCAGTCCTTTATCAGATGCATATATTGCAAATAACTTTTCCCAACACGTGGTTTGCCTATGCTACCTTAACAAATACATTCACAGAGGCAGAAGATCAAAATACTGTGTCTTCCAATGTGCTATTTCTCACATATCAATGGTCACCAAGTCATGGTGATATGCTTATATAACTGGAATAAAATAATCTTTTGGAATTCATCTGTGCACTTGCCTAAAAAGGCAAACGAGTATTTCGAGTATTTCAAGAATCTTCCTGGCCGGGCACAGTGGCTCACGCCTGTAATCCCAGCACTTTGGGAGGCCGAGGAGGGCAGATCATGAGGTCAGGAGATCAAGACCATCCTGGCTAACACGGTGAAACCCCATCTCTACTAAAAATACCAAAAATTAGCTGGGCCTGGTGGTGAGCGCCTGTAGTCCCAGCTACTCGTGAGGCTGAGGCAGGAGAATGGCGTGAACCCAGGAGGCAGAGCTTGCAGTGAGCTGAGATTGCGCCACTGCCCTCCGGCCTGGGCAACAGAGCGAGACTCCATCTCAAAAAAAAAAAAAATCTTCCTAATCCATTTAAAATATTTCTTCTCCTTTTACTCCACCAGTTCAATTACTGCAAAGATTTCTGAAAATGAGGAAAAGATCCATGGTTTGGATTGATTATGGCAGTTTCTGTTAGAATCAGATTGTCTTCCTCAGTTTCCAAGGAAGAAATCGTGCTTAAAAACCAACAGTGTGATAATGCTGCTTCTAAGCATTCCAGTGGCAACTCTCCTTCCCTGTCATGGTGCTTTATAATTATTGGTTGTTTTCCTTTTCACCATTATGCTCCTTGAAAGCAGGAGCCAACCATTCTTATTCATCTTTATAACCCCAAGGCTAGCCCAGGAACTGGTGTGTCCTATGTACTCAGTGAATGTTCCTTGAATATCTCAATTTAGTCACAGTAATCATCTATTTCAGATGTGAGTTGAGACACAAACGGAATTTTTACTTATGCCCATTTTGAATGGATGTTGGTGTTGATGATAGATAAGGGGAAAGATGTGAATCTGAAAGAAATGTCTGACTCCTTGAGTCATGAAAAAAGGGAAATTAGAACCCCCAGCCAATCCTTTCGAGATGAAAACTGATAGAGAGGAAGAAAAGAGAGTCTGGTTTAGGCCAAGAAGGGAACAGAAGGAATCGGATGTAGTGCCACAGGGATGGCTAGCTAGGAGAGAGAGCAAAGCAGAGGGTAGCAGCCAATCTAGGAACCCCTTAGCGGAACTCGCCAAGCCCAGCTGCGTGTAAGATTCACCCTGGCTGCACCGCAGACCACCTGATTCAGAATGGGGGTGGGATAGGCAGCTATATATATATATATATATATTTTTTTTTTTTTTAAGTATCCTGGGTGGTTCTGATGCATGACAAACATCAAGAATGTCTGCTCTACAGCAATGTGAAGCTGGACAGCGTCTTCCAAACATTAACCCTGAAGTCTGTGTTAACAAAAGGCCGAGTCTCTAAATGTCCTGGGATAAATCCAGAGGATCCACCAATTAGAGATCTGGGTGCTGCAAAGTGAGCATTAGATCTCAGGGTAGATTTAGGCTTCTGGTACTGAGGACTTAATTGTCTTTCACTGTAAACAGAAAAGCTGTAAAAGGGAGTTCTGATTTTTAATTGGGGGTAGAAAAAATAAATTAGGAATTAGGAAGCAGAAAAGGTGATTACCCTGAGTAAAATGCCACAATGAGCCAACTGTATTCCTTTTTCGCTATAATTGTTACAATTAGCCAATTGTGGCCCAATTGCACCCTGAGAGTGCCACACACTGTGGTGAAGCCATTGTAGTAATTAAAAGGTTAAGGTTGAGAAATGGAGGGCCTTTAGTGCCAAGGCTAGGAGAGCAGCTGCCTACCAAGCATAACTGCACACTAGGAAATTTGTTCCTGAGGTAAGTGGCTTCACTAGTGGGTCAGCCTCACCTTTAAAATTCTACAGTTCTATGATATGCACTGTAAGATGTGAAGTCATGGTTATTTTTGAATCTGAGTTTTCTTGCTAATGCCAGCGTGCCTTCCTAAGTCACACTTTCCATGTGACTGCACCTGGCAGTTGCTGGAAGGGCTTGGGCCAAGCACAGAGAACTAGAAAACCTATGGGAAAGTTTTAAACTTTGTAAACCTGAAGTTCAGATAGAAAGTGCAAAGTCAACTGCAAGGTCCTCACCTGCCCACATGATGACATGGTATTAGAAAATGAAAACCAAGGAGGTTAAAATGCATTGTAATTATTGGCGTTACTCTGCAATGAAATCTGCACTGGGGATCCTTTGTCCCCAAAAAACCCCAACAGGATAAACCAGCTCTCCCACCATTTCCCATCCCAGCCAAACTCACCCAGCCAAACATACAACAGCTTAATTTATTGTAAGTCCAGATGAGCCATTCCAATAAGTTGTTAGGGTTAGGCTTACTTCTAAGAACACCAGACAATATAATGTAGCTGAAGAAGAAAAAATTACATCATTTTGACCATGAGGAGCTCTGCTTCTTCATTCAATAAACATATCAGGTGACAACTATGTGCCAGGCACAGTGCTGGGTGCCAAAATCACAGAGGAAAAAATGTGATGCCATGGAGGTGAATACGAGGAAGAACCAGAGAGAGAAACAAACATATTTAGTTAGTGTACTAAAGTGCAATGGCAGAGAAATGCACAGGGGGCCATGGGAGCACCCAGTAGAGGCTCGGAGCCAGAGAAGATTGTAACCAGGGAGGAGGAGGAGTTGATGCCTCAGTGGAATCTTAAAGGAGAGGTGGAGTCGAAGGTGGCCTGAAGCCACTTATACTGGCTTGCGAGATCCAACACATTTTTTCCCATTTCTGCATTCAGTGACCAGATTTGTAGCTTGAAGTCAGCAGTGGTATGAATATTTATACCTCAGAGGCAAACTCTACACATCAACCTTTTTTCTCCGCTAGAGTCAGTTGTTAAACACTAAACAGCGCACCACTGGGTAGGCCATAGACAGATGGAGGGAAAGCATTTTGCACAAGGGTACACCCTAAACCAGGCCATGGAAGCCCCAAGAAGCTTGGAGGGGAACTATAGGACTTTAGCTTTTCTAGGCTGTAAAGTGCACAGCTGCAATGGCAGGAGATAAAACAGAAAGACAGCCAAGGACTAGATTGTGGAGGGCATTGCATGTTGTTAAGGAGTTTCTACTGTTATCCTGGAGGGGATGGGTGGACAAAGAAGTTTTAAGCTAGGGTGTGGTACGCTAACTTTTTTTTTTTTTTGAGACATCCTAGTTTACAACCACCAATGCCTCTCCTTGATAACAAATAAGTATCTTATACAAACTAAATTGAGATTAAAGAGAATCTGTTCCTAAAGTCACCTATAAAGCCAAAAATAGAACAAAAATAATAAAGAAGAGAAAACCTCCAGCAATTGACTTTGGCTCACCTTGTCCAACAGCAGTGCCTCTCAGCATGTCAGACCCATGGAGGGTGGGGACTCCTGTTTGACACACTCCATGCTGTTTCCTCCGAGCTATTTGCACTTTAGTTAGTGCAGAAAATGTCACTCCTCTAGAGCATAGGCACAGGCTTTGATTCAATTTCATGATTCTATCAAAGGATAGGCCTCAGCTTTTAAGCTTGGGGCTGTTGCCCATTTACCTTATAAACTTCTTATTTGATTTTGCATCTGGCCAAAACAGATAAAGACAGGGTCATCTGAAAGACGAGAAAGCTGTCATTGGCTTTCCTTGCAGTGTTTTGAATGTAGCTTCACGTTTTCAGTGTCAACTTTAAAGGAACTGCTTTGTACCTTGATTCTAAACCTTATGTTGGCAAAAGGCCCCAGATTATGATTGGGTACCACGGCCATAAGACCTGAGTAATGATGTCTAAATTTTCCACTTATTATGAAAATGTCCATTTTAACAAAAACAACAAAATACGGCAAAAGTTACACATATAGTAAATGATTTCTGTATTTTCCCTGTTTATGACAGTTTCCATATCCTCTCCTCCTGGCACAAAGAAAGTGAGCCAGTCTGTATCTCACTTGCCAGTATTATGTTGGGCCATTATCCTGCTAGGATTCTTCCACCAACATCCTTTTTTAAAACTCGTATCATAAACTTATGCCAGACTCCATCCTTACCCCCGTTATGGGTCCCGTCCTCAGGACTCTCCATTAATACCGCACCCCACACCCTCAGTGAGCGCAGCATGAATTTTCCTATTCAGCATTGCAGGCAATTCTCTTTCCATTTTGGTTCATATCTAGTGACATTTAGTTTCATTATCCAATTTCCCACCACAATAGCGTAATTTGGTTCAGGTTGGTGGCCTGTGGAACGTGTAGCCGTTTAGGTCCAATCATTAAATGGAGGAATTTATGAGACTGTAAGATATGAGGAAAGGCTGGCTGTGGTGTCGCACACCTATAATCCTAGCGCTCTGGGAGGTCAAGGTGGGAGGACTGCTTGAGCCCAGGAATTTGAAACCAGCCCAGGAAACATAGTGAAACCCCGTCTCTACAAAAAAACGTTTTAAAAAGATTAGCTGGGCATGGTGGCGCGTGCCCATAGTCCTAGCTATGGGGTAGGGTTGGGGGAGGGCTGAGATGGGAGGATCACTTGAGCCTGGGAGGTCAAGGCTGCAGTGAGCTATGATTGTACCACTGCACTTGAGCCTGGGCAACAGGGTGAGACCCTGTTTCAAAACAAACAAAAAAAAAAAAAAAGGAGAGAAGGAAGTCTTTATATGGTTCCTTGGGACTGAGGGAGAGCATTCAAGGAAGGACAAATTTGAAAGAGTTCCCCTAGTTTAGGTGAGGTTCAGCCTAGTAGACAGCAGAGATGGTTGACATGGAGCTCATCTGGAGTTGCTGGGTAAATCAGGGCACTCTCCAGTGTGCAAGCTGGGGAGCGGGCCATCAGGCCTGGTGGCCTGGACATGCTGTGGGAGTCCAGGGCCAGCAGGGGCAGGAGCTCTTAAGAGCGCACAGGCAGTGAGGGCTCTGGTTTTCATTTGAGACCACTGCAGAAAGGTCATTGCTACACCAAGGCTGCAAGCTTGCAGAGGGATGACACTCAGGGCCTGAGGCTGGGGCAGGTTCCACCAAAAGCCATCACACTCACACCAACTCCTGAACCACCCCGGAGGCAGCAGCAGACTTCCTCCTGCAGTGACCCTCCTGTGCCCTCTACCGAAAAAGCTTCACATTTTCAGCTCATTATATACATATATGCATGTGTATACATGTATATAGTAAGTAAGATATACCTTTTCATTGTATTACTGACTTTAAAGGAGAAATACTTAAAGGAATCTTGTTGCTTATCACAGAGCGTATGTTAAAGGGTACATCTTGAGCTGAGAGGCAATACATTGATAAATGACACAGGAGGCCCAACATTTGAAAAACTGCCGCTTTCCTGGGTGTGTCAGCTCCACAATACGGAACAGCTAGCTGTGTTGGATTGCTCATACCATCCATGGACTTCAAGGAACTGCTTACCACTCATTCTGGCTGTCAAATAGGAACACTAGACTATGATTGCAGCTCTGAAGAGGGTCGTTTCAGTTTCCGATGAGGTTTCAAGGTGGCAGTGCTCTGTACTCTCATTCACTCCTTCCAGTCACTGAGGGAACTTTTTCTTTTTTTCTTTTGCAAAGGAGTCTCACTCTGCTGCCCAGGCTAGAGTGCAATGGCATGATCTCGGCTCACTGCAACCTCTGCCTCCCGGGTTCAAGCGATTCTCCCTGCCTCAGCCTCCTGATAGCTGCCATTACAGGTGCCCACCACCACGCCCAGCTAATTTTCGTATTTTTAGTAGAGAGGGGGTTTCACCATGTTGGCCAGGCTGGTCTTGAACTCCTGACCTCAGGTGATCTGCCTGCCTCAGCCTCCCAAAGTGCTGGGATTATAGGCGTGAGCCACTGTGGCTGGCCCACGGAAGGAACTCTCTGGGCAATTCTGCTCCAGCGTTTGACTGACCTTCCCCAAAGCAGTTACAGGTCATTTTTCCGAGATGCTCAGAATTCTGAGTTTCAGAATATTGGATTACACCATGTGCTCTCTTTTCCACTGTCTCTCTGGGAACACAAGCAGGCTCTGCTGCGGTAGTTTGATTCTCTTCATGGTGCAAACAAGCTCCTATCACCAGAGGCTGGGGTTCAGAACCCAGGTGTTAAACCAGATGTAACCTATTCCAACATTTACTTAAATTGTGTGTTAAGTCGTTGGAACCTCAGTTTTCTCACGTATAAAATGGGGATTAAAAAGCACCTGCCCACGTGACTGTTAGGATTAAGTGAGATCATCTGTGCAAAGTACTTGAAACGTACCAGCCACGTAGTAAACGCTTGGTAATAGTTACCATTACTGTGCTCTACTAATGGCCAAAACTCAGACTCCCAAAGAAATGGAAAGCTAAGCTGTTGCCTTTCTCACAATACTAAAATTTTAGCCATCATTTATACTTATTATGATTTTGAGTATCACTACCAACTAAAAAAGAAATGAGTTTTGATGGGTTTTTACTCTCCCCTAGCTTCACTCCTGGATTAGAGAATTTGCAAGGATTTGCCTATGATTTTTCTTTTCTCTTTTTTTAAAATTAATTAATTATTATTATACTTTAAGTTTTAGGGTACATGTGCACAATGTGCAGGTTAGTTACATATGTATACATGTGCCATGCTGGTGTGCTGCACCCACTAACTCGTCATCTAGCATTAGGTATATCTACCAATGCTATCCCTCCCCCCTCCCCCCACCCCACAACAGTCCCCAGAGTGTGATGTTCCCCTTCCTGTGTCCATGTGTTCTCATTGTTCAATTCCCACCTATGAGTGAGAATACGCGGTGTTTGGTTTTTTGTTCTTGCGATAGTTTACTGAGAATGATGATTTCCAATTTCCTCCATGTCCCTACAAAGGACACGAACTCATCATTTTTTATGGTGGCATAGTATTCCATGGTGTATATGTGCCACATTTTGTTAATTCAGTCTATCATTGTTGGACATTTTGGTTGGTTCCAAGTCTTTGCTATTGTGAATAATGCCGCAATAAACATACGTGTGCATGTGTCTTTATAGCAGCATGATTTATAGTCCTTTGGGTATATAACCAGTAATGGGATGGCTGGGTCAAATGGTATTTCTAGTTCTAGATCCCTGAGGAATCGCCACACTGACTTCCACAATGGTTGAACTAGTTTACAGTCCCACCAACAGTGTAAAAGTGTTCCTATTTCTCCACATCCTCTCCAGCACCTGTTGTTTCCTGACTTTTTAATGATTGCCCTTCTAACTGGTGTGAGATAGTATCTCATTGCGGTTTTGATTTGCATTTCTCTGATGGCCAGTGATGGTGAGCATTTTTTCATGTGTTTTTTGGCTGCATAAATGTCTTCTTTTGAGAAGTGTCTGTTCATGTCCTTTGCCCACTTTTTGATGGGGTTGTTTGTTTGATAAGCAACTTCAGCAAAGTCTCAGGATACAAAATCAATGTACAAAAATCACAAGCATTCTTATACACCAACAACAGACAAACAGAGAGCCAAATCATGAGTGAACTCCCATTCACAATTGCTTCAAAGAGAATAAAATACCTAGGAATCCAACTTACAAGGGATGTGAAGGACCTCTTCAAGGAGAACTACAAACCACTGCTCAAGGAAATAAAAGAGGATACAAACAAATGCAAGAACATTCCATGCTCATGGGTAGGAAGAATCAATATCATGAAAATGGCCATACTGCCCAAGGTAATTTACAGATTCAATGCCATCCCCATCAAGCTACCAATGACTTGCTTCACAGAATTGGAAAAAACTACTTTAAAGTTCATCTGGAACTGAAAAAGAGCCTGCATCGCCAAGTCAATCCTGAGCCAAAAGAACAAAGCGGGAGGCATCACACTACCTGACTTCAAACTATACTACAAGGCTACGGTACCCAAAACAGCATGGTACTGGTACCAAAACAGAGATATAGATCAATGGAACAAAACAGAACCCTCAGAAATAACGCCGCGTATCTACAACTATCTGATCTTTGACAAACCTGAGAAAAACAAGCAATGGGGAAAGGATTCCCTACTTAATAAATGGTGCTGGGAAAACTGGCTAGCCATATGTAGAAAGCTGAAACTGGATCCCTTCCTTACACCTTATACAAAAATCAATTCAAGATGGATTAAAGACTTAAACGTTAGACCTAAAACCATAAAAACCCTAGAAGAAAACCTAGGCATTACCATTCAGGACATAGGCATGGGCAAGGACTTCATGTCTAAAACACCAAAAGCAATGGCAACAAAAGCCAAAATTGACAAATGGGATCTAATTAAACTAAAGAGCATCTGCACAGCAAAAGAAACTACCATCAGAGTGAACAGGCAACCTACAAAATGGGAGAAAATTTTCGCAACCTACTCATCTGACAAAGGGCTAATATCCAGAATCTACAATGATTGAACTCTTTTCTCTTTTTAATTCAGCTGACAGTGTTGTTCATTATTCACTTGAGGTGGTATTAGAATAAATTAATATTAAAATATTTAAATTTAGAACAATGTGTTCGCAATGCCATTAGGAAGATTTATCACCTGCAATGAGAAATCAGTGCTCCATTAGCTACAAACCCTCTCCAGTGAATTTGGAGACCTCAGGCTCAGATCATTACCCATCACCTCTCCCCCACTCTGTCCCCTGACTGCTGTCTGGACAGCTGTTCGGGTTTACTGAGGGTGTGTTCTACTAACTCACTTTTTAACTTAGTCCTACATCTGGCTGGGGACTCTTTAATACCATCAGTCTAGACACTGAGCTAGGGCCAATAAACAATACAAGGTGTTAAGGGCTGACTTGTGCCTGCCCCCGTCATTCTTACCTTGAAGCCCAAACTCCAGTACCTCGGAAAGTGACCATATTTGGAGACAGTGCCTTTAAGAGGTGATTAAGTTAAATTGAGGTCATTAGGGTGAGCCCTAATCCAATCTGATTGGTGTCCTTATAAGAGGAGGAAATTTGGACACAAAGAGACACATCAGAGATGCACGCACACAGAAAAAACCCATGGAAGAACACAGGGAAGGGAGCTATTTGCAAGCCTAGGAGAGAGGCCTCGGGAGAAATGAAACTTGCTGACACCTTGGTCTTGAAACTCCAGCCTCCAGAACTGGGAGGAAATAAATTTCTGTTAAGACACCAGTCTGGTATTTTGCTATGGCAACCCTAGCAAACTAATATAGTAGCCCTTCCTTATCCTCACAGAACATGCTCCAAGACCCCCAGTGGATACCCGAAACCACAGACAGTACCAAACCCCATATATATATATATATGTAGGCACAATAAGAGATTAACAATAATAACTAGTAATTCAATAGAACAATTACAACAATATGCCAGCATCACTACTCTTGCACCTTGGGGCCATTATTCAGTTTATAAAAGGGTTACCTGAACACAAGCACTGTGACAGTTCATTTGATCACCCAGACGGCTACGAGGCCACTAATGGGTGGGTAGCATTGACAATATGGAAACATTGGACAAAGGGATGAATTCATGTCCAGAGCCGGATGGTGTGAGATTTCATCCTGCTACTCAGGATGGCCCCCAATGTAAAACTTATGAATTGTTTATTTCTGAAATTTTCCATGTAATATTTTCAGACCATGGTCGACCTTGGATAAGCGAAACCACAGAAAGCAAAACCTCAGATAAGGGTGGACTAATGTACGGATTTTTTTGCTTTTTTAAAAACTTGTAAATTTATGCAGCCACTTTTGGAGTACACAGATTACCTGCAATGTGCTTTTTCCAATCAACACTCTTATCTTTTAGATTTGTTCATACTGATATGTATCTAGGTCTAGGTAATTCTTCTGTTGTGTAGATTTCCATCCTACTAATACTACAACTTATTTTCAATTTCTTTTGTTATTGTTATGTACGATGTGAACATGACCTTCCTTGCACATGCAGTAGGGGTTCTCTGGGTGTTGCGCCCAACCCCTATTAACCTCAATAGGGAAGGCACCAGGTTCGACAGGCCAAAGAGGAGATCCAGAGCCAGCAAAAGAGACATGGGGCTTTATTAGGGGCTTGCATATGGGGGAGACAGTCCAGTGGCAGCAGGCTGGACAGGAGAACCGCCTTATGCATAGAAATAGTCCAGTGCTGACAGGCTGGATGAGATAACCGCATGGCCTGTCTAGTGGTGGTGGGCTGGGCAGGAAAACCACAACACTCACCTCCTAATGGCCTCCACCTGGCAGTCTTCATTTACCAAAACTCAGAGCCTCGATCTCCCGCATGGCTCATGTTCCACGGGACAGGCCTGGGGCTCAGACACTTATCATTGATAAGGAATGAATCTTCAGGTTCATTCCCTAGTGCAGAACACACATTCAGGTGTGTGTGCCATACAGGCTCATTCTCAGGGTATGCTGAAGTTACTGCTCTCAGCTCCATTTACCCTTCACTAGGTCACACCTATAATTGAACATTTTGGCTCACAGTGCTAAAATATCCTTTTTTCTAGTTTTAAATTGACAAAAGTTGTATATATTTCTTGTGTACAACAGTTTTTTTTCTACCTTTCCAACTTTTAGGTTCAGGGGATAGATGTTCAGATTTGTTACATGGATAAATTGTGTGGCGTGGGGGTTTGGTGTACAGATTATTTCATCACCCAGGTAATGAGCATAGTACTTGATAGGTAGTTTTTTTATTCTCACCCTCCCCCCACCCTCCACCCTCAAGTAGGCCACAGTATCTACTGTTTTCTTTGTGTCCATGACAACATGTTGTTTTGAAATATGTACATGTATGACCATGTGATGAGGCAGCAAGAGAGGGGCTGTGTACAAGCCTGGAACAGATTCTTCTATTATGGACCCCAAAGGAAACCAACCCTGCCAGCACCTTGATCTTGAACTTCCAGCCTCCAGAACTATGAGAAAGTAAATTTCTGTTAAGCCACCCAGTCTGGCATTTTGCTTTGGAAACCCTAGTAAACAATTGCACAAGGACAGGCAAAACTCACTTGTCCAAACAATTGTTAAAAGTAACACAAGATGTATTCCAGGGAAGCAAAACATGATTGAGAGCTACATTTCCATCTTAAAGTAAGAAGCAGTTGACAGGGCATCCCACCAGATCTGTAAGGCTGTGCAGTGTGGTTGTTAAAAGCAGACTCCAGAGCCAAACTGCCTGGGTTCAGGTCCAAGCCCTGCACTTGCTGGCCATGAGATCTTGACCAAGTTACTTTGCCTCTCTTTGATTTTCTCATCTGGAAAATGGGGACAATAGCAACACCTGCCTCCCAGGGCTGCTGTAAGTACTATAGAAGTTAACAAATGGAACACCTGGCACATGGAAAAATGCTAAGGACAAATTTGCTGTTTTTATCTGGTCTTTGAAAAAGATTTCAGAGGAAATATAATTGAAGGTTGTTCCAATTGATTTCCACCTGCCAGCATGCCAGAAGACCCCTTATTTATAAGATCCCTTTCTTGGTTTAGACTTGTCTCCCTTTGCCAATTTTATTTAAAAGGATAATGACCCACTTTTAGTAGAAAGCCCCAAGGATGCTATTTTGAGAGGAAACTCTCAGGAAATTCCCAAGTAATCTGCAGGGGGAAAAGATATCAGTTTCTTAAATCTGCTTAAAAGCCTGCCAGCTCCCAATTAGTCTGCTGTCTTACAAGTCAGAACAGTGGGTTAGTAAGGGCTGGATCTCTGGGGGTGCTGACTGTGAACACTGATCCAGCTGTGCTCTTGTGAGCTGTGCACGTGTGTGTATGCATGTTCAACTTCAATATAAACTTTAGTTAAATACTGATATGGTTTGGCTATGTCCCCACCCAAATCTCATCTCAAATTGTAGCTCCCATAATTCCCTCGTGTTGTAGGAGGGACCCAGTGGGAGATAATTGAATTTTGGGGGCGATTCCCCCCATACTGTTCTTGTGGTAGTGAGTTAAGTCTCTCAAGATCTGATCATTTTATAAGGGGAAACCCCTTTTGCTTGGATCTCACTCTTCTCTTGTCTGCTGCCATGTGAGACGTGCCTTTTACCTTCCGCCATGATTGTGAGGCCTCCCCAGCCACGTGGAACTGTGAGTCTATTAAACCTCTTTCTTTGTAAATTGCCCAGTCTCGGGTGTGTCTTTATCAGCATTGTGAAAATGGACTAATACAAATACCCTACCAAGAGATATAGTTCAAACTCACCCAAGAACCTTTGAATTCCTCCTACATCTTCTTCATGGATATTTGGAAATTCCTTTGGCAAAGAGTTCCAATCCTCTTGAGACTAAGCTGAGGTGGAGGGAGCCCCAGAATGGGACCCCTAAAATATCAGATAAATAAAATATTTCGTATGAAGATATCCCATGTAATACTCAGGACATATTTCTGCTAAAGAATATTTTTTTCTTATTTGAAATTCAAATTTAACTTGGGCATTCTGTATTTTTATTTGCTAAATTCAAATTTCAGATAAATCTTTTAGAATATAGTATAAGTATGTTCAAAATATTATATATTTGGGATTATTTATACTAAAAAAATTTATCTGAAATTCAAATTTAACTGGGTGTCCTGTATTTTATCTGACAAACCTATTCTGAGTGCTTTACACATATTGATTCATTTAACCCTCATATAAACGAATAAGGGAGGTACTATTATTACCTCCATTTTATAGATTAGGAAACTGAGGAAAGGAGGCTGAGTAGTTTTCCCAAAAAATCTGTCAGTACCAAGTACTGACAAAAATGCAGAGCCACCGGAATTCTCATATACTGCTGGTGGAAATGCAAAATGGTACAGCCACTTTGGAAAATCATTTGGCAGCTTTTTAAAAAGTTGAATATACACCTAACATAAGACACTGCCTACCATTTATCACCTATCAAAACACTTTTGGAAGTGTTTTGATTTGATACGATGAGGCTAAAGACAAAGACCTGCACACAAACACTATATTCTAGCTGATAAATATGTATCCTCACAGGGGCTTAGGTTAAAAATTTGGAAATTATTTGTATACCTGAGAGGAATAAATACAGTCACGCATTGCATAATGATGTTCAGACAACAATGGACTGCATATATGATGGCAGTACCATGAGATTATAATGGAGCTGAAAAATTCTCATCATCTTGTGACGTCATAGCCATTGCAATGTCAGAGTGCAACACATTATTCACGTGTTTGTTGTGATGCTGGTATAAACAAACCTATTGCACTGCCAGTCATACAAAAGCACTGCACATGCAATTATGTACAGTACATAATACTTGCTAATAACCATGTTACTTATTTATTATCCTATACTTTTTATAATTATTTTACAGTTTTTTTTAAAGGTTAATTGTAAAACAGCCTCAGGTAGGTACTTCAGGAGGTATTCCAGAAGAAGGAATTTTTATCATGGGACATCACAGCTCTGTGTGTGTTATGATTCCTGAAGACCTTTCAGTGGGACAAGATATAGAGGTGGAAAGCAGTGATATTGATGATCTGGACCCTGTGTAGGCCTAGGCCTATGTGTATGTTTGTATCTTCATTTTTAACAAAAATTTTAAGAAGTAAAAAAGAATAAATAATTTAATATATAAAAAAGCTTGTAAAATAGGGATATAATGATGTTATACAGCTGTACAGCATGTTTTAAGCTAAGTGTTACTACAAAAGAGTCAAAAAAGTTTATATGGTAAGTTACAGGAAGCTAAGGCTAATTATTGAAGAATGTTTTTTATAAGTTTAGTGTAACCTAAGTCTTCAGTGTTTTATGCAGTCTATATTAGTGTACAGAATGTCCTAACCTTTCACTTTCACTCACCACTTGCTCACTAACTCACCCAGAGCAGCTTCCAGTCCTGCCAGCTCTATTTATGGAAAGTTTATACAGGTGTACCATTTTTATTCTTTTACTGTATTTTTACTGTTTCATTTCTGTTTAGAAAGACAAACACTTACCACCGTGATACAGCTGCCTACAGTATTCAATAGAGTAGCATGCTCAACAGATTTGTAGCTAGGAGCACTAGGCTTGCAGATAGCCTACATGTATAATAGGCTCTACCATCTAGGTTAGCGTAAGTACACTCTACAATGTTTACACAATGAAAAACATCTAACGACACATTTCTCAGAATATATTCCTATCATTTAAGTGATGCATGAGTGCATACTGCAGAGCCAGTTTCTCACTATTGGATAAAGAAGTTACAAATATGGAAAGGAGAAAAGCTAGAATAAACTCCAGTGCTGGACTGTAGTTAGTTATCATGCTGACTCATGTTTAAAAAAAAGATATGCACACTCACATTCAGATAAATACAGAAATAAAAGAGGTGTGCATAGACATAAATTATTACATGTACCTATATTACCTAACTCTCCACTGAGACAGCCTAGACACAATTGCACTCCAGGAGCAATGAGTACATCCATTGCCCATATCTTGGTTTCTAAATACCATTCTCCAATTAAAGTCTCCTTGGAGAACCAGTTAATTCTAGGGCTGGGGCAGAGAAAATACAAAATGAGCCTGGAGTATCTTGTGGTGCAGGAAGTAAAGAAGTGCCATAAAACAAATATATAAAGGATGTAGCCGTATCGAAAGAGCACAGGAGCCACCTGAAAGCATCCCCAAAGGCCAAAGTTGACTTGAGGGGGCAAAAATAAGTGATTAGATTGTAACAAAAAGTAAGATGAATATCTATGAGTCCATATTGATATAAATTTACATTGATACACTTTTATTCAAATGAGGGAGAATTGACAAGTCTCCCCTTCAGAAGAATTCCAATTGACAAATGTAGAAGGAATGAGGGAAATAAACCACTATTAGAACACCACAGTAATCGGCAGTAATCCCAGCACTTTGGGAGGCTGAGGTGGCCGTATCACTTGAGGTCAGGAGTTCCAGACCAGCCAACATGGTAAAACCCCATCTCTACTAAAAATACAAAAACTAGCCAGGTATGGTGGTGCATGCCTGTAGTCCCAGCTACTTGGGAGACTGAGGCAGGATTGAATCCTGGAATAGAAAAACTGGTGAAAAACATAGGGTCTGCAGTTTAATTAGTACTATTGTAGTGAGGTTAATTTCTTAGTTTTCATGAACATTCTGTGGGTATTGAAGATGTTAACATAAGCAGGAACTGGGTGAAGCATAAATGAGAACTCTGTACTATTTCTGCAACTGAGACTAAAATTATCTAAAAATAAAACATCACCCAAAAAATATAAAACCCTCATTTCACCCTCATAATCCCTTACTCTAGCAAAAGAAAAAAATGTATTCAAGAGCCAATTTGGGCCTCTAAGAATAGGGTCAGGCTTCCACAATTTGTACCAATAAACGATTTCCCTGGCCTGCTTTCATCTTTAAATTGAGTAAGGAAACCTAAAGAGCCTATTTTTTCCCCCTTTCCTTCTTCAAACTTCTAAGTCAGCATTTCCTACGGAGTGCAGCCGATGCTTTTCCTCTCCCACACAGCTCAGGGCCCAGTGGGTGGGCTGCGCGCCTCAGCACTGTACTGACTCTTTCTAAGTGTGGTCAAGGGAAAACGAGCTCCCTAGAGGTGCCACGTGCTGTTAAAATATCTAAAACACTTCTAGAATTCTGAGGAAAGTGACGCAGAGGAAGCTCACTCACTCAAGAGTTGCAAGGCCTGGTGTTAGGGTCCCCCGTTTCCTCATTTTTTTAGGAAAATGACTCCGATCCCTGAAAGTGTAAACTGCTGGTGAGTAAACAAGTAAAAACCATCTGCTGCCATCCAAAGATGCTGCCAGCTTATGACATTTCATAGCGCTGCCTACCTCTTCAATCTTCCCACAAGGCAGAATTGTTTTTCACCTACCAGATATTTGACATCACTGAGGTATTAGATACTGTACGAGAAATAGACTGCTCCTGATTTTTCAATTAACTCACAAGGTAAAGGCAAATTTTGATTAACAGAAATTGTTTTCAAGGCCAGGTACGGTGGCTCACACCTGTAATCCCAGTGCCATGGGAGGCTGAGGTAGGATTACTTGAGTTCAGGAGTTCGAAAGCAGCCTGGGCAATATAGCAAGACACTGTCTCTACAAAATATTTTAAAAGTTAGCCAGATGTGGTGCTACATACTTGTAGTCCCAGCTACTCAGGAAGCATAGGCAGGAGAATGGCTTGAGCCTAGGAATTTGAGGCTGCAGTGAGCTATGATTGCACCAGTGCACTCCCGCCTGGGCAAACCTGTCTCCAAAAAAAAAAAAAAAAAAAAAAAAAGTTTTCATATTGCTAACGTACATCATTTGAGGTAACTACTTTAAAAGGCTGTGTTTCTGGCTATTGGAAGAATAGGTTAACCACCAAAAAAAGGAAAATCATCGCTACTAACAAGAACTGGGTACTTAGGAAGATACCACCTAGGTAGAAACACCTTTAATAGATTCATGACATATTGGAACTATTTATCTTTGGAGGCTCAAGGGATTGTTGGGACTTCTGGAATGAGAAAACTAAATTATTGTCCCTCTTTCCAGACATTAGGCCAACTTAAGCCTGAGAAGAGCACACCTAAGCTTGTGGTAGTTCATCTGTGCAAATGTGGTAAGTTGAAACCCCATATCTGGAAGGTATATGATGAGAGTCTTACATCCCCATGTGCAGCCACCAGCCTCCCGAGTCTGCACTTGTGCCTTAATCCCAGAGCCCCACAGAAGGGTGAAGGCAGGCCGGACACTCCTTGTCATTCCTAGGCCAATAGCAAATGTCAAAAGTATCAGCTTGGCGTCTTTGATGTCCTGCAGGTCAGTGCTACTCAAAAATGTGATTGGCAAGTGATGTGTTACCTGTCCATGATGACGTAAGAACAGAGATTGAGAGTTAAGTCTTTAGAAGTTTTACGGCAAGTTGACAAGAGTAATTCAACATTGAATCTAACCATAAAAAATAAACCGTCCTTTCACACGTTGCTCTAAACCAGAATTTCCTGACTTTTCTTGTGGTGTGCCTATGAATTTGGCAGAGTTCTGGTGGTGAAAGGAGTCTCCTCTTTTCACAGCAGTCTTCCTTCCCTGTCCAGATCTTTCTGCACCTACCCCTCTCCCAGCAGAAACATTTCACACATGTACATCCCATCCTCCCCCTCCTTCCCTGTCATGGCAGTTGGGAGGCTATGCAGGAGAATGGAAAGAGTCATGGGCTATGGAGGCGGGAGATTTACGTCTGACTTGCTGTGTAGTAACAGTGGCTTCAGCTGGCATCCAACCTTAGTTTCTTCATTCATAAAATGGAGAGGATGATGATGGCGGGGCCTACCTCATAAGACTGCTCTAAGAGCACCCTCTGCATACTGTAGTGCCTATGCCTAGTGCTGCTGTCTTTGATTGGGCCCTTCAGAAAGTTGATCCTGAAGCAAGCCCAGGGCAGTGAGAGTGAAAGCAAAGGTGGAATTGAGGAAAGAAAGATGAAAAATATAACGTGATGCATTACCGCACTGACCAGGACACCGCAAGTCATTAAGCAGGCATGCTTACCAGGAACACTGAGATTTTCTTCAGATGTTTTGCAAGGAGAAGAAACTGCAACTCACACCAGCCCTTGGAAGGGAAAGAGGAAGGACACCCTTTCTAGTTGATCAAGGATTACATCCTCTAGCTCCTGTCTATCTCTCAGAAAACCAGAGAACATATCCCAAATTGTTACATTTCATCTTAGCCTAGATGTAGAAAGTGACTCAGGTGGGTTATGCCAAATAAGGGAGAAAGACAGAAAAGTGAGTCTGAGAAAGCACACAAGATTTTGATTTAATGTGTCAGCTTCCAATGCCACTTCTACTACCATCCAACCTTCTTATACAAACGAGTAAGTGGAATGAGACAAGGTGGAATCTGTGTCTTGAGTGCTGAAATGATGACTGAGACATTTATTTAGGAGACACGTTGAGTTTTTCAAAAACAGCCAGATTTTCTGGAGTTCTTCAAAAATTCTACTACCTGGTCTCCAACCCCAGAGACGACGAACTGGTAGTTCTGGAAGACTGGATTCTGTTTTAAGATGGTATATTTTTGCTCCATAGATGATTGTGAAGTTAGGGCTGGGACCCATGGTGATAGTTCCTGCATCACTCCAGGCTAGAGGTTCCACAGACTCCCGAGTGCCTCTGTAGGCTAGATCACACCAGGAGTTGCAGTCTGGAGCTGTGATGGTGGTGATGGCAGACAGGATCCAGCAGGAAAGTAAAGTCCCGTTCCGCTGCCAAAAACCTGCCTGGGACTGACTAGTGCCCATCCCCGAGGCTGTATGTTGAGAATCAACTCCAAAGGCAGAAGGTAAGTGTATTAACCTATTGGTCACCAAACATGACTTTGTTTTATTATTAAAGGTCAAAGGGGTAATATAAACAGTTATGGGATGCTAAAATCCATCACATTCTGTTGTTGCAGTTCAACTTATATGCCTGGCAGTGTCTGTTGCTTTGAAGGGAAAGAAATAAATATATCATATACCTACAAATATCGTTCATTGTATATATGAATACCTATATATTTACATTCAAATATGTATAGATGTCCCATGATCATTTAACTTCAGGCCTACATGCTAGAGATGATAAAGCAGTAAAGACCCTGACTTCAGTGGTTCTCATCCTCGGCTGCCCCTGGGAATCATCTGAGGAGTTTGCTAAAAAATACTGATGCCTGGTACCTACCTGCAGAGATTCTGATATTACATATCTGAGATATGGCCGGGACATTCTAGTCTGCATCCAAGTTTAAGAACCACAGCCTTATTTGGAATCTAAAGCCCCCAAGTTGTACAGTCCTGTGTAATTTCTATGGGAAACCGGGAAGAGCCAGCTTCCTGTGTGGCCAGCAAGGGCAGCTACAGGGGTTCAAAATGGTCTGTTGACAGCTCTTTTAGGAAAATATTTATGCAGCTGATGTTGCACTGCCCTGGTACTTACCAAAGATAAGCTAAAACTGTCATCGTATACAGGGTGCTGCTGTTGATGGGCTTCTGTCTTGGTGAGATGCTGGAGCAGGGCTCAAGTTCCTGTAGCCATGAGTTCAAACAAGCTAGAGTTGCTGCAGATGGCTGTGAACTTTGTGTGACTGGTAGCATCTGAGCATCCCTCAACTTGGATAGAGCTCCAATCGCCTCTCCCTGACAGCTCACCCATGCCAGTGGTGAGTGGTGAGTGGACAGCTCCCATTCCAGTGGTGAGCCTAAGACCCAGGCAGGTAGCTGTGTGAACATTTGCCCACAGAAAGCTCATCATTATAGATCTGAATTCCTGAATCCAAATGAGAAACATCTCCTGATTACTCAACAGCTACTCATATGTTCTTTGAATGAGCTGATATATTTGGAAGATCAGGTCCCTGATATCTGTCTGATTAACCGACATGCCTCATAGTATCCTCATCTCCCAGAGAGAAAAGTAATGCATCCCTGAGTCTCTCCAGGCTTGAAGGCAGGGGTTCATCTGCATCTCATTTTATCCCCACCTAAAAATGTCACTGCCCTAAGAAGTAGGTTCCTATCCTGGCCTGCGTGTGGCTGCTCCTAACGGGCACCTGGCATCTCCCTGCTGGCCAGTACACTAGCAGCTCCTGCCTTTCAGACAGCATGGTATACAGTCACATCCGCCTGGAGTCAGGACTAGAGGCGCCACACACTCTCTTGCACTAGGCAATGCCGTGTCCCTGCTGCACGCACCTGTCCATGTGGGGCCTTGAGCTGGATTTCGTTCTGAGTCAGGGTCTTCTTCTGTTCTCCAGGCTGGAGTGCAATGAGGATCACAGCTCACTGTAACCTTGAACTCCTGGACTCAAGTGATCCTCCTGCCTCAGCCTCCCGAGTACCTTGGATTCCAAGTACATGCCACCATGCCTGGCTAGTTTAAACTTTTTGCAGAGAAGGGGCCTTGCTATGTTGCCCAGGCTGGTCTCAAACTCCTGGCTTTAAGCCATCCCCCAGCCTGCATGGTAAACACACCTGAGAGCAATAACGAGCTTTCCCTGAGAATGACCCTGCATGGCAGATGCACCTGAAGGTGTGTTCAGTGCTAGGAAATCTGGGAGTGACCAACCCAGAGATTTATTCCTTGTCTGAGGAACATCTGAGTCCCTGGCCAGTCCTGTGGAACACAGGCTATCCAGGGACTTGAGGCCCCAAATTTTGGATCAAATCAAGGTTGCCAGGTGGAGGTTATTAGGGAAAGGGTGCTAAGTGAAAATGCCGTAGAAACTGTCTGCCTTTTTTAAGCAGTTGCAGTTCTCCTGTCCAGCCCACCACCACTGGACTCTGCCCACTGTATGTAAGCCCTCGGTAAAACCTCCTGTCTCATTTGCTGGCTCTTGAACTATTTGGCCTCTTGAACCTGGTGCCACCCCCAATGGGGTGAATTGGGGTTTGGAACAACACCAACTCAGCCTCCCAAAGCACCGGAACTACAGGTGTGAGCCACTGCACTGGTCTGAGCTGGGCTTCATGTCCCATTTCAGGCAGTTGGTGGGACAGAGTCTCCCCAAACCCCGTTGTATTACTTCTCTTTGCCATGTCACAAATTACCATAGACTTAGTGGCTTAAGCAACACCGATGTTGTACCAGACCCCTATTAACCTCAATAGGGATGGTACCATGTTTGAGAGGCCAAAGAAGAGACCCAAAGCCAGCAAACAAGACATAGGGTCTATTAGCAGGAAACTTATACACAGGGATGGCCCAGTGGCAGCAGGCTGGACAAGAACCATGTAGCCCAGGGGTGGTGGGCTGGACAGGAGAACTACAATGGCTTGCAAGAGGCACGCAGTTTATGGAGCATTTTCACTTAACATCTTCCCCATAACAGACTCCACCTGGGACCTTCATTTAACCCAAAACAAAGGGCCTCAATCCCCTGTATAGTCCACATTTCATGGGATGTTAGGGACAGGGTTCAGATGTTCCTCAAAGATAAGGAATGTATCTCCAGGTTGGCCACTCTGGATTCCTTAGCTTGGAACTCCAAACACACATTCAGGTGCATCTGCCATACAGGGTCATTCTTAGGGTGTGCTGGAGTTATTGTTATCAGGCACATCTACCATGAACCCATTTATTATCTGGGTCAAGATTCTGAGCATGGCTTAATTGGGCCCTCTTCTCAGGTTCTCAGAGGCTACGACAAACATCATGGCTGTACTGGGTTCTCATCTGAAAACCTGACTAAGGAGGAATCCGTTTCTGAGATCACTCGTGTTGGGAGAATTCATCTCCTTGTGGCTCAGTGCCTGAGGGTGCTGACCTTTTGCTGGCTGTTGTCCACTCTCAGCCCCTAGAGGTCACTCACAGTTCCTTGCTATGTGGCCCTCTCCCCAACATGGCACTTTCTTCAAAGCCACATAGGGAGAGACTGCAGCTTTCTGCTGAGTAACCTAATCAAGGAAGTGACGTCACGCACCTTCCCCATACAAGGGAACCTAATGAGGGCACGCATAGCCTTTGCCATCTTCCACTGGTGAGACGCAAGTCATGGGTTCCACCTGAACTCAAGGGAAGGAGATTCACAAGGGGGTGACCCATTGGGTCACATTATGGTGTGTCTGCCACACTCAGCCACTTGTTTTGACATTGACTGTAAGATTTCCTCTTTGATCCCTCTTGCCAGGCCTGAACTTGATCTAAACTTTTATTATTGATCCCTGATGGCTTCCTATTAATGCCCCCACCCAACTCTTTCCCCCTCCAGATGGTCTTGAATGATGTAGTTCAATCTCTTGGTGACATCCAGCCTGACAAATACATATTATCTAACCACTGAGGAAACAGATTCTGAGAAAGGTTAAGTGTCTTGTCCAAGGTCACACAAATCATAAATCTGCTTAGCCTGTATAGCAGTGATAGTCTTACCTAGCTATTAGGACTGATACTAAAATAACGCATGAAAGTACTCTGCAAATGGAAGCGTATTACGCAAATATTACGAATTTCATTCATTAAAATAATGGATTTTTGGCTTTTTAATGGATCCTCACTTGCATTTGCCCTTTGACAACCTCATATGTGTGCAAAATTTTGTCTACATAGTTTGCAGGACATCAACAAGAGGTTTTTTTTTTTAATGCTTCTTGTGTAATCCAATGTGTCACATGCAAATAGGGAAAAGTTAACTTAAAAAGGCTTTATCTCCTTTTAATCTTCCTTTGTTCTTTTCTGCTTTATCTTAGCACATTTCCTATGTAGACCTGTGGGTCCCATGAGCGAGCTACTGACCTTGGGAGAAGCAAGCTGTCTTTCCAGACTCCCTTGTAACTCAAAAAACATAGGGAAAAACACACAGTACTCTTCCTACTCCGTGCCAAGGTGCTGTGCTGCTCAGCTGAACCCAGGGCCCTCTCCACTGTCAATCAGCAAAGCTCTGGAGCTGGGGGCTGCTGGGCGGCCTGAGAGTGGGGTGGGCGCTCAGGGGAAGTTGCTAAGACTCAGGCCCAGACAGGTCCCTGCTGAGGCACCAAACTGGTGAGACCTGAGCCTGGTCACAATTAGTCTTCCATTTGCTAGATAACTGCCGCTCTTCTCAAAAGCAGAGGCAAACAATCCCACTATTGTTTAAGAAGTCTGGGGTTTATCTTCGGTTACTTAAGGCAATGAGGACAGACTGCAGAGATGCCCAAATCTCTCTGGCGCTGAGACTTGTTGCTAAGAAAACAAAGATTCCAGCTCTCACCCTCAGCCTACCGCTCCAAGATAAGCGGTTCTTCCAGTTATTAAATAGTGTCTGTCTGCTCTAATCGTAATGTTCTCACAGGATTTTCTGCACCTTTCTTTAACACAGTCCTATGATAGCCACACGCTGTCACAGGAATAAGTAGTCTCTCAAGTTCTCTCAAGATCTGAGGTAATATGTGATCAAAAATCAGAGAAAACCTCAACTTGGCCATTGGGCATTTGGTTAATGTTAAGCCTCTCTGGGTCTGTATTCTTCACTAAAATGAGAATACTTAACTCACTGGTGTTATAAGAACTAAATGAATTTATACATATAAAAATCTTACTTGGGGGGGGCTTGGACAGAGTCATCACTGCAGTAATGGAGACGTTCTCCACACTGTCTAGTCCAGTAGCAGTTGCCACATATATCCATTGAGCACTTAAAATGCGACTACTTTGGGTCTTGTTTTCTCAAATGCTTCTCTTTGCAGGAGGGAGGTCAGGCCACTGTGTTCCCTTACCTCAGGGACAGACCACCTCACTTTGTCTGGTTTCAGGAAACAGCTCACTGAGGGGAACCGTGGAAGGAAGAGGTGCACGGTGCAAGTGGAGGTGCTCCTGCAGCCCGGGGTCCTTGCCCAGCTCCCAGCTGCACCCTCAGAGAGGCAGGCCTGGGAGGAGAAGGGCCGAGTGGGGTACCTAGGAGGCTGCCTGCCAAAGCACCCGAGATTAAACTCCCGCTCCACTTGGCAATTTGATTTCAAGAAAATAAAGACATTTCTTCACACCCAAGGAGAAATGAAGTCATCCATCCTACATTATTACTATCATTTCCACCCAGAAATAACTAAGTCCTGGGGCTTGCTGGGTGGGACTGAATCATAAACCAGGGTGGGGAATGGGGGAGAGGTAGATGGAAGAAACAAAAGGAGATAGGGGTAGGGGGCAAAACGTGATGCCGGCGCTGCAAGGAGGCAGTGCATTTGCCCACTCGAGAATCCTCGCTGCCTGCCCTTAACAGAATCACATTATGCTGCATAGTATTTTACAATTTGCAGCTCGTTAATAGCCTGTGAACTCTAATAACTAATTCTTTCTGCTAGGTAAGTAGAAAAGAAGACAGACTTTATTCATTACATTATTATCCTTGTAGAGTAACCTCCCATGGAGCAGGCAAGTAGGCGAAACAACTTGCTGGCTGGCCAATCTTTTATGTGTAACTTGCTGACTTCAGACTCCCCTAGTTGCCCACATACTAACTGTAAGCCTCCTGAGGCTCTGAGGCATCAACCTCTCTCCCCCTAGAGTGGCGTTGTGCAAGACAGTAGCCACTAGTCATGTGTGGCTTTTTTTTTTTTTTTTTTTTTCTGAGATAGACTCCCACTCTGTTACCCAGGCTGAAGTACAGTGGTGTGATCTTGGCCCAGTGCAGCCTCCACCTCCCGGATTTAAGTGATTCTCCTGCCTCAGACTCCTGAGTAGCTGGGGTTACAGGCACACACCGGCGACGCCCAGCCGATTTCAGTATTTTTAGTAGAGATGGGATTTTGTCATGTTGGGCAGGCTAGTCTTGAACTCCTGGCCTCAGCTCTTTATATTATAAAATGATTAGAATTAAAATTTAAAGATTCTCTCCTCACCCACACAAGCCACTTTTCCAGTGCTCAGGAGCCACCCTGGGCTAGTGTCAACCCTGCTGGGCAGAGCAGACAGAGGACATCTCCATCACTGCAGCAAGTTCTGTCATACAGTGTTGTTCTAGAAAGGAAGGTTATTGAATGGACATCTAGAAAAGCATTTTAAATGACTACTTTTTTGGTTGTTGTAAGCAACAACTTATTTTATACTTACAAAACAAGAACAAACCTTATCCTGTTCCAAATCCTACAGAATCGTAAACAGGGTCATAATTGTACATATCATTCTCGGCTAAAGGTAAAAAGTGAGGTCTTCCCACATACACAGCATTTTTCTTTCTTTTGAAAGCTTTAAGTGATTTGCTTCCTGAGGACCAACACTATTCTGAGACTGTAGTCACAGTCTGTGAGCGGCAGCGCCTTGTATCAAGATGTGGTTATTCCACAAAGGCGACAAGAATGTGAGGACACACGCTCAAGGTGGGTACTGACAATGCCCGGCTGCCAAGATGGATTAAATTTATGGCAATTTACAGCTCACCCCAGGGAGACTCAGTCTGCAAAAGCTCAGAGACAGGGAAAGTTGCCATAAGGATGCAGGTAATGAAAGCATTAAGCTATCCACTCTATTGAGAAAAATGGCTCCAGGCTGAATTTTCCAGGCACACTGTCTATACCAAACAATTATCCCAATCATGCTATGGTGTTTCCCTCCGTTTTCCCAGTGCTGATGTGCCTTTAGGTGCAGCGGGTTTGTTGCTGCTATGTTTGGGCTTCAGGGTATGATGCTATCTCCCGTCAGAAACCATGATCTTTACTAGGTGCCAGCTACAGCATGCCTACACAGACTTCTAGAAGCAGCAGGGCCAGAACAGAAGCACTTAAGCCCCATACTCAAGAAACAGAAGCCTGGCGCAGGTCCAGCTCTCTGTCCATGGGACCACAATGAGTCTTTCACAGTGCATGCCTTGCTTGTACAAGGGCAATTGTCTCTGAGGTTATGTTCATAATGGTTACCACTTAGGTGTTCACTAACAGGCTCAGTGTTAAGCACTCAATGTGCAGAATGCCACAGATACATCCAAAGGCTCTGTGAGGGGAGGTCACTGGATGTCCTCGTTTCACAGTAATGTAAACCACTTAGGTGATACCTCAAGCTGGTGCAAGTAGTGGCTGACCTTGAATCCAGGTGATGTGACCGCCGCTATGGGTTTCTGTGGGTCCCTTGGCCCAAGGTCCTGTCAATTCACATATACACCTGTCCAGCCCACCCAGCCTTAGCTTCCCCATTTACATTTAATGGTGAAGAGCACAGACCTCTGGAGCCAGACTACCTGTATTCAAATCTGAGCTCTGCCATTACTACCTGTGTGCCTTTAGCTAACCCCTGGGTGCCTGAGGACCCTGGCCTTTTGCTGGCCCTCTTCTTACAGAAGAGAAAGCAGACCCCAGAGCCAGTTTCTCTTCTGTAAGGGAAGCCTGGAGGCTGGTTTTACCTCTACAAGAAGAGAATGGTATTGATGCCTGGCATCACCTGAGAGCTGTCAGAAATGCAGAGTATCAGGCCCCACCGTAGTCCAACAGAGTCAGAACCTGTATTTTAACAAGATCCCTGCGTTGGTTTGCACATTAGAGTTTGAAAAGCACCATCTGATGGCAGAAAATAGTGCCCTGTGATGAATTATTTTGTAAAACACACAAGACTCACGTAACGGTCTACTTTATAAAGCCAGACATATCACAGGTCTACATTTCAGTGCACTTAGAGGGCTATGCCATTGCAGGTGCTCCCCAGATGAACACAGTCACGTAAAGCCAGAGGATTGTGTTGAAAGACAAGGAAATGAAACTAAATCATTGCTCTTAGGACTAAAGTCAATGAGGTAACATTAGCAGCGGTTTCCTGTAATCCTTGAGGGTGGGGAGGAAGCATCCTGTAAGTAAAACAAAGTCTGTTGGCACGTGTTTCCATGAAGATTCATGCCTAATTAAGTAAAACCCACGAAAGCCGGAATCCTGCTCTGGGGAGACTGGGTGGCCACTGTGTTCTCTCTGGAAACTGACTGCTCCCCACAGGGGCCAGGCAGAGCCATGTCTGGGTCTGGTCCTCAGATTCCCAGAGTCCTGCTTGCAAGGGTAGCTGAGTACAGGCATCTCACCAAGTAGCTTTGAACAAAGGGGACTGAGTGGCTCGAACTGTCTTCCTTTCCTGCCCACCACCTCCCACTTTCTGAAAGGGTTCCCAGAAGCAGAGCTTGAGACTGGGCTTCGTGTTCCAATGATTTACTGGGGGTATGCTCTCAGGAGAAGGGGCACACATAGATTTGCCAGATAAAATAGAGGATGCCCTATTAAATTTAAGTTTTAGATAACCAACGAATAATTCTTAGCACAAGTATGGCCTAAGTTGTTTATGGGTCATATTTATACAAAAAATTTTGTTGGCTATCTGAAGTTTAACTGGATTTAGTTATGTTGGTTTGCTAAGTCTGGTAGCCCTGGGAAGAAGGATAGGCAGAGAGGAGAGCTAAGGAGATCTCCCAGCCAGAGCCCAGGATCCCAGCATTGTACAGTGCACCATAGTAGACCCACAATGGGGCCAGCAGCCTGGCGTTCTGTATTCCTGTGCCATTCAGTCACTGGCCAATCTGCCCCCCAGGCACATAGGGGGAGGCAGATGCTGTTCATGGGCAAAGGAAGTGAGTGGATCCCATTTGGCCAAGGGCAATTCTCCAGAGAATGAGAGCAGCTGGAAGCTGCAGACAGCCAATATTCAATCAGAGTGGGGCCTCTCTGGGGTCAGCTCTGACAGTTGTGGATGCTGTCATCCACAACCTCTCCCCACCCTACACACACTCCTACTAGCAATCCTCAGGCCTTTCATAAGTCAACAGCAGTTTATGAGTGGCTTTGAACTGGGGAGACATCCCTGGATCTTGTCTCAGGTCCCTGGGAATAGATTTGTAAGTAGGGCTTCCAAAAATAAAATGAGGTGCACCTTGTCCATTGACTGCCAGATCTGTGCCGCCAGCACATCATCCCACCAACTTTGGTTTGCTCTGGGTATTTCTGAGAGCTGGATGGGGCATTTTCTTTCCATGCTTCTAGGACAGTCTTTGTTTCACCAGGATGGAAAAGGGGTAGGGAGAGAAGTTTTGGCCCACGTCACCTTCTTCCAAGCAGAACAAACTGTCTAGGAAAAAATGTCAACCGACTCTATACCTCACACTGAGGATACAGGACAAAATTAACCCTACTCATTCTGTCATCTGGGAGAAAAAGTCACCTTAGAAAAGAAAAAAAAAATCGCCAGTGTTTTGTTTTGCTATGTTTAACAGATCGTTATTCCACATATGGATGAGGGGTACAGGCATACGTTCATTTTTACTCAGATTACAAAAACAGGAAACGTGGAAGTTGCCTATGGGCATGACTCAAGGGGCACTGAGCTGGCCTTTCTGTCCCCAACACAGGCATTCCTCGTTTTCTGCTACAAGTATTGCATTTTGTTTTTGGTTTTGTTTTTTTAACAAATTGGATGTTTGTGGCAAGCCTCTGTCAAGCAAGTCTATTAGTGTCATTTTCTCAACAACATGTGCTCACTTCATGTCTTGTCGCATTTTGGTGATTCAATATTTCAAAATTTTTCATTATCATTATTGTATCTGTGATGGTGATCTGTCATCAGTGATCTTTGATGTTACTACCGTAATTGTTTTGGGATACCACAACTCTGCCTTTCACTTAAAGGCTGAGAGGCTATTTAGGGTTACTAACTGGCCTAATTTCAGTGTTGGATCTTGGAATAGGGAGAGGCAGAGAGACACGAAATGGCTGGTCGGTGGAGCAGTCAGAACAAACATTTATTAAGTTCACTGTCTCATACAGGTGTGATTCATGGTGTCCCCAGTTACAATAGTAACAAAGATCACTCAAAGTTTGTTAGAAGATCAAACTAGCCACTACATTCTCTTAAGCCAAAGCCTAATCCAGAGCAAGGCCCTAAAGTTCTTCAGGTCTGTGAAAGCTGAGAGAGGTGAGGAAGCTGCAGAAAAGCTGGCAGCTACCAGGTTGGTTCATGAGGTTTAACAAAAAATGCCATCTCCATAACGTAGAAGTGCAAGGTGAAGCAGCAAGTACTGATGGAGAAGCTGTAGTGAGTTACTCAGAATATCTAGCTAGGATCATTGAAGCAGGTGGCTACACTAAGCAGAATTTCAATGTAGACAAAAATAGCCCTCTTGGAAGATGCCATCTAGGAGAAGTTCATGCCTGCCTCCAAAGCTACAAAGGACAGGCTGATTCTTGTTAGGGGTTAATGCAGCTGGTGACTGTAAGTGGAAGCGAATGCACATTTATCATTCTGAAAATCCTGGGGTCCTTCAGAATTATGCTAAATCTACTCAGCCTGTGCTCTAGACATGGCACAAAACCTGGATGACAACACATCTGTTTACAGCATGATTTACTGCACATTTTAAGCCCACTGTTGAGACCTACTGCTCATAATAAAGATGTCTTTCAAAATATTACCCTCATTGACAATGCACCTGGTCACCCAAGAGCTCAGATGGAGATGCAAGGAGACGAATGTTTTGTTTTGTTTTGTTTTTCACACCTGCTAATACCATATTCATTCTGCAGCCCATAAATCAAGGAGTCATTTCAACTTTCAAGTCTTATTTTTTGAAGTATATTTTATAAGGCCAGAGATGCCATAGGTAATGATTCCTCTTAATGGATCTGGGCAAAGTCAATTGAGAATCTTCTGGAAAGATTTACCATTTTAGATGCCATTAAAAATATTTGTGATTTGTGGAAAGAAATCAACATTATCAACATTCATAGGAGTTTAGAAGAAGTTGATTCCAGTCCTCATGGATGACTTTGAGGGGTTCAAGACTTCAGTGGAAAAAGTCAATGCAGATGTATAGAAATAGCAGCAAGAGAACTGGAATTCTGAGTACAGCCTGAAGCTGTGACTGAGTTGCTGCAATTTCATGATAAAACTTGAACAAGTGAGGAGTTGCTTTTCATAGATGATCAAAGAAAGTGGTTTCTTGAGATGAAATCTATTCCTGGAGAAGACGCTGTGAAGATTGTTACAATGACAAAAGATTTAGAATATCACATAAACTTAGCTGATGAAGCAGTAGCAGGATCTGAGAGGATTGATTCCAATTCTTAAAGAAATTCTACTGTGGGTAAAATGCCATCAAACAGCATCACATGCCACAGAGAAATCTTTCCTGAAAGGAAGAGCCCATTGATGTGGCAAACTTCATTACTGTCTTATTTTAAGAAATTGCCACAGCCACCTAGCCTTTAGCAACCTCCACCCTAATCAGTCAGCAGCCATCAACATTGAAGCAAGACCTCCACCAGCAAAAAGATGACTCACTGAAAGCTCAGATGATTATCAGCATTTTTTTAGCAATAAAGTATTTTAAATTAAGATATGTACATTTTTTAGACATGATGTTATTGTACACTTAATAGACTATAGTGTAGTATGAACAACTTTTTTATTTTTTTAGAGATAGGTTCTCACTCTGTTGCTAAGGCTAGAGTGCAGTGGCATGATCATAGCTCACTGCAGCCTCAAACTCCTGACTTCAAATGATTCTCTCACCTTGGCCTCCCAAATAGCTAAATATAACTTTTATATGCACTGGGAAACAAAAAAATCATGCAACTCACTTTATTCCAATAGCCTGGAAACAAACTAGCAATATGTCCAAGGTATGCCTGTATATTTCTCTACATAGTTTGCGTGAAATTCCACCATGAGAAATTCCTTCAAGTCAGTGATTCTGAACTGGAGATGAGTCTGCCTCTGGCTTCCCCTTGTTAAAATAGATTGCTGAGCCCAACCCAGAGTTTGATTCAAGAGGAACCCAAGAACTGTATTTCTAACAGGTTTCCAGAGGATGCTGATGCTGCTGGTTTGGGGACTCCACTTTAAGAACCACCGGTTAAGAGGCCTGAATGAGATAATACACGTACACAGCTATTAGTATACTGCCTGGCATACGTAAGCCTGCCACACTCAGTGGTTCTCAAACTCGGTTGCACATTAAGATTACCTGGAGAGCTTATAAAAATCCCAGTGCCCATTCTGCACCTCAGACCAATTACAGCAGAATCCCAGGGGCAAGGGCACACATCGTTGCTTTTTGAAGCTCCCCAGGTGATTTCATTGTACAGTCATGGCTTAGAGGCACTGCCTTAGAGGTGGTTTAGAGAGAAAGTCGCTTGCGTTCACAGAACACTAATTTCTAACAGCCGCTGAAGGAAACTGACTAGAAAGGACCAGACATCCCATTGGCACTGTGGAGTATAGTTCTGTGTCTGGAAGGCCAAATAAACCTGCCTGGCCTTTCATGAAAGGACCAAAGCCAGAGGCAGAATACAGTTTAAGAGAGTTATTGCAAACAAGGCCCTGAGGCCTTTGCTTCTACTTCATCCTCCTTTGCACCTCCTCTGAACCAGCCTGGCTTTGTCGCCTTAAACTTCCTCCTATGCCAACCCTCTCAGAGGGATTCCTAAATGCTCCCTTCTCCAGGCCTCACCCACTCACTTTTCTGCAGTCTACAGCTTGATTCTTCCCTCCTGAAGTGATACTTGTTTTCAGAAAAGCCCCTCTGGTCCTGACCAGTTCTCATCTTCTCCTGTGCCTGTCCCTCTACCTCAGGCAATCTCCACATCCCTTCCTGCCCACCTTTCACCCTGCCAAGGGGTCATCCTGCTAAACCACATGTCAACTGCCCTCACTCCCTCTCAGGCAAGTCCTTCAGGGGCTCCCTCCCTTCCTTTCTAGCCACACTGGCCACTAGCCCTTCCTGGTGGATCCTGTTTCAGGGCCTTCACTCAGGCTGCCCTGGGGATGATGACATCCCACACTCTCGGACTCCTGGCTCAGCCTTCTCAGCTCACTCAGTGCTTTCCCCAGGAAGGTGTCCGTAAAGCTGTACTCCCCACCCTAAAGGCCAGGGTATGATGAAGGCTGTCACTATAAATGTTAAGAGACATCCTAACAAGTATTGCTTTGTCTTTTCACATAGATAGAGGAAGGAAGGAAACAAAGGGTGAAAAGCCTTCTTGGTAACAAGAAACTACCATTTATTTACAGAGTCACCATTATTTCTTCCTCAGCCATGTGGGTATAAAAATGAGGACACAGCCAGGTGCAGTGGCTCATGCCTGAAATCCCAGCACTTTAGGAGACCAAGGCAGAAGGATCGCTTGAGCCCAGGAGTTTGGGGCTGCAGTGAGCTGTGATCGCACCACTGTACTCCAGCCTGGGTGACAGACCAAGACCCTGTTTCTAAACAATAAAAACATAAAGATGAGGACATGATCTCTGCTCTCAGAAATTTACATCTGATTCACTGGAGAGTTTTCTAAAATGTCACCATGATCACAGGTCTAACCCTAATGACAAAAACCAAGACTTGATAGTTAGATAAAAGGTTTCAGTTACATGAGTATTTGTTTGAAAAAAAAATGTCTTGCAAAGGCCTAGAAATTAAAACACATGCCGGGCGCGTTGGCTCATGCCTGTAATCCCAGCATTTTAGGACGCCGAGGATGGCGGGGGCGGGGGGGTGCATCACCTGAGGTCGGGAGTTCAAGACCAGCCTGACCAACGTGGAGAAACCCTGTCTCTACTAAAATTATAAAATTAGCCAGGCATGGTGATGCATGCCTGTAATCCCAGGCACTCTGGAGGCTGAGGCAGGGGAAATCACTTGAACCTGGGAGGCGGAGGTTACGATGAACCAAGATCGCACCATTGCACTCCAGCCTAGGCAACAAGAGCAAAACTCCACCCAAAAAAAAAAAAAAAAAAGAAAAAAGAAAAAAAAAAATCCACACATAGATTTACTATATTGCCTTTCCAAAAGAGAAAAGAATACAAGTAAAATATAAAACTGAGCAAATTATATTAGCATCTGTATCTCTGAATAATTGAAATCAGGACTGCCCCCAGAAAACCCCATCCACCCCATAATAAAGGGTGACTGGCATTCTAACCCATTTGTGAGGTTGAGAATCTGAAAAGTGACTACTCCCCACACGCCACCCCAGAAACTGCTGTGGCTGCACATACCTCCAACCACATCTGAAACAGGTGGCCAGGCTATTGTCCCAGTCCTCCGAGTCCCTTCTCTCCTGGCCCTTGACTCCACCCCCTCCCAAGGAGCAACTGCCCCATCCACATGGCCTCCAGGACCTGTTAGCCTGGGCACATGCTGTTTCCTCTTCTTCCCTGCCCCACCTATCCTTCCCACAGTGTGGCAGAGGATACCTTCCCAGATTTCCTGCGGGAGCCCTGCATTCTGTGTTTGGGGAAGGAGAAGAGGAAGGGCTTTATCATCTGAGCCACAACCTTTAACAACATACCTCCCTCCCATCTGTCAGTCTATGAGCCAGAAGAAGGCGAGTGCCCTTGCCCTACCTAGTCACCCTCGAGGCTGAGTGCCCAGGGACAGTGGGAATCAGAAGGGCTTGAATAAGTGGACCCCACCCTCATCCTCACCCATGCTGTGTTGCACTGTGGCCTTCTTTCAAAGTGAAAAAGTCAACTCTGAAATGCAGACCCAGTGGGGAATTTAAAACAAACACCTCAGCCCTAACAAAAGGGAAGATGGAAACAAAAGTTCTTGGTAGGTTCTGCCATGTTTTCACAGGAGCCACATCACTACAGATGATAATTCCAACAGCCCCTTGAGAGGAAACCACTGCTGACTGGCACCCAGCAGGCAGAAGCAGTCAGGGGACATATGCAATTGCAGACCTGAACCGCACAGACCTTGTCCCTTACACCCCAGTCATGCAGCCCTCAGTTTTCTAGCCTTTGAGCCAGTGCACATGAAGGTGGAGGCTGAGAAGGCTCTTAGAAATAAGCCAGGAAGGTCTTACATCTTGCCACGGACAAGTCCCCACGTAGATCAAATTGTTGAAGAAGCCATAAAAATGACTAGGAGTTGCAAAGACCGGATGCAGTACCCTTGGATAAGTTCTCTTCTACCCAAGGCTTTTTACTGGGAATGAAGAGTCACAGAGCAGGCAACAGCGACACCTGCTGTTCAGAATAGATTCAAACCAGGCAGGGAGAAACCAGAAACCCGAGTTCTCGCCATAGAGGCAGCATCGCCTGCACGTGACTTCACAAAAGAACATAAGACCTAGGGTCTGTCCTCCTATTGATTGTTTTGGGAGTCCTCATTTACCTGGTACAAGTAAGGAAGACACTGTCCTAGCTAATAATGTAACTAGTAGTTACAACATTCATGGACCATGAGTTTTCAGAGAACATAATACGGTCAAAGCACCATACTTAAACAGTACTATATTAAATGGACTCCCCTTAGCAATAGAAAAAGGTATAAGACCCTCAAGAAACATAGTTGATATGTCTGATAATTGGGCACCATTATGGGTTGAATTCTGTCCTCCAAAAAGATGTTGAAGTCATAAGCCCAAGTACCTGTGACTGTGACCTTACTGGGAGATAGGGTCTTTGCAGATGATCAAGTTCACCTGAAGTCATCAGGGTGTGCCCCAAGCCCACAGGACTGGTTTCCTTATAAAAAGGAGAATTTTGGACACAGAGACGGACAGGCACACAGGTGAACAGCATGTGACCGTGAAGGCAGAGACTGGGGCTGCATTGCATCTAGGAATGCTGAAGATTGTCAGCAATCACTAGAAGCCAGGAGACAGACCTGGAACAGGCTCTCCCTCACAGCCCTCAAAAGGCAATGCGGGCTCTTTTTTGGTTCCATATGAAGTTTAGAGCAGTTTTTTCCAATTCTGTGAAGAAAGTCATTGGTAGCTTGATGGGAATGTCATTGAATCTATAAATTACCTTGGGCAGTATGGCCATTTTCATGATATTGATTCCTCCTATCCGTATATCTGGGTTATTTTATAATCAGGAAAAAAGCACTAAATGTGAATAAAAGTGCTGAATTATTTTAGTTATAATGTTACCTTTCATGGTCCAGCCTCTGAAGTGCTTGAATTCTATACTTCCTATTCATGATCTGACTTTGAGCTTTATTAATTCCATTCCAAGCTATGCGTAATTTCTATTCCAAAAGAATGTTTTCTATCTTTTTGAAAACAATCCAAAAGATCTTTTTCGATTTATCTTTTTCTTCAAAATTATTTTAGTGATTTTATTTTATTTTTAGAAAACTTTTTTTTAAAAAACTGACAATTATATCTCAATTTGGTATTAAAACACTATTTTCCTGGTGCTTGAAAACTCAAAAATCTCCATTGTCTATAGTATAAAATACAGAATTTTAAAGCTTTTCTCTAGTGTATTTCCAAATTGCCTACCTTATTTTACTTATTATGCCTCTATGTAAGCCCTCTTTTTCTATCCTATTGGCCTAGAATATGTCATTTTTAGTCCTGTCTCTTGTGGGACTCTACTAAATGGTCCATGTTTACTAAATGATCCATTGGTTAGATCCGTTTCCTTTTGAAACCTTTCCTGAGCTTTCCAAACTCAAAAAAACTCTACCTTCTGTAATTATTTATGACACATTATTATTCTCTTGGAACATGCATACTATTTTGTATTACCGTCCTTTCTAGGGTAACTTCTGGATGATTTTGTATATGCACAACACCTAGGAGTGTTTATCCACAATACTTGGAAGCGTCTTACATATTTGGTAAGGTTGTAATGATGGGTGGGCTCATTTCACTTAGACTACATGCCAATAGTCTACCTGAGAGTGTTCCCGTTCTTTCATGAAGAAAGTAGTGTGTATTTCCTTTTGGCAGAGGCATCCTTGCCAGCAAGATACTAGGAGTACACATTTCTACCAGGAAAGCAAAATACAGACTGGAAGCCAAAAGTCAAGGAATTCTGGCCAAAGATGTAAAGAGCCAAATTCTCTCAGAAATGGTTTCCTAGAAGTAATTTGTGCTGACTATGCTTCAGTTCAAACAAACTCCTTTAAGAGCAAAATAGCAGTACGTGATATATCTAACCATTGTAGATAGCTATCTTGAAGTAGGAGTATATAACTGTTGGTTAAAATAATCTAGATTATTGCTTCAGCAATTCCGTTCATTTTGAAAAGTAGCAACTCATTTTCTGCAGATATGTAGTAGTAAGTGCACATCGTTTTAGAATTGGAGTATCTTTCTAATTACTGAACAGCTCTTGTCTGGTGTGGACTTTGGTTGAAGCTAGTGTGTTGAAGGTTTCTTTTTAAAACTGAGTGCCATAGTATAGTGACACTAATATCTATATTCATATCTATAATTATCCAGATATATAATAAATGTTTATTAAATGCAAGCTATGTCTCTCACAGGATGAAAAGAAATATAAGCCATTGTCCTTGCCTTTAAGAAGTTTGCAGTATGGATGGCTAGATAATATGTGTTACTTATTGAAATATGAATTCATAATAGAATAAAGCAGTTCATCATTATTTAAGAATGATACAACAAAAATATCATGAGAGCGAAAGGGAGAGAAAGGAGTTCCTTCAGGCTGGGATGACTATAGAAATCTATATGGAAGTAAACTCTGTCTTGCATTTGAAGAATGGGTAGACTTTGAAGAGGAAAGAAGAGAGAAAAAAGGTATTCTTGGTGAATAAAGAATGTGAACAATGTGAACAAGGCCATGGAGTCAAAGTCATTTTAGGAAGAAAGTGAGTAAATTGACTTTTTTGGGGAGGTATAAAATTGTTGATTAGACCAGAAGAATCTGGGTTGAGATTATAGAAAAGTGTGAATGCCAGGTAAGGACTAAGGACTTACCTTTTAAGTGTGAGGACCCATTTAGGGAAGATTTTGAGAAAAGAAAACATATGATCCAAGTTGAGTTTTACTGAAGTTAATTTGTCAGCTATGTTCTGTTTGAAAAGGAAGATAGAGACAGTAATATGAGGATGTTTAGAAGACCAAGAAAGCAGCTGAAGTGTGAAGTAGAATAGAGGATATATGTAGTATTTCTGTTCAGCATCCCCTCTTTTCTGATTCAGTGATTCAGGTGGAGATGACACCATTTGCCCTCAAAAGCCATAGGTAGGCCGGGCGCGGTGGCTCACGTCTGTAATCCCAGCACTTTGGGAGGCCGAGGCGGGCAGATCACAAGTCAGGAGATCGAGACCATCCTGGCTAACATGGTGAAACCCTGTCTCTACTAAAAATACAAAAATTAGCTGGACATGGTGATGGGTGCCTGTAATCCCAGCTACTCAGGAGGCTGAGGCAGGAGAATCGCCTGAACCCAGGAGGCGCAGGTTGCAGTGAGCCGAGATCGTGCCACCATACTCCAGCATGGGCAACAGAGCGAGACTTCATCTCCAAAAAAAAAAAAAAAAAAAAAAAAAAAAGGATATTTTAATGCTTTTTATTTATGTCTAGGAAACACTTGTCCTAATTAGAAGCAATAGGGAAAACAACAGGAGAGCACATTATTAACTGGAACAAGTACAAGATCTTTGCTGTTGAAAAACATTTGTTATTTTTTATGGGGTAAAGCCAACATATTCTATATCATAAACACAAAAAGAAGATTTACCTCTTAGGGTTATTTTATATATTATTTACCTGAATATAGTGAAATTCTCTCCATGTCAAAGAGTCACTCACAGATGGAATAGATGTCACAGCCAACAGAGCCAGTATTGCCAGTCCCACAATTCCCAGAGACACATAAATCTCCATTCTCCAAACATCATGCTCAATCCAGGCATCTTCTTTATTTTGTTGGACCTACCAGAAGGTAAATAAAGAAAGAAGAAATGCAAACAACAGTTATTTCCTGAATGTGAATCTCCTTCTACACTCTTCCCTGTGTGTACTATGAAGCCCTGATAACAGGTCTCCACAAATTTATGACTTTTTCTTTTTTTTTTGCATTCCTCTAAGACAAATGACATAGGAGCTATCACTTTTTTTCTTGAATGCAACATTTCCATAATCTATTAATTTTCTAATAATTATTTGATGGTTTACTTGGATAGAACTGTAATGTGCATGCATATGTGGTAAACAAGGAGAAGAACAACAATATTAAAAAGTAATCTTGTGAGGGTGGTAGAAGTTTGAAATATGGCCTTGTCCATGAACAAAATGTTTCTTATGTTGCTAAAGTTGTACCTTATTTTCAGCTTAAAAAACATTTCTCAATATAAAACCGACTGACAACCAAGCCCTAGTGTAATTATAAGAAAAATTTTAAAATAGATGACTTTTTCAACACAGAGTTTCAACAGGGTTGGGGTATTGATATTACAATGAGAAATGATTAATTTGTTAGGTGACTTAGACTTTTTATTAGTAACAGTGACATCATTGTCATCTCACCTGTTGATATGCCCAGTTTAGCAACTTGTATCTGTAGGATCGCCTCATTGCGTAAGACAGAGTATAAATTGCATGCAGTACAGCAAAAAACAAACTGAGAAGCCCAAACTGCTTTCTTGTTAACATCCACTTATCCAACCAATGTGGAAACTTCTTATACTTGGTTCCATTATGAACTTGGACAATTGCTGCTATCACACCTGGTAGGTAAACCAATGCCAAGAGAGTGATGGAAACCATTGGCAAGACTTTGTTGATGACCAGGATTGGAATTTTATAAAAATATTGTTGATGGGAAGTTGCTAAAGGGTGAATTACTTCCCTCAGAAGAGTGTAAAGAAAAGTCAGAGATGCCATAACAGCAGCTATTTTAATTGGCAAGTGCCACTGTGGAAAGAGTTCCTGTGCGTGCTGAAGTTCTGAAGGGCAGTCAAATTCATCAGCATGGGCTGTTTGCTGCAAATGCAAAAGCACAGGTCTTTTTAGCATGCTGGTCTCTCCCGTGTCCTCATGCTACAAAGGAAAGAAAATTAACATCTTAAAATTGAACAAAACAATGGGATATCTCTTGAACTAATTACTTATTGCTCAATCATTGTGCTTCTCATTGAATAAGGGCATTCAGAATCTTGCTTTTGAATACTGGTTAGTTGAAGATAGCATAGTCTATGTGGCACTGAAAGACTTTTGTCTTTAGGACAAAAGAAATACATGCTTCAGACAGGTAAGACAGTTAACTTGAAAAATGAAATTATTTCATTTTATGCACATTGTTACTCTTATAAAGTATATGCTTGTAATTTATTAATTACTTTTCCCTATTAAAATTATTAAGATTAAATAAATAATTTCTGCTAAAACTTCCATTGAGATAATTTGGAAGTTTGGAACCAAAATTTCTGCCACTTTTTCAGTCAAAAAATGTAGTAAGAAACACTTAATCCTGTGTTTGACCAAAAGTGGAAAAAGTGATTCTTATCTAAAAGTAGATTTATTTGGTTATACAGTGAATCGTCAATTTACTAGATGATCTCTTGGTAAGCTGCCACTGTGTCTATGACAAAAATGCTTGCTTACAAAATTACTGTTATATGGGCATTGATGACTTTTTTTTTTTTTTAACTTAGAACTATAGAGTGTTAGAAAGAATTGGAAGGGCCTTGGGGATGATCTGGTCCAAGGCTTTCATGGTATAAACAAACTAAGACCCCAGATTTTCAGTAACGTATTCAAGGTTATTCAGCTAAGTCCCTGACAATCAGTGAAGGTACTATTTCTCTCACATATGCTACTCTGTCCTTCACAGTATCAGTGACAGTAATCCAAGTCCAGATATCAGCAGACTAGGGTGAAAAATCACTTTCATAACACTAGGAGATACAGAATGTCATCGAATTATGTTTAAAGATGTAAATTATTATTTATTATTGTCATTATTAATATTTTACCAAATAATCGTTGTCTTCTAAATTTCTCCTAGGCTTCATTTTCCAAATTTCTTCTTGGTTTGTGATGTCTTTTCTGCTTTCCATTAATTCTATAAAATAGTATGGCTTCAGCCACCTGTAAAAATAAAAATAATTACTTTCATGTCTATTCTACTTATGATGTGAATGTCTGATGTAACAATATAAAAAATTTACTTGCTTAAAGACTAGAATGGCAGATAAAGTACAATAAAAATTGAAATAGTGACTGATTTATACATTTAACTTCATATTATAATCTGTAAGTTTCAAACCAATGCCCTCTTATCAACAGTAACTGCTCTTCTTTATCCACTTATTTGTTCAATGAATAACCCAGGTGCCTGTATGGATTACAAAGGGTCACATGTTGCCTTTTACTTTAGGAAGATTTAACTTCAGGTTTCCATCTGGAGGAAAGCCAACTCCTTTCAATGGCAAATATCATTAGGAATGCATTATATTGAGAGTAATAATGTCATCAATGGAGGCTGGAGGTAGCTGATATAAGATTTATGTTTAACAGAATTTTGGGGTTGACACTGGAGTCTGAAACAGTATTTTCAGAGTACCATTTTTCTTTTGGAGTAAGAGGTTGGTCCTTGTTTGGAAGATGTGAATTGCCAGTATGTTTCCAGTGGGAATGGTGAGTTGTGCTGAATTAATGATGTGCCCAGTCTTCTGGTCAACCCTGTGGAAAAACAACTTTTCAAATTTATCACTTGATAAAAGAAGCTTTTCCTTAGCAAACTCACAGATCCTCATCCAGGATTGGTGTAACATTTTTTAGGGAAAGAAAACATATGTCACAGTACTATTCATTGTTTTTATTAGTTCTGAATTTATTTCCAGAGGAACACATCTTTAATTTACACTTTATGAAATTCAATGAGAAAAACAGATTAGATATACAACAATTTGATTGACAGAAAACATCCCAAGTGTTTCTGAATTTTAGACCACGTGTAGTACTTTTTTAGGTGGAAAGCTGTTTCCAGGAATAGTTTAAAATACAGTGATGTGTCACATAACATTTTGGTCAACGACTGACTGCATATGTAACAGTGGTCCCATAAGAGTATAATGGAGCAAAAAAATTCCTATTGCCTAATATTTACAATACTATACTTTTTATTATTATTGTGAAGTGTACTCCTTCTACTTACAAAAAAAGAGCTAACTGTAAACAGCCCTAGGCAGGTCCTTCAGGAGGTCTTCCAGAAGAAGGCATTGTTATCAGAGAAGATGGCAGCTCCATGCCTGTTACTGCCCTTGAAGACCTTCCAGTGGGACAAGATATAGAGGTGGAAGACAGTGATACTGATGATCCTGACCCTGGGTAGGCCTAGGCTAATGTGTGTGTGTTTGTGTCTTAGTTTCAACAAAAAAGTCTAAAAAGAAAAAAAATTAGAAATAGAAAAAAAGCTTAAGGAGTAAGTATATAAACAAAGAAAATATTTTGTATGGCTGTACAATGTGACGATGTTTTAAGCTAAGTGTTATTACAAAAGAGTAAAAACAATAAGTTAATAAAGTAAAAGAGTTACAGTAAGCTAAAGTTAATGTATTATTAAAGAAAAAAAATTTTCAATAAATGTAGGGTAGCCTTAGTGTACAGCGTTTATAAAGTCTATAGTAGTGTACAGTAATGTCCCAGGCCTTTATATTCACTCACTACTCACTCACTGACTCACCCAGAACAACTTCCAGTTCTGCAAGTTCCATTCATAGCAAGCGTCCTGTACAAATATACAATTTTTTATCTTTTATACGATATATGTATGTTTACTATACCTTTTCTATGTTCAGATACACAAATACTTACTATTGTGTTTCAACTGCCCACAGTATTCAGCACGGTAACATGCTATACAGATTAGCAGCCTAGGAGCAAGAGACTATACCATCTAGCCTAAGTATGTAGGAGGCTGTACCATCTAAGTTTATGTAAGTACACTCTATGATGTTTCCTCAACAATGAAATCCCGCCTTACAATGAATTTCTCAGAATGTATCCTGTCATGAAGAGACATGACTGTTCTTAAAACATTCTCCAAGTTTTAAAGGTTTAACTATAACAAAGGATAACGAGATGCTTTTATATACGCCAACATTTACTTTGTTGAGGTACTCTTAGAATATTTTCCAGATATTATCTATTTCAAAATTACAGAACATTCATGATGAAGATATCTGTTGTTTTAGTTTGCCCACATTCTTTTCTGATTTAAAACATTTCCTCCATTTGGAGAAATGCCCTTCCTCCCTCCAATGTGATTTTGGGAGATTGTGCAAAATAGTAACACTCATTCCCTCGTCACAGAAGTGGGTATATGACTCAGGCCTGGGCAATCAGTTTCCTGTTCTCCCATTGATTGGCTTAGCGATGGCACAGAACCTACTTCAAGCATGGTCATTCTCTGATATTTATATATGGAAGTGGAAGAGAGAGATGAGATGTCTTTAACATTTTGTTAAGATAGCACAGTATAAGCCTGCCATGCTTTTTTCTCCATGCTCTAAGAAGGAAGATGTTTTCATTAGAAAAGAAGAAAGCCAACATGGAAGCAGAACAAGAGCAGAGAAAGACACAGAAGAGTCCTGGTGGCATATTTCAGTATTTAGAGTCCCTGAAACTAGATCCTGAATTTTTCAGTTAGACAGTCAACACATTCCCTTTTTTTTTGGTTTAAGTTAGTGTGATTTGGGTGTTCACCACTGGCATGTAAAAGAATTCTGAGTAAAGCATATGCCAATCATCAAGTATTTATGAACCCAACTCTGTGACCAACATTAAAGAGGAAAAATAGAAATGACACTCATGCCTGCTCTGGAGGAAATGACACTCTATCTCCTTAACAGCATTATTCCAAGTCATTTGGTGACTTAACCAACTGTATTAGGCTGTTCTCGCACTGCTATAAAGAAATACCTGAGACTGGGTAATTATTATAAAGAAAGGAGATTTAATTGGCTCATGGTTCCATAGGCTGTAAAGGAAGCATGGCAACATCTGCTTCTGGGGAGGCCTCAGAGGGCTTATAGTCATGGTGGAAGGTGAAGTGGGAGCAGGCGTCTTACATTATTGCAGTGGTCCCCAACCTTTTTGGCACCAGGGACTGGTTTCGTGGAAGACAATTTTTCCAAGTAGGGGAAGGGGGATAGGGTTTTGAGGTGAAACTGTTCCACCTCAGATCATCAGGCAATAGTTAGATTCTCATAAGGAGCACACAACCTAGGTCCCTTGCATGTGCAGTTTGCAATAGGGTTCATGTACTTAGGAGAATCTAATGCCACCGTTCATCTGACAGGAGGTGGAGCTCAGGCAGTAATGCTCGCTGGCCTGCCACTCCCCTCCTGCTGTGCAGCCCAGTTCCTAACAGGACACTGACTGATACCAGTCTGCGGCCAGGGGGTTGGGGACCCCTGCACTAACGTGACAACAGCACCAAGGGGGGATGGTGTTAAACCATGAGAAACTGCTCCCATGGTCCGATCACCTCCCACCAGACCCCAGCTCCCGCACTGGGGGTTACATTTCAACATGAGATCTGAGGGGGAGACACAGCTCCAAACCATATCACCAACTTAATAGTTTGTGGGGTGGGGGAGGGAGGTGCTAGGAATGGAAGTGTCACCTACTATAATCAAATGTAAGAAATAATCCACTATGTTTAGAAGATCTTTTAACTTTGAGAGGTGCAGGATGGTAAGGATGCTAACAAATCCACCCACATTTATTCAGTATGAATTCAGTAACTATATTGTGAACAACAATGTAAGGCAGGAGGAATGCAAAGTTAAATGAGATAAAGCCTCTGCTCTGAAAAACCTTGAGGTCTAGGAGAGAAGGCAGGCATTTCAACTGCATGGTAGAGCGATGTATCCTAGAAGAGGATAAAGTTTTATAGGCAGATGGTGGCATGGGAAGGGAAGTAGAGGAAAAGGCTCAGCGCTGTCTTCTAGACCCAGTCCTGGGGTAGCTAGCAGGTTGGCAGTGTTTGCTGACTGATTGCCACTACAAAGAGTCTGGGTGGAAAACCAGAGTGGCCCTGGAGAGTTACCCAGCCATTTGTCTGCATGGTAAGGAGACCACACTCAAGAGCGAAGCCAAGGAAAAGCCCATGACAGTGAGGAAGCTTGTTGACTGTGTGGCCCACACTCAACTCTATGCCCATAAGCCAGGAAAATAAACTATGAGTCAAATAAATTTGTTGGTTTTCATCAGACATTAACCAAAATGTAATTTAAGTTCTACAGTAAAATCTTTTCATAAAAAGAAAAATAACAGAAAACAACCTAGTGTTAAAATGTTAGGAACCCCAGAATTCGACCCAAAGTTCTCTTTCACCCGCTTTTAAAAAAGTGGAGCACATTTCTAATGCGACTGCTGTTTTGCTGTACCAAGATGGCTGCCCTGGTGTTCCTAAATGTTGGCACAGCCCAACTGACTCATGTTTATGTCCCGCAGTTGAGAATATGAAGAAACCCAATGCCTGGAATACATTGTGGGTTGCACTGCATTTCCAACCTTTTATACTTTCAAGTGCACACTTGTTTTACATTTAACTAAGTGAAGTCGAGTTTTTTGGGTTTTTTTTTCACTGTGCTGTTTTTCTTTTTAAGCATTGCTTTCCCTCTGTGCTTAACATTCATGTTAAATGAATAACCTTTTATTACACGTCAGGATGTGGAGGGAAATGTATTTTACAAAAGTAACAAAGTAAGAAATTTGGAAGTGTACAAAAAATTTATGTCTACAAACTCCTTCCAGTGGATTTGACCAGAATTACATATTTAAAGCCTTGATTGACTATTTTGGAGGGAACCTGAACCCCACCCAGATCCTGAAAGAGTAGGGCCAGTGTTCTAAGGACTGAAAATGAAAACCTCTGTTACCAGGAAACCCGAAGACGAGAAGTAGCACGATTTTAAGTACTGTGCACCAGTCATTCGTCAATGCACAGCAAACTCTGGCGACTTTGCCACGTTAAAAAACTTGCCATCAAAATCCAACCTGAGCACAAACTTAATAATCTACCACAACCTTAAGCCCCTAGCGAAAAGGCTTCCTCTGAGTCCCTGGCTCCCCCCAGCCCCCGGCCCGGCCACAACCCAGCTGGGCTGGAAGACAGGGCGCCCCAGAGCCGCGCATAAGCGAAGAATTGAGCACCGCTCGCCCAGGAGGGCCGCCGTCCAGGTCACGAGAAGGCTTGCGACCCGCTACACCCCTCCCAAGACTGGGAGCGGGCGCCCAGCCTTGCAGGGACACGCAGGCGGACTCGAGGAGCAAACGGCCAGTGAGAACGATTCAAGGGACTCACCCACTCCTCGCCGTAGCTTGACCGTGAGTCTCAGCTGCCGCTGCTGCCGGGAGGTGCCGGCCCCACGCGGCGCCTGAGCCTCCAGAGCGCGAAGCCTCCAAGCCTGCTGCAGGCCCCGCCTCCTTGTCAGTTGCGCGTCCAGCGCCACCTGCTGGCGCCCCGCGTCCGCAGGGTTCGGGAACGTCCTTGGAGGCTAAGACTCCCCAAGTCGCACTCCGGCCTCTCCCAGTTTCCTCTCAAATGCCGTCTGCCCTGCCCTTGAGGTCCGTTTCGCGCCCTCCAACCCCTCGCCTTTTGTTTAATCTCCACTAAGGAACGTTTGTGCATTTCTCTAGAGCAGTGGTTCTCAGACTTCAGCGTGTATAAGATTACCCGGGGGCATATTAAAACACCGATTGTTGGGCTGTCCACCCACAGTTTCCGGTTCAGTATGTCTGGGATGAGGTCTGAGATTCTCATTTCTAACAAGTTCCCATGAGATATGGAAGCATTCCCAGATCACACTTTGAGATAGACCGTTTAGAGCTTACAAACCCTCCCACACGTTAGCTTATTTATTTTTATTTTATTTTATTTTTTTTTGAGACGGAGTCTCAGTCTGTTGCCCAGGCTGGAGTGCGGTGGCGCGATCTTGGCTAACTGCAACCTCCGGCCCCGGGTTCAAGCGATTCTCCTGCCTCAGCCTCCCGAGTAGCTGGGATTACAGGCGCCTGCCACTGTGCCCGGCTAATTTTTGTATTTTTAGTAGAGACGGGGGTTTCACCATCTTGGCCAGGCTGGTCCTGAACTCCTGACCTCGTGATCCACCCGCCTCGGCCTCCCAAAGTGCTGAGATTACAGGCGTGAGCCACCGCGCCCAGCCACCTTATTTAAAACCTAACAGCCGGTCCTGAAGTGGCTGTGATTGACAGTTTGAGGAATCCGAAGCTGAATTTCTGAGAGTGACTTGCTCCCTGAATTGTTCAAATTGTGTACCTTTAATCGCACAAACCCTGCTCCCCAGCCGAAAAAAAAAACCCTTAAACCCCATGTTTACTCCGTCCCTCCCTTCCTTGCCTCAGCTTTTAAGTGCAGCTTCCCATATCCTAGCTCAATGAAGTATTCCAAACCTAAAGTAAAGTTAACTGTTAATATTCCAAGGTTTTAGAAAAAGACAACTTGAGCAGGGGATTTACTTCTCTCCGTTGGAACCAGCCTCGAGATAGGGTCTGAGACATGAATTGCAAAATTCTGGGGATTTGGTATACAACATTCTCAGGACTAAGCTGAGTAGAAAACACAAAGGAAAATAAACGCGCAACCACATTTTCCATGATTGTTTTTTATTCACAGCTAGGGCACCGAAGACTGTTCATGTTTTAATATAAGCATTTTCTGTAGTCACTGACTTTCCATGGATTAGTTTAAAGCCCTTTGAAGATTAAATTACCGTGGACTGACACCTTGTGGTGGAAATAGAATCTTACACCTGTTGTTTCTAGTGAAACTAGAAAATAATTTTAAAGTTTTAGAAAAGAAATCTGTGTAATCTTTGTATGTGTAGCACAGACTACAAAGAATTAAGACTATTTAACCAAGCATTGTTGAGTTTTAAAAGTGATCATGGGTCTTAAATGGTCAGACAAAACGATATGCTTTTATTGTTTAACATTTGGTAGAACAAAGGTCATTCTCTTTTTCACAATATATTTTCCATATGAAAAGGGCAAAGAGTTATTATTGTGTTAACATAATAATATATATTGATATGAATATGGCTATATAGCAAGCTGCACTTAAAACTGCTTTTCCTTTTCTAATTAAAACATTTAAAATCAAACCCCAAATATTTTTGTTTTATAATTAGACTTTGGCAATTTTATTTCTGCACTTCTTATAAAAGTTTTTTTTGCCCAATATTTTAGTGTGGAGAATAAATAGAGTATGTTCCAAAGTGAAATGATTAAAAGTGTGAGATTTATCAATTAGTTTGTAGATATTATAAAAGCAACACAATATTCGATTAAGAAAAACATGTTACTAAAAAGCTTTTATTGAGTCGCCAGCAGTTAGTATCACAGATGAACTAGCTGCAGTTTTTGCATACAAATAACCTGTAATTTGAGGTATGAGATAAAGAAAAAAAATTTTTGTGGGGGGGGCGGGTAATACAATGCCAGAGCATCTCAGAATGCTGAGTCAGCCTCTTTAGCACATACTTTTAAAAACAAGTGTGGCTTGTGGAAAGCCACATTATGCTATTGCAAATGTTGAAAGGCAAGTTGCTAGTTTTGCTGTGACTCTAAACAACTAGAGGATTTAAAATGGGAGTTTGCCCACGAGTTACAAATAAATTTAGATCTTTCAGAATATTCTGTAATAAACTTAAACTATAGTGAGAGCGCATATTAACATAATGGACCTCAGTGTCATTTGAGGTCAAATACTAAACTGGTGACTTCATAATAACATGCTGTGGAGAAAATATAATTTAGAATCCATGAGTATTTTTGCCTGACAAATAAGCAACCTGATCTTAGAACCTGATGAGACGACCACTTTAAAAGTAAATGAAATACTATGGTGTGAGAGATAAAATAAAAAATATCATACTATTAAAGATAATCACAATGAGAAATAGACAGTAAATTTTAAGTGAATGACAAGAATTATATTTTTTCCTTTGGAAATCTAACTCCTGAGGGGACAGCAATTTAAGTAATGATCAACACTATTTCCAAGTCTGCCTCTTACGAAAGAAGAATGGTCAGACTTTTATTTGAAACGACTGCAAAAATTACCTAAGTTCAAGAAGAAATATTTGGTCCAAATGATTGTTTTAAGACAGACATGATAAGGCTTCACTCGCCAAAATTTCTGATTCTATTAACCTCATATGATACATTCTCTTTACTAGTTCAAGGTCTACTGTAATCTTCAAAGTATGTGGTCAGTTTGTCCCTAGTGTCTGCGTTTAAAAGTGGTTGGGGGTAGAGAGGAGGTCTGTTCTTGGGACTGGAGGTTTTAACTATTCTTCTGAATTCTTTCTCCCAAACTCAAAGTCCCTTATTGCTCTTTCACCAAGACAGGCAACAGTAAACATCTTTTCAGGTAGGTTGTAAGAGTAGGTGCTTCATTTCCAAGCTCACAGATCTCTGCCTGAGTACTGTTCAGTGATGTTCAAAATGCTGTGATATATTCCATTGGCTTTAAATATGTTGCGATCTATGAAAAGACTAAAGTTCCTGGCAATGGTGCCATATTAAGCCTTATCAGTTATTTACATCCTACTATAAAGAATATTTCAGCTTCTTCTGAAAGTACGTTCTGGCATGGAGAAAGAAATATCAGCATACCGAACACTTATAATAGAAGGTTATGAAGGGGTTATACCTTAGGGAAAAAAGAAGGTATCATTATCCTCATTTAGAGGATATGGAGAAATTAAGGCTCTGTTTCAAAGCAAGTCTGTAAATTCTTTAACATTCTTCCCATCAAGAAGAGAGACCTATCTCCTGCCCTGGAACATGGGCAGCACTTTTGACTGTCTCCGTGCATATAATATGGTGGAAGTGACACTGCTTGACTTGTGAAGCTGGATCACAATGGGTTATTGACTTCCACCAGCCTGTCTCCGGGTACAGGTGACTTCATGTAAGAAGTCTAACTACCCTGACAGAGAGTCCACATGGAGGGAGCACACTGTAACAGACAGAGGTGCCTGAGGAGCCCCGGCTGTTCCAGCCGCCGGCTATTTAGGTCTTCCCAAGTCAGGCACCAGAGAGTATGAATGGAAAGGCCTTCAAGGGAACTCTAGCCCCAGCCATTGTCTGATTGTCACTGCATGAGGACCAAAAACTGCCTAGCTGAGCCCCATCAACCCCTAAAGAAGTGAAAGATAATAATGACAAATGCTTGCTGTTGTTTTATAGCACCAAGTTCTGAGTGGTTTGTTGTGCTGCAGGCTCCAAGAGAAGTAACTTTCTGAGAGCACTCAGGAATTTCTTAGTGGAACTGGGGCTAGAATCAATTCGCTGCATTTAATGCAGTATTAACCAGACAACTGTGTTGGGCCCTGGGGACCAGAGAAGAATTAAGACACAGCCCAAGCCTTGCCCTGGTCTGAGCTTCCTCTTCCTACCTTCATATTCATGGCAGCTTCTTCTTGCTGGGAGTGGGATAGAGGAGCCCTAGGGCTGCTGGCTTCTGGAAGGAACTGGCTCCAGGGCACCCTGGCTATTCCCTTGCTCCATGCTGTGTGCAGGTGGCTCTGGCACCAAGAGGTGGCACCAAACCTGCCGCCAGCCTTGGCTTTCTCACCAGTCGGGCTCTGATGAGTTGATAGACTGTGTTTGGAATTGAGCATGGCGGTATTACAAAGGCAAGTGGGTACCACACAACCTGCCTGCAGTGTTGCTTTGTTCTGATGAATTACACCAAGTCCCTGGATTCACATTTGGCTGGATTGTCAGGAAAAATATGTGTTCTGGGTGCCAGCTGATCTTTTCATCTAGCTTCTGCCCTCAGGTAAACATTCCCTGTTAAAATTCTAAATGTTCATCTGCTTCCTCTAAAGAGATTGGTAAAAAGGCATAAAACACCTAAGAATCAGTGTTACTTGTAATGAGCCCAGGGCTGCTGCAGGGGGCACCATATACATAGAATAGCAGGTGAGCGGGGTCCCCAGGGCCGAAGTATTATGCTCTAGGCCAGAAAAAGGATATATTTTTTTTTTATTTCTGGGATACAGATAATGTATTTTCACATAACATCCACGTTTCATGAATTAAGCCAACAAATATTTACCAAGTATCCTTTAAATCCTTTAGTATTTAAAGTATCATTTTTTGCAATATATATATGAGGGCCAACTTATTTTTGCCTGTCATGAAATCAAAGGCCAATTAAATAATCACTTCCAAATTTATATTTCTGTTTTATAGGTTTTCTTTATTCAAGGCATTCTTGTACAGTAAAGGGCAGGAAAAGGAGAGGGAGAGGGAAAGGGAGAAGAGGAAGAAGGAGGAAGGTGTGTGTGTTGGGAGTAGGGAGAAGCTTTGCAAATGGTAAACCTGGGTTATTATTTGACTTTTGGTTACAAAAAAAAAAGTTGCATCAAATTAAGCAGTAAGCAATCATGAAGCAGGCAGTGACATGCATTGAGCAGATTTTCCTAAATCATCTTCCCCAGAACGCCAATTCACTAAGATGTTAATAAGCATTTTCCAAATAAAGATTTTCACTTTTCAGATAAATTCAGGACTGGCTGCATCTCCACTTCTGGTGAGTGACAATTCGTTTTAGCATGTTAAAGGCTCTGGAAAACGCTAGGGTAAAAGCAAAATGAAACACAAAACAAGAAGCTTGATTGACTTCCTTTAGCCTGGCACCCCCCAGATGCTGAACCTCTGTTATTGAAGTCGCTGAGGAACAGAGCCCATGGCACATGTGGAAAATCCTCTGCTGGATGAGGTGACTGTGGGATGGTCTCTGCTAGCTCCCTGCTAGGTCAGAGTGGAGCACTGGAGAAACACCAAACTCTTACCCAGGAGGGAAAAGGTCTGTTTCTCTGGCATCCTGCCTTTTGGTAGGGAGAAAAACTTCCAGTTTGAGTCTGAGGTGAAAATCGCTTTCCCCTTGCATCAAAGTCATGGAAACCCTGATGTGCCATTATACCATTCAACATTCCCATCCCTGCAGTGCCTCAGGCTTTTGCAGTTTGCCCTCCTCATGCCCTTTCCTGGATCATGACCTTCTTTCAGCTGCCATTCCATTTTCACAGTCATTTCCATGCCCCATTTGGCTAACTCACCACTCCCTCAAAAGGAGATGCCCAGGTCAAAAAGCAGAGCTTTGCCCCATGTCCTTCCTGGAGTCTGGAGACTCCTGCTGAGTCCAGAAGGAGCAGCGAGCATGCCAGAGAAGGGCTCCTGCTAGGGACTGCTTCTGCTGTGAACATTTGGGTCCTGTTCCTGTGCTTTCCCACACCTCTCCCAGATGCTGCCGCAACCTTTACATGAATGCTCAGCCTCAGTTTCCTTCTGTCTCAAATGTCCTTATTTCAGGGTTGGGATAAAGAGTAAAAAAAATATGTTTAGAGTATTAAGCCTAGTGCCTGCCTGCAATAGGTGCTCAACAAATAGATGCTATTACTGATCATCACTATTCTTGCCTTATCTTCCCAAAGCGCCTCCATACTGAGGATACAAATGAGGTCAGGTTAACAGGACCAATTTAAATCTCACTGATTGCTTGGCCTCATTTGCACCTGCAGACCTTCACACATCCTCCACCTGTAAGCTCCAGGCCAGTATTTCTGGGACTCTCCAGAGGGTGTCTCATGGGTATGTAAGAATGAGTCCGCTCTCTGTGCCACACAAGCCTGCTCATGGCTCACTTGTCACCAGAATGCCCGCCACCAGCTGTCACAGCTCCACGGGGTGCAGGAGTGAGGCCCTGGCTCCACCTGGAACAGCAACTCCATGTTGGTGGTTATGGACTGTGTGCCACCCATCTGCTCTTCTGTCCTAAGAACAGACTGTGGTGTGGTCTCTGAGCAGACAGCTTTTTGTGTTACTGGCTGTCGGACGGGGGCCGAGTAGGGCTCCTTGAGACCTCGCATGTTAGAATTTACTGACAGAGTTTTTCTTTTTGGAATTCTCACCTTTTTCCTCCTTAGGAAAGGAGCTGGGCTAGGGACGGGATGAGTCACTTCCTTCACAGGGAGCTTGGAGTCTCTGCTGTCTTCACCACTGAAGACTTTGTTGTCAGGTCCAGCGTCTTGCTCTGGCACTACCTCATGTGGGAGGTGTTCTCCCCTGGTGGTCTATTCTGTTCCTTACAAGCAGTCAGCCCCCATAGTGGGCCCAGACTGAGTCCTCTTCCAGGAGGCTCTTCTGCCTGTGCAAAGGGGCCACTGCCAGGCCCAGCCCTCAGTGCGCTGGTCTCTGTCTCAGTGGCCCGACCATGGTGCTCATCTATGGGAGCAAACTCTCCCGCATCTCCATCCTCCTCACAGCACTAGCCACTGTGGTGACCATGGGTCCTACCCGATCCTGCTGGTGACTCCCTGCCACCATTGCCAGGACACAGCTCTTTCTGGCCCAGAGTGACAATTCTGGCAAATTTAACTTGATATTGGCTATCCAAGGACAAGTATATGGTGAGCACTAACCACCAGGCATTGTGTCTAGCTTCTGGCTCTCATGGATTTGCTAGGATTCCCCTGTAATGGCGGTGGTGGTGACAGAAGCTTACTCTACCCTGGGCAGGAGCCAGGCTGCAAACCCAAGTCTGGCTAAATCAAAAGTCCAGGCTTCCTAGAGATTCACTGTCTCTTTGTTCCTTACTGGAATCTTTGCTCTTATCCTCACACCTGTGCCACGCAAATCTCCTCAGGAGCTAGGCTGATCATGAATGGACCCCGCACAGTCTGCCCAGCATGCTCCTCCCCATTGCCTCTAAGCTGGCCAGGACCCTGGGGGGCTTTCCCCATGCACTACCCTGACACCTTTCTGGGGCACCATAGTAACTATCCACAGCCCCTCCTGGAGTGTGGCTCTTCATCCTGAGGTCTAAAGTCCTGATAATCTCCCCCAGTGAACCTGCAGTTTCTCTGAGGAGCCAGGTCCTCTGAGGACATGGGTCCCCTGGTGACTGCTTTGCCATTACTGGACCTTCTCAGATGAGTGTGCAGACCACATCCCATGATCCCCAAGGAGCATTAGCCCAGAGGAAACACCTGATCAATCCCTGCCAATTTACGCTAAAAGCCACCATTTTAAAAAAAAAACAAAAAACCCTCATCAGGATGACCTCCTATACCACAAAACCTTGCCCTCAGCAGAACTCTCTATAGGTCTCAAAGGTGACAGTATGAAGCACTGCTGGAAATTCCCACTCTCCTAGCATCCTATTTATTGATCACATAGCTGCCTTCCAGGGGTGGAACCACTGGGAAATGTGTATGAACAGCACTCATCAACCATCACGTTTTTATTTGGCATTAGCTCCATGCCCCGTGAAGTGCCAGGTACAGACTGAGATTCATTTAAAAAATAGAAAGCATGGTCCTGTAAATAATTTGCAACTAACCAGGGAGATACACTTACACTGGAGAACTGAAGAACAGCTACAAGTACGCACTGTAAGTAGGAAAGTTCTACAGCTTCCCTGGCTTCCTCCCACTCTCAGCCCTGCAAGCTCACCCAAGCCGAGCAGCCCACTGGCTGTACCTCAAACGTGCCAAGCGACTCCTACCTCAGGGGCTTCTCCTGGTTATTCCTGTGTCCTGGAAAAACCTTCTGCCAGACCTTCCCAATACTCCCTGCCTCTCTTCCACCCATTCTCTGCTTCAATTCCCCTTCGCAGAGAGGCCTCCCCAGTCACTGTCTCTAAAACAGTTCCTCCTCTTACTCACTCTTCTTACTTTGCTTTAGTGTTTCTTCATAGCACTTGTCACTACCAAATATCCCACTTGTTATTTACTTGTTTTTTTGTGTGTATTAACTACATATATATTTCGGTTGAAAGGTCTGTTCAAAACTTTGATCCTTTTTGAAATTTCCTTGTTTTTTATTGTTGCATTTTAGAGTTTTTGAGTTTATTCTGTTTTGTTTACTGTAGTATCTCCAGAGTCTGGAATAGCACCTGCCACAAAGGAAGCTATTTCCTGAGGAAATGAGGGAATAAATGAAGGGATGGATAAATGAATGAATGAATGAGACAGACTATGCCTCGTGGTAGGATTTATATAAAATAAGAATAATATAAAAATAATGCAATTTTATATATGCATATCACTCATTCCATATATGTGATTGTGAGATGTATCCCATCCTGTGTGGTGTGTGTCTGTGGGTATGTATGTGTGAGTGGTGAGTTTGTGCATGCTGCTTATGTGGATCTAGCCAATTGACCACTGTGCAGGAGGAAGAACTCAGAACTTGGAGTCAGGAATCCGGCTTCACATCCCTGCTCGGTCACTTGTTAACTATATGACAGTAAGTATGTTTCTCGACTTTTCCAAACCTGGGTTTATTCACGTTAACATGGGGATAAAAGTACCTCTTTCATAGATTTGTTATGGGGGTGAAATGAGACAACATACAACATAATTAAAACACCTTACAAATGAGAAATGCTTAGAAAAAACTATTTTTTATATGTATGCTTTTCTTTTGATTTCCTAATTTTTAATTTACATAAGGTAATATTCACCGATTTTAGTGTATAGTTGTATGATTTTGGATCCCAATCAAGTTTTGGTTTTTTTTTTTGGAGATGGAGTCTCGATTTGTCACCCAGGCTGGAGTGCAGGGGCACAACCTCGGCTCACTGCAAGCTCCGCCTCCTGGGTTCACGCCATTCTCCTGCCTCAGCCTCCCCAGTAGCTGGGACTACAGGTGCCTGCCACCACGCCCGGCTAATTTTTTGTATTTTTAGTAGAGACGGGGTTTCACCGTGTTAGCCAGGATGGTCTCGATCTCCTGACCTCGTGATCTGCCTGCCTCAGCCTCCCAAAGTGCTGGAATTACAGGCGTGAGCCACCACACCTGGCCCCCAATCAAGTTTCATGACCCAAAGTGTTCCTTCTAACTGCCCCCCATTTGGGGCAACTTCTCTCACTCCAAACTGTTGGCAACCACTGATTTGTTCTTCTTTCCTGTAGTTTTGCCTTTTCCAGGGTAGCGAAACGGATTACCATATGTAGCTTTTTGAGCCTAGCTTCTTAAATTTAGCATAATGAATTTGAGAATCTTCCATGTTGCATGTATCAATAGTTTGTTCCTCTTTATGGCTGAATTTTTCTTATTCATTGTGTATCCATTCACTAAAGGACATTTAAGTTGTTTCCAGCTTTGGGTGATTATGGATAAAGCTGCCATATTACATTTGCATAATGGTTTTATATGAACATAAGTTTTCATTTTTTTGGATAAGTACCTTAAAATGAGATTGCTGGATCAGATCGTCAGTGTGTATTTAAGTTTCTTATAAGAAACTACCAAACTGTTGTTCAAATATTTCAGTGGCCTGAATCCTCACTAATACATTGTACTGTCATATTGTGTTTAAACTTTAGCCTTCCTAATTGGCAGGTAGTGGTTTCAGTTTGTATTTCCCTGATGTCTATTGATGTTGACTGTCTTTTCATGTGCTTACTTGCCATACATATGTATTTTAGTTGAAGTGTCTGTTCAAAATTTTGATTCTTTTTTTTTTTTTCTCATTTAACTTTTTTAATGGGTCTCAAAATTCTGTGACAAATTTTTGGTCCAGTTGTTTCCATTAAAAAGTACTGATTTTAAAAACTAATAACTTAAAACTGCCACACGCAAAAAAGAAAACCAAAGTGGTCCACAAAACATTCTCCTTTCCTTCTGAAGGTTTTACGATGCATTGTTATCATTAACCAGTCTTTTACTACTAAACTTAAATGGCCAATTGAAACAAACAGTTCTGAGACCATTCTTCCACCACTGATTAAGAGTGGGGTGGCAGGTATTAGGGATAATATTCATTTAGCCTTCTGAGCTTTCTGGGCAGACTTGGTGACCTTGCCAGCTCCAGCAGCCTTCTTGTCCACTGCTTTGATGACACCCACCGCAACTGTCTGTCTCATATCACGAACAGCAAAGCGACCCAAAGGTGGATAGTCTGAGAAGCTCTCAACACACATGGGCTTGCCAGGAACCATATCAACAATGGCAGCATCACCAGACTTCAAGAATTTAGGGCCATCTTCCAGCTTTTTACCAGAACGGCGATCAATCTTTTCCTTCAGCTCAGCAAACTTGCATGCAATGTGAGCCGTGTGGCAATCCAATACAGGGGCATAGCCGGTGCTTATTTGGCCTGGATGGTTCAGGATAATCACCTGAGCAGTGAAGCCCGCTGCTTCCATTGGTGGGTCATTTTTGCTGTCACCAGCGACGTTGCCACGACGAACATCCTTGACAGACACATTCTTGACATTGAAGCCCACATTGTCCCCAGGAAGAGCTTCACTCAAAGCTTCATGGTGCATTTCGACAGATTTTACTTCCGTTGTAACGTTGACTGGAGCAAAGGTGACCACCATACCGGGTTTGAGAACACCAGTCTCCACTCGGCCAACAGGAACAGTACCAATACCACCAATTTTGTAGACATCCTGGAGAGGCAGGCGCAAGGGCTTGTCAGTTGGATGAGTTGGTGGTAGGATGCAGTCCAGAGCCTCAAGCAGCGTGGTTCCACTGGCATTGCCATCCTTACGGGTGACTTTCCATCCCTTGAACCAAGGCATGTTAGCACTTGGCTCCAGCATGTTGTCACCATTCCAACCAGAAATTGGCACAAATGCTACTGTGTCGGGGTTGTAGCCAATTTTCTTAATGTAAGTGCTGATTCCTTAACAATTTCCTCATATCTCTTCTGGCTGTAGGGTGGCTCAGTGGAATCCATTTTGTTAACACCGACAATTAGTTGTTTCACACCCAGTGTGTAAGCCAGAAGGGCATGCTCTCGGGTCTGCCCATTCTTGGAGATACCAGCTTCAAATTCACCAACACCAGCAGCAACAATCAGGACAGCACAGTCAGCCTGAGATGTCCCTGTAATCATGTTTTTGATGAAGTCCCTGTGTCCTGGGGCATCAATGATAGTCACATAGTACTTGCTGGTCTCAAATTTCCACAAGGAGATATCAATGGTGATACCACGTTCACGCTCAGCTTTCAGTTTATCCAAGACCCAGGCATACTTGAAGGAGCCCTTTCCCATCTCAGCAGCCTCCTTCTCAAATTTTTCAATGGTTCTTTTGTCGATGCCACCGCATTTATAGATCAGATGGCCAGTAGTGGTGGACTTGCCTGAATCTACGTGTCCAATGACGACAATGTTGATATGAGTCTTTTCCTTTCCCATTTTGGCTTTTAGGGGTAGTTTTCACGACACCTGTGTTCTGGCGGCAAACCCGTTGCGAAAAAGGTCAAAATTTTGATTCTTTTAAAAATTTCCTTGTGTTTTTATTGTTGCATTTTTGAGATCTTTTTATATTCTGGATACAAGTCTTTTGTCATATATGTAATTCACAGATGGTTTTTTCCTAGTTTGTGGCTTTTCTTTGCATTATTTTGACGATGTCATTTGCAAAGCAAATTCTTAATTTTTAATGAATTCTAATTTACCAATTTTTTTCCTTGAAAGTATTGTTTTGGTGTTATTAATATAAGAATTTTTGCCTAATTTAGGGATGTAATAATTTTCTCCTATATTTTCCTTTAAAAGTTTATAGTTTTACATTTTATACTTAGCTCTATGATTCATTTTGAGTTAATTTTGTTAAAAAGACTATCCTTTCTCCGCTGAATTACCTTTTGTATGTTTTTAGAAATTCAGTTGACCATATTTATATAGGTCTATTTCTGGGCTTTATTTTATTTGATTGACTTAGGTTTTCATCCTTTTGCCAATATCACGCTTGATTACACTAACTTGAAATAAAGTGGTATGAGTTTTCCAACTTTGCTCTTTTTCAAATTTCTTTTGCTATTCTCATTCTTTTGCTTTACCCTATATACTTTAGAATCAGCTTGCCAATGTATATAAATAATTTTGTGGAGATTTTGATTATAATTGCATTGAACCTATAGATAAATTTGGGGAGAATTGACATCTTGTGAATATCCCATAAACACAGTATATCTTCCCATTTATTTGGCCTTTCTTTGGGATTTTTTTTTTAAATCAGGGTTTATAACATATAGATCCTGCTGATATTAAATTTACTCTTAATATTTTATTTTATGGCACTATTATAAATGGCATAATGTAAGATTTCAATATAAATTATTTATTGGTAGTATATAGAAATACATTCGTTTTTTTTTTTTTTTTTTTTTGAGATGGAGTCTTGCTCTGTTGCCCAGGCTGGAGTGCAGTGGCATGATCTTGGGTCACTGCAACCTCTGCTTCCTGGGTTCAAGTGATTCTCGTGCCTCAGCCTCCCGAGTATCTGGGATTACAGGTGCGTGCCAGCACGCCTGGCTAAGTTTTTCTATTTTTAGTAGAGATGGGGTTTCACAATGTTAGCCTGACTGGTCTCGAACTCCTGACCTCAAGTGATCTGCCTGCCTCAGCCTCTCAAAATGATGGGATTATAGGTGTGAGCCACCATGCCTGGCCAAAATTAATTTTTATATATTGATCTTGTTAGTCAATTATGATCATGAGCTCTAGAGCTTTCTTAGAGATTCCTTGGAATTCTCTACATAATGCCTTTTATTTCTTTTTCTGGCCTTACTGCACTGGCTAGGCCTTCCAGAACAATGCTGTAAAAAAGTGGTAAGGACAAAAGTCTTTCTCTTGTTTCCTATTTTAGGGGAATGCAGTCTTTTTCCATTAAGTGTGAAATCAACTATACAGTTTTTTCTACATGCCCTTTATCAGTTTAAAAAAAATTTCCTTCCATTATTAGTTTGCTGAGAATTTGTATAATGAATAGATATTGAAAATTTCAAATGTGTTTTCTGTATCTATTGAAGCAATCATGGTTTTCCTTCTTAACCTATTAATATAGTTAATTATATTGATTGACTTTCAAATGTTGAACCAGCCTTACATTCCCAAGACAAATCCTGCTTAGTCATGGTACATTATCCTTTGTAAATATTGCTGGAATAGATTCACTAAAATTTTGTTCAGAATTATTTCACCTATGTTCATAAGGGATATTGGTCTGGTTTTAATGCTGGTCTAATTCTAGCCTAATAAAATGGGTTGTAAAGTATTTCCTTCTTTTCTATTTTTGAGAAAAGATTATATAGATTTGTTACTTCTTCCTTAAATGTTTGGGAGAATTACTCAGTAAAACCATCTGGATGTGGAGTTTTCTTTTTTGAAGTATTTTAACTACAAATTCAATTTCTCTAATAGATATGAGACAAATCAAGTTATCTAATTTCCTCACCAAGCTTTGGTAGTTTGTATGTTTCAAGGAATTAGTCCATTTAATTCTTGATTTAACCCTGATTTAACCCTGATTTAAACACAAATTTGTGGTAATACAGTCATTTGTTTTTCTATAGTGATATCCACTCTTCCATTCCTGATATTGATAGCTTTTGTCTTCTCTCTCTCTCTCCTTCTTGCTTAGTATAGCTAGAGATTTATGCATTTTATTGATATTTCATTGGCTTTGTCTACTGTTTTTCTGCTTTCATTTTCATTGACTTTTGTTTTTATTTTTGTTAATTCATTTTCTCTGCTTGCTTTGGGTTTAGTTTGTTCTTTTTTTCTTTGTTTTTTTTTTTTTGTTGTTGTTTGTTTGTTTGTTTTATGGAGTTTCATTCTTAGTCTAGGCTGGAGTGCAATAGCACAATCTTGGCTCACTGCAATCTCCGCCTCCCGGGTTCAATAGATTCTTCTGCCTCAGCCTCCCGAGTAGCTGGGATTACAGGCGCCTGCCATCACACCCAGCTAATTTTTTGTATTTTTAGTAGAGAAGGGGTTTCACCATGTTGGCCTGGCTGGTCTCAAACTCCTGACCTCAGGTGATCCACCCGCCTCGGCCTCCCAAAGTTCTGGGATTACAGGGGTGAACCACCGTGCTCAGCTGTTTGTTCTTTTTTTCTAATGTCTCACTGTGGAAGCTTAAGTTATTGATTTGAGACTTTCTGTTCTAATATGAGCATTTAGTGCTATAATTTTCTTCTCTCTAAGCACTTCCACAGTTTTTTATAAATTGTATTTTTATTATTAATTATTTTAAAATATTTTATTATTGCCCTTGAAACTTGCTTGACCAATGGGTTATTTAGAACTGTGTTGTTTAACACAGTTACATCGTGTTGTTTAACTTCCAAATGTTTAGGTATTTTCTAGATATCCTTGATTTTTTATTTTTTTCTTTAACCATTTATGGTCATACATATTATTGTCAACATTTTTGGTATGATTTCAATTATTTTAAAATTGTTAAGGTTTATTTAATGGTTCAGAATGTGTCCTCTATAGGTACTTGAAAAGAATGTGTTTTGCTGTTTTGGAGTGGGTTGGCACCTGTTAGTGGTTTTTCCCTTGACTACTGGTCACATTTTGCTGGTTCTTTGTATGCTAAGTAGTTTCAGATTGTATTTTAGACAATCTGATATTATGTTGTGAGACTCTGAGTCCTGTTAAAATCCTCTAGAGAATATTGATTTTCCATAATGACCACCCTGTTATGCAGTTCCACACAACTGGAGAGACAAAGAGAACGAAAACAAAAATTTTCCCCCATCCACTTGGGATGATAGGGAACTCTTTTGAAGATCCTCTGACCAGAGAGACAGTGGTTTGTTTGTTTGCTTTCTCAGTGTTTTAGGTGCTCATGCCACAACTGCTGCAGAGAAGCTCTAGACTGTGGCCACTCCTCGCTTAGAGATAGGAGGAAAAAAGAGGGGAAAAACAGAAAAAAAAAAAGCCTTGGAATATATTCTACACTTTTCAGCTTACAGAAGTCTCTGTATCTGTTTGGTTCAACAAAGGAGATTTCTCTGAGTTTTGATGTCTGCTCCTACTGCTCAGTTCCATAATTAGGGCCATTTTCATTTCAAAGCAGTGAGATACAAAAGCAAAAATAACTCAGGATTCTCATCCTAATACTGGTTTTTCTTCAAATTTTGACTTTCAAACTATCTTCTGGTGTTTACTTTTCAGAGTCCTTAAATAGTTGCTTTCTGTATTCATTTTTAGCTGTAATCTGTGAGAGAGACAGACTATAGAGGGCTGACTTTATCTTGGCCGGCAATGGCAGTCTCAGTAATATTTAACATCTAATAATTATTGAATTCCATGTACAACTCGCATCTCCTATCCTACCCTCTTTAGGAGGGCTTTTAAGAATGCTGGATAGTGGGAATTTTAGAGACATTGTGGGCTGACTTCTGTTTTCACTGGGAGAGGTGGGAACAGCTTTGTTAGGTAAGCATTTTCTGGCATCTACTTGGGACTCATTTTCATATTGATAGCTTCAACCTCACACAAATCATATTGATCCGGTATCCCATGTTTATGTTCACACTCTGGAAACATGTACTACTACTGCCACCTATATCTACGATACTTAGTGTAATTGCTGGTTTATATGTCTGTCTCCTTGAGGTTCCTTAAGGACAGAGAATGTTCTCTGCCTTCTGAGCTCCTAGCACAAATTCTGGCACATAGAAGGAACATAATAATTTTTTTTTAAAGTTGTGACCTTGCTTTAAAATTGAATTTCATATTCTTGGAATGAGGGATAACATTTTTCCTTTCTTAAACAAGTATGATAAAAATACCCCACACATCTCTGAGAACCATCTTGTAATTGCACCCTTCTCATGCCTGAGAAAGGTAAACACTACACACAAGAGTATCATGGAGTGGCCAAACTGTGTCTTCTCTGCTTCAGAGATAGGTAAATCAAGGCACGGGAAAGTCAGGTGTCTTTGTATTCAACCTCAGATTATTAAACACCTCGAAGAAACTGCAATGGAGAATCTGTGTCAACTCTTTCTTAGAATGGCAGTCCTGATCTCAATTTCCTTCAACTGCATAATAGAATACACAACTCAGTATCTATTTACACATCACTGCTTTTTCTTTTTGCATTAAGACATAATTTTAGAATAGGTTTTCTGACTTCCTCTGTGTCTCTGACTGCATTAACTACCAAAAGCGTGGCTGAGCCACACTTCACTGACATCATTGTGCTCCCACCTCAAATCATTTTCATCCTATTGTGAAGCAAAAGCCTTAAAAATGCTCTTTAGTTTTTTTTTTATTTTTAAAGGGCATTTACATCCAGCCATTTTATGAGTGCAGTCAAGGCAATTTCATGTTATTTTCCAAGACTTTTACACACTCGGAGAGCCTGGCAAAATGCATTCGAGATGTGTGAGCAAGAGGTCCCATCAGTCATTCACCTACATGTTTTAAATTGAGTGCCTGCCCTGTCCAGCTGAACGCTCCATTCATCGAATTGCCTGGAACAGCTCCATGGCCCTCAGGAGCCTCATGCACATCTCACACTGTTGCAAAATTGCCTTCAGACAGGATTCTGATTTCCATCAGAGAATTTTAAATTCCAGCTAATGGAATGCTTTGAAGGCATGTGCCACACACTTCTGCCCAGTGCAAGTCTTTTGTGTGAGCAAATCTAGCAGGGACTCCAGAGCCTGGACAGCAGAAAGCTGCACTTCCTCAAGAGGATGCAGGATCCTCTCACTTTCCCAGTTATCCTACAGCTGACTAGTCAGCTGAGGGATTCACCTGGTGTCTGTATCTCCCCACTAGCTTCTTACTGTGGGAAGAGAAAGAATAGGATCCTGCTGGGAGCCAGGAGTCCCTGGGTTTAATTAATGGCCTTTTGGCTTTCTTCCCTTCCCCTCTCCACCATGTGCACTGGTGGACACTGGTCCCCATCCCTGAGGTTCAGTCCTGCCCTGGATTCCAGGTCTACGCCAAGCCCGAGAAGGTTTTGGATGAGAAGAGCTGAGTAATTTGCTTGGTCAACAATTTTTGAAACAATGCTTGAGATAACCTTTGGAATCTGGGTTCTTCAACTACACGGTTTCTGTCTTACTTTTCTCTTGCAGGAGGGTCGGTGCTTTCATTCCCAGCCAGCTATTCCTTGTTCTTCATGTCCTTTACCACCTAGTCCCAAATATACAATGAGAACTCCTGGATCTCTTAGTTTCTAGGTGTCCAGTTCTACTTCCCCTTAAATTAATGACTTCCATCCAGGGCACAGTGGTTTTGTTTGATTGTATCAATGGATCAGACAGGCCCAAATCTAATTGCAAGCTTTGCCCCTGTCTAGTTGGAGGGCCTTAAGAAAGGCACTTGACATCTCTGAGACCCAATTTTCTCATCTGCAGAACAGTTTTACTAAGATGTCCTAAAGATTAAATTATATAATATATAAAGAGTCTAGAAAAGAGTAAGCCGTAAATGATGGCTATTATTATTATTTTTACTAGTATTTGACTATCCATTAGTCCATGGATAAATGAGTCTATCTTTGGCTCAACTCTCACATTCAGATATATTCTATGCTTTCACCTGAACTTGGGGATCCTCCATGGATTACTGGTCCTACCTCAATTATTTTTCCTGCTTGTTCTCTGCCTTATTTGTCCTTCTACTTCCTGAGCCCCTAATTTATTCATGTGAAGAAGCAAAATTGCACAATGTAAATTCTATGAGAACAGCTTCACTCTAAGGTAAATTATAATGTCTTGTCTTATTCATGAAATGACTGAAAGTTGATGGTCATGTATATCATCTACTAAAATGATAGAATGAATGCTTTAGACACTCTAGAAATAGTTTGTCCTATTTTTCTCTATTTGACTGATGATCTCTTGGGATCAGAACAGATATTCACAATATTAAAACTATAGTAAATGGTTTTGTGGTTGTAACCAATGACAAATAATTTTTTCTCTCTGAATCTGACATCCTCCACATCTACTCTCTGGGATGGAAATGTCTTTAGTGATACTGCCAAAAGAAGCATCAGAGAGAGATTAGATAGAGATGACCTTTCCATGAATTTTAAGAGGAAGACTCTGATATGGTTTGACTTTGTGTCCCCACTGAAATCTCATCTTGAATTGTAATCCTCAGGTGCCAAGGGAAGAACCTGGTAGGAGGTGATTGGATCTTGGGGGTGGTTTCCCCCATGCTATTCTCATGATAGTTGTCACAAGAGCTGATGGTTTTAAAGTGTGGTACTTCCTGATGCTCGCTCTCGCTCTCTCGCTTTCTGTCTCTCTCTCTCTCTCTCTTGCAGTCTCTCTCTCTCTGTTTCCTGCCACATGTAAGATGTGCCTTGCTTCCCCTTCACCTTCTACCATGATTGTAAGTTTCCTGAGGCCTCCCCAGCCATGCAGAACTATGAGTCAATTAAACCTCCTTTCTTTATAAATACTCAGTCTCTGGTGGTATTCTTCATAGCAGTGTGAAAACGGACTAATACAGAGAATTGGTACCACGGTAGTGTAGTACTGCTATAAAGATAACTTGAGAATGTGGAAGCAACTTTGGAACTGGATAACAGGCAGAGGTTGGAACAGTTTGTAAGGCTCAGATGAAGACAAGAGGATGAATGAAAGTTTGGAACTTCCTAGAGACTTGTTGAATTGTTTTGACCAAAATGCTAATAGTGATATAGACAATGAAGTCCAGGCTGAGATGGTCTCAGATGGAAATGAGGAACCTATTGGCAGCTGGAGTAAAGGTCACTCTTACTATGCTTTAGCAAAGAGACTGGCAGCATTTTTCACCTGCTCCGGAGATCTGTGGAACTTTGAACTTAAGAGAGATGATTTAGGGTATCTGGCGGAAGAAATTTCTAAGCAGCAAAGCATTCAAGAGGTAATCTGGTTGATTCTGAAAGCGTTCAGTTACATGCACTCACAAAGGGATGGTTTGAAATTGGAACTTACATTTAAAAGGGAAGCAGAGCATAAAGATTTGGAAAATGTACAGCCTGACTATGTGGTAGAAATTTTTCTGGGAAGAAATTCAAGCCAGCTGCAGAAATTTGCGTAAGTAACAAGAAGCCAAATGTTAATCACCAAGACAATGGGGGAAATGTCTCCAGGGCATTTCAGAGATCTTCAAAGTAGCCCCTCCCATCACAGGCCCAAAAGCCTAAGAGGGAAAATGTCCTCAGGGCCCTGGGCCCTGCTGCTCTGTGCAGCCTTGGGACATGCTGTCCTGCATCCCAGCCACTCCAGCTCCAGCTGTGGCTAAGAGGGGCCAAGGTACAGCTCAGGCCATTGCTTCAGAGAATGCAAGCCCCAAAACCTTGGCAGCTTCCACATGATGTTGGGCCTGTGAGTATTCAGAAGACAAGAGTTGAGCTTTCAGAACCTCCATCTGGATTTCAGAGGATGTGTGGAAAAGCCTGGATGTCCAGGCAAAAGTCTACAAGAGGGGTGGAGCCCTTATAGAGAACCTCTGTTAGGCAGTGCAGAAGGGAAATGTGGGGTTGGAGCGCCCATACAGAGTCTCCACTGAGGTACTGCCTTGTGGAGCTGTGAGAAAAGGGCTACCATCCATCCTCCAGACCCCAGAAAGGTAGATCCACCAACAGCTTGCACCTTGCACCTGAAAAAGCCACAGGCATTCAATGCCATCCCATGAAAGCAGCTGGAGGGGCTGTACCCTGCTAAGCCACAGGGGTGGAGCTGCCCAAGGCCATGGGAACCCACCTCTTGCATCAGCGTGCCCTGGGTGTGAGACATGGAGTCAAAGGAGATCATTTTGGAGCTTTAAGATTTAATGACTGCCCGGCTGGGTTTTAGATTTTCATGTGGCCTGTGGGCCCTTTGTTTTGGCCAATTTCTCCCATTTGGATGGGAATACTTACCCAATGGCTGTACCGCTACTGTATCTTTTTTTTTCTTTTTGAGATGGAGTCTCCCTCTGTCACCCAGGCAGGAGGGCACTGGTGCGATCTCGGTTCACTGCAACCTCTAACTCCCACATTCAAGCAGTTCTCCTGCCTCAGCCTCCTAAGTAGCTGGGACTATAAGCGCCGGCCACCACACCCAGCTAATTTTTGTATCTTTGGTAGAGATGGGGTTTCACCATGTTGGGTAGGCTGCTCTTGAACTCCTGACCTCAGGTGATCCACCTGCTTCAGCCTCCCAAAGTGCTGGGATTACAGGTGTGAGCCACTGCACCTGGCCCCCTATTGTACCTTGGAAGTAACTAACTTGCTTTTTATTTTACAGACTCATAGGTAGAAGGAACTTGCCTTGTCTTAGATGAGACTCTGGACTTGGACTTTCAGGTTAATACTGGAATGAGTTAAGACTTTAAGACTGTTGGGAAGGAATGGTTGGTTTTGAAACTTGAAAGGGACATGAAATTTTGGAGGGGCCAGGGGTGAAATAATATGGTTTGTCTCTGTGTCCCCACAAAAATCTCATTTCAAATTGTAATCCTCAGGTGTCAAGGGAGGAACCTGGTGGGAAGTGATTGGATCATGGAGGTGGTTTCCCCCATGCTGTTCTCATGATAGTGAGTGAGTTCTCATAAGAGCTGATGGTTTTAAAGTGTGGCATTTCCTGGTTCGTTCTCTCTCTCTCTCTCTCTCTCTGTCTCACCTGCTATGTAAGATACGCCTTGTCTTCCACCATGATTGTGAATTTCCTGAGCACCCCCCTCCAGCCATGCAGAACTGTGAGTCAATTAAACCTCCTTTCTTTATAAATTACCCAGTCTCTGGTGGTATTCTTTATATCAGTGTGAAAACAGACTAATACAGACTCCTTCCCTGGACACTAGAACCATGATGGCATTAGGGATGGAGTTATTAATGCATAATAGCAGAAAGCTCTTTACCTCAACATTATAAAGATAATAAAGGTATAGTTAACAATGATCGTACACACATTGTAGATTCCATTACAGTATTAAATTGAGCAATAGTGTTTGCAGCAAACTATGGGCTTTATTCTTTAACTTCCCTTCCCATTAAATTATTCTTTAATTTCCCCTCCCATTAAAGGAGAGGGTGGCCTCTTTTCAGGTAAGGATTGCTCATCTCTTTCTTCTGCATGCCTCATGCCATGCATGCCCCATGCAGGTGTAAGCTAGATGGCATTCTGTATGTCAGGACCATTTTTCATTACTGCAAAATACTCAAACTAAGTTTTAAAGAAAAGAATTTCTATCCTATGCATTGCTATAAGGCTTTTTATTCCAACATATGGTATTAAATAGGAGTTATGTGCTCAATTGTGAATTTATATGAAAAGGAGATTAGGACACAACAGGCATAGAGGAAAGGTCATGTGAAGACACAGGGAGAAAACACTCATCTGCAAATCAAGAGGAAAGATCCCAGAAGAAACTAACCCTGCTGATAGATACCTTGATCTCCGACACCTGTCTGTGGTACTTGGTGGTGGCGTCCTAGCAAACTAACATAATTGTGATGAAACACAGAGGCCCAAGAGTGGCCTTTGTGTTTCATTTCAGTGCTCTATGTTCTGGCCAATTGTCTGTCATCTTCCTTTGTGCATGAATGAGTCCCCTGTGGGCAAAAGCAGAGGCCACCCGTGGAGGCATACCTAGATGAGTGGCAGGCAGACAACAACTATCTGTCATCTACCCAACCACCACTTATGTCCTTTTCCCTCCACATCCCTCCTCTTTCACCATCCCTCCCCTCCTACTCATCTTCTTCAGGTAGCAGGAGTGGGAGGTAGGAAAAAGCAATAGACTTATTAATGTTAAAGATCCAAGCTGCAAACATTTGCCTCTGATTAGCTTTTTGGTTTCAGACTCTTTCTCTAGGCAAAATTTTCTCAAAATTATCTGCTACAGGAATTCAGAGAAACATTTAAAACTCTAAGTAGACCGATACCACCACCTTCCCCATCCTCCACCCAACCAGGCTGTGACTGTAGGTAAAATCTGTATACCCAACACCAATTCCCTTGATGGTATTTGGATCCATTTCCAATTGAGAAGCAGTCATCTATCCTTTTTCATTAGCTTCGCCTTCACTGGTGAGAAATTAGTGGGAAGTAAAGACTCTGGAGGCCTGGAGTTGTTGAGTTTTAAAATTTTATGCCTGGAGGGTAAGTCCACTCTAGTAAATGCGAAGTTATTTTTAAACTTAAAGCCATGGAATACAACTACATTATAGTAACCAGCTATTTTGCAGTATAACCTACATTCATTCATGTATTGTTTGTATGAATGTTCTGTTTCCAGCATAATGGCTTTTAAAAATTAAAAATATAAATTAGCTATTATTAGAGAAACAGCACAATAGTAAAACTCCCATAAATTGGCATAAGAAAATATTAATAATAGACTCTAGATGGGACAGACAGTCTCTAAAGAATAAACAAATCATTGAGTAGAGAATAGAAATTCCACCCAACCAGTTAGTGCTCTATGCTGATCTTCAAACAATGGGTTCCTGGGTCTTAGCAATAACAACAAAACCAACTCACCACTAACCGAGTGCTTACTGAATCTCATATGCTTTACATGTATTACTTTATTTTTTTCTTCCAAATGTCACTTTTGAAGAAGATACGTTTAATATTTCCACTTTACAGATGATGAAATTTTAAAATGTTATATAAATTGCCCAGCTAGTAAATGGTAGGGCAGAGATTCAAACCCAGCCTTAATATATATATACTATTATTTTGATCCCCAGAGCACTCAATATACTGTTGGGTACTTTTAAAAGAATTAAGAAAATGTTGAGCCATATGGGGGACGATTCAGCCATATTGTAGGGACAGAAAACAGTAAAAGTGACCCAAATACCCCATCTTTAAAATTTTTCTATGTTTTAACCATTTATTTTCCACATTATTCTTTTGTGCAATATTTGCTGAGCATCTACTATGTTCCAGGTACTGTGTCGGGTGGAAAACAGGAATAAATAATATACAAACCCTTTTATTAAGTAATTCAGAGTTCAGTGAAAGACTTCAAAGGAAAACAGATCATTTTTAAATGATCGAACTATGTGACAGCTGGAGTGGCATTAGCGGATCACAGAGGGGATGGTCAGGACTGGCTGCTGGCAGGAGGGGACATCTGAGCAGGTGAGAGGCAGGGGTGTGGGAGGAAGACAGGTAAGACCTTAACAGGCAAGGGTACAGTGTGAGCACTGGCAGGAAAAAGAGTTGCTGGAAATTTCCAGCAGTTCATTGTTGCTGAAGCAGAACGTGTGATACCGGGCGGGTCCCTGATCGTGGAGTGGAGGACGGATGCAAAGCATGGAGACCCTTTTAAGGCACCAGACGAGGGAGAGAGATTGAACAAATAGGAGAGGTGGGTGGGTGAGGGAGAGAAGAGCCACTGAGATCATCACAACTCAAACAAAACTAAGACAAATGTAGTGCATGTCCTTGAGTTCTCTTGCTTTCTCCCATTTTCCATGAAAACGTGCAAACTAGCACCTTAACACTTTTTGTAATTTCATAACAAATGCTATCATATTTCATAGCCAGCAGATGGCACTAAGTATACATAAAATGAACATTTTGCACACTGTCATTTTTTTTTTTTTTTTCTCTTGAGACCGTCTCACTCTGTTGCCCACGCTGCAGTGCAGTGGCGCAATCGTGTCTCTCTGCATCCTGGGCTCCAGCAATCCTCCTGCCTCAGCTTCCCGAGTAGCTGGGACCACAGGCGCCTACCTCCTACTTATTTTAAAAGAGTTCAATCCAGGCTCTACTGTTCCCAAGGGACTTTTCTCCATACTAGGAACTCTAAAATCTGACAATGGTCTGGATCTGTGAGATAGGAAAGGCATCTTATAGGTACAGGGTCCTGTCTTCTGCCAGGGTCTACTGTGCTATGGTCTCAGAGGGATTTCATCAGGGGATCCCAGTAAGGTTGTAAAATGAATAAGGTCTTGGTGGCACCATCTCTGTGTAGTGAGGAAAACTTATGTAAAACTGGAACGGGTGAAGGGGTGAAACTAGGAAGGTGTCATAGCTGTTAGAGGAGGGGGAGCAGGACTGGGTGGGTAAAGCCTTCAGCTGTGAGGCCCGTTGACATCTATGAAAGAGGAAGAAAGCGGGAGAGACTTCAGTTGCAAAGGACGGCTGACCAGGGCTTGGCTTTCTCAGTGAGCAGCTTCAGAGCAAAGATTGCCTGATGAAGCAGTTTAGCATTGGGCCAAAACAGCCAGGCCCTACAGTATCCTTCTCATCTGGTTTGGCTCTGTCCCCACCCAAAGTCTCATCTTGAATTGTAATCCCCATAATCCCCACATGTCAAGGGAGAGACCAGGTGGATGTAATTGAATCATGGGGGTGTTTTCTCCCATGCTGTTCTCGTGGTAGTGAGTTCTCACGCGAGCTGACGATTTTGTAAGTGTTTGGTAGTTTCTCCTGCGTTCATTTCTCCTTCCTGCCACCTTGGGAAGAAGGTGGCTTGCTTCCCCTTCACCTTCTGCCATGATTGTAAGTTTCCTCAGGCCTCCCCAGCCATGCTGAACTGTGAGTCAATTAAACCTCTTACCTTTATAAATTACCCAGTCTTGGGTATTTCCTTATAGCAATGTGAGAACAGACTAGTATATCTTCCTTGCTCGGTCATTGGCTGGGGGTTACCCAGGAAGAATGTGACCCAGAGTGAATGCCATGCAGATGCTGATGGCGCTACAGTTGAAGGCTGTCAGTTACCTGTGCTCCCTGCAGCTGGACAGCAGGTTCTCAGAGGAATACCCTAAAGGTGGTGGACTTTTGTGGCTGCCACACCATCCATGTTAAAGAAATAACTCTCGTGTATGATCTCCATTGTATTTCTTAGGTCTGTATGAAGCTGTGTAAACAGTCTTGCTCTTTTCAGTAGCTGAGGTGCTTTTTAAATAAAATTCATAGGTTCTTGGATATGATTCAATCCAGTATATTCTGTGAAATGGCTTTGCAGCTTCATCTGAATAATCTCAATATTTACTTATAAGTTATATGTATCTCTTGGAAGAAAATTTTAAAAGTAAAAGCCATTATCTATATGTGCTCAAAGGATATGAAAGAATTTTAATCTCAGAAAAGCACAATAAGGAAGTCAATATCTATTTTAATCTCAGGCAAGCATACTAAAGAAGTCAGTAGCTGCAAAAGCTCCTCAAAAAATTATTCAAAGTCAAATATAAATAATCTTATTTGCTCTTTTGGATTATGAATACATCACAGCTTTTTTATTAACATCCAATTTAAAGTTGGCCTATTGTCTGGTGGTATTAAAATGGATCACATGTGTAGCCCTTAATAATGCACATTGACATGGAACACTTGGCTTGATCCTCATAATTCTATGAGGTAGGTATTATCACCTAGGTACAGATGAAGAAACACATCCTGAGAGATGTGAATTTTAATGCAATTTCTATGAATGACATATTTTTTTCAAAATCCTATGAAACACAATCTGGTAATTTTTAAGACACTGTACCACTCTTTCCTTACACTATATAAAAAAATCAACTCAAGATGGATGAAAGATTTGAATGTAAAAGTTAAAACGATCAAAACCCTAGAAGAAAACAAGAAAGGCCATGGACATATGCCTTGGCAAAGACTTCATGATGAAGATGCCAAGAGCAATTGCAGCAAAAACAAAAATTGACAAATGGGATCTAATAAAACTAAAGAACTTCTGCACAGTAAAAGAAACTATCAACAGAGTAAACACACAACCTAGAGAATGCGGGAAAACACCCAAAAGCTATGCATCTGACAAAGGTCTAATATCCAGCACCTATAAGGAACTTAAATCAACAAGCAAAAACAAACGACCTCATTAAAAATGGGCAAAAAGTGTGAACAGACACTTCTCAAAAGAAGACGTACATGTAGGCAACAAGCATATGAAAAGATGTTCACCATCACTAATCATTACAGAAATGCAAATCAAGACCACAGTAAGATACCATCTCACACTAGTCAGAATAGCTATGATGAAAAAGTAAAAAAAAAAAAAAAAAAAAAAAAAAAAAAAAAAAAAAAAAGATGCTGGTGAAGTTGTGGAGAAAAGAGAACACTTATACACTGCTGGTGGAAATGTAAACCAGTTTGGCCACTGTGGAAAGCAGTTTGGAGATTTTTCAAAGAATTTAAAACAGAGCTATCATTCAACCCAGCAATCCCATTACTGGATATATACCCAAAGGAATATACATTGTTCTACCATAAAAACACATATACACGTATGTTCATTGCAGCATTATTCACAATAGCAAAGACATGGAATCAACCTAAATGCTCACCAATGGTGGAATGGATAAAGAAAATGTGGTACATATATACCATGGAATACTATACAGCCATATAAAAAAATGAGATCACGTCCTCTGTGGCAACATGGATGGAGCTGGAGGCCAGTATCCTAACTGAACTAACACAGAACAGAAAACCAAATACTGTATGTGCTCCCTATAAGTAGGAGCTAAACACTGAGCACACATGGACAAAAAGAAGGGAATAATAGGCACCAGGGCCTACTTGAGGGTGGAGGGTGGGAGGAGAGTGAGGACTGAGAAAATACCTATCAGGTACTATGCTTATTACCTGGGTGACAAAATAATCTGTACACCAAACCCCATGACATGCAATTTACCTATATAACAAACCTGCAAATGTACTTCTGCACCTAAAATAGAAGTTGGAAGGAAAAAATACATTGCACAAATGGAAACAATAAAATCTACAATTTGAACATTTATTTGAATAGCTGGACGTGTCATCAGAACAACTTTTGATGCTTATTTAAGCTCCCAGAGTTACCTAAAGAGAACATGAGGTTTAAGAACCACTGATGAGGAATCAAAGCCCTACTTTGAAGAGTATAAATACATAAGCATTATATACATATATAAACACACATTTTAAAGAATTATAAAATGAACACTTGTATACTTAACACCAAGAAATTGAATATTAACATTGAAGCACCCAGGGCTTCTCCTGTATTGCATTCTTTCCTAGAAGTGATCACCAGCCTATGTTTTGAATTAATTATGCCTACGCTTTCGCTGTTTTGCCACACTATATCTTCTATAATATTGTCTTGTTTGCTTTTAGGCCAATATATATGCAATGCAAATGGCATATATATTGACATGCACACACATCCCCTTTGATGACTTAGTTTTTTATCTTTAACAGTCTATTTGACATTGGTTCCCACTGATGCTTGTGACTGTAGATCACATTCATTCCTTTACAATATTATGTTGTATGGAAATATTCATTTTATCCATTCTGTTGGTGGGCCTTTGAGTTGTTTTCAGCTTTTTTTTCTCAGGTACAAATAATGCTTCCATGAAGATTCTTGTAATTGGTTTCCTTGGTATATTTGTAACAACATTTCTTTAGGGTGAAACCATAAATTGCAGAGACTACATACTTTAAAACTTATTAGGAATTAACAACTTATTTTCTAAGGTGGCTGTACCAATTTACACTCCTACTATAATTTCATGAGAGTTCTTGTGGCACCCTGTCCTCACCAATTCTTACCTGACATGTAAATGTTACCATGTGGTTTTAATCTTTATTTCCCTATTTGCTTCTAAGACTTTAAACACTTTACTTTCATTTAAGTCCTTGACCCATTTAAATTTGACTTTTGTGCATGAAGTTATATATATACCTGTCCTTTTGAAAATGTCCGTATATTTCTCTTATTAAGAATTTTCGAGGGAGGAGCCAAGATGGCCGAATAGGAACAGCTCCGGTCTACAGCTCCCAGCGTGAGCAACGCAGAAGACGGGTGATGTCTGCATTTCCATCTGAGGTACCGGGTTCATCTCACTAGGAAGTGCCAGACAGTGGGCGCAGGTCAGTGGGTGCGCGCACCGTGTGCGAGCCGAAGCAGGGTGAGGCATTGCCTCACTTGGGAAGCGCAAGGGGTCAGGGAGTTCCCTTTCCTAGTCAAAGAAAGGGGTGATGGACGCACCTGGAAAATCGGGTCACTCCCACCCGAATACTGCGCTTTTCCAACCGGCTTAAAAAACGGTGCACCACGAGATTATATCCCGCACCTGGCTCAGAGGGTCCTACGCCCATGGAGTCTCCCTGATTGCTAGCACAGCAGTCTGAGATCAAACTGCAAGGCGGCAGCGAGGCTGGGGGAGGGGCACCCGCCATTGCCCAAGCTTGCTTAGGTAAACAAAGCAGCCAGGACGCTCGAACTGGGTGGAGCCCACCACAGCTCAAGGAGGCCTGCCTGCCTCTGTAGGCTCCACCTCTGGGGGCAGGGCACAGACAAACAAAAAGACAGCAGTAACCTCTGCAAACTTAAATGTCCCTGTCTGACAGCTTTGAAGAGAGCAGTGGTTCTCCCAGCACGCAGCTGGAGATCTGAGAACGGGGAGACTGCCTCCTCAAGTGGGTCCCTGACCCCTGACCCCCAAGCAGCCTAACTGGGAGGCACCCCCCAGCAGGGGCACACTGACACTTCACACGGCAGGGTACTCCAACAGACCTGCAGCTGAGGGTCCTGTCTGTTAGAAGGAAAACTAACAAACAGAAAGGACATCCACACCAAAAACCCATCTGTACGTCACCATCATCAAAGACCAAAAGTAGATAAAACCACAAAGATGGGGAAAAAACAGAACAGAAAAACTGGAAACTCTAAAAAGCAGAGCGCCTCTCCTCCTCCAAAGGAACGCAGTTCCTCACCAGCAACGGAACAAAGCTGGATGGAGAACGACTTTGACAAGCTGAGAGAAGAAGGCTTCAGACGATCAAATTACTCTGAGCTACGGGAGGACATTCAAACCAAAGGCAAAGATGTTGAAAACTTTGAAAAAAATTTAGAAGAATGTATAACTAGAATAACCAATACAGACAAGTGCTTAAAGGAGCTGATGGAGCTGAAAACCAAGGCTCGAGAACTACGTGACGAATGTACAAGCCTCAGGAGCCGATGCGATCAACTCGAAGAAAGGGTATCAGCAATGGAAGATGAAATGAATGAAATGAAGCAAGAAGGGAAGTTTAGAGAAAAAAGAATAAAAAGAAATGAGCAAAGCCTCCAAGAAATATGGGACTATGTGAAAAGACCAAATCTACGTCTGACTGGTGTACCTGAAAGTGACGGGGAGAACGGAACCAAGTTGGAAAACACTCTGCAGGATGTTATCCAGGAGAACTTCCCCAATCTAGCAAGGCAGGCCAACGTTCAGATTCAGGAAATACAGAGAATGCCACAAAGATACTCCTCGAGAAGAGCAACTCCAAGACACATAATTGTCAGATTCACCAAAGTTGAAATGAAGGAAAAAATGTTAAGGGCAGCCAGAGAGAAAGGTCGGGTTACCCTCAAAGGGAAGCCCATCAGACTAACAGCAGATCTCTCGGCAGAAACCCTACAAGACAGAAGAGAGTGGGGGCCAATATTCAACATTCTTAAAGAAAAGAATTTTCAACCCAGAATTTCATATCCAGCCAAACTAAGCTTCATAAGTGAAGGAGAAATAAAATACTTTACAGACAAGCAAACGCTGAGAGATTTTGTCACCACCAGGCCTGCCCTAAAAGAGCTCCTGAAGGAAGCGCTAAACATGGAAAGGAACAACCAGTACCAGCCGCTGCAAAATCATGCCAAAATGTAAAGACCATCGAGACTAGGAAGAAACTGCATCAACTAACGAGCAAAATCACCAGCTAACATCATCATGACAGGATCAAATTCACACATAACAATATTAACTTTAAATGTAAATGGACTAAATGCTCCAATTAAAAGACACAGACTGGCAAATTGGATAAAGAGTCAAGACCCATCAGTGTGCTGTATTCAGGAAGCCCATCTCATGTGCAGAGACACACATAGGCTCAAAATAAAAGGATGGAGGAAGATCTACCAAGCAAATGGAAAACAAAAAAAGGCAGGGGTTGCAATCCTAGTCTCTGATAAAACAGACTTTAAACCAACAAAGATCAAGAGAGACAAAGAAGGCCATTACATAATGGTAAAGGGATCAATTCAACAAGAAGAGCTAACTATCCTAAATATATATGCACCCAATACAGGAGCACCCAGATTCATAAAGCAAGTCCTGAGTGACCTACAAAGAGACTTAGACTCCCACACATTAATAATGGGAGACTTTAACACCCCACTGTCAACATTAGACAGATCAATGAGACAGAAAGTCAAAAAGGATACCCAGGAATTGAACTCAGCTCTGCACCAAGCAGACCTAATAGACATCTACAGAACTCTCCACCCCAAATCAACAGAATATACATTTTTTTCAGCACCACACCACACCTATTCCAAAATTGACCACATACTTGGAAGTAAAGCTCTCCTCAGCAAATGTAAAAGAACAGAAATTATAACAAACTATCTCTCAGACGGCAGTGCAATCAAACTAGAACTCAGGATTAAGAATCTCACTCAAAACCGCTCAACTACATGGAAACTGAACAACCTGCTCCTGAATGACTACTGGGTACCTAACGAAATGAAGGCAGAAATAAAGATGTTCTTTGAAACCAACGAGAACAAAGACACAACATACCAGAATCTCTGGGACGCATTCAAAGCAGTGTGTAGAGGGAAATTTATAGCACTAAATGCCCACAAGAGAAAGCAGGAAAGATCCAAAATTGACACCCTAACATCACAATTAAAAGAACTAGAAAAGCAAGAGCAAACACATTCAAAAGCTAGCAGAAGGCAAGAAATAACTAAAATCAGAGCAGAACTGAAGGAAATAGAGACACAAAAAACCCTTCAAAAAATTAATGAATCCAGGAGCTGGTTTTTTGAAAGGATCAACAAAATAGATAGACCGCTAGCAAGACTAATAAAGAAAAAAAGAGAGAAGAATCAAATAGATACAATAAAAAATGATAAAGGGGATATCACCACCAATCCCACAGAAATACAAACTACCATCAGAGAATACTACAAACACCTCTACGCAAATAAACTAGAAAATCTAGAAGAAATGGATAAATTCCTTGACACATACACTCTCCCAAGACTAAACCAGGAAGAAGTTGAATCTCTGAATAGACCAATAACAGGATCTGAAATTGTGGCAATAATCAATAGCTTACCAACCAAAAAGAGTCCAGGACCAGATGGATTCACAGCCGAATTCTACCAGAGGTACAAGGAGGAACTGGTACCATTCCTTCTGAAACTATTCCAATCAATAGAAAAAGAGGGAATCCTCCGTAACTCATTTTATGAGGCCAGCATCATTCTGATACCAAAGCCTGGCAGAGACATAACCAAAAAAGAGAATTTTAGACCAATATCCTTGATGAACATTGATGCAAAAATCCTCAATAAAATACTGGCAAAATGAATCCAGCAGCACATCAAAAAGCTTATCCACCATGATCAAGTGGGCTTCATCCCTGGAATGCAAGGCTGGTTCAATATATGCAAATCAATAAATGTAATCCAGCATATAAACAGAGCCAAAGACAAAAACCACATGATTATCTCAATAGATGCAGAAAAGGCCTTTGACAAAATTCAACAACCCTTCATGCTAAAAACTCTCAATAAATTAGGTATTGATGGGATGTATCTCAAAATATTAAGAGCTATCTATGACAAACCCACAGCCAATATCATACTGAATGGGCAAAAACTGGAAGCATTCCCTTTGAAAACTGGCACAAGACAGGGATGACCTCTCTCACCACTCCTATTCAACATAGTGTTGGAAGTTCTGGCCAGGGCAATTAGGCAGGAGAAGGAAATAAAGGGTATTCAATTAGGAAAAGAGGAAGTCAAATTTTCCCTGTTTGCAGACGACATGATTGTATATCTAGAAAACCCCATTGTCTCAGCCCAAAATCTCCTTAAGCTGATAAGCAACTTCAGCAAAGTCTCAGGATACAAAATCAATGTACAAAAATCACAAGCATTCTTATACACCAACAACAGACAAACAGAGAGCCAAATCATGAGTGAACTCCCATTCACAATTGCTTCAAAGAGAATAAAATACCTAGGAATCCAACTTACAAGGGATGTGAAGGACCTCTTCAAGGAGAACTACAAACCACTGCTCAAGGAAATAAAAGAGGATACAAACAAATGCAAGAACATTCCATGCTCATGGGTAGGAAGAATCAATATCGTGAAAATGGCCATACTGCCCAAGGTAATTTACAGATTCAATGCCATCCCCATCAAGCTACCAATGCCTTTCTTCACAGAATTGGAAAAAACTACTTTAAAGTTCATATGGAACCAAAAAAGAGCCCGCATCGCCAAGTCAATCCTGAGCCAAAAGAACAAAGCTGGAGGCATCACGCTACCTGACTTCAAACCATACTACAAGGCTACAGTAACCAAAACAGCATGGTACTGGTACCAAAAGAGAGATATAGATCAGTGGAACAGAACAGAGCCCTCAGAAATAACGCCGCATATCTACAACTATCTGATCTTTGACAAACCTGAGAAAAACAAGCAATGGGGAAAGGATTCCCTATTTAATAAATGGTGCTGGGAAAACTGGCTGGCCATATGTAGAAAGCTGAAACTGGATCCCTTCCTTACACCTTATACAAAAATCAATTCAAGATGGATTAAAGACTTAAACGTTAGACCTAAAACCATAAAAACCCTAGAAGAAAACCTAGGCAATACCATTCAGGACATAGGCATGGGCAAGGACTTCATGTCTAAAACACCAAAAGCAATGGCAACAAAAGACAAAATTGACAAATGGGATCTAATTAAACTTAAGAGCTTCTGTACAGCAAAAGAAACTACCATCAGAGTGAACAGGCAACCTACAAAATGGGAGAAAATTTTCACAACCTACTCATCTGACAAAGGGCTAATATCCAGAATCTACAATGAACTCAAACAAATTTACAAGAAAAAAACAAACAACCCCATCAAAAAGTGGGCGAAGGACATGAACAGACACTTCTCAAAAGAAGACATTTATGCAGCCAAAAAACACATGAAAAAATGCTCATCATCACTGGCCATCAGAGAAATGCAAATCAAAACCACAATGAGATACCATCTCACACCAGTTAGAATGGCGATCATTAAAAAGTCAGGAAACAACAGGTGCTGGAGAGGATGTGGAGAAATAGGAACACTTTTACACTGTTGGTGGGACTGTAAACTAGTTCAACCATTGTGGAAGTCAGTGTGGCGATTCCTCAGGGATCTAGAACTAGAAATACCATTTGACCCAGCCATCCCATTACTGGGTATATACCCAAAGGACTATAAATCATGCTGCTATAAAGACACATGCACACGTATGTTTATTGCGGCATTATTCACAATAGCAAAGACTTGGAACCAACCAAAATGTCCAACAATGATAGACTGAATTAACAAAATGTGGCACATATACACCATGGAATACTATGCCACCATAAAAAATGATGAGTTCGTGTCCTTTGTAGGGACATGGAGGAAATTGGAAATCATCATTCTCAGTAAACTATCGCAAGAACAAAAAACCAAACACCGCGTATTCTCACTCATAGGTGGGAATTGAACAATGAGAACACATGGACACAGGAAGGGGAACATCACACTCTGGGGACTGTTGTGGGGTGGGGGGAGGGGGGAGGGATAGCATTGGTAGATATACCTAATGCTAGATGACGAGTTAGTGGGTGCAGCACACCAGCATGGCACATGTATACATATGTAACTAACCTGCACATTGTGCACATGTACCCTAAAACTTAAAGTATAATAATAAAATTAAAAAAAATAAAAAAATAAAAATAAAAAGTATATTTTGTCATAAAATAAAACTCCCTATCAAAAAATTAATTTAAAATGCTTTTTATTATAAAGTAATACATTGTCACTATTAAATATTTAGGAACTGTAGAAAAATAAACCATAGTTCTATTTAATTTTAATATTAAAATGTTTTCCAGTTTTTTTCAATGCATGCCTTTCTTTGTTTTGATTTTGATAAGATGTGGACAAAACCATCAGATGAGGTTTTGTTTGATCATAGGACAAAATTATAAACAAATATTTGGTGAAATCTTTTTATAAACAAAAGCTATGAGGGTCAAATGGAGTTACGTGTATGTGCTTCTCATACCATAACCATATTTGTGTACACTTTGTAGAAACCATTTCAGGTGTTCAATCTTGAGCAAGCTTAGCTTATTCTAGCAAGCAAGGAGGAATATTCTAGTGAATTGTGGTAGTGTGTGTGAAGTGGGTTTAGTGTTTGAAGATTCTTTCTGCAGGTTTCATGGATACTTTATGGAAAATCAACAGTGCTTTATATATTATCCTTTTATCCTCTCTTCATGACCTTTTTTGATAACCAGGTTTTAGATCTACGTATGTTTCCAGAGAAAGAAAGGACAGATCAAAAGTTCATCAACTCTCTGATTCTACTATACAGAAGTACAGAAGTGATTCAGGTTGGGGTAGGAATCATCCTCTAAGCTCTGATCTCGTTTCAAGATAACTTTTTATTTAAAAATAGTGACATGCATGTCTGTTCATCCCACCACACCCCACTTTTTTTTCCACAGAAGAATGGATACATTTAATTGTATTCTCTGTAAACTTTTTAATGTTTTTCTTTCCTTAGGATAGTTCTACTTGAGCATAAGTTTAATTTTCTCCCCGGAATTCTCATTTTAAATGCTAGTAATATACATACCCCGAGGTCTGAATTCAGTATGAAAGGAGTCATAATGTGTGATGATTCTAGACCATTCTTACAATCTATGCATTTCATTTTTGAATCTACTGCATTTAGCACAGGGTCTAGATGAGGCAGGAACACAATAAAATATTTATTGAATGAATAAGTAAGAGTTTTAGTTTTCTCTTGTGAAAAATACTGTTCCCAAATAAATGTCAAATGAATTCTGTTGAGTTTTTTCATTGAGCCTGAATTCTGGACTTCATGTCTGACCTTTTGCAGCCTGAATTTCTAACAGGTTTCCTCAAATTAGAGTGTGTATTAGAATCACCTGGGGGAACTAGCAGACCATGCAGACTCCTTCCTGGGCCATACTTCCTAGATATTCTCATTCAGTAGGTAAGGTCCAGCCATCTGGGTTTTTAGTAAGTGCTTGAAGTATTTGTGTAAGGTGCTCATAGGACCACACTTTGTTAAATATCGTTAAAGGTGTGGGTTCAGGCAGATCCAATATAGATTTGTGTTTTCTCTAATTTGGCTGTGTTTCAACTATTTCAGGCAGATATTCTAAAGAGTTGGAGGTGGTTTTAGGAAATGGTCCTATGGCAATCTTTAGACCATCAGTCTGAAATAGATTTCAAAAGACTGACTTGTCTTAACTGCACATACGGAAATTAACACCTTGTCATATATTATCTTGTGAGCAAATCTCTGTGACATGGAATTTTACTTAAACAGTTGGCCAATATTTTAAAAATAAAATTTCTTAACATCTCGTTATCATGCTTTTATAGAGGAAGGACTAGCCAATTACTTAAAGTGTCTTTGGCTGGCTGAGAAAGACTGACATGCCCTTGACCTATCCCATGCTCCTTCTTTAAAAGCTGATTTGCACCTGTGGTTGCTCTTAGAGTCACCTTCAACACCTCACTGAGGAAGTGGGTGTCTCCATGGCTGCACTTGATTCCTGCGCTCTGAGTGTTACTGTGATTCCCTGATCTGAGTTCCAAAGCACTCCCTTTCCTGCGTAGCTGAAAGAGGAATGAGGATAAAAAAATCTGACTCCTGAATTGCCACTTGCAGTATATACAACATCACTTTGCCACAGACTTCTTAAAATAACCATTGTGATTTTTGCATTAAGACATAAAAGAGTACAGAGCATCTAAAAAATATTAATGTTGGCCGGGCACGGTGGCTCACATCTGTAATCCCAGCACTTTGGGAGGCCGAGGAGGGTGGATCACCTGAGGTCAGGAGTTCAAGACCAGCCTGACCAACATGGTGAAACCCCGTCTCTACTAAAATTACAAAAATTAGCTGGGCCTGGTGGCAGGCGCCTTGTAGTCCCAGCTACTTGGGAGGCTGAGGCAGGAGAATCGCTTGAACCCGGGAGGCGGGGGTTGCAGTGATCCCAGATCGCGCCACTGCACTCAAGCCTGGGTGACAGAGTGAGACTCCATCTCAAAAAAAAAAAAAAATTAATGTTATGTAGAACTTGGAAAATAAATCTATTATTTTGTATGCAACTACAACAAGTATAAAATTCAGCTTCCAAGTCCCCAACCAACCAAACCAACTCCCGAGTAACTAAATTTTCAAATGGAATAATATTTATAAGTATGTAGAAAAGGGATTACTGTATACATGAGAGCTTTGAATTACTGTGATAATCTGGACATCTGGAAATGAGAATAAGCCTCACTGCCCTGCCTTTAACTGACCATCTGTGACTCAGGTGGACAGAGGAGACCACTTACCTTTCTCTCATGGTGTTTCCTTTCAGGTGAGGGTCACCATTAGCATATCGCTCCTGGCCTGTCTCTGTATCCTGTTCTCAAACTCCCTCTCATGGAGCAAAATCTGTTTAATGAAATGTGGGAGCAAAAATTTGGCATACACATATCTCAGGCTCTTTGTGTTTCTCTTCTTCAGGAGTCAGCTTGCCTGGGAGAACTGCATTTTCTCTTTTCTTTTCTTTTCTTTCTTTCCCTTCCCTCCCTCCCTCCCTTCCTCCCTCCCTCCCTCCCTCCTTTCCTCCTTCCCTTCCCTTCCTTCCTTCCTTCCCCCTCCCCTTTTCTTTTTTTCTTTTTCTTTTTCTCTTTCTTTTCCTTTTTCTTTTCTTTCAAGATGGAGTTTCGCTCTTGTTGGCCAGGCTGGAGTGCAATGGTGTGATCTCAGCTTACTGCAACCTCTGCCTCCCAGATTCAAGCGATTCTCCTGCCTCAGCTTCCCGAGTAGCTGGGATTATAGGTGCCTGCCACCATGCCCAGCTAATTTTTTGTATTTTTAGTAGAGACCATGTTGGCCAGGCTGCTCTTGTACTCCTGACCTCAGGTGATCCACCTGCCTCGGCCTCCCAAAGTGCTGGGATTACAGGCATGAGCCACCGCGCCCGGCCCGAGACCTGCATTTTCTAGGCCTGCATCTCTGCTCATTTCCCATTGCCCATCTCAGCAGATGGTCTGTGATTGCTCAGTGCTGCCTGTGTCTAGATGGAAATCTAGTGCTGGATATCATATTGGGAAACCTCTTGTTGCTGAACTCCTTAGCTATGTTCCCCATCATGGTCTGTGGTAGACATGAACATGTGTTACCCAGAGCCCCTCCAAGAAAGAACTCACTGACCAGCTGAGGAGAGGGTGGTCAGCAGAATGTCTCCAGCTGCCTGCTTTCTTAGGGTCAGCCTCAGCTGCAAAGTGATGGATGTCTTTGCTCAAGGATATGCCCTTTTCAGAGCATCCCACATCTTGTGACTGAACTGGGACAAGATTAAAAGGCCCAGCCATTTCAATCAACCGTGAGATGACTCTAATGGGCAGTCTCACTCTAGAGCTTCCTGCCAGGTTGGCCAAGGCTGTTTTGGGTCTGCATCACAGTTTGACTTTTTTCTCTGCTCCATCCTGCTTCCTCCCCTTCCTTTGATTCTTTATATATGTCTTGAACACCAACTCTCTCTCAGTATATGCACCTGGAGGAGTCAACCTATGATATGGCCTCTTTTGGTTTAGGGCTTTAAATATCTTTTTGCTAATGTTAATATTTGGTTTTCTTAACTGGTTCAGAACTCAAGTAGAGAAATAATAGTGCCATTTCCAGACTCCTTTAAATCTCAGCAGTGGATATAACTCTGCCTAGGTGAGAGAAACTTGTATCCCATCGAGGCGTAGGTAGAATAAATAAGAATAGGCAGCCCTGAGTAGGGTTCTCAGTGAATACCAGGTAGTCTGGCTATACCATCAGAAGGTACTGTATTGTCTAGCTCTGATAAAGAAATAAAAATGATACCCTGTATTGACACATGTAAAACACTGAAAGTATCTTATTTTCAGGCAGACATGACCTACTATTATGCAGGCTTCCTAAGACAGTAAACAGATATTTCAGATCGCCAAAGAATAGTTAAATATCCCAATTTCTATTAAATATACATATTGATCCTTGGCATAAAACATAAATGATTGCAACCTTCTGATTTGTTATAGAGCAGAACATTAGGTGAATCTCAAAACATTGTCAAAAACATTTCTGTAAGGAGGCCCATCTTTCATGGGTAGTACCGTATCAAGAAAGCCCTGAGCCAATACTTGTGAAAAATTAACAATAGCTTCCATCAAGAACAGAATAAGGAGAAAATGAGTTTTAAATACAGCATAACTAGTGTTTTAAAGATGATTTACCAAAAGGGGCAATTTTAAATTAGATTTTTCTTTAGAATGTAGCATGTATTCTCTTGCAAATTAAACTTGTGGGCCTAACTATGTATTGTATCAAGGGAAGGGAACAGAATTTTCTCTGGGAAGATTCAGCTTTGGGAAAGTTTCACTTGGATAAATTGGGGAGAAATTAAAAAAACATGTTTAATAAGCCAGATTTGCTAACTTTAACTCTGGAATCTAAAGAATGACAGATGTCACAATCAGGCAGCATTCATATTCAGCTAGGTAGTTTGTTTAAATCAGTGGTTCTCAACCTTCTGATAGCATAAAAATTGGCCCAATTGGACTGAGAAAAAATTGGCCTTGCCAAAAACCAGACCAAAATCTTCACCAAAGAACGTAAATAAACCATATTTAGAATAGGACAATGGTTAGGTTACATCTTAACCACAAAAATGACTAACACCCCTCATTGCCAGCAACTTTGCCTTTTTGATGATCTCTGCTTATTTATCAATGATAGCACTGCTCTTGGATGAAGACGATTGAGGAACCCAATCACAGAATTTCCCCAATTTCTTGATGTTATTCAATCCAGAAACTTTCCCTGCTTCCCTAATCACTCCTTAAAATAATCTACTAAAATCCCCCCACCCACCACCCTCTGACTCTTACTGAGAAGCCCTCAATGTTTCCCTGGAGTTTCAGCAAGGTAAGCAGGCCTCGTTGCTTAACTACAGGTGTTTTCTTGGTGGTCTTTATTTGATGGGCTTTGATACTTGGCTGCATATTAAAATCATCTGGTGATAAGGTTTGGCTGTGTCCCCACCCAACTCTCATCTCCAATTGTAATCTCCATAATCTCTACCTGTCAGGGGAGGAAACTGGTGGGAGGTGATTGAATCATGGGGGTGGTTTTACCCATGCTGTTCTCTTGATAGGGAGTGAATTATCACGAGATCTGATGGTTTAAAGTGTGGCACTTCCACCTTCGGGCGCTCTCTCCTGCTACTTTGTGAAGCAGGTACTTGCTTCTCTTTTGCTGTCCATCATGACTGCAAGTTTCCCGAGGCCTCCCCAGCCATGCAGAACTGTGAGTCAATTAAACCTCTTTTCTTTATAAATTACGCTCTTGGGGAGTTCTTTTTTTTTTAGGATTTTTAAATATAATATTAATTTATTAGAAAGAAGCTTCTTTGTGAGAATGAACTAATACATCTAGAGAGGTTTTAAAAATCTTGATGCTGAGGCTGCTCCTCAGACCAATTGAATTAGAATTTCTAAGGTTTAGAGCTGGGCACCGGAATTTTTAAAGCTTTTCAGGTGATTTCAATGTGGAGTCAAGGTTGAGAACCGCTGGTGTAAATGATTATATCAGAGGTGGAGGATGTACCACATAAATGCCGAAAGTTACTCGTAGTCTTGTGATTTTTTTTTTTTTTTTTTGAGACAGAGTCTCTGTTGCCTAGGCGGGAGTGCAGTGGCACCATCTTGGCTCACTGCAAGCTTCGTCTCCTGGGTTCATGCCATTCTTCTGCCTCAGCCTCCCCAGTAGCTGGGACTACAGGAACCCACCACCACGCCCGGCTAATTTTTTGTATATATTTTTTAGTAGAGACGGGGTTTCACCGTGTTAGCCAGGATGGTCTCGATCTCCTGACCTCGTGATCCGCCCGCCTTGGCCTCCCAAAGCCTTGTGATTTTTAACTCTGACATTATTTTACATTGTCTCTGGTTGTTGATGTATCAAAATTGTCTTAATGTATCTAAGGGAGGGAGAATGATGAGCTGGAAGCAATGCTTTCTTGATGCTATCCGTGGTTAGGCTGCAAGGAAGTGAAGTGAGATATTGGCAACATTCATATTTGGTTCTTGAAATGAAAGTGAACGAAATTCTTTGAAAAACTCTTAATGTGCTTAGAATGGTGGGAGGATATTTTCTCTTTTCACATTACTTTGCTGGACTATATAATGTTTTGGTTTAACTATCACTTCCTTTAATCTGTTCTTTAAACTGATGTTTAAACATTTAACTATGTTTTTAAGTATTTCTGTTTACAATAAAAATTAATTTCTCCTTCAGGGCAATAGTAATTGTGTCATAGGGACAGACCTGGAACAGGCTCTCCCTCACAGCCCTCAAAAGGACCAACCCTGCCAATGCCTTGATTCCACACTTCCAGCCTCTAGAATGAAGACAGATTTCTGTTGTTCTAAGCCGCAGTGTGTGGTACGTTGCTGTGGCTGTCCTAGGGCACTAATACGGCACTAGTTATGGCTGCTGTCTACTTACATTGTAGCCTCAACTGGAAAGATTTGTGACACACCAGAAGAACATAAGTGAGTTCTAATCCCACATACCAGCTGTGGGACTTTAGAGCTCAAAGAATCTCAGCAACTTAGTTACCCAGTCACCTTGTCTATAAAATGGAAACACCACCAACCTCCTCAGAGTTGACATGCCCCTCAGTGAGCTCACGCATGTGAACGTGGCCTATACATTTGAAAGGGTGGCCATTGCACAGTGTTATCACAAGAAGTATGACTTTTCCTAGGCAGGGACAGATTGGCCAGACCTACCCAGAATAAGCCCAGTCTATGTGACCCTACAACCGCCTTGCTCTATGCCTTGGAAGGTTGATCTGGAAGGGACACATCAATGGCCTTTTGCTACCAACTAGGATGGGCTAAGAGGAGGCACCAATGGGAGGAGAGTGCCCTCTGGCTCTGTCCTATTGGATTGCCAGAAGTTGACTGTATCATCTACAGCAGGCTTCAGCTACTGCCAGGCAACTGTCCTCATACAGCTACCCTATCGGGATTCCAGAAATCTTTGCATCCTTGACCTCCCAGGCTTAGGTTGTAACAGTCTCCCTGGAGGAGCTAACTCCAAGACACTGAACTAAACATGACTGATTTGCTTGAATTCTGCCCACACCTTGGCAAACAGTCTCTTCAGTAAACATCCCTCAAAATATCCACTTTGAGTAAGCCATCTTTTGCCTGTCAAGACTCATTTAGTAATTAGTTTACGAGGTGGTCCAAGAAGCAGCCTCAAAATGCAGTTGTAAGATTATTTTGCACTCATATTTGATGACATCATAGATAAACTTCTTTTTTGAGGGAAACAGAACACAGGTAACTTACGGCACACAGCGGCATCAGGACTAACCAAATGACTTAGCAGTGGCTGCGTGGGATAAAGTCCAGACAGAGTGTAAAATATTGGGAAACCAGAGGCCGAGGCAGGCAAATCACAAGGTCAGGAGATCGAGTCCATCCTGGCCAACATGGTGAAACCCCATCTCTACTAAAAATACAAAACTTAGTTGGGCCTGGTGGCAGGTGCCTGTAGTCCCAGCTACTCAGGAGGCTGAGGCAGGAGAGTCACTTGAACCTGGGTGGCGGAGGTTGCAGTGAGCTGAGATCGTGCCACTGCACTCTAGCCTGGTGACAAAGTGAGACTCCGTCTCAAAAAAAAAAAAGGGAACCAAGTAACTATGGCCCTTCTTTGCTATAGCGACGATAGTGACTGTGATACATAAAAAAAAAAAAAAAAAAAAAAAATGAACACAGTATGTTGCATATCCTCCCACAAAGAGGTGGAGTTTATTTCTCCACCCTGATCCTGGCCTGAGCAAGGAAAAAAAAAGGGGAAAGAAGGTGACCAGCTGACCCACAGAATTGTGAGCAAATAAAGTGATTGTCTTAAGCTATTATGTTTGAGAGCAGTTGATTATGTTCAAATGCAAACTGCAATAGTAACTATGAAGGTGGTAGGTAGACTGGCTTTAGGGAAAAGGGAAATTGAAGGCCATGAATGTCCAACCGAGGACATCACTGGAAAGGTGGCAGCCTTTAAAGCAGCTCTGAGGGAATCCTGCGCCTTCTGTAACCTCAGGCAGATGTGGCTGGGAACCAAGCCCAACACCTGGTTCTCGGGGTTGCAAAATTGCAGCCACAAATAAGAAAGCCCACTGGGTTTCTCAAACTAAGACAGTTTCAAACAGCAGTTGTCACACCAGCAGTGACAATGTCCGCTGGGGACTTGTTAGAAATTCAAGTTCTCAGTCTACTGATTCAGAATTTTAGGGTGGGGTTCTGCACCCGTTTTAGCAATTCCTCCAGGGGATTCTGACACAGTCTAGATTTTGAGAATCACCACACTAAGGTAAGTGCTGTTGAGAAAGGGGTGGGACTCTGAGCAGACAGGGATGAAGCTGGGAATTCTAAATCCCCAAATTCTTCTGAAATCTGCCTTGTCTTCAAAGGCAGCTCCTCTTCCATCCCAGGAAACTACCTACATCCGCTAAAACTTTTCCATGACTGCGCACCAGGCAGCTGCTCATAAGGAGGTGCCAGTTCTTTTCAGAATTCATTCTACTCCCGGGCCTTCCACAAGAATTAGATCCCAATGTAGCCCAGATAAAAAACACCAGGCCTGCTCTGACCTCATCCATCTGTGTGGAAGGGGTCCAGGAGCACATGAGAATGCATTCTCAGGGTGACGAACAAAAGAGGATGAGATATTAGCAGTGGTGTGCTGGACATGGTTGGACTGGCTCATGACAGCCGATTATTAAATATTTAGAAATGTTGCAAGATAATTGTTAAAAATCGCCCTTATTAAAACTTAAGTCGCATACACTTGTAAGTAGGTATACTGAAAATAAAGGTAATAAATACTCCAAACTCACTGTTAGTTATTATCACTACTTTTACTATTCTATTTTTGAGGTTATGTACCTCTCGGATCAATATAGTGGGAATACTACACAGTGGTAGCTACTGTGCCTCTGGTCTCAACTCATGTTCAGCTAGATGTCTACAGCTCGAAGTGAGCTGTGGTGAGAGCATTTGCAAACTGAAGTCAGAAAATGCTGTGAGTCAGGCAACCTGGGTGGAATTGGAGACTATTATTCTAGTGAAGTAACTCACTCATAAGTGGGAGCTAAGCTATAAGACAGAAAGGCATAAGAATGATACATTGGACTTTGGGGGCTCAGGGGAAAGGGTGGGGTGTGGCAAGGGATGAAAGACTACGCACTGGGTACAGTGATGGGTGCCTCAAAATCTCAGAAATTACCACTAAAGAACTTATCCATGTGACCAAACACCACCTGTTCCCCCAAAAACCTATTGAAATAAAATACAAATTTTAAAATTTTAAAAGCAAAATGAACAACAACAAAAAAGAAAGTACTGTAAGCCAGGGCTTTATTCTTTTTTTTTTTTTTTTTTTTTTAACCGCTGGAGAGCTGCTTGTTAAACACCAGCATAGCCGTGACTATAAGGCTTGATAAGGCTAAATTTATTTTCATGAGTATATCTTCTGAGATTCAGGATCTAACATTGGCTCTAAAACCTGGGAGTGATGTTTTATTTGAAACCTGGACTCGATGGCTGTATTGGTTTTCTATCACCGCTGTGACAAATTACCACAAACGAAATGGCTTAAAACAACATATACTTATTATCTTACAGTTCTGGAGGTCAGAAGTCCAAAATGGGTCTCACTTAGCTAGAATGAAGGTGCCAGCAGGACTGCATTCCTTTCTGGAGGCTCTAGAGAAATACCTGTTTTCTTACTTCTTCCAGCATCTAGACATTGCCCATATTCCGTGGCTTGAGTCCCCTTCCTTCATCTTCAGGGTCAGCAATGGCCAGTTGAGTCTTTCTCCTGATGACAGCTCTTTGATTCTAGCTCTCCTGCCTCCTGCTTCTTCATTTAAGGAGTCTTGTGGTTACACTGGGACCACCTGCATAACTCCACGGATTAGCAGTCTTAATTCCGTCAGCTCCTATTCTGCCTACCACAGTAGCCTACAGCTAGAGTGCATTCCCAGAACCCCCCGCAAAGGCTTAGAGAAATAGGAACAGTAGAATGAATCTATTATGTGCAACCTGCTCAGCCCCCTCCCCAACCATCCCCATTCAACTGACCCCACTGGAGGATCCTGGAGTAATCTCCACACACAAAAGCTTTGAAAAACATATTGGAGATGGGCCAATCGCACAGAGTTCTTTGGAAAGCTCTGGATGGAACAGGTTCCCTGATATCAAGGAGAATAACACAATTCTGCTGTGGTAGAGCCCAGGTGGCACCACTTCCCCAATAGTGATATGGTGGCCATAATTACTACACTAAGCCTCGAGAACACAATGGTGCTGCAGGAATTTGTGGTTATGACTGATTATGGTGTCCTTAGAAATGGAATAAGCAGCAGGTAGCCTACTAAGCAGCTGGCTGCTTGACATGTATTGGAGAAAAAAAATAATTCATGGGCAGAAGTCTAAATCAAGTCATCCTAGGGAGATGCATAACCTCTTTCACAGACCTGGAGCCCTAGAATGAAGACCCTGCAAAGCAGTCATAGCGTATGATACGAATTTTCTCCCAAAGTTTTCCCAGAGCAAACAGTGGCCATTTACCCTGATAACTGTGATGTGGGAGAGGGGAATATACAAATCTCCCAGGAGTTATTAGATACTGTCTCTTAATTTACATGAGTCTTCAGAGACCACCTTGCAGTATGGGAGCTCCTGCAGATCAAGTGCTGAATCTTCCTTGCCCAAGTCCCTCTTATATTGGGTCCAACATGGACCCTCACTGTGATTATACCCTCAATTTCAGGGTGTGTAGAAAGAATAAACTTTGCAACTGGCAGAATGTCCGCACTGGTTCCCTGATCTGTGGAGTAGGGCTATTATAACTGGAAGGGCCAAATGAACTCTTCTGGAACTGACTTCTTTGCCAAAATTGTAAATCAAAAGCAACAGTGCATCCCTAGGGAGCTAGTACTCCGCACTTTGTGGCTAACCTAGGGGAATAGTCTGGACTGTAACCATTTGCCCTTCCTAGGGAGATAAGAAAAGTTTTATTATCCCTTTTGATCAGAGCAATTAATCAAACAAATGACTACAGACCTAATCCTCACAGTATATGAAAAGTAAAACATTGCTAGGAGAAGGCAAACATTCTTTATCTTTACATTATACACATTTCTGTGTCTCAGGAGGCTACAGCTTCTAGATAGGAGCACTGAGGAATCTAGGGGAGACTTATTTCTCCACAGGTACAAGTGGGGCCCCTCTTACCAGAACCACAGGACTGAGAATAAGAAATGATAGTCACTCCCAAAGCAAGATTTGGGGACTATTGGCAACATAAAAGGGAAATAGAGACTTGAAAGGCCACCAGAGAATGCCCACAATTTCAAGAAATCTCTCAAACCAAATCCAGCACCATATTGAATGGCAAAACCCTAGATATATAAATTCAGAAGCCCATATGGAATGCCCCCATCACTACCATGATTTAACATTACTCTGGAGGCTCTATTAATACAGTTAGACAAAAGAAACAAAATAAGGTTTAAACACTGGAAAGGAGGAAGCAGCGTTATTATTATTTGTAGATATCATTGAACTTCAAAAGAATCAACTGGGAAACTACCAACATTTAAAAGAATAATGCAAAGTGGCTAAATTACAATAATTAATCATTTTCCTACATATAAAAAGTAGACAGAAAACTAATGAAAGAAAAGAACCAATAGACAACAGCCACAAGAACAAAAACTAACATGAAATGTGCAGACCTTTAATAAAGAAAAATTTAAGTTTCCTCTGCAGTATAAAAGAAGACTGGTCTAAGGAAAATATCTTGTTCTTATACAAGAAACAAATAATGTAAAGATGTCAATTCTTCCCTATTAGTTTATAATTTAACTAAAATCCTAAGTTCATATGGAAAAATATACATGTAATAATAGACAGGAAATTATGAAACAAAAGAATAATGCAAAGAACTAACCCTACTACATATTAAAATGAATTATAAAGCTAAATAATTGAACAGTTCAGTGTTTAATAAGGAATTGTTAAGCCAATAAAAAATATAAAGTTAATAAACAGGCTCAAATACAAATGTGAATTTAGTGTCTGATAAAGCTGGCATTCCGAATCAGTGAGAAAAGAGATTAATCAACAAATGACATTAAGAAGACACTTCTTCCATTAGTTTTCTGTCTACTTTTTGTAGTAGAAAATTTATTAATTATTGTAATAAGCCACGTTGTCACCATCTCTTATTTTTTTTTTTAGCTTTCGTTTTTTAGTTTTTTCATTTGGAGTACAATGACACCTACAAATAATAATGTTGCCTCTTCTTTTTCACTGTTTAATTTGGGAAAAAATTGCTAGATCCCTGGCTTACTCTTTGCATGAAACTAACTCCTAATGAATAAAAACTTAAGTAAAGTCATAGGGGCACTGGATTAAAAATAACAATAACATTGATTGAGCACTTACCCTATGTCAGGCATTACCTCGCAATATCCCTGTATGATAGGTACAAATGACACATCTGAGTCCAGAGAAGTTAAGTTAGCCAAGATCACACAGCACGTGTGATTTAAACACAGGCAGCCTAACTCCAAAGCCCATACACTTAATCACTATGTCATATAGCCTCCCAATTCCAGGAGAAAATATGAAAGAATTTTTCTATACCTTAGGGAAAGGAAATGTTTTCAAAGTATCATCAAAAACTAGAAGCCACGAAGACAAAGGTTGACCATTTTGACTATATAAAAGTTAAAGTTTTTTGGATGAAAAAATTAAGTGAAAAGATAAAACAACTAAGAAAAAAGTCATTTGCAACACAGATGTCAGAGGACTCATTTACTTAACATATAAAGAGCAGCTGCAAATTAGTAAAAAACAAACAAACAAACAAACCTTCTGTACCATAGAAGATTGGGAAAGAAGCATAAATGGGAAAAGACACCTATATGGCTCATAATTAAAGAAATGAAATGATGACAATAGGAAACCACTCTCCTTTGCCTTGCACTTAAGCAAAATATTTTAAAGTTTTTAAAATTAAAAAAACACAAGATGTTAGCAAGGATGTGGAAAACATACATTAAAATATATCATGTAAATTGCAACAACCTCTTTTTAAAAATTCGGCAATACTCATAAAATGTAAAATGCACATAACCTTTGACACAATAGTTCACTTCTAAGAACCTATCCTCCACGATAATTGTACATGTGTAGAAAGAGACCACTGAAGCAATGACTTCGTTAGGCAAAAAACTGCAAGTAGTCTAAATGCCCATTATTTAGAGGACTGAGTGAAGTAGAAAAGTGTAAGCCAGAATACTTTGATTCATTCTTGGTTAAAACTACAGTTTGAAACTATGGACCACAAGTTTCAATGGTATTATGACAGCTTTGAATGAAAAAGTTGTAGATACAAGTGCTTTTGGTAGATACAAGTAGGGCTTCTGGTTAGCCATGATCCATTGTTTAGAAAGATTAGAGGGAAAAGTTAGAGAATATTTACCAACCAATTACTGCAACATTAAAATAAGTCTATACTTTTTTCTGTACCTTGTGCAGATGAAGCTAATTTTCTGTCAAAATCAGTTTACTAAAAAGAGCCAAAAGCTTTCCTAATATGTAAAGGTTTGTTTTCACAATTATCTAACGGACTGTTGACCCATAACTTTGAGAACATGTATGTTTGTTATTGGAAACTGCACATATGCCTATTTTAAAGGATCTCATTTGTTCTCTTGAAAACTGTGTTTGCATAAGAGATTTAATGGCTCATCAACCAGAATACACTTAATCACTAAATATGACCTCCTGGGTCTTGTAATAATAAACAAGTCCACAGGAAACCTGTGAATTTTTTCTTGGAGTTAAAAATGGTTCTTCATTTTGACTTTCTCCTTTTATTGGCTTATGTAAATAAAATAATCTTTAAATAGTGTGACTGTCAGATTCATTACTTAAAACACAATTCAAAACTCTTTTTTTAAAGAGCTAAATAGGCCGGGTGTGGTGGCTCATGCCTGTAATCCCAGCACTTTGGGAGGCCAAGGTGGGTGGATCACGAGGTCGGGAGATCGAGACCATCCTGGCTAAAACAGTGAAACCCCGTCTCTACTAAAAATACAAAAAAATTAGCCGGGCATGGTGGCGGGTGCCTGTAGTCCCAGCTACTCTGGAGGCTGAGGCAGGAGAATGGCGTGAGAACCCGGGAGGCGGAGCTTGCAGTGAGCCGAGATCGCACCACTGCACTCCAGCCTGGGCGACAGAGCAAGACTCTGTCTCAAAAAAAAAAAAAAAAAAAAAAGAAAGAAAGAAAGAAAAAGGAGCTAAATAAATTATGGCACATCAAAACAATGAAATAAGAAATGGAGCAAATCTTTTCCTCACCCCACCCCAAATCTGAGCATGGGGTGCTTGTTAAAACACGAACCAACAAGCCTCACACCAGTTTCTGATTCAACTGGTCTGGAATGGCGCTTAAGAATGCGCATGTCCAACGAGTTCCCTGGAGATGCTGGTGTAGTTGGCCTGGCCACCACACTTAAAGAGCCTTTGCTCTAAAGGCATGCGGTAACCCTCTCTGTATTGATGTAGAAAGATTTCCCAAGACACAGTACCTTAAAGGAACAAAGGGAAGACTGATAGGTTGGTCTCATTTGCTTATGTAGACAAACTTATTCATGCTTGGGAAATGGCTGGAAGGAAATGCGAGGTTGAAAATGATTTTCCTGGGCAGTGGGCAAGGAGTGAGACTGGCCTATGTTGAATACCCGTTTAAACTGCTTCAGTGTACCACCTGCCTATGTTTGCCTTAAAAGAATAAAATAATGATGTCTCAAATTCAAAATTCGTAAAAGAGATGGTTGAATCTGGCACTGCCCAAATATGTCTATCGAATACCTCCTCCTTGTGGAGCCTGGTACCAAGCACAGCCTCAAACTATCTCGACGGTCAGGCCCCTTTCCCAGGTGGTGCCGTGGTGGCCGTGGGGTGAGGAAAATATGTACGGCTGTAGCCCGTCCATTTCTCATCCTGGGATAGCGAGGGGTTTCCGGAGGAGGCGTCAGCGGTGGGAAGTGGGAGAAAGCGAGCAAAAGGGGCGGGGGCGAAGGAGCGGACTCGCCTGCTGCCGCGGGGGCGGGAATCCGCAAGCCAGCCTGGGAGAAGGGACAGAACAGCGGCTGATCCTTCCCTGGGCTAGGGAAGGAAAATAAACTGTGCTGGCCTCGGAGTGGGGGATGGAGAGGGGCGATGGCGCTGCATCTGCAGGACGTTGCAAGGGCTAGGAGCGGGCAAGACTAGTGTCGGCAGGAAGGTAGTGGTGGTGATGGCGGGGGTGTGTGGCAAACAGAGCCCGAGCGAAAGCCTGAGAAGGTTCTGGTTGCCCCCCAGCCTACTTTAGTCCCTAACCCTCCAGCGGGGCGAGGAGGGAGCGCATCGGAGAGGTACCTGTGCGATGGGCAGCGGTGCTTGGCACCTGAGCGTAGGTACGATACTCAGCAAGGCACCTGGGTGGGACATAGGAGAAGGAAATCTCCACCCCAACCCCCCAAAACACCGCCCAGAAGTGGGCGGTGAGGCCCAGTGCCGCAGCCCCAGGGAAATGGCAGTGACACAGGTGGCAGCCACCTTCAGAGCGCCAGGCCCCCGCCAGCACATCTGCAGGTAGCAGCTTTGGCCACAGGAAGGCGCATCTGCACTGCCGGGTTCGCAAAAGCGGGGCGTGTGGGCTGAATTCCCACTTTCAGCAGCGGGAGAGGCTGGAAGAGACTGGGTTCCTGCCACTTGGAATTCAAGCCCTGGACTGTGGTGGGGTCTTGGTTTGATAGCCTGATTTTGGTCGCTATTTTTGCCGGCTGACACTTTATCCTCCACCCCTCTTTTTTTGTTGATGGGATTATTGACATAGAATAAAATTTTCCAAGGTTAAGTGTACAGTTTGAGAAATTTTGGTAATTGTATCGAATCATTTAACTGCCATCATAAACAACATGGAACAGTTCTATCATCCTAAAAGTTCCCTCCTACCTCACTGTTCTTCACATCTGCTGTGACCACACAGCCCCAGGCAACTCCTCGGCTGCTTTCTGTTACTAGGTTTCCCTTTTCCAGAAAGTTTTCCAAATGGAATCAGTCTTTTTAAATCTGGCATCATTCACTTAGTATAATGTTTTGATATTCAGCCACGTTGTTGTGTGTCTTCTGTCTTGTTCCAGGGTATGGAGATACCACAAGTTGTTTATCCATTCACAAATTGGTGGACATTTGCGTTGTTTCCAGTTTTTGAATTTTACGTATAAAGTTGCTATGAACAATTTTATACATTTTTGTACACACAGGTTTTTATTTGTCTTTGGTAAACACCTAAGGAGTGGGAATGCTGGGGCATGTGGTAAATGTCTGGTTAACTTCATGAGGTACTGCCAGACTGTTTTCCAAAAGGGCTAACCCTTTTACATTCCCACCAGTAATGTAGAAGAGTTCCAGTTTCTCTGCATCACTTGCTATCTCCAGTCTCTTTAACCCTAGCTGCTCTAGTGGACATGTCTGACCATCACTTTTGATTTTACCCCATCAGGTCCAGGGTCTAGAGAAACCCCCTTGCAGAATGCTCCCGCCACACTGCTTCAAAAGCACGAAGGGTGCTGAGTAGTCGGCGAGTGTCAGAAGGCTCTGTGGCTGCAACCTTCCTTTCAGGCCTCCCAAGGATGCTGAGCAGCTGCTACTGTAGAACAAAGTTCTAATACACAGATGAGAGGGAGTGTTCTTATTGAGAGAGAAGTGAGAATGAATACCAGCAATACCCTCAAAAACTTCTGAATGCATTGGATATTTTTATAGCCAGCGGACAGTTGTCAGTTAATTGTGGCCTCAGCCTTGCAGAGACCCATCTGGAAATATCTTTAAATGGATAAACCTCAAATTACTTTCATCATGCCAAATGCATACTTCTATAGCTCATCATATGTACATAGTGAAAGAAGAAAGCCAAGCATGAATGATAGGCTAAACACATCTCTAAAAACATCATAGTGGGGGCGTAAGCACCGAGTTCTCCAGAGGGTCCTGAAAGATGCTGTTGACAAAATACCAGAGCACAGCAGTCCTATTCTAAGTAACACAGAACAGCCTTCTCACTGAAGCAGCGATGCGGAGTCTGGAGCCTTCTACCACATCCTGCTCTCATTCAGATGGGTAGGCTGCCATCTGCAAGAGCCAGCAGATCTGGAACCAGTGCAGGGAGATGGTGGGGGATGCGGGGAGTTTCTGGTCTCAGATAATGAGAGCGTATTAGTTTGCTAGGACTGCCTAGCAACAAAGTACCACAGACCAGGTGGTTTAACCAATAGAAATTTATGGTCCCACAGTTCTAGAGGTTAGGGGTTTCAGATCAAAGTCTCTGCAGGTTTGTTTCCTTGAGGGCTGTGAGGGAGAATCTGTTCCAAGCCTCTGTCTTGGCTTCTCACGGTTTGCTAGCAATCTTTGGTGTTCCTTGGTGTAGATGCATCAGCCCTATCTGTTTTGCATGGCGTTCTCCCTGTGTGCATGGCTGTCTCCAAATTTCCCCTTTATATGAAGACACCAGTCATATCAGAGTAGGGACCCTCCCTACTCCAGTGTGACCTCATCTTAACTAATTAAATCTGCAAAGACTATTCCAAATAAGGTCACATTCTGAGGTATTGGGAATTTGGGGGAGACCCAATTCAACCTGCAACAGAGGGTCTGGATATCTTTAAATCAGTTCCTGACTTTACCTCTTCCCAAAAATAACATGGGTGCTAATGAGGTACCCATTGGGCTGGATAAATCCTGGACTCAGAGAATCATCACAGAACCCACATGTCTGACTCCAAGAGGAAATGCACCAGCATGACCAGGAATTGCCAGCAATACTCTGCTGTAAGCATGTGGGTGGCCTGGGCATGGGGTAAGCTCCTGGGTTCTGCTAGGGCTAAACATGCTGCTTCATCCCCACACTCTTCACTCTGCCCCAGGACACCCTGGATGCAGCAGGGGAAACTTAGGCAAGGCTGGCAGCAGCACCCACCCCTAAATTTTGCTTCCACGAGCTCTAAGCCAGTGTACAGGTGCAGCAACTTGGAATCCCCTGGAGAACCACCTGCAGATTCTTAGTCTTCCTCATCTCCTTTCACCACCACTCCAGACTTCCCATTTGTCTCCCTGAGTGACTGCCATGGCCCCCTAAAGTTCCCCTCATTGCCATCCTTGATCCATTATAGTTTATCCTCAACACAGTAGCCTTGGTGATTCTCTTGAACATAATAGAAATTGTGTCAGGATGGGGACCGGGTTAAGCTACTCATGGGAAGGCTAAAACATGTGGTTCACACATATCCCTCCCTAGGACTCTGATGCACTGGATTCAGGGTGGCAAACTCAGGTAAAGCTGCTCTGAATCATTCAGAGTTCATGCCGGAGTGCCAACAAGGCCACCAGACTTGGAAATGGCCCAGTGTTTCCTCTCTGGCCACATCTCCTACAGCTTTTCCCTGGGTCACTCTAATCAGTCACTCTGGTGTCCTCACTGCTCCTAGAATGAGCTATCCCCCTCCCTACCGCAGAGCCTCTACCCAGGTATCTGTGAGGCTTGCTCCCCGCTCCTTTGAGACCTTGTTTCAAGATCACCTTCTCAGTCAGGCCTACTCTCACGGCCTCATTGAAAATTGCACCTGCTCCCAATCCCCATCACTGTGCTCAGTTTTTCCCATAACATTTTTCACCTTTTAACCTGATATCCTTATTCCGTCCTTCCCTGACACTAGAATGGAAGCTTCATGAGGGTGAAGAATTTTTGTTTTGTTCTTGGATATATGCTTAGGGCTAGACCATTGCTTGGCATAGAGTACATATTCAGTTTATGTTTGTTGGACAAATAAGTTTTGAAATAGACACATTCCCGGGCCGCATCCCAGATGTGTGGCATGGAAATTGCAGCACCAAAAGTGCAGTAATCTGCATTGCTGCAAAGCCCCCACTGTGTTTCTTGGGTTCACCAAAATTTGAGAACAAAAGTTTGAGTCCGAGGGGTGATGGAGCTACCCAGCCTCAGCCCCATGTCTCTGAAAAGCACAGAGAAGGGGGAAAACGAACCAGGCAGGATGACCTCCTGAGAGCATCTGATCTTCACTACCAGTCCCAGGTCTTAGATTTCCTTAGATTCAGGATGGGTTAAGATGACCTCAACCCACATGGCTAAGCTCCCAGCTGATGGGCCCCCTGCCCCTGAGCTCCGGGTTCTAAGGGAGATAAGGTTCCCAAGCCATAGGCAGATGAGGTGGATTGACAATCGGTTTACAAGGTGGGTGTATTAGTCTGTTTTCATGCTGCTATAAAGACATATTGGAGACTGGGTAATATATAAAGAAAGGAGGTTTAACTGACGCACAGTTCACATGGCAGGAGAAGCCTAGGAAATCTATAATCATGGCAAAAGGAGAAGGAGAAGGAGAAGCAAGTACCTTCTTTACTAGGTGGCAGGAGAGAGGAGCGGGCACAGGGGAAACTGCCACTTATAAACCATCAGATCTCATGAGAACTCCCTTCACTATCATGAGAACAGCATGGGGGAAACTGCTCCCATGATCCAATCACCTCCCACCAGGTCCCTCCCTGACACATCGGGATTACAATACGAGATGGGATTTGGGTGGGAACAAACAGCCAAACCATATCAGTAAGTGAGAGGTCACAGCCAACTATTCGGTCAACTACGCAGCCATGGAATTAGGCTCACTGGATCAAATTGAGTGGGAAAATCCCCTGCTTTTAGCTATTATCTAGGACATTTAGAAAGTCTCACAGTGGTGAAGGCAAAGAACTGAAGACTGGAATGGTAGGAGAAGTCTCGTTTGAAGCCAGGGGGAGTGAGAGGAAGTACCTTGTGGCCCCTCGGCTATACTAGCACGACCTGTGTCACACCTTTAGGAAGCTGGAGACAACATCGGAATTGGATCAGCTGGATGGGGGGCCATCAGGAAAGGCTGGATGCAGACTGACTTTGCTCAGGAAGAGAAAATTTAAAGATATTTTCAGAAGCACTCCTTTTCTTTTGATTTCTTCATAACCCTAACAATATTTGACTCATCATCAGAAACTTAAATTAATTATGAGAAACTCCAAGGAAATCTTCAGATCGTATGTCCCTCTAGTCCATCACTGGCCTCCCTGGGTGTGTGTAAAGGAAGGTGCTTACTCCTGTGGGCTCTCTCAGCCCTGCCATTCTGGGAGTCTAGGATTCTGTGTCCCACCCTCCTTGGGCTCCAGGGCACCATGAGTCCATCCATCATGAGCAAGGAGCCTAGGACAGCTCCACCCTTTGACCTCACGTCAGGAAAATGTGGGACTGGACTATCCCATTCCATCTACGTCTCATGCCCCCCCGACCCTCCACTCCTAGTAGACCTCACCCTTCCTAGGGGCCTTGAGGGGCAAGGGAATATTCTGGCAAGCTTTGTTCACTGTGCAGCAAGGGCCCTTCAAATACTCTAGTGATGAAGGCTAAAGTCCTCCTGAGAAACCCAGAGAATGCTCAAGATGGTTGGATCTGAAGCTGAAACCGTCTAACCTGAAATGACAAAAGGATGTGGTGGCAGCTTATCTTCCTGTAAAGCCCTGATCTTTTTCCCTCCCTTCCCCTCCTCAGAGAAATTTAAAAAGCATTCGCCAGAGCTGACTATGTCAGGCATGAGTCCATCAAACACCCCTCGTGCCAGTTATCCATTTATTGTCTCTCAGCTCCAAATTCACCCCCTTTGGCCACATTTGGTAATCCTGGAGCTGTCCCCTGTGGACATGTGGCCTTGCCAGGCGGCATGATGCCAAGCTTGGTCAACAGAGGCTGTTGGAGGACACTAGAGGAGCAAAGTGCTTCTGTGCCTAGTCCTGCGATGCTCTCCCAGATTTGCTCCTGGGACACGCGTTGGCCAGGAGCATGAGGGACACCCAGTGGTGTCCACCCAGCAGTTTGCAGCAGCAGCCTGTGGGCAGCTTCCCACTGAGTTCCACCAGCATCCCAGGACACAGCTCCCTGCTTACCAGCACTGGCTGGTGGCACTTCGGCAAACGTCTCCACCATCCGGTGGGCCACACCTGCCCTCCCACCATGGAGATTCCCTTCCAAGTCTGTTCCTTCCCTGGTGCTCTGCCTCAGCCCTGGTGCAGGGAGGCTGCTCCCCGCAGTTGCTATTCTTTAGTATCTACCCATTAGTACCTAGTCCCTTGTTACTCGTCATCATTCCCTATATTAAACTTTCCCAGCTGGCCGTGGTGGCTCACGCCTGTAATCCCAGCACTTTGGGAGGCCAAGGTGGGTGGATCACTTGAGGTCAGGAGTTCCAGACCAACCTGGCCAACATAGTGAAACCCCATCTCTACTAAAAATACCAAAAAAAAAACAGCTGGGTGTGGTGGCGGGCGCCTGTAATCCCAGCTGTTGGGGAGGCTGAGGTAGGAGAATCACTTGAACCCACAAGGTGGAGGTTGCCGTGAGCCGAGATCGTGCCATTGCACTCCAGCCTGGGCGAGAGAGCGAGACGCTGTCTCAAGAAAAAATAAAGTATAAAAAAATTAAAAATAAAATAAAATAAAACTTTCCCAGTTCAGGTAGCTGTGTGGTTCCTGTCTCCTGACTGGACTCTGAAGAACATACCCATGCATTAACTACCTACAGTCTACAATTACTATTTTGCTATGTCTTCTTTTTCACATATGGGAGCCTTTTATTAGTAGTGATCTCTGGCTGTACAGGTCAAAACAAGGCTCATCCTAGGGATAAAGGTGTATTCGTTTGCGAAGGCTGCCACCAAGTATCCCAGACTCAGTGGCTTAGGCAATAGAAATTTGTTTTCTCACAATTCTGGAGGCTTGATTTGATTGAATACATTCAAATCAAAGTATTGGTTAGTTTGTTTCTTCTGCAGCCTCTCTCCTTGGCTTGCCAATGGCCATCTTCATGTTCACATGGCATCCCCTCTCTATGCCTGTCTGTGTCCCAATCTCCTTTTATATGGACACCACGCATAGTAGACTGGGGCTCATCCCAGACCTCATTTTAACTTAACTACCTCTGTAAAGACCCTGTCTCCAAATACCATCACATTCTGAGCTGGGGGCTGGGCCTTCAGCATATGAATGTGGGGACACACAATTGAGCCCATCACAAAAGAGATCCAAAGAAAGGTGTCCTTGTGCCCTGTGCTTTCTGAGGAAGATGTGTTCCCTTGAGATTCTCAGAGGTAAAGATGCAACTAAGTCATTTCTTCTGCCCCTCAGAAAACAAAATGAGACAGACATGTACTTCCCCAAAGGAGCCCCCTGACACTGCTGAGCAGGGTGTAAGAGGTGACACTGAAGAGTTGGAAGGAGGAGAGATGAGAGAAGAGAAAATCATGGAACTTGAGTTGGTCTTTGCAGATGATTGGTGTCTCTGATAAGACCAGGCAGGGGATATTTAGAGTGCCCTGGAGGATCTGAGAATGTCCAGACCACTGAGTAAAAGAGTGGGGACTGCGCCAGCCTTACTGGAAGGGCCTTGCTGAGTGGTCTGGAGGTGAAGCAATGGTGCCCAGAAAGTGAGTGCCTCTCAGGAGGTAATCGATGTCTCACAAAGACCAGGCAGGCTGCAGACACCACCACCTACTAGGCCACACGGGATTTAGGAAATGTCATCATGGGACAGGGAGGCTGAGGCAACTGCAGGACTTCGGAAAATTGTGGGCCTTTCTTGAGGGGCAGCTTCCACAAAACACAAAGTCAATGTTGCCCTTTCCTCTTAAGTTCACAGTTCTGGGCAGGCCAGTTATGCAGCAGTGGCTTTCTTGGATTCAGAAGCAAGGGAAGGCTAACCACTCCCCAGATGATAACTCCAGCTCTGCATACTATGGGGACCTCAGCCCACAAGGGACAAAGCTTACTCTTTTGGAAGAAGTTGCCTTTTACTGCATAATATGTAAGGAGAAAAAACATATTAAGTCCTGAAGAATGTACCTAGGGAACCATTAGGGGAGGAGGAAGCTTGGCCTAGCTCTCCTGCATCCTGGCTCTGTGAGTTCCCTGTTCCATCAGCCTATTGCTGGGGTCTGGGGATGGTGATTAAATCACCTACAATCAAAGGCAGATTCAGGCTAGCATTGGGAAACTGTTTTGGGATGCCTGAAAAAGACCTGACATAAACACACAATAGATACCAGCACTGAGCTCTAACTGGACCGTTGACTCCCTTCCTCACACTTTCTCACTTTGTCGCTGTGCTTTCAAGATTTAGAAATAAATACTTTTAGATCTATCTTGGCTTAATGAAAGGTTTTCTTCACAGTCATATTTTATAAAATAAAAAGGACGCTTGATCTCCCTGCCACACACGTTCACTCCACTAATGGATTCTTTTTCTGATACCGTATTATTTGCAAGGCATTAAGTCTCTAGAGACTTTGCTGACACTCAGAATATATCTATAAGGAGAGTCACAGGGACTACAAAATCTTCAATTTGCATATTTCACTATCTTCATTTGAATTTCCTATTAGGCTTAATGATGAGGGGAAATCTAGAACAACAAGCTCATCTCTGATGAGGACACAATCAACAGACCTGTAGCCTGCAAAGCACCAGGGCCACCAAGTACAGTTGTTCAGCTGTGCACTGCACAAAGGTGCTGTTCAAAGGGAGTGCTACTCACATCATAGACATCTTCGCTGCTTTGAAATATGTTTTTCTTTGTTGTCTCCAAAGGTGGGCAGTCTGTATGTTTATTACAATAATTTTTAAACAGATAGCAATAAGATATCTTGCTTTAACAAAATTACTATATTATGATAGATGAGTGTAAAGTGTCTTTCTGATGGGGTAGGTTCAGATTGTTATTCAACTTACAAATGATTAGCAGCATGGTACATTAACATCATATTATTTTTATTGTGCTTTAGTTTACTTGTGCTTCCAAACACATAGGAGTTGACTGATAATCATGATTGGTGAGCATATTAAAAAAATGTCCATCCCCTTTGTATTAGAGCACTGCTAAATTTACTCTCCATCTTACAATTTATGTCACCTGATACTTGTTACTTTACCTAGATGGTATTATTAAGCTTTCAGCTTACATCTATAGTAGTTTACTATACTATACTATACTATACTGTACTGTACTGTACTATACTATACTATACTGTACTATACTATATATAGTAAGATGAATCATTGAAAAATAATTGATAATTTTCCATTAATAATCCATTAAGTGTTACAAGGATAATTTTTAGAGATTATATTAGTGATATAGTGTGATATAGTATGATGTTTCAAGGTAACTTTACTCAAAGGCACCTTTTTCTAATCTGGACAAAGCCATTTTACGAGCTATCAGTGGCTCTTGTAACCACCAAGAGCCTTAAACCAGGCTGTCTTGATGGCATATATGTGGGGATGTCCTGTTCTTTACCCCCATCCCATCCCCTTCCTTCCAGCTCCGTTAAGGCAGGATTGGGAGCAGGGGTCCAACCTCATGTAGGACCCAAAAGTAGTCCTATAAAATCTCCAAAAGCGGTCACAAAAGTCTGGGCACGTCGTGTGCTTTTACTATTTTTTAGGGCAACTGTCCACGAGGTTCATTGCATCTGTGCCTCTGAAAAGAGCAAAAGTCATTGTTTTAGTTTGCAGCAGTGGTTCTCAAACTTTATCATGTATTAGAATCATCTGGAGGACTTGTTAATACACAGATCCTGAACCTGCCCTCAGGATTTCTATTTCAGTAGGCCTGGAGCAGAGCTTAAGAATCTGCATTTCTAATGAGTTGCCTGGGGATGCTGTTGCTGCTGCCCCAGGGAAGATATCTGGAGAACCACTGCTTTAGAATGTCAGCCGTGGCTGGGCATAGTGGCTCATGCCTGTAATCCCAGCACTTTGGGAGGTCAAGACCAGTGCATCTCTTGAGGTCAGGAGTTCAAGACCAGCCTGGCCAACACGGTGAAACCCTTGTCTCTACTAAAAATATAAAAATCAGCTGAGTGTGGTGATGCACGCTTACAATCCCAGTTACTTGGGAGGCTGAAGTAAGAGGATCGCTTGAACCCAGGAGGAGGAGGTTGCCGTCGGCCAAGATCGCGCTACTGCACTCCAGCCTGCGTGATAGAGCAAGACCCTGCCTCAAAAAAAAAAAAAGAAAAAAAAGTGTCAGCCATGGCTATGATCAGTGCAGGCCCACATGGGGCAGAACCCTGGGGATACACTGGGTTTCTAACCTCTTTACCAGCAGAGGGCAAGTCCACGTTTATTCCAACCTGTGTCAACAGTCTCTTCCAGCACAAGGTGGCAGCACCGGCATACAAATCTCTATATAAACAGGGGGCCCGTAAACTTTAAATTCAATCACAAAAGCAAGATGGGAAAGCCACGTGAACTGCATTTATTCTATAAATTGGATGGTAATCTAAACCTGACAAATGATCAAAATGTTTCTCTGTTAAGAACACATATCCATGCAAATCAGGTTTCAAGTATGAGTAAAACTAGACTGCATGGCAGACAGGAAGAGGAGCTGGATGCTGTGCGGCCTCTCTCCTTTAGCCTGGCACCCCAGGTGGGATTTCATACTTCTCTGTCTGGTGATTCAGAAATGTTCTTCTGTGGAAAGTCCTAGGCTGGATGCAGCAAAATTACCCGACGTGCTTATTAAAAATGCAGATTCCCTCTCTCATAGCCCATTCTGATTAAGTAGGTATACGATTAGGTACAGGCAGTTATCTTCTTCTTTTTTTTTTTTTTTTCTTTTTTTGAGACGGAGTCTCGCTCTATCACCCAGGCCGGAGTGCAGTGGTGCGATCTCAGCTCACTGCAACCTCCACCTTTCAAGTTCAAGCGATTCTCTTGCTTCAGCCTCCTGAGTAGCTGGGATTACAGGTTCACGCCACCCCACCCAGCTAATTTTTGTATTTTTAGTAGAGACGAGGTTTCACCATGTTAGCCAGGCTGGTCTCGAACTCCTGATCTCAAGTGATCTGCCCAACTTGGCCTCCCAAAGTGCTGGGATTACAGGCGTGAGCCACCACACCGGCCGCAGTTATCTTAACAGGTGTTCCAGCTGATTCTGAGGCACAGCCCTGTTGTGGCTACCTGCATCTGTATGTTTAATAAACATAACACCAGCGCTTAGCTATGAATATTTGGCTGTCTCTGCCTTTCACATAGTGGTTCTTTCTAGGTTCTGAACTCGCAAAGCAGTTAAATGCAGAAAGAGCTACACTCTCCCATATGGTAGCTGCCGGCCACATGTGGCTACTGGACACTTGAAATATTGCTGTTCTGCACTGAGATGTGCTGTCAGTGTTAAATAACACCAGATTCCGCAGACTCCATAAGGGAAAAATAATGTAAAATATTTTATTCCTAGCTTTTTATACTAATTACATGTTGAAATGATTTTTTAAATATATTACGTTAAATAAAAGATATTCTTAAAATTAATTTCACCTGCTTCTTTTCATGTTTTTAATGTGACTACTAAAAATATTAAATTATATATGTGGCTCACAATATATTTCTATTAGACAGCATTGGTTAGAGGATGTAAATAGCTTTGGCAAGAATGGAGGGGAAAGTGGAAATCGGAGAAGCAGAGCCTAACAGGGCTCAAGGGAAGAATTCTTGACCGCATGGAATTCTAAGCGCATTCCTCCACCCGGGCCTCACATCCTGGCAGCCAGGCCTGGAAGAGAAACGTCCTTGAGCCTGCAGCCGCTGCAGTGCTTTAATAACAGTTTATCCATGGGAGAGTTCCAACTTGAGCACATGCTGGCTGTGAACACCCACTCTCCAAATAGGTTGAGTTCTGAGACAGACTGGATGTTAGTCACTTGCCGGCTCTCAGAGGGCATTTCACATAGGAAAAAAACGTGGTTCCTGCAGACGGTTGCTGGTATGTGGAGTCCCCCCGCCCGCCGCGGGGCTTACTGAACCTGTGCAGTAGGTGAAATCTCTACTTTTACAACAAAGGAAAGCTTGATGGTTCATTGTTAAACAAAACCATATTTGTTTGTTTGTTGTCAATTTATACATAAGAATAAGAAAGAGTATGTTAAAGCAGCTTCTCTGCAGTACTAGTACTGTGCTCCAAGAAAGGCAGGTTTATACTTAGCTGTGGTCCTCAGTGGAGTCCCCAGACCTGCAATATCTGGGAACAGCTAAGAAATTCAAATTCTCAGGCTCCAGTGCAGACTTAAGAGATCAGAAACTCTATCTAGGGGTGGAGTTAGCAATCTGGACTGTGACCAGCCCTCCAGGTGATTGTGAGAATGCATCCTAAGACAGAGAACCACAGAGCCACAGAAAGAAGAGGCCCTGTGAAGGGAGACCCGAGGGTATGGAGAGTTGTTGGCTCCAGCTTGGGCGCACTCGTTCTCTCTTTCTGTTTCTTTCTTCCCTCTTCCCTTCTGTTCTCTTTTCCCCTTCCGCCTCCTCTTCCTCCCCCTCCTCCTCCTCTTCCTCCTCCCCCTCCTCCTCCTCCTTCTTCTTCTTCTTCTCTCTCTCTCTCCCTTTCTCCCTCCCTCCCTCCCTCCCTCCCTCCTCTCTCTCCTGTCTGCTGTCATTGGGAAGCTGTGTGGTCAGCCAGTCAAAAAGCAGATTTCAGAGTCAGGAGTTCCAGGGTTCACAGTTGAGCTCCATTCCCTACTGGGTGACTGAGGGCAGTTTCTAAACTTCTCTGATCCTGTTCTGCCCTCTGAAGAAGGGGAAAATAATACATCCTGTGTACGATTGTTATTGGGAATCAATGAGCTAGTGTATGGAAGAGGCTGCATGTGGTTCTTGGTACAAAGAAGCAGATTATTATCAGTTACATGTAGGTGAGGCATCCAAAATGCTAGGAGAAAAAACCTGAGCCTTTACACGGTATCGCTGTGTCCATTGTTACCTTATCAACTCCCATAGCATGCTCACTTTTTTTCATAGAAATTGTCTATTTTCCATGATTATTCAGTGAATCCACAACAATCTCATTCTTGGTTAGGGACTCATTAAAGTGTTATCAGTCTTATGGAATTATTTAAAACCTGTGAACTCCCCCAAATAATGCTTGAGGGTTCCAACCTTCCCTGCCCCCTCACAATACAGCTTCAGAAGCTGATTTGATCAAGTGAAACCACTGTGCCTCCTACTTCATTTTCCCGGGTTTGCTGCTTTTCTAAGTATGTCTCACAAAATGTATGCTGCTCTTTTTTTCTTTTAGTCTTCATATTGTATATTAGATCCCTAGACTTCTTTGTTCTACACATCTGCTGCTCTGTATTCTGACCTACATCTGCATACTGCTTTAATAGAATGGATGTTTGCAGACGTGACTGTGATATTGGAATATGGAAGGATCCATCCAGGGTCAGGAAGCAGCAGGCTGGCTTCATTCTCAGTGTTTGTTTTCTGGGTCTTTGAAGGAGAGGTGTTGCAGGGAAAAAGGTCGTGCATCAGGAAGTGTCATTTAAAAAGGACCTGAGTTGGGCTGAGTTATCAGCAAATACACGCCATGGCTGTGCTCCCCACCCCCCACCGTACACTAGCAGGGCAGCAGCTCTGATTGTCTAACGAGCAGCAGAGCCGCCCAGCAGCAACCACATTAGGAAGGAATCGGAAACCAACGCTCCGCTGGCTGTCACCCCTTACCCACTTGCTGTCAGGTAGAGTACTTGTTTATTATTAATTATCTATTTTCAGTATCCTGCACCTGGGGGTGAACATCATCGGTGCTAAGACTTTTTAGCCTATGGGGATCTCTGCTGAGCACTAAAACCACGGGCTTCCCCTTGGGAAGAGGCAGAAAATACACTTCCCAGGTTCTCACTGCCAGCTCTGACAGGCTGAACTGCAGTTGGAGAAGGAAACTGAGGACTGGGCTCCCTTCCTGTCTCCTAAGCCAGGGCAGAGCTGGGCTTCGGGTGATGGCAGGAGACAGAGAAGCAGGTAACTTCCCTGGAGGGAGCTGAGCAGGGCAAGTCCCCTCTTCCAGGGACATTCCAGGCATGACAGAGGTGCACAGGCACAGAAGCCCTGCTGCTTCGGCAAGCTAGGCTGCTCATAGCTGTGTCTACCCCTTCCCGGGACGTGGACTGTGGGGAGTGTCTATTCAGGACCATCTAGAAGAGTTCAGAGCCTTTCAAACTTCTTTTCAACATGCGTTCCTGACTGAGGACACAGCTCAAAGCTGCCTCTCAGGCTTAGAAACACTTCTTAATTTTCACTGTCGAGGGCTAGCTTTGAGTCAGATCCTTTCACCTCATCAAAAAGGGTGTCAGCACACAAGCGCTCCGAAATTACTCGCTTGGCTTTCTGCTCAGGGTGACTGTGGTAAAGAAGTTACAGCCCACAGGCAAACCCCAGTAATTGGCCTTGGCCTGGAGCCACACCTTGGAAGCCATCTCCCAGCGGGAGTGAAAGGACTGTGGGGACAGGGCATCAATGTCTGCCCAAGGCAAAATAGGGCGAACAGTAGCCTGCCTGTGGCACCCTCCCCACCTCTCTTCTAGAGCAGTAACCTTTCATTTTCTCAGCCTCTGCATGGGAAGTCTCATTTAGGCTCCTTAGTTCACCCACACCTTGCTACGACAAACAAAAAATGATAACCATTACAATATATGGAGTCCTTACTACGTGAGCAGCACTGTATAAGGTGTTTTCCATGTATCATCGTGATCTTCACAACAGCTGCTCAAGGAACGCATCATAATGGCCCCTTTGGAGGGAACTACAGGGACCCAGGGAGGCTAAGCTACCCTTTAAGGTAAAACTGGCCAGGCCAGGATTTGAACCCAAGCCAGCCTGACTCAACAGCAAGTGCGGTTTCCCCAACACTATACCATCTACCATTCCCAGACTTCTCAGGCTTAGGCTATGTCTGGTTTCTACGACATCATAAAATAAACATTATTAATTCATGAAGAAGCAAAGGACGTGAGCCATGGGAGTCATTGGGTAGATGAATATTGAATGACTGAATGGACCGGAGCTTCTGTCAGTTCCCTCTCATCCAAAGACTCAGCACCTCCAAGGCTCAGACTCCCAGGGCACTGCTACCTCAGAGATCTCTCCAGGCTCTGCTCACAGGCACTCACCCACTGCCTGACCTTGCAGGCTCCTGGAATTAAGCCATGAGTGGTTTCCTGTCTCTTGACAACATCTACCCAGAACTCAGACTTTGGTTTTCCTTTGTCCCTAGACCACAGCCTGAGGCAGCCAAACCCATTTCCTTGGGGATCCAGCGCAAACCAGAGAGTGTGGACAGGCCGATGGAAGAATGTTGGACCAGCTTTAAGAATGGGCTGTTCTAAGTCATGAATATTGTAGGAAGCAGCTCTAAGGACCACAGGGCTGGAGGGTGCACAGGAAGGGGCCAGTGCATACAGGTGAATGTTGGTTTTATTTTCAAATTTGTGCATCAAGGCTCTATCTACTTTTTTCCCTCTGAAATTAGGAAAATGGAAATAAGACACCCCTAGGAGTGCCACCATAGCATGGCCTAGCATTTTTTCAAATGATCTTTAGATTCAAGGATGATTCGGAGGAAATGGAGATGCTGATTATTTTGTTAAACAAATGCTGCCTGTTTAGAAACCACACACAGACAGCTCATGAAGTGGGAGAATGACTAATTGCTATGGCTAAAATCAACTCCCTTCAGTACTGGACTCACAGGGATCTTTCTCACAAGGCCCAATTATGCAAATTGCTGAGGCAGTCTTTTTTTTTTTTTTCCCCCCCCCTCTCCTCATGGCAGGAAAAAAGAAGCTGTTTCTCTTCCTTAAAACTGTTTTATCTGGCCTGAGTAAGGCACAGAGGCAACTTTCCCCTGGGGTGTGCCTGTGCTTGTGACTGTGGGCAGCAGACAGACCAAGCTGTTTCTCCTCTGCCTGTCTACACCTGTTCTCCACTTGCTCACACCCTGCTCTCTCCTCCTCTAGCAGTGGCTGCTGCTTCCCAGTCTCCACGGCTGCCCCTTCCCAGCATCTTCACACTGAAGGGCCAGTGTGCAGTCCTCCACCCCCTTCTTTCTCTTCCTCCCTTGGTGACTTCATTCAGTCTCTTGGCTTTCAATAGCGCCTGCCTCTGAGGAACCCTGCCCAGACCTCTCTTCTGCACCCCTACCCACATTTCCAAGTCCCGATGCATCCTCTCCATCTTCCTGTCCAACAGCCTCCCCTAACTTCCTAGGTCTAATGTGAAGGGCTGGGTCTTCCCCCAAACGTTTCCACAGGAACCTTTCTGTCTCAGTATTCTGTCTCAGATGCAGGGAACAGCATCCCCATCCTCCCAGGTGCTCCAGCCAAACACCATGGAGTAGTCTTTGACCTTGGTACCCCTCCTCTAATACCCAGGCTATCATCTATTGGGACATCTGCTGGCTTCAAAATATATCCAGAACCAGACTCTTTCTCAATCCCTCCATTACTATTGCTCTCCTCATTTCACTCAAAGTAAAAGCCAAAGTCTCCACAATGGTCTAAAGGCACTACCAGGCACTTTCCCTCTGACCTCACCTCCTACTTCTCTCCTCCTTCTAACTGCTCCAGCCACGCTGGCCACCTGGCTGTTCCCCAGACACACCAGGCACCTCCCCCGACCTTAGGACCTTGGCGCTGGCTATTGCCACCTCCTCAGGACTTTGGTCAAATATCACCTGCCCGCTGAGCCCTGCCTAGTCACCTCCAGGAATCAGACCCCAGAATGAGGAAGCCCTAGATCCCCAAGCTAGTACTCTCAATTCCTTGCCTTCTATATGAACTCATAACTCTATATAGAAGGTTATCACCTTCTAACATACTTGGTAATTTACTTATTTATAATGATTACTATTTATTGCCTGTCTCACTCACAAGAATGTAAACTCCATGAGAGAAAGGTGTTTTGTTTTTCCATTTTGTTCACTATGTATCCCAAAGGACTAGAACAGTTTCTAGGCACACGGTAGGCAGTTGATAAATATTTACTGAATGAATGAACACTACACAAACACCTTGCTGTTTCGTCTGACTGACACCTGGACCCTGAGTAAGGCTTAGATGTGGCTTTCACTCGGGGTGTGCCTGTCCCTGTGGAATCTTAATAAGGGAAAACACCATCCCAGGATTCCCCCTGGGGGAGGCCACTAGCATCCTGCCGACCTTTTTTTTTTTGAAGTAACTTAATTTTTATTTTCATGAATACAAAATAGTTGTACAGATTTCTGAGGTACATGGGATAATTTGATACAACCATACAGTGTATGGCTGAGGTATCCAGCACCTCAAGCATTTATCATTTGCTTGTCTTAAGAGCATTCCAATGCCACTCTTCTCGTTATTTTGAAATATACAATAAATTATTGTTAACTATAGTCATCCTATTGTGACACCAAACACCAGGTCTTACTCCTTCCATCTAACTATATTTTTGTACCCACTAACTAATCTCTCCTTATCTCCCCTCCCCACTACCATTCCCAGCCCCTGATAACCATCATTCTACTCTCTACCTCCATAAGATCAAGGGTTTTGCTCCCACAATATAAGCGATAATGTGATATTTGTCTCACTGCACCTGGCTTATTTCACTTAACAGTGTCCTCCAATTCCATTGACATTGCTGCAAATGACAGGATTTCATTTTTTATGGCTGAATAATATTCCATTATATATATCTGCCACATTTTCTTTGCCTATTCATTCATTGATGAACTTGTAGGTTGATTCCATATCTTGGCTATTGTGAACAGTGCTGCAATAAACATGGGAATGCAAATATCTCTTTGATATACTGACTTCCCTTCTTTTGGATATATACCCAGCAGTGGGATTCCTGGATCATATAGTAACTCTGTTTTTAGTTTTTTGAGAAACCTCCATACTGTTCTCCATAGTGGTTGTACTAATTTCCATTCCCACCAACAGTATACAAGGGCTCCGTTTCTCTTCATCCTCATCAGCATCTGTTACTTTCTGTCTTTTTGATAACAGCCATTTTAATTGGTGTAAGATGATATCTCATTGTGGTTTTGATTTGTATTTCCCTGATGATTAGTGATGTTAAGGATTTTTCCACATACTTCTTGGCCATTTGCATGTCTTCTTTTGAGATATGTCTATTCAGATCTTTTGCCTATTCGTAAATTGGATTTTTTGTTGTTATTGAGTTGTTTGAGTTCCTTAGATATTCTAGTTATTAATCCCTTGTCAATTGGATAGTTTGCAAATATTTTCTTATGTTCTGTAGGTTATATCTTGACTCCATTGATTGTTTCCTTTGCTTTGCAGAAGGTTTTTAGCTTGCTGTAATCCATTTGTCCATTTCTTGCTTTAGTTGCCTGTGCATTTGAGTCTTATTCAATAAATCTGTGCCCAGACCAATGTCTTAGAGAGTTTTTCCAATGTTTTCTTCTAGTAGTTTCATAGTTTCAGGTCTTCAATTTAACTCTTTAATCCACTTTGATTTGATTTGTGTATATGGTGAGAGACAGGGGTCTAGTTTCATTCTTCTGCATGTGGATATCAGTTTTTCCAGCACCATTTACTTAAGAGACTGTCCTTCACCAATATATGTTCTTGGCCCCTTTGCTGCTGACCCTTTTTCAAACACAACAAAAGCCATCTCGTCCATGTGTCCATGAGTTCAATTGTTGTAGAAACAGCCCCATATATTTGAAATGAAGCTGAAAAAGGGTATAAGAAATTCATTTCTGCCAGCTTGAATATCCAGCTCATCACACTTAGGCAACTCTCCTAACCTAGCTTGCCAAGAGCCACATGCCCACTTTGAGGACAAGAGACCCTACCAGAACCCTGGAGATAGGCATATTTGGTCGCTGATTCTCCTTGGCCCTCATGACCATGAACTGACCTCAATTCTCTCCAATTTCACTGCCTTGCAAACATTTTGTTGTTGTTTCATTTACTTCCCACACTGGTGTGCATACAGTATTCAAACGGATAGTTTGAATCTTTTTTTGAGACAGAGTCTCATTCTGTCGCCCATACTGAAGTGCAGTGGTGTGATCACGGCTCACTGCAGGATTGACCTCCCCCAGCTCAGGTATCCTCCCATCTCACCTCCCCAAGGAGCTGGGACTACAAGTATGCCACCACACCCAGAAAATTGCTTTCGTTTTTGTTTTTGATAGAAGAGGGGTCTTGCTGTGTTTCCCCAGCTGGTCTTGAGCTCCTGAGCTCAAGCCATCCACCCGCCTTGACCTCCCAAAGTACTAGGATTACAGGCATGAGCCACCGCTCCTGGCCCATCACAAATCTCTTACTCTCTCTGTGCCTTAGTTTCTTCATCTGTAAAATCAAGATTGTGATAATAGTACCCAGCTCACAGGCTTGTGGTGAAGATTGATTGAGTTGATAGTACAAAGTGCTTAAAACAGTGGAGGGCATACAGTAAGTGCTCAGTAAGTGTTAGCTATTATTAGTAGTATTGTTATTATCATTACTATTAATGTTAATTAATATTAATGTTAAACACAGTGTCTGACTTGCATTTTTATTCGCAGCACCTAGTACAGTACCTGGGATATAGAAAGTGCTCAGGAAAAGTCTGCTGGATGGATGAATAAATAAATAAATGAGGATGAGCAATTTCAATGCAGGGGCTGTATATCTTCGTCTCTGTTTAGTACAAACCTAGTCCCTAATAATTCTTTAAAAATGCATGTTGAATTTTGAATCAATGGCACACAAGAAAGTTTCTGCATTTATCTTGTACAGTACAGAAAGCTTTGGAGGAACACACACACAAAAAAAATTAGTGATAGCATTGAAGTAGTGGGGGTGGTACCTAAGAAACTCTGGGAGATGGAGAGACCAAGATGTGACTTTGGGAACAATTTTTAACTTTTCTGGGTTTCTATGTTCTCCTCTATCAAATGAGGCCGAGTCTCTGGATCCTAAGAGGGCTAAACCAGACAATGCTTGCAAAGTGCACAGTTCTAGGCCTGGCACCTGCGAACTGCTCATTCAGTAAGTGTTGGCTTTAAAACCATGTGTCAAGTACAGCTGACACATGTCCCTCTGCCCATCAGGCTGCAGGGCTTGACCAGAAGGTGAGGGGCCCTGATTTATGGGACAATAGCCAACTACCCAGGAACCCATCTTTCTACCCCATCTTTCTAAATATCTTAACCAGAGGCTTCTCTTTCTTGTGCCCTCTTACCCATGATCCAGGGACAATCTAAATAAGTTCCTGCTACTATAACCAGAACTTCTCTAATTGTCATGTGCAAGGTATTTCTCCAAAACCTTTCAAAGAAGTACAGACTCGTCGTACCCCTTCAGCAGACTTTAGAATGAAACTGGGCATTTCCCACTGGTTGCCTTGCCCGCAACTTCCTCCCTTGGACCCTCTCCAAGTCTACGCAGCCGACGGTGTCTTAGAAAGGAGACTCAGAGCGTGATGAATCGAGCACTCAGTCACAGATTATATTCATCTTCATGCTTGCCCAATATAAACCAAACTTTCGGCTTAGTTGGTTTAAATCCAGAAAATACCCAGCAGTTTATATCTTATCTCTGACCATTCTATGAGGTCTGTATGATTAATTTTTTTATATCTTTTTTTTTTTTTAGACAAAATATTACTCTGTCACCCAGACTGGAGTCCAGTGGTGTGATCTCAGCTCACTGCAACCTCCGCCCCCTCAAGTCCAAGCCACTCTCATGCCTCAGTCTCCTGAGTAGCTGGGATTACAGGCACCCACCACCACGTCTGGCTAATTTTTGTATTTTTAGTAGAGACAGGGTTTTGCCATCTTGGCCAGCCTGGTCTCGAACTCCTGGCCTCAAGTGATCTGTCCACCTCAGCCTCCCAAAGTGCTGGGATTACAGATGTGAGCCACCACACCTGGCCTAAAATGTCATATATTTTGAACTGACTGACTTCTCCAAAAACTTATGGTTATTAGTTGAGAGAGAAAACTTGAGAGAAAGTTTCCCTGCACTTGGATGAGAGGAGAGCGGAACAGCCTGCATCTCTGGTGCTGGGGAGTATCAAATAAGGGGAATTGGGAGAAGGATGGAGGCAACAGCGTAGCTCTTTGCCTTTCAAAATTAAAATGGGATGCTGCTTTATATTACAAATCTAAGGAATTAGAAGAGCAGCAAACTAAGCAACTAAGTTTGTTCTCCTTGCATAAACTTTAAAAAGCCAGCTTAAAAGTTCTCAAGCTTAAAATTCGAAAAATGAAAACAAATGCATGGCATGACAGAGGGGATAATTCCTGCACTTTTGGAAATGTTCTCATGTTTTCTTCATTTCATCCTATGAATGAAAATGCCGTCAAAGGGGAATAAGGCTATTCGCAGAGTGCTCATCACCACGGTAACCACTGAGCATCTGTACCCTTTAGTATCTTCATTTTGATTATAATAAATGAGTTACGAATCTATATCTGGGGCCCTAGTTATATATTTGCCATATGTTCACACCACATGCACACACACACACACACACACACACACACACACACACTCACATATATGGTGACTAAGACTAAGAGTCAGCCTAAAAGAAGAATGATTTGGAGCGGGAGCTCTTGGAGGGAATGGTAGGAAAATAACAGGGATCCACTCAGTCTCATTTTCTACTAAATTTCAATAATGAGAAGTGTGCTCAGCAAATGTTTGTTGACTATATGAATAAATGAAATGGTGCATTTAACCAGAATTGCATATTTAAATATGGTGGTAGTGTGTACAATATTAGAGGAAGGAAATGCAGGCAACAAGGAGAAGGCTTCTGCGATGATCCATGACACTCTGATATTGCCATTCTGTGCAAAGTTGCTCACATTTTGACATTCATGATCATTTTTAATTCCCCAAAACAAGCAACTGAACTTTCAACTTCCTTTTATTACCATAAAATAGATGCAATAGATACCCTCACCCCATTCCTCACCCACCCCCCAATTAGCTTTACCTGGTGCCTAATCCACAGCCCATCCCAGACTCACCCTATCCCTCCTTAGACTTCTCTGTATCTTTTACCCGATCCTTCCAGGTGTCCAAACAGTGTCATCCGGTGTCCTGACATGCGGCCCCAATGGACTGATCCAGGGTGGAAAGGAAGAGTGAGAAGAAATCAGACAGAAGAATTCAGGAGATGTGGCAACAGAGTGGATGTAGCAGAAGGGACATAGAGAGTGCCTAAAGATGAGTCTTTGGTCAGCATGTGATGAAAAGAATGAAGACACTGGGGAAGTGGGGAGCAGAAGCGGATGTGGGCCCAGGAGGAAGAAGGTAGGTTTGGACTGGGGCATGCTGAGGTCAGTAGCAACATCAAAGTCCTGAGCACCCTCATATTGTTGCAGATTCCAGAGAGCAGAGATGGCAAAAAGATGCATGGAAGAGAGACACAGCAGGGTCGGGTTCTGGCCTCAGGAGCCAAGGGGGAAGTGCCTGAGGAGACCCCCAAATGAGGCCTGTGTCAATGAGGTCTTTAGGGGACTGGTTTCCATGTATGCCAGGCCATACTCCCTGGATTCCCAGCATTGAGAAGACCAAACACTTCTACACATTTATTACTGAAGCCCCCTGCAAGCTGAAGGCGGAGGAAGTGGCCAATCTCCTAAGCCGTGTGTGGCTGAGGCAGTTGTCAGAGCTGTGATGAGGGAAATGCTCATTATTCTTCTATCCCTCACTTGGCCAAATAAAGAACTTCTTAGAATTCTTCCCCTGTGACAAAACGGGGCTGTGATTTGGAAAGCCTCAGGCAAGTTTGCTAGGGCCGCGGTAACCAAGCACCACAGACTGGGTGGCTTCAAAACTGGACGGCTTCAACAGAAAGTTATTGTTGCTCAGTTCTGGAAGCCAGAAGTCCAAAATCAAGGTACTTGCAGGGTCAGTTCGATCTGAGGGCTGCGAGGGAAGGATCTGTTGTAGACCTCTCTCCTAGGTTTGCAGGCATTGGTCCTGATGTTCACAGGGCATCCTTCCTGTGCCTTCACATCATCTTCTCTCTGAATGTATCTCTGGGTCCAAATTTCCCTATTTTAAAATAAGGAAATCAGTCCTATTGGGTTAGCACCCCGCCCCTCACTTTAACTTGATTACCTCTGTAAAGACCCTACCTCCAAATAAGATCACATTCTGCGTACTGAGGGCTAGGACCTCAACATCTGAATTCAGGGTGGGTGGATGCACAATTCATTCCATAACATTAAGAAGGAAGGGATAAGTGCCCAAGGAATCACATGCTCGCTTGGGGAGAGTTCCAAGCGTGCAGAGCTGGTGGTCATAGCCTAGCCTCAGGCCTTCGGAAATCCCCTGAATCTGGTTTTCCCAGTTCTCATAATCTCATTTCACCAAAATACGGCATCTCAATACATTCCATGCATTTCTGGTGACAAGCTCATTCTGGTGCACGCTAAGCAATGTGCTAACTACGTCTTAACTAGGGTGGTTTAACTGGTTTGGTTAACATAGATCTCTGAGTCATTTCACGCATTCCTTAAGCCTAAACAAATCTCATCCAGGTGTTTAAGACATTGCACAATATTAGACCATCTGAAGCTCCATCTCCTTGGGGCAATGATGATGATGGTGATGAAAGTGGCTGGTGACTGTTCTCAGTCTCATCGCCATAATGGAACCCTACGTTGTGTTCCTCCACACTGGTGTGAGGGACACTACTAAGTGCGGCAGAGTTTGCACTCAGGATAGAGAAATATGGACTCACGCACAGATTCCAGCTGAGTCCCTCCGATGTGCTAGGTACTATGTCCAGCCCCCCAGGATTCACCTGTAAGCAGGACAGTCTTTTGGATGACAGAGGGAATTCTCATATATCCACAGGCAGATGGAATTTACAAGTGGAAAGACCTAGAAGTTCAGAGACAGGGGGACTGAACTTTTTGCTTTCAGTCAGAATCTTTGCTTACGGTTGTGCAAATGCTTGCATTGGTGGGTTTCCATGCCATATAACGTGCTACATATTTTTACGTTACCCTTGCACATAAGCATACTGTTGGGAGGGAAAATGAAGAGGGTGGAGGTGGTAACAAACTCAAGCTAAGGAAATGGAATTTGGATGGGTACAAAGTCCAGAGAATTAGCTTGAGGAAAATGAACCAGGATTCACACAGGAGTTTTCAAACATCTCAATATCAGGACCCCTTTACCCTCTTAAAACTTACTTCGTGAGGACCTTAAAGAGCTTTTGTTTGTGTGACTTATATGTATTAATATTTACTATATTAGAAATTAAAAGTAAGGAATGGTTGTAATATGTGTTCATTCATTTAAAATAACTATAACAAACTCTTTATTTTTTAACATTAATAATGGTTTTCATGAAAAGTAACTATATTTCCCCCAACCCCCACAAAATGTAATGATAAGATTGGCATTGTGTTATATTTTTAGAAATTTATTTAATATCTGGTCTTAGAGAAGATGGCTAAAATCTCCTATCTACTTCTGTATTCAATCTGTTACTTACGTTGCTTTGGCTGAAGTATAAAAAGAAAATCCAGTCTTACACAGTAAAGTCAAGTCTTAGATAGGTATACAGTTGGAAAAGGCAGGATTTGCGATCTCTCAGAAAGAACCTAGGGACCCCCAGCAGTCCCCTAGCCATATTTTGAGAATTGTTGGACTAATAGTGGTTTTATAATCTTGTTATATCCTGATTGGATTTCTCTTTCTAACTATACCATTAAACGGAAACTCAAATTTCAGAATTTTAATCCATAATATGAAATTTTAGATATGGATTAGTGTCATGTAGATATATGCAAAGTCTTAACTCTTTCTACCTCCACATTTAAGAAGTCAGTACAGTGGCATGACTTTGGCTCACTGCAACCTCTGCCTCCCGGGTTCAAGCGATTCTTGTGCATCAGCCATCCGAGTAGCTGGGATTACAGGCACGCACCACCACACCTGGCTAATATTTGTATTTTGAGTAGAGACAGGGTTTCGCCATGTTGGCCAGGCTGATCTTGAACTCCTGGCCTCAAGTGATCTGCCTGCCTCAGCCTCCCAGTGCCCGCAATGGGATTGCAGGCATGAGCCACTGCACCAGGACTAAAAGTCACTATCTTTTAGTTTGTTTGCGGTGAAAAAAAATAGTTTAAAAAATAAATTAGAAACAGACACTATTACCCAGTATCTATATTTAATCACAGAAATATTTCTTAATGCTTCCAACTCTGAAGTCCCAGACATTCTTAACTATGTACTGTAGTTATAAATAATATGAAGGCTGGAGCACAGTGGCTCACGCCAGTAATCCCAGCACTTTAGGAGGCCATGACAGGCAGATTGCTTGAGCCAAGGAGTTCGAGACCAGCCTGGGCAACATAGTGAGACCCCTCTCCCGCCTCATCTCTACAGTAAATAAATTAGTCAAGTGTGGTGGCAATGTGTCTGTAGTCCCAGCTACTCAGGAGGCTGAGGTGGGAGGATCCCTTGAGCCCAGGAGGTCAAGGCTGAAGTGAGCTGTAATTGCACCACTGCATTCCAGCTTGGTCGACACAGCGACAGCGTTTTTCAAAAAGAAAGAAAATATGTATCCCTGCACCATAGGAAATAGGAAGTATTGTGTGACTTTTTCTTGGTCTTTCGAGGAACTATGTCATATGAATCATGATGACTGCTGAAAATGCACAGGAAGATAAAGAAAAGTGACTTGTTGCTCAACTGTTTCAAGCCCAACTCTGGGTACCAAACTGTGGCTCCCTAAACTAACCCAGAGGGCTTGACTCTGACAAAGCTCTAGGTGCAGCCATAAGACTGACCCTTAAAAATCTGACCTGAGATAGCGACAGTCTCACCCCGAAAGCAGACCACAAATTGGGTTTATAATCTAGTGGTTTGCAGGATATGACATACTACCTAATGAACAGGGTGACCGAGTTTGGTGTGATTAGTCCGCAGATGCCAGAAAGGCTGAAGAAGCCTGCCATGAAACTAAGTTTCTGGCCAGTGGTTCCAGCCTAATCTCAGACCCTGGGAACAGAGAAGCACCCCTTCATCTCCTCCTGCAGGTAGAGATTCACCACATTCACCTTTGTAAGCTCCCTTTCCAACAACCTTGGGCACCTTTTGCAACCTATAAAGGTCCTCTCCTTGAATGCCTGCTGCTTTTCCCTGTGCTTGTCCTATCTCACTCAGATCTTTGATTCCCCTGACGACATTCCCCACCCCCTCCCCACCCCATCTCAGCTGTCCTTCTCAGCCTCGCTATCTACTCTCATTCCTCACCTGAGTGTTCCAGCAAGATCACTGTTCTATAAAGGCTCAACCTTCAAACTTGCAATACACATTTCCTGGGTCCTGCTTTGTCTCTATCCTCTGTGCTCAGCCCTGGTGTAGGATCAGTGTTCCTGTCACTCCATCTCCTTTTCCAGGGATATTTGCATCTTTAGTAGTAGTCTTCATTGGTGGTCCTTCAGTGGAGTGTCACAAAGAGAAGGGAAAACACTCAGGTACTATGAGGGGAAAGGTTGGGGACTGTTGAGAGATCACAAGGACACCTCTCACTCCTACCCCCAAAGCTACCTTAACCTATTCCTGTCAAGACAGAAGGTTGGCCGGGTGCAGTGGCTCACACCTGTAATCCCGGCACTTTGGGAGGCCAAGGCAGGTGGATCACCTGAGGTCCAAAGTTTGAGACCAGCCTGGCCAACATGGTGAAACCCCATCTCTACTGAAGATACAAAAAATTAGCCAGGCATGGTGGCAAGTGCCTGTAATCCCAGCTACTCGGGAAGCTGAGGCAGGAGAATCGCTTGAACCAAGGAGATGGAGGTTGCAGTGAGCCAAGATCGTGCCACTGCACTGCAGCCTGGGAGACAGAGCAAGACTCCATCAAAAAAAAAAAAAAAAAAAAAAAAGACAGAAGGGTCATGCCCCAGAAAACTCAACCCTGAGTCTTTGATTTGGTGTGAATTTCCCTACTTCCTTTGCTTGAAAGAAACCTACTTTTTCTAGATGTATTTGAAGAAAAACTAATAGTGATCTCCAAGCTTCAAGTGAGAATTTGTAAAGCATGGCCTATAATATCTGGCATTGTTTCCTCCAGGGCTGCTGACAGGGTCCAGGGAAAATCCCAGGAGCTTCAGAAAAGGGGTTTCTTGCTGAGTGTCATTGTGTTTTTGCAACAATGACAAAATGATATTGTGCTTTTAACACTTGATAGGAAAGGATACATTTCTTTCTGCCTCCTGGCAAATCACTGAATCTAGGGCAGTATCTGTCAGGCTGAACTTTTCCAGTACACACTCACCTTTCCTTTGTGGTTTGTTTTTTCTTGATAATGATTCCATTCCTAAGTTTTCTTCTTATGTTTATGTCTCTCCTGGATGTTATGCAGCCATCCAATGCCGAGTACGAAACTCCACTGAATCACAGTAAGAATAGTGTTGAGCCACATCTTCATTGCATCCATCAGTAGATTGATGCCCAGACAGATTTCATATGGAGTAGAACTGGCCGTGAGGTTTTCTGAGATGACTGATGGATTCGGCCTCTCACTCATGGAAGGTTTTATAACCCCAGCTTACCTCCAGAGAAGGCCTCATGTGTCAGTCAAAGGCTAAAGAAGATATTCGGTTCTCAATTTTAGTGTCCCATAAAGAAGATTGGGCAAACACAGAGGAAAAGGTCCTGTGTTTACTTTTAAAGAAATGTTAAAGTTATTATAGTTATTGGATTACATACATGGATTGAGCTGTGGATTAGGAATAACAGGACCTCATGATATAATGTGGTTTATTTTAAAATGTAAACACACACTCATATTTCATGGAGCAATAGAGGAAAATTTCTTCGGAAAGAGCAAATATGCTGAGGAAAACCAGACTCATGAATTCCTGCACATTCCTAGCTTTATGACCCCATGGTTTTATTTGGTTAATGTTCACTTTCCACACTTGGCTACCGAAATAGCTTTCCATTCCAAGGTTGTTACTGCAAAGTAAAAAGCTCAAGTTTCCCTCTCACACTTCACAGGATATTAATCGCTCAGAGCTCTTGCCCTCCCTTTCGCAATGTTCCTGATTTTCATACTTCCGATTGAGAAACTACCACATACACACTGAGGATATCCTGCTTGGTCAGCAGGCTGGCTATTCTAAGTGCCAACTCTCAGGGGAGATGTCTTCAGTATTTCTCCAGAGTGTTGCTTTGGGGGGCACTCCTGTGCCGTAGTAGTTCTGACACTTATCAGATCCAGATCATTCTACTAACAATGGTCTTGAGCCAACATTTGTCATTCAAAGGTTGCTCTCTTATGGAATTGCCATAGCTAGGCAATCATTTCTTATTTAGAAACATTGGACACTTTTAGGTGTGCTTTCATGGTGATTATACGGTTTTACATTAAGTTATGCAGCAAAATATCTTTTAGGAGCCCCAGATACTCAATGAGGCACCATCACATTGAACAGAAATAATTGCAAGTAGGAAGGTGATTTGAGGAAGTGACAATCCCCCAGTGGAATCTGGTTTTGAACTGTGACGTCTTATAGCATTTCATGATTGTTTTGTTAGTGCCAGGAAATCTGATCTGGGAGAAACATTGGCACTTTTTCTAAGGCTCACATCATTAAAGTTTATTTCTTTATTTGAGGGAGAGAGCTTGCTCCAAATTGGAGAAAACCGAGAGAACAGTTAGTAGGACTTAAATTCTAACTCTGTTGATGTCTCAGTTATTTATTACTGTGTAACAAACTACCCTAAAATTTAGTGGCTTAAAACAAAAACCATGTAATTGTTCATGATTCTGTGGGTCAGGAATTCAGACAGGGCTCAGTGGGGATGGTTCACCTCTGCTCCACATCATGTTGCCTGGGGCTGGAAGATCCAAGATGACCTCACTCACGGGCTTAGGCATTGGTGCTGGCTGATGGCGGGGGGAGCTCACTTCTCTTCCAAGGACCTCTCTCTTTTCTCTCTCTCTCTATCTTTCCCCCCAATCCTCCACCCCACCCTTCACTCTTGCTCTCACTCTATCTCTGTGGTCTCTCATCATTCAGTAGTCATATTTACATTGAGGTAGCTGGCTCACCAAAGGAACTGGAAATGCTCTCAAGGATCAGAAATCAGTGTCACTTCTCCCACATTCTACTGACCTGACCAAAGTAAATCTCAGGATCCACCTAGAATCATGCAGAGAAGAAAGACTCCACTTCTTGGCTGAAAGAGCTGCGTGGTACACAGGGTTTGTTGGTGGCCATTTTTTGCAGAAAAGCTACTACAGTGGCTGACTCCTAGCAAGGTGTTTCTAAGTTCCTTCACTGGACAAATTAATATTAGTCAATTGCCTTAAAGAAATAGAGTTATCTTATTTGGTGGACTCCCAAATGCCATCCACACTGTGTGTAAGATGCACATAGTTTTATGCACTGTTTTAAAAGAAAGCCACCAAATAAAATGGGACATGATATCAATTGTTAAGATCAATTTCAGAGATACTAAATGATGGAGGAAATATGCATGTTAGAATTAATAAAAATGGTAATTATTCACTATATAACTCAACAGAATTTAAAAATGAATGGATAAAAATCTGAGGTGTAAAAATAAGTCACTCTTTTGATCACTGAGTCTATTAATTGAATATCAACTTACATAGGTCTTATCCTGACTAAGGTGCTGATGATCTGGCCTACTGTCTAGTAGAACAGGGCCTTAAGGAACCATTATTTCTCCCCCATCCCCTCATCAAACCATGAGGAAAAGCCTGATGAGGGAAGCAAGCAATGAATCAGTAAAATGAACATTTTAAAGAATAAGAGGTCCTGTGAGTGTCTGGGGGGAAATAAAGAAGGTGATGAGGGATAATAACAAACCACCTCCTTTAGACAGGGGTGGTTACCGAAGGGCATGTGAAGAAAGGATGTTGAAGCAGAGACCCAGGGATTAAAAAGAATCAGCCATGCAAAAAGCAGAGGAAGGTACTTGTATTAGTCCGTTTTCATGCTGCTGATAAAGACATACCTGAGACTGGGTGACATACAAAAGAAAGAGGTTTAATTGGACTTACAATTCCACGTGGCTGGGGAAGCCTCACAATCATGGTAGAAGGAAAGGAGGAGCAAGTGCCATCTTACATGGATGGCAGCATGCAAAGAGAGAATGAGGAAGACACAAAAGCAGACAGCCCTGATAATACCATCAGATCTCATGAGATTTATTCACTACCACAAGAACAGTATGGAGGAAACCGCCCTCATTGTTCAATTATCCCCCACTGGGTCCCTTCCACAACATGTGGGAATTATGAGAGTACAATTCCAGATGAGATTTGGGTGGGGACATATAGCCAAACCATATCAGTGTTCTAGACCAGGCAGAGGACACAGTAAGTACAAAGTTGCTGAGATGGGAAAGAGCTTGGCACATTCTTAGAAGTGAAAGTAGATTGGTTTCATTGGAGCGCAATGAGCAAATTCCTCCATTAAACATCTGTTTAAATATCTGCGAAGCAAAACAACCACAACAAAAACCAACTAGATCCAGAATTTTCCAAGTCTATCAACATCTTTGGGAGGAAAAAAATGGGCCCTATAGTGGGTTTTCTAAACCCTCTTACTAGCCAGATGTTGAGAATGTTTCTTGGGTTTATAGGAGCTTATTGATTAAGTCACTGTTTCTTAAACATGAGTAATGAAGTAACCCTTTAAATGGAAAAATATTATAAATCATTAGTGTGGACAAATCATTTTAATTATGTTTCTTTAAGATAAATGAAGTATAAATGCTGTATATGCATAGCTGTTATGCAAATCTAAGAGTAAATCTAATGTAGGAATTAAATACAAACTAAACTACAAAACTAACAAAATGAAAATTATCAATATTAATTCAGAGTAATGGTTGATGTTATTTGCTGCCACTAACTTGTTGATGTTTGGTTTAATAGTAGAAAATAAACTGATGTATTTAGTTTTACTTGTTGCAAATGTTGGCCGTTGGAACTATTATTATTATTGAGACAGGGTCTCTCTCTTTCACCCAGGCTGGGTGCAGTGGCACAATCAGGGCTCAATGAAGTCCCTATCTCCTCGGCTCAAGAGATTCTCCCATCTCAGCCTCCTGAGTAGCTGGGACCACAGGGACATGCCACCACGCTGGGCTAATTTTTTTATTTTTTATAGAGACAGAGTCTGACTCTGTTGCCCAGGCTGGTTTTGAACTGCTGGGCTCAAGCAATTCTCCCGCCTCGGCCTCCCAAAGTGCTGGGATTACAAGTGTGAGCCACCACACCTGGCCCTGGAACCATTATTGTTACTGTAATTATTGTTTTTCTTTTTAACAAACAAAGCTTTTTTAAAGCAATAGATCCATTATCTTGAAAGGCCAATTAGCACACTCCAAAATACAGTATTGAAATTTAAAAATGCTGTTTAACAAAAGAAAATTTTTTGTTTTTCACTATAGCGTTTACTGCTAATTGATCATTGCTAATTTGTGTATATGAAGACAGGATTTCATCACAAAACCACTGACTGAATTTGTACCTCCAGCCAGCTCTGCAGTCTTTGCGGCTTCATGTAGAGATGTTCCTAGCCATTCATTCTCCCACTGCCTTTCTCTGTGCAATGACCACAAAACCTCAGCATGTGTATTGTAATAGAATGTGGGTTTCCTTGGTATTAACATGACCATATGTTCAATGTAAATGCCCCTCTAAAACTGTATGGGGGACTTCAGTAAAAGGAGGTGGTCAAGATGTTGCCGGAAAAAGGGGTCCCCATCTAGAGGCCAGGAGAGGGTTCTTGGATCTTGCACAGAAAAGAATTCAGGGTGAATCTCAAACCACAATGAAATAAGCAAGTTTATTAGAAACTACTCTGTTATTGAGTAGCACATCCTCAGAAAGCAGGACGAAAAACGTGCCGTCCTTTGTTAGTGTCTCTATTTATAAGAAACTATAGAGCTATAATTAAACTTAGAATGTACAGATGTGCTCACTGAAGGTAGGGGTTATTGGTGCTATCAATGACCATTAATTCTTCAACCTAAGCCTGCCCATTAACATTATATTTAAGAAAAGTGGGCTGTACTCTTAGGACATCTGGACATTCTGTAGGCCTGGTGGGAGATGTTCTGTGTGGCCATAATATTCTGCAATTAGAAGAGCAGTCAGCTTACAATGTGACTATTTGCAGACCATAAGCATTCACTTTATAGGTGCTTTGTGAGTGCCTAGCTACGAGCTTTAAGATTGGGTCGCTCTAGTCACGTTTTGTTAAACTAAAAGCCTAGTAATCAGACACTCCTCTAATGCAGGGATTCTAGAAAGTATTTTTATTACTTTAATAGTATTATAAATAGGAAAACACATTTTAGATTTTTATAGATTTAATGGGCTCTGGGGATATGCCAGAAGGCTCCAGGTTGAGAAGTGGTGCACACGTTAATATTCAGGTCATCTGAACTGATGTACAACCTCAAGAACGATCAACCCAATGTGAGTACAGCCAGATTAGTGCATCATGGAGCCCCAGCATGGGACATCTATCTGGTTTAGAAAGAACATGAATAAGGAAATGTAAAACATATATATATATATAGCTGATAACATATAAAACATATATATGGCTAATAACATATAAAACATATATATATAGCTAATAACAATAATCAGCACTTGTCTACAGTAGCTGCTTAACATGAGGCATTGTGTTAAGCGATTGATAAATATTATGTATGATTAAAATATGTAGTTCATTTACCAGCTACCACAGAGATATCCAACAGAATAACAGAATTCCAACTCGATCACTTAAAAAAAACACACACACACAGGAAGGCAATTTGTTTCTAATTTAACAGCATTAGATCTAATGCTCCAAACAGAAATCTCTGAGGAGGAATTCGTTGTGGAGCAAATGGGGTTGCTGAGTGCAGAGGCCAATAACTATGGCACTGGCTTTTGAGAAAAGAAAGGCTTCATTGCAAAACCTGCCAGCAAAAAGACAGGGGTTGGGTTCAAATCTATCTCCTTGATTTGGGGTCTGGGGCAAGTTTATGGGCCTGAAGGGCAAGGGAAAAAGGATTTGGGAATGTTGGTTTGGTCTGATTGGAGGGCTTCAAATTTGGCCATTTACGGTAAGGTATGTTGAGGCAGACTTTAGCCCCAGATCTTCCAGGCCAATGGACCCCTCCTTCTGAAAGCGTTCTGGTGCGTTCTGGTGTGTTCTGGTGTTCATGTTCTGGTCATGGTCTGGTCCTCCTGGTTCTGAGTGGAGGAATCATTGGTTCTGGGTGTTGTTAGAGGTCAAAGCTTTTTCTATAGCACATGCCCAGGTTATATGACTTGCAGTTTTTTGGCTCTGTTATACCTACAAGGTAACTCGACACTTTTGTTATCAACAAAGCAGGCTCAGTTTGGGCTGGTCCCACAATTACAAAATTTCCTGCCCATTTCCCAGACCCAATCTCTCCTTGAGTTCCAGACTTGAATATCAAGACATATTTCAAATTTACAACATCAGTGATAGAAGTTGTCCAAAGATGGTTGTTAACAACTCTTTCCCTCCCTGCTTCTCGCATCAGGCAGTGAAGCCTTTCTCCCCTTCCTTTGAATAGGGTCTGGCCGTAGTGACTTGCTTGACCAATAAAACACAGCAGAAGTCGCTTTGTGCACTTGTTAGGCTAGGTCATAGGAATGTTTGGAACTTCCACCTGACTTTCTTGGAATGCAACTGCTTGGGACACTCCCTCTTGGAACTCAGCCACTCCTCTGTAAGAAGGCCAAGCAACATATGTTGGCACTGCTGTGGATGGCCGTTGCTCAGCTCCCAGCAGAGAGCCAGTAGTAACAAGAGCCATATAAGTGAGCCCCAGATGTCTCACTGTAACTGCAAGAGAAAAACAGAATCACCCAGCTAAGCCCAGTCAACCTACAGAAAGATGAAAGATAATACATTGCAGCTTTAAGTCACTCACTGTTGGGGTGGTTTTTTAGGCAGCAATAGGACACTATAAGAGTGGCCAGACCAAGTCCTTCACTTCCCCTCACAAAACTTGCTCCTCACTCTGCTGTGTATGCCACCTTAGGAAAAAACTTCAGCTTGATCAGGTCAAAAATCTTGGAGTCATCCTTTATCTTTTCTTTTACTCAAATGTCACATCCACTCCATTAGCAAATTCTGTTGGCCCAACATCCCAGTCATATCCTGAATTTCTCCATTTATTACTCCTTGTGTGACCCCACCATCTTGGCCCTCCTGGGAACTCATGCAGTGACTGAGGATGCACAACTAACCAGGACAGACCCAGAGAAATGAATGGGAGAGCTCTCAAACTCCATCTGGTACAAGGATTCATGTTCCTTTGAAGTTGGTCCTTTGCTCTGCAGATACTTGGACTTCAAGGGTGTGTTACAGGGATGAAGTTGTTTGCAGTAAACATGGATGCACCAACAGAACCTGTTCCCAAGTTTCTGATGGAAGCCAGAGGCTCCACACAGGGATGTGCTTCAAATGCATATCCCTTGGTTAGCTTCACATGCTAACCAAGATTGCTTTGCCCCCATACCACAAAGATTCTGTGTTGGAGTCAAAGAGCTGTAACTCTGTAAGTACTTCAAAGCATTTCAAAAACCCTAAAGGGCAGTGTGTATGTATATTTACCCAGCACAGTGAAGGCAAAAACCACACTCGTGAATATTTTTAGCATTTGGGGCTGTCAGAAGAGCTGGGCCCTTGGCTAAATATATCCAGGCAGTTTCCCTACATTACTAGCAGGGTTTGTTTTCAATTCCTATTTCCTTCAAACAGCAGTCATATTGAAGGAAATAAGCACTGTAATAATAAATACCTCTTTCTGCATCATAAGTTATTATGGAAGTTTTTCCTATGTTTATTTTCTCTATAATTCCTATAAATAATAGGAATAAATAAAAAATAAAAGTGCCTATAAATCGTGCTCCTAATATGAATTTTTATTGGTAGGATCTTCTGTGAAGATTCAGAGATGTGGGCCACCAGTTAACATAAGAAGTAGATGCAATTTCTTACAACCATTAACTAAGTCCTCTTTATACTTCATACATGTGTTAGCTAATTGAACTCTCTAACTAAACGCTGATCTATCACTATCTTTTTCAGAAAGAATGAGAATCATCTAAGGTATCTCAATGATTAATTACAAATGACAATATCTAACACACATTAAATGCTCAGTGTGATGAGTGTTTTACATGCAATATATCACTGAATTCTCAAAACAACTTTGTCAGGTAAACCCTATTATTTTTATTGTATAGAAAAAAATAAACTTTCTCTGTATGTTCACATTCAACACACTTCTGTGAGCAGGTATGTGGGTTTTTTCCCCACACATTCAATTCTCCTGTGGACATCAATTGGATGTCCTAAAATTCCATTCAATTCTGATTTTAATCAGAGTTGGCATAGACCTCACCAGTTAATGACTTAATCCCACAAGACTGTTCCCCATTTCAGATGCCAATCACAAGTCCTAGGTGTCACCTGTACTTCTGATGGACTGGCTATTAATCAGAGTTGTCACAACACCCTCCTCAGGTTTGAATATTTGCTAGGAAGGGTCACAGAACACAGAGGAGCACTAACTTACCATTACCAGTTTATTGTGTTAAAAAATAGGATAAAGGATATAGATGAACAGCCAGATGAAGAAATACAGAGGGTGAGGTCCAAAAGGGGCCGGGTGCAGGAGCTTCTGTCCTCGTGGAATTGAAATGCACCATGCTCCCAGCTTCTGTGTATGCTTCCCAACCCGGAAGCTCCCTGAAACTCATAGTTGAGGGATTTTTATATAGGAATGACCAATTAGTAACTCAATCTCCAGGCCCTCTTTCCTCCCTGGAGGATAGAAAATGGGGCTGAAAATTCCAACCTTCTAATCATGGCTTAATCTTTCTGATGACCAGCCCCCTTCTAGGAGTCTAGCAAGAGTTGTCTTATTCGAACAAAAGAAGCTCCTATTACCCAGAAAATTCCAAAGAATTAGAAGCTTTGTGTCAGGAATCAGGATCACAGACTAAATATTAGAACAATAATGTACCTAGCACCTCTATCATTCAGGAAATTTAAAAAGTTTAGGAACTCTGTGGTGGTGGCACAGTTATATACATATTTGGTGGCACGGGCCATATATATTTTTTATTGTTACCTTATCATCACCATTTTATAGGTGAGGAAACTAAGACACAGTATGTTTTAGTAACTAGCCCAAAGTCTCGCAGCAGGTAACTGGAGGAATTGGGTTCCAACCAACATCCATCTGACAGCAAAGCCAAAAGTCATAACCACTGTGCTATTCAAACTCGCTTCAGACATCTATACCACAATGGAGTGTGGGCACAGCAGCGGTTTGCAAGTAGGGCAGCTCCCAACTTGTTTGTCCAACATACTGATAACATACATATTTGGTCATTGAGATATTGTGATTTATAATAAGAAATATTATAATATAATCTTAATATAATCTCAGAAGGGTATCTTTTGTATTCTAAGGTGAGATGACTAACGGCTGGGGCCTCCTGGAGAGCCTTGGAGGGAGGCTAGCTGCCAGGGGAAACAAGTATGTAATTAGAGGGTTAGAACTTTCAGCATCAGCCTCTCACCTTCAGGGAGGGGCTGAAAGTTGAGTTAATCACCACGGCCAATGATTTAAATCAATCATGCCCTACATAGTGAAATCTCCATAAAAACCCAATAGGACAGGGCTCAAAGAGCTTCTGGGTTTGTGAATAAGAATCCGTCCATGTGCTGGGAGGCTGACACACTCCAGCTCCACAGGGACAGAAGTTCCCGTGCCCTGCACCATTCCGGACCTCACCCTGTGTATCTCTTAATCTGACTGTTTATCTGTAGCCTTTGTAATAAACCAGTAAACATTAAGTGTTTCCCAGCCCTGTGAGCTGTTCTAGTAAATGACTGAACCTGAGAAGGGGGTCATGGGAACCCTTGATTCAGAGTACAGATCACAAGCTGGGACTTACTACTGGCACTGGAGTAGGGGCAGTCTTGTGGGGTCTGTGCTCTGTATTCATCAGTGCAGCCTGGAGTTGGACATCCAGTTGGTGTCTGCAGAGAACTGGAGAATTATTCCCACACAGAATAACCCCTATACATTTGGCAGCCAGAAGTGAAGTGTGAGTGTAAGCATGGTGAAAAATACAGTTTGTTTTTCTCAGTCACTCAGCTGCAGAACCTTCCTCTACCCTCAGGCCCCATACTGTTGACATTTCTGGAAAGGGAGCCCCTTTCAGACTGCATTCCTCCCACTAGAGGACTCTGTCCTTCCCCAATTTTCTCTCTCTCTCTCTCTCTCTCTGTCTCTCTCTCTCTGTCTCTCTCTGTCTCTCTCTCTGTCTCTCTCTCTGTCTCTCTCTCTCTCTCTCTCTCTCTCTCTCCCCTCTCTCCCCTCTCTCCCCTCTCTACCCAGTGCAGCTCCTCTCCTGGGCCCCTCTCCTCCCAATCACCTGCATGATTACCAATTACCAGCCCTCCAGTTTACTTCCATTAAGGATTCCATCGTCCAGTCTGCAGTCTGCTCTCCAAAGGCATGATTTTCCATACAAAAAAAAGTGTTAGTTTCAAACAACCAGCTTACCAACAAGCTCTATCCATTCGAATGGTCTGTTCAAGACTATTTTATAGTGAAAATTGCTATCTAGCCACATCTCTCCAAATCTTACAGTGAAAACTGTGCTTTTGATATATGTCAGGATGAAGTTAAGTCAAAGTTTCCTGTTTCACTTTTTACTGTACTTATGTAAATCAATCATTAGTGGACTCTTAAATGGTTTCCTAATGCCAGAAATGATTAGTCACTCAATGTGTTAATGGCACATTTTGTGAAATCTTTTCCAATGCAAAAACCACACAGCATCTGGGCTTCCTGTTCTGTATTTCTTTCTGGCCTTCACTATCTTGAAATTATCTGGTGCATATTTTTTATTTCCGCTTATTTATTGGCAGTATTTTCATTCTCTACACTTTTCTTCTCCTTATATTCTTTTAGGCTAGTCTTTGAAACGTCAGTCTCTGTCCATTGAAACTAAAATAAGAAAGAAGGAGAAAAGGAAATTGATGTCTTTCAAGTTGTAATAGTAATATGTTTCGTTTATAAAAATCAATTTTTTTTACCAGTAAAACATTAACTTTTGGCCTTCATTAATCAGAAAAGAAAACTGGATCAGTCTGAAAATGCCTTTCTCAAATAAGTCATACCATCCTTAGAACAGTGATGCAGCAGTTCTCAAGCTTGAGAACACATGGGAATCACCTGGAAAGCTTGTAAAAACACAAGTTGCTGGGTCCCATCCCTAGAGTTTCTGATTTAATAGGTCTGCGGTGGTTCCCTGAGAACTGACATTTCCAACATGTCCCAGGTGAAGTTGATGCTGCTGGTCGGCAGCACACTCTGAGAACAAATGGTGCAATATCAGAACTCACAAAGGCCTTGGAAATCATTTCTGCCTTACTTAGAGCGCTGCTGGTTGCAACTTACAAAATCCCACTCAGACTGGCCTGAGTGCAGAAGGGCATTTATTGGAAGCAGTTGGGATATCTGCTAGACTCCAAAATGAAGTTGAAAAATCAGGTGGAATATGGCACCAGTAGGGAGCACCAGGAAGGATGCGGTTCTCAGAGAAGAGTGGTGTAGGCTCAGCAGAGACTCTAAATATCGTTACTGCATCATCTCAGCTCCCATTTTTCAAAAGAGAACTGCAGTTTGAGGAAATTAAGAGCTTGCTACAGAGCATACATCTAATAGTGGCAAAGCCAAAGCTGGAAGTGGTGAGTAGCAATCTGTATCTTAGCCAGTGGTATGCTGGAGCTGTGGGTACCAGCCCCAGAGAGCTGGTTGTTAAATATTCAGGAATCTTTTGAGCAGGTCAATCTTGGTAGCTGGAAGCTGGCCACAGTCAGAATATTTACACTGAAATATTGGCTGATATTACAGACCAGGATCTTTTTTCTTCCTCTCTTTCTTTTCAAAGAGCAAGCTAACAGCACACCATTGCCTAATTCCATGTAGGGAGGATTTAGAATCAATGCAGATGTCATATATTGAACAAGAGGCAATCCCAGTGTGCAGTTTTTTCCAGTAGTAGCCATCCCTAATCCCACTATTGGCTGATGGCCCTGGTGCTGCCAGCTAGACCTCTTTATTTTATTTTTACTTTCTTTCTTCTCTCTCTCTTTCTTTCTTTCTTTTTTTAGACAGAGTCTCACTCTGTTGCCCAGGCTGGAGTACAGTGGTATGATCTCAGCTCACTGCAACCTCCACCTCCCGGTTCAAGCAATTTTCCTGCCTCAGTCTCCCGAGTAGCTGGGATTACAGGCACGCACCACCACACCCAGCTAATTTTTGTATTTTTAGTAGAGATGTTTCACCATGTTGGCCAGGCTGGTCTTCAACTCCTGACCTCAGGTCATCCACCTGCTCAGCCTTCCAAAGTGCTGGGATCATTCTTTTCTTCTTGAGACGGAGTCTTGCTCTGTTGCCCAGGCTGGAGTGCAGTGGCTCAATCTCAGCTCACTACAACTTCCGCCTCCCAGGTTCAAGCAATCCTTTTGCCTCAGCTTCCAGAGTAGCTGGGATTACAGGTGTGAGCCACCATGCCTGGCCTAGACTCCACTTTGTATGTCCAATCTTTCAAACCTCTCTTCTATGCATGAGTGGTGCTCTCTCTCTAACACACGTCTGCAAAACAAGCCCACCATCTATCTCATTGTCTTTGTGCCTGCTCTTGTTTCCAGATGCAAAGCCAGTTCCTTCCTAACTGTTGAACAGTAGAACTTCAGAATTAAAAGAATAAGACAAGCCTGATTAAGTGCATGTAAGGCCAAAATAAGTGTCTTTAAGAGACTCGCTTAAAAAAAAAAAAAGAATAAGGCAGCCAATAAGCAACTTCTTCCTAGGGATATTGACTTATTGCGTAGCTATTTAAAGAAGGAAATTCATGTGCAAATTGCCCTAGACTTCTTTCTCCAGGCTCCCGTTGTGTGGCTTGGCTGCCCACTACCTCATTCCCATCAATGGACAATGGCTGGGAGAGAAAGCCTCCGTGACTGTAAGTGACTCCCCAGACCCTTGGCCTCTGCCACCTGTCACCGAGCCCACTGACGCACCTCCACTGTCACGTTGGCAGTGCTCCATGCAGTCTCTTGTCCCACATTTCTTAAGAGGCAAAAATTACATTTACTTTACTGACCACAAGCCAGCACTGGGAGCTGGGAGGGTCGGGGTGGAGTGTTTCCTTCCAATAATGCTTCCTGGGGAAGGAAGCCTAAAACAACACAAAGCAAAGCTCCAGCCTTTCCAGAGGAATGTGGGGGCAGCTATTGCTGTCGCTGCCGCTGCTGCTGTGATTTTCTGGAACACAATGTCGTCATGAGAACTCCTAGGCACCCTCTCCCATGGCAGACCTGCTCTACTGGCATGCTTATTTGGGATACTGAGAAAATATGAGGATGCCAAGACAAATGAAGTCTTGGCACTCACATCTACGGAGATAAAAGCATTTTTATGAATTCTGATGCTTTTCCTTCTTTTTTTCTCTTTCTTCTTCCTCCTCCTGCCTCCTCATTCTCCCTCTCCTCCGCCATCAACCCCATCTTATAAATAGTTGTTGAACTTCCACTATGAATTTCCACCAACGTACTGAGCTAGGTACTTTGAGAAACACAAAAATGTGCATTGAGGTAAAAGGAACACAGCACAGGGATCTAGTGACCTCCCTTTCTAAACCTCATTTTATTCACTGTTTTCTCAAAAATTCATGTGGATAATATGATTGTTAATGATGAGGTATAACATGTTCTGCCCTTGTAGTCTCCTGGGAGAGGCAGGTACTTGGAAAACTACTGAGAACCTGGAGAAGTGCCTTTAATAAAGTGATAAACACAAAGTCCTAAGATTGCATCTAGTTTATTGAATCACAAAGTGTTTTCAATGGATTAGTGGATTGTATAATGTAATCTTTACAACAATCCTGTGCAGTAGGAAGGGGAACAATGTTGTTAGTTTTTGGTTTATCTGTCCCTCCACAGTCCCTGGAGAAGGGAACTTGTTATAGAGTCAGATTTTTATAGTTAAAGCAACTATTGGAAAAAGAAAAGAAAAACCACCAGCCTAGCACGTTCCTTATATGGATGAGGAACCCGAGGTTGGAAGTCAGCCTGAGGTAATAGAAAAAGCAGAACATTCCACCTGGTCACCTGGGTTCCTGCTCAGTTCTCAGCCATATGCTGGACACATGATTTTGCACATGACTTCTTTATGCCTTGATACCCTCTTCTGTAAAATTAAGTCAACACTATTTTATCTGACTGTCTTATTAGGCTGTTATGAATGTTAAATGAGAGAATGAATATGAAAACACTTTGTGAAACATTAAATGCTATTATAACTAACAATACCTTTTTGTACCAGGTATCACGGAACAGTCTCCACTCCAGGTTATGGATCCACTGTTGGGCAGTTCTACACTGCTCACATCCGGATGCCGATTCTGCCAGCAAATCCATCTGATTCTATCTCTCTCTCCGGTCTGTCTAACTCTAGGTTCTGCACATGTCTAACATGTGGTTGTGTGAGTGCCAGAGTGCAAGCTCTTGGGAGGCAGGGGACACATTTATTGATGTTGTATCACCAACATTTAGTACATGCCTGCTAAAAAGTTACTGTCAACATATTTGTTGAACAATGATTACTGGATGGGTGGATGAAACATCAATATGACTTGCCCAAGGGCAGTTATGAATGTCTCCAAAACTATTTCAGGGGTAATTCATGAACATGTCCTCTGAGGATTCTTCTTCCATCTCTAAGTCAGTTCCTATGATATGACTACCTCAGGGCAAGAAAGTCACTGTGTCCCTGCTACAACAAAAGATCACTCATGTTTCCCGACCACTCATGTTACCCTCTCTCTTCTCAAGAGGGCATTTCCTTTCAATGATGTGATTTTACATACTGCATGCCTGTATCAAAACATCTAATGTATCCCATAAATATACATATATCTACTATGTACCCGCAAAAATTAAAAAAAAAATTTTTTTTAAAGAGGGCATTTTGGCCAGGTGCAGTGGCTCACACCTGTAATCCCAGCACTTTGGGAGGCCAAGGTGGGTGGATCACTTGAGATCAGGAGTTCAAGACCAGCCTGGTCAACATGGTGAAACCCTGTCTCTACTAAAAAATACAAAAATTAGCCAGGTGTGGTGGTAGGCGCCTGTAATCCCAGCTACTCGGGAGGCTGAGGCAGGGAGAATCGTTTGAACCTGGGAGGCAGAGGTTGCAGTGAGCTGAGATTGTGCCACCGTGCTCCAACCTGGGTGACTGAGCAAGACTCTATCTCAAAAAAAAAAAAAAAAAAAAAAAGAGGGCATTTCCCATTTCTTTTTATAAACTCTATTCCAGTTATGTTGAGTGTCAGCCAAAGATCTGAGGTTGGTGTCCTGCAGCCAGTACTGCTGGAATGGATTGACAGTCATGGGAATGTACCAGGTATCATGGGGGCAGGCCCTGCTCTAGGTTATGGAGCCACTGTTGGGTAGTCCTACCCTTCTCACATCCAGATGCAGATTCCGCTGGCAATTCCATCTAGTCCTATGAGACATTCCCTGGAAATGATGTGCTCATCCTCATCAGCTACGTGATGAATGAATCCAGGGGTGTTTGTCTGTGAAGTGTCTGCTATCTCCTGTGCTTGATTTACTGACGTGGATGTTGTTCTCGAGGTGTGGGTTGAAGCCATGAAAATAAATGCCTTCAAGGAAGGTATGTAAGCAGACTGCAGTATTGGAGGGTACTCACAGTTGGTAAGTAGGGCAGGGAAGAGGAATGAGAAAAGGTAAGAAGGAGAGAGAGAAGTGAGAGAATGAGAGTGAGGTAGTGACACTAGGAAAGTGACATGTCATGGGAGACAAAAACAAAAACAAAAAAAACGAGAGAGAGACGAAATAACAGTGCCACATCCTGATAGAGTCATCAAACTCTGATGAAAGTCTATTAAATATGGCAATAAAGAGGTCATTAGCAAGATGTAGGAGAAAAGGTTTAGACATGTGATGAGTGAGAAGAAAGCCAGGAGAGATGTGGCTGCCCAGGAAGGTGAGGCAGTGGTGGTGCCTGATGTATTCAAGTATTTGGATAGGAAAGAATGTTGCCCTGTAGAGGAAAGAATGTTGCCCTGTAGTGAAAAGAACCACCAGGTTCAAATGAAGATCATGTCAATGTGGGCAAATCTCAGTACACAGGATGATAGGAGAAAAAGAATCAGAAGAGAGAGGATGTTTCAAAGGGAAGAGTGGCTGAGGGATCCAGATTTTTAGGAAAGGATGGGATTCATATGACTGAGGTCAGAATCCTAGCCTAAAGTTGTAAAATGAGGTCAGTGAAGTTACACTGTCAAACGCCAGCTCCCCAAATGACCATAGAAAACCCTTAGAACCAAGCAAAACTAAGGGGTAGATATTTACAGGGATTTGTGGGTCTGGGTTCAAGTGGTTTAAGGCAAATCTTTTTTTTTCCTATGTCTTGTAAATTTTTTTTTTTTTTTTTTTTTTTTTTTTACTTTAAGTTCTGGAATACATGTGCAGAACATGCTGGTTTGTTACATACGTGTGCCATGGTGGTTTGCTGCACCTATCAACCTGTCACCTAGGCTTTAAGCCCCACATGCATTAGCCACTTGTCCTGATGCTCTCCCTCCCCTCACTCACCCCCTGACAGGTCCCAGTATGTGTTATTCCATTCCCTGTGTCCATGTGTTCTCATTGTTCAACTCCCACTTATGAGTGAGAACATGTGGTGTTTGGTTTTCTGTTCCTGTGTTAGTTTGCTGAGGATGATGGCTTCCAGTCTCATCCATGTCCCTGCAAAGGACATGATACCACATTCCTTTTTGTAGCTGCGTAGTATTCCATGGTGTATATGTACCACATTTTCTTTATCCAGTCTATCATTATGGGCATTTGGGTCAGTTCCATGTCTTTGTTATTGTGAATAGTGCTGCAATAAACATGTATGTGCATGTATCTTTATAATAGAATGATTTATATTCCTTTGGCTATATACCCAATAATGGGATTGCTGGGTCAAATGGTATTTCTGGTTGTAGATCCTTGAGGAATTGCCACACTGTCTTCCACAATAGTTGAACTAATTTACATTTCCATCAACAATGTAAAAGCATTCCTATGTCTCCACAGCCTCACCAGCATCTGTTGTTTCTTGACTTTTTAATAATTGCCATTCTGACTGGTATGAGATGGTATCTCATTGTGGTTTTGATTTGGATTTCTCAAGGTGAATATTTTAAATGGGGATCTGATTGGGAATCAACAAAATTCATGACATGATTGTTTAGTCTTGGTGGACAGGGCAAGGTGAAAAATCAAGTTTTGGATAAGCAGACAGTGGTTTGACAAGCGAACTGTTTGCCAAGGTAAACAATCTATTGTCCAGAGAAGACAGCTGTTTTCCCAGGTGAGCAAACTATTTGCCCAGCCAAAAACAAATAGGGAAGTTACTTACTGATTTACAGACAATAATTTCCTGGAAAGAATAGTTGTCATGTTGACAGAGATGGTCATAGTGCTTAGTTCTGAGAGGTAAGCTCTGTTCACCGATGCAGGTGGTCTCAACTTGCAACACTGAGGTCCTCCCTAAGAATAAGCATGAACCAGAAACACTACAGTGGTGGTTCCAAACTTTGTTGAAGAGCTTCACAAAATACTGATGTCTGGTTCCCATCCTTGAACATTCTGATTTAGTTGGTAAGGGGTACAACCTGTGCACTGGGATTTTTAAAAGCTCCCCAGGTGATTCCAAACGGCAAAGTTTGAGAACCACTTCATTAGAGTTAAAGGAGAAAGTAGGGATAAAATGACTATTTGGGTGATGGCGATGTGGCCAGATCCCATCTCTATAACAACTTTTTAAAAAATAGCTGGGCATGGTGTTGCATGCCTGTGATCCTCGCTACTTGGAAGGTTGAGGCAGAAGGATCACTTGAGCCTGGGAGGTGGAAGCTGCAGTGAGCTATGTTTGTGCCACTGCACTCCAGCCTGGATGACAGAGCAAGACTGAATTAGTGTGTTCTCATGTTGCTAATAAAGACATACCTGAGACTTGGTAATTTATAAAGGAAAGAGGTTTAACTGACTCACAGTTCCACATGACTGGGGAGGCCTTACAATCAAGGGTGAAGAAGAATCAGGAGGAAAGTCACATCTTACATGGCAGCAGGCAAGAGAACTTGTGCAGGGGAGCTCCCATTTATAAAACCATCAGATCTTTTGAGACTTATTCACTACCACGAGAACAGTATGGGGGAAACTGCCCCCATGATTCAATTATCTCCACCTGGCCTTGACCTTGACATGTGGGGTGATTACAATTCAAGGTGAGATTTGGGTGGCGACCCAGCCAAACCATACAATAGACCCTGTATCAAAAAAAAAAAAAAAAAAATTAACAGCATGTTAGAGGTTGAAATCAGACAGCAGGACCCCAGAATACGTTTGTTCTGTAGCTTCCACCATGAGCAGCATAGAGGGGTGATGGTGAAGACATGCCACACAGGCTGCTGGTTGGTGTGGCAGGCTTTGTGGTAGGTCAGACAGAGGGGATTGAGACATTGGGCAGGTTACTGTGGTAATCAGAGTGGGGAGAATGGACTTGAGCAAAGGGGAGAGCAGACAGCTGAGAGCTGTGATCTGACAGAGAGAAGCCTGAGGTATGAAATCCAGAAGTGGGAGATCCCCCTAAGGGGCATTGTGGAGGAGGACAAAGATGTGGTGTGATAGAGGAAAACCTGCATGGGGAGAAGAAAGAACGCCATGACAACGTGGAGGTGGCCATGAGCAGACACAAGGCTATAGTATCACTGATTTGAAGAGGACGGCATGGATAGATGACATGGAATCCAAAAGATGAATGAGAACGGAAGACACCTGTGTCTTGGGAAATGGCCTAGAAATGGCCCTGCAGGGTGAGGCAATCCTGCCCAACCACCTTCACTGCTGAGGAGAAGAGGGGGCCTGAGAGGAGGTGAAGACTGCCTGGAAATTCTGCAGGAGGCCCAGGGCCTTTAGGGAGACTGAGAGCCATAGGGCCAAGAGAGGCAGGTAAGGGACAAGCACAGGTTAGCGTTAAGGTGAGCTCGTCCCTGCAAAGCAGGAGTTTCACAGAGCACGAGGCACATAGCAGATGGTGAGAAGGACAGGGTAGAGAGGAGTGCATGAAGTTGGGGAGTAAACTGCTTATGAAAAAGCAGAGAATCAGAATGCAGGTTGCAAAGAGGAAGGAGCAGCTGGCAGGACAGCACTAGTGGGCTGACAACTGCCTTCGCTGAATAAGATAAACAGACAAGACTCTCCTAAGAATTAGATATATATTTTTCATTCCTTAAAAGATTATTTAATTTTTGGCCAGGAACAGTGGCTCACACCTGTAATCCTAGAACTTTGGGAGGCTGAGGTAGGCAGATTGCCTGAGCTCAGGAGTTTGAGACCACCCTGGGCAACATGGTGAAACCCCATCTCTACTAAAAATATAAAAATTAGCCAGGCATGGTAGCCTGTAGTCCCAGCTACTTGGGAGGCTGAGGGAGGAGAATCGCTTGAACCTAGGAGGCTGAGGTTGCAATGAGCCAAGAATATGCCAACGCACTCCAGCCTGGGAGACAGAATGAGACTGTCTCCATAAAAAAGTTAGGACATTCAGTCATTCTATGGTTGAAATATCAAAAGGCTACTAAAAAGAAATATAGTCAAAAGCCTCCCTTCTACTTCTGTCTCTATTTAGTCCAGCTCCCACGTCTCCAATAGGCAAGCTTTATTAGTAGCATCTCATGTAACATTCACACAGGAAAGGTTGTGTATACACATGTCAGCATATACGAATACGTGTTCCCCCTCCTATTTACACAGCAATGGCATATTATGAGGGCATCTGCTGTTGCACAACTCCAGGGGTGCCATGTACATAGAATACAATGGAAACGGTGACCCCAAAGTTGTTCAACATGGAAGAATTTGACAATATGTGCAGTTTTTTCACATAAAAATAAGTCTTGGATATCTTTCTATATCAGTACCTAAAATACATCTTTATCCTTTTTTACAGCCACTACTATGCCATAGTATGGATATACCATAATTTATTAAATTTTCTACAATGGACATTTTGTTTATTATATACTTTATAAATAATGCTGAGTATTTCATTTTGCACCTGTCCAAGTACATAAAACGAATTGCTCAAAGTGTAGTTACTGGTCAAACAATTTCTGCTAAAAGTAGATTGGCAAATGTTTTCTGTAAAGGTCCAGATAGTAAATATTTTAGTTTTGTGGGCCATATGGTTCCTGTCTCAGCTCTCGACTCTGCCACAGTAGTGCAAAAGCAGCCACAGACAACATGTAAATGAATGAGCATGGCTGTGTTCCAATAAAACTTTATTTATGGAGACTAAAATTTGAATTTCATATCATTTTCATGTGTTACGAAATAGTATTCATTTCTCGATTTTTGCTGCAAGCATTTAAAAATGCACAAGCCATTCTTACCTCATGGGCTATACAAGGACAGACAGCAGCCCACAGGCTACAGTTTGCCAACCACTGGTTTATGCGATAGAAATTTTGATAAGTATTACCAAATTGACCTTTATATAGGTTGTATCACTTCATACTTCCAACAGCAATATATAAGTTGCTATTTTCCTCTAAACCTTGCCAATAAAGTATATTATTGAGCTTTTGGATTTTTTGTTTAACGGGTGAAAACAGTATTTCAGAGTAGTTTAAATTTGTATTTCTCTGAGAATGGGCTTATTTTCATATGTTTAAAAGCCATTTGTAGTTCTCTGTGAACCATCAGTTTATATACTTCGATACACTTCACTTAAAATATAAAGTTTTTATGGGTAAATCTTTTTCTTTAAAAATTGAAGTAAAAATTAGCCAGGCATGGTGGCCTGTATTTTTCTGATTCTAAAAGTGATGATGATTATATGCTCATAGTAAAAATAATTAAATGAAAAAATTTTTAAGTATTATTTATAATCTCATTCCCAGAAATATCTACCTTTTTGCATTTGTGTGTTTATTTTCCAGGCCATTTTCCAGATATTTGTATATAGGCATTTTTAGAAAAACATGATTCACTCCACAAATATTTATTGTGTTATGAGTATTACAAGGGTCATATGACATATACCATTTTGTAATTGTTTTTCACATAATAGTGGATCATGTAAATTTTATTTTTAGCCTGTCAGTACAGAAAATTGAGTCAGAAAAGTACGAAATACAATTCAACAAGCAATAATGTGGTTTCTGTCATCCCCTCTGGGCTGACGTGTCTGCCTGCTCTGATAGAGACACTAGTTGAACTGGTGACGTGCATTCACAAAGCAGTGTTAAAAGCCACCTCTTTGCTCAACTAGAGTCTTCATTCAAAAGTACTTACTGAGGACCTACTATATGCCAGACTCTATTCTAAAATACAAGGGCTGTAACAAGATAAAGGTCCTACACATTTCCTGATCTTATGGAGCTCAGTGAAGGAGGCAATAGACAAGAGAATCTCAGCCCGGGATGTGTGATATACAGAAAATAACAAAGTGATGTGACAAAGATGGATGAGGGACCTTAGTGGGACCTTCTCTGCTGACCAATCTTCACTAAGGAGGAGACAAATGGGCTCAGACCAGATCGACAGAAAGAAGCTGTAACAGCACTGACTCCATGCTAGAGAAATGCTTGCTCACTTAAACATAATTACTACTTTGCTTGAATTTATAGATTATTTACTAAAAACAGCTTCAGGAAAACAGGACCTTCAACAGAGATAAAAGGAAGTGTGTGCAATAAACAACTCTAGAAACAGGCTGCCAAGCCTGATCAGAATAGGTGACGGATCTGCAGAAGCCACAGTACGTTGACCAGGAAAGCAATGACGAACGGCCTGCCTGAGACAGCACACATTTCACAAGAATGTTTTGATCATCATTTCCCCTAATTTCCCTTAAAAACCCCTTATCTGGAGATCCAACTCGGTGAAGTGGTCTTTGAACGCTAGTTCCCTGCCTCCCCCAGGTTGCTGGCTTCTCGAATAAAGCTAACTTTCCTCTCGTCGAAGCTCTTCTCTTAAGTTTTTGGCTTTCAAGTGACGAGTAGCCTGGACCTGAGTTTGGTTACACAGCCAGCCAGGTAAAGCTGTGGGGAAGAAAATTGCAGGCTGAAAAAACAGCACATCCAACAGACTTGACTGGCCTACAAACAAGAAGATGGCTAATGTGAAGAGGGAGGCAAGGAAAAAGAGAGTGGTATGGCTCAGGCCAGACAGGAAGATGAGGGTCAGTCCATGGAAGACTTGAAAGGCCAGAGCAGGGAGTTTGGCTTTTATTTAGAAGGCAATCGGAAGCCATTGGTGGATTGACGGGATCTGATATACATTTTTTTGAGATAGGGTCTGGCTCTGTTGCCCAGGCTGGAGTGCAGTGCCAGAGTCATGGCTCACTGCAGCCTCAACTTCCCGGGCTCAAGTGATTATCCCACCTCAGCCCTGATCTATATTTTTAAAGAGATTATTCTAGCTTAGACTTGCCAGATAAAATACAGGATGTCCAGTTAAATTTGTCAGATAAACAATGAATAATGTAAGGAGAATAAAAAATATTTTTAATAATATTTTATATACCAAACATTACCCATTGTTTATCCAAAATTCATTATTAACTAGGTGTCCTGTATTTTTATTTGCTAAGTCTAGCAACACTATCCTGATTACTGTGGAGATCTGGAAAGTGGGTGGATGCAGAATATATTTTGGAGGGAGTCCTAAAAGTACTTGCTGAAAGATTGCTGTGGGATAGGAAGAAAGAAGAGGCATCAAGGATGACTCCTAGGTTTTGGACACCTGGGGTGATAATTGCAGAATGCTTGTGGTTTTCTCTGCTTGTTTGTTCATTCTGCAGTCTGAAGATGTGTGGATGCAATAATAATAAATAGTAAATAATAATAAATCAAAAGAAGACACAAAGTGACTTAAAGCAAACTAAGGAATCTCTTATCAAGAACCAGCAGACCTCCATCCCCGCCTCCCCAAATCAACTGAGATCAATATACTTAAAGCCTGTTTATTCATTTTTCTTTGTTTCGTAGAAAGACAACTTTTAAATTATTATTTGGATGAAGAAAAAGAAGAAAGATAAAATATTATTCGTTAATTAGAACAAGCACTAGTTACATTTTGGCTCCATCCAATGGCCAGTTTCCCATTTTATAGCAAGGAATAAATGACAGTGAGGAGAGAGGGAGTGGGGAGTAGAAAAGACAGACGTAGGGTGCAGAGATGCTAATGGGGACAAGAATACAAAAGAAAAGGTGATTCAATGGCTGTGGCTTCTAACCCACCTAATGAACAATTTTCTTATTCCTTTGGTTACCCTAAAGTATTAAGGCACCAGTTTATATGGGCTAACAATAGGAGTTCACTAGCCTGAGGAGTGGGAAGAGAAGAAATATTTATTGAGCCACCTGCTAGATACCAAGGGCATTATATAAGTTTGCTCATTTTTTACAACAATCTGTGAGGCAGGTATGTTTATTCCTGCTTTATAGAAATTAGTGACTTGCCCAATAACACAGAATAAAATGGTTAGATGGACTTGGATTTGAATGCGGGTCTGTTAACTTCCTGAACCCCAAATGTGGATTTTCTGTGACACCATTTTTCTTCACATGGTTTTAAAGAGTTTGAATATCTTCATGCTTGCTAAATATTTATAGGGAATTTCCTTGTTGGCTCTTGTCTTCTTCACAGATTCTTTAATCCCAGAAAACATTTTTATTTTTAACTGTACCATTGGACATAAGTAAGGACAAAGCAGCAGAAAAGTAAATGTTTCAGAATGATATTGTTGTGGGAACAAAAATCTACTTACAGATTGTGGTTTGCTAGGTGGATAGTGGATCAATCTTTAGAGGAAAACACCTCTTTTGTTAGAAAGGCTTTAAAAGCCTTTTTGACTGTCTGAGATAAGGCCTAGGCTACATTGGAATGGGGAAAGTTGTTAGAAAAGGAGGTAAATGTCATCTTAATAAAGTAAAAAGGGGTCTTCCTTAAGCAGAGAGTCATGAATTGGGTTTCTGAGGAAGAGAAGTTTTTGCTAGTTTGCTTCAACTAATGTATTTTCATTTTTCTCCACAGAATTTGGGACCTGGGAGTTTGGGAGAAAAGCAAAGAAGGCCTGGGGTTGAGTGAGACACAGGGTCCCAGCCAGCAGCTAGAACACGAGGAGAAAAGAAGAAAGGACTCACTGAAAGGGAATTGCTGAAGAGGACCTTTATATCTGAGGGCTTTACTTTGTGCTTTGTAATTTCCCTTTGTCATCCTCATCTTTTAGGAAACTGATTAACCACTATAATTTACGTCGTATTAGCAACGCCTTAGAGAATGAAGGAGGAACTGTACTTATTCTTGGAGCGTAGCCTGGAGAGAGGCAGAAGCCTTCAGGAGCTGTTACTAGGTAGTAGGAAATCACTCTCTCTAGAGTCCTCTGAAACAGTCTGGAAGAGAATGGATTTCCTGCTGTTGTGCAGGATGAGGGTTTGAGTACAGTAATTTAATTTACTTATTTAAAAAATACTGGAAGATGGGGAGGGAGGATGGGTCAGATTATAATATGTTCATATGTCTAAGGCAGGAAATTAGATACAAGATGAAATCTAAGAAAGTTCTGTGATTGGGTTTCTCCCACAGAAGGAGGAGAAAATCCCTGCATCTCTGGTTATGCAAATAATATGCAAATTACAGTGATTACATACTTGCTTAGAAAATTTTGATTACCTCATTTTGACTTCAGGCAGAGTTGGGACACCAAAAGGGAATGTTTGTCAACAGTCCAGAGTTGTTAGATTTCTTCCAGGGGAAATGAAAGGGTAAATTTCTTACCAAACACAAGGGTTTTAAATAAGTTTTTCAAACTCCTTAATGTCTCCCTTCCACAAAGCATACCAAAAAAAAAAAAAAATTACAATAGAGTCAAAATGTGATCTGTAGACAAAATGAAGGACAAATGGTTTTCCCCCCTAAATTTTACTCCAGGGTACATTTTCTCCTCTTTCTTTGTCGAACAATGTGAAGTAAGGGCTTGGATTTTGTCCTGCAGATGGTTTTGCAATCAGTTCTAGCCATTTCTCTAAGTCTGGGCTTCAAATCTGTCAGTTGAGAGTGATACAGTTGCCTGTCCCATGGTGGTGTTAAGTGAGGCTGAGAGCATCAAACAAATGTCCCAGCTCCTGCCACAGTTGCATCCTTGACACGTTCCAGTGGTGCCCGAGCAACACTGCAAAGACCCCCTGGGATGTCTGTTGGCAAGAAAAGGTGGAGCCACTGCCCTGGGGGGCTGGGAAGGGAGTTAGAGAACTACTGTCTTAACCTAAAATTTGGGCAGAATCTGCCTTGGATCAAATTTAAAATCTTTTCTGAATATTAGCTGACTTGATTAGAAACTAGTTGTCTCTCCCCTTCTCAGCAGAAGACTGTGGAATGTGTCTCCTAGCAACAGAGATGTGTTACTATCTTATGGTAGGACTGTTTTATAAAGCAGCAATCTCCAACCTTTTTGGCACCAGAGACCAGTTTCATGGAAGATGATTTCTCCACAGACAGGGAAGTGGGGGGATGGTTTCAGGATGACTCATGCGCATTACATTTATTGTGTACTTTATTTCTATTATTATTACATTGTAATATATAATGAAATAATTATACAACTCACCATAATGTAGAATCAGTGGAACCCCTGAGCTTGTTTTCCTGCAACTAGATGGTTCTATCTGGGGGGTGATGGGAGACACTGACAGATGATCAGGCATTAGATTCTCATAAGAAGTGCACAACCTAGATCCCTCACATGTGCAGTTTACAGTACGGTTCACGCTCTTTTGAGAATCTTATGCTGCTGCTGAGGTGGAAGGTGGAGGTGGAGGTCGAAGGTGGAGGTGGAGCTCAGGCAGTAATGTGAGCAATGGGGAATGGCTGTAAATACAGATGAAGCTTCACTCACTTGCCTGCCACTCAAAACAGGCCACAGACCAGTACCGTGTAGAAGTACCAATCTGTAGCCTGGGGGTTGAGGACCGCAGCTATAAAGGACACTCATTCTGCTGTCCGCACTTCTCCCAATAACTACCAGGAAAGGGTCACAGTCAGAATGAATTTAGCCATTCACCTTCAGTACCAATGCATTGTCCTAAAGAGGTAACAGTTCCACTGGCTTCAAATCTTTTGTATCATTTGTGTCTTCCTTCCCTCTCTTCTCTTCCTCTCTCATTCACACTTTTCTCTTCTTTCTCCCCAATCTCTCAACTCCTTTCCTTCCTTGCTTCCCTGACCACTACCTTTTCAACATCTGTCTTTTGACCTTTCCCTTTCCCTTCTTTATTCCTATCCCTGCCACCATCCTGTGTAAAGTGCTATCAGTTCTACTCCATTCTTCCCTCTACCTCTGCCCTTAACCCTAGTTCCAGGTCCAGGTAGTTCCTTACCCCACCCTCTGGACAAGGCTGCTTCTGGGCTATAATCTCTTTTCAAGATATTTTATCCTACATGCAGCTGCCAAGTTATTTCCCCTACAACAGCAATCTATTCATAACACAGCCCTGCTCAAAAACCTTTAAGGGTTTACATTTCCTATGGAGTAAAAACCAAGTCGTAAGCCTCATGTTCCAGAGCCAAGACAGTATGGTTCTATTCATCTTTTGCAGCCTGGGCATGCTCTGGTTTTCTTTAGACATGCACTGTTCCTGTCAAAATGCCTCTTATCCACCTGGGTCTCTTCTCCAGCTGTTTCCTCTGCCTAAAGTTCCCTCACCCCAATTCCTCCATCTCTGCACATCTAAAACCACTAGGGCTACCTCAAGCTTAGCCTGTTCTGTGCAACCTTTCCTGATATCTCTACCTAATCCTTCTTCTGAACCCCTATAGAACTTATCCCCATAATGAGGTCACCCTAACAACAATCAACCAGGTGCTGCCAGCTCTGTCCCACACATCAATATGACCTTCAGCCCCTGCCTAAGTTCCATTGTAGAAGTGTCTCTAGAAGTTCCCAGGGTGCCTCACATGTACTCCCTGAATAAGGACACTTCTTTCAGGTCTTGCCAGTGCTCTGCCATCTTCCCCCAAGCATCTGCTGGGCACCATTGCTCCTGACACAGCTAGGGAGCTCCTACCACGTCAAGGTTTACAGTGTTCTGGAGTAAGTTGCAGAATGAACCTGCAACTCCTCCTTACTGAGGAGTCAGAGTCCACTCTATCAGGGAGATCTCAAAAGAATGTTGTTGATGCTCTAATGGTCTTTGAGGTACTGTAAAACAGTTCTTTCTGCTTATTCCCCCAAGCCCCATCCCTATGGAGCCATAGGATTCCAATGTTAGGTAAATGTGACAGAGCATTGTGCTTTACTTGGAATTGACCCTTCTGCCCAAAATGCTGCATTCTTACTGAGTCAGGTATGTTATACCTGCTCTGTCTTCACACATGGCCTTCGTCAGCCCCTAATATAAGTAAATGAGGGGCTGGACTGCCTATATATTTTCTAGAAAATGTAGTCTTAATGAGTCACTGTTATGGTTGGAAATGTATCCTATCCCTCAAGTATGCTGGGGAAGAAAAGTGGTTAAGACATACTAGATTCTATGATACTCCAGAACTGCACTGCTCAACACAGTGGCTACTGGCCACATGAGGCTATAGAGCACTTGAAATTTAGCTACTCCCAACTGAGAGGTGCTATGAGTATAAAATTCATATCAGGTTTCAAAGACTTACTCCTCCAAAAAAGGGTGTAAAATAAGTCATTAATAACTTTTGTAACGTTGACTACATGTTGAAATAATACTTTGTATTAGGTCAAATAACATGCCATTAAAATGGATTTCACCTCTTCTTACTTTCTTAGTATGGTTTCTAGAAAACTTAAAATTACATACATGGTTTGCATTTGTGGCACACCTTATATTTCTATTGCACAGTGCTGCTCTAGAGCAGCTCTCTAGAGCACTTGTTAGAAATGCAAACCCTTGGGCCCCAGCTCAGACCTACTGAGTCAGAAACTCCAGTAGGGCCCAGCAATCTGTGGCAAACAAGTTCTCCAGCTAGTCCTGGCTCACACTGACATTAAGCTCTCCACCAAGAAGGTAAGCTCTAAAGCACTGAAAATAAGATCCAGAGCATAACGGGATCTCAATAAGTTTTGTTAAATGATTTAATCTTGATGGTTCCTGTTAAGCTCAAAATTATTCTGTCCATCAGTCAGTCAGTGAGAGAGAAAGTAAACAACAAACTTCGTCCCCAACCTTGGAAGAACAGCTCGCTGGTAACTTCAAAAGTTGCCACTAACAGCCGGGGAGAATTGCAAGTCATTATCAGAACACCTTTAAAAATTCTCAATAGAAATGTATGAATACAATGGCTGTGCCAGAAGCAAGAGATAGTCAGACATGAAGAAAGTATAAAGAAAAATAAAAACATGCTAAGTTATAAAACTGGTCTGGGTGCGAAGCCAGGCTGGCTGATGCTTTGCAATGGAGTAGCTCTGAAGCTGCCTCTTCCAGTGCCTGTGCCCTACTGGACAAAGATAGCCACAGCCTCAGTCCCTCTTTTGGTACAGATACCAAAAGGTCTTGATCAACTGGGACTTCACCGATACAGCCCTCAAGAGCCTGCAGTCCTTGCATATCTCAACTTTACCCCTTCAAGCATTCTGAAATTCACCTCAAGTTTCCATTCCTTGTGACATGTGCCATTATCAAGATTCATTAGTTCGTGACCGTGCTTGAAGAGCACACCACAAAATATGCCATGCACACGACAAAGCATGTCCTCTTTAAGAATGAGTGAGAAGTGTATGGAACAGAATCAAAACTGTCAGAGTGGCCTTGCTTTGAGCACTCCCTAAGTGAAATAATGTTCTCCAAACAGCAGTCTCCTGGAAACTGATAACCATGTTTAACATACTTAGTGGCATTAAAACTATCATCCATGTACTTATTTTTTGCCTTTTTAAAAACTGACATATAATATTTTACATATTTATGGGGTACATGTGATATTTTGTTACGTGGATCAAATCAGTTTTGGGGGTGTCCATCCCTTGAGTATTTATCATCTCTGTGTTGGGAACATTTCAAGTCATAGCTACTTTGAAATATCATGCATTTATTAAAAGTAATTCATGCACATTGTAAAACAAGATTAAACAAGGCAGAAATGGATAAAGTAAAAAAGTTCTCTTCTCTGACTCAGTCCCAATCCCTAGACTATTCTAGATTTTTAAAATGTAGATATTAATAGAAATACAAATAGATATTTTTTTTTAAATGAGATCATATGTGCATTCAATTTTGTAACCTGCCTGTCTCACTTGCTCGTATGTCGTGGACAACTTTCAGTGTTGTTTATGTAGATTTACCTCTTTCCATTTGATGTTTGCACAGTGTTCTACTGCATGGATAGTTTATTTAACCACACATTCATCTAACAGTAGTACCCAAAACATAGAAAGCTCTCAATAAATACTGGCTCTTATGTATAATCATAGAAATGTTTTTATATTTCCTTATTTATACTTCCTCACTCCTAAAATGTATTATACTTTTTTTAATGTACAAATTCCCAGACATGTATATTTTATAAAGGATAAACACTAGCTTTTACTCTAGCTTTTATTTATCAATTCTACACTTCAGTTTTCTTTCTGTCTTTATTACTATGTTCTATTTCTTTGAGTTAATTTTATCTTTTTGTTTGTTTTTTTGGAGACAGAGTCTTGCTCTGTCACCCAGGCTGGAGTGCAGTGGCACAATCTCGGCTCACTGCAACCTCAACCTCCCAGGTTCAAGTGATTCTCCTGCCTCAGCCTCCCGAGTAGCTGGGATTACAGGCATGTGCCATCATGCCCAACTAATTTTTGTATTTTTAGTTGAGACAGGATTTCACCATGTTGGCCCGGGTGGTCTTGAACTCCTGACTTCAAGTGATCTGCCTGCCTCAGCCTCCCAAAGTGCTGGGATTACAGGCATGAGCCACCACACCCAGCCTAATTTTGATCCTCTTCTTCTAGCTTCTAGAGTTGAATATGTAACTATGTTTATTTTATTCTCCTGTTTTCTAAAAAGGTATTTTAAAGTCATCTGAGGGAACTATTTTAACATGCCTTTGTCTGTACCCGCTTTTTAATATATAGTAGTCTTACCATCAGTTTACCTAAATAAATCTTAATTTCAGTTCTGAGTTCCTTTAGACCCAAGAATTATTTAGAATAATGTTTTTACACTTCCAAGTGTTATGAGTAGTTTTATTGTCATTGCTAATTTAAGTCTCATTGCAGTGTGTTGAGGCAACATGCCTCATATGTTTTCTATTTTTAAGAAATCACTGAGTTTTTCTTTGTCATAGAAAGGACAAGTTTCCTATCACATGTGTTTTCATAGTGCTGATGAGATGTAATGCAGGCTATTAATTGGAGTACGTGATGCAGTACATGCGCTGTTGTTTATAATGGGTTGCCATCTGGAAGAGGGCCTGTGCCTCTGGGAAACAGACCATTGCTTGCTTCGTGCTGGAATACACACCTACGGTTGCGTGGTATAGCCTGCTCAGCTAGAATCACAATCTCATGATTACTGTTCATGTTTGTAAACTATGACACAGGCAAATTGCAGGATCAGCATCAAAGATGTTAGCTGTGACTAAGAGATTCCTGCTGTGCAAGTTGAAAAACAAATGAGAACATATTATGTTCTTTTTCATTAGTTTTGATAAATCAATTTATTTTTTTCAACGTATTCTTTTTAACTAGCAATAATATTCTCAACTGATGACCCTGCCTTATACTCTCGAACTGTGCTGCCCAATACGGTAGCCACTAGATACACATGGCTATTTACATTTAAATTAATTTAAATTAAATAAAATCCAAACTTCAGTCCCTCAGTTGCACCAACCACTGACCATGTTCAATAGCCACATGTGGCTGTTGTACTGGACAATGCAGATATAAAGCATTTCTATTATTACAAAATTTTTTATTAGATATTCCAGCTCTAGGGGTGAAAATAGTGTGATTGTTTTTTGATGTGTCAACTTGACTAGGTTACAGTCCCCAGTTATTCAATGAAACACTAATCTAGGTGTTGCTGTGAAGGCGTGATTTAGTAGGTGTGATTAAAATGCATAATCAGTTGACCTGTAGTAAGGAAGATTATCCTAGATTATTCAGGTGGGCCAGGTCCCATCAGCTGGATGGAAGGCTTCAATAACAGAACAGAGGTGTTTCTGATGAAGAAGAAATTCTGCCTGTGGACATTTCATTTTATGCCTGAGAGTTCCAGCCCTCTTCCTCACAGCCTGCTCTTCCTCACAGCCTGCCCTGTGAATTTTGGAGGTTTCCCACAATCACACAAGCCAATTCCTTGCAATAAATCTCTCTCTATATATAGAATACAGATATTCAGTAGCAGATATATATTCAATTGCTTCTCCAGTTAAATTCTAATACAGAAACTCTCTCATCTATACAACCCCCAAACTACAAACAAACAGACCTGCCCCAAATTCATCTTCATCTGCTCTCCTGTCCACAGGACTCTGGATCCCATTTACTCTCACCTTCCCAAAGGTGTTGCTCCATTAGTTATCCTTTACCTCTTTTGTGTTTCCATCTTTTCCTTTTCTACTGGGTCTTTTCTATCATGTTCTAGTATGAGTCAAACACTTGAATGCACGCAGGTGGTTTATCTAGAAGTGATCCCAAGGTGGGAAAAAGAGGGGCAAAGTAAAGAATGAAGTGAAGCCAATACACAGATGCCTTTTTTTAAATCACCTTTACAGGCACCAATCCCATGGGACCTTCTGAGCAAACTTATGCAATGGGTCTTAAAAACTGTCCACCAAAGAGAGAAAAGAGGACAGCATTTATCTATCAGCTTTTATTGCCCTGTAGTCAAGGGTCATCCCTTGGTTGTCAACTCCCCTGGTTTCTGGGTTGCACAAGCATGAGTGCTGAAAAGGTTCCCTCACATGTTCCCAGCCACAAAACAAAGAAGCCCTAGAGTAGTATGTGAGAGGAAAGGGCTCAAAGCAAGGCATGGCCAAGTTAAGCCTGCAGGAGCTCAGAACTTAGCAAGGCAGTGGCTAGGCTAAGAGCAGAGCCAACAGGATTTAAAGTAACATACAAGAGGTGTCCAATACAGTCCCCTCCATATGCTAACTTGTTTCCTTATATTCCTTCACAGTCATACTTGCTGAAAGACTTGTGTACATATGCTACCTCCACTTTTCATCTCCCATTCACAACTAATCCAACTGTAAGCTGACTTCTCCCACATCTACTACATCTACTATCTCCCAAACTTCTTCTCAAGGTCACTAATGATCTCCATCTTGCCAATTCCATTGAACCTTCTCCAGTCTTAGTTTACTCAATATCTCAGCACCATTCAACACAGCAATCACTTTCTTCACAAAATACTCTTTTCTCTTGACTTTCATGGCACCACACTTCTAGGTTTTCTCCTGGACTCTCCTTCGTGCTGTCCTTTCCTGGCTCTTCCTTTTCTTTTCTTTTCTTTTCTTTCTTTTTTTTTAGAGATGGGGTCTCACTTTGCAAGGCTGCTCACTGCAGCCTTGACCTCTGGGGCTCAAGCAATCCTCTAGCCTCAGCCTCCCAAGTGGCTGGGACTACAGGAATGCACCACTGTGGTTGGCTAATTTTTTATTGTTTTGTAGAGATGGGGTCTTGCCATCTTGCCTAAGCTGGCCTCAAACTCCTTGGCTCAAGTAATCCTCCCACCTCAGTCTCCTAAATGTTGGGATCACAGGCATGAGCCATGGTGTCTTGCCCTGGCTTTTCCTTTTCTAACACTGGATCCCCTCAGGGCTCCACCCTGGGGCCCCTTCTCTTCCCACTATATACTCTCCTTCTTAGCTAACTCATGTATTCTAATGACTTTAAATATGTTTTCCATTCTTTATATACATCACTCCCACATTTATTTATATAACCTTGATTGCTCTTTCAGCTCTAGACCCAACTGCACACAACTATACAGGAATCTTAACATGTCCAAAATGGAACTCTATATCCTTTCTTGAAAACGTGGTCTTCCTCTAGCCTGTCCCATTCAGTAAATGATACCAACATTTACCTAATTGTTCAAGCCAGAAATCTAGGAGTTAGCCTTGATTCCACCACTCTCACCATCATAGCCAATATAACACAAAGTTCTGTTTATTCTACCACTGGAATATCTCTCAAATCCATCCAACTTCTCTCCATCTCCACTACCATCCACCTTGTCCAAGTCGCTTCTCTCCTGAACTCCTGGGAAACCTCCTAATGGTTTTTCCTGCATCCATTTTTGTTCCTATTCCAATCCTTTCTCCTTATGGCAAAGACATAATCTTATATTGTCAAATCATTTTATTCCCCAGCTCAAAACACTTCAACAGATACCAATTGTTTTTTGGTTAACATCTTAGATTAGTAACAAGACTTAGAGGGCGTCTCTGCATGTTTCTCCAGCACAATCTTGCATCCCAGCCCCGTTCCCTCATATGCGCACCTATATCAGCTTCCTTTCAGTTTCTCATGGACACTGGGCCCTTTTCCTTTGAAGTTTGTTGTGCTATTCCTGCTGAGTGACACATTCTTCTCCTGCTTATTCTGGGGAAATCCCATTCTTTAGGTCTCAGCTAACTGTCACTTCCTTAAAGAGGCCTACCATTGTCCACCTCTCTGTAATTTAGCAATTTGTAATTTTCCTTCAAGGAATTCATCATCATGCATAACTATGTATTTATTTATATAATTATCTGTTATTGCCTGTCCTGCTGCTCCATGAGAGGAGTAAAAACACCTATGCCATTCTTTACAGAATCCTTGGAGCTCAGCATAGTGCCTGGCAATCAAAAAATACTAACTAAATGATTGAAGAGAAGAAGGGAGGAAAGGAGGAAGGAATAAATTATTAAAATCTTATAAAGAAATTAAATTGTATTGTGAGTCTGAAATACTCAAACCTGAACTCCATCTTCCTCATTGAAATAATTGTGTAATGAACACAGGTCTGTGTTAATAAGACCCATCCTTGTTGCTATGTGGACATCTAACCTATTCCTTCTAGCTTCTGTGTCCACCACAAAGTCTTCCCACTTGATACTGAACACTCAGATTGCCTCAAACTCTCCCATCATCATAAGCAATAGCCAATGTTTAAAATGCTACTTTGGAAATGTCTGAAGATGTTTTTAATAAAATTCTGTTAGTGTGAGTCATAAACTACCAGAGTTTTGAAGGATATTTTTCATAATGACTTAAGTACCTAAATTTGGTATTTCCTGCAGTCCCCAAAATAATATTTACAGGTCTTTAGAAAAAAACTGCAAGCACAAAAATGTGCAGTCTCCAATTTGGTGGATGACAAGGGAAATCTATTATTGTAGGCTGAGTTAGGAACTTGACCAGCTGAAGAAAAGGCATAACCAAGATGGCTGCTTCCCAATGGCTAACCTACTCTTGAAGAGAAATAAAGGAGAAAGCCTTGGCAGTCACAACAAACATTTACCCAGTAGCTCAAACCAGAAACCTAGGAATTATCCTGGACTTACGCTTGACATCATTGTTTCACCATCTGGGACAGATCTTAGTCACTTAACATTTCTGTCTTGATGTTATTGCTATTTTATTCACATAATCTCGAACTATAATGGTTGGCAGGTTCAAAAATGAAAACAGCCGTAAAATTATCAGAAAATTTTGACTTTCTGCTAATTCTATGAATACACAGACATTTCACAATAGTTGTTTCCAGATTTCACTCAATGTATCTCCCACTCTGCCTATATCCTCTCTCAATCCCTTTCAATTTATTCTCTACACAACAGCCAGAATGATCATTTCAGAGCTTGCATTTGATCCCCTTATGCTGCAGCTTAAAAGCCTCTCTGTGGCTTCTCAGCCAAAACTGTAACCTGCTCTCAAAGGCTGGCCCTTTCTGCTGTGTCCTCTGCCTCCCACCCTGCTCCTCTCAACTCTACTTTCTAATTGCACACCGGATTCCCAGTTCCTCAAATGTACAGGGCTCCTGTGGGCTCCAGAGCCCACGCACACCCTGCTCTCTCTGCCTGAAAGGCTCCTCTCGATTTCTCCTCCCTGACACCCCCACTCCCAGCCTTCTCATCTCAGACCAAGCATCAGTTCCTCAGGGAAGACTCCCCGGACTTCCCATTAAATGTGCTCATAGACCCTCATACCTCTCCCTGGAGCACTTAAACAAGTTGTAAGTTACACACAGTTCCATGAGACTCTTAGTTTCTGATCATCCCTGCTAGACCAGAAGATCCAAGATCAGGGACTTGCCTAATGTTGCTCTTCATTGTTCCCATGTCCCCGAGTAGAAACCAGCGCAAAGTCAGGACTCAGAAAATGTTTTAAATGGATAAATAAATAAATAGCAATTCATATTATTAAGTATACTGTTCTATTTACTGTGATTCAAGATGAATTACAGTTGAAAAGTCTTTGTAAATTATTTGTAATTATCCCCTGAGCTTTCTTTTTTCTGACTGGTTCAGTTCTCTCTTTTCTCACACACAGATTTGGGCTTGTGTGACTGTTTACTTGTACAGTATGGGATTAGGATGGTGAGGGACTGGTGATAACAGCCAGGCTGGAGCACCAGGCAAGACTATCATCTTAGTAACAGTGAATCCCACTGAACAGCAGTGGATATTAGAAGGAAGATGAAAATTGCAGTCATTACTATGGTTCATCTAAGTAGACCTATGGTATGACCAGGAGTGGACTGACATTTCGGTGCACAACCATCTGGATTGCTGCCTAGTTTATGAATGCTGGGAACAGCCCACTAGACATGGGCAGACCAAAAGTAGTCTTGTCTCATAACACAATCCTGCACCTTTATTCATATCGGTGATCCAGGAATAGATTTGAGTTGGTCAGATTCTCTCTCCCAGGAATTTGAAACCAGGAATGAAAAAAAGGAGATTAGGAGATTAGGAATTCCCAGCGTTAAGTTCAGGTAATAGCAGTGGACTCCAGAGACACTTCTCATGATTGTTCAACTTTTGGTTCTGTGAGGTGTCTCTGTAGCCTTCAAATAAATTTCCCCTTCTTTTTTGTAACCAGTCAGAGTCGGTTTCTGTTATTAGCAACTCAAAGAGCTCCACAATTGCAAATATAGAGATGGTACCTCTGTGCATGTGTGAAGACTGAAAAGTGGGGGAGGAGAGAAACAGAGAGAGAAAGAGAAAGAGAGAGAGAAACAGAGAGAGAGAGAGGAGGAGGAGGAGGAGGAAGATTTGGAGAGAAAGAGAGAGGAGATCAGATGATTAGAATAAGAGAAAGATACTGGGATTTGGGGATACCTAGCAAGGGTATGGACTGAAAAATGAAGTTCTGCTGGAGCTAAAGTTACATAAAGGCCCAAACTAGGGAATAAATCAGGCTCAAGAAAAAGAAAATAGATAAAAGAAATCATTTAGTAGAAAAAAATCACTTTAAAAATGAAGGGAAAAATTAGACTGCAGTTATTCTGACAGAGCTATCAACCACACTGGAGGAATTAAGGACTGGAATGTACTTCCTGAGGGGTTGGTATTTATTTTTTTCTGATTTTTAATGTTTTTTCCACTTTCCACATAATCTAGTTTATGATGAGACTTGGTGAAAAATCTGCAAAACAACAACAGCAACAAAACACACAGGTGAGGATCACTGTTGTGACCACAGATTACAATAAATTTTTTTGGTGACTAAGATGACAGAGTCTGTAAATCCTGAGATTTCACGAGGCACAGATGGCACAGAAGTACTCATTTGTTCATTTGCAGACAGAGATGATGTCTGTTCTAGTGATTTCCTCACTGGAAAAAATCTACTGGATTTACAGTAACAGATGGCTTTGCTCAAGTTTGTAAAATAGATTTATTAGGCCACTTTGGACCTTCCAAGCCAGATTAAATATTCATAGCAGCTTTATGCGAAGAAAATATTTTTATTTTATTACTCATCATATATTTTAGAATTTCATAGGTCATACAATAAGAAAATCCTACTTGCTTACTTAGGCAGAATAGATCAGCAACAACTTACAAGGCTGACTGATATACAGGAGAAATGAGCAAAGCAAGCTTTAGTACTGCACTATTTACAGAACGATGGAAGGTGTCTTATTCTCTGCAAGGTCCTGCTCACCTGCCCATTCCCCTCTTGAACTTGGTCTCATCTCACACTGTGTTCCTGCCACAATGGGGCCCTTCCATCTCCTCAAGCTGAATTGTGGTCCTCCGGTAATTTGTCACCTGTCCTCAGCCTGGAATGTTATGTTCCAGACACCCATCCCTATCTTCCCCAGCTTCCTTTATTACATGTCTTCATGGGATGGGTGGAGGGTTTCATTTCCTTCATTGGTGGGAGTTATTTGATTGACACTGTCTCACCGCTGGACTAAAGGCTCTGTGAGGGCAAGAACTGTGTACTTTTCTCTTAAATCAAGTGTCCCCAGGATCTAGCAAAATGTCTAGTACACAGTAGGTATTCAATAAATCCTTGTTAGTAAATGGATAAAACTAAGTTATTGTTCAATCTTAATATGCCACTTCTAAAAAGACCAGATGGGTACTTCTTTATTCTGGCCTAGGAACACTGAGGGGTAGGGTGGGCAGAGGGGAGTGGAGGCTTTAGCATTGTTGCCAGCTCTTCCACTTTCTTCCTGCTTCTTCTATTCAGGATCCAAATCCTGTCACCAAGTGTTGAGTAATGCTTCTCACATCTGTCCTCACCTTCCCTTCTAGGGTCACTGTCCCAGGTAACACCACCACATGGATGACTGCAACACTTGTTCACCTGTTTTCTTGGCTTCCCTTGTAATCTCACCTGCACATGGAGTTATCCTCTCAAATTCAGCCTGAATTTCAGTTGGAAATGGTACCCCTGAGTCCCTCCTGCAACTTTTCCAATTGCTGACCAAAACAGTGGTTCCCTACCTTATATGCCTTGGAATCACCTGTGGAGCTTTGTAGATTTACACTATCTATAAACCAGGCACAGACAGATTGAGAATAGCCTACCCAGTTTTCACCATAACTTATTTTATTTATTTGAATGAGGATAGGAAGGGACTTCAAGTCTGCCCCTTTGATAGACCACTGATTCAGAGAGTCAGTCTTGCATCCTCAAAGCGGCAAATCAGCTACTCCCTAGCCCACGGATGCCACTCTCTGAAGTGCTATTGTTCCTCAGCCCATGTCACCAGCTGGCAAACGTGGAAAACCCCAGAAAACAACTGGACAGGAAGTAAGGTGGGAGATGTGTCCTGGCTTTAGTGAGTTGCTTCCTGAGAAGAAAGGTCCCCACAAGAAAAGCATTGTGGGTGGATGATGGGGAAGAACATGTGGTAAGAGCAAATGCTGGAGAAAGGCTTTCATACGTATGAACCCAATGAACTTGATGAACCCAATGAACCCAGTTGGAGAATCACAGGGACAGGCAAGTAGAGGTAGAAAATGATTCCTCATGACAGGAAACAACATGAAGAAAAAGCCTTCAAGATTTTTGGAATTTGGGTGGGAGATGGGAATGTTTATAACTGTACTACAGAAAGAGATCTGAGAAAACTAATCACCTATCTCCACATCGCCTGAGATTAGAGCCAGTGAGATTAGCTTTGCCTTATTTGAGATGAGTAAAAAGAAGAAAACACATACAAACCCAAACCATAATAGCAGCAATAAAAACAGGAGTCTAACAAAAAACAAACAAACACCATGAAAAAAGGAGAGCATCATTCCGGAGATAAGGAAGAAAAGCAAAGCCCCCAAAACTATCTCCTGCAAAATACAGATGACAATCTCAGAAAACTGTTTTATAAAATGTTAAATGACCACCTCCATAGAGAAAGCAGGGAAAAGCTAAAAGAAGAGAATCAGGTGGCATGAAAAAACTAAGATAAGAGGAAAGAGGAGACAGGAAAGAAAGAATTACAAAGAATCTAAAAATGTAAAAGCAAAATTTTAATCCACATTGATGTCAATGAAAACCAGTATTGACACTGTAGGAAACTGACAGTATGGCTGGCAAACTTGGGAAATTTTCACACAAAACAGAAAGAGTATATTGATCCCCAAGGCCCTCACCCAGAAACTCTGATTTAATTGACCTACAGTAGGGCCTTAGAGCATTTTTTGTTGATGTCGTTTGTTTTTAATTTTTATATCCATGCCACATCTCAGACAACTTAAAATAGAATTGCTAGGGATGGAACTGAGGCATCAGTACCTTTTAAACCTCCCCAGGAGATTCCAATGTGCAGTCAAGGCTCTAGAGTTTTGGGGGCAAACTTCTGTAATCTAAGGATTTCTAGGTTATTTTTCATTTATGAAGACAACAGGCATTCAAGTACTTACGAACTACTAATATATCTTCTAGAAGAAATGACTTGCAGATACTCAACTGACTAAAACATGAGATAAAACAAAGAAACAAAAACTAGTAAAGTTATGGTATAAAAGGTGTGGTTCTGGTTCAAAATGCATATATTAATATTGAAAAACTATACATATATACATATACACACATACATATATAATGAAAAAACATAATTTAATAAAACTAATAAATCTCCATATTATATTAGCAATGATTGAAAATAGAAAGTAGAGCAAAATATATATACACACACATACATATTTAATATATACATTTATATGTATATACACACATGTGCATGTGTGTGTGTATATAGGAGAAAAAAGACAAAATAAGCAAAATAAACTTAAGGTACTCATAAAGCTTCATATTCAAAGTACCATATCTCTGAATCAATTTTATACTCAGTTGCCTGGTCACACCTGTAAGAATAACAGTACAACAAGTATTCTGAAACACAGAGTAAAAATTTATTCAGTTTTCAGAATCAAATTTAATTTAATTTAAACACCACCCATAAAAAGATGGAAGGACACCTTTCTTATCTTTCAATCATATTTGAATTTATATCTAGGAAAATGGAGAGACTCAGTCATTTTATCAGTTTTGATTGCTGCTAACTATAATTGTTACTGCAAGGGTACATGGTTCATTCAAAACCTCCCATTCATTTTGACAGCTTTCCTCCCTGCATCAAGTCTAGCAATATCTCCTGAAGCCATATGACTTATTTTCTCAGAGCCTCTGCAATTAAGGGCCCAAGTCTGGACCACCAATGTAACTTCACTCCTCCAGGAATCCAAGTACTGAAAGCAGGCCATAGCCCTTTTCAATCTTTGAAGTCGTACCCATATTAGTGGGCTTTTACTCTTAAAACATAAAGATCAGGGGACTTCTGTTCCTGAATAAAACGTAGTAAGATCGTAGCAGACTAGAATTCCCATTGCAACAATTATAAAGAACCAGATAAATTAAGAAAGTCACATTTTTAAGAATCTCAGAAAATGAGGAAGCAATGAAGGCTACATAAATCACCAATTGTTTTCTTCCCTGGGGACATTTTACAATTCTGGGCATGGACTAAGAATTTGACTTGACTTATAAAGAAGGAATCTACTTGGGGAAAGAGAAACCAGAGAGGTTTTTGGCAGTCACGTGGGGCTGGTGGGAGAAACCAGAAATTTGGTAAGTGCTAAACACATAGCTGGTTTTCCCCCGGGACATCTTCTGGGTTCAGGGGCTATGCAAAGAAGGCTGGGACATTTGTTTAAAGACTTCAAAAAGTCATAATAAAATCTCCTCTAGTTTCATGGTGCTAAGGGGAAAAAGTCTAATTAAAGGAAGAAGTCTTGCCATTCAAACACACAGCCAGCCACCCTGTTTAGGACATCTTCCAGATTTTGAAGCTGTAATGGGGCAAGGGGTGCAAGGCTAAAGAGCTAAGTTCAAAACCTCTAACGTACAGCACTAAATTCCCCACAATCTTTCAGAACTGAGAAGACAGAATTCCTGCAGGCTGTAATCAAAAGTCCAGAATAGCTATGTTTGAGGAACAGAAAAAAACCAGAAGTGGACTAAGTCTTACTAAAGCTGCAACTTAGCCCCTATTCAGCTCGAAGATAAAACCTTCATCCTAAGAGTGTTTCCAAAGAGGAATGTGGAAGCCCTTTCTAGTATAGGGCATCAACTGGAGCCTCTGCAGTGCTTCTATTTATATTGTCTGGTTTATAATAAAAAAATTACTAGACATGCAGAGAAGCAGAAAAAATGTGACTGATCATTATAATCAAGAGAAAAGATAAACAATAGAAGCAGACCCACAGATAAGCCAAATATTGAAGCTGGCAGATGAGAACTTTATTAAAAAACTCATTAATATACTACATGAAACAGAAGAAAATGGGGGAAATGGATGCAATGATAATGAATATAGAAAGATTTAAATCTTTGTAAAAGAATCAAATGTACATTCTCTAACTGACAAATATAACACCTGAGTTTAAAAACACATTAGGTGCATTTAACAGCAGACTGGACAGAGAAGTAGACAAAATTATTAGACTTTAAGATAGGATTATAGAAAATATACAAATCCAAGCACAGATGAAAAGAACGTATAAAAAGAAAACTGAGCATACGAGATAGTTAAAAGGTATACCATATTTATTTAAAGTTCCGGAATAAAAGGAGAAATAAATGGGAGCAGAAGCAGTATTTGTGGAAACAACAGCCAAAATGTTTCCAAAGTTGATAAGACATTACTCAACAGATTCAAGAAGCTCATCAAATTCTAAGCAAGATAAATAAAAGGAAAACAACAGTTAGACATATTTTTGTCAAACTTCTAATAATCAAGAATTAAAAGAAGCCTTAAAAGTACCCAGAGGGAAAAAATACATTAACTTCAAAGGAGCAACAATAAAATGAATGGCTGACTTTTCAACATAAATTATGAAAGCCAGGAGATAATGGGACAATATCTCAGAGTGCTGAAATAAAAGATTGTCAATTTAGAACTTTATGCTTATTTAAAATATCATTCAAAAATGAAGGAAAAGTAAAGAAATTTTCATCCAAATGAAAATGAATTTTTAACAGATCTTCACCACAAAATCAATTAAAGAAAAAATTTAAAGCAATCATATAAAGGCATGAAACTGAAAGAAGAAATAAAGAGCTTCAGAAAATGTAAATATGTGGGTAAAAATAAAATATTATTGTTTCATGTAACAAGAATAATAATGTCTTGTTGAAATTATAACATATAAACAAAATATGTGACAATATCACAAAGGCCAGAGGAAGAGTATTATGTCAAGAATGCATATTATGGTCTCCAGAGAAATCATAAAATAATAACATAATTTATTACTAACCATATAGTAAGTAGAGAAATGAAATAATAAAATATGCTTGATTAATCCAAAAGAAGACTAGAAAAGAAGAATAAATGAGCAAAGAACAGATGAACTGATAAAAAATAAATAGCAAGATAGTGGACTTAAACCCAACTATATCAGTAATTCCATTCCATATGAATAAGCCAAACAATAACATTTTTTTTAAAGATTGTTAGATTAAATTTTTAAAACTTGACTACATGTTACAGACAATAATTACTATATAGAGAGACACAGAAAGGGTGAGAATGAAAAGATGGTAAATGATATATCACCTTGACACTAACCAAAAGATAGCTGATGTCATTGTGCTAATAGCAGACATTGCCAAATACACTGTATGTTAGCCTAAGAGGAAGTCTTAACTTTTTTTTCAAAGGATTCAAATTATATGTAATATGTTCTCTGACTACAATAGAATTAAAATATAAATAAATCAGAGAACGATAATTAGAAAATCTCCGAAATATTTGGAAATTATGCAACATACTTCTAAATAACTCAAGGATCAAAAAATCAAATAAAATTAGAAAATATGAGCAAAATAACAATAAAAGTGACATATTAAACAGTGATGCCAAAAAGGAAATTTACAGTTCCAAATGCAAATGAATATTTAAGATGAGAGAAAAAAGAAAGACTGAAAATCAATAAGCCTAATTCAGACAAATTTAATCCAAGGAAAACAGAAGAAAAAATATTAATGAGCAGAATTAATAGATTAAAAAACATATTACAGGGAAAGCAAACAAAGCCAAAAGTTAGTTCTTTGAAAATAGTAATACAATTTATAAGTCCTTATTAATGCTGATCAAGAAAAAGAGGGAGAGAAAACACAAATTATCAATATCAGGAATAAAAGGAAAATCATCACTACAGACATTTAATAAACAATCGTGTGTCACTTAATTTTAAAAATTGAGATAAAATAGATAAAATATTGTTTAAAAATAAACTCCAAAATGGACACAAGAAGAAATAGAAAATCTCAACAGTTCTATATCTGTTAAAGAAATTGAATCTACCTATTGAATTGTTCTATGTCTATGGAGTTGAATAGTTTATATCTATTAAAGGAATTGAAAGAAATTAAAACTCTTTTCACAAGGGCTTCAATGGTGAATCTTTACACGTATTTAAGAAATAAATAATATCGATCTTACACAAACTCTTCCTCTTCACTTTACTGTGTTTTTTAATCTTTGGCTAGGTAAATCAGGAATTTAGTCTAAAAGGGAAGAAAAAAAAGAAGACAAGTGTTCTTAGAGTTGTCTCCAAAGTGGCCTACAACCTCCCAGCAAATTTGCTTTCTTGACCAGAAACATTACATTTTAAAAAGCGTTTACTCCCCAAGGGGGCAAGGAGAGTTCACACCTTTAGAAACATAATCCTAGTTTTTCTTATTGTGGGTTGGGGATAAGGGATGTGAATTTTTACATTGTAAATCTACAGGGGAAGAAAAAGCTGCAAGCAAACTTTTTCAATAAGTCCATCAGCTCAGTGGTAATATAAAGTGCTTAGGACAGTGCCTAGTTTATAGCAGTCACTCAACATTTTTTTGGTTCCGTTCTCACTTTAACTTTCAAATCTGCAGCTTGTAGTAGACACTTGTTTATTGCCCCTAGCTTCCACTTATCTTCTTGGGCAATAGTCCTCAAATTCTCCTGTGTAGGGACTATCTTACCTCTATTCACAACCCATATATAGACGACCCTGTATTTGGGCTTTAGCGGTCAAAAAGCACCTTGGACAAATGAGGTCCAATGAAACCATGATGGTTAATTTTATATATCAATTTGACTGGGCCACGGGATGGTCAAACATTATTCTGAGTGTTTCTGTGACGATGTTTTTGGATGAGATTGTCATTTGAATCAGTAGGCTGAGTAAAGCAGATTGTCCCCCTCATGTGGGTGGGCCTCACCCTTCAGTTGAAGTCCTGACTAGAACAAAATGGTTGACCCTCTCCCAAGTAAGATGGAATTCCTCCTGTCTGAGTATCTTCAGACTGAAACAGTGGCTCTTCCTGGGTCCTTTGGACTGCAACTACACCATCAGTTCTCCGGCCTTCAGACTTGGACTTTGGACTTGCACCATGAGCTCTCCTGGGTCTTTAGATTTCTGACTCACTCTGCAGATCTTGACATTTGTCAGCTTCCATAATCATGGGAGCCAATTCTTTATAATAAATCTCTTTATATATGTATATATACACACATATATACATATATATAAATAGATTGCATAAATGTATATATTCATATGTATATAAACATATTTACATATTTTATATATGAGGAGTCAATAGAGCTAAAAGTGGAGCTGCTCAGAGGATGGGGAGCAGAGAGAGGAATCCTGGGGACATTGGCTAAGCCCTAATTTAAGTTGTGCCTGAAGCTCCCCTGGATCTTTCAACTTTTCAGCATCTATCAGCCAATACATTCTTTTCTTTTATGAGAATTTGGGCTGAATTTTCTGTCACAACCAAAAGAAGTGTTTTCCTTAATGAACACACACACACACACACGTACACACAGACACATATGGACACACATACACACGTACACATAGACACATGCACATACATACGTACAGACACACACATATGCATACACACACATATACACAAACGTACACACATATACACACACACACAGATGTCCCTGATTTTTCTTTATTTTTATTGCTTCTGATTTAAGTATGCTTCATTTAATAGACAGGGCATTTTGTTTTCTTTTTTTACACCAGCACTGAACAATCAAACTTTCTTCAGGGATGGAAATGTTTTACATCTGCACTGTCCAGTGAAGTCCCTGGACTGGGTAAAAGTGCCTAGAAAGAGAACGTTGACAAAGAAAAGAAGAGGCCAAGGATGGGGGTCTGATGAAGGAGGAAGAGCTAGCAGATGAGAAATGGCCAGTAGAGTTGAAGGAGTCCAGATAAATGCGTAGCACAGAAGCCTAGAGAAGAACATGTCTCAAGAAGGGGGAACCGACCATTCCTACTGTGTGCAGCTGAGAAATCAAAGAAGATGTGGGTAGAGAACTGCTGTTACTGATAAATGCCCATTCAGTGGTGTGGCAGAGATGAAAGCCCATTGGAGTGGGCTGAGGATGAGAATGAATGATGAGGAAACGTAGACCTTGGGGTTGGATGACTCCCTCCAGAAATTTTTCAGTAAAAGGAAACAGGGAACTGCGCAATAGTTAGAGGGAGCATGGGATCACTTTTTTTGAGAGAGATGATACTAAGTAATTTTTATAATATATGCTAGTAGGAAAGATCCAGTAGTGAAGGAGAAGTCAGTGGTGCACAAGAGGAAGGAGACAGCTTCAGGATTGACACCCTTGAGAAGGTGAGAAGGGCTGGATTCACAACATACACATGCTTCTCCGCAAACAGGACCCTTTGTGTCTAATACAGCACTGACTCAGTAAATAAACTGAAACTTGAAAAGGTAGAAACAGAAAGCCAGTGTTCTTTCCCACCACCATGCCACAGAACTACCTTTCTCAACTTGTACTTTCCTGCTCCTGGACAAAAGCTCCAGAACATCTCATGGCTTTTTCAATTACTCTCAGATAACAACAACAACAAAAAAATCCATTAGTCATGTTTAGCACCCTGTGTATTATCAACACTCCAAAATTTAATTTTAAGTTTCTCCTCTCCTCTAGCTCTGGCCTTTGCCACACCAGGAAATCACCAGTGAGGGAAGGGTAGGAGAAGTTGCTTCTCCTTTCCTGCTTGCTTCACCTCATCCACAGTCAGTCTGACCTGCTGGTTTGTTTTTGTTTTGTTTTGTTTTGCTTTTTTGGCAGTTCCATGGCTGGAATCCAGTAGGTAAGAAAGGTAAAAGAAAGGCCTTATTCAGTTGGTGTGTTATAATTCAGCATAGATGCCCTTTCAGGATGCAGAATTTAAGTACTAATTTTCTCTCTTCTGAAGCATTTTTATAGATTCTTCAAAGACATCCAATAGATAAGAATCTCCCAAAGAGATCAGCTGGACCCCTGCCCCATGGTTTCCGACAGTTCATCTCCATCTGTTGAGGTCACCTTCTCTCAAGGTCCTCTCGGTGTCTACTACAAAATGATCCAATCTAGTCCCTTCCATGGGGTTCTCATCTGACTGAGGGGAAACACCTTTGCCCCACCAAACCCTGGAAGTACAACTTATGACCAATGAAACTCTCTATTCCATGGCTCCAGAGCAGCAAACTAGAGACAGTCTCCCCTCTTCAAACTTCTCATGTTTTCCTTCATACTCCGGGGGACACGTGTCAACTTCTCTGAGAGTTTATCTTCCAGCTCTCCTTAGTTGGTTTGAAATGGCAGGTGTATTCCCTCCCCTCCCTCCCCAATGCCCCCACACACTGACAACTCTCTCCAAAGATGCTCTCCACCCTGGCATCTCTGATCCTCTCTATTATGTCACCTGGACCTGGCCAATGGACTAATGCCAGCAACACAGATGTCACTGTCTCTAAGCATATCCTGCCTAGATGGTTCAATACCTCCCTTTGGAATACTGGAATATTTGGTTCTCAAACTTGGGGTACCTGCCAAAACTCTGAGAGCAAATGAATCTCATTTTAATATTCTACAGAAATCCATAAAAAGAGGGTGAGTGCATAAACAGTCAGTGTCACTGCTGTGGCCAGAGTTTGCCTGATATTGCATTTGACTTTCATAAATTATTCCTTCCAGCATCCTTCTTCCTAACCATTTATCTTTCTTATACTCTACAGCAGAAGTAGGAAGGGGCAGGGAGACCACATGCCATTACAAAGGTTGTTAACTGCACAAGGCACCTGGCTGAGGAGGTGAATGGTAAATAAAATATAAAGTACTGTTTGTTTTAGGTCCCCAGCTTGGGGCTGCACAGTCCTTGAGGGTAACCTGTTTTATTTCATTCTCAAAAAGGTGTCTCATGGCTTAGCAGAGGCCCTGGAAAGAAGCTACAGAAACACAGGAGGAATCACTCGTCCAAACAGAATGATAATGGCTCTGTGGTAGAAGAGAGAGCACTATAATAGTAGTATGAGATTTATCTTTGCCCAAAAGGATGATGTGACCTAATACAGAAAATCCAGGAGGCACACTGATTGGGGCTGGCAAGAAGGGATAAGCAAAGATAGACTCCAACCAGGAAGAATGAGCAGAATTTGAACTGGATTAAAAAGTTAGTTGAGCCAATTAAATTCAAATGGAGAAGATAACTCATCTAAAATTACTTTCTCTCATTTTGAAATATCATTTGGCATTGGTTCATTGTTTTAAGTATTCAACTATGTTACAGAAATGCCTCTACACTTCTTTGCACTAACAGGATTCCAGACCCTGCCCATGGGGTTAGCGATGCGATCTGAGTACACCTCCCACCCCTTTCCTTGCCTGGAACATTTGACCCTCTGAAGTCATCCAAAAGATCTGGATCAGGGGTGGCTAAGAAACTACGTATGTCTATGAATGATGGAGGTAATGGCTGTTTGCATCTCCCTTAGGTTAATACTCAGAAATAAATATAAATTCTAGGAAGGAAGCTTCTGATTGTGTAGTTATGGTAAATTACTTTGGTTTAAACTACCAACTGTACCTGGACTGGTGAGAGAGTGAGTGAGAGTGAGCAAGTAAGGCAAAAGAGAGAGAGACTGATTATGGTTATTAAGTTTCTCGAAAACCCTTAGCTACATGTTGGCTTCTTCTTGATATAACACAAAACAAACTACTCTCCTAAGTAAACCAAGAATATTAAAAACTTCTTTTTTTTTTTTTTTTTTTTTGAGTCAGGGTCTCACTCTTTTGCCCAGGCTGGAATGCAATGACGTAATCACAGCTCATTGCATCCTTGACTTCCCAGGCTCAAGTGATCTTTCCACCTCAGCCTCCCAAGTAGCTGGGACTACAGGCACAAGCCATCATGCCCAGCTAATTTTTATTTTTTTAAATCTTTTTGTAGAGATGGTGTCCCATTGTGTTGTCCAGGCTGGTCTTGAACTCCTGGCCTCACGCGATCCTCCCACCTCAGCCTTCCGAAGTACTATTACAGGTGTGAGCCACTGCGCCTGGTCAAAAAATTCTAATCCTTAAGAGAGTAACACAAAGCCCTAAGGTAAATTACCTTGTTTATTATAGAATAAAGGTAGACTTAAAGGCAGGTACTTTCTTCTCCTAGCTCGCATTGCATTTAGTATTCAGTATAACCTGCTATTTATAAAGTTATCCAAAGGCATCTTGGCATGAACCAAACCACACAGACAAGATAACATCACTTCCCTGGGAATTGCTAAGCTTCCTTTGGTCTCTCCCCTGTCAGCAGAGGCAGAGAGGTGCTGCCTCAATCCTAGCATACTGGAGACATGATTTTTCCACTGCAAGTTGCATCCTATTCCATAGCCACATGGGATCCTGACAACTGAGGACTAAAGTAGACAGTGAGCCTCTGAGCAAATTCACTGTTGATGGGCTTGTCACTAAAAATTCACTTCAGTTGTACAGAACCAAACCAAGTATTACAGGAGAAGGGATTTGCCTCGCAACCAGAAAATAGACGTTACTCTCCATACTAGCCTTAGAGATTCTCAGCACTGCAGGACAATAAACATGAGCAGGTTGGACTCCTTGCCTGATGTGAGAATTCCTCTGCAGCATCCTTGTCAAATTCTCATCTATTGGTAGAAGTAGAATTGCTGGGTAGAAGAAAAGCACATTATTACCTTTATCGGCACTAAGAAATCACACTCCGAAAAGGTTATAACAAGTTATACTCCCTTCAATTAGGTTTTACGTTGTCTCCTATTCTCACTAATACCAGACATTCAACATTATGAGATTATTTAGTTTTGTCAAATCTGATTTACCAAATAGTATATCTGCATATATGCATACCTATATCATATAGAGTGGGTATTTTAATTTTTTTTTTTTTTTTGAGATGGAGTCTTACTCTGTTGCACAGGCTGGAGTGCCACTGTGCCATCTCAGCTCACTGCAACCTCGGCCTCCTGAGTTCAAGTGATTCTCCTGCCTCAGCCTCCCAAGAAGCTGGGATTACACACACACCACCACCATACCCAGGTAATTTTCGTATTTTTGTAGATACGGGTTTCACCACATTGACCAGGCTGGTCTCAAACTCCTGACCTCAAGTAATCTGCCGGCCTTGGGCTCCCAAAGTGCTGGGATTACAGGCATGAGCCACCACACTCGGCCTAATTTGTATTATTGATATTAGCAGGTTTATTGCTAATTAGTGTTTCTTCTTTGAGTTTTTCTTTTTCCTTATTTTTTTCTGTATAAGCCTTTGATCTGCTATGTATGTTGCAAATTTTTCCCCATCTTTCTCACTTGTTCTTTAACTTTGTTCAGAGTATATTCTGTCATGTAAATATTTTAAATTTTCATGTGGTCAAATATGTTGGTCTTTTAGGATTTCTAGGTTTTACACTGTGCTTAGAAAGGCCTTTCCTATCTCATGATGATAAAAATACTCATTCTTCTGGAGTTTTGTTGTCATCTTTTTGCAAATCATTTATTCATCTAGATAGAGCCTGAATATAAAGATCTAACTTTTTTCTTTCCAAATAGTTTAAAAGACCTCTTATACCTCCATTCTCCAATCTGAATAGCTGAATGAATGAGAGAGTGAAAAATAGTACTGGCAATTAGTTGAATGGGCTCTTACTGTTTTTCACCACCGCCTCAGATCCAGGACAAAGGGAAGGGACTGAATTCCCATTCTGCAGAGGTTACACCTCCCTCCTTATTTTGTCATATCTTCCCTGAGTCTATATAATAATTAGTTAGCAAAATAACATAATTGGAAAAAAAGCTTCTCTGAGATGTGTAGATACTTTCTCAAATGTGCACTGACTAAGGTCTTATCATAATTTTCTTAAGGAACAACTCTCTTTCCATCCTAAATGCCAGACCAATGATATGATCTTTGGCAATGTACTCTGGAAGAAATAAAGTAGCATCTCATTCATTCCTTGCTGTCTTCAGATGACAGTCTATGGAGTATGGGTGTATTTGTAGGGGTGAAAGTGACAAAAAAGAAGGCAAGCCATATGAAGATTATATCTGCTTAAAATTGACACGTTTAAATTTCTGCAAAGATTCCAGACACTGTTTTAAGACAGCTGAAAAACCACTAAACTATTCTGCCCACATGCCCCAAATATTCTATCTCACCATAACCCTCTTGGATTTACACATACCAAAATGCTCAAGGGCCATTTCCTGAATTTCTGCCAAATGTTCCGATAACACTTCAGCTTAGATTAATTCAAATTCCAAGGAAAACACCAAAGTGATTTATGACAAGGAAAAAGAGATATTTAAACTAAAAACATAATCAACAGTAATTTACAAACTGAAGATAATTTTATGTCACTACTCAATTTTGGAAAAGCAACTCTTGTAGGAATTTCCCTTCTCTCCCCCAGTGTACAAATAGCCAGACTTTTCATGTGGACATCACTATTTACAGTAAATGGAAGACCTTGCATCTCACTTCTAAAAATAGGTAAGATACTCTATAAAAGGATATGTCTCACTTCAAATAATCCCTTTTACTTATTAAAACAGGTATTTATATTTTATCATATAGAGATTATTTCTTTATGGAGTTAAAAAATGGATGGCCAGGTACAGTGGCTCATGCCTATAATCCCAGCACTTTGGGAGGCCGAGGCAGGAGGATGACTTGAGCCCAGGAGTTTGAGATCAGCCTGGGCAACATAATAGAACCCCACCTCTACAAAATAAAATTTTTTAAAAAAAGATGGATGTGTCACTTAACTTTGTTGAAGCTGATCTAAAGTTACAGGTTGGGCTGAAAATTATAAAATTCTAATTTATTTGAAAAATGTTAAAGTATCAAGTTAGCTTTTATCTTTGTAAGGATATTATTGCATCCTTCATTATACTGAAAAAAATTTAAGCTCCTATATTATTTTACTCATGATAAAAAATGGCTACATCAAAACATATTGGCAAATATACATACTTTGATAGATTTTATTAAGCAGTGGTCTTTCACCAATGATTATACAGTCATGCATCACTTAACAACAATGGGGATACATTCTGGTAAATGCATTGTTAGATGATTTTGTCATTGTGCAAACATCATAGAGTGTACTTACACAAACCTAAAGGGTATATAGCCTACTACACACACCTAGGTTATGTGGTATAGCCTATTGCTCCTAGGCTACGAACCCATTCAGCATGTGACTGTACTGAATACTATAGGCAATTATAACACCATGGTAAGTATTTATGTATCAAAACATAGAAAAGGTACAGTAAAAATATGGTATTATAAACTTATGGGGCTACTGTCATATATGCAGCCTATCATTGACCAAAACATCATTATGCAGTGTATAACTATTTTTTTAAATTCTCACTCTTATTTCATCCAAGTAGTTAAATTCTTAATGAATTTTGTCCCCAAAATTTGTAAAAAAGAAAAATATAGGAAAACAGTTCAGCTTATAATAGCGGCAGCAGAGGAGAGGGTTATAGCTTAGAAACTGGAAAGAATAGTTCTGTTAAAACAAGCAAAAGCAAAAGACATTTAAGTTACCAAGCAACTATGACAGGAAGATTGTGAGGCTGAGTGAAAATGATTGTTTAGGGTATAGCTTTAAAAATCAGCTGGACTTGTCACCATTTAAAAATAGATTCCAAGCAAAATAATAAAAACCCTTATTTTACAGTTACTATCTAGTCCGAACATTAGTTGCGTTGGGCAGAATAACAGCCCCCAAAGATAATGTTCAGTTCCTACTTGCTGGAACTTGTGAATATATTACTTTATGTGGCAGAAGGGACTTTGCAGATGTGATTGAGGATCTTGAGATGGTGAGATTACAATTGATAGTAAATTATAATATTATCTGTATTATCTAGGCAGGCCAAATGTAATTAGAAGGGTCCTTCTAAGAAGGAGGTAAAAGGGTCCAAGTGAGAGATGTGTTGCTAGAAGCAGAGTGTCAGAGAGAGGTTTGAAGGTGTTACATTACTGGCTTAGAAAATGGAGGGAGGGGCTTTGAGCCAAGGAATGCAAGTGATTTCTAGAAGCCAGAAAGCAAGGAAATGGATTCTCCCCTGGAGCCTCCAGAGGGAATACAGCCCTGCCAACACCTTGACTTTAGCCCAGTGAAACTGATTTTGGACTTTTGACCTCCAGAACCATAAGACAATACATCTGTGTTTTGTTAATGCTGCTAAATTTGTACTAATTTGTTACAGTGGCAGTAGGATACTAATATATTAGCGTAGCCCAAGCCATCTGTGAAATGAATACATTTGCACTCATTTGAACAAGAGACCTCCATATGGGTGTCACATCTCTCTATGTGAAGAGCTTTATGGAACAGTATTCTGGACAGGTAAATGCACAGGGCTAGCAGCCTAGAGGAAGTGTGGAAGGAAAAGAGTTGGAGAAGAACTGATGGGTACAAGGGACCACATTTGCAGTAGAAAAGGCCCAAGGTAAGGGGATGAAGGTCACTGTCGGATACCAGTGCCTCTGCAATGAAGGTTTCAAGGTGAAGACCAACTCCAGTAAAGAGCTTGGTGGAGATCCTGGTCCCTATGCTCATTTTTAATTTTTTTTCTCTTTCTTAACCAGCCAACAACAAAACATTTAAATGTATTTGCTGCACTTACAAATGTCTCTAGAAATATGTAATGCATGATTTCAAAATGGGCCTGAACAGTTGTCTGAGTGGGAGACAAACACAATTAGTCTGCGTCCCACTGCCTGGTGAGGTGGCCTGCTGGGGATCCATGGGGGCAGGCTGGTGGAGAACTGAGCTCTTCTTTCTGGCAGTCATTGAACACTCATTGAGGCCAAATACTATCACCCCTGGCTCAGACAGGACCCAGGGCTATTAGGGGAGAACAGAATGGCAGGTGCCTGAGGCTTTGAGTAAGGAAGGAGGCGCTCACCCACCTGCATACTGTCGCTGAGTCAGGCTGCCCCAGAGTGCGGGAATCAAGGGCAACACATCTCTGCTGCTCCTGCCATCACATGTTCATCCCTCCTGCGGCTGAAGTCACACAGGCCTCTAGGTGACCCGATCCTGGTGTCCCAGGCTCAGCTCTGTGTGGAGTCCACAGAAGCTGCTCCCCAGCCCAAGTGCGCAGGGTGCTACTGGTCAAGCCTCCTGTTCTCCTTGACTGGTTCTTCCAGAAATTCCCTTGTTTCGCCACACAGAATGTGGTAAAGCTTGCTAACAATTGTAAACTGGAATCCTCTGGCATATATGTGTGGTCTACTCTGCTAAGTGGCTTAAAAAATTACTTATAAAATGCTTCAAACATACAAAAAAATACAAGAAATAGTACAATAAACACACACGTACCTGGTATCTAGATTCAATCATTGTTAATATCTTACTGTGTGTGTTTTTGTGGAGAGAGAAAGAGTAAGGGAGAGAAAGGAATTCTGAAATAAATTACAGACATTATCACACTTCAACACTTCACACCTTAGTTTCTTTTAATCTTTCTAATCTACAACAGTCTCCCAGCCCTGGTCTGTTTCTTGTTGTTCTTGTTTTTTTTTAATGACTTTGACTTATTGAAGAGACCAGGGTAGTGTGTCTTATAAGACAGCTCATATTCTGAACATGTCTGATTGTTTCCTTGTGGTACATATGATGCTTTAAAAATATATATGTTTTTAAATAAATAGCCTACATTTAGAATTCAGGCAATTTTGAGTAAAATTCTGGATTTCTGGCTTTAAAAACTTAAAAAAAAAATCAAAAGACCTGGCAGTGCCTGGTGTGTATTCCTGGCTGGTTACAATTTGTGGCCCAGTGTATGAGCTGCTGCCTTTGAGAGGGCACCATGTTGTAGCTGAGTGTCAAGTGCTATTCCTTATTGTGTCAAATCAACTGTCAACACACCTCATCCATTTGTGTAGTCCCCAAGGGAAAATGAGTTTATAACTGTATCAGTCCAGGTTCTCCACAAAAACTGGACCAACAGGCTATCCATGAAAGCATTTGTTTTAAGGAATTGGCTCACAGGATTGTGGGGGCTGGCATGTCCAAAATCCACAGGGCAGGCTGGCATGCTGGTAAATCAAGCAGGATTTTGATGTTACAGTCTCTCAGAATTCCTTCTTCTCTGGGAAACTTCAGTTTTGGCTCTTAAAACCAGCACTCATTGGTGAAGCCCACCCACATTGTGGAAGGTAATCACCCTTGCTTAAAGTGAATTGATTGTAGATGTTGATGACATCTACAAAATACCTTCATAGCAATATCTAGACTAGGGTTTGACCAAATGACTGGGCACCATAGCCTAGCCAAGTTGACACACAAAATTGACCATCACAATGACTTTGTTTTAGAACCAAACATGAGAATATTGGTTTTACATAGCTTTCTTCTCCCAAAAGCTTTCTCCTGCTTCATATTGGTTTTCCATCACTGTGTCACAAATTACCACAAACTTAGTGACTTAAAACACAAATTTATTATCTCATAATTTTCATAGCTCAGAAGTCTAGATATAGTGTAGCTGAATTCCCTCCTCAGGATCTTCCCTGACTGAAATCAAGGTGGGGCTGCATTCTCCTCTAGGGTTTGGGGTCCTTTTCCATGCTCTCTGGCTGTTGGCAGAATTCATTTCCTTAACAGTTGTAGGACTGAACTCTGCCAGCTGGGAACAACTTTCAGCCCTTAGAGGTCATCTACATTCCTTACCACGTGGCCCTTTCTCTTCTTAAGCCAATAAAAATATGTCAAATTCTCCTGTGTCAAATTTCTGCCTTTCTTGTCAGCCACCAGCTGGAGAAAACTCTCTGATTTTAAAGGGCTTATGTTATTCAGTCAGGCCACCAGATCATCCCCCTTTCGTAAGTAAACTGTGCCATATACATGACCTAATCACAGGAGTAAACTCCATTACACTCATGGTCCTGCATCATATCCATTATGCAGGAGATGTGTACATGGAGGAGGGTCCAGAATCTTGGGGCCCTCTTAGAATTCTGCCTACCACATTCTTCTTCAAGTTATTTGCAAAAGGTTTTACCTTCTATATTCAAGAAAATAACAGAATTAAAGTGAAATGCTCAAAAATCAATGACTGAGCAAACCCATTTTCCTAAGGAGTATAAGAAGTAGCTAGGGACTGAGCCATACCTTCCCACATAAGGAATCAGGAGAACTATCAAATAGAGCCTCGCTAAATAATGCATTCTCATAAAATGTAAAAGGGATCTCCCTTTCTTCCCTTATACAAACTCTGCCTTCAGAGTAAGAGTTTACTCATCTCTTCCCATTCTGAGATTTATTGGTAGCTTCTTGTAAAACCAGCCTCAGTTGCACCCAGCCACACAGAGATAAAAGACCTATGAAAGCAAAACCAGAGACCAAACAAAGAGCTGCCTTAACTCTTTTGGGATTGTATTTTTAAGTGATCACAAAAGGGGGAAGAAGAAAAAAAATCCCAAGCAGGGGCCCACCAACAGAGAGGTTTTATAGTAGTAATTCAACTTTCTTACACTCAGTTCCTTGTAGATTGTTATTTGCTGTTTTTAAGGAAACAGGATGGAAGGTGGAAAAGGCAACCTTAAAGAAGCGTGCAAAAACAAAATTCCAGACTTACAGAAATGATGACTGGATCACAAAATGTGTAGTCACACTTACGGGTGTTATCTTTTCATAACTCCTTCCTGTGTTTCTTCTGGGCCATTTTACCAAGAGATATCATGCATTCATCTGCCAAAAAATACAGTGGCAGCAAATGAGCCACACTTATTCATCAAATTTCTATTATACATAGGTCTGTACACTGGTTATACCACAGTCACTCAGTCCTTGCCCCAGAATGTTTTCCCAAAAAACCTTTACAGGAAAGTTAAAAAAAAAAAAAAAAGAGGTGCTTCAATTCTTTTACTTTTCTGTTACTGGAAACACTGAAAAAGGAATCCAGGTATCACTGGCTGAGAACTCATTTTTCTATGATCCAATCTATAATCCTATGCAACAGAGAAGAATCTAAGCCATTAAAAGTGGTTTTGAGTACTGCTTATATACCTATTTCAGCCTGTTATATGATGCACTGCATTTGACCATCAACTCAGAGACCTGCTGAAATGAACTGTTGGAAGTTCCCCTCAGGAGAACTTTTCCTCATTGAGAAGCCACAAATAATACCTCACTTGAAGTGTGATTAGAAAAGTTTACAAGGAACTGAAATATTCTCATGAATTTCAATGTTTAATTTAAGCATGTCTTCCCCAAAAGAAATCTAAACAAAAACCTTGCCAAATACCTCTGGTAGCAAGGAGAACTAATAATGGAATCTCCTGCCAAGTGTTCCGAGAGGTTGAGAATAATGATATCCATCTCAAGAGAATTTGTAGGTCATGGATTTTCCCTCCAATCCTAACATTTTCAGGAGCTTTCTATTTTTTATGCCCAGGATATTTCCTATTATATTTATTAAATGATGAAGAGGAGAGGGGATGGGGGACAAAGAAGTAATTAATTGGTTTCCTTGCATGTTATAACCTAAGGAGAAAGGCAGACATGGCATGATGAGGAAGAACATTGGAAGCACAGCCAAGGCAGAGGCTGGGAGGAGTCACTGAAAGCAATTAGTCATCCATCATCCCCATCCCCAAAAATCCTGAATAGGGAACGGAAAAAAGAGTCTTTTTGGGGGGGTCAGTGTTCAGAGCCCTTTGAACCAATTTCCTTGCCTCATTTGTAAATTAAAGACACTTTTCATCACCCAGACTTTATTTCAAATGAAGGTAAGAATAAGGATCTTATAAACACAAGTCTTCTTGACAACATAAATTATAGTTCCCAGAACTTTCCTTCACGTATTCCAATGTTATTACCACTGTTTACCACAATCACAAGCTATTCCCCTAGAGATATCTAAAAGATGAGCTATTTAAGTCAACACCTCCTACAAAGTAAATAACTTCTCAGCTCTCAGCTTTCATCCATCCAACATTTTCTTCTTTACAGTACTCCCTACTCTGCCTCTTGACTAAGGAAAATTAGATTCTCTTCTCTGGCTTAGCATTTTGTTTTGCAAGAGTGCTCACTTGCTTTTCTTCATTCCCCTGACAGCTCCATATCTGACAGCATTCCTTCTATGAGGATAATCCTCTTTGAATGAAAGACAAAAGTATTTGTTCAGTGTCTACTATATGTTCATGGTGTTGGCTTAGAGACTAAGGCAGAATCTCTCAAGTTTGCCATTATTGACAGTTTGAGCAGGAAAACCCCCTTTTCGTAGAGGGCCGTCCTGTGCATTGTAGAATGTTTAGCATCGTCCCTGGCCTCTATTCACTAGATTTCAGAAGCACCTCCCTCCCCAGCTGTGACAACCAAGAAATATCTCCAAACATTGTTAAATGTCCCTAAGGAGCAGATTTGTCCCCAGCTGAGAACAAGTAGACTAAGGGAATTTCAACAGAAATAGAAAAAAGAGTCCCTTTCCTTGAGGAGTGTAAAATCTTATGGAGACATAGATTGTTATACGGAAGCATCTTTAGAGATGATTTATGAATCTTCCTTTTTTATTAGTGAATACATCGAGTGAGGCACAGAGACATTAAGTGATTTGCTCAGTTGTACAACAGAAATATTCCAGAAAACAAAGGTAGCATATAATCAAGCCTAAATTGCATTTGTGTAGACCACAGATGCTATGAAAACCTAAAGAAGGGAGAGACTAATGCTAGTTAGTAGTGGCATGAAAGAGGTAGTACTACATCTCCAAAGATGAGCACTTGAAGGGTGAGATCAGCAGGGAGAAGAAGGAAGGGGATGCCTGGCATGATCATGCATGACTACAGCATATGTAACGGCCTAAAGGTAAGAGTAGAGCATGGAGCTTTAGAGGAATGAGGCAGGTACTAACTCAGAATGGCCAAAGATAAGGTTGGAGAGGTTAAATGGGTCCAAATTCTGGAGGCTGCTGACCTCCTGGATTAAGTCCAAGATCCGATTGAGAGCCCTTCAAAAAATGATTTCTGACATCCTCTTGGGGAAGGCAGAAAAACTGAAAACACGCTAATTGGGAGTCAAGAGATCTGGGTTCTAGTCCTAGCAATTCACTGACAGCTGTGTGACTAGGACAAGCTCATTTATTTCCCTTGGCCCCACTTCCTGCATCTGTAAAATGGGGGTCGAACTGCATGACCCCTGAGCTCCTGTCCAGCTGTTGCTTGTTCTGTTCACACCTGCTGTCACTTGCACTAATGGCCAAAGAGCTGTTTGCTGCTTGCCCTGATGTGTCTCAGCAGGTACCCTAAGGGGCCCTTGAGAGGAGGCTGTAACTTCTGGCCCAACCACAGGACATCAAATCCACATGTGAGCAGCCTGACTGCAAGGAAATGTGCTGGAGTACCAAATGTTCCTGATTAGTTGCAGTGTTTTCTGTTATTGAATAAGGCCTGCCATTTCCTGACTTTTACTAAATCCAAGATTGCACAGTTTACTGGGTTCAGAAAAAAGTAATGTACAACAGCTGAAGGGTAAGTGAAACAAGAACAAGGCATCTAACATGACATTGTCATATCATTTAGTAAATTCCAACAAAGACAGTAAAAGGTGTTAGTATAATTTGACATGGATGAGGGCAATCAAAGAAATAAATTAAGGACTTCTTTTCAATTAAGGACCTATCAACAAGATTAAAGGACAGCTGAAAAATAGAGAAAGAAGGCCGGGCACAGTGGCTCACTCCTGTAATCCCAGCACTTTGGGAGGCCAAGGTGGGTGGTCACCGGAGGTCAGGAGTTTGAGACCAGCCCGACCAATATGGTGAAACCCCATCTCTACAAAAAATACAAAAATTAGCTGGGCGTGGTGGTGCACACCTGTAGTCCCAGCTACTTGGGAGACCAAGGCAGGAGAATCACTTGAACCCAGGAAGCAGAGGTTGCAGTGAGCCAAGATCGTGCCACTGCACCCCAGCCTGGGCGACGAAGCAAGACTACGTCTCAAAAAAAAAAAAAAATTAAAAAAATAGAGAAAGATATTTGTAATGTCTAAAACCAATGAGAGATGGCAACTAGAATGAATATACATGGAATTCCTGAAGGTCAAAAAAAGAAAGCAGTCCCAACAGGAAAATCAGCAAAGGCTATAAATGGACAATTTCCAAAAAAGAAAACCAAAAAAACTATCAAGTATACCATTAAATACTCAAAGTAAAAGATAATCAGTAAAATGGAAAATTAAAGAAATGGTGAGATTTTGATTTATACTTGTTAGACTAGTAGAAAATTAGAAAGCTGTGTAATAGGAAGTGTTGGCAGAAATGTTGGCACTTATGTGCACTGTTGGTGGGACTATAAACTGGTACAATCAATGTGGAGACCAATCTGGCAGATACTTAGTTTAACAAAATCTATTCATAACTATGACCTTTGTTGAGTGAATATCTGTATTGGTTCCTTTTTTAAGTTTATTTTTTAAATTTTATTGTAAATTAATAATTTATAACTATATGGAGTACAAAGTGATGCTATGATTTATGAATACAATATGAAATAATTAAATCAGGCTAATTAACATATTCATTACCTCAAATACTTTGATTCATATCAAATACTTTTATCATTTTTTGTGGTCAGAACATTTGAAATTTATTCCCTTAGCCATTTTGAAATACGCAGTACACTATTATTAAATATATTCACCACACTATGCAATAAAGCTCAATGAAAAAACACTTATTCCTCCTGTCTAACGGAGACTTCATGCCCTTTGGCCATCATGTCTCCATTTCCTGCCCCCGCTCAGCCTCGGTAACCACCACTCTACCCTTTGCTCTATGAATTCGAGTGTTTTAGAATCCACATATATGTGAGAATATGAGGTAATTGTCTTTCTGTGCCTGGCTCATTTTATTCAGCATGTTGTCCAATTCCATCTATGTTGTTGCAAATGACAGAATTTCATGGTTTTTTTTTTTTTTTTTTTTTTTTTTTTGAGATAGAGTCTCACTCTGTCACCCAGGCTTCAGTGCAGTGGCACAGTCACTGCAACCTCCACCTCCTGAGTCCAAGCAATGGCACACCAAGCTAATTTTTGTATTTTTAGTACAGACAGGGTTTCACCATGTTGACCAGGCTGGTCTCAAACTCCTGGCCTCAAGTGATCTGCCCACCTTGACCTCCCAAAGTGCTGGAATTACAAGTGTGTGCCACCATGCCAGGCTAATTTTTCTATTTTTAGTACAGACGGGGTTTTGCCATGTTGGCCAGGCTGATCTCAATCTCCTGGCCTCAAGTGATCAGCCTGCCTCAGTCTGCTGAAGTGCTGAATTACAGGTGTGAGCCAACACTATTGCCTGTTTTTCATTTCTTGAGACAGGGTCTCGCTCTGTCACCCAGGCTGGAGTGATGCAATCATAGCTCACTGCAGCGTCAAACTCCTGGGCTCAAGGGGGCCTCCCGCCTCAGCCTCCCAAGTAGCTGGGACTACATGTGTGCCCCACCATGTCTAATTTTTAGAGAAAAATTTTGTAGAGATGGTGCCTTGCTATGTTGCCCAGGCTGGTCTCAAACTCCTGGCCTCAAGAGATCCTCCCACCTTGACCTCTCAAAGTGTTGGGATTACAGACGTGAGCCACTGCACCCAGTTTTTAAAGGCTGAGTAGTATTCAATTCCATATTTTCTTTATCCGTTTGTCTGTTGATGGACACATAGGTTGATTCATAACTTGACTATTGCATATGGTGCTGCAGTGAACATGGGAGTACAAGATAATTTCAAATCTCTTGGGTAAATGCCCAGAAATGAAATTACTGGATCATATGGTAATTCTATTTTTATTTTTTTGAGGAACCTCCATACAGTTTTCCATAATGGTTGGACTAATTCACATTTCTATCAACAGTTTATAAGGATTCCCTTTTCTCCACATCCTTGCCAAGACTTATCTTTCATCTTTTTGATAACAGCCATTCTGACAGGTGTTAAGTGATATTTCATTGTGGATTTAATTTGCATTTCCCTAATGATTAGCAATGTTGAGCATTTTTTCTTATATCTGTTGGCCATTTGTATATCTTTTGAGAAATGCTTATTCAGTTCCCTTACCCATTTTTAAATTGCGTTATTTATTTTATTTTTTATTTTTAAACATACTCCAACTTATGTTTTGTAAGTGGTTTCACTAATCATAACAGTACTAATATTTATTAAACATTTTTATATACCAGACACTGATCTTAACACTCGATATAAACCATTTCATCCAATACTCCATATAAACCCATTAAGGAGGCACTACGATTACCACCATTTTCGAAATGAAGAGTATGAGACACAGAGAGGTTAAGAAACTTTCCCAAGATCACACAAGTAGGAAGTAGCAGGGCAAGGATTTAAACTCAGGCAGTCTGACTTTAGAGTTTACAACCATAATACCATATGGCCTCCCCTATGTATAAAAGATGGTTGGTTTTAATATTTTGATACATAAATATAAAATTATGGTGTTTGGGCCAGGTGCGGTGGCTCATGCCTGTAATCCCAGCACTTTGGGAGGCCGACGCGGGCAGATCACGAGGTCAGGACATCGAGACCATCCTGGCTAACACAGTGAAACCCCATCTCTACTAAAAATACAAAATATATATATATTAGCTGGGCATGGTGGCGGGCGCCTGTAGTCCCAGCTACTTGGGAGGCTGAGGCAGGGGAATGGCGTGAACCCGGGAGGCGGAACTTGCAGTGAGCCAAGATCGCGCCACTGCACTCCAGCCTGGGCGACAGAGCGAGACTCCGTCTCAAAAAAAAAAAAAAAAAAAAATTACGGTGTTTAAGGCCTATGACCAGGTCACTACAGCGAGGGATTATCAAACTGCCACCTACACAGCAGTCTCTGCTTCATTGTCCTGGAACAATATGCTAAATTAACTTTAGACATGGGTATCTGAAAAGCATTTCACCAGGTTTCCCACAGAGCCAAGCAATCTCTGAAGGCCATTGAGAAATTGTCTAGAATCTCCACTAGTAATTAAGTATCTCCCAATCTAACGTCTCACCAGAGTTCTAGGCCTCTGTTTCCCACTCCCTACAGCTCAGCACCTACATACTCTATCATCTCATGCGGCAACACTCTCCTCCTTGCACACCAAGCTCCACTTCACTGTCATATTTTCAATGCCTTGAAGTAACTAAGCTCTTTCCTGCTTTACTTCCTTTATGTTTTCCCTCTGCCTAAAATGCTGTCATTTGACTGAATAAAATAAATAAATGAGTGAATGAATAAATGTATGAATAATGCCAAATTCATTATCATTTTATCCAAACAACTCCTCTTCTGGACCTTTCCCTCCCAAGCACTCACGTCATGCTGGACTTCACTTTCTCCCTCTCCCTGGATATGTGATTAGTCACTATACACAACAGATTCTCCTATGTGAAGTTTCCCGCATGTAGCCATTCCTTTTCTTTACTACCCTAGCCTCAGCTCGTAACACTGGGTGTTTTGTGCAATAGCCTTCTAACTGAACTTTGCCAATACTTCTTTCATTTATTGTTTCACAAATTATCTCCTTTGACTCGGACCTCATGCCAGGCACTGAATTAGGTGCTTTGGAGACAATGATGGATAAGACAGATACATTATCTATTCTCCCGACGTTTCCCATAGCTTATGTATTTACATATTATACTACTGACAGATTAATTTTCCTCAAATGCCACAAGTTTCCACCCCTTTAAAAATCTTCTATAGCTTCTTGTTGTCTAGAGAAAATAGTTCAAAATTCTTAGTCTAATATTTTCATTCCTACAAATTCATCTTCCATTGTTCACTTGAGTGTCACCGCTATGCCAGCTATAGGTTTCCTGCTTGTAAATGTGCCATACTATCTCCTGTCTTGGTTCTTCTGCTTGAGCCAGTCCCCCTATCTAAAATGCCTTCTCCCTAACTTTTATTTAGGTCTCACTTTTTCCCCCTCCAGTTTTGTTGAAGTACAATTGACAAATAAATATTTTATAAATTTAAGTTGTAAACATGACATTTTGTTATATATAAACATTATGAAGTGATTACCACAATCACACTAATTAACATAGCTACCTCACATAGTTACCTGGTTTTTTTGTTGCTATTGCCGCTTTTTGGGTTTGGTGATGAGAACGCTTAAGATCTACTCTTAGCATATTTCAAGCATACAATACCTTATTGTTAACTATAGTCACCATGCTGTACAGTACATCTCCAGAACTTATTCATTTTATAACTGAAAGTTTCTACCCTTTGACCAAAATCCCCCATTCTCCCCCTCCACCCAACTACCGGCAACCACCGTTTTACTCTCAGTTTCTATGAGTTCAACTTGCTTAGATTCTACACATAAGTGAGATGATTCAGTACGTATCTTTCCGTGTCTAGCTTATTTCATTTAGCATAATGTCCTCACGTTCATCCGTGTTGTCACAAATAATAAGATTTCCTTCTTTTTTTAAACATTGAATAATATTTCATTATAAATATAATAAGTATATAAATCACATTTTCTTTATCCATTTATCTGTTAAAGGACACTTATGATGTTTCCATATCTTGTCTATGGTGAATGATGTTTCAATGAACATGGGAGTGCAGATATCTCTTTGAAATACTGATTTTATTTCTTTTGGGTACATATTGAGAAAAGGGATTGATGGGTCATAATTTTTTGAGAAACCTCCAAACTGCTTTCCATAATGGCTGCACAAATTTGTAATCTCACCAACAGTGTACAGGAGTTCCCTTTTCTCCAAATCCTCACCAACACTTACTATCTTTTACTATTTTTCAAAATAGGATTCCTATTTTGAAAATAGCAATCCTAACAGGCATGAAGTGATATCTCATTGTGATTTTGATTTGCATTTCCCTGATGATTTGTGATGTTGAGCACTTTTCCATGTACCTGTTTGTCATTTGTATGTTGTCTTTGAAAAAATAGACATTCAGGTCTTTTGCCCATTTTTAAATTGTTTTTTGTTTTGTTTTATTTTGTTTTCTGCTATTGAGGTTGAGGTTATATGACTTCCTTATATATTTTGGTCATTAACTTTTCATCAAATATATAGTTTGCAAATATTTTCTTCCATCCCATAGGTTGCCTTTTAATTTTGTTGTTTCTTTTGTGGCACAAAATATTTTTAGTTTGATGTAGCTCCCCTTGTTTACTTTTGCTTTTGTTGACATGTTTTTGGTGTTATATTTACTAAATCATTATGAAGACCAATGTCAAGGTGCTTTTCCCGTATGTTTTCTTCTAGAATTTTTGGTTTCAGGCTTGTGTTTAATCCATTTTTAGTTTGTTTCTTTGTATGATAAAAGGGCCCAATTTCATTCTTTTGCATATGGCTATTCCATTTTCCTAATACCACTTATAAAAGAGACTATGCTTTCCCCCATTGTGTCTTCTTGGATACTTTGTACAAGATTAGTTGACCATATTTCCTTGAGTTTATTTCTGGGCTCTCTGTTCTGTTCCACCGGTCTGTGACTGTTTTTATGCCAGTACCATACTGTTTTGATTACTATAGTTTTATAAGAGAATTTGAAATCAGATAGTGTGATTCCTCTAGCTTTGTTCTTATTTCTCAGGATTCCTTTGGCTATTCAGGGTTTTGTGGTGCCATACAAATTAAAATTTCTTTTTCTATTTCTGTAAAATATGTCACTGTAATTTTTATACGGATTGCATTGAATGTGAAGATTGCTTTGAGTAGTATAGACACTTTAACAAACACTATTTCTTCTAATCCATGAACCCGGGATATCTTTTTATTTATTTCAGTCTTCCTTAATTTCTTTCATTAATGTTTTATAATTTTCAGTGCACAGATCTTTCACCTACTTAAATTCATTCCTAGGTATTTTCTTCTTTTTGATTCTACAATAAATGCAATTGTTTTCCTAATTTCTTAATAAATTATTAATTTTCCATATATTCTATTGCTAGTGTCAGAGGCACAAGTGATTTTTATACGTTAAATTTGTATCCTGCATCTTTACTAAATTCTTTTATTAGTTCTACCAGATTTTTGGTGGAATCTTTAGGGTTTTCTATGTACAAGATCATGTTATCTACAAACAGAAACTATTTAATTTCTTTCCTGGTTTGGATATTTTTATCTCTTTTTCTTGCCTAATTACTATGGCTAGAACTTCTAGCACTATGTTGAATAGAAATGACAAGAATGGGCATCCTTGTCTTGCTTCTGATTTTGGAAGAAAAGCTTTCAACTTTTCACCATTGAGTATGATAGTAGCTGTGGGGTTGTCCTATATGGCCTTTATTACATTGAGGTACTTTCCTTTTATACCCTTTTTGATGAGAATTTTTATCATGAAATGAGGGTGATTTTATAGAATACTTCTTCTGTATCTATTGAGATGATCATATAATTTTTATCCCTCATTCTTAAATGTGGTGTATCACATTTACTGATTTGCATAAGCTGAACCATCCTTGCATCCCAAGGATAAATCCACTTGTTTGGGGTGAATGATCTTTTTAATGTGCTGTTGAATCCCATTTGGTAGTATTTTATTTAGGATTTTTGCATCTATGTTTATCAGGAATACTGGTATATGGTTTTTTTTCTTTTAGTGTCCTTGTCTAGCTTTGATATCAGGGTAACACTGGCCTCATAAAAGGAATTTGGAAGCGTTCCCTCTTCTTCAGTATTTTAGAAAAGGTTGAGAAGAATTCATACTAATTCTGCTTTAAATGTTTGACAGAATTCACCCATGAATCCATTTGTTTCTAGGCTTTTCATTGTTGGGAGATTTTTGTTATTGGTTCAATCTCATTACCCATTATTGGTCTGCTCAGATTTTCTGTTTATTCATGATTTAGTATTGGTAGGATGTAGTTTCTAAGGATTTATTCATTTCTTTCAGGTTACCCAATTTGTTGGCTATTCATCCTATTCTCTTATGATTCTTTGCATATATGTGGGATCAGTTGTAATGTCTCCTCTTTTATTTCTGATTTCATTTGAGTATTCTCTCTTTTTTTCTCAGTCTAACTTTGTCTATTTTGGCTGCCAAACTAAAATTGTTTAGTTTGTCAATTTTGTCAATTTTTGTCAGTGTAGGTTTGTCGATCTTGTCTTTTAAAAAACTTTAGTTTTGTTGATCTTTCCTATTATTCTTCTAATCTCTATTTTATTTATTTTTTGCTCTGATCTTTGTTATTTCCTTCCTTCTGCTAACTGTGAGCTTAGTTTGCTCTTTTTCTAGTTCCTTGAGGTATAGAGTTAGGTTGTTTTCTGAGATCTTTCTCTTTCCTAAAATAGGTGTTTATTGTTACAAGCGTCTTCCTCAGAACTACTTTTGCAGCATCCAATAAGTTTAGGTATGTTGAGTTTCCATTTTAATTTGTCTCAATGTTTTTAATTTCCCTTTGGTTTCTCTTTTGACCCATTGATTGCTCAAAAGTATATTGTTTAATTTCCACATATTTGTGAGTTTTCCAGTTTTCCTATTATTTACTTCTAGTTTTATACCATCATGGTTGGAAAGGATACTTGATATGATTTCAATATTCTTGAATTTATTAAGACTTGTTTTATGACATAATATATGATCCACCCTGGAGAATGTTCCATGCACACTTGAGAAGAATGTATATTCTGCTACTGTTGGATGGAATGTGCTGTATATGTCTGTTGATTCCATTTGGTTTATAGGATTGTTTAAACCTAATGTTTCCGTATTGATTTTCCATCTGGACAATCTATCCATTGTTGACAGTTGGGTATTAAAGTCCTCTACTATTATTGTACTATTTCTCCTTACCAGTTCTGTTAATATTTGATTTATACCAATATTACCAGTTAATGTTGTACTAATGACAGTGTATTGGTATTATCAGTTTATGTTAATATTATCAGTTCTGTTAATGTTTGTTTTATATATTTAGTTGCTCCAATGTTGGGTGAATAAATCTTTACTATTGCTATATCTTCTTGATGAAGTGATTCTTTTATCATTAAACAATTATCTTCTTTCTTTTATTGTAACAGTTTTTTACTTAAAGTCTATTTTTTCTGTTATAAGTATAACCACTCCTGCTCTCTTCTGGTTACCATTTTCACGAAATATCTCTTTCCACCCTCTGCTTTCAGCCTATGTGTATCCTCGAAGCTAAAGTGAATCTCTCATAGGAAGCATATAATTGTCTTCTTTTTAATTCATTCAACCATTCTATTTTTTAATGGGAGAATTTAATCCATTTAAAGTCACTTTTGATAGTAAAGACTTATTGTTTTATTTTATTTTATTTTTTAAAGACAGAGTCTTGCTCTGTCACTGAGGCTGAAGTGCAGTGGCACAATCACACTATCATAGCTCACTGTAACCTTGAACTCCTGAAACTCCTGGGCTCAAGTGATCCTCCCACCTCAGCCTCCAGAGTAGCAAGGGCTACAGGTGTGTACTCCCATGCCTAGCTAATTCTTTAAAATTTTTTGTAGAGACAGAGTCTTGCTATGTTGCTCAGGGTAGTCTCGAACTCCTGGCCTCAAGTGATCCTCCTGCCTCAGCCATCCAAAGTGCTGGGATTATAGACATGAGCCACTGTGCCAGCCTGCCATTTTGTTAATTGTTTCTGACTATGCAGTAGTTTTCTTGTACGTTTTGTCCTCTCTTGCAGTCTTCCTTTGTGGGGTTTTTTTTTTTTTTTTTTTTTTTTTTTTTTTTTTTTTTTTTTTTGCTGTGGTATGTTTGATTCTGTTCTCTTCATCATTTTGTATACACTATAGATTTTTGCTTCATGGTTACCATGAGGCATACATAAAACATCTTATAGCAGTCTGTTTTAAGCTGATAACAGCTTCACTTCAGTTGCATACAAATACTATACTTTTGCCTCTCTCTGACCCCGCATTTTATGGGTTTTTTTTAGTCACAATTTACATCTTTTATATTATGTATCCACTAATGAAATAGTGTAGTTATACTTTTAGTACTTTTATCTTTTAACCTTTATAGAGTTAAAAGTGACTTACATACCATTACATATGAGAATATCATGAATTTGCTATATTTATCAAACATAAAATATCAAATATTATACTATAATACTATAAATACTGTAAATATTATAGTATAATATTATACTATAATATTTACCTTTACATGCAAATTTTATGCTTTCATATATTTTCATCTTAGTAACTGTGTCCTTTTATTGCAGCTTGAAGAACTCCATTTAGCATTTCTTGTAAGACAGGTCTAGTGGTGATAAACTCCCTCAGCTTTTGTTTATCTGGGAAAGTCTTTATCTCTCCTTCATTTCTGAAGGTCAGCTTTTCTGGAGAAAGTATTGTTGATTGACAGTTTTTTCTTTCAGCCTTTTGAATATATTATCCCATTCTTTCTTAGTCTGTAAAGTTTCTGCTGAGAAATCTGCTGACAGCCTTATGAAGATTCTCTTGTGTCTGATATGTCACTTTTGTCTTGCTGCTTTTGAATTTCTTTTTTTTTTTTTGACTTCTGACAATTTGATTATATATATATATGTCTCTGTCATGACTTACTTGGGTTGAGAATGGGAACTTTTGAGCTTCATTAATCTGAATGTCTGTATCTCCCAAGGTTTAATAAGTTTTCAGCCTTATTTCTTAAATAAGCTTTCTTCCCTTTTCTCTCTCTTCTATTTCTGAGGCCCCTGTAATGCAAATATTGTGGCACTTAATGGTGTCTTATAAGTCCCATAGCTTTTTTTTTTTTTTTTACTTTTTCTTTCTTTTTTCTCCACCAACTAGATAATTTCAAAAGGCTTGTCTTTAAGTTCACAGATTCTTTCTTCAGCTTGATTGACTTTGCTGTTGAAGTCCTCTACTGCATTTTTCATTTCATTCATTGTATTCTTTAGCTCCAAGATTTCTTTTTGGTTCTTTTCATGATTTCTATCTCTTTGTTGAATTTCTAGTTTTGTTCACACATTATGTTCCTGATTTTGTGGAGTTATCTACCTGTGTTCTCTTGTATCCCACTGACCTTTTTTAAAATAATTATTTTGAATTCATTTTCAAGCAATTCATAGACCTCCATTTATTTGGGGTCAGTTATAAGAAAATTATTGTGCTCCTTTGGTAGTGTCATGTTTCCTTGACTTTTTGTATTTCCTGTGGCTTTGCATTGATATCTGCACACTTGAGGGAGCAGTCACCTATTCCAGACATTACAGATTAGCCTCAGTGGGGGAAATACTTTCACCTCCAGGAAGGTGTGGGAACGCCAGTTGGGTGGGGTACAGCAGCTCTGGTTTCAGAGAGTGTGCTGTGGTGTACTCTTCATGCAGCTCTATCATTGAGGTCAGCACTGGGGACAACTCTAGGAGTCCTAGACAGCCAAGGCTACAGATATCTGAAGTTATGGCAGCAGCAGCAAAGGCTGTTGGGATCCTTGGCGGCAAAGACTTCTGGGATCTCCCTGTTAGCTCTTTTTCCTCTAGGGAAAGAAGTCCTAACCGAGGGGATCCTTCTTGGTGCCAGGTCTGGTATGGCCTGCAGGCAGTTGCAGCAGCACTGGGTTCTGGGGTATGAGTATTCAGAGCAGCAGCAGAGATGGGCCCCAGAAAACTCTGGGGTGTTCCCCAGTGGCATGGGCTCTGGTGAGAGGATGAAGTGCAGTGGTGGCTTGGGCCACAGAAGGCAGGGCACAGCAGCAGCATGGCCCCAGGCCAACATTTCCAAAAGTTTTAACCCATTCCAGCATCAACTTTAAGTTCCAAATCTAATCTAAACATCACCAACTCAAAAAGTTACAAATTGCATCATCTAAATCAGGTGTTGCTGAAATCTGTATGGTCTATCCTGGGCAAAATTCCTCTCCATCTCTGGACCTATGAAACTAGGAAACAAGTTATCTAAATACAAGTATCTAAAATACAAAGGTGGGCTAGGCATAGGATAGACATTTCCATTCCAAAAAATATTAAATGGAAGGAATAAAGAGGTCACCAATCCCAAAGGAGTCAAAACTGAGCAGGGCAAATTTCATTAGGTCTCAAGCCTTGAGAATAATCCTCTGTCACTCAACACACCCTTGGGGCCCATGGCCGTTCTGCCTTTTGGGTTTGTGGTAGCCCTATCCTCTGAGTCCACAGTGGTCTATCCTTTGGACCTACAGTGGCCTCAGGATCATTCTTTCATTTTCTTAAATGGTAGCAAATATTTACAGCTGACTAGCTCTACTGGCCCACTTTCTGTCTGTAGAAGTTTGGAAGTCTGATAGTGTTCTCACATTTCATCCTGCTTCTATCCTTTTAAAAGTTCAAGCTGGCAGTCTGCAGATACAACATTCTCAAAACCCTTGTGGTTCTCCTGTGGGGGTCCAGGGATTCATGCCATTAGACAAAAGGGTTCTCCACAGATTTCCCATGAGTAACTCATTTCTATTTTTGGCTTCTGGTGAGGTGGTTGAGTGTATCCATGAGTCATGCTTTATCTCTTCAGCAAAAGGTTGTCCAGCCACATCCTTGATCTTCTCTCTAGAACACGCTTCCTAACAGAATTTCCTAACTTTAGCATCCTTTGCAATCTGGGTAGACTGATAACTTCCAAAATAAAAGTGCTTGTTCATTTTTATCTAACAGTTCCTTTCTTATCTTATCTTTTTGCTTGTATTTATTTGACTATAGGCAGCAAGGAAAAACCAGCCTGCATCTTTAATACTTTTCTCGGAAGTCTGCTTTTATTTCTACTCAGAAATATTCAAGCTATTGCTTACAAATTAGGCTTTCCATACAACAAAGAAAACATGATTCAGCCAACTTTTCTGCCCGTATATAAAAGATGACCTTTCCTTCAGCTTTCAGTAACACATTCTTCATTTCCTTCTAGCAACATTCTGTTTACAGCAATATTTGTATTCTCTTAGACAATAGAAGCTTTGTCTACCATGTACCCTACTTCCTTCTGAGCCCTTACCAGAATCCAGAAGTTTTCTATCCTCTGCCTCAAAATTCTTCCAGCTTTGGGTAATTGCACATTACCTAATTCCACAGTCACTTCCACAGTTTTAGGTATTTGTTACAGTAGCACCTCATTTCTAGTCACCAAACTATGTATTCATTTCCTAGGGCTACCTTAATAAAGTGCCACAAAATTGGTGTCTTAAAAAATAGAAATTCATTCTCTCACAGTTCTGGAGGCCAGAAATCTGAAATAAAATTTGCATTCCCTCTGAAGGCCCTATGGGAGAATTATTCCTTATCTCTTCTGGCTTCTGGCAGCTCAAGGTGCTCCTTGACTATGACTGCACCACTCCACTTTCTGCCTCTGCCTTCTTTTTTCGTTTTCTCTTCTGTCTCTTAGAAGGACATTTGTCATTAGATTTGGGACCTACCTGGATAACCCAGGGTGATCTCTTTTCAAGATCCTTAATTACATTTTCAAAGATGCTTTCTCCCAGTAAGGTCACATTCACAGGTTCTAGGGGTTGGGATGTGAACCTATCTTTCTGAGAACCATTTAACCTACTACAACTTTCCAAAAAGATTCTCACTTAGGTTCATGAGATTCTAGGCCAAAGATACTCACTGCAGCATTGTTTGTGTCAGCTGGGGGTTGTATGTCCACCACTTGGACAGTATGTAGATAAAATATGGTGGATACTCACTGTATCAGAGACATTTATGGCTCACTGGCTGCCAACACACTTCTCACATTTCCTAGCCCCTCCCACAGTTGGTCGGGGCCATTCAACAGTTTTGGTCGATGTGCTGTGAATAGCAGTGATATGTGTACTTCAAGTCTGAAGAATGTAAGAATGGATATGGATTCCCTATATTTTTTTCTTCTCTCCTTTAGCAACCCTGAAAGTCATAATTTCCCAGTGACATAGCTATGAAATGGAAGTAGAAGGGATCTCTGAGTTGTGGCTTAAAAAAGAGCTTCCCTGGCCAGGCATGGTGGCTCACACCTGTAATGCTAGCACTTTGGGAGGCCTAGGTGGGCAGATTGCTTGAGCCCTGGAGTTCAAAACCAGCCTGGGCAATGTGAAGAAACCCTATCTCTACCTAAAATACAAAAATTAGCTGGGGGTGATGGCTCATGCCTATAGTCCCAGCTGAGGTGGGTGGATCACTTGAACTTGAGAGGTGGAGGTTGCAGTGAGCTGAGATCACACCACTGCGCTCCAATCTGGGTGACAGAGCAAGACCCTGTCTCAAAAACAAAGAAACAAACAAAAAAATAGAGCTTCCATGACCTATGGAGGGAACAGCCAGACTTACAGAGGATTCTACATGAATAAACAATCAACAGGGCTGGGCACGGTGGCTCATGCCCGTAATCCCAGCACTTTGGGAGGCCAAGGAGGGCAGATCAGCTGAGGTCAGGAATTCAAAACCAGCCTGGCCAACATGATGAAACCCCATCTCAACTAAAATATAAAACTTAGCTGGGCACAGTGGTGCATACCTGTAGTCTCAGCTACTAAGGAGGCCGAGGCAGGAGAATTGCTTGAACCCAGGAGGTGGACGTTGCAGTGAGCAAAGATTGCACCACTGCCATCTATCCTGGGTGACAGAGCAAGACTCCGTCTAAAAAAAAAAAAAAAAAAAAAAAAAATTTGTCTATTAAGCCACTATGATTTGGGGGTTTTTACTTCGGCATAGCCTGGGCTACCTTGATTAATGTGTACACCATGAAATACTATCATTTGTTAGCAGCAACAGATTAGAAACATACATAGCCTCATGGATAGATCTTAAAACCACAGTGCTTAATGAAAAAGTAGGAAAGAGGCTAGAAGGGATACTATAATATCATTTACAGAATTTAAAATAAGTGCATACAAATAAAATGGACATTCCACAAGAACACATCCAAATGAAAAGATACACATTCAAATGGGGGTAGGGGAGAGGAATTAGGGTTAAAAAGGAAATCAGTTCTTCTATCAAATAAGGGATTTGCGAGTTCTAATAATGTGCTAAGACCTAATGTGTGTGTGATAATGTGCTAAAACCCAAGGAAGATGACAAACCAGATGTTTGGCCCTTCTAGGCCGAAACAGAATCTGAGGCAGGCTGGTCTAGGGTAGCACTCTTGGGAGAGACAGGAGAGAAGTCTGAGGCCTGCTGAGAGATAGCGGGTAAAGAGAGAAAGAGAAGAGCCAGCAAAGGTGCCTGAGGAAGAGGAGTTGGAAAAGTTGAGAAGGTAAATAGTCAAGTGAAATGTAACAGGTTCTTGATAAACAATGCGGCTGGGAGCGTGGAAAGGAAGGTGTTGATAAAAGAGATATATTAAGATAAAGTGCAGTTAAATCCATCATTTTTACCACATTGTACAAGTCCAGCGTGGTTTGGCCAAGTTCATCTCTGCTCAGCCCAAACTCCAGACACTGGTCTCTCAGATGTTTTTTTTAACTGTCTCAGGGCTCAGGTACTTGCAGTTTCCTTTATCATCCCCCTTCTTTTCACGGCCCTTCTCATCATTCAAGTGGTCTCTCTGAGAGGCCCTCTCTGGCTACATTTTCTAAAGTAGCTTCCACTATCACTCTCTCTCCCACTGCTTTATTTTCAGCACTACTCACTACCTGAAAGTAAAGTATGTCTTTACTTTCTATTATCTTTTTCTCCACAAGACTGCAAGCTCCATGAGAGCAAGCCCTTGTCTTGGTTATTCACCATCATATGGACAGTGGTTGGCACAGTGGGTGGCACATGGTAGATACTCAATAAATATTTCCTCCATTAAAGGCTTGTGAAGAAAGCTAAGTGGACTCTGATATGTTCCACCCAAGTGATGGAGTATATGGAGATGCTGTTAACTGAGAGGAATGGTGAGAAAGGGAAGATGTTTTGAGGATGTTCAGTTTTGTAAATGTTGGGTTTTGAGGAAACCCATGACATATCCAGGCGGAGGTTGTCAACAGGTCATGAGTCAAAAATTGGGTGAAACCTGTAGATTTGGGAGCTGTTGGCAGGTCACCGTTGAAACCTTGAGGAGAAATGAGGTAGCAGAGAGTGAGTAAACACTGCCAATTGAATGAGGTCATTATACGCAATGCTTAAGCTCCACTGTGGAGCCTAATCTTAGATCTATGAAATCTGGCTCTGAATTCCACTTCCATGTAAAAAATACAGAAGCAAGATTCCTCCACATTTGCCCATTGTCTGACAGATTGAGACAGAAACAATCCCTGTCATCCAGGGAGCTTATGCTTAGCTAAAACATTCCATGTACGCTGAAGTTAGGAACACCAATTTCCTAGCCCCTGCTACCTAAGAAGCATTGTTCTGGCTTGGAGTTGCCCACCAGAGCCATCTCAGGCTACAAAGGCTGAAAGATTACAAGAGCCAAAACACATCAGTTTTGAAGAGAAAGTTATCCTAACAGTTCTGTTCAGATCAAGATGAACTTTAAATAATCCATATCCACCACAGGCTTCTTACTAAGCAGTTCAGGACTCTGGTCAAATTGCCCACAGTCAGACTGAAAAGAGAAGGGAAATCATGATCCTAAGCACTAAAATAACTCGTTTCTGGTTGCACATTAGAATCACCTGGGAAACTTGAAAAACAAACACTGCCTGATTCCCACCCCATGCCAATGAAGTCAGAACCTCTGGGGGTGGGCCTTGGACGTCAGTATTTTCTTAAAGTACTACAGGTGATTTTCATGTACAGCTGGTTTCAAACTAAAAATGTGTCACTGGAAAAATGTTCCTTTCTTCTTCCCCCTCTTTCTTTCCTGGAAATAATGAAAGGACATAAAAGTCATCTCAGCATGTATACCTCCCCATTGGTCAGACTTTAGCCATTAGCTCCTCTTGAGCTCTGCCCAAGAGTGGCAGCTGGATGAGTCAGTTATCTCCCTGTTCTCAAGGAGCCACTGGAACCTTGGGAACCCACTGGGGAAATAAGCGGGAAAAAGGGTGAGTAGATCAGACCCCACGAACAGTGGGATAGTTTTGCTATAACTGCTGACTCATTTAGCTGGCATTTCCCTTTTCCTCTTCCTTTGCCATAACAATAGTCAAATCCTAGAACATCAGACCTGTGAGAGGTCTAAGTCCTCGCCTCATCCAAGAATCCTGTTAGTAGTGATGGTGGTTATGGGGACATTGCAGAGTAATGAAGTGACCCATCCAGATCACATGTGTATTCCATGCCTCATCCTATCCCCCCACCATTTACCTGCCTCCTGGAGACATTCAGAGAATATGCACACTAATACACCTAAGGGATGGACCTCAAGTATTCTAGCTACCACTTAGTGAGGGGTCGGGTCTAGAATTAATTTTCAAACTTCTTCAGAAGAACAAGTGTGTCACATTCCAGGAGTGGGAAACATAATGGCCTTAAATACTGTGTTGAATGACAACTGAATGAAAGTATTTGACACAACCCACCATTGCCTCATTCTTTTTTTTTTTTTTTTTTTTGAGATGGAGTTTCGCTCTTGTTGCCCAGGCTGGAGTGCAATGGCGTGATCTCGGCTCACCACAACCTCCTTCTCCCGGGTTCAAGTGATTCTCCTGTCTCAGCCTCCTGAGTAGCTGGGATTACAGGCTCATGCCACCATGCCCAGCTAATTTTTGTATTTTTAGTAGAAACAGTGCTTCATCATATTGGTCAGGCTGGTCTTGAACTCCTGACCTCAGGTGATCTACCCATCTCGACCTCCCAAAGTGCTGGGATTACAGGCATGAGCCACAGTGCCCAGCCCATTGCATCATTCTTCAAGCCATCTTCTTAGTGACAGGACATGTTCCTGGTTGTCCTCTTACCTTTCTAAAGAATAGTTCCTTCTCCATTGGCTTCTCTGCTCCTCTTCCTCCTCACACTAGCCTCACACTTTTCTTGGGGTGAGGGGGTGGGGTCCTGAGGCTTCTCTGCAGAGTTAGAGGTCTCTTCAGGACAGCTTGAAACATGATCCAGCCTTAGTCCCTTATTTGGCAGGACTGGAAACTGAGGTCCAAAAAGGATATGTAATCTACATAAAGTCATGGGAATAATTTAGTGACACAATTGGGACTAGAACCTAGGTCTCCAGATCTCCAACTGCATTCACTGCTCAGTTCATCTTACCACTGACTTGAACACAGGAGGAAGAACACCAAAGAGTGTTGCTGATCTATATGAAGCTCTTTGTTCTTCATCTTCTAAGTCCTTGTTATTCAAAGTGTAGTCCATAAACAGCAGGCACTATCTAGATGCTTATTGAAAATGCAGACTCTCAGGCCTCACCCAGACCTACTGAAAGAATCAGAATCTGCATTTTAACAAGATGATCAGGTGATTCTAACACACATTAAAATTTGAGAAGCACTTTTCTAAATCACCATTTAGGTATTCATTCATGCAAGTATTTACTCAACATACACTGTGTAAAACAAAATGATAGGCACTGAGAAGTTTATACTACCAGAAAAATAATACAAATAGAACTTGTTTTAACACTTTAAAAATTTTAGAAATAATGGCAAATTAAGGTATTTAGTTGGATACCACTGATACATGTGGATATGATAGTCAATTTCTACATCAAAATAATTTTAGGTTTAAATATCGTAATAACATGATAAAAATAAAAATCCGAACACCCATCATCCTGGTATCAAGTGCATGTGTCAATTTCCAAAGCTCTCAAATCATTCTCCATTGCTATCCAAAGCCTTTGCTTAAATCAAAACCATGATGCACAACTGACTCTGGTTTTGTGTCAAAGCAAAGGATGGAGTACCAATTCTGTTCTCTTTATTGCAAAATTCCTGGCACAGAATAACTTTACTACCCTAGCAATTGTTGCACCTTTCCCAATTTCCTTGATCTTCCTGTTGTCAAAAAATGATTTCTGGCATGGAATTAAGCAAACCCAAAGCACACCTGATGTCTGCCAACTTTCCTTCTGCCTTCTCTTATTAACACTGAATTTCAAATCAAGAGCCTTGGCCTTTCCTTGTTTCTTGGCAACAGAGCTTCCAGAGGAAGTGCAAGAGTGAGGACACACACAAAGACTGCAACAGAACAAAGGCAGAGAAGACAAACACATGCACAGGGAAACATAAAACCTGTGAATGTGGGAACAATCAGGCCCCCATTGATATAATGACATTATTTATCAAACCCCAGGTGTCACAGCTCCTCTGTCCTCTGCTCTAGTGCTGTCTTTGTGTGTTCATGCAACAAACAGTATTTGTAACATTCTGGATGATGTTTCTAATAAGCTGCTAACTGTAAATAAGATCAAGTCTGAACTCACAGAAACAAAAGCCCTTGGAGTAAATATAATTGAGAAGAAAAGCAATACATGTACAAGACAGTTATATCAATACAAGCTCTGATGTGACAAAGTAACCACATGAGGAACAAACATGATAAGCACACAGATTCTCAAAGAAGATGCCCAGACTAGAAGCAAGGGGAGAACTGTCCTTCTTCTCTCTCTGAAGACTGGCCTTTTTTACTTATCCATTTTCATGGCAGGCAGAAGATGGCCACCCTACAGCTCCCAAGCTTACACCTTACAGCCAAGACTATGGAGAAGAACCGTCTCTCACAGTCACAACTCCAAGTTCCCAATACAGGAAATGATTTGTCAGGTGTCTGTCCCTGCACCAAGCAGCAGTAACCAAGATCTGTCAGCAATGCCTGACTGCTAGGAGTCCATGCCTGTGGACCATATAGAGGAGAGGTCTTCAAATAGAACATTTGTTGACTTGTGACCTGGGCAGATAAACCAATAGTTGTCCACCTGGGAACAAAGAGATGCAGCCACAAACATGAGCATCAGCCAGCAGCAGCACCAAATCCAGGACTATCTGCCTGAGCCAGGGGCCCGGCTGGAACCTCACTGTCAGAGTTATGTGTAGGCAGAACAGCAGCATTTCATAGAAGTTTAGAGGGAATAGTCACTCAAGGCTAAAATGCTGGAATCTTCTCAAACTCACATTCCTTCACCTTTTAAGTCTGTTAGATATTCCATATCTGATTGTTCATTTGTTTGTTTTATCATTTTAGTGCCTTCTTCTCCTGAAACTCACTTTGTCCCACCTTCTCCACTGGGGCTACTATTCTTATAGTGCAAATACTCATCTTCTAGTACAAATACATCCAGACCAGAGTCAGGAACGAGAAGCCTCTAGTCAGTCTTCAATTTTCCCATTATGGTTCCTTCTTCGGGTTTATTTTCTAAAGAATGAACAAACATGGGATTATTCAACTAAGGGCTGAATGTTAAAATACAAGTTTCATTGTGGCTCTAGAAAGTTGAGGCCTGAAGTGAATGTGGATCATGTTCTGGACCAATTCTGATGTGTTGAAAAAGCTATCATACAATATACCTGCTAATTTATGCAAATTATATGTTGACTGTAGGTAATAAATGATATTGGCAAGTCATCACCTCACACACTATGCTTTAACAGCCCTATCAATCAGCATATTGTGTCAGTTACAATAGGGTGCTTTTGGCTGCAGATAACAGAAAACAACCTAAACTAGCTTAAGTAATAAGTCATTTTATCAAATAACAAAAGGTGAAGGTATGGTGGTCTAGGATTTAGAAGCTGAAAAATATCATTGAGGACCAGAATCTTTTCTTCTTTCCCTTCTGCCATCCTCACTGTATTAGTTAAACCTGTTATCTGGCTCCCCTCATGACCCCAGGATGGCTGCCATAGTCCTAAATGCCAAGAGTAGAAAGGATGATTCCTCCGAAAAATTTGTTTTTAATCAATGAGGAAAATATTTCCCAGAAGTCTCCAACAGACTTCCCCTTCTCTCATTGGCCAGAATTCTGTCACATGCCCATGCTTAAACCAATCATTGGCAAGAGGAACAGGACCACTATGTTTGGCTTAGGCCAATTAGAATTCACCAGGGACGAGGAGGGGCCAGTCTCGCCTAAAGCATCTATCTGATACCCAAAATTTTGGGAGTTCTATTAGTAAGGGCTATAAGTAGGCAACCAATGGCGTCTTCCACAGCTCCCACTTCTAGGAAGACATTTCTGGCACTAAAATGAAGATGCCTTTTTTTTTTTTTTTTTTTTTTTTTTTTTTGGAGACAGAGTCTCGCACTGTCGCCCAGGCTGGAGTGCAATAGCGCAATCTCAGCTCACTGCAACCTCCACCTCCCCAGTTTACCCGATTCTCCTGTCTTAGCCTCCCTAGTAGCTGGGATTACAGGCACACACGACTACACCCGAATAATTTTTTGTGTTTTTAGTAGAGATGGGGTTTCACTATGGTCTTGAACTCCTGACCTCGTGATCCACCCGCCTTGGCCTCCCAAAGTGCTGGGATTACAGGCGTGAGCCACCGCACCCAGCCCGAAGATAACTATCTTATCAAAGATATAACCAGGATTAAAAAGCTGCTTTCACACTGCCAGCTGTCCTGTTCCAGCTATGTGGGAAACTCAACTGTGCCTAACTGTATAGCAATAATAAAAGCAATAATGAAACAATAACAACAATTACTGAGCACTCACCATATGCCAGGCCCTGGGTTAAGTGCCTTACACACTAGAAGGGATACTGTGCAGGGTGAGGCAAGTGAGGTGCAAAATTTAAAAAGGTACTTGCTCTCAGGGTTGTTCATGTGCATGTTGGCACCTGAGAGTGGATGCCTCCTTAAATGTCACACCCTAGGATCCCCTCTTGCTTCCCCCTAGTGTCAGCCCCAATGCTGCAATGTGCCACCCAGATCTACCACAACATTCAGAATCAAAGTACTCATTTCCCAGTGTTGGGAGTGTGAGGCTGAGCACTGTCAGCTGAGTCCCTCACAGGGAATTTCTTTCAGCAGAAGATAATTGCCTTGCCCAGGTTCATCCCCTTCCTGGGGGCAGCCCTTATCCAATAACTGTTGAGGGTAGAAGTATGAAGTTCCAGCACTTTTGCATCAACCTGGGTAAACTCTGAGATGTCATCCCATACTCAGAGTAGCCCATAGTACTGGCTCAGAGCTTTCATGTAACTGCACTGCAGTTCATCTCCTTCTGACCCATCTTATTTTCCTCACTCACAAAAGCAGTCCCCAGTTACCTCTCAGCATGCTTATCTCCATCTCAGAGCCCATTTCTTAGTGAGTATGTCTAGCAAAAGTTGTTGCAGGAATGGTCTAAAGAAGCAACATTAAAATGGGCTACAATGAGGAACTCAGTCCTAGTGATAAGATGAAGCACTGAGATACACTGATTTGTAACCACAGTGAATTTTTTTAAATTTGCACTAGGATGAACTAGGGTGGGAAACAGTAGAAGGGAATGCACTGTCAGATGCAATGTATTAAGTCGTTGAGCTATGGGTTGGATAATAATTATAAGGGCTATGGAATTTGATGGCTGTTGTCAGGGAGAGAGATGTATTGAGTAAAAACAGTGAAAGACTGAGTGTGATCAATCACTATTTAAAATTAAATGTGACTACCAGAGGCCTTATTGGAAACACATAGAGAAACTCTCATATCCTGCAGCCAGAGGGCAGAAAACGCTGAGTATCAGACCCAGGACTTCATTATAAAAATAGCAGAATCACAGAGGAAATTGAATTCTCAACCCAGAAGGTATTCCACATCAGAGTCTGGTCTCTAATTATGAAGGGGTGAGACACTGAGACTTGGAATGGGGAAATTTATGTTGATACACTCATAAATCTCAAATCCCCAGATTCTCCACCCCACCCCCAAACTTCCTGAGCCTAAAGAATTGGCTCACTCCTTTCTAATAAATTCTATCACTACCTCTTACCTGAAGACAGGTAAGCCCTCTTCTAAAAAAACACTTGCCTGTGCTGGGCAGTCTTTAAAATAGCCCCAATGGTCCCTGCCTTCTGACAGTCCCACCCTTATGTAGTCCTCTTCTACTTTGAATAGAGATGACTTTTGTAACCAATAGGATATTTCAGAAACAACAGAGTGTGACTTCTGAAGCTAGGCCACAAAAGGAATTGTGGCTTCCTTCTTGCCATTTTCGGATTATCCACTCTAGGGGAAGCTACCTCCTATGTTATGAGTATACTCAAACAGCATGACGGAACGATCCATGTGTCAACAAACTGAGGGTTGCTGCCAATAGCCAGTGAGTAACTGAGACTTCATGCCAAAAGCCATGTTATGAACCATCTTGGAAGTAGGACCTCCATCCCCAGTCAAGCCTTCAAATGGCCACAGCCCTAGCCAACATTTTGACTGAAATCCCATGGGAGACATTGAGCCAGAAATCCTGAGATAATAAATTTTGTTATTTTAAGTTGCTAGATTTTGGGGGTAATTTGTTATACAGCAATAGATAAAATAATACATCCTCTCAGAATCTACTCCTACCTCCCATCTTGGCCATCAGACCACTAACTAGAATTAAATCACAACATAACCAATTAAGGAAGTTCTGGGTCTTCCAAGGAAAGAAAAAAATCATATTCCCAAATAAACTGCAGTACTTAGCTAGCATATGCCAGCAGGAACTAGAATAATATGTTTGGACAGGATTTAATGCCCCAGAAGACAGCACTAAGACACATGTAGGATGGATCAGGTAAGTTTGGAGAAAACAGTAAAGAAGAAATGCCATAACTGCCACAGCAAACAGTGGAAGAAAAGATCAAAAGGCTCAGAAAAGTAGGCATGCTAGAGCAGACAGACTAAACAAGATGAGAAAATACACCAGATGGCTTTGTTCCATGATAGGGGCGAAAAGATATTCTGATTATCAAAGTGACAAGGAATACCCTGGTGAGAGGGCCACCAATGTCACTGAGAATTTCAGTAGAAAACATCCTCTACTGAAATTCTCAGTAGAATTCTCAGTGGCCATAGAACCAGGCTGATGGTAGTAGTTGTTATTACAGAGCTGAACTCATGGATAGCAATAGTGGATCCTAAAAAGGATCCTAAAATCCTTTTCAGGAAGAATCCTAAAAAGAGCCCAGGCAGCCACCTTTAACCACTAGAAGCAAGGTGGTCACAACTGTCATAATCCATGGAGACAGTTAATAGAATACAGGATTTCTAGGGCAAGTCATTAAGAGTAATGTTCAATATATAGACCCCCACTTCCCCCCACCCCCCCAAAAAAATCAAGGATTCGTGATTAAGAGACTAAGGGCAGCCCAATGAAAAGTCATTATCCCTGGCCCAGTTTCTGGATCTGAGCCAGTGTTCTGACCCAGAATCTACTGACTAAAGGAGGGGCAAGTTCTCTAGGAGGGAGGATCCTGTAACACCATGGTAAGTATATATAGTAATGATTATCTCAATCTTTCCCTAAAAGAATCTATGATCCTTTACTCAAGTAACTGTACACTTGGAAAGGGGGAAATCCCAAGCATTTTGAGAATGGCTGGACACAGAACACAAGTTTGCACTGAAACCCAGGGATCCAAAGTAACATCATGCTCCACAACCACCCCCACCATTAGAGTGGAGGCTTAAGGGGGCCAACTAATAAACGGAGTTCTGGCTCAACTCTGGCTCACAGTGGATACACTGGTTCCCTGGACTCACTTAGAAATTTTTCCTGTTCCTGTATTCATAACTAGAATCAACATACTTGGTTGTTGGCAGAGCCTCCACATATCACAGTGGGAAAGCTAAGTAGAAGCCACTGAAATTGCCTTTCCCACCCAGCCATGATAGTATAATAAATCAAAAACAGTATCATATCCCGAGGGGAACAACAGATCTAAGGATGCAGGGTGGTGATCCCCTTCACATTCCTACTTAATTCACGAGTCTGACCTTTACCAAAGCCATGTGGATCCTGGAAGATGACCGTGGACCAGCAAACTCAACTAAGCACTATCCACAACCGCAAATGCTTTGCCAGATATGATATCTTGACTACAGCAGATTAGTGTTGCCTCTAGTACCTAGTTTGCAGCCATGGATCTGACAAATGCATTCTTTTCCGTCTCTATCAGAAAGATAGATCGTAAACAGTTCTCCTTCACTTGGGACAGACAGTAGTATACATTGTCTTACAGTCTTGCCCCTGGGCTGTGTTAACTCCTCACCCTCCATCAAAATATAGTCAAAAGAAAGCTGGGTCACCTGCTATCCTGCAAAACATCCTATCAGTCCATACTACTTATGACATTATGTTACTGGGACCCAGGGAGAAAGAAGTAGCAAGTATGCTGGGGGCCTTAATAAGTCACATGCCCTTCAGATGATGGGAGATATACTCTACAAAGATTCAGTGGCTTGCACCATTGTTGGTTGCTTGCTTTCACCAGAGGACACAATAAGTTTCCCATTAAATGACAAAGTGTGGCTGCCACCCAGTTGCTTCACATTCCTCATACCAAGAGAAGAGTAGACAAGAAAAAGAGTCAGCCTCCTGGCATGAGTAATTGATTCTGATCCCCAGGAAGTGAGAGGGCTGCTTTGGGAGCAGGGAAAACTATGTTTGGCACCCAGGTAAACTGCTTGGGTGTCTCTTAATGGAAAATAGGTAAATACAGCTGTCACAGCCTAGTTTTATACCTGCCAGGTAAACCACTTGGACCAGATGGGACGGGGAAACTAGAATAGGTAGTAAAGGAGGAAGACAATGAGCATCACTTGTAGCCACCAGAGCAGCGGCTATGGTGAGAGCACTAGGTCATTCCATTCACCTTCCTCTTGTATGTTTCCCCAGGAAAAGAAGACCACCAGAATCTAGAAGAGCTGCTGTCAGAACTTATGATAGGAAGCAAGTGACTCTGAGGTGCAAAGAGTGGACTGCGGTGAACCTGCAGTGTATCACCCAGGTTTATCGCCCCCTTCAGGACTCAAGCACTCATTTCCCCACCTGCAGGGAATGTTGGTGGCTAACAGCTATCAGCTCTTGCTCTTCAGGCATTGCCCTTTGCTGAACAGTTTCTTTGCCCAAGATCACATCCCCATCCCAGGGACATCTGATATCCAATGATTAACTGATGTAGGGCTATAAGACCAACCTCAATTCAAAATAACCTTGAAGGGTTATTGCAGCTACACAGCCACTGATGGGATTAGTGAAGTTTTCTTACAACTGCATCAGAATTCTCCTTCTCCCTGTGCCCAGTAATGCTATCTACACTTTCCCAAAAGTACCGATCTCAAAAGGACTCCTCAGTAACGTTCCTGCATGCAAATCTCCATCTCATAATCTGTGTCCCAAGGAACCCAACCTGCAATGCATGCATTGTCTCATTTGATCCTCTCCACAAGATCAGAACTGCTATTATCCCTATTTTACAGTGGAAATTCAAGCCCCAAGAGCTTCAGTAAACTTGCAAACTCCCTGATTTTAGAGTCTATGCTCTTAACCAACCTGGATCAGCAAACTGTAATCCCTATGCTAGAATTAGGCAAATATTTCCCTGGATGAGACGCTCTAGGTGCAGCCAGCTGAGCACTAACTAGTCAGATGTTTCTTTTCATCATGTGTTCCCTGGGACCTACCTGGAAATTTCAAAGGAAGGTAAGAGAGAACTTCTGCAACCCAGCTCCTCTCTCCAGGCTCTTTAAGCCTCCTCACCTTATTGCTCTGGGTTCCAGGGGTCTTCTGTGAGCTCCCAATCAAGTTTAGCATTCTCTCCTGTGCTTGTGATGTTGTGCAGAGGAGTCCTCCTGACATGATCAGCTGCCACCCCAGCCACCTGGGTCCCAGATCTCAAGATAACTGGAGTGACCCAAATGCAGATCTTGGTCTTCTGAATCCAGTTGTTTAATAAGTGATTTGTGGCTGGACAGTTACATAACTGTAGAGATCACCCAGGTTTGTATGGGGTCTCACTTCCCTCTCCACCCTCAGATTGTCTGTCCCTCCCTAGAGTAAAGCTACGTCACATAGTCTCCCCCAAGTTCCAATGTGTTAGTGCCAGATATACGGAATGCTTGTTGGGAATGTGGCTTAAACTGTCTCTACTGTGACAGAAGGACAGACTGTCATCAACTGCTGCAGGTAACCTAGAAACCCTTTGTCTTTCACAACAACTTTTTGTTATTTTATTCTCTGAGCCATCTCTTAGACAATGTCTGGATTCCCATCAACTTCTGCACATAAACAATATTTATAAGTAACCAGGCAGAGCAATGGAGTGTGTTTAGTCATTTTGCATAAGAACTTCCCTTGCACAAGTTCTATATATAACTCAGTTGGCAACCCCCTTTTCTACCCATTGAGGCACCAGTGCAGAACATGTTCTTAGGAGCACTCACAGCCCCTCCACTGTGGGTTTCTTGAGGTAATAGAAAGAAAATTCCAGGTGTTACTGTTCCCCAACCCCTTAAATACACAGCCCCCAGTGTCTCCTACACTTAGCCCCCATTACTCCCAATCATGGTTCCTCTGTTTATGAAGGTCTGCCTCCTTCCTCTGCCCCACATGTCAACCTCATTTCTGTCCTTGTTCTCTTCCCATGGCACTTTCCAGCCTTCTCCCCACAGCAGGATCTCCTTTGACTCTCTTCAATAATCTGCATACACTGTGTGCTTCCCCAAGATACCATCCCTGAAGAGCCCCATTTCACTCTGACTATTCACAAAGCCTCATTAGCATGTTCTTGTACAGTACTCACTAGCTTTGAATGGAACCTCATGCCCTTTTAGAGTCAGAATACTAAGTTCAGACACTGCCACTTACAGGAATGTGATCTGGGGGAAGTTCCTTAACTTCTCCAAGCTTCACTGTTTTCACTTGTAAAATGGCAATAGTAAAGCCTACCCAATGTGCTTGCAGAGAGGACGAATGAGGTAACGCAGTAAAAAGTAACCTTTAAATTTTAAAGTTCTATATGAATGTGAGTTATCATTATTGTGTTGTTTCTCCCCTCTGAGCTCTCTGAGGTCACATCTTTTACTTCCTTTCTCTCCCTGGGTCACACACAGTGACAGTAACACTGTAAGCTAATATTAGATGCAGAATTAAGAATGAATAAAAGAAAACCACTCACCAATCAGAATTAGGCAAAATCCTAACCATATTAAATCTATTGTAGACTGTTCCACAGAGTCAATCTAGAAACTGCTCTATAGGGAAACATCCTGAAAAGACATGAAAATTCATTTACAGTACATGCTTGCAAATTTATGCTGAGAGGAAAAGGAATAGCATCAAAACACATCCACTCTTCCTTCTAACACAGGGCCAATGTTGCTAACAAGAGACAGGCTGGCCTCGGGAACACTTGTTAGCTTTTCCCAAAAAGGCTGCTACCTTTAAATGACCAGTTATCTCCCTTAAAGAATCATTTTTTATCCCATAATATCAGTTCCTCTTCAACATCTGATGCAACTCTTAGTGTTTTCCATTGCTTTCTAGCTGTGTCAGATTTCCCTAGAAGACAGAAATGAAAGTGATGACTAAGAAGATTGCACTGAAATTTCAAATATTTGGCCTACACATTGATTCCCCCACCCACCCCTCCTATTCCGGTCTTCTTGCCCTCCACGGGGGGAAATCACTATTTCTGTGCAGTGTAAAACCTTCAGCTTTCACCATTACATGTAGACTTACAATCTTTAAACACAAATTTAGTTCATTTAGTTGGAACCACACAAAGTAGAACCTACTTGGAGATTTCAGATTTTTTTTTCTATTTCCCTGACGATCTTCTAAAGATATAGAAAGTTACATGTCAGAAGTATACCAATCGTGATCAGTTTCCCCTGTCACTTAGAAGCGACAAAGCATTTACTTATCTCCTCCACAGTGGCCCATTTTCTATATCGCAATCTTGCCTCCAAGTCAAATTGTTCAAAGCACCATGTCTGGAATGAAGAAGGGCACTGGGAAAAAAGAAAAATAGCAAGATGGAGGAAATACCAATCATATGCAGTATTTCTTCAGGCCATCTCAACATACTTCACATTTCCTTCACAGGAACAAGATAAGATTTCTCAACTGGGTATTTCTTTTAAACGTCCAAACTTGGCAGTACTTTAATGGATATCTAAGATAATTAAATGATTAGGGTGACGTATTAATATAGGTCATCGGACGGGCACGGTGGATCACGTCTGTAATCCCAGCATTTTGGGAGGCCGAGGCGGGTGGATCACTTAAGGTCAGGGGTTCGAGACCAGCATGGCCAGCACGGTGAAACTCCATCTCTACTAAAAATACAAAAAAAAAATTAGCCGGGCGTGGTGGGGCACGCCTGCAGTGCCAGCTACCTGGGAGGCCGAGGCAGGAGAATGGCGTGAACCTGAGAGGCAGAGCTTGCAGTGTGCCGAGATCGTGCCATTGCACTCTAGCCTGGGTGACAGAGCAAGACTCCGTTTCAAAAAAAAAAAAAAAAAAAAAAAAAGGATATTTTCCAGTTTCCAGTACACCCTGTTCCAGATATGCTCACTCAAGTCAAAATTACCGAGTGTAGTGGACATTTTAGCCCTACTCTCAAGCAAAAGGCAGATTTTCATAGGTCCATTTCTACCATTATTTCACTAGGTCTCCCAAGCTTCCAAAAGGTAGATCATGTGCTCGCTTCAGCATCCCGTATACTAAAATTGCAACAAAACAGAGAACACTAGCAATTTTAAAAAATAAAAATAAAGCAGATCATTAGACGACCAAAACTGTCATGGAGGGATCTTTCACATGGACAAGTGGTACCCCCGGTGTAGTTCGGAGCATCCCACAGGAACTCTACACCACCTCAATGTAGTGATTGAAAGCCAGGCACTGGAAGGACAAAGTTGAGCAAAACCACCCCGAAACATAAGAAGTTCCTGGCCCTAGGCTGACTCCCTAGCAGGTCATTTTACACCAGTCACGGAAAGACAGAGGGGCAGGAGTTGAGGGGGAAGTGGGGGCCCAGGGAAGGAGTTATCTGATCAAGTCTTAAAGGATAAACAGGAAACTGGACAGCAAAAGGGGAAAAAAGTAGCCAATCCGGGCAAAGACAGCACCATCAACAAAGAATCAGGACGAACAAGAGAATGCCCTGTGCAAACATCAGCAAACGTCTGCCCCGTGTGTGTTTGTGTGCGGCCGCCAGGTGTGGCGTCATGGCTGCCATTTTGTTCTTCTCTGGTTGGCTCCTTGGGCGCCTACAGCCTGTGAAGCACTGCCTGACGCCTACCGCTCGCCCACCTCCCCGCCTCCTCCGGGCGCTGCAGCCTCCAGGGATCCCTCCGCCCCCCACCCCCGGGAAACCTGGAAGTGGCCACCAGGCCCGGTGGTCCGAGGTGAGCTAAGGAAGGAGCTTTACCCACCTCGTGGCCCGCAGTGATGAGGCGGCCCGAGCAGCGGGTCGTCTTCCAGAAGAGTCAGAGAAACAGTCCTGGCTTGCTTCACCTCAGCCCCCTGGGTTCCCTCCAAACCAGAGGACGCAGAAATGCCTGGGTCTGAGGGGGCTGGGTGTGCTCGGCCTGGGTAGTCTCGAAAGTCGCCAAGGCTACCTCAGAATCCCCCGCCCTCCGGCCAAGCTCCTCTCCCCCAGGCGCTGCCCCACGCTCCTCGCCGCCCTTCCCTCTGCCTGGGGGCCGGCGAGCTTGTGGCCGCCCAGATACGCCTGGATCCTCGCCGGGACCTCGGTGGAGCGCTTCCCGCCCTCGGCACCCCTACCCCCGGTGGCCCAGACGCGCCCAGGTCCTCGCCTGAGGAAACTCCGAGGACACCCGACCTCCCGCTCTCTCTCAAACCGCCCCCCTTCGCCCCCCTGCCCGCGTCGTTTCTTTCTCCTGCTCTCCAAATGGCTTTTCCACACCAGAAACTGAACAGCAAGTGTGGCCCGGCGCGTCTGGGGACAGGGTGGAGGGGGACTGACAGTTTTACACTCTTCAGTAGTTGTGAGTGTTGTACTGTTGTGTGTGGATTGCTTATTCCCGAAGTGTAACTTGTTTGGAAAATTAATTGCGAAAGAAAAGTCATTTTTTTGAGCCCCAGAGTTTTCAGAATATTTTGCGCAATGCCATACTGATGCTCGCCTTCCCTTTGTACTCAAAAGGCTTCATTGAAACGAATCACACTGGTTAAAAGTCAGTTTGGTTTGGTGTCGTGGTGGTGGTGGTGAATGAGTCACATAGGTTAAAAACTCAGTTTGTGGTGGTAGATCTCAGATACTAAACCCACTGTGAGATCTTAATCAAGTGTCTTTACCTCTCTGTGCCTCAGTTTCCACATGTGTAAAATGGGAATAATTATAGTACCCATGTCACAGATTTATGGTGAGATGAAATGAACTCACGTATATGAAGCACTTGGTGTCTGCCACAGAGTGGATGCTGGAGAATGGCTCACTGCCATTATCCTTATAGATTGCCGCTCACCTCTGTCACCTTTTGCTCCAGTCTGTGGTGAGAAGTTTCAGGGAAGTAAAGCATGCCTCTGAGAAGGATGATACGTGGATTGAGTAGAAAAATGGAATTCCATGTTGGTCAAAGGGTAAAAATTTTCAGTAATAAAATGAGTAAGTTCTGGGAGTCTAACATATAGCATAGTGACTATAAATAATAATATTGTATTGTTTACTTGAAATTTCCTGAGAGTAGATCTTAAGTGTTCACATACACACAATGGTAGTTATGTGATATGATGGATGTGTTAACTTGACTGTGGTAATCATTACTCTGTGTATGTGTATATATGTGTGTATATATGTGTGTGTGTGTATATATAAAGTCATCACTTTGATATACCAAATTTTTATTTGTCAATTTACCTCGATAAAACTGGAAAGAATGAAATTTGAGAGTTTTCAAAACCTTAATCTCCATCCTGCAGGAGAAACATTTCCTTTCCCCTGTGGCACACAGGACAAAGTATAGGAGCTGAGTCAGGGACAAGGGCCCAAGCTCATGCTCCTCCACTAGCCTGTGGGTTGATTCTTGGGCAAACTGCCAATGTCTCTAAGCCTCAATTTGTTCACATGGAGCCAAGTGAGCCCCATGTGTATGAAAGGGCTTTGTACCCACTAAAAGCCTGAAAATTTGAGGTGCAGTTATTTTGAAAATACACAATTGATGGCCTATAAATAGAACAGGTGAGTTAAGTGGAACATTGACAACCATATGGAAGTTTATACAGTGCCACGAGAAAAGCTTGATTTTTTTGTTAAAGCTCAGCAGCGGTTAAATCAACTGCTAAAGGAACAGCCCCTTCCCAGAATGTTTTCTCTTTTTTTGAGACAGAGTCTCGCTCTGTCATCCAGGCTGGAGTGCAGTGGCACGTTCTCAGCTCACGGCAACTTCCGCCTCCCAGGTTCAAGTGATTCTTCTGCTTCAGCCTCCCGAGTAGCCGGGATTACAGCCACATGCCACCACATCTGGCTAATTTTGGTATTTTTAGTAGAGACGGGTTTCACCATGTTGGCCATGCTGGTCTCGCCCTCCCAACGTGCTGGGATTAGAGGCGTGAGCCACCGCACCAACCCCTCAGAATGTTTTCTTGATGGGGTTGCTGGCACTTGCTCTTCTGCCACTGCGGTAGGGTAGAAAAGCCCTGTGACTCTGAGGGATTCCCTTTCTTTCTCTTCCAGATGTTTCCTCTGGGATCCACACTCTGGGTCCTTTCATATCTCTGGAAATAAATTGTCCCCTTCAAATTCAAAGCACCAAAACATACTGCAAGTTCCCACAGTTCAGGCTGCAACTACTTTTAATCAGTTCTAAGAAATCTCAGGGAACCAAGTTCATCAGTTCCGTGACTTCAGAATAAGTCACCTAATCTCTCTTGGCTGCAGCTTCCTTACAAGGAAAACGATATACCTCAAATTCTGAGTCACATGAGCTTGGCAGAAATGTAAACAGAGTTTCCACTGTTTCCTATCTCTCTATCCTTTTCTGGTTAGTTCCATGAACTTCCACCCCTAGACACAGGCTGAAATCCACCTCACCCTCAGCAACCTTGGATTTTGAAGAAGGTGGGGCCTGAGTTGTTTTGAGTTCTCAGTTGCAAAGTGCTGTTCTCAGGCCAGCCCTGGCCTACCTGCCTAGAGCTATTGTTAGTAAATTCTTGCTTAGTGAAGAGACAAAGGAAAAATGCATGTCTGAATGGATTAGCTTGATCACTCATTCAACAAATATTTACTGAGTGTGTCTATTATTTACCATGGCTTACAGTTCTCTAAGGAGGTGATCCACCTGTTAAGTGGAGGTGGAGGGGGTAGGGGAGGCTTCCCTGAGGAAGTGAGACCTGAAGGAAGAAGAGGAATAGTCAAGAAAGCCAGTCCACAGCCCTGCAGTGGGAAAGAAGGAAGTAATGAATGCATGGATGGATGGATGGATGGATGGATGGATGGATGGATGGATGGATGAAAAAATGAATGATTGAATAAACGAAAGGACAGACCAATGAATAAGCGGTCCGGCCTCCCCCTTGGTTACTGGCACGCTACCCTCATTGGATTTCTTTCTCAATTAGCACATCCTATTGCCAGGCACATGTGATGACATTCAATCCTATAAAGCAGTTATGAGTCCTGGACACCTACCACTGTGATGAGAAGAGACTCCTGCAGCACTTACACAAACATTTCCAGGGTTCCTACTGGTTGGAAAGCACTCATTATCCAAATGAAGGGCGGAGAAATCTCAGACTTTTTCTACTTCAGAGGAGCCATTCCTTTCAGCTTTTCACATTCACCCCCATTTTTTCTAGTTAATAGCTTCCATTTCAGCCCTCTCCATTGTCAACATCATTGAAACATCTCATATGGGCTACAGAATTTTCATTTTTTGGGTTTGGTTTTGCGTTCTGGGTGTGTGTATGTGTGGTGGTTTTCGGTTTTTTGTGTGTTTTTTTGCAATAAAATCCAGTAAATACCATATAGACTTCAACTGTGTCTTTCTTTCATGGTAAAAAAATACTCAAGGGAGATAAGTTCACTACGTAGAAAGAAGAAAAACTTTTGCTATTCCTGAGAAGGGGAGAAGGAGGGAAAAACAAAAACCCCTGTAAATGTCACTAGTGACTAACTCCATCTATTTTTGGAAGGCCCTAGGGGGTTTTAGGGCTTTCCATGCAATAGATTAAATAGTAACATTCCTCTGAAAAGGAATGTGCAGCCTTGCTCCCTGGAGTGCTCACCTGCAACAGCTGTCATTAAGGGCCCAAAAGGCGAGTGGAGTTGATGGGGCCCACAGCGCACAAAGCTTCCATCTTCACCTCCACCAGCTCTCAGGGACCATAGAACATTGGCGTCTTTTAAGCCCATGAGTCAAGTGTGTCCCTTGTCTGCTAGGTTTCCCCAGGCCACTGTGGACATGTGACTGTGCCTTTTTAGCACCTGCTTCTTCTGTCATGAACTCCATGCATACCTGACTTAAGACAGCAGACCTCTCAGGTCAGATGCCCAGGTTCATTCCCATGAGCTTGCCCTGAGCCCTATCAAATCAATGTGTCTCCAAAGAAATATACCGCTGTCAAAATTTAGAAAGCTCGTTATTGTTAAAAAAAAAAAAAAATCACATTTGTATTATGCTGGTATTTGTTGGAGGAGGAGTGGACAAAACAGCAAAGAAATATGACCTGGCTGTGGTGTTTAAGTACTACCATGTTTAAAAGGACTTATACTTGGAACTTTGTTTTTTCCCATACCAGGTTGAAGGTGTTAGGTTAAAAATAAGTTTTTACAACGGTGGTTCATTATATGAATCTCTCTACTTTTGTGTAACTTCATGCTGGAAATTTTCCACGATAAATGGTTACAAAAAGAAAGATAAGTAACACAGCATTTCACATGCCACAGGATCCTTGCTGCTTTACTTCCCTTCTTCGGCTCCACTAAGACTCCTCAACTAGCAACCTCTGAAAGATGAGCTTCCAGCTGTGTTATGCCTTAACACCTGGAATCCCGGATGTTGCCACCGGAATCCCAACTCATTTCATTTCAGTTGCTTAGAAGCAGGGCTCAATTTTTTACATCTTAACATTTTACCAATACTTCCATAAAGGAACTCTGTCCTCACCATGATAGAAATTAAAGGTTCTATTAAAGTTTTTGTCTAAGAAGAAAATTACATATTAACAGGCATTCTGGTGTTATTTTTACCCTTTATTTAAAAGGTTAAGGTTCTAAGGACATTAAAAAATTGCAATAGTATTATTGGGAGTAAATTTCATTCCCATGTTTAGGAAACATGAATTAGCAAATGATGATGTCATAGTTGAATTTTGCAATACAATTAAGGATTTTATAACTACCTTAAGTCTAAACCACAATACATATAAGGCATGGAAAATAAATTCTATAAATGTCATTGTCACAAATAAAAAATCCATTGAACATTTACAAAGTTAATAATAATTCATAATGTGCTTATGAATAATCATGAAGGTGAAGTATATTAGCTTAAGAACTTCTTAAGAATTGTTATAAAAATTCCACATTCCATCTACACCACTTCTGGTTAGCAGGGGTATTCTACTCCTAATTAAAAACGCTTCTCTTAGCAGATGTTTTCTAATACACCCAAGGCCAGAACAAGTTGGCTTCCCCTTCCCTCCTGCCCTGTAGATGGAGACTGGCAAACACATGGATAGGACAGACAGCTGAGGACTGAATGCCAACCTTAACCAGAGCACTATCCCACCCCATTCCACAGCTTGGCCCTGACATCAAACCAGCTTCCTGGGCTCCAGATTAGAACAGCAAGCAAATTCCTCATGTTCCATTAAAGTGTCCTTAGATAATTCAAAAGAAAACCTTACAATCTGCTTGAAAATATGGGTCATTTTGAACTAATAGGATGACAGCCAGTCTGAATTCATGAAAACCCACTTTATACTTTTTTTTTTTTCCATAAGAAGTGCTGCTACACCCCTGGGCCCATCTGCAGACGAGCTGCCCTGCCCAAGCCTTTGGGGAAGCAGCCCCCTTTATACTTTAAGTAATTTATAGAAGTTTTTAAAAATATTTTTATTACTTTCAAAATCATGATGTAATTTAGGATAAGCTGGCAAAGTACTGTTTTATGGGTATTTCTTGCTTAGTGGCTAGGTACGAAAGACTTCCAAGGCAACCATTCATTAAGTTCTAAATTTTCTAAATACAACTTGGAAATCATTCATTCTTTGAGTTTTGTTTGTTTTTAAGCTTTTAATAAAATTATATTCCCACTCAAACGTAATAACAATGGTTCTCACCAGTTAGAATTGAGATTTACCACTGGCCACACTATCTTAATTAGGCTATGACCTCTTGTTGGAGCAGGAGTTGCAGGCAAGCCTTCAAAAAGGCCATGCTGCACCACCTGGGCTTTCTCAAGAAACTCTGCTCGGGAGGAGAGGACCTGGCAATCTGGATATGCAAATGCAGAGCAAAGCGTGACTCAAGGGCATCAGTGCAGCTTCCCAGAGGTGCCCAAGCAGAGCAGGGGTGCCATGTTGAGGATGAGTGCATGCTGTTATTTCAGCATACAAGTCAGTTCGGGTCGCATCACATCCATGTCCCTCTCTCACCCTCACACACACAGCAAGTGCACTTGCTCCATGTATCAGCCTTCTTTCTCTTGCCCACAGCTGTCCTGCAGAAGTTGATATATTGACCCACATTCCAGAATCCTGAGGAAGCCTAGCCCAACTTCTTGAAAGCCAGCACCAAAATACTCTTATTTGTATATTAAATGAGAGAATCAAAATTCCAGTATGCTTTGTCTGATGAAAAAGATGCAGGGAAGTGAAGCTCCATGTAAACAATTACCCAAGTTCAGAAAGGCATGATTTGGCCAAGCAGATATGAATCATTATAAAAGCAAGACTTCTAGTTTTACTTGAAGAGTTAAAGATGTGTGTTTATTTCCTCCAAACCTACTTAAAGGACATTACAAAAACAAATTTTAAGAAAAAATAACACTAAGCAGCCAAGGCAGTCTGCCTGTAGGACTCCAGCCACCAGAGTGGGCAGAGTGCAATACCAGCAAAAAACAGGATTAGGGGATAGGGTCAAACTGGAATGAGGAAACATGTCCACACACATCCACACCAATATTGCCCATGTTGTCAACCTTTTGGAGGCTCAGCTTCAGAATGCTTGGAAGGCAAGTTTCTGTCCTTTAGGCAAGAGATTAGACAACTCCCCTCAGGGGAAACTAAATATCAAAGGGAAACCTGCCTTTGCACATTTAAAGTTCTTCCAATGGAAAAAAATGGGAGACCTGCCAGATCACCCTTCAGAGAAGCCCAGCAGCTAATGAAATCCCCCTAAATAAGGCTTCCAATCAACATTTTAGTGCCTCTCCCTTAAAAATAAGTGACCAGTGCTGGGTGGGGTGGCACAAGCTGGTAATCCCAGCTACTAGGGAGGCTGAGGTGGGAACATTCCTTGAGCCCAGGAGTTTGAGTCCAGCCTGGGCAACAAAGTGAGACTCCCATCTGTAAAAAATAACTAAAAAACAAAAATAAATAAGTGGCCAAGATATTTGTGAAAAGCAACTCTCTTGAAGGAAACTAACAGAAATAAGAAATTCAGAAGAAATAAACAAGGAGATAAAAAAATGTTTTCAGGTAATATTAATGTCCTCAGAGAGATAGAAGATATATTCATGAAACAAGACATCATTTTTAAAAAGAGAGCTCTTGGGAATTCTAAATGTGATAGCAGAGATTAAAAGCTCAATGAAAGGGTTAAATAATAAACTTGAGGAAATCTCACAGGAAGTATAAGATAGAGACAAAGAGATTGAAAAGGGAAAGAAGATTTTTTTAAAAACAGGATCCATCCAGGAAGGCCAATACCCAGAAGGAGAGAATAAAGAAAACAGAATGAGAGAAAGAGAGAGAAATATAATCCTGATACACAATGCAGCTCAAATGTAGTTAGGGCTGACATAATTTAGCACATCATAGAATGTCGAGGTCTCAGCCAACAGTGGCAAAACCAGAAAACCAACAAAATTTACAATGCAGAGTCCTCAACAGGCTCAGGAACTGGCAGTTTCAGATAGTGCTTCTGAAACTGAAGGTTACGGTGAAAGAAACCAATCTAGGATGGGCTGGGTAAAAGCTGTGTGAGAAGCAATCAGAGCCTTCATTCCCCTCTCTGCTCCACATCACTGAGTATGTCCTCTTCCCCTCCCCCATACAAGATGGCAGGTTTATTCTTTGAAGGAATCCTTCCTGACCGGAGGTCAATTGGCACAGCGGTTGATTTGAGAACAGTAACACAAACCATAAAATGGTGAGACCCGCAGCCCTTCTTCCCCAGCTCTGTTTCCCCAATTGGCCATCAGAACAGTGACAGCATACTTGTAACCTTGGCAGGAGATTAGAAAGGTTTCTTTCTGAGGAATCTGACCAGTCCATGAAAAAAGGTCAGAAAATACTGAAGCAAAAAAGTTTCCTAAAACAAACAGTGCTTCCAGCTCACCCTACAGTGAAGCTCAAAGTCAACAAGCCTTGCCTGCAAGTTGAGAGCATCCAATCCACTTTTTAGTCCTCTAATCCTGAACAAACATCCAAGGGTGCCAGATGTCTAAGGAAAGCCCAGGGCAAGAAAACTGGAGAACAAAACAAATAGATAAAAGCAATTCGGAGGAAATAAAATACACAGTGACTAAAACTTTAAAAGTATCATGAATACCCTCAGGGAAATAAGAGACAATGACATACCTTTGAAACAAGAGTAGGAAACTATAAAAAGGAACCTAGGACCAGAAAATAGAATTGAGGCATTCTAGAAAGGTGAGTAAAATGACAGAGGGGAAAACAAAAACAAGAAAATGAAGATATTAGAGAACCAATCCAGGGGTCTGAATATCTGATTAACAAGAGTTTCCAAACAAGGGAGAAGAAAGCCAACGAGAGGAAATCGTCAGTAAAATTATTCAAGCAAATTTCTCAGAAGTGAAAGACTTAAGTTTCCAGATTTCCTGAAGGGGCCACTGAGGGCCCAGAATAATCCAGGCAGATTATTGTGAAATTTCACAACACTGGGGACTAAGGGAAGATCCTTTTTAACCTGATTACTGGAGGATGTTCTCCCCCAAAATAAGAGAGTAAACCAAAAAAGAAGAGATGAGGAATCCAACTTGGGAGAAAAATCTAGAGAATTCCAAGGTCCACAGTGAAGGAAAGACTCAAGATAGATGACAGCTCTGCAACAGCCTGGAGAGCATTCAACTCAGAAGAGGAAAGGGATCGGGGGTGGGGTGGGGAGTGGGCTATCCTAAGAGAAAAAAAGAAAGTGATAAACCATCCAATGTTGGTGTCTATTAGAAGGTGCGTCTGCTAGAAGAGGTACAAAGAAAATTAGGCAAATAGGAAAAAAGGCAACAATTTCAGGAAAAACTAGAAAAGGCAACCATAGTTCACAGTGCTCAACTGGAAATTGTATTTGCATAAAAAGTTAGGTAAATACAGAAGTTTAATCAAAAATTGTATTATCTTGGGAGGGTGGGGCATGGGAACAATAAGGAAGGATAGTATAAGAGTTGGATGTTCATCTATCATAACAGATGATTATGTCTAAAAGTCACCATTGCAAACAGTATATCTAGGCATATCATTTAGAAGTACTGAGATGTATATGCAAGAAGAAATGGCTAAAAGAATCAAAAGTAGTTGCCTCTAGGAAGAAGCAACGAAAGAGTGTGAAGAGTGATACAGGGAACCATTGTAATTTCTTTAATACTATTTAACAATACTTTTATTTTTATTTATTTATTTATTATTTTTATAGAAACAGGGTCTTGCCATCTTGCCCAGGCTGGTCTCAAACTCCTGGGCTCAAACAAGTCTCCTGCCTCAGCCTCCCGAAGTGTTGGGGTTACAGGCATGAGCCACTATGCCTGGCTTAACTTTTTCAAAAACTAAAATTAAAAAAAAAAAATTCTTTTAGAGACAAAGTCTCACTGTGTTGCCCAGGCTGAAGTACAGTGGAGTGATCACAGCTCACTGCAGCCTTGAACTCCTCGGCTCAAGCAATCCTTTTGCCTCAGCCTCCCAAGTAGCTAGGACTGCAGGCATGAGCCACCAAGCCCAGCTAATATATTTTTTATTTTTAGGGATGAGATCTCACTATGTTGCCCAGGTTGGTCACAAACTCCTGGCCTCAAGCAATCCTCCCACCTTAGCCTCCAGAGTCACTGGAATAACAGACATGAAGCACCATGCCTTTTTAAATGATGTGCATGTATACCTTTGATTAAAATGTTTTTTTTTTTTCAAAAAGAGACAATAAAACAAATATAAAGGATGTTAGTTCTTAACTAACTCAACTTATCAACTCCTCCAGATAAGGGGTCTTATTCCCCTTCTTCTCAGCATCTGGCACAGAGAGGCACTCAACAAATGTTTGCTGTTTAATTGATTGCTTTATTGATTAATTGAAACAAGCAGTCAAAAATATTCATAGGTTTCTTGAGCTACACTGATAGAAAATTCTAGGAAAAAAATTAATAGCTAACACTCTTTAAACATCTACTATTTGACATCCTCTGTTCTAAGTGCTGGGCATTTATCATATTGCTAAATCCTCAAAACAATCTCACGAGGAAGATACTGACATTGTTCCTGTTTTATCAACAAAGAAACTGAAGGACAATGAGGTTGTATAACTCATTCCAAGTCACACAGCCAGGAAGTATCAAAGCTGGGTCTAGGCCAGGTGCGGTGGCTCATGCTTGTAATCCCAGCACTTTGGGAGGCCGAGGTGGGTGGATTGCCTGAGCTCAGGAGTTTGAGACCAGCCTGGGCAATATGGTGATGCCTCATCTCTACTAAATTAGCCGGGCGTGGTGGTAGGTGCCTGTAATCCCAGCTACTCAGGAGGCTGAGGCAGGAGAATTGCTTGAACCCAGGAGGTGGAGGTTGCAGTGAGCCGAGAACACGCCACTAACACTCCAGCCTGGGCAACAGAGCGAGACTCTGTCTCACCAAAAAAACCAAAAACAAACAAAAAACAGCTAGGCCTAAACCCAGGCTGGCTGACTCTGAAGTCTCTACTCTTGACTGATGAGCTTTATAATCAAGAAGGAGGTGTCCTGTGGTCACGCCACAACTGGAATATTATGTTCTGTTTTGAACACACACACACACACACACACACACACACACTTCAGAAGTGGAATGTAATCACAGGAAGTTGAACAGGATGTGAGGAGATCAAAAACCATAACAGTGGGTGTGAGGAATGGTTTTTAGATGAAAACAGTCTAATCATGCTTGAAGAGGGCTGATAAAGAACAGGGATTGGATTTGTTTTTTATGACCCAAGTAGTAAAACCAGAATCAACAGTAGAGATTAGTTGGGGCTATATTTCAGTTTAAGGAAGAAATTTTCCACAGTTCCATAGGACATCAAGTGCTTTGGAAATAGTTTCATTACTGAAAATCATAAGCCCATCAACCTCCAGGCTCGGAAGAAACTAAGGAATTTCATCCAGTCACCCTCAGGATGCTTGGATCACCTTTATAGCACACTCCTAAAAGGTCTTCTCAAACATCCCAGGGACAAAGAATACACCAGAGATGGCACACTCTTTTCTTTTTTAATCAGAGTTACCTGTGCACATAGTTGAGTCAAATCTGTAAGATTCATTAAGAAAAGCAGAAGTCCTTCCCTAGAGGCACCCACTTTCAATTTTCTTTGGTAATTCTTTTAGAAAGATTTACCTCTGTATTTCTAAATAACATGCTTGTATTGCTATTTCTTTATTTTTCCGTGTTAGGTATTCTCCACTAACCACCCACAATGTTGGATGAAGATTTCATTATTTCATTCCGCATACACAATACACACACCCTCTCCATGTTCTTATTATTCCAACATAGTTTATGTACTGATTTGGGTTAGATCAGTATTTAGTGTTCACATTATTATAACTACATAAACACTATTCAGAGCTGAGTCATGGGGTAAATCATAATTATTTCTCCTCTTCTATACAACTCTTGTGTTTCCCTGAAATTAATTGAAGAACCTTACTTTTTGTTTTCACTTAGTTTTTCATGTATTTATCAGTAATTCAAACCCTCAATTTTCTGCCAAATGTCTGAATTTCCTCTCAAGACATTCAGACACATCGGATATTCAAGCCATTTCACCTCTTTGAAGAAGCCTCTCTCAGAGCCTCTGGGCCTATCCTAATGTGAACTGATTACCTCCAAGCCTGGTGCAGAGTTACCATCTGGGAATTTTCCTTTACCATTTCTGGAGATTCCCTTTACCCTTCTCCCACTTTGTGTATCTCCAGTCTTTTTCTCCTTTGGTTTTCTCCATTGTTTTAGTGGTGCCAGAGTGGCTTCCTGAGAAAGGCTGTGTGGGAGGTAAACTTTTTGAATCTTTTCAAGGCTAGATATGTCTTTATTCTACCATAACTTGATTCAAAATTGTATTCCAGCTTCTCTTGTTGCTACTGAGAAGTCTAGAGTCATTCTGGTAGCTGGTTCTTTGTATATGACCTGTCTTGTCTTCCTTGAAGCTTTTTTTTTTTTTTTTTTTTTTGAGACCAGGTTTCACTCTTGTTGCCCAGGCTGGAGTGTAATGGTGCGATCTCAGCTCACTGCAACATCTGCCTCCCAGGTTCAAGTGATTCTCCTGTCTCAGTCTCCCTAGTAGCTGGGATTACAGGCGCCCACGACCACGCCCGGCTAATTTTTGTATTTTTAGTAGGGACGGGGTTTCATCATATTGGTCAGGCTGGTCTCAAACTCCTGACCTTGGGTGATCCGCCCACCTCAGCCTCCCAAAGTGGTGGGACTACAAGCATGAGCCACCGCGCCTGGCCTCCTTGAAGATTTTAATATCTTCCTGAGTGTCCTGAAATTTCACAATGCTATGTTGGGTGTGGGTCTATTTTCTTGCATTGTGGTCGGCATTCAGCACCACATTCAGTTTCCAATTTCAGTCAGGAAACTCATGTCTTCTAGTTCTGGGAAATGTGCTTGAATTACTTTGTTGATGATTTCCTCCTTTCAGTTTTCTCTGTTTCCTCTTTTGAATACTCGTATTCAAATACTGTACTTCCTGTACTGATCCTCTAATTATTTTATCTTACTTATTTTCCCCTGTTTTCTGTCTCTTTTCTTTCTCTTCTAATTTCTGAGATGTTTCCTCAACATTACCTTCCAGCCATTCTATGGAAATATTCATTTTTGATGTCATTATTAATTTCCAAGAGCTTATTTTTGTTTTGTTAATTATGTTTTCTAGCATCCAATTTTCATTTTGCAGTTAAAATATTTTATTTTCTATCTATAAAAATATTAATAATTTTTTTCCTTGAAGGTTTCTTCTGCTTGCATAATCCTTTTTCCCCGCTCTGAGTTAGCTTTCTCCCATTGTTTATTTGAATGTTTTGGTCTTTATCTTTCATTTGAGGCTATTCTCAGTGGTCTGCTATTCCTTGATTGTCTACTCTTTAATAGAGGGATTAAAAAGCTGATTGGAAGCTCTGATCTTTGAATATGGCTGTCCAATTTTGGCTCCACGGAAGGTTAATCTAGCTGAGCTGTTTGCTGGGGGAACCTCCAACCTCAGAAACATCAAGTATTTCTTCTTGGGCTGGTCAGATATGGAAGGGTATGCTCTTCTGTTCTTCTGTTTGGAAACTGGAGTCCTGCATGACAGAGTCTAAGAGCTCAGGGTGTTTTGGAACAATACCTCGGCCACTGCCTTCACCTATGCTTGAATCCACAGTTCAAAGACTATGTTTTATCATTTCTAGAGAAAAAAACCTCCAGGCTTCTGCTAAGGTTAAAGTGAGGATGGAGCAATGTTCTAGCATCGCTGAATTGTTGGAAGGAGAGGCCCAGCACTCCAACTACTTCTCAACTTCTCTTTACTCTGTATCCATAGATACGTAGCTGGTGCCACCAATTCCAAAGTTTTTGAAAGATTCAAAGTTAAAATCAAGGATTTCACAACGTTTCCCACTACCAGCTTAACATTCACCTTGCCCAGATGTGTTAAGTTGGTTACCATTTGTCCATCACTTGCTACCTTCGAAATATTTTTGCTTGAGCTCCTGTCTCATTCTCCTATCCTTGTGGGTCTGTGCCACTTAAAAACAGTCTTTATTTTAGTTTGAGTGGTTTGGGGAGAGAGAAAGAACTAGAAAGGTATGTTCAATCTGCCACCTTTACTCCAAATCTCCCCCATTCCACTTGTGGGCAGCTATAAAAGAAAATTTCTTCATATTGGTGTAACGTCTTTGTGGGAAAACTGATCATGCTATCAAAATTTTAAATGCAAATAACTTTTAGTCCAGTAATTTTACTGCTAAAAATTATTCTGAAGATATATTCATAAAAGTGGATGAAGAAATATTCACTAAACATAAATACATAATATATAAATACATAATAAATGAAGTACATCAATACTTGAAGAAACAAACAGGAAATAGTCTGTGTCTATCAGTAGGAACGTGAATAAATAAATCACAGTACAGTTGTCCCTTGGTATCTGTGGGAGCTTGATTCCTGGACCCTGTCGGATGCCAAAATCCATGGATGCTCAAGCTCCTTATATAAAATTGTATAGAATTTGCATACAGCCTATACATATCCTCCCATATACTTTAAATCATCTCTATATTACTTATAATAGCTAATACTATGTAAATGCTATGTAAATAGTCATTATACTATATTTTTAGGGAATAATAACAAGATTAAAAGGTCTGTATATGTTCAGTACAGGTGAAACCATTGCTTTTTTTCCAAATTATTTTCAATCTGCAGTTGATTGAAGGCTCATAAAGTCTAAGTAAGTTGTCCAAAATTATTCTGTGATCAAAGGCAAGTCATTTGACCCGTCTAGTCCTCAGTTACTATTTTTTTTTTTTAGATGGAGTTTCACTCTGTTGCCCAGGCTGGAGTGCAATGGCACAATCTCAGCTCACTGCAACCTCTGCCTCCTGAGTTGAAGTGATTCTCATGCCTCAGCCTCCCAAGTAACTGGGATTACATCGTGGCGCACACCACGATGTCTGGCTAATTTTTTGTATTTTTAGTACAGACGGCGTTTTCCCATGTTGGCCAGACTAGTCTCAAACTACTGACCTCAAGTGATCTGCCTGCCTCGGCCTCCCAAAGTGCTGAGATTACAGGCGTGAGCCACTGCGCCTGGCCCTCAATTACTTCTTTTATAAGGACCTAATAATGCCATCAGGAAATTTGCAAACTTTGTGTTTTATATAGCTGAGCACATGTATGTTTGAAGATGTGTGTGCACTTACACATTAATCTGCCTCTACCCCAGAAGAGAATAATGAAAACCTTACAGATGATATCAAATGACCTCTCCCAATATGGTCTCAAAAACTGTGACCTACATTTCTTCTCAGTTGAAATACCATGAGCTTGTGAATGATCGTGTGTGTGTGACTGTGTGTGTGTGTGTGTGTGTGTGTGTGTGTGTGTGTACACATATTCAGCTTCCCCTAACTTAATTTCTGTCTCAGTGGTGCTGGGAGAAGAAATCAGTTATTTGACAATTACGATAGGTCAGCCCTTAAGATAAGATAGATGAATGAGATGTGATCCTCAAGGGTGGAATATCTGAGCACACTTGAAGGGAACTCAGCCCAAGCAACGTGGATTATGCCTGTCAGTGAGCCCTGAATTATCTCACCATCGCACTGCTTATCTCACTCCTCTCCTGACAACTTGTCACTGCGTGGGCAAATCTGCCATAAGCACCTTCCTAGCAACATTCTACTCATGCACAGGAGTCTTCCAAAAACACACCCAAATTCCTGGAAAAACCATCCCCACCCTATTAACAGTCTTCCTCACTAACACCCTGGCCCCAGTACCTGAAGCCCCAGCCCCGCCAGTTGTCATAGCTCCACCAATTAATCAGAAAGAGAAGGTAGTTTCCTGGAATCATACCCTACCACACATTCAATGGAGCCAAGTATTCCCAAAGAGTAGCTGTTTACTGCTGGTCTCTTACCTTGCTGGCTTTCATCATTCTTTCCACAGATAAGTCTAAAGAGGGTAAAAACGGTGTCCTACTTTTGGGAAGTACCCAGCCCAATGCTACATTCTTTCTATTTATTCATTCTTCCATTGAACAAATGGATACTGAGCATCTCTCTGTTCAAAGCTAAATGAGAGACTCTGACCTCTGGGAACTTATAGCTGAGAAAGAGACAGTGAACGCAGGCAATTACAGTACAGGAAGACACTTGCTCCGTGGAGCTGCTTTTAAACTCACTCATGTTGTTTGCAGAATTCATTACCTTGTGTCTGTAGGACTGAGGAGCCTATGCTTAAGGGAGAGGGAGGCAGGGAAGACTCACAAAGGAGGTAGCATTGAGGCTGTACCACTCTTCCCAGGTAGATAGGAAGAGGGCACTTCAGGAAAAGTAAACAGTAGCACAAGGGCATAGCATACAACGTATTAGTATCAGACATACGAATGTCTGATAGTTCAGCATTACTAACACTCAAAGTTTCAAGACACAGTGGCCAGGTGGTAAGTCTGATCAAGTAGGCAGAGGCCAGATTATGAAAGGATTGCATGCCAGATTAACAGCTTGAAATGGGGAACCACTGAAGCAATTTGAGGTTTTTGTTTTGTTTTGTTCAATTAATTTCTTCTTAATTGACAAAAATTGTATATATTTATTATGTATAACATGATGCTTTGAAATATGTATACAATGTGGAATGGCTAAATTGAGCTAATTAACATATGCATTAACTCACATATTTTTGTGGGGAGAACATTTAAAATCGACTCTCTTAGAGATTTTTAAGAACCTATGTTAATGACTATAGCCACCATGTTGTACAAGAGATTTCTTGAACTTATTCCTCGTAACTGAAATTTTGTAGCCTTTGACCAACGTCTTCCCTACCCCTCAACCCCACTGAAGTATTATGACTCAGAGACTGATATGAACAGATCTTGTGTCAGAAAGATCTCCCTTCTTACCCCCACCCCCACTGCCAGCAATGGGAGCAGAATAGATGGAGGGGAATAAACAGAAAGGATTTAAGGCAAGATCTGGCAGGTTATGAGGGTGTAAACTAGGGCAGTGACCATGCAAGTGGCGGGAAAGGAACAGATCAAGGAGAATTAGGCAGAACTCACTGGCAAGGCTGAGGAGAGACATTGCCTCATCCATACATAGACTACAGAGGGTGAGCAGAGTCTGAGTCCAGTTTGGGACCTGTTGACTTGGAGATGCCTAGAGGACATGCAAGTGGGGAGATCAAGGAAGGGTGGACTAGGGTCAAGGTCTCAGTCCAAGGTTGGGTTGAGATAAACATATTCGGAAGTCACACCCATGGAGAATACAAAGTAATGGCTGAAACCACAGGAGATGATGATGCAATTCCCCAGGGAGAGTGAGGGGAGGGAGAAGAGAGGACCCAGGATGGATTTCTGGGAACACAAAAGCAAGTCATCTGGAAACTACAAACAGTTTGAAACAAACAACAAATGTGGTTGGCTCCACCTTTGGATCCTGACATTGTTTCTTCTCTTTCATACAACGTAGGTATGAACAAACTAGACCAATAATACCTTGTACATTATTGTACTGGAAGGCTTAAAGGAGTATGCAAAGTAAAAACTTACAGCAAACTATGCTTCCTTCTGTGCTCAAATCAAGGTAGAGCATGCTTGCCCTACAGCCATGTGGTGGTGTTTTCACAGTGGCTGTTTGCATAGTTGTCTTTGCTTGGGCCCAGCTACATTACTCTGTGAGTAAGGGAAGAGTCAGAGAAAGACACAGAAGGACTATTTCCCTTTTCTGGAGCTGCATGGCAGGGAGGTGGGGGTGGGGGTGGGTGCAAGGGGAGGCAAGAAGGATATAAGCATCAAGACATTGAGCTAAATGGCACAAGATATCAAGAGGGATAGAGGTGAGGCTCTAGGGACTCACAACTCGGAGAAAAGGACAAATATCTCAGTGACATGGGGAAAGGGATTTCCTCCCCTTTATTATAATAGCCATGTATGTCTATGCAAGTGTAGCTAATGAACACATTTCAAAGCCCAGTTCCCACCATGTGAAGAGCAGTAACATGTAATTTCTTCACATCTTGATTTCTATGGAGCAGAGGTTTCTCACTTCTTAGGAAACTCAAGAATAGGCAAAATCTAATAGCTGCTATTAGAAATTATGACAGTGGTTACATGTGGAGGGCAGTTATTGACTGGAAATGAGCTAGACAGAGTTGCATGGAGTAATGGAAATGTTCTAGATCTTGATTTGGGTAGTGGTTACACAGGTGATAAATATGTAAAACTTCTTTAGGCTGTACATCTAAGACTTGTGCATTTTAAGGTGTATACATTCCTTATCAATAAAAATAAGTAATATAAAACAAATTAAATGTAGCACACATTCCTACACACACACACACATACACACACACACATGCCCCAGATGGCTACAAAATAAGGTCTATGTATGCCCAGGAAAGAAAATGAAATCAAAAGAGGATTAATCCATTTGAAATCCAGGGAAGTGGAAGGAACTGGAGAACCCAGGGAGATCCAAGAGTGATGTAATGAAAAAGGGAGTAACGAAGCTGTGATCAGGGTGGAGTCAGCAGGGTGAAGCACCCCTGCTAGATGGCAAAGTCCAAGATGGGGCTGTTGGTGTGAGAGGCAGCAATGAAAAAGAGGATCATTAGAACTGAAGAGGTCTCCAGGGGAATGGAATAATAGAAGCCTCTGCTGCGTGGTCACTAAGGCTCCTTAAGAAGAGAGCAGAAGAAGCAGGAGAAGACCCCAAAGCATCTGGGGAAGTGGCCAAGGAAATGAAATGGCAGATTGAGATAGTAACAAACCACTCAAGCGATTCATGAAGATTTTTTGATGAGAGTGAAGGGGGGAATGAAGCACCTGGTATAGGGTATGATAGTGTTTGAGAAATGGGACTTTTAGGTGAAAATAACAAATTAAAGGTTAGTGTTACACTTGTGAGAGGGAAGAGAGAATTGTTGGTGTTGGGTCACCTCTGCTTTGCTTCAACAGCCCTCTACGCTATTCAATCAATCATAATAAACCAGTTAGACTCACTCCCAACATCCCCACCCCAACTAGGAGTTTCTTAAGGAAAGTGCCTGTGGTGCAGTGAGTGCTAGGGAATGAGAGGAAGAAAGGAATGAAGAAAGGAAGGAAAATGCCAGGGAAGGGTTTAAATTCTAAGGAAAACATCAGATTACAATTTTTTTGTACAGAGTCTGGCTCTGTCCCCCAGGCTGGAGTGCAGTGGTGCAATCTCGGCTCACTGCAACCTCTGCCTCCTGGGCTCAAGCCATCCTCCCACCTCAGCCTGCCAAGTAGCTGGGACTCCAGGTGCGCACCACCACACCTAGCTAAGTTTTGTATTTTTTTGCAGAGACGGAGTTTCGCCATGTGGCCCAGGTTGGTCTTAAACTCCTGGGCTCAAGCAATTGCCCACCTTGGCCTCCCAAGGTGCTGGGATTACAGGCATGAGCCACTGCACCTGGCATCCTGTTGGTTTTAAACTTGTAAATAACTTTCAGATTTATCTACTTCTCTCTGACTCCACCACCAAGTCTCCACCACCTCCCATGTGGACAATAACTTTCTATCTGGTCTCAGGGCAAACTTACAACTAAACTATACTGTAGTAGGGTAAATGGAGTCCAAATATTTTAATGCTGTAAAGTGCAGAAGTATAATACTGTAAGGCTATTGAAAAATAATATTTTAAATTTTAAAACTTTTGTACTTACTAGATGTTTAGGCAACAAACTTACAAATGAACTGACCAAGTGTCAAATGATCAGAAAGAAGTCATTTCCCAGCCCCTACCAAAGAAGTAGAGTTGAAATGAGGGTGGAGGCCAATTGACCATGGTATTACATTCAATGTCATGTCATCGTGGGTGGAGTGTCCCCAAGTTTTTCTGTATCAAACAGGGTGTGATTCAAAAAGCATCATCATCACCATCATCACCATCATCATCATCACACCTGCTTTCCTGCACAGAATGTTCCTCAAAGTTTCCAAGTGACCCAGATGAAAACGAGAACCTGCACATGCCCAGAGAGGAAGCAGAAGCTTAACCAATCTGTGAAAAATTCGTCTAGGAATTCAGAAAACCTTTCGTAAATGACCATCTGGTTCAGGGGACACAGAATAGCAGAGTCAAGTGACACAAGAGGAGGAGACAGAAACTCCTAAAAGTCTGGCTGGGAGAAACTTGTCAAGCCCCGCATGGTCTTCTCATACTTTCAGGGGGCTCTTTCTTCTCTTCAGCTCTTCATCTTTCACTACCTTTCTCCTTGTTGGTCTTATCTGGGCAGAAATCCTTCTGATAAACCAAAGAATTAGAGACTAATTAAACCATCTCTTGGAATTGTGAAACAGGTCCATGTAATGAGGAAAAGTCTTCTCTAAGGGTAAATTTTAGGCTCTAAGACACTTGACCTGAGAATTATTTGGGAACCTGGAATTGCACCATCTAGGCATCTACTTGGTATAGTATCTGAATCAATTCATCAGTAACAGTCTCAGTTGTTCCAGTCCTTCTACACCTGGGCACTATGCTAGTGATTGATTTCACAGCTTCTTCTACATCCTGCTTTCCAGCTTGTATGCATTAAGGTACATTGTATTTGGAGATTTTTTAAAGATGTCTTTTGAAGTAAATGAAAATTCTCTTTCATGAGGCCCCACCAGGGCAAAAAACTTCTGCTGCCAGCATGTACTTGGGGCTGCTTTCCAAAAACTACAATAAAATCCATAATCTTAGAAATGGTGATAACTTTTATTTGATGTTTGAAACTATGGGACGGGTATAGGGAAGATAAACCCAACCTACCATATATGAGAAGATCAGTTCTCTAACAGGAAAACTGTAGTCTAATATAGCACATAAGTAAGACCACATAAATAATTAAAACCAAGTACTCAATCATTTTCACAGGTACTCAGTTCATGTCTACTTAATGCCACTAGAATAAATATGTCCTAGATATAAATGCAAAGCCTGTCTTCTCAACCAAACTGAAGATGTAGTGATTTATATACTTTATAATATAACCTGATAATAAGAAATACTTAATTTCTTTTAAAACTACCCAAATTTGTAGGCTTAAACCATGTGGAAAAGAGAGAATTTCAGATAAGAACTTACTTGAAGCAGCAATAAACAAAGAACAAAACATCAGAGAAACTCTTAATTACTTTTGAATAAAATGTGGGTCCTCGCAAAAGACTAAAAAAATTTATTCCTTCAACATCATAGATACTGACAGCAACATCTTATTCAATAAAAGATTTGCTTTTCCAACTCAGCCAGAACACCAGTTTCTTCTTCCTCAATTTAAACAAACTAAATAGGCTTGGTGATTAACCTAGGAGAACTGTTCCGTATAAGAATAGTGCCTTAGAACAACTAACAGGAGTGCCTTGTTGTATTAGCTCTGAGCAGAATTTCTATATTCCAAATAGTTATGAGATATGGTTGACTGATACAAAAACCACTATTTATCTGTGGTTCTCTTCTTTCTAAACTATACATCTCTGGACCCCATTTCACCCTCTTTGAATAGGAATTTCTGAAAGTAGATCCCAAGAATCTGTATTTTTAAAAGCACTCTAGGTGATTCTTGGATTCTTGTGTACATTAAAATTTGAGAGCTACTGAGTTAAGACTGTATATGTATACAGTCTTCATATTCCTCTTGGATTTCATAAAGTAATGAAATTTGTAACTTCTGTAGATATTGTAATCCTTATTTTCAAAAGAGGAAGCCAAATTCAGAATAATAGACAATTTGCCTAATCCCCAGTAACACAGCTGCCACATGACAGCAGTAACATTTGACCTAATTTTACTGATTTTTTTCTTGTGTTTTATGCACTGATAGAGGCTAAGTAACTTACCCAGGGTCACAGCTCTTAAGGGTATAGTAGGATTTGGGCCCAGGCAGTGTGGCTCCAGGCTGATAATCACTTCTGCCATGTTGCCCCAGAGTTAGTGGAGTTTATCTACCAACACAACAAAATAAGAAAAAGACAAACAAAATAGATAAAGCACAACAACTTAAAGAAGCAAATCACCAAAAAGTATATCTGACCATGAAACGCATGTAAATATATTCAGACTCATAAGCAAAGAAATGCTATATTAAACACTGAGCTACTACTTAATACCTATCAAGTTGACAAAAATTTTTGAAAGTTAAGTGCCCAGTCTTGGCCGTAATACTGAGAAATGGACCCTTGATTGCTGATGGGAAAGCAATCTGGTACCACCTTCTAGAAGGGCACTGTGGCAATGTCATCCAAAGTCTTAAAATGTGCCTACCCTTTGACCCTACGACTTCACTTCTAGGAATTTATACTGAAGAAAATGTCAAATGAGTGCAACGGTGTCTGTACAATCATACTCACTGCAATATTATATGATAGAAAAATAAAAATAATCTACATTTATAAAATTGAGCTAATAAAATCTATTAAGCTTAATAAAATAGTGTTGCAGAAAATGTTCTCGACATCAAAATATGGAGAGATGAATTTAACATATTGCCAAATTTAAAAATGTATAGAACATGCTGGGCGCGGTGGCTCACGCCTGTAATTCCAGCACTTTGGGAGGCCAAGGTTGGCGCATCACCTGAGGTCAGGAGTTCAAGACCAGCCTGGCCAACATGGTGAAACCTCGTCTCTACTAAAAAATACAAAAATTAGCAGGGCGTGGTGGCACACACCTGTAATCCCAGCTACTTGGGAGGCTGAGGCCAGAGAATCGTTTGAACCCCCGAGGCGGAGGTTGCAGTGAGCTGAGATGGCACCACTGCAATCCAGCCTGGGCAACAGAGTGAGACTCCGTCTCAAAAAAAAAAAAAAAAAAATGTGTAGAATAGGAAGCATGGTATGATAGCTCTTTCATAAAATAAATTTTAAAATGCCTAGAAAGATTAGATAGATAAATGAATGGATAAATATAGACATGCTAAAATAATAATAGTGGTGACTTCCAGGTACTAAGATTATGAATAGTTTTTCCCTTGTGCTTTTTGGTGTTTTCCAAATTTTTTCTGTTGAGCATGTTCTATAAATAGGGGGCCAACATTCGTTCTTAAGAAAAAGGGGGGAAGAAACCAGGAAGCATCTTTCCAGCCAAGGAATAGACAAAACACAGCATCAGATTGCTGGAGGGAAAGAGAACAGAACAGAACAAGCATGTAAATAAAGAGAGAAGGAGGAGTCCTTTCTCAGTAACAAGGGACAAACATTTGGCTTACTGCACACTCCTTTGATGAGAGGCTGTCTCTTTAGTAATGCAGCTGGCAAAAACTCTAAAAAAAACTTCGAAAGGGTGAGAATGAGATTTTTCATTCAAGAACTTGGCTGCCCCAACCCTGACTAGCACAGCACAAGAACAGGGCAGCATAAACACAGAAATGCAAGAAGAGATTTGAGCCAGGAGGAAAAGGAGGCAATTCTCATAACTATCTTTGAGCAAGAATTTGGTTCACCAGTGCCATAGTCAAGGAAGAATAGGAACTTGGTATCAGTACCCTACTGCAAATCATTAATAATGTATTATAGATAATTATGTGGAAGTTAACTGCAGAGTAAATTATATCAAGTTCTAATTCCACGGCATATGCTTCTTCAATCCCCCATGATCTTTCATGTTGCCTTCGGAGGTTAGGAATAGTGGCTCCTCTGCAAGTCTGGATGAGTTCTACCTGACATCACATCAACATTCTGGTGGCTGGATTCACAGACCTTCACAGAATGCTGCTTTAACAATGGAATGTTCTGGCCGGGTGCAGTGGCTCATGCCTGTAATCCCAGCACTTTGGGAGGCCGAGGCGGGTGGATCACGAGGTCAAGAGATCAAGACCATCCTGGCTAACACGGTGAAACCCCATCTCTACTAAAAATATGAAAAATTAGCTGGGCGTGGTGGCAGGCGCCTGTAGTCTCAGCTGCTCGGGAGGCTGAGGCAGGAGAATGACGTGAACCCAGGCGGCAGAGCTTGCAGTGAGCCGAGATTGAGCCACTGCACTCCAGCCTGGGGGACAGAGCAAGACTCTGCCTCAAAAAAAAAAAAAATGGAATTTTCTATCTCTGAGGGTTCTATAAGAAAAAAGATTCTGGCACAATGCCAGCACTCACTCATAAATTTTGTGTTTTGTTTGTTTGTTTTTGAGATGGAGTCTCACTGTGTCACCAAGGCTGGAGTGCAATGGTGCGATTCCAGCTCACCACAACCTCTGCTTTCCAGGTTCAAGCAATTCTCCTGTCTCAGCCTCCCGAGTAGCTGGGATTACAGGCACCCGCCACCACACCAGGCTAATTTTTGTATTTTCAGTAGAGACAGGGTTTCACCATGTTGGCCAGGCTGGTCTTGAACTCCTGACCTCAAGTGATCTGCCCGCCTTGGCTTCCCAAAGTGCTGGGATTACAAGTGTGAGATACCACACCTGACCTCCACTCATAAATTCTGTTGAATTTATATTGTAAGGCCTTTAAACAGGTGGTACTTTTGTCCTAATGGCTGGAGCTGAAGATTGGAGGTTGGAAGCAGGAGAGACAAAAAATAAAGTTTTGTAGTTATGACAGAACAACATCATCACCGTCCATTTCTACCACCAATTATGTTAAAATAATTAATGTTCCATTGCTAATTTCAACACCAAAGGAGGATAATTTGGGTGTCATATGGAGAGATAAGTCAGAACAGCGCTTTGACATCATTCACGAATGTAGAGGGGAAAAAATGCGTCACTGAAGAGGATTATTTTAGTTTGAAGAAACAGCATAGAAGTGATAAAAGAAGCCAGTGGAAGACTATTAGGTTATGAATAGCGGTCAGGTCTCTTTCCATGTTCACAATAGGATACAAGAGCAAATAATCTCAACTAAATGAAACAAGAACCTTCTGACTTGCAGGAGAGTTTGGCACCCAAGTGGTTTTCTGAAAATGGTGATGGAGCTCTTCCTCCCCTAGAGACATTTAAGAGCAGGAGGATGCCCAACCCACTGTCTGGGGTAGTGTGGAGGGGAAACCTCCCTAGTGACAAAGATATGTACTCTGTGACATTATATGCGGCTTTCTGGTCCTGTGTTTCTACAAACAATGGAGAGAGGTTTATTTTTGGATTCTTAGTTATTACCTATCTGTGTTGATAGGTGTAAGTTACAAACATCCATCACATATCTCTCCACCCTATGGCACATTTCTCTTCTTTACTTTTACGAAGTTATCTTACTACTAATGTACGGGAAAGAGAAGTTATCTAAGTAAGTTATCCCTAGCTACTGCTATATCAGAAACCACTCTTTCCCTTGACAGAATGCTAAGGACTGCTAACACCTGCATGCATCCTCAGCCGACCAGGAATATCTTCAACTGCCCAAACCCTGTCTTGGAAGCAGCTGCTGCTCCTGAAGACTGCTAGGGAGTAAAGGGAAAGAATAACATGGAGTGGGAAAACCATTTCTTAGTTTTTATAAAAATGAGGATGCATGTGTGTAAATATTCAAACTGGAAGAGACAGCACTTTTATAAGGTTGGGGTTGAAGACAAATTATGGAAACTAAGAATGAAATTAAACAGTGGGTCAGGAAAGAGGTAACAGATCTAAAAAACTAAAAATCAATTTGCTTCTTGCCACAAAATTACTTTCTCCCTCAAAACAATTTTTATCACCCTAATAATTTGCTGGGGTTTTAGCAGGATTGGTTGGTTGTTTTTATTTCTGGGACACATGTAGTCCTATGTATTTAAATGACTTTTTTTTTTTTGCCAAATGTGAAATGTGGCCAACATTAGCATTCTCACCTATGTCCTCAACAGACGCTCCTGGATTTGTCTTTCTTTAGGAGAACAAACATTTTTTGACATTTACAACAGCCCTCAGGATTCACTAAGAAATTATCTATCCACTCTTACAAATCATTTAGAAAGACAGCAGGCCAAAGAAAAACAAAGGACATCAACATAAAGGGGACACTATACACGTGATGCTCAATATCCACGAATAACAGTAAAAGAGTGAGGACTAAAAAATGAATAATATTCAATGTTGATCAAAGCGTGGAGAAGCATCTATTGTTTGTGGGAGTATAAACCAGTGCAATTTCTCATAAGAGAAATTTGATAGACCTATCAAAACTGTAAATGCACATACCCTTTGTCCCAGAAATCTCACTTCTGGATATTTATCTTGCAGATTTAATATGGCATAGATCCATATTCAGAGATATTCATTAAAGCAATATTTGAAATAGCAAAAAAATCTGGAAACAATTTAAGTATCCATCAAAAAGAGAGACTGATTATAGCAATCATGGTAACTTCACATCGTAAAGTATTATGTAGTTCCTTAAAAAGATCAGGAAACCAGTCATAAATATATTTTAATTACATTGTATTTCATAGTCATATACGGGAACTTATTTTAAAAGTCAAATGACATTAAGATTCTTAAAATGAAATATCATAATTCCCTGTTCTCCTCCCCAGTTCCCTGGTTCCTTCCCCAGAAACACTCTTGTCTCACTATCTTAGCTGTGATATCTTCTGGCATTTACTCATCACCTTATTTCTAAACCAGTACTGTTGTTTCTGGGACACATGTGATTTTATTTATTTAAATGAATTTTTTGGCAAATACAAAATATAGAAGTATAATACAAGCCACATATGTAATTTTAAATTTTCTGGTAGCCACATTTAAAATAATTAAAAGAAATAGGTCCAGGAATGGTGGCTCACGTCTGTAATCCCAGAACTTTGGGAGGCAGAGCCTAGCAGATCAGTCGAGGCCAGGAATTTGAGACCAGCCTGGCCATCATGGCGAAACCCCATCTCTACAGAAAATACAAAAATTAGCCAAGCGTGGTGGTGCACGCCTATAATCCCAGCTACTCAGGTGGCTGAGGCACAAGAATAGTTTGAACCCAGGAGGCAGAGATTACAGTGAGCCAAGATTGTGGCACTGTACTCCAGCCTGGGTGACAGAGTGAGTCTCTGTCTGAAAAAAAAAAAAGAAAAAAGAAATAGGTAAAATGAACTTTAATAAAATCTTTTATTCAATCTAATACATTCAAAATATATCATTGCAACATGTAATCAATATAAATATTCTTTTTTTTTTTTTTTTTTTTTTTTGAGACAAGGTTTCATTTTGCTGCCCAGGCTGGAGTGCAGTGGCATGAACATGTCTCACTGCAATCCTGGGCTCAAGCAATCCTCCAGCCTCAGCCTCCCATGCAGCTGAGACTATAGGCACATGCCACCAGGTCCTGCTATTTTTTTTTTATTTTTTGTAGGTACAGGATCTCACTTTGTTGCCCAGGATGGTCTCGAAATCTTGGGCTTAAGCAATCCTTCTGCCTCAGCCTGCCAAAGTGCTGGGATTACAGGCATGAGCCACTGTGCCCAGGTAAAAATTCTTAATGAGATATTTTATGTTCTTTTTTTTTCTTCTTTACTAAATCTTCAAAATTCAGTGAGTAGTACACACGAACAACATATCTCAATTTGGACCAGCCACATTTCTAGTGCTCAGTAGTCACATATGGCTATTGAAGCTAGTGACAATCATATTGGATAACACAGCTCTAAACAGAATTCTGCTGTTTTTTGATTCATTATTGACTTCCTACAATGGGTAAATGATGGTCTAGCTCTCCTAGGACTGTACTTTCTCTTTATGACTTTATAATACATTATATTTTTTGATTAACTATTCAGTATTTGCATTATATTCCCATGCAAATATTAATCACAGCAAGCATTGCAGTGTGCTATGAAAGTGTTTATTCTTGTTTCTTTTCCCTGAATTTAATAATTGCCATTTTTTAAGCTTATCTTGAGAATCTTTATACCTATTATATTAACTCTTCCACACCAGCAAATGGCCTTTCAGTGCAGTGTTCCGCTAGTCAGTCCCATCAATTTATCAATTTCCAATGGTCTCCCCTCTTCTACTTGCTTGCTTTATACTCTTTTTTTTGAGACAGGGTCTCACTCTGTTGCCCACGCTGGAGTGCAGTGGCGTGATCTCAGCTCACTGCAACTTCTGCCTCCCAGATTCAGACGAGTCTCCTGCCTCAGCCTCCTGAGCAGCTGGGATTACAGATGTGTGCCACCACAGCTGGCTAATTCTTATATTTTTAGTAGACGGGGCTTCACCATGTTTGCCAGGCTGATCTCAAACTCCTGACTTCAAGTGATCCGATCCACTGGCCTCAGCCTCCAAAGTGCTGGGATTACAGCCATGAGCCACTGCACCTGGTCTGTAACCTCATTCCAATCAAACTAATCTTCTAGTAGTATATGTCTGTACTACCCAAAGTGATGCACAGAGTCAATGCATCCTATCAAAATTCCTACTGAATTTGTGGCCGAATTAGAAAAACACATCCTAAAAATCATATAAAACCTCAAGAGACCCCCAAATAGCAAAAACAATTTTGAAAAAAAAAAAAGACAAATTTGCAGGACTCACAACTCCTGATTTTAAAACATATTACAAATCAACAATAATCAAAATGTCATGGTGCTGACATAAAGACAGATATACAGAGCAATGGAATAGAATAGAGACCCCAGAAATAAACTTTCACATATATGGTCAAATGATCTTTGACAAGGGAACCAAGACCAATCAACGGAAAAGGATAGTCTCTTCAACAAATGGTGCTGTGGAAACAAGATACCTGCCTGCAAAAGAATGAAGTTGGATCAGTATCTTACACTATCTACAAAAATTAACTCAAAATGGATTAAAGATTAAAAATAAGACCCAAAACAATAAAACTCCTAGAAGAAAGGATATGAAAAACAAATTTAAAAAAAACACCACATAATTAAAAGAAAGAAAAGAAACAATAAGAAGAGAAAATTTGGAAAAAAGCTTCATAACACTGGATTTGGCCGTGATTTATTGAATGTAACACCAAAAGCACAGGCAACAAAAGGAAAAATAGGCAAATGGGACTACAACAAACTTTACAACTTTGTGCATCAATGGACACGATCAACATCATGGACAGGTAGACTACAAAATGAAAGAAAATATTTGCAAATCATATATCTGATAAGGGATTAATATCTGGAATGTATAAAGAACTCTTGTAACTCAGCATCAAAAAAATCAAATAACTCAATTTTTTAAGTGACCAAAGAACTCAAACAGACATTTACCAAAGATGACATACAAATGGCCAACAGTCATGGTGCTCAACATCACTAATCAGCAGAGGAATGGAGATCAAAACCACAACGTGATATCACTTCACACCGATTAGAATGGCTACTATAAAAAAATAAATAAGTGTTGCCAAAAATGTGGAGAAATTAGAACCCTTGTATACTGTTGCTGGGATTATAAATGGTGCGACTGCTAAGGAAAACAGTGTGGTGGTTTCTCACAAAATTAAAAATAGTAGTAACATATGATCCAGCAATCCCAGTTCAGAGTATAGATTCAAAATAATTGAAAGCAGAATCTCAAATTGATATTTGCATATCCATATTCACAGCAAGAGTATTCACAATAGCCAAGAGGTGGAAGCAACCTAAATGTCCATCAGTGAATAAAGAGATAATCAAAATATGGTATGTACATACAATGGAATATTATTCAATCTTCACATGGAAGAAAATCTGTCACATGCTGCAAAATGGATTAACCTTGAGGACTTTATGCTAAGTGAAATAAGTCAGTCACCAAAAGCAAATACTCTCTGGATCCACTAACATGAGGTATCTAAAATAGTCAAATTCATGGAAACAGAAAGTAGAATTGTGGTTACCAGGCTAAAGGGAGGGGGCCTAGGAGGTTATCGTTCAATGGGTATAGACTTTCAGTTTTGCAAGATAAAAAAGTTCTAAAGATCTGTTCCACAACAATGTGAATATATTTACCGCTATTGAACAGTACAATTTAAAATTTGGGGGATATTAAATTTTATGTTATGTGCTTCCTACCAGTTTTTAAAAAGACAAGTATAATGGCAGAAGATTTGGCAATGACAGTACTCAAGCCACCTCCTGAGTCACGATGTTCCAATCTGTACTGACTGCCCTCTTCAATTAATGTGTAATCGTCATCCTGGGATCTCCCTTCACCACTCTCCAGGAGATTCCCTTTCCCTTCTCCACAGCGATGGATCTTCTGCTTTCTGTATTCCATGCCTTCCTCTTTCTTGGCTTATTTACTCATCCATATGAAATGTATCCTCCAGGAGCTTCCTGAGAAAGAAGACTTAAAAATGTTTTTTTGAGTTGCCTGCCTGAAATTATCTTTTTGTTATGTGTTGTTTTGTTTTCTCTTCTCACTTGATCCACAGTTTGGCTTGCAATAGAAATCTAGGTTGGAAATAAATGTCCTTCACATGTTTGAAAGCATTGTCCGTTGTCTTCTGGCTTTCAGTGCTGCTGGTAAGAAGTTGCTGATCTCTTGTGCGTGATCTGTTTTTTTTTTTTTTTATTGTTGTTTTATTTTCTCTCTGGGAGCTTATAGAATCTTCCTTATCCCTAATGTGATAAAATTTCACATTATGCTGGAGGTATTTTTTCATCCATTACACTGAACATCACTGGGACCCTTTAACCTCAAAATCCACGCCCATCAGTTCTGAAAAATGTTATCTCCTCCATGTTCTCTGTTCTCTCTTTCTTTCCGGGAATTGTTGAAGCTTTATGTGTTTCTGCTAGCACAGGTCACATTCTCTAGGGTGTAGTCTTGTGCATGAAGAAATATTTTCCCTGAGGATATTAATGTCATGTTTCTTCTACCTGCACAAATTACTTTTCTGTTTATTTTGGACTTTCCTGTGTTAGATGATGTCCTTACATAGCTGGTTGTCTATGTTGATTGGAAGCCTTGAGGATGGGGCTCACTGATTTTGACCTTCTCTGTAGACTGATCTGGGTGGCGCAGGGTCCATATCTTTATGTGTTTCTGCTTAAGCAATCCTCCCGCCTCAGTCTTCTGAGTAGCTGAGACTACAGACATGCACCACCATGCCTGGCTAAATTTTGTATTTTATGCCTGGCTAAATTTTGTATTTTTTGTGGAAACAGGATTTTGACATGTTGCCCAGGCTGGTCTTGAACTCCTGGGCTCAAGTGATCCGCCCACCTCAGCCTCCCAAAGTGGTGGAATTGCAGGCATGAGCCACTGTGCCCAGCCTCCATTCTGCAGTTTTAGTGGAGTTTTTGGAATACAACAAAATTATGTGTTCAAGCTACCATAACCCAGCAGTCCCCTCAAATTTTTAAAAAAGAAAAAAATTCAGAACAGATAACATAGTATGTTCCCATTTACGTGAAAACAATGTGAGACTATACAGTGGTTGATATGTACTGATAAGTACAAAAAAGACATCTGGAAAAATAAATGAGAATGAGTTTTTTTTTTTTTCTTTCACTTTGTATCCTTCTGTACTGGTTGGTTTCTTTTTCAAAAGCTATAAGCATGAATAATTGTGAAGACCTAGTTTTTTAAAAAAAATCTTAAAGACCTAGTTAAAAAAATAAAATCATATTTAAGAAAGAGGGCATGTCACAAGTCAGGGTGAATCTCCCTGAACCTACTCTAGATTGTCAATGGTATCAGAGAGGGTTAGAACCACTTACACAATTGGAAAGCACACAAGCTCTTAAGTCTGGTTTCAGGAACCTTGAAAATACATTCAAGGTTTCTCCCACTTAGGCCGTTCTGCTTCCAGGAATAAAAACAGCCTGAACTTTAACTCTTGATCCAGAAAAAAAGGAGTAGTATGAAATAGACTAGGCCAGACCTCCTTGGCTTCTGAAGTACCTCTGACAAGACTTTCCTGCTCCACTTACCACACCCTCCCCAGTCCCTCACCTAACACCCGCTAGCTCAGGCACACCGTAATCAGGACTTCCCAGCTCACTGAAAAATGTCTGCCTGAGTGATTCATACATAGCATAGCCAGGGCTACTCCAAATCTGCCCCTGTGGAGCCTTCATTCTTTTAACAAATGTTTATTTGTGGCAGAAGAGTGTAATTATCTATCCAAACTATTAGGTTCAAATCCTGGCTCCTCAAGTGACTAGCAAATTACTTAACCTTTCTGTGCTCAGCTTCCTCATTTATAAAATGGAGATGATCATGATGACTGCCTTCAGGCTGCAGCAGAGACTCAGCGGTTGACACCTGTGAATGCTTACTGGGCATCTCCCTATACAAAGATGGTTCTAGGTCAAACAGATACAGAAGTCATCAAAATAGAGTTTCCTGCTCCCGTGGAATTTAAGGTCTAGTAGAAAAGGCACAATTCAGTTCTCTTAATACAAACTAACAAACAAAAAAACACAAATAACAAATGATTACACATTGTAATGAGGTCCATAAAGGAAGAGTAAAAGTACAATGAAGGTTACAATAGGGAATGTGCTTATATTTAAATTCTGGATCATGATTTCCCAGCTCTAGTACTGAAGTTACTTAAACAGAAGCAGCAGCCAACAGAGTTGGTGGGTTCAATCGATTTTGTGTCTTTTCTCATGTCACAAACTTGTTAGAGTTCAACAGGCAGGAATTCAATGGTTTTGCAACAAAAGGTACTCAGAAAAAGCTCCCTTTCTTTGCCAACAGTGAGTGTATGTTATAGAATCTTCTACTCAGGATTGCATTTTTAAAGAAATGTCCCTTGGCCAGGTGGAGTGGCTCATGCCTGTAATCCCAGAACTTTGGGAGCCCGAGGCTGGTGGATCACTTGAGCTTAGAAGCTCAAGACCAGCCTGGGCAACATAGTGAGACCCTTGTCTAAAAAAAAAAAAAAAAAAAAAAGGAAATAAAATAAAATAAATGGCCCCTTTTCTAAAGGTTTGATAGACCTTTGGAATATGTTAATAAACAAGTAGGCAGATTCCAATTTGCCTGTGCTTTGGAGAAAAGGAGAGCTATGCAGGTTATTTCTTTCCCAACTAAAACATAAGTGCCTATTTGCTCTCTAGAATTGTCAGCACATTCTAAGCATGAAGTGCAAAGGCACCACATACCTTATCTCGGATAGTCCCTAATATCACAATGCCAACTTTCTGGTTCTCTGGGACACTCCCAGCTGCCCCAGGGAAGATCTCAGAGCCTCCCCACCCCATCTCTCCCTCAGGCCAATAGTTTGGCCTGATTTAACCATCTACTAATTTTAGAGTCTGTCTAGGCATAGATTATAGCCTAAAGCAATTTGCAATTATGATTTACAATAGTATGAAATTTGTGACATGATCAATCCAAAGGTCTCAGAGAGCACCCTAGTGCTATGATTCTCACAGGCAAAGGAATTCAGTGGATTATGAAGAGCTACAGATTTCCATTTTCTTTTCCTCATTATCTAGGGCTCAAGCTTTGATGCAAATCATGACAGTCTGTGGCCTCCAGCCTGACTCTGTTTCTGGTTTTAATGATCAAAGGGATTTCCCCAGCAGTTCAGTAAAAGAGAGAGAGGAAGGGTAATTTACTAAGTACTTCCCTTCCTCACAGTCACGAGGTCCCTGCTATTTCCTATCTGAGACACTCAGATTAGAAAGTATCAATAAAGATGGCCAAGAAGGAATATATTAAATAGAAGTTACCTTACAATAAAGAGAACATAAAAGATACACATGTATTAACATGGCTGAACTAAGTGTAAATGTATGAAAGATGAGCCTTGGGTGACGGGGGCCAGATAGGATACATCAAGGGAGATTTAGGGAAGAGTTGGACATAAACATCATTCATTCATTAAACAATTTTTTTTTATTGAGGATCTACTGCGTGCCAGGCACTGTTCTAGATGCTAGGGGAACAACAGTGACTCGTACCTCAGGGACTGAGCAAAATCAGTCCCATTATTTGCTTTTGTAGAATATATAATATGATGGGAAAGACCGAAATTAATCAAGTAGTTACACAAATGAGTGTATTAATTACAGACTGTGATGAGCACGCATATAGAAAAAGTGGGGGAGGGTGCCTAGGAGTGCCTGTAACAGGAACCCAACAAACCGGAAGCAGTTAAAAAGGTTTTCTTAAGAAAGGGAGCCTTGAGGTAAGAACTGAAGGATGAGTAGGAGCTGACTGGGCAAAGGAGGAGGAAGAGAGAAAGAAGTATTCCAGCAAGTGGGTGTCATGCACAGCGGCCCTGTGGCAGGGAGGAGCTGACACATTCAGAGAGCTGGAAGAAGACGCACAGAAGGGAGAATGATGGAGAATGGGATGAGGTTAAGACTGAAGAGCAGGACCTTGCAGGACATGGGAGGCTATGTCATGTTGTATTTCCAAACTAACAGCTATAGGGAACCATTGAAGGTTTTTATTTATGTATTTATTTATTTATTTATTATTTTTTTGAGACAGAGTTTTGCTCTTATCGCACAGGCTGGAGTGCAATGGCAAGATCTCGGCTCATCGCAACCTCCGCCTCCTGGGTTCAAATGGTTTTCCTGCCTCAGCCTTCCAAGTAGCTGGAATTACAGGCACCCACCTCCATGCCCAGCTAATTTTTGTATTTTTAGTAGAGACAGGGTTTCATCATATTGGCCAGGCTGGTCTCAAACTCCTGACCTCAGGTGATCCACCCACCTTGGCCTCCCAAAGTGCTGGGATTACAGGCGTGAGCCACCACACCCAGTCTGACGGTTCTAAAACAGGTGATGGAGAGAGAGGAGATTCACATTGTGAAAAGTTTGCCCTGAGACCAGATAGAAAGTTATCGTCCACATGGGAGGTGATGGAGACTTGGTGGTGGAGTCAGAGAGAAGTAGATAAATCTGAAAGTTATTTACAAGTTTAAAACCAACAGGACACCAGGTGCAGTGGCTCACGCCTGTAATCCCAGCACTTTGGGAGGCCAAGGCGGGCGGATCACAATGTCAGGAGTTCGAGACCAGCCTGACCAACATGGTGAAACCCTGTCTCTACTAAAAATACACACACACAAAAAATTAGCTGGGCATCTGGCCAACACAGTGAAACACCGTCTCTACTTAAAATACAAAAATTAGCTGGGCTTGGTGGTGGGCGCCTGTAATCCCAGCAGCTACTCAGGAGGCTGAGGCAGGAGAATCATTTGAATCTGGGAGGTAGAGGTTGCAGTGAACCAAGATCGAGCCTTTCCACTCCTGTGCGACAGAGCCTGTGTCTGTCGCATTAGCCTGTGCAACAGAGCGAGACTCTATTTCAAAAACAACAACAACAACAACAACAACAGGACTTCCAGAAGATTACATATGGGGTACAGGAGAAGGAATCCATGGAATCCATGACTGCCAGGTTTTTACTGGGGCTTAAGGAGGAAGACAGTAGCGCTGGCAAAAGCTGGGAAGGAGGACAGGCAGGTGAGCTGGTGCACCTTTGAGCTGAATGATGGGTCTGTCTAGGGTGTCTCTTGCTGAAGAACTTTTGAACTCTTATAGTAGGAGACAACACTAGAGGATCAATAGAGAAAGTTGGAAAACTCTGGATCGACTTGCACCTGGAAACTGATGAGCTCTGTGGTGTTAGGCAAGTCAGTTCACCTCTGTGGATTTCAGTTCCCTGAAAGGTCCTTCACACCTTCCTCCCATATCAGAATCTCCTGAAGTGCTTGTGAACATGCACATACATGGACAATTGTCTGCATTGGATAATGAAAAAGCACAGATTTAAAAGACTTGCCTAAGATGGTACAGGCAGAGCCAAAATGAGGGCTCCAGTCCAGGTCTGACTCACTCTAAAACTGTAAGATATGAGTAAAAGGAGTGAATGGAGATGGTCCCAAACAGAATTTCCATAGCATCGCCAGTGATACTTCAGCATGTAAGTGGGCCAGGCTTGGGAAAAAGCTGTAGCTGTCCCCTTATCTCCTAGTTGGAGAGTGCTACAGTTAAGTTTCATTATTTCATCATTTCCTCTGCTGACCCAGGGCAGGCACCACCACATCCTCAACCAGGGACACACACAGGACTCTCACATTTTACCAAACAAAAAATCCTACAAACAAGCCTAAAATTTCCCTTTGAAGCCAAATGGGAGAACCAAATCTACCTCAACTTTACTCTAAAGCTGTTTTTTAACACATATACTAATAACATTTTTAAAAGAATTTCAGGATGTTGACTCTCTAGAAACCGTGACAAACATATAATTGAGTTTTTAAAAAATAAGGTTGACATATCAACCTGTCATATGACCTATGAAATGCTTTCAAGAAACCCGTGCAAAATTAAAGAGAGCTCTTCAAGACATCAAACACACAAAAAGAAGTTATTTGGGGCCGGGTGCGGTGGCTCACACCTGTAATCCCAGCACTTTGGGAGGCCGCAAAGGGCAAATCACTTGAGGTCAGGCATTATAGACCAGCTTGGCCAAAATGGTGAAACCCTGTCTACACTAAAAATACAAAAATTTAGTTGGACATGGTGGCGTGTGCCTGTAATCCCAGCTACTTGGGTGACTGAGGCAGGAGAATCACTGAAACCCGGGAGGCGGAAGTTGCAGCAAGCCAAGATCACACCACTGCACTCCAGCCTGGGTGACACAGCGAGACTGCCTCAAAAAAACAAAAAATAAGAAGTTATTTTGTTGGAACTGATTTTTTAAAAAATTATCTACCTAAATAATCCACATAAATTAGCCACACAAAAATAATCCAAAGTAGACCTGGATTTGTAGAGCACTTAGAGCTTTGGGTCTTTGTTGTTTCCTGATAGTTTCTAATGGGCTTGCTGTGTTTTCCCAACTAGCCTACAATAAAGTCTAGTACTCCCTTTTTCATTCCCATCAGTGCCAAGGACATGTTAAATTATTTAGCATAGTACTAGGTGCATAATAAAAGTACTAAGAGCAAGCAGTTAAGGAATTCTAAATACATTATATGCATTAAGTGATTTATCTTCTCAGCAGCCCATAGAAATGGGAAAACTGAGGTCACACAGCTAATAAATGGCAGAGTTAGAATTCCCACCCAGTCTATAGGATTCTCAACACCCATGAATCTTATCTGTCACAATGCATTGGTAATCATTCCTATTTCTCCTTCCTTCCTATTTCTTCCCCTCTTTTCTTCCAAATGTATTCTCATGTTCTATTAATCACTGACATAGTTATAAAAACCATTCCCCTTCTGGGCACAATGGCTCACGCCTGTCATCTCAACAGTTTGGGAGGCTGAGGCTGAGATGGAAGGACTGCTTGAGGCCAGGAGTTCTAGACCAGCTTGGGAAACATAGTGAGACCCTGTCTCTACAAAAAATTAAAAAAAATTTTAAAACAACAACAAAAACCCATTCTCTTAAGGGAAAAGCATAACTTCATATCAGTAGATAAGATAAAGTGCTAAAACCTTTTTAGCCAATCTTTTTGTTTTTGTTTTTTCGAGACAGAGTCTCACTCTGTCGCCCAGGCTGGAGTGCAGTGGCATAATCTCTGCTCACTGCAACCTCTGCCTCCCGGGTCAAAATGATTTCCTGCCTTGGCCGACAGAGTAGCTGGGATTACAGGTTCATGCCACCAGATCCAACTAATTTTTGTATTTCTTTAGTAGAGACAGGGTTTCACCATATTGACCAGGCTGATCTGGAACTCCTGACCTCAGATGATCCTCCTGCCTCGGCCTCCCAAAGTGCTGGGATTATAGGTGTGAGCCACCGCGCCTGGCCCTTTTTAGTCAATCTTAAATGCACATACCAGTTAGTCGAGCAATCTCATTGCTAGAGATATAGCCAAAGGATATACTCACACAAATATGCAAAACACCACAAAGCTGTATTTAGTAATGTTCACTAGAGCATTGTTTGTACAGAAAACTGGATATGACCTAAATGTCCATCAGTAGGAGACTAAATAAATTACTTTGTATGGAATTCTATGCTGCTCTTAAAAAAAAAGAATGAGGTAGATATGTGTACATGAGTATAGAAAAATCTTCAAGAAATATTAAATGGAAGCAGAAGTAACAGAGCATTATATGTAATATGATCTCACTTTGGATTGTTAAACTAATAAAAAATAGATCACTGTAGGTAATTTTTGAAGTATTTCTCAATTTTTGTTTCTGTATCAGCAAGGTTATTTCTCTCCCTGAACTTGTACTTAGCATTTAGACTAAGATATTGCACTAGAGTTTAGACAAAAGATAAGCCCTGGAGAAGTCTCTAGCAGAGAGGAAGGAGAAATGAAATAAAAGCCTAACCTTCAGGCTGGATGGGCTCTGGAGAGAAGAGGAAACCCAGAGGGCTTGCAGAGGGTCAGATATGTGGGTTATGGAAATCCTGCCTCCCAAGTCAAAATTCCAGAGGGGAGGTGTGAGGTTGAGGGGAAAGTTGAAAGCAGCGGGGCTCTTGCTCCTTTCATTTCACTGGTCAGGAAGATACTGTCAGGCCTCTGAGCCCAAGCTAAGCCATCATATCCCCTGTGACCTGCACGTACACATCCATATGGCCGGTTCCTGCCTTAACTGATGACATTCCACCACAAAAGAAGTGAAAATGGCCTGTTCCTGCCTTAACTGATGACATTATCTTGTGAAATTCCTTCTCCTGGCTCATCCTGGCTCAAAAGCTCCCCTACTGAGCACCTCGTGACCCCCACTCCTGCCCGACAGAGAACAACCCCTTTGACTGTAATTTTCCTTTACCTACCCAGATCCTATAAAATGGCCCCACCCCCATCTCCCTTTGCTGACTCTCTTCGAACTCAGCCTGCCTGCACCCAGGTGAAATAAACAGCCTTGTTGCTCACACAAAGCCTGTTTGGTGGTCTCTTCACACGGACGCACATGAAATTTGGTGCCATGACTCGAATCGGGGGACCTCCTTGGGAGGTTGGGGGATCTCCCTTGGGAGATCAATCCCCTGTCCTCCTGCTCTTTGCTCCATGAAAAAGATCCACCTACGACCTTGGGTCCTCAGACCCACCAGCCCAAGGAACATCTCACTAATTTTAAATTGGGTAAGCGGCCTCTTCTTACTCTCTTCTCCAACCTCTCTCACTATCCCTCGACCACTTTCTCCTTTCAATCTTGGCACCACCCTTCAATCTCTCCCTTCTCTTAATTTCAGTTCCTTTCCTTTTCTGGTAGAGACAGGAGACGCATTTTATCTGTGGACCCAAAACTCTGGTGCCTGTCACGGACTCGGGAAGACAGTCTTCCCTTGATGTTTATCACGCGAGGACGCCTGCCTGATTATTCACCCACGTTTCAGAGGTGTCCAACCACGCAGGGACGACTGCCTTGGTCCTTCACCCTTAGCAGCAAGTACCGCTTTTCTGGGGGGCAAGAACCCCCCAACCCCTTCTCCTTCACCCTGAGTGGCAAGTGCCGCTTTTCTAGGGGGCAAGAACCCCCCGATCCCTTATTTCCACGCCCTGACCCCTTATCTCCACACCCTGACCCCTTATCTCTGTGCCCCAACCCTTTATTTCCACACCCCGACCCCTTTCCCACTTTTCTGGAGGGTAAGAACCCCCGAACCCCTTCCCTCCGTGTCTCTACTCTCTCTTTTCTCTAGGCTTGCCTCCTTCACTATGGGCAAACTTCCACCCTCCATTCCCCCTTCTTCTCCCTTAGCCTGTGTTCTTAAAAACCTAAAACCTCTTCAACTCACACCTGACCTAAAACCTAAAGGCCTTATTTTCTTCTACAATGCCGCTTGACCCCAATACAAACTCGATAGTGGTTCCAAACAGCCAGAAAACAGCACTTTCATTTTTTCCATCTTACAAGATCTAAATAATTCTTGTCATAAAATGGGCAAGTGGTCTGAGGTGCCTGACGTCCAGGCATTCTTTTACACATCAGTCCTCCCTAGTCTGTGTTCCCAATGCAACTCGTCCCAAATCTTCCCTCTTTCCTTCCCGCCTGTCCCCTCAGTCCCAACCCCAAGTGTCGCCGAGTCTTTCTAATCTTCCTTTTCTACAGACCCATCTGACCTCTCTCCTCCATGCCAGGCCCAGCTAGGTCCCAATTCTTCCTCAGCCTCTGCTCCTCCACCCTATAATCCTTTTATCACCTCCCCTCCTCACACCCAGTCTGGCTTACAGTTTCGTTCCATGACTAGCCCTCCCCCACCTGCCCAGCAATTTCCTCTTAAAAAGTAGCTGGAGCTAAAGGCATAGTCAAGGTTAATGCTCCTTTTCTTTATCCCAAATAAGAGAGCATTTAGGCTCTTTTTCATGAAATATGAAAAACCCAGCCCAGTTCATGGCTCATTTGGCAGCAACCCTGAGACACTTTACAGCCCTAGACCCTAAAAGGTCAAAAGGCCGTCTTATTCTCAACACACATTTTATTACCCAATCCACTCCCGACTTTAAATAAATCTCCAAAAATTAAATTCCGGCCCTCAAACCCCACAACAGGACTTAATTAACCTCACCTTCAAGGTGTACAAAAATAGAAAAAAGTTGCAATTCCTTGCCTCCACTGTGAGACAAACCCCAGCCACATCTCCAGCACACAAGAACTTCCAAATACCTGAACCACAGCAGCCAGGCGTTCCTCCAGAACCTCCTCCCCCAGGAGCTTGCTACAAGTGCTGGAAATCTGGCCACTGCGCCAAGGAATGCCCACAGCCCAGGATTCCTCCTAAGCCGTGTCCCATCTGTGCGGGACCCCCAAGAAAATCGGACTGTTCAACTCACCTGGCAGCCACTTCCAGAGCCCCTGGAACTCTGGCCCAAGGCTCTCTGACTGACTCCTTCCCAGATCTTCTCGGCTTAGCAGCTGAAGACTGACACTGCCCAATCACCTCAGAAGCCTACAGGACCATCACAGACACTCTAGGTAACTCTCACAGTGGAGGGTAAGTCCGTCCCCTTCTTAATCAATACGGAGGCTACCCACTCCACATTACCTTCTTTTCAAGGGCCTGTTTCCCTTGCCTCCATAACTGTTGTGGGTATTGATGGCCAAGCTTCAAAACCCCTGAAAACTCCCCCACTCTAGTGCCAACTTGGACAACACTCTTTTATGCATTCTTTTTTAGTTATTCCCACCTGCCCAGTTCCCTTATTAGGCCGAGATATTTTAAGCAAATTATCTGCTTCCCTGACTATTCCTGGACTACAGCCACATCTCATTGCCGCCCTTATCCCCAACCCAAAGCCTCCTTTGCGTCTTCCTCTCATATCCCCCAACCTTAACCCACAAGTATAGGACATCTCTACTCCTTCCCTGGCAACGGATCACATGCCCATTACCATCCCATTAAAACCTAATTACCCTTACCCCGCTCAACGCCAATATCCCATCCCACAGCACGCTTTAAAAGGATTAAAGCCTGTTATCACTCACCTGCTACAGCATAGGCTTCTAAAACCTATAAACTCTCCTTACAATTCCCCCATTTTACCTGTCCAAAAACCGGACAAGTCTTACAGATTAGTTCAGGATCTGTGCCTTATCAACCAAATTGTTTTGCCTATCCACCCTGTGGTGCCCAACCCGTACACTCTTTTGTCCTCAATACCTTCCTCCACAACTCACTATTCCATTCTTGATCTTAAAAATGCTTTTTTCACTATCCCCCTGCACCCCTCGTCCCAGCCTCTCTTTGCTTTCACCTGGACTGACGCTGACACCCATCAGTCCCAGCAGCTTACCTGGGCTGTGTTGCCGCAAGGTTTCAGGGACAGCCCTCATTACTTCAGCCAAGCTCTTTCTCATGATTTACTTTCTTTCCACCCCTCCGCTTCTCACCTTATTCAATATATTGAGGATCTTCTTCTTTGTAGCCCCTCCTTTGAATCTTCTCAACAAGACACACTTCTGCTCCTTCAGCATTTATTCTCCAAAGGATATCAGGTATCCCCCTCCAAAGCTCAAATTTATTGTCCATCCATTACCTACCTTGGCATAATTCTTCATAAAAACACACGTGCTCTCCCTGCCGATCATGTCCAACTGATCTCTCAAACCCTAACCCCTTCTACAAAACAACAACTCCTTTCCTTCCTGGGCTTGGTTGGATACTTTCGCCTCTGGATACCTGGTTTTGCCATCCTAACAAAACCATTATATAAACTCACAAAAGGAAACCTAGCTGACCCCATAGATCCTAAATCCTTTCCCCACTCCTCTTTCCATTCCTTGAAGACAGCTTTAGAGACTGCCCCCACCCTAGCTCTCCCTGACTCATCCCAACCCTTTTCATTACACACAGCCGAAGTGCAGGGCTGTGCAGTCGGAATTCTTACACAAGGACCGGGATCATGTCCTGTAGCCTTTTTGTCCAAACAACTTGACCTTACTGTTTTAGGCTGGTCATCATGTCTCTGTGCAGTGGCTACTGCTGCCCTAATACTTTAGAGGCCCTTAAAATCACAAACTATGCTCAACTCACTCTCTACAGTTCTCATAACTTCCAAAATCTATTTTCCTCCTCACACCTGACACATATACTTTCTGCTCCCCGGCTCCTTCAGCTGGACTCACTCTTTGTTAAGTCTCCCACAATTACCCTTGTTCCTGGCCCAGACTTCAATCCGGCCTCCCACATTATTCCTGATACCACACCTGACCACCATGACTGTACCTCTCTTATCCACCAGACATTCAACCCCATTTCCCCATATTTCCTTCTTTCCTGTTCCTCACCCTGATCACACTTGATTTATTGATGGCAGTTCCACCAGGCCTAATCGCCACACACCAGCAAAGGCAGGCTATGCTACAGCACAAGCCACTAGCCCACCCCTTAGAACCTCTCATTTCCTTTCCATCGTAAAAATCTACCCTCAAGGAAATAACTTCTCAGTGTTCCATCTGCTATTCTACTACTCCTCAAGGATTATTCAGGCCCCCTCCCTTCCCTACACATCAAGCTGGAGGATTTGCCCCCACCCTGGACTGGCAAATTGACTTTACTCAACATGCCCAAGTCAGAAAACTAAAATACCTCTTAGTCTAGGTAGACACTTTCACTGGATAGGTAGAGACCTTTCCTACAGGGTCTGAGAAGGCCACTGCAGTCATTTCTTCCCTTCTGTCAGACATAATTTCTCAGTTTAGCCTTCCCACCTCTATACAGTCTGATAACAGACTAGCCTTTATTAGTCAAATCAGCCAAGGAGTTTTTCAGGCTCTTAGTATTCAGTGAAACCTTTATATCCCTTACGGTTGGTCCTCAGTCTTCAGGAAAAGTAGAACGGACTAAAGGTCTTTTAAAAACACACCTCACCAAGCTCAGCCACCAACTTAAAAAGGAGTGGACAATAATTTTACCACTTTCCCTTCTCAGAATTCAGGCCTGTCCTCAGAATGCTACAGGGTACAGCCCATTTGAGCTCCTGTACGGACGCTCCTTTTTATTAGGCCCCAGTCTCATCCCAGACACCAGACCAACTTAGACTGTGCCCCAAAAAACTTGTCATCCCTACTATTTTCTGTCTAGTCATACTCCTATTCACCGTTCTCAACTACTCATACATGCCCTGCTCTTGTTTACACTGCCGGTTTATACTGTTTCTCCAAGTCATCACAGCTGATATCTCCTGATGCTATCCCCAAACTGCCACTCTTAACTCTTAAAGTAAATAAATAATCTTTGCTGGCAGGACTATGCTGAATCTCCTTAGGCACTCTCTAGTCAAATGTCCTAGGTCCTCCCAATTCTTAGACCTTTAATACCTGTTTTTCTCCTTCTCTTATTCCATTTAGTTTTTCAATTCATACAAAACTGTATCCAGGCCATCACCAATAATTCTAAATGACAAATGTTTCTTCTAACAACCCCACAATATCACCCCTTACCACAAGATCTGCCTTCAGCTTAATCTCTCCCACTGTAGGTTCCCACACCGCCCCAATCCCGCTCGAAGCAGCCCATTATCTCTCCATACTACCCCCAAAAATTTTCGCCGCCCTAACACTTTATCACTATTTCGTCTTATTTTTCTTATTAATATAAGAAGACAGGAATGTCAGGCCTCTGAGCCCAAGCTAAGCCGTCATATCCCCTGTGACCTGAACGTACACATCCAGATGGCCGGTTCCTGCCTTAACTGATGACATTCCACCACAAAAGAAGTGAAAATGGCCTGTTCCTGCCTTAACTGATGACATTATCTTGTGAAATTCCTTCTCCTGGCTCATCCTGGCTCAAAAGCTCCCCTACTGAGCACCTCGTGACCCCCACTCCTGCCCGACAGAGAACAACCCCTTTGACTGTAATTTTCCTTTACCTACCCAGATCCTATAAAATGGCCCCACCCCCATCTCCCTTTGCTGACTCTCTTTTCAGACTCAGCCTGCCTGCACCCACGTGAAATAAACAGCCTTGTTGCTCACACAAAGCCTGTTTAGTGGTCTCTTCACACGGACGCGCATGAAAGATACTGCCCCTCATAGTGCCCGGCCATTGCATCAGGAGGAGAAATCCTCTGAGGTGTGATAAGGCAGGAAAAGGGCCTGGATTTAGGGGCTGAGGACACTTTAAGCTACCTGGTGGCATGGGAGTGTGCACAAGTTCCTTTGTTCCCTGGGGAGAGGCACAAAAGAGGTCTGGTAGTGCTCGCTGATCAGTTTACAAAGGAGGTCTCCAGGCAAAGGGCATGGGGGAGTGAGATTGACCCAACCTTGCTGAGAGCTCCCAGGCCTGCCCCCACCCGGGGAATCACAGGTGGACCCAGTCAGAGCAGGCTGACAGAGTACAGGCCTCAAGGCCACTCACTGAAGAAAGTAAGAGCAGATGCCACCAGGCTGACCACAGGACAGTGTGATCTGCGTTCCACCACAGGTATCAGTAAGTGTCCAGATAACTTCCCCAAAGTGCCAGCTTTGGAAAGAGAAGGTGGAGGAGCGGAGCGCTGAAAGATGCAGCATTTCCTCGAAAGGAGCTGTGTCGAAGCGAAAGGAGACAGTAAAGCAGAAGGGACTGGGCTCCCATTAGCGAGCAAGGCTGGACTTCCCTGCTGCCCAAAAGGAAGGACTTATAAGAAGAAAGATAACCTATCAGTTAGAGCAAAACAGAGGTGCTGCCCTTTGTGTATCCAAGTGTAGGGAGTGAATTAATCCGTGACCCACTATGCAAAAACATATTACATAAAACTCCCAGAGCTCTTAGGAGAGGTTGCCTCTGAGAAGCGGAACTGGGGTCAGTGGATGTGCAGGTGGTAAACCTTATTGCTTTTGTAATAGAAAATGTGAAAATGTTTTAAATAGACCTCACCAGAAGCACTCGTAATACAAAATTAAATAGTCTCACTTCTCATTATACCCTATTTCTACATAAAATTCTAAATGATACTTTGCTGGAAACCAATGATTTCTTCTTTTTTATTTATTATTGATGAACTCTACAGTTCCACATCCAAACCAAAAGGGACTCAAATGTTTCAAGTTTATCACATTTAAATCTCACTGAAACAGCAGTATCAGATTAACTCTTGCATAACACGTATCAGAACTGATTCCTTACATAAGGGGCTGTCCATTCATTAATTCCATAAATATTTTTGAGGGCTTATTATGTACTGGGAACATTTATAAGGACAGGATACTGTGGTGAATAAAACAAAGTCCCTGTTCTCAAGAAGCTTCTATACTAGTGAGAGAGATAGACAATGAACATGCATGCAAATGGATAAATAATATAACCTTAGCTAGTGGTAAATGCTGTGATAAAAGTAAACCAGGGTAAGGGAAAACAGAATGAAAAGGGGTAAGGATTATCTTGAACTGAATTGTTGTTGGAATCTTTTTTTTCTTAATTTATTTATTTATTTATTTTTGAGACGGAGTCTCGCTCTGTCACCCAGGCTGGAGTGCAGTGGCCCAATCTCAGCTCACTGCAAGCTCTGCCTCCCAGGTTCACACCATTCTCCTGCCTCAGCCTCCCGAGTAGCTGGGACTACAGGCGCCCGCCACCACACCTGGCTAATTTTTTGTATTTTTAGTAGAGACGGGGTTTCACAGTGTTAGCCAGGATGGTCTCGAGCTCCTGGCCTTGTGATCCAACTGCCTCGGCCTCCCAAAGTGCTGGGATACAGGTGTGAGCCACCGTGCCCTGCCTGGACTCTTAACAATTTTCACTCTAAAATGCCTTTAGAGGGCCAGGCGCGGTGGCTTACACCTGTAATCCCAGCATTTTGGGAGTTCGAGGTGGGCAGATCACTTGATGTCAGGAGTTCGAGACCAGCCTGGCCAACATGGTGAAACCCCTTCTCTACTAAAATTACAAAAATTAGCCGGATGTGGCAATGCGTGCCTCTGGTCCCAGCAACTTGGGAGGTTGAGGCACGAGAATCGCTTGAATATAGGAGTTGCAGTGAGCTGAGATTGTGCCACTGCACTCCAGCCTTGGTGACACAGTGAGATTCTGTCTCAAAAGAAAAATAAATAAAATAAAATACCTTTAGAGAGTAAAATGACTCTACTTTCAGTACTCTCTCCTTTAAGGTTTTTTAACAACACAAATCAGCAACATAGAAGGAACACCAGTATAAGAAGATTAACAGACAGTACAAATTAGAAATGCATGAAGAAGGTTGGGTATTTATCTGAAGTTCTCTATTGGAATTTTGAGCTTAGTTAGAACTTTGTAGTCTACCCCAAATTACAGGGAAGTGGGTCTTCTTATAGTTGGTGTTATTTTATAAGATAATGAAAGGGAGACTCAGTGAGGTGCAGTGATAGGCCTGGGGCATGGGAGTCGGACCTCAAACTCAATTTCAAACCCCATATTTTAGAGCACTCTGTAGCTACATAAGTTATGAAAGTAGGGGTTTTATTTAAATTCAAATATATTAAGTGAGGAAAGAGAGATGCTGTGATAGAGACCTGAATGTACTTTGGGTTGGCTAGGACTGGTTTTTCTTACTTTTTTGTTTCGTTTTAAAGTCCATACCTGGGAGATGTCGAATCATAAAGATCTGCCTATTTTTCACCACTGGTTCCCCAAACACAGAGAGGACCCAGGCAGATGCACCCTGGGCATTCCAGACATGGTGTGCTGTAGAGGCTGGTAGGATTCTTGTGTCTCCAAGATTGAATTCATTCCCTATGGTTGAACTCTTTATGTCCCAGATCAGACCTGGGAATATTAACTTCTAGAACGTTTCCTAAAATTATGTGTTTTGGAATCTGATAGATTTGAGTGTGAATCGGCTTTATTACCTTCTAGCTATGGGATCACAGGTAAGTTAATTGACCTCTCTGAACTTTGGTGTCCCCATCTATAAAATGTAGATTGTTGATTTGTGTGAATGGATTTGTTCAACATATATTTCTTCATCATTTACTATATGCCATACACTGTGCCAGATACTGGAGATAGGAAGATAAAACACCTTAACCTCACAAAGCGTCCACTGTGGTGGGGGAGACACATGTAAGTCATCATTCTAGTGCCATATAACAATTCTAGTAGACATAGAGAGAGTAGTAGCATCTCACCTGTGGTAGAGGCTTCTACTGCTCACTTATGTCCAATCTCCTTTCCTTCCAGCCTCATGAGAGGATTACACTTCTGTCCCTTGGAGTTAGGCAGAGCCACGGAACAGGGCTGGCCAGTGGGCTGAGAATGGGACTAATGCAGTCACTTCTGGGCCAATACACTTCATAGCTAGCACAATACCCTCTCTTCTCCTGCCACAGCAACCAAGGAGGCTGAGTGTTCTGGATGGTACAATTACAGAATGATGGAGCTTCCATTGGCTCCATCAGGCAAGTCTCTGAAGGGAGTTGCCCAAGTGAATGACCCAGCCCTGCAGCAGACTTTCACCGGCCAAGCAAAAAATTGTATTAAGCCACCAAGATTTCTGTATTTTAAGTCACCACAGCATGATATAGCCTCAGGAATTCATAAGCCCACCTGCAAAAGGCGTTCTGAAAGAGCAGAAGACTGAGTGGGTATTGACTGATGAGTGATAGAAGAGCCAGGGGATGAGGTGGGGAAGGACCATTAGAGCAGAGAGGGAGGAAGAGCAAAGGCCCAGAGGGCTGAAATGGCCGGGTAAGGTGGGTAATTGCAAGCAGTTCAGGTGTACTGGAATGTAAAGAGAAAGGGAGAGGGACAAGAGACAGAGGGAAGAGGTGGACAAAACCAAACTCTGGAAGGCCTTGTGGGCAATATCACTAGCTTGGCCTTTACCATAAAGATCATGTGAACTACGTAGGGTTTTGAGCAGATTGATATGCTTATCTGTGCTTATGTAGAGGAGACATTGGGGCAGAACTAGAGACAGGAGACCAAGATGAAACTAAACAACTTATGGAAAGTACCTACTGTAGTACCTGGCAGACAGAAGTATGTGACTTCCCTTTTCCCTTCCTCAGCTCATATATTAATGTAGTTTTAGAAATTAGCCAAGCCTGGACCTCAGCATTCTTACTTTTAGGACTTGTTAGAAACAGATGCTTTATTGTATAAAAATATGTGTACAGGAATGTCTCTTGCAGCCTTGCCAGCAGAGGTAGAAAATAAAAAATGACCTGGATGTCCATCAAGAGAAAATTGGCTAAATAAGTCGTGTAACTTGCTATGTTACATGCTATCTAAGAGAATAAAGCTATGTTAACTGACCTGGATGGAGTATCCATGGTCTAGAGCTAGGTGAGAAAAAAAAAAAAAAACTTGTAGAGTAATAACCATTGTATGATCTTATTACTATAAAATAAACAAACCAACCTCGATTCTACATATGTAATTAGGATGCCTATTGATATCCTACTGTGTGAGCCCATGGCAGGGTGCCAAAAGTGGTACAAGCTGTTAACAGTGGTCAGCTCACTCAAGGGGCTGGCAATCTTGCCATTGTTACACTTAGCATGTGTTACTTTTATACCTTTTTTTAGTTAATAGGAAAGCTAAAAAGAAAAACACTATCCTAGAGAATTGGAATTGCTAGTGCTTTTCTCATAGAGATTGTTCTCAATTGCAAAGGCATAAAAACCAATCTTTAAGCCAGAAGATTCCTTGCCGAGTTGAAGTTTCCTCTTCTTGCTGGAACACAATTGTTTTTAAATCTAATGTCCCATCTTGAGTGTTCTGTGATTATTAATTACAATGGATTGAACCACAGAATCTCAGAGGATTTAAACGGATCCAGAATTTCAATGCTAATTGCTCTCTGAGAGTAAGCAACGTTCACTTTTAGGAAATGAATTGGCCTTCCCATCAGGATAAGCAAATTACTTTGGGCTGTGGGAAAAAAGGTAACTAATCTTCTAAAAGGATATATTGGTCTTAAAAGAACAAGGATATGAAAATCACACTGAATCATTAAAAACTCCTTAAGGTCAGGGATTAAGGCCTGTAATAGGTTGATGAATTGAATCTAACTTAATTATAAAGCAAAGCACTAACCTCATAGAATACCTGAGTCAAGTTCCCTGTGTTCTCATTTTCTAGCCTCTTCTACCAGACACTATGAAAAATAACAGCCCCATCTCTCCAGAAAATCTTAGGAGATATAGGCGTGCTGAATTTAAGGTGTCTGTGGCACATGCAAGTGGATCAGCCACTGGGCTGTCCAGAATGCAAGAGAGAACTCAGAGTTGGGGACATAAACTTGGCAGTCATCTGTGTAAAAGAGAAAAGGTAGGTAAAGTCCCACAAGGATGGGTTGGCCTACAGAAGGCACAGAGAGAAGAGAGCCTGGTTTAGCATGGGCTACGATCAGAGTCCCTGGGTTCAAATCTTGGCTCCACCCATTTCTATCTGGTTGCTCTAGGGCATGTTACCTAGTTCTTGTAATGCTCCGTTTTCTCATCTGAAAAACCCAGTTGATAGCCATAGCTCCCTTAGAAATATTGTGATGAAAGGCTGGGCACGATGGTTCACGCCTGTAATCCCAGCACTTTGGGAAACCAAGGTGGGCAGATCACAAAGTCAGGAGTTCAAGACCAGCCTGGCCAATATGGTGAAACACTGTCTGTACCAAAAATACAAAAATTAGCGAGGCGTAGTGGTGGGTGCCTGTAGTCCCAGCTACCAGGGAAGCAGAGGTTGCAGTGAGCTGAGCTCTCACCACTGCACTCCAGCCTGGGCAACAGAGCGAGACTCCGTCTCAAAAAAAAAAAAAAAAAGAAAGAAAGAAAAGAAAAGATAAAAGAAATATTGTGATGAGGGCTAAATAAGATAATATACACAGACTTAGAGCACCTAGCTCACAGTGGACCCTCTGAAATGTTCCCTATTACTGTACAGGGCTCGGCTAGAGCAAGGGCCCAGGGAATATCCACCAGAAGGAGGAGATGCAGGGAGAGAGGAGGGAGGCAGGCCAAGCAGGAAGGGGTGGTCAGTAGCTTCAGATGGGCTACAGGTAAGGCAAGCTTAGGACCAGAATGTTTCATTGGATTTAGCCACAAGAGGTCATTTGGAGTGGGTCAAAGCTATTCTGGGTAGAAGCCAAACAGTTTCCAAAGCAAAACAGGCGGCAACACTAGCATTCAGAGAGATCCAGGGACCAAGAATCTTAAAGAAAGGTTTAAAATGGTCAAAATAAACTTGCATTTAATTAACATTTTCATGAGTACTACAGTAATACATAATCAATGCAGAAAACCTGGAAAACAAAGAAAACTACAAAGAGGAAAAGAAGTATTTCTCATTCTACCTTCCAGACATACCTACATTTCTTCCCGTGTATGTGTATTTATATCAGGTGTAACAAGCATAGTTCATCTTGTCGTGTGACAAGCATAGTCTGAATTTGCCCAATATTTCAAAACCTATTATTTAAAGAAACTTGAAGAAAACCTGGAAGAATATTTTCATTGTATCAAAGTAGACTAAATAGGCCATTTTAAGTATGTCACAAAATCTAGAAGCATAAAAGAAAGGATATATAGTCTGCTTCATATAAATCAAAACTTTCTGCATGGCAAAAACACTATAAATTAAGCAGAAAGACGAATGATAAATTTTAAAAGACATGTGAAAAACAAACGTTTGCTCCTTGGAATATATCAAGAAGGGCTTTGAATCAATGGAAAAGGATCAATAACTGACAGAAAGATAGACAACGGATATGAACATAGAATTCACGGAAAACAAAATAAAAATGGTTCTTGAATACCTGACCAGGTGCTCAATCCTACTTATACAAGAGAGATGCAAATTAAAACTACGCTGATATAAGTTCTTCCCTCTGCAATCTGGCAAAGATCAAGAAAACTGACAGTATCATGTGCTGACAAACATATGAGGAACAGCTGTTCCCATACATCACTGGAGGGAGTATTAAATTTGTACAACCTCTACCTGTCTCTGTCTCAAAACTGCCCATATCCTTTGAGTCAGCAATTCAATTTCTAGGAAACTATCACACTAATACACTCACATGTATGAAATCGCACATGGACAAGATTATTCATTGCCGCTTTAGCTGTAATAACAAAAGATTGGAAACAACCTAAAATTCCCTTAATGGGGGACTGGTTAAATACATGGAATTCGAAGGCTAAAAAGGAAGAAGCAATTCTGCATCTCCTGATAAGAAATGATTGCTAAAACCCATTCAATAAAGAAAGCAAAATGTAGAACAGTGTAACTGATGTGCCATCACTTATGTAGAAGAATAAAAATAAATCCTAGGAAATATGAATATTTTGCTAATACATGCATGAAGTATTTCTAGAAGGAATCACAAGAACCCAGTAGTTACCCCTAATGGCTCACACATGGTGGAAGTGTAAATTTTTTTTGTAATTTTGTTACTAAGTACTCTTTGTTATCTTTTGAATTTTGTGCCATGGGTATGTGTTACCTATGTAAAAACTAGAAACTTAACATATAACATTTTAAAACAATGGCTGCGTGTGGTGGCTCATGCCTGTAATTCCTGTGCTTTAGGAGGCCAGGAGTTCACAATCAGTCTGGGCAATATAGTGAGACCTTGTCTCTACAAAAAACAATTCTAAAACATTTCAAAACCAAATGAAATCTATGAGCCACTTTATTTGCCTTTTTTTTTTTTGGTGGTCATTTTGGGTTTTGCTTTTTTTTTTTTTCAGCTGCCTTTCCCCTTCTTGCTTTGTCTATGTTGATGCTTTTCTCTCTTTTTCCCTTCTCCTCTCTGTTTCCCTTGCCCCACCTCTGTCTAATACATCAACAACTAAACAACAACAATTATCATCTACCAACAATTTAGCATATACCAATAACTGTCCTTAATGGATAGGATTTCATTTAATTCCCACAACCACCCCCAGATGGTTAAGTATTATTTGCCACAGTTTACAAATGAGGAAACGCAGGCACAGGGAATTGAAGTGCCTTGCCCAAACCCACACAAGCTGTAAATGATGGAGCTGGGATTTAAACCAAGTCGGCCTCTGCAATCCATGTTTTCTCTAGTAAACCATACTGCCTGTGATATGGAATAAGTACATGTATTTTTTTTCTTAACTTTTGCGTAAAGTATGACCATCTTTGTTTCTAATTTGTAAATCAAATAAGCTTAATATTTTATATGGCTTTTAGAAAGCACATATACAAAGAAAATTTTATAAATTAAACTGTTCTTTACTTCTAAATCTTTGACGATTATTTCCAAGACATAAATTCCAAGGAGATCCCAGCTTTCATTCGTTTACCATCCTGTGCACCAACCACGTACTCAAATTCATGCTATTCCTTCGCACAAGAAAGATAGAGCCCTCAAGAAACTCTCAATCAACTGGGGAGAAAATAATAACAGTATTAATAGCTCATGTTTACTGGGACTCTACCATGTGCCAGGCAGATGCTAAGCACTTTACATAGGTTCTGATAACTCTGTGACATAAGGTGCAACTGCTACCTCCATTTTTAAAATGAGAACAATTAAGCCCAGATGTTAACTTCCCAGCGGACCTCAGCTTAGAAAGTACAGAACAAGGATTTGAACCTAGGCAGTTTGGCTCCAGAGCCTGTGCCATCACAACACTGCCCGGAAACAGATTAGTACAGTACATGCCCCTGCGGGAGAGCCCAGAGGAGAACCTGCACTATTCCTGGAAATTGATCAGCAGAGGCTTCTGGGAGGATCGAGGCATGATTTGAGTCTTGACAGAAGTTCAGAACACAGAGACGTCACGGCATTCTACCCTGCACTGAAACTGTTCTAAAAAGACTGGCATGCTTCGGAGAGAAAAAAAAAAATGTAGCATAGAGTCTCCTGTGACCTGCCTGGGAGCTGTGCCATGCAATGGAACCAAATTTCCTTCAGGGAGTTTTACATTTTACTCAATATTCTGAAGTTTAGCTATCACACAATTAAGTATCAACCAGGTTCCTGTCATCAGTGGGTACTGTTGGAAGAGGACAGGGAATTGGATTTAACAACACTGTTTGTTCTTCTAATGCAACATCGTAGAAATATGTAACAGAACTGTAATGGAGATGAATCACAAGAAGGACGCAGCACAAGATGCTATGCCAAGAATAATATTAGGAGAAGTGACGTTCTGTCATTCTGTTACAGTTAAGAGTAAACTTATGATCCAAGAAGCAGCAATCCTTTAGAGACCCTGAGAACTCTTCAGGGCTCTCCTCGTCCTTTTCACTCAGGGCCCCAAAGCCAGCCTCTTCATTCATCAGCTCTGGATGGGACAGACAGTGACAAAGCAGAAATCCCTAGGCCCCTGGGCTGCTGCTGTGCAGCAGCAAACTCCCTCACTGTGACTAACTTTCTGCTTCTAACTTATCCCATGGCTCAGAAAAGCTGGGCTCAGCCTCTGCCTTGATCCATCAAGCCATGATCCAGCACGTGGCTGGGGAAAATCTGAGCGCATATAATTCTGTAGGACAAGGTGTGTCCTGCGCACATCCTAACTCTCCCTCATTCAGGTGGCAGCCTGTGCCTATCTGTTTATAAAAGTGGCAGCCTTCATTCTGAGGTATAGAAGCAGCATACTTTGACCAGAACAATCTCTTTCCTTAAAAAGCTTTGTGATCAATTGCCTTTGAAATGAGAGAAGATCAAATAATCCTTAATGCCTTTGATACATCCTTTTCTTACACTCCCCAAATAGAGCTCATACAATATAACTAATCTCTGGAATGGATTGATTTTGCCTTCAAAATATCCTTTTATTTCCTTGGACCCACTTATGGTCTGGAAGATATTTAACAACTAGCTAAGGAACAGAGGGAAGGGAGGGCTCTGATTGTAGCATTTGCCAATTTCCATGGTGTAATGTTTCCACACTAATTTCAAGCTACCATCAGGAGTCACTTAATGTAGAGTTGGGAAGAGATCAGTACAGTTGGCTCTCTTGAACCGGCCAGCTCCTGTGCAACCCTGCCTGGGCTCCTCCATCTGGTGTCATGCTGAGATGTTTGCAACAGCCTCTGAGCCCACCTCCCAGACTACAATCCCCTGGGGTCTTCTTCCTGCTCACTCAGATGAAATACTTTCATCATGTCACTGTTCTTCTGACAACCCTACCCCCAATTTACCACCCCATTTTACCTCTTCTCCCAAAGACCAATGAACTTTTTTCATGATTCTGGGTTCCTGCATCATCTCAGGTAAATAAATCATTTAACCTCTCCGAACTTCAGTTTCTTATCCATAAAGTGAGAATAAAATAGTCACCTCCATAGAGTGAAGTTTAAATGAATTAATGTGTGTAAAGCCTCTAGTCCAGCACCTGGCATCCAATAAATACCTGATTAATCCTACATGTCAATTACTCAAAGTACCTTAGAAGGAAAACAATGGTGTCGTTATAGAATTCAAAGGCCACGAATCCTCAAAGGACTTCACTCAGTACCTCAAAACTATTCCACATTGGTGCTTACTATTATATTTTTGATGAGTTCTAGAGAGAGAAGAAATGCTAAAAAACCCAACAGTAGCTCATTTTAGCATCTCAGAATCCTCAAGCAAGACCATGGCCAAACACTCAAACTCCTTCCCTGACCGTTATCAAGAGAAACTCTCTGCTTTGTGGTGGGTCTTGCTTCTGCACCCACAGGAAATGCAGTTTCTCTTGCACAAGTAACACAATCACAATAAGTGAGAGGTCACCTGAGGGAGATACAACCAGACCTGGAGATGGAAAGGAGAGAAATGGTACAAGACTACAAAGTCCTTATCAAGGTTTACATTTTTTTTGCCTTGCAAAACAGACCTTTATAAGAAATGTCAATGTATTAGAGGTAACGGGCCACACAAGATGAGAAAAGATGATGATGCCATCATTCATGACAATTCTCCGTAGGTCCTGCCACCAAGGAAGAGCAATGAGCTACTGATGCCCATTGTGGGGTCCAACAAAAGCATGGTTATGTCCCAGAACCAGCTGAAAAGCAAAGTTCAGCTGAACTGCAAACTCATTTTCATGATGCCAAACAATTTGCACAGCTTGATTTAGGGATTACACTGCTCCATGAACAACTGGTAAGTTAACCCTCCAGGAAACTCAGTGATTGTTTTAAATGCATCTCATCCCCATTAAGATATGAACTCTTTCCCCGCGCCTTAACAAGTGAATTGTGTGCATATGCAGGAGTCATCTGTAAACCTCACTTGATGTTTCCCCTCTGAACTCTGATTGGTATACCTACAGCTATTATTTACTTCACCTCTACTCAGAGTTATCCAGAATGTTACGCATACAAAGGAGTATAAATAGGGAAAGCAGGTTATCAAACGCCGTGGATGGCATTTTCCCATTACACCTAGATACATATGAAAAAATGTACAAACGACTAGAATGATTACACCATAGTGATAACAATGATTACTACTGGGTACTAAGATAATGTATTTTATAATTTTTTCCTTTTGTTTATCTCTCTTTTCTGTTTTCTACATTGAAAATGTATTACTTGTTTTTAAATTAAAAACATTTAATTTGAATACCTCATATGAGTGTGGCCTTACAGGCCTGGGTACCCAGGAAGCCTGGTCTGGCCTGTATAATAATTAAGAAATAATTAATTGTATAATAATTGTGCTTGTATAATAATTAAGAAATCTGCTACCTCCTTTCAGGTAGCAGCCCTTACCAGGGCTCTAGAATCTCCTGAATCAGTTTAGTCTCCCTGAAGCCACTAAGATCTGGGCATGTCAAAATGGGTGGCACCCTGCCCAGTCAAAGCACTTCCACTAACAGGTCCTTGGGTGGGAACTAGAAGACAGCATCAGGCTTTTGGGCTTTCAAAAAGTATTTCTTAATGTAGAGACTCCTATTCCTGTAGTCCCATTAACAGTAGACTCTTGATTAATAAGCATGGCTAATGAAAATCCACAGAATCACAGAACCACAGAATCCTGGAGCTAGGAGGGAATTCAGCAAACCCCTAAGGTGGGAGAGTACTTTGCCCCAAATCCTCAGTTCATCGTCATCTGAACACTTTCATCTGCCAACAGCTACACTCCCAAGACACAAGAAGCCGAGGATTTGGCAATGCAGTAAAAAGACAAGCCTAATTCAGGGAAACCCTACATTCAGCCAAAATTTTTTGCTGGCAGTATAAAACCCCCACTTCCTTCTGAATCCTGCAGTCTAAATCAAGCCAAGAAGGGCAACAGGGCTTTTACAAGCCTGGCCAACCGATTACCCACACAATGTCAGACAGAAACAGCCCAGGACTCAAATTTCCCTCTGACACCTGACCTGCCCCTGACTACATACCTGGTGTCTTCAGTAGTTTCACTGGGCCCATGGTGGACAAACTTAACACAGAGAAAGAATGTGCATGACAGCCTCTCTATTGGTTGTCCTAGAGAGATAGGAGGATCTGAGGCACTTGGTGGCAACTGCTTAGGCAGCAAGCCTCCAAACAAGCCTTTAGCAATAGGAAGCCATTTCCACACATCCAGATCACTTGCCAAGCTGATGGGTGCCTTCCCTCCTGTCCCCACCTCTCCCCGACCCCCGTCTCACCCACAGAAAAGTAGCACATAGAAAATATGGCTTCCAGGGTGAGAGATATAGGGAATCCCACAGTGCCCTTGGGGGACACAGTAATGTGGCTCAGACATAGACCACTGTACAGATCCAGCAGCACAGGAAGGGCTGCAGGCCTGGGAGAAAAGTGACAGCAGATGGCCGGTCCAGGCTTTCTGGGTACCCAGGCCTGTAAGGCCACACTCATATGAGGCAGGCAGCACCCCTTGGAACAATATCTATGGTAGGTCTATAGACCAAGGGCTCTGCTCTGTGCCGCAGACATCCACACACATACATAGGTACACATGACATAGAATTCAATAGCTTGAAGAAATTGCCTATGATTCTTCAACTTGCTTACCTGGATCTGAATTCTTCCATAACATTTTAAATCAATCCAGGTGTACCCATCTTCAGAAATAATGGACCCCAATGTCTCAGAATTACAGAGTCAGAGTCCTCAACATGTCCAAAGCATTTCGTGGAAATTATTCCACCATGAAGACTAGAATGGCCTCTCTTCATGGATTCAGCTTGCTAAGGAGGCTTAGTTCAGAGGGACTAAGACACTCTCCTTTTAGCAAATAACTAACCAAAAGGGCAAGGAAGGGAGGTAAAAGACGTCATAACCAGGCCAGTAGAATCCCCTGGTCTGGCCATTACATGTGATGATTTCAAATGGGTTCTTAGTACCTTAATTTTGAGGGAAAAGAGTAGAGGAAACCAGCCAATGCTTTGCATGCTTAGTTTCTGCTGATGACACTGAACTCAGAGAACTGAGATCTTTGGAGAAACCAAAGATGGCTCAAATGACTCGTGATAATAAATGAACGTATTACTGCTCGCTGACAAATTGAAGTTTCCTAATTATAAAGCAGAACCAGTGGCCACCACCATAGAAAGCCTACCCCACAGATGGAGAAGAGGCAAAGCACTGAAACTCAGTCCGAGGGACCTCCCCAGCCATGGGGGCAGGGCCAAATGGGGCTTCTTCAGGACCAGCAAAGCCATTTTTCTCATCAGCAAACTAGCTTCAGAGAAGTTTGCAATCAGGGCACTCTCTTCCAAGCCTAGAGACCCAGGGAAAGGGGTACGGGGGTGTCCCAAGGCAAAGAGAATCTACACTTTTTGCCCCCGGAGAGGCTACTTCCCTCCCAAGATGCCTGGGATTTTCCACTTCAGCAGGGGGAAGGTAAGTCACATAGCAAAATAATGAGGGCACAGAACAGATGACCTCCCTATAGAGTTTTGAATGAGAAACACAGCAGGGCAGATGTGCCCCTTCTCTAGTCTAGGAGGAGCTAGGTCCAGCCCCTGAACATCCTCCCCCTCAGAAAAGCTGAGGCCAGACTAAGAATTCACCAGACCAAGGAGCTACAACAGGACATCAGAGCTGAGGCTGCAAAGCCAGGACTGAGACCAGACCAGGCAGGAAACTGTCAAGAGCTTTGGTCACCAGGCCTGGCTGCCCTCCAACATCAGCTGGCTCTTTCTAAATTGACACACCACATGTCCCTAAAATTCTCTCTTCAAGTAATACCACCATCAAAGCAGGACATTTCCCAGAGCCTTAGAGCCTGGTGTCTGCTCAGTGGGACTCAACCCCAGAAGAAGCTGTTAAATCACCCACTGTTTCAGTTTACAAACTTCTTACGACTTGGCAACAAGTGAAACTACATTCTGGCAGCAACTGCAAGTTCCCTAGTACCCAGGACTTCCCGTTTTTTCTTGCTGTACTCCCTCCTGTTAAATCACAGACTCATCCATCTCCAACCCCCAGAATATAGAGAAAGAGCACAACACTACATCTTAACTCCTGAGACGTGGAGAACACTTCTCCTCCTGAGAGCTTAAGTACCAAATGGAAGCTACTTTTCCCCCTTGGTCTCAAATGTATTACTAGATTCTGAACTGGACTCCACCATCACGTAAGAAAGCAGTCATGGGCAGTAATTCTGGGAGATCCAGATAGGACATGCCAGCCCCACACTGGTGGCATAGGAAGCCAAGTTGCTGCTTCCTCCCTGTGCACTCCCATTTGTCTGGCCTCTCTTGATCTCAGCTGGCGCTCACTTCACATCAGCTATGATGCAATCCAGCAACTAAAGTATTAGTTAATAAATGCTGACAGCACAGCCTTTTCTGGTCACGTATTCATACTAAAATACGGGGGAGAGTTGGGGGGAGAGGGGGATATATGGGAAATCTCTGTACCTTCCTCTCCATTTTGCTATGACCTAAAGCTGCCCTTTAAAAAATACAAGGGGCTGGGCACAGTGGTTCACGCCTGTAAACCCAGCACTTTGGGAGGCCGAGGCGCGTGGATCACCTGAGGTCAGGAGTTCAAGACCCGCCTGGCCAACATGGCAAAACCCCGTTTCTACTAAAAATACAAAAAGTAGCTGGGCGTGGTCGCATGCATCTGTAGTCCCAGCTACTCAGGAGGCTGAGGCAAGAGAATTGCTTGAACCTGGGAGGCGGCGGTTGAAGTGAGCCAAGATCATGCCATTGCCCTCCAGCCTGGGCAACAGAGCAAGACTCCTTCTCAAGAGAAAAAACAAAACAAAACAAGAAAAAACAAAGAATGAGCTCTCCACGCGAAAAATCCATTGAGATGCAAAGGAAGGAAGCTATCATTGTGGAATTGCACATGTCAGTTACATTAACGTTTTTGGAGCAAGGTAGAGCTCATCTCTCCCACAAGCAAATTCCAGCCCAAAGCATTGATACTAATAAAGTGCCATGCTGCGATGTGCAGGGGGCAGACAGTGTCTCCAAGCTCCCTACACACATGCCTTCCCACAGTTTGCCCTTTCTTGACCCCAGAAGCATCAGGCCCCTTCACCCTCGAGGGCCACTATCAGGAGTTTGAATTAATGGCAATCACCATGCACAGGGAAGGCTGTGGAATTCTGACATAAAAACACTTAGTGGAGGGCTTGGAAAAAGTCTAGTAGGAGCAAGACGCAAGCTGGACTAATTATCTAAAACAAGAGACCTGGTTTGGGGATCTTAATGTTCTCAAAAAAGAAAATTATTATTATTTTTCATTTTGCACTTTGTGCCATAAAACATTTTCAACAAAACATAGAATCTCATTTCTTTTGAGGGAAAATGATTGGGAGACCAGCTCATTGCTGGCACAGAGGCCTGGTTCATTCATAATTCCTTCATAGGCAAGACACCAGGTGAACCGATATAGCCGAGCTGGAAGAGCTCTCCAAGGCAGAGACTCTGAGCCAAGGAATGTTCAAAGAGCTAGCATGTATTGTGGGATTACTATGCGCCAGGAATTTTTTACACTGCATCACGTTCCATCTTCACAACAGCCCTAGAAAGGAAGAACTATTATTACCCCCGTTTTATAGGTGAATAAACAAGGGCACAGGTCCTTGATGTAACAGCCAGGATCAAACAGCTGGGAAGACGAGAAAACCTTTCCCAGGCTAGGATAACAGAGGATTTGGTTGAAAATACAGGCAATTAGGTGCTACCTCTGGGAAAAGGGGCCAGGAGAGGAAGGAGACACTTTTCCCTGCATGCCCTGATGTCCTATTTGAACATTTTATCATGAACACGAACTTCCTATTTAAAAAACACTTTTTATTGAAAAGATAAATCTGTGTGTTGTATTGTGTCACTCAGTTCAAGTACTTGAAATTTATTGAATTGTATTTTCTAAAAAATAGATAGTTGAGTAAAAGCAAGCTCACATTACATAGACGGATCACAGTGCACGGCTGCGGAGCTGGGAGCAGTGGCTTCGTTTCATGCAGGAAAGAGAACTTGGTTCAGGAGTGTCTACGTTGCTTAAGACAGGAGAGCACTAAAAATGAAACCATCCAGCCATCCTCCCCCATTTTCATTTTCACACCAAAGAATCCCACCGCGGCAGAGGACCACCGTCTCTGTTTAGACAATCGGTGAAGAATGGATGACCTCACTTTCCCCAACAGGCGGGTCCTGAAATGTTATGCACGAAACAAAACTTGAGTAAATGCCCAACAGAGGTCACTGTTTTATCGATCTTGAAGAGATCTCTTCTTAGCAAAGCAAAGAAACCGATTGTGAAGGTAACACCATGTTTGGTAAATAAGTGTTTTGGTGTTGTGCAAGGGTCTGGTTTCAGCCTGAAGCCATCTCAGAGCTGTCTGGGTCTCTGGAGACTGGAGGGACAACCTAGTCTAGAGCCCATTTGCATGAGACCAAGGATCCTCCTGCAAGAGACACCATCCTGAGGGAAGAGGGCTTCTGAACCAGCTTGACCCAATAAGAAATTCTTGGGTGCCGACGCGGAAGCAGATTCAGAGCCTAGAGCCGTGCCTGCGTCCGTAGTTTCCTTCTAGCTTCTTTTGATTTCAAATCAAGACTTACAGGGAGAGGGAGCGATAAACACAAACTCTGCAAGATGCCACAAGGTCCTCCTTTGACATCCCCAACAAAGAGGTGAGTAGTATTCTCCCCCTTTCTGCCCTGAACCAAGTGGGCTTCAGTAATTTCAGGGCTCCAGGAGACCTGGGGCCCATGCAGGTGCCCCAGTGAAACAGTGGTGAAGAGACTCAGTGGCAATGGGGAGAGCACTGGCAGCACAAGGCAAACCTCTGGCACAGAGAGCAAAGTCCTCACTGGGAGGATTCCCAAGGGGTCACTTGGGAGAGGGCAGGGCAGCAGCCAACCTCCTCTAAGTGGGCTGAAGCAGGTGAAGAAAGTGGCAGAAGCCACGCGGTGGCAAAAAGGAGTCACACACTCCACCTGGAGACGCCTTGAAGTAACTGCACGAAATTTGAGGATGGCCAGGCAGTTCTACAACAGCCGCTCACAGGGAGAGCCAGAACACAGAAGAACTCAGATGACTGGTAGTATTACCTTCTTCATAATCCCAGGCTTGGGGGGCTGCGATGGAGTCAGAGGAAACTCAGTTCAGAACATCTTTGGTTTTTACAAATACAAATTAACTGGAACGCTAAATTCTAGCCTGTTAATCTGGTCACTGAAAAAAAATTTTTTTTTTTTCAAAAAACATAGCTTTAGCTTATTTTTTTTCTCTTTGTAAAACTTCGTGCATGACTTCAGCTTTACTCTTTGTCAAGACATGCCAAAGTGCTGAGTCACTAATAAAAGAAAAAAAGAAAGTAAAGGAAGAGTGGTTCTGCTTCTTAGCGCTAGCCTCAATGACGACCTAAGCTGCACTTTTCCCCCTAGTTGTGTCTTGCCATGCTAAAGGACGTCACATTGCACAATCTTAATAAGGTTTCCAATCAGCCCCACCCGCTCTGGCCCCACCCTCACCCTCCAACAAAGATTTATCAAATGTGGGATTTTCCCATGAGTCTCAATATTAGAGTCTCAACCCCCAATAAATATAGGACTGGAGATGTCTGAGGCTCATTCTGCCCTCGAGCCCACCGGGAACGAAAGAGAAGCTCTATCTCCCCTCCAGGAGCCCAGCTATGAACTCCTTCTCCACAAGTAAGTGCAGGAAATCCTTAGCCCTGGAACTGCCAGCGGCGGTCGAGCCCTGTGTGAGGGAGGGGTGTGTGGCCCAGGGAGGGCTGGCGGGCGGCCAGCAGCAGAGGCAGGCTCCCAGCTGTGCTGTCAGCTCACCCCTGCGCTCGCTCCCCTCCGGCACAGGCGCCTTCGGTCCAGTTGCCTTCTCCCTGGGGCTGCTCCTGGTGTTGCCTGCTGCCTTCCCTGCCCCAGTACCCCCAGGAGAAGATTCCAAAGATGTAGCCGCCCCACACAGACAGCCACTCACCTCTTCAGAACGAATTGACAAACAAATTCGGTACATCCTCGACGGCATCTCAGCCCTGAGAAAGGAGGTGGGTAGGCTTGGCGATGGGGTTGAAGGGCCCGGTGCGCATGCGTTCCCCTTGCCCCTGCGTGTGGCCGGGGGCTGCCTGCATTAGGAGGTCTTTGCTGGGTTCTAGAGCACTGTAGATTTGAGGCCAACGGGGCCGACTAGACTGACTTCTGTATTTATCCTTTGCTGGTGTCAGGAAGTTCCTTTCCTTTCTGGAAAATGCAGAATGGGTCTGAAATCCATGCCCACCTTTGGCATGAGCTGAGGGTTATTGCTTCTCAGGGCTTCCTTTTCCCTTTCCAAAAAATTAGGTCTGTGAAGCTCCTTTTTGTCCCCCGGGCTTTGGAAGGACTAGAAAAGTGCCACCTGAAAGGCATGTTCAGCTTCTCAGAGCAGTTGCAGTACTTTTTGGTTATGTAAACTCAATGGCTAGGATTCCTCAAAGCCATTCCAGCTAAGATTCATACCTCAGAGCCCACCAAAGTGGCAAATCATAAATAGGTTAAAGCATCTCCCCACTTTCAATGCAAGGTATTTTGGTCCTGTTTGGTAGAAAGAAAAGAACACAGGAGGGGAGATTGGGAGCCCACACTCGAATTCTGGTTCTGCCAAACCAGCCTTGTGATCTTGGGTAAATTCCCTACCACCTCTGGACTCCATCAGTAAAATTGGGCGTGGACTAGGTGATCTCATAGATCCTTCCTGCTGGAACATTCTATGGCTTGAATTATATTCTCCTAATTATTGTCAAAATTGCTGTTATTAAGTATCTACTGTGTGCCAGGCACTTTAAATAAATATTGTGTCTAATCTTCAAAACAAATTTGCAAGGAAGGTTTTTGGAGATAAGGAAACTGAGACTCAGGATTAAGTAACACACCTAAAGTCACAGGTGAGCTTGGAACTGAACCCAAGTGTGCCCCCACTCCACTGGAATTTGCTTGCCAGGATGCCAATGAGTTGTAGCTTCATTTTTCTTAGAGACTTTCCTGGCTGTGGTTGAACAATGAAAAGGCCCTCTAGTGGTGTTTGTTTTAGGGACACTTAGGTGATAACAATTCTGGTATTCTTTCCCAGACATGTAACAAGAGTAACATGTGTGAAAGCAGCAAAGAGGCACTGGCAGAAAACAACCTGAACCTTCCAAAGATGGCTGAAAAAGATGGATGCTTCCAATCTGGATTCAATGAGGTACCAACTTGTCGCACTCACTTTTCACTATTCCTTAGGCAAAACTTCTCCCTCTTGCATGCAGTGCCTGTATACATATAGATCCAGGCAGCAACAAAAAGTGGGTAAATGTAAAGAATGTTATGTAAATTTCATGAGGAGGCCAACTTCAAGCTTTTTTAAAGGCAGTTTATTCTTGGACAGGTATGGCCAGAGATGGTGCCACTGTGGTGAGATTTTAACAACTGTCAAATGTTTAAAACTCCCACAGGTTTAATTAGTTCATCCTGGGAAAGGTACTCTCAGGGCCTTTTCCCTCTCTGGCTGCCCCTGGCAGGGTCCAGGTCTGCCCTCCCTCCCTGCCCAGCTCATTCTCCACAGTGAGATAACCTGCACTGTCTTCTGATTATTTTATAAAAGGAGGTTCCAGCCCAGCATTAACAAGGGCAAGAGTGCAGGAAGAACATCAAGGGGGACAATCAGAGAAGGATCCCCATTGCCACATTCTAGCATCTGTTGGGCTTTGGATAAAACTAATTACATGGGGCCTCTGATTGTCCAGTTATTTAAAATGGTGCTGTCCAATGTCCCAAAACATGCTGCCTAAGAGGTACTTGAAGTTCTCTAGAGGAGCAGAGGGAAAAGATGTCGAACTGTGGCAATTTTAACTTTTCAAATTGATTCTATCTCCTGGCGATAACCAATTTTCCCACCATCTTTCCTCTTAGGAGACTTGCCTGGTGAAAATCATCACTGGTCTTTTGGAGTTTGAGGTATACCTAGAGTACCTCCAGAACAGATTTGAGAGTAGTGAGGAACAAGCCAGAGCTGTGCAGATGAGTACAAAAGTCCTGATCCAGTTCCTGCAGAAAAAGGTGGGTGTGTCCTCATTCCCTCAACTTGGTGTGGGGGAAGACAGGCTCAAAGACAGTGTCCTGGACAACTCAGGGATGCAATGCCACTTCCAAAAGAGAAGGCTACACGTAAACAAAAGAGTCTGAGAAATAGTTTCTGATTGTTATTGTTAAATCTTTTTTTGTTTGTTTGGTTGGTTGGCTCTCTTCTGCAAAGGACATCAATAACTGTATTTTAAACTATATATTAACTGAGGTGGATTTTAACATCAATTTTTAATAGTGCAAGAGATTTAAAACCAAAGGCGGGGGGGCGGGCAGAAAAAAGTGCATCCAACTCCAGCCAGTGATCCACAGAAACAAAGACCAAGGAGCACAAAATGATTTTAAGATTTTAGTCATTGCCAAGTGACATTCTTCTCACTGTGGTTGTTTCAATTCTTTTTCCTACCTTTTACCAGAGAGTTAGTTCAGAGAAATGGTCAGAGACTCAAGGGTGGAAAGAGGTACCAAAGGCTTTGGCCACCAGTAGCTGGCTATTCAGACAGCAGGGAGTAGACTTGCTGGCTAGCATGTGGAGGAGCCAAAGCTCAATAAGAAGGGGCCTAGAATGAAACCCTTGGTGCTGATCCTGCCTCTGCCATTTCTACTTAAGCCAGGGTTTCTCATATGTTAACATGCATGGGAATTCCCTGGGCATCTTCTTGTGGTGTGGAGTCTGACTTAGCAAGCCTCGGGTGGGTTTGAGGGTCAAATTTCTACCAGGCTTATATCCCTGGTGATGCTGCAGAATTCCAGGACCACACTTGGAGGTTTAAGGCCTTCCACAAGTTACTTATCCCATATGGTGGGTCTATGGAAAGGTGTTTCCCAGTCCTCTTTACACCACCGGATCAGTGGTCTTTCAACAGATCCTAAAGGGATGGTGAGAGGGAAACTGGAGAAAAGTATCAGATTTAGAGGCCACTGAAGAACCCATATTAAAATGCCTTTAAGTATGGGCTCTTCATTCATATACTAAATATGAACTATGTGCCAGGCATTATTTCATATGACAGAATACAAACAAATAAGATAGTGATGCTGGTCAGGCTTGGTGGCTCATGCCTGTATTCCCTAAACTTTGGGAGCCTAAGGTGAGAACTCCTTGAACTCCTAAGGCCAGGAGTTCAAGACCAGCCTGGATAACATAGCAAGACCCCATCTCTACAAAAAACCAAAACCAAACAAACAAAAATGATAGTGGTGCTTCCCTCAGGATGCTTGTGGTCTAATGGGAGACAGAACAGCAAAGGGATGATTAGAAGTTGGTTGCTGTGAGCCAGGCACAGTGCTGATATAATCCCAGCGCTATGGGAGGCTGAGGTGGGTGGATCATTTGAGGCCAGGAGTTTAAGACCAGCCTGGTCAACATGGTAAAACCCCATCTCTACTTAAAAATACAAAAAAGTTAGCCAGGCATGGTGGCATACACCTGTAACCCAGCTACTCAGGAGGCTGAGGCACATGAATCACTTGAACCCAGGAGGCAGAGGTTGCTGTGCACCACTGCACTCCAGCCTGGGTGACAGAACGAGACCTTGACTCAAAAAAAAAAAAAAGAAGTTTGTTGCTATGGAAGGGTCCTACTCAGAGCAGGCACCCCAGTTAATCTCATTCACCCCACATTTCACATTTGAACATCATCCCATAGCCCAGAGCATCCCTCCACTGCAAAGGATTTATTCAACATTTAAACAATCCTTTTTACTTTCATTTTCCTTCAGGCAAAGAATCTAGATGCAATAACCACCCCTGACCCAACCACAAATGCCAGCCTGCTGACGAAGCTGCAGGCACAGAACCAGTGGCTGCAGGACATGACAACTCATCTCATTCTGCGCAGCTTTAAGGAGTTCCTGCAGTCCAGCCTGAGGGCTCTTCGGCAAATGTAGCATGGGCACCTCAGATTGTTGTTGTTAATGGGCATTCCTTCTTCTGGTCAGAAACCTGTCCACTGGGCACAGAACTTATGTTGTTCTCTATGGAGAACTAAAAGTATGAGCGTTAGGACACTATTTTAATTATTTTTAATTTATTAATATTTAAATATGTGAAGCTGAGTTAATTTATGTAAGTCATATTTATATTTTTAAGAAGTACCACTTGAAACATTTTATGTATTAGTTTTGAAATAATAATGGAAAGTGGCTATGCAGTTTGAATATCCTTTGTTTCAGAGCCAGATCATTTCTTGGAAAGTGTAGGCTTACCTCAAATAAATGGCTAACTTATACATATTTTTAAAGAAATATTTATATTGTATTTATATAATGTATAAATGGTTTTTATACCAATAAATGGCATTTTAAAAAATTCAGCAACTTTGAGTGTGTCACGTGAAGCTTAATATAAACAAGTTTCTTGTCACTGCCACCACCACGACCAAAAAAAGCTAATCAATCACTATATATAATACATATATATACTATATATAATAAATATATATACTATATATAATACATATATACACTATATATAATACATATATACTATATATACACATATATACTATATATACACATATATATTATGAATGTATATATATAGTATATATAGTATATATACTATGTATGTATATATATAGTATATATAGTATATATACTATGTATGTGTATATATAGTATATATAGTATATATAGTATATATACTATGTATGTATATATATAGTATATATAGTATATATACTGTGTATGTATATATATAGTATATATATACTATATATGCATACATAGTATATATGCATATATACTATATATACTATATATTTATATATACTATATACTATATATACTATATACTGTATATATACTATATATGTATGTATACGATATATATATATACTATATATGTACACACACACATATATATATACATATAAGCACCTACTACATGCCAGGCATCATTAAATGTGTTGCATCCATCACGTCATTTAACCCCAGCACTTGCACACTCCTTTCTGGTTGTGGAAGACTAAGTAATTTATCTAAGTCACCCAGCTGGAAGGTCAGGCAGGGACCCAGATTTGAAATCCAAGTCTACCTACCTACAGGTCCCCTACTCTTAACCTGTAGGTCCCACTGCCTACCCAGGAACTGAGGGATGATGTAGAAAATCCCAAAACATGTTAATATAGGGAATACCTATAAACATGCAATCAAAGTCTTTGGGACTATACAACCACTGTATAAAGCATAACAATGTACAAGCTTCCAAACAATAACTAGAAGTTCTGCCTCCCTCTTCTGGGTTCCTAAAGCACTGCACCTATCTACCTGTCAAAGCATCTACCACATTGTACCACACCTTAAAATCAATGGTTTTTTTCTTCTCAGCCAGCATGTGGATGCCTCAATAAAGCAGACTCCTTTCATGACCTAAAACTAATTTCAGGGGGGAAAAAAAGACGAGCTGGGCGCAGTGGCTCACGCCTATAATCCCAGCACTTTGGGAGGCTGAGGCGGGAGGATCACTTGAGGTCAGAAGACCAGCCTGGCCAACATGGCAAAACCCCGTCTCTACTAAAAATACAAAAATTAGCTGGGCGTGGTGGCGCACCTATAATCCCAGCTACTCAGGAAGCTGAGACATGATAATCGCTTGAGCCTGGGAGGTAGAGCCTGGGGCTGCACTCCATCCTGGGCAACAGAGGGAGATTCTGTCTCAAAAAATAATAATAATAATATAAATAAATAAATAATTTTTTTAAAAAAAGACTCTTTCCTATATTAATCTTTGCATCCTGTGCCCATGGCCCCAAACCTGACCAATGAAGGCCCCAGTAAATATTTTTTGAACAAAAGAAAATATAGATGATCAAAGATAAGAAAGATAAGAAGACACCTCAATTCTTGTAGGCATATAGTGGTAGGGGAAATCACTAATTCTGTGTGTTTATGTATCTTCATCTTCAGGAAAAATAGCAAGAATTAGAAAGAAACACTCAAAGGACTTCCAGAGAAGGCAATGAATAGCCAGTGCATGTACACCTACCTCCATTTCCTTTGCCACTGGCAATAATCTTCATCTGCCCTCTCCCCTCCCCGACCTAAAGTGGTAGTGAGAGAGGCAATCTGGACAACTTAACATGGCCTCGTTTATCCATCTCAACACGACACTGGGAATTTGGTGCAGATTTCCCCTTTCTAACCCCTGCAATATAAAAGTTCTGTCTCCTTATAAAGCTTTTCCCCATTCTACCCGCTACAGACTTCTTCCTCCAGGGGAGGAGTTCTTCTGGGTAAGGGAAAGTCCACAGAGGTCAAAAACCGAGAGGAGCTGAGCCAGAAAAGAGCCACATACTCTGATTTCTAGAAACCACGCATCACAAGTGGGCTTCCCAAAACTAGGGTCAAGTCAAAGAACAAAGAGAAATTGCGATCAACTGATGCTTTCATTCTTCAAACAAAAATGGGTTGAGTTTCATAGATAAGTCAGGGAAAGCTCCTGAGAAAGAGGTGAAAGGGTAGACATGATCCCTGCCCTCTTGTGTAGCACACTATGGAAGGGAAAATAGACATTAAATAAAGACTATAAATGTGATAAGGTTTCCAAAAAGAAATGTGGGCTGTGCTGAGAACCCATACTAGAGGCACGGATAATCTAAGTGAACCCTGGTTTGGCTGCTCACCACTCGAAAGCCAGACATGAGAGACAAGGTTGGTGGGAGGAAAAGCCAGTTCATCAGAAAGCCAGTAAACCAAGAAGATGGTGAGCTAGTATTTTAAAGTACCATCTTGAATTTTAAAATTTATCACAGTAGTTTTTAAAGAGAAACTTGGTATGGGAGATACGTGGGAGTGGTGCGTGGTGTAGGGTCTGTGTGTCTTGTTCTGATGGCTATCTCAGGTAACCGCCTGTCCGGAGGTCTGTTTGGGATCATCTTAACTTCAGCTAGATGATGGATTCATTGTTCATGATTCCTTCTAACCAGGAGGATTCTGCAATGGGGGCTCCTTGCCTCGTTTGTTTAAAGATCAGCCTCTGGGATTTTTAAAGCAAGAGTATAATTAGATAAGCATACATTGCCAGAGGGGAGTGTCTAGAGAGGGAAGGAATGAAGAGGTGAGAGGAAAGAAAAGGAAGAAAAAGAAAGTGGGTAAGAGGCAGAGCAAGATGGCAGAATAGAAAGCTCCACCAATGGACCCCCTGGCAAGGATACAAAGTTAACAACTATCTGCACAGAAAAACAAACAAACAAAAAACACCTTCATAAGAATCAGAACTCAGGTGAGCACACATAGTACCTGGTTTTAACTTCATATCACTGAAACAGGCACTGAAGAAATTAAAAAACAGTCCTGAATCACAATGCTACCCCTCCCCTATCCACAGCAGCAGTGGTGTGGTGCGGAGAATGTCTCTGGGTGCTGGGAGAAGGAGAACACATCAATTGTGGGGCACTGAACTCAGTACTGTCCTGTTAGAGGAGAAAGGAAAACCAGACTAAACTTAGCTGATGTCCACTCACAGAGGGAGCATTTAAACCATCCCTAGCCCAAGAGGAATTGTCAATCCCCAGCAGTCCAAACTTGAGTAGCCGCAAAACTCTCCACTGAGGGCCAAACTTGAAAGGCAGTCTAGGCCATAAGGACTGCAACTCTTAGGCAAGTACTAGGGCTCAACAAGGCCCGGAGACCTAGTGGACTGAGGGGACATGTGACATACCGAGATACCAGCTGAGGCAGCCAAGGGAGTATTGGCTTCACCCCTCTCCTAATCCTAGGCTGCACAAGTCATAGCTTCAAAAGAGACTTTTTCTTTCTGCTTGAGGAGAGAAGACAGAAGAGTGGGGAGGACTTGGCCTTACCTCTTGGATACCAGCTCAGCTACAGCAGGATAGGGCACTAGTCAGAGTCATAAGGCCCGTATTCCAGACCCAAGCTCCAAGACAACATTTCTAGACACATCCTAGACTAGAAGGGAACCCACTGCCTTGAATGAAAGGACCCAGTCCTGGCAGCATTCATCACATGCTAACTGAAAAGCCCTTGGGCCCTGAATAACCAGTAGCGATCCCCAGGTACTACATCGAGGGCCTTAGGTGAGCCTCTGAGACTTGCTGGCTTCAGGTGAGATTCAGCACATTACCACCTATGGTGGCTATGGGGCAAAACTCCTCCTGCTTGGGAAAAGCAGAGGGAAAAGTAAACGGGGCTGTATCTTGTTGCACCTTAGGTACCAACACCACCACAAGGGGGTAGAGCACCAGGTGGGATCTTGGGGTCCCTGATTCCAAGCTTTGACTCATGAGTGGCATTTCTGGACCTGCCCTGTGCCAGAGAGAGGCCTATTGCCCTGAAGGGTGAGTCTCAGGCCAGGCAGCATTCACCACAAGCTGACTTAAAAGACCTAAGGCCTTAAGGGAACATCCATGGTGGTCTGGTAGCACTTCTTAAGGCCACTGGGGAGCAGGGTGGGCAGTAGCTACAGGGTGAGGGTTCTCTGCTTCTGAAAAGGGGAGGGAAGAGTGGGAAGGACTGCATCTTGTGGGTTGAGTGTCTGCTCAGTCACAAGACAATAGACTACAAGGTAGACTTCTAAGTTTTTTACTCTGGTCCCTAACTCCCAGATGGCACTTCTGGACCTACCCTGGGGACCTCATCACCCTGAAAGAAAGGACACAGGCCTGGCTGGCTTTGCCATCTGCTGATTATTGAGCCCCAGGGCCTTCAGCAAACATAGGCAGTAGCCAGAGAGTGGTTACAGCAGGCCTCGGGTAAGACCCAGTGCTGTGCTGGCTTCAGGTGTGACCCAGTGCAGTCACAGTGGTGGTGGCCACATGGGTGCTTGTGTCATTTCACCCCCAGCTTTAGGTGGCTCAGAACAGAAAGAGAGATTCTGTATGTATGTTTGGGAGAAAGTAAAAGAGGAGAACAAGAGGCTCTGCCTGGTAATCCAGAGAATTCTCTCAGATCCTGTCTAAGGCTATCAAGGCAGTACCTCTATGAATCTGCAAGAACCACAGCATTCCTGGGTGGGAGGTGCCCCCTAAAGAAGAAACAGCTTAGATTACAACACCCAAATCCTTTCAAATACCTGGAAATCCTTCCCAAGAAGGATAGCTACAAATAAGCCCAGACAATGAAGACTACAATAAATATCTAACTCTTCAATGCCCAGACATCAAAGAACATCTACTAGCATCAACACTATCCAGGAAAACGTGACCACACCAGATGAACTAAATAAGTCACCAGAAACCAATCCTAGAGAAACAGAGATATGTGACCTTTCAGACAGAGAATTCAAAATAGCTATTTGAGGAAAGTCAAAGAATTCAAGATACACAGAGAAGGAATTCAGAATTTTGTCAGACAAACTTAGCAAAGAGATTGAAATAATTTTGAGAAATCAAGCAGAAGTTATGGAGCTGAAAAATGCAATTGGCATAATGAAGAATGCATCAGAGTCCTTTAATAGCAGAATTGATCAAGCAGAAGAAAGAATTAGTGAACTTGAAGACAAGCTATTTGAAAATACATAGTCAGAGGAGACAAAAGAAAAAGAATAAAAAACTATGAAGCACAACTATGGGATCTAGAAAACAGCCTCAAATGGGTAAGTTTAAGAGTTATTGGACTTAAAGAGGAGGTAGAGAAAGAGATGGGGTAGAAAGCTTATTCAGAGGGAAAATAACAGAGAACTTCTCAAACATAGAGAAAGATATTAATATCCAAGCACAAGAAGATTATAGAACACCAAGCAGATTTAACCCAAAAAAAGCCTACCTCAAGGCATTTCATAATCCAACTCCCAAAGGTAAAGAATAAAGAAAGGACCCTAAAAGCAGCAAGAAAAAACAAGTAAATAGCATACAATGGCACTCCAAGACATCTAGCAGCAGACTATTCAGTGGAAACCTTACAGGCCAGGAGAGAGTGGCATGACATATTTAAAGTGCTGGAAAAACAAAACAAAACAAAAACCTTTCACCCTAGAATAGTATATCCAGCAAAAATATCCTTCAAACATATAGAAGAAATAGACTTTTTCAGACAAACAAAAGCTGAGGGATTTCATAAATAACCGATCTGTCCTACAAGAAATGCTAAATGGAGTACTACAGTCAGAAAGAAAAGGACATTAATGAGCAATAAATAATCACCTGAAGGTATAAAACTTACTGGTAATAGTAAGTGCATAGATAAACACAGAATGTGATAACACTGTAACTGCTATATGTAAACCACTCTTAAAAAGTTAAAAAGCTGGGGGACAAAGTTAAGAGTTTTTATTAGTTTTCTTTTTGCTTGTTTGTTTGTTTATGCAAATAGTGTTGTTGTTACCACGTTAAAATAATGGATTATAAGATAGTATTTGCAAGCCTCATGGTAACCTCAAACCAAAAAACATACAATTGATACCCAAAAAATAAGAAGCAAGAAACTAAATCATATCACCAGAGAAAATTATCTTTACTAGAGGCAGACAGGAATGAAAGAAAGAAGGAAGAGAAGACCACAAAACAACCAGAAAACAAATAACAAAATGGCAGTAGTAAGTCCTTACTTATCAATAATAACGTTGAATGTAAATGAACTAAACTCTTCAATCTTCAGACACAGACTGGCTGAATGGATGAAAAAAAGCCATTGATCCATTGCCTGCAAGAAACACACTTCATCTATAAAGACACACATAGACTGAAAATAAAGGAGTGGAAAAAGATATTCCATGCCAATGGAAACAAAAAAAGCAAGAGTTGTTATATCAGACAAAATAGACTTCAAGACAAAAACCATAAGACGAGACAAAGAAGGTCACTATTAATGATAAAATGATATATTTGACAAAAAGATATAACAATTTTAAATATATATGCACCCAACACTGGAGCACCCAGATATATAAAGGAAATATTATTAGAGCTAAAGAGAGAGATAGGTCCTAATACAATAATAGCTGGAAACATCAATACCCCACTTTCAGCATTGGGCAGATCTTCCAGACAGAAAATCAATAAAGAAACATCAGATTTAATCTGCACTATTGACCAAATGTATCTAACAGATATTTACAGAACATTTTATCCAAGAGCTGCAGAAAACACATTTTCCTCAGTACATGGATCGTTCTCAAGGATAGACCATATGTTAGGTCAGAAAACAAGTCTTAAAATATTTTTTAAAAATTGAAATAATATCAAGCATCTTCTCTGACCACAATGGAATAAAACTAGAAAGTAATAACTAGAGGAATTTTGGAAACTATACAAACACATAGAAATTAAACAATATGCTCCTGAATGACCAGTGGGTCAATGAAGACATTAAGAAGGGAATTGAAAAATTTAGTGATAATGGAAACACAACATACCCAAACCCATGGGATACAGCAAAAGCAGTACTAAGAGTGAAGTTTATAGCTATAAGTGCCTACATCACAAAAGAGGAAAAACTTCAAATAAACAATCTAATGATGTATCTTAAAGAACTAAAAAAGCAAGAGCAAACCAAACTCAAAATTTATATCAAAACAAATAAAGATCAGAACAGAAATAAATGAAATTAAAATTAAAAAAAAGATCAATGAAACAAAAAGTTAAAAAAAAAAAAGTTAAACAAAATTGACAAACCTTTAACCAAACTAAGGAAAAAGAGAGATCCAAATAAATAAAATCAGAAATAAAAAAGGAGACATTACAACTGATACTGCAGAAATTCAAAGGATCATTTGTGGCTACTATAACTAACTGTAAGCCAGTAAATTGAAAAATCTAGAGGAAATGGACAAATACTGAGATACATACAACCTACCAAGACTGAACCAGTAATAAATTGAAAACCTGAACAGATTAGTAACAAGTAATGAGATTGAAGCTGTAATAAAAAGTCACCCAGTAAAGAAAAGCCAAAGATCTAATGGCTTCACCGCTGAATTCTATGAAACATTTAGAAAAGAACTAATACCAATCCTACTCATACTATTCCAAAAAATACAGGAGGAAAAAATACTTTCAAATTCATTCTACAAAGCCCGTATTACCCTGATACCAAAACCAGGCAAAGACACATCAAAAAAGAAAACTACAGGCCAATATCTCTGATGAATGTTGATGCAAAAATCCTCAAAAAATACTAGCAAAAATACTAGCATTCTAATTCAACAATACGTTAGAAAGGTCATTCCTCATGACCAAATGGGATTTATCCCTGGGATGCAAGGATGGATCAACATATGTAGATTAATCAACATGATACATCCTATCAACAGAATGAAGGATAAAAACCACAGGATCATTTCACTTAATGCTGAAAAAGCATTTGATAAAATTCAACATTCCTTCGTGATAAAAACTCTTAAAAAAATGAGGACAGAAGAAACATACCCAAGCATAATAAAAGCCATATATGACAGACCCACAGCTAATATCATACTGAATGGGGAGAAACAGAATGCATTTCCTCTGAGATCTGGAACATGACAAGGATGCCCACTGCCACCACTGTTATTTAGCATAGTTCTGAAAGTCCTAGCTAGAGCAATCAGACAAAAGAAAGTTATGAAGGGCATCCAAGTTATGAAGGGCATTCCTGAAAAGGAAGAAGTTAGATTATCCTTG